>NC_000014.9:94611713-95861713 GCF_000001405.40 Homo sapiens | reverse complement strand
TGTTAGCAATAATAGTATTGTTGCTGTGAAATGTATTATTAACAGACCTGGGAGCAGATGCACCTTTTTCATTTGACACACCCACAAAAGAGATGGCTGCAAAGATGGTTAAAAATGGTACTTCAGTACAAGAAGCTGGGAGAGGACTGTTATAGAACTCACTAAGTGGGGTTGGGTCCATCTTTGTCAGCAGATTTTGAACTCCTCAAAGTCTATTCATCTTTTCATCTGTCCCTTCCCCATGCCAAACACTAGATTCACAACAAATGTTCCTTCCTTTGCAATGAATGCCTCTCAAAGCCAAGTCACTCAAACTGAGCAGTTATGCATGTTGTGGAAGGGCTGAGTTTACCTTCTCCATCAATCACATCTTGTGGCTCTCTTTTCCTTCTTTTTTGATTTCCTTTGAAACACCAGAAGTTGTACAACTTCAAAATGATGCCAATTAGAAATTGGTGTAACTCATAGAGAAAACTGAAAATCTTTAAAATGGCAGCAGTGAAGATGAAATATGACAAAGGAATGGACAAAATGGGTAGCTATTTTATTATGCTATGTAGCATTTAATTAAAATTTTAATGTAGGAATTTCAGTGTGGGAAATCTCTTTTGAATACTTTAAACAAAGCCACATCTTTCAAAATCTGAGAGCCATTGTTAGCTTTTGTCATGGTGACTCAGTCACATGAAATTACTGACCTACATTGATGACTGTTATCTGATAAGGCAGGTTCAACATCACTTTGTTTTGGTGGGGGATGATGGCCCTTATGTGGCTAATACTGGTTTTTGATCTTCTCTTTCCTATCCTATTGTCAGCTCCATAGAATGGAAATTCAAGATGACCATGATTGATATTTCTGCTTTTACTAATAGTGTGACCTTAGCAAGAGATTTATCTATGCCCCTGTTCTTTTATCTGTAAAATGGGAATCATGGAGTTGCTTCAGAGGCTTCTTATGACAGATTAAATTAATCTACATAAAAGTACTTTGTAATCTTTTAAGGGGTTTCTTCTGCCCTCCCTCCCCCTTTTCCTCCCTCTCTTCCTCCCTCTTTCCTTCCTTCTTTCCTTTCTCCCCACCCCACTGCAAACAATAGTTGTAAGGGCATTTCTATTAGAAGAAGGCATGGGAATCAGCAGAAACAAAGGTCTTCCAGGTAATGGGGATGGATCACGGTTAGGATATTACTTGTAAGTGATTAAATTTCACATTGAATCTAGTAGGTTTGTTTTTAAGAAACATTCCAAATTTTATCTTTATTTTTGTTACATTTGTTGTTGATTGTTGAACACTTGGAAAATAAGCCTACTACTTGTCACATTACTGGAAAATTTCTGTCTTCATTATTAGCCTTCAAATCATTTGCATCTTTTCCAATGAGCTTTGGAGATATAAACACACAGAGCTTGAGAACTTGGAAGGGCCTTAGAGAAAATGCATTCTACTTTCATCATATTGTGGAAATGTGAGCCAAGGCCCAGACAGACCCGCAAATCAGTAACAGAGTTGAAAAAATAATGCAGGTTCTTGTCTGAGGCTCTTATTGCTACTCTAAACCACTCCCAGCTCTGAAATCTGTTCCCATCTTCCTGCTGTCAACACCTTCCTCCGAAGGCATCATCACTTGTTTTGTAATCCAGTCATTCAGGATACAAGGTGAAACTAGCAATGCCCTGGATACCATTCTTCCAGAAAAGAAGCCACTGATGAGTGATTGAGTTTGGCATCATGGGCAGACATATTCTGGTTTGGTCACTTTGAGATGACTCCTACTTGCTTGGTGTGTTTTGTGGCATTCCAAAGACCTGGAAAAAATCCTAAAACTAGTGAAATCTCCAGCTTCTTATATACACTGGGACATGTTGGAAAGAACAGAGAACTGGAAGCCTGATCACTGGGATCTGGCCCTAGCTCTTCCCCTAGCTCTCTGTATGACCATGGGCATGTGTCACTGAGCTTTTTCATTCATGCATATGGCCAGACAGCTTTTCAGTGCATTCAGTCATTAAAGCTCATGCCAGGCACCGGGAATCAACCCATATTCAAAAAAGTGTCTCTGTTCTTGGGTGGAACAGTCTAGTGGGGAAGGCAGATACAGAAAATATATACTGGGCTGCAGTCACTGGGATCAGGAAAGGCTTAATGAAATTGTACCAGACGTATACTGGAGGTGATGTCCAGGAGAGACTTTACAATAGAGGTGAGGTTGAAGGTGAGGAAGCACTGAAGGAGTCTTGGAAAACAGGTGGATTCCAGAGGTGGAAAATAGTATTCATACATTCGTTTACTCATTCATCCTCCCATCCATCCATTTATTCCATTAACAGGTGTTGAGCATCCCCACAAACCAAGAAATATGGAGATGAAAAACACAGTCTCTGTTTCCACAGAACTCCTGTGAGCTTGAGCAAAGACTCCAGGGCCACAAAAGAGCAGATGGGTTCAGGGGACAGCAAGTGACTTGCTCTGGCTGGAGCAAAAGCCTCCTGTGTAGCAACAACAGGAAAGACTAGAGAAATGGAGAGGGCCTTATACACCATGAAAGGCCTTAAGAACGGTCATAGGAAGTTTATGATTTACCTGGAGGAATGGGACGGGGCAGGGATGACATCATAGAGAGGAGGCAGGGATGACATCACCCAATTTGAGTTTCTGGAAGACCTTGCTGGTTGAAGCGTGAAGAATGAATGACAATGAGAAAGGACAGAGCAAAGAAAAGGCAACCAAGTGGGAGGGTGTTGCTGCTGTCAGGGGAGATCTCATGTTGACCTGGACAAGAGCGTGGTAGAGGAGATAAAGAAGATCTTACTGAGAAGTAATTACAAAATCTTATTTTAGATACTCATTTTCCAAAAGAGAAAGTTGACAGATGATATGTCTTGCCCACAGGCATTACCGTGCTCAGAATTCTCCTACATGACATTTGATGCTCACTCTTGGGAAAACTGAACCCTGCATTGGTTCCACCAGTGGCCAGGGACGGACGTTCCCTTGAGTTGGGCCTCAGTTTCTTCATCAGCCAGTCTGAGACTTGAGCTCATGTTCCTCTGGCCTCAGCTCTGTGACTGTCTGTGCCTGCTTCCTGGGAGCTGACACCTGATATTTGCAGCATCTGCTTTTTCCAAGGACATTTAGGGTCTTGCAACTTGGGTGATTTTAATAGATACGGTCCTCTAGGAAGACAGAGGCCAGTTGAGGAAAAGCGGCAATGGCAGGGGTAATTAGGGAAGCCATCTTAGGAAGTAGTGGGCCTGGACGGGGTACAGAAATAAGGAGGGCATCTAGCTGGAAGAAAGGAAACCTTCCTGGGTGCAGAACAGGACTGTATGGTGGCCCTGGCTGTTTATGGTCAACAGCTGTCCTGATTGGCCATAGCCTCCCAGGCTGGAGGGTAAATATGATAAACATCATCCTGAGCCTAAGCCAGTAAGGCAATGACCTCCCTCTCTAGGATGCATTTGCTGAGTGGGAGGAGAGGAAGGAGAAGGAGTTGGAAAGAGAAGGAAGGGGTGTCCCAGGAGTCAGATAGAGGTTGATGATGGAGGTCTTGCACACCAAACGGAAAACATGTGCAGACAGGTCTCCACCCACCTTCTCCCTGCTCTCTGAAACCATGATGCTGACAGCCTAGGCTTGTGCTTCAGAATGCTGGCTCCCTCTCCAATCCCACATGCTCATCCTCTCTATGCCTTGGTTTACCCACATGCAATAAGGGATTAATAATAATAGGACTAGCATATTGTGTCTGTTGAAATGGTGAAAGGAAATAATACATGCAGGTCCCTAGCACAGAGCTTGGCATACAGTAAGAGCTCAGTGAAGACTGGCTATTACTTCCATTTCAGAGGGACTCACTGGGTCCTGAATATTCTGGCCTGGTGGTACGTTTCCCAATGAACGTCTTTGCGTGGATCCTTCACCCTCACTCTCCGAACCCTGAGCTACCCCACGACCAGCAATGTGATTCTTTTTTTCCTAAAAGACTCCTGTCAGTTTCATACATTTTCCATGATCCCCTTCTCTTTAGAAAGTGGGTTTTCAAAAATAAATGCAATTTAGGATGACATACTTTCCCCCTGCCTGCTACATTTCCACAAGCCCTGTTTGGCTGGAAGGAAAATCAGCCAGGGGTTCTCAGTGAGTATGCTCAGCTGTGGAAATCCTTGGGCTATAAATAGTGAGCGTGTTTGGGTATTTTTTAAATAATATGATGGACTCATTTTCCCTGATCATGAAATCCATGGCTTCTATTTATAGCTACAATGTTGCTCACTAGTACTTAGGGATTTTAAAAATAGGTTCCAGGAAATAAGATGTGCTTGGCTAACTCTCTCAGTATGGAGGCAGCAGAAGGGGCCTGGAGATTTGAGACTGGGATTTAGGGTCTTTGCGTTAACCCCTTGCTGCCTCTGAGTTGTCCTTGGTCCCAGGTTCCTTTGGGTCTTGTGCTTTCAATTTGCATTACATTGCTTGGGTGAAGAGATTTATCTATTCACTCATTGAGAACTTGCTCTGAGCCAGCCATGCTGCTATGCTTACTGGGGAAATAAATAGAAAGTTCATAGTACCAAGGCACTCACAGCCCAGTGGGCAGACCTGTAAATACATACAGGATTCCAGGATGTAAATGTGATAAGTGCCATTGCACAGGTATGAAGAAAGGCCTGGGAAGCACCAAGAAGGTACACGTAATTATGCCCATGGCAGCAGGAGAGCCACCTGTGGTTGATGGAACAATGTCCCCCAAAGACGTCCAGGTCCTAATTCCTGGAACCTGTGAATGTCATATGGCAAAAGAAACTTCACAGATGGGATAGAGTTCAGGATCTTGAATGGGAGATGGGAGATGATCTTGAATGGGAGATGGGAGGTGATCCTGGATTGCCTTTGGGCTCAATGTGGACACAAGGGCCTCATTAGAGGGCAGCAGGAGGGTCCGAGGAGAGAGAGAGAGAGAAGATGACGTGACCACAGAAGCAGAGAGAGATTGGAAGGTGCCACACTGCTGGCTTTGACGATGAAGGAAGGGGCCATGAGCCGAGGGACACAGCCCTAGGATCTGGAAAAGGCCAGGACACAGCTTCGCTCCTAGAGCCTCCGCGGGGGAGCACAGCCCTGCCAACACCTTGGTTTCAACCCTGTGAAAGTGATTTTGGACCTCTGGCTTCCAGAACTGTAAGAGAATTAATTTGTGTTTTTTTTAAGCCACCAAGGTTATGGTAATTTCTTTCAACAGAAGCCATCAGAAACTAATATACCACCCAAGGTACCAATTGGTATTGGTACCAATATACCAACAAAGGGCCATTGTAAGGCCCGTCTGGTGATCAGAACCACCCAATACCCATTCTTTTCTGATGGCACCTGCACCCCAGTTGTTTAGCTGAACCCCTTCCTTAGTGGAGCTTGTGTTTCAGTGAGGCAGGCTCACCTCTGGTTCTAGGGGAGGGCACAGGGTTTAGGCCTAAACTAATTAGTACAGTTATTCTTCAGGCTCAGGACTGAGCATGTGTCATACATGGAACCAGTTAGGTGAGAGCCCAGGGTTTTGTTTGTTTGTTGTAGAGACAGGGTCTCACTCTGTTGTTCAGGCTGGAGTGCAGCGGCATGATCCTAACTCACTACAACCTTGAATTCTTGGGCTCCAGCGATCCTCCCACCTCAGCCTCCCCAGTAGCTGGGACTATAGGTATACATCACCATACCCAGTTAATTTGTTAATTTTTTATCAGGACGAAGTCTTGCTCTGTTGACCAAGCTGGATGGAGTGCAGTGGTGCGATCACAACTCACTGCAACCTTGACCTCCTGGGCCCAAGCAATCCTCCTGCTTCAGCCTACCAAAGTGTTGGGATTACAGGAATGAGCTACCATGCCCAGCCAAAAGCCCAGGGTTTTGTTGGATGGTAGTACAAGGAGATGCTTTCTCACTGCACCCCCACCTCCCATCTTTGAGGATAAACAAGGAAGCACGTCTTCCCAAGAGGCAGGGGCTATCTTGAAACCATGAAGAAAGACTCATCCTGAGAAGAACGCAAACACCAAACAAGTGGAACCTGGAGATACTGAGAGAAACAGGGTCCTGGTTGTGTCCCCTGAGCTGCTGAACTTTTCAGATGCACAAACCCATTACATTTTTTTATTAAAAATGGTTTGAGTCCGGTTTTCTCTTACTTGCTCCTAAAGTATCAAAATAAAGACTAGAGAGGCTCTGCTATGAGCAGAGTGGGGGGAATATGGGAAAGAAGATGAGAGGCAGGTATTGTGATCGGAATCTGCACATGGTAGAGAGCCCGGAAGGCCAACCTCCCTCCCACTGTGGGTAAGCATGACCTGGGATCAGGTCCCAGTACTGTGGGTTGTCGGAGCTGAAAGAAGCTTGGCCAGGATTGATTATAAACCCTTAGTTTTGCAGATAAGGAGACGGAGACACACAGAAAGAGAGGGGCTTGTTCAAGGTCACGCAGTGAGTTAGTGGCTGACACAAAACCGAAGCCACCTCTTCATTTTCCTGGCCTGGTCCACCGGGCTCTGCTTAGGCCCAGCTCTGCTGTATGGCGATTGGTCAGCCAAGGGCCAGGTCAGCCACATACACACAGGTGCCCAGAACCCCACCTGGGCAGTCCACATCCAGGGATTCTAGGCGGCCCAGGCTCAAATGAAAAATGCTTTTATGCTTGCTGTCTGTGGCTCACTGAGGAAACAAAGATAGTTGCACAGGACTTTGAATTTTTTTTTTTCTGTAGCCACAGCAGCCTGGAGTGGGGACAGATCATGAGAGTCGGAGTCCTGGAGCTGAGTTGTGGCAAAAGCTGCCTCTTACTCTGTCTATGCCCATGAATAGATTGTTCAACCCACTGTTACCTCACATGACCTTTCTACCTTTCAAGGGAAGCAAAACAACAGAGATATTGGAGGCAAGGTGTTCTCTGAATTGTAAAGTGCTGGACATCCACGACGACGGGCATCACTCGGCTGATTCCCTCTCCCCTGAAGGTGCTCTACAGAGACTGAGGGCTTTGACAAACATCTTTGAACTAAAATGCTCCAGCCTTCCTTAGTTGGATATTTTCACCGGCCAGAAAACACGTGGGATCAGCATGTCAAATAAGACAATGATATTTATTTGTTAAGCTTTGGAGACATGTGAAAATCTTTGTGGGAGGTTTGACAGTATGCAAGATATTTCTTTCTAGGAAACAGTATGAGATTGTAGCTAAGGAGTGCATTTTAACAAATATGAATGCTCTTTCCAAGCCGTTATTGTTCCTAGCTCTAAGTTCAGAAGGAATGTCTCCATTTCCTCCGCAACAACCACAACACACTACAAGTCAATGTCTAGTCCGTGAAAGTGTGAAAGTGCAAGATGAGCTATCCTGAGTTCAATCAAATGGAGCCTTTTTTTTTGGAGATGGAGTCTCACTCTGTAATCCAGGCTGGAGTACAGTGGAATGATCTCGGCTCACTGCAACCTCTGTCCTGGGTTCAAGCGATTCTTCTGCCTCAGCCTCCTGAGTAGCTGGGACTACAAGTGCATGCCACCACACCCAGCTAATTTTTGTATTTTTAGTAGAGATGGGGTTTCACCATATTGACCAGGCTGGTCTTGAACTCCTGACCTTGTGATCTGCTCACCTCGGCCTCCCAAAGTGTTGGGATTACAGGCATGAGCCACTGTGCCCGGCCTCAAACAGAGCTTTGAAGTCAAATCTGGGTTTGTTTGCCAGCTCTGCCAAGTGCTCATTGTGTGACCTTGGCCGAGGGGCTAAACTTCTCTGGGAATCAGCTCCCTCTCAACTGTCACTGCCTCTCAGATTTGTAGAAAGATTAGATAGAATGTGTGCTACCTAGTTTATAACTTGGTCCACGGTGGTCATTATTCTATTGGTGTTGCCATCCTAACCATCATCATGGGCAGAAACAACACTGGGAGACGCAGAGGGAATAGGCTTTCAATAGTCCACAGCGTCCTTAGGCAAGGACCTAACTCCACAAGAAGACTCCATTTATTTAGGCAGTATTAATAAGGATCCACAAGATGCCCATGGAAGGGATGCTGCTGGGATGAAGGAACGAAGATCACTGGTCTCAAACAGCCCACAGTATGGTGTGGATGCAAACGTGAAAATTATCACACAAGACAGAAATAAAGAAATGCTGAGAGATGAACAGACAAAGAAGCCTATAAGAGGAAACCGTGAATGCCAACACTGAGGATCACACAACTGAAAACCCAGCAGGAACTTCAGCGATCAAATGATGCAACTTCTATTTTGGTGGAGAGGCTGGTTCAATTCCATAAATAGCCAAAATGGAAGGTTAAAGATAAATCTCCAAGTGTCAGGGCCAGAGGAGATATTTGATGGTGCAATCCAGCAGGGGTTTTTCAGTTATTGATTTCTGTGCAGTGAGAAAGATTTTTTTTTCCAGCTAAAACACTTTCAAAATTCTGTCCTTCCTGCCAAACTCAGGGATACATGAACTTTCCCTCCACCACAGTGGAGTGTGCAGTGCAGAAAAGTCTGCACATTGGGGAAGACAAACTAATTTGTGCTTTTATCATTGAGTGCATCTGTGTAGTATTAAATCACGAAATATGAGCCGCAAATAGGGAAGACTCTCTTCCTGAATTGTGACCTTTGAGCAATTACAGATGGAGAGAAACACTCTCCATAGTGTCATAAGAAGGTACTATGATGCTGCTAGTTGCCCACTGATATCCACTATCCCTGAATTCTTTACTTAAAAAACTCAATTTTTAGAAGATAGCAAGGAACCCAGCTTACAAATAACCACCGCATTCCCCAGCTACTCTTTCGTAGAGTTCCAGTCAGTGAGATGTAGGTAGAAGTTTTGGGGTGGGTTCCAAGAAAGCTCCTCAAAGGGAGCAAATTCTTCTCCTTTGCACCTTTTCTCTTCTTCCATCCTCCTGCCCAAAACACAGATGTGTTGGCTGGAACTACTGCACCATATTGCAACCATACAAACAAGACTAGACTAAGAACATCAGGATGTCACTGGCCCTGAACTAATGCTGGCCACTGTCTACTTCTGAACTTACCTTTTTATGAGAACAATAAACCTATATTGCTTATGTCATTGATATTTGGGTTTTCTGCCATATCACTCAAATGCAAATCCCTAAGTGATAAATGCTAATAATATGAGTATAATCCAACAAGAATTTCCATTTTTAGTTTAATTTAGTTTGTTTTTAACAGTTTTATTGAGGTATAACTAACATACAAAAACTGTTCACATGGAATATATATAATTGGATGAGTTAGGACATATGCTTGCACCCCTGAGGCCATTACCGTAATCAGGCAATAAACATATCCATCTTACCCAAAATTTCCTCATGCCCTGTTGTCTTTGTTTTCTATGGTAAGAACACTTAACATGAGATCTACTCTCTTAAATTTTTTTTTTTTTTTTGAGACAGAGTCTTGCTCTGTCACCCAGGCTGGAGTGCAGTGGCGCGATCTCGGCTCACTGCAGGCTCCACCTCCCGGGTTCACGCCATTCTCCTGCCTCAGCCTCCCTAGTAGCTGGGACTACAGGTGCCCACCGCCATGCCCGGCTAATTTTTTCTATTTTTCAGTAGAGATGGGGTTTCACCGTGTTAGCCAGGATGGTCTCGATCTCCTGACTTTGTGATCTGCCCGCCTCAGCCTCCATCTTAATTTTTTTAAGTACACAATACAGTATTGTTAACTATAGGCACTATATCCAATCTCCAGAACTTATTCATCTTATGTAACTGCATGTTTATACCCATTGATCATCAAATCCCCATTTCTCCCTGACAATCATCATTTTTTATGCTCTGCTTCTATGAGTTTGACTACTTAGATACCTCATATAAGTGGAATCATGCAGTATTTGTCCTTCTGTGGCTGACTTATTTCCCTTAGCATAATGTCCTCCAGGTTCATCTATTTGGTCACACATGGCAAGATTTTCTTCTTTTTAAAGGCTGAATAATATTCCATTGTGTGGATATACCACATTTCCTTTATCCATTTATCCATCAATGGATATGTAGTTTGTTTCCAAATCTTGGCTATTGTGAATATGCTGTAATGAACATGGGAGTGCAGATATCTCTTACAGATCCTGATGTCAATGAATTTTGACATATGTATGTATATATATATGTGTGTGTGTGTATGTGTGTGTGTGTGTATATATATATATATACATATATATACACATATACTCAGAAATGGAATTGCTGTAGTTTTAACCATTATAAAATATCCCTAAATTCATTAATATTTGTTTTTTAAGTAGCACTGTTAAATGTACATTAAAGAAAATTTAGATGACAATGTCACCCATTTATGCCACCTTCTCCTCTAGTTTCTTAATTCAAGTTTAAGCCCAGGGCTTACATAAGTCAGTGTCTGAAGTTTCACTCACCTTAGGCCATTGGCATTGATGCAGAGCAGTGTGGAGACATGCTGTTTTCCATAATTTCTGTTCATGACCTTCATTCTTTAATGCCTTAATTCAAGGCATATTGAAGAACATTGGCACTCTGTCTGAGTTTCCTATTTGGTTAAACTCAACATTGTGTTTTTTTCTTAATTGAGTTTCTATTGCTGGAAGGTAGAAAGCTTCTCTTGGAAATCAGCAAGATTCTGACTCATGACTCCTAAGTCACCGTCCTTCATTAGCATGGGCCGGTCACACTAACTCTCCCAGCTTTACCATTCTCTAATCCATTCTAAGGGATCAGTCGATTTCTCTTGCTGCCAGCTAACTGCATTGCCTGACCGGTGCCATCGTTTTATACGTGTCTCACAACAAGACAAAGGCTTTGCTATATAGGTTGTGAATTAGCATCCTTACCGCCCAGAGGAAAGGTTGTTGTTTTTCAAGACAATGAGAAAGTGCGGGACCCCTCTGGCCACAATTATTGGCTTTACTCTTAGTAAATTTACCTCCCGCAGATCTGTACTCAGGCCCTTCTGCCTGTAATAACTTCTGTTTTAACATTGCCCTAGAATGTAATCTTTTTGAAGACATTGCAAGTGACAATTAGGGATTCAGTTTAAGATAAAATCCAACTCTAGGTGGTGCTGCCAAGTCAAATAACTCAAATTAGTTGACAGCACCTGACAGGCAGAGGCAACATTTGCACAGAGGACAAGCTCTTTTAAAAATCAATTTTAAGCTGCAGCTTGATTTCAAGACCATTGACATTCGAAAAGACAAGATCTTATATTCGAGGAAATACAATGTAATAACTTGTCACATGAAATTGGGCTAAGGTTAATTCTTCAGTAAACTCTATATTAAATAAATTCCATATCATGAGTTCAGCTCACATCAATAACTTTTCTATGGCATCTTTATAGCATTCAGAGATAAAATAACTGTTTCAGGTGTTATTAGAGTCCTTACTAGACTTCAAGATCCACCAGGCAAAGATGAGGAGGTAGTCAGGTTCTATGGTCACCGCTACACCTAGCACTGTGTCTACCACATAACGGGTTCGAAAATACTTGATTGATTACTGAATGACCTCCCCTGGCTAGTGACATCAGGATTCTGCTGTCAACAATGATTGGAACATCTGTATCCTGAAACAGCAGCATTTGAGCTTGGCCTGCATGGAAAAATGGACAAGGAAGGGAGTGGAAGATGGCCAGTGGCAGAAGAAATACATTGGGAGGGACTAGAGTTCTAGCTAAAGGAACAACAGCAAGAACAAAGCACAGAGATAAAGATATGCCAGGAAGGCTGCCTGATGAGGTGGAGGCTTTCCGTGACAGGGGATTCAAGAGATAAGGAGCCATGACTGGAGAGGTTGAGCCAGGACAGCAGTAGGTAGAGCATTCAGCACCTTCCCTGTGTGCTATGGAATCACGAATCTTTCCAACCCCATTTGGCAGAAGTTTGAGCGTTATGAAGTATTTGACCTTTATCTTATGCTATTTAAAAATGCTTTTCAACAATCAGGTCAGCACTAGCACTTGAACCAAAATGATGAACCCTTTTTTATTTCAAACTAGTCAGCGAGGTTATCACTTCTAAACTTAAGTACAAATATGACATTTCCTGCTAAACAAACTCCAAGTCAAACTCTAATTATCCCAAGGCTGCCCTTTCCAGCATTTATGCCTCAGCGTGACACTGTACACCTAAAGAGTCCCACGTCTAGATTTTTGAAAACCTCTCGCCCTCTGATTCTGACTGTCCTTAAGCATGTTTTGTTGTAATTAGACCTAAGGATAAAAGAGCCGGAGTACTTGGCAGAATAGAACTCATCTGTTATATTAACACCTCTTCCAATATCCCCAATTAAGAATGGTACTGTGGGTTAAATAGCACCCCTCAAAAAGTATGTTTGAGTCCTACTTTCCAGTGTCTATAAATGTGACCTTATTTGAAAATAAGAGACATGCAGAAAAATGAAATAGATCCCTATGTCTCGCCACATACAAAAATCAAACCAAAGTGGATTAAAGACTTAAATTAAAGACTTAAAGAATTAAAGACCTCAAACTATGAAACTACTACAAGAAAACATTGGAGAAAATCTCTAGGACATTGTCTGGGCAAAAATTTCTTGAGCAATACTCCACAAGCACCAGGAACCAAAGTGAAAATGGACAAATGGGATCACAAGTTAAAAGCTTCTGCACAGCAAAGGGAACAATCAACAAAGTAAAGAGACAACCCACAGAATGGGAGAAATTACCTGCAAACTACTCATCTCACAAGGGATTAATAACCAGAATATATAAGGAGCTCAAACAACTCTATAGGAAAAGACAATCTAATAATCTGATCTTTAAAATGAGCAAAAAAAAGTAAATAGACATTTCTCGAAAGAAGACACACAAATGGCAAACAGGCACATGTAAAGGTGCACAACATCACTGATCATCAGAAAAATGCAAATCAAAGCTATGAGATGTCATCTCACTCCAGTTAAAATGGCTTTTTTCCAAAAGATAGGCAAAAACAAATGCTGATGAGGATGTGGAAAAAAGGGAACCCTCACTCACTGTTGGTGGGAATGCAAATTAGTACAAGCACTATGAAGAACAGTTTGGAGGTTCCTCAAAAAACTAAAAATAGAGCTACCATATGATCCAGCAATCCCACTGCTGGGTATATACCCCTAAAAAAGAAAATTAGTGTATCGACGTGATATCTACACTCCCATGTTTGTTGCAGCACTGTTCACAGTAGCTGAGATTTGGAAGCAATCTAAATGTCCATCAACTGATGAATGGATGAAGAAAAAGTGGTACATATACACAATGGAGTACTATTCACTCATAAAAAAGAATGAGATCTTGTCATTTGCAACAACATGGATGGAACTGGAGCTCATTATGTTAAGTGAAATAAGCCAGGCACAGAAAGACAAACATCACATGTTCTCACTTATTTGTGGGATCTAAAACTCAAAACAGTTGAACTCATGGGCATAGAGAGCAGAGGATGGCTACCAGAGCCTGGGAAGGGTAGTGGAGGAATTGCAGAGGGAGGTGGGGACAATTAATGGGTACAAAAAAAAGTTAGAATGAATAAGTCCTACTATGTTATAGCACAACAGAGGGACCACAGTCAATCATAACTTAAGTGTACATTTTAAAATAACTTAAAGGTTATAATTGGATTGTTTGTAAATCAAAGGACAAATGCTTGAGGGGATGAATACCCCATTCTCCATGATGTGCTTATTTCACATTGCATGCCTGTATCAAAGCATATCATGTAACCCCATAAATATATACTCCTACCATGTACCAACAAAAATTAAAAATTAAAAAAAAATTTTAAAAAGAAAATAGGATCTTTGTGGATGTAATTCATTTAAAATGAAGTCATATCGAATGAGAGTAGGCCCTAATCCAATGACTGGTGTTATTAGAAGTAGAGAGAAATCTGGACACAGAGACCCAGACACAGGGGAGAAGCCCATGTGAAAATGGAGGCAGAGATTGGAGTGACGGATGGTCAGCAGCCACTGAAAGCCAGGAGAGACACGTGGAGCAGCTCCCCCCTCACAACCCTTGGAAGGAACAAACCCCGCCCACACCTTGATCTTGGAGTTCTAGACTCCAGAACCACGAGAGAATTAATTTCTGCTGTTTCAAGCCATCTAGCTTTTGGGAATTTGCTACAGCAGCCCCAGGAAACTGATAGGGATGGGGACACTGAGACGGGGTGGCTTGCCTAATGTGCTGGAGCAAGTTTTTCACAAAGCAGTCACAGGATCATGCTCTGATGACTTGGGCACACACCCAGCACAAATGGAAACGTGTTGACCTCTCAGCCTGCATGTCACTAGGCTTTGTATGAAGGGAGGGAACAGGAGAGAGCAAAGGAGTTATTGTTAGTTGGTGCTGGCCCTCCAGAGCAAGACAGCTTTCTTCCCACTCAAATCACTGTGTTCTGCTTAGTTGCCTAATGAATTTCTGTCACATACTAAGAATATTCCCAAAACTGTAAACTTGACTATGTCTCATGAGCCCAGAGACAGGTTGGAATGTTCCATTTGTCATTCATCTGTTCAGTTCCCATTTAGCCAGAGTCGTTAAAAGAATGATAAGAAGAAAATCAATGTGCATTTTAGTTCCATTAAAAAAATGAATTAATAAGAGAAAATCCTATCATACATACAACTCCTTATAAGATCCATTATCTGACTCTATTTATAATTCAAAGTCTTTTCTAATGAGTGAATTTTTCAATTAGAGGATTCGATTTTACTTCTCAAGGACTTCACTGACTAGTTATATTTGGGGTAAGCGCCTTTGATCAAATTTCCCTGGACTTTTTCAGAAGATCAAAACATCTGATCCAGATAACACCAATATAAAGAACAAGACCCACACCATGTTTACAGAATTCTCATGCCCAGAAATCCCAAGCCATTAGCTTGTGTCCCTTTACTACATGTGATGCCATAAGTGATGGGGGCAGGGGAGGTAGGGGCAGAAAACTGGAGTGGAAAATGCTGACTTTTAGATCAAGTGTCAGATCTGTACACTTGAATTCTGCTATTTATCCAGCAAGCAACCCTGGTAATTGAATTAACCTCTTTGAGCCTCATTTTTCCCTCTGTATCTTGCAAAGTGACTCATGGTTGTAAGAGTTCAAAAAAAAGCAATATACACATTTTGGGTAGGAAACCTACTTCCTGAGCAGGAAGGAAAACTACTGCATTAGAAAAACTAAATGCAGTAGGTTCAAGTTCTGAACCCAAGTTCAGCTGCTCACTGCTCAAAAGCCAAACACCAGAGACAAGAGTTGATGAGAGGAAATGCAGGTTTATTCAACAGCTGGCAACTTAAGGAGATAGTGGACTGGTGTTGCAAAGAACATCTCAAGTGAGTACAAATTTCAGCCTCTTCTTATGTTAAGTGCAGGGGGAAGAGTAGAGGACTGGGATCAAGAGGTGACCAACAACTGCAGGCATCTGGGGACCGGCAAGCTTCCGAGGAGGCTAAGAACTTTTTTGTCTTTGGTCAATTCACAGTGCTCCTATAAATCTTTGAACAAGACATAGTTGTTTACATACTTCCCCTTTAACCCTAAAGTTAGTTTTAAAAACCACATGATTGCTGTTGTTGCATATTATCTCAGTGCTCTAAAATTATCCTTGCCTATGTGCAGTAATGGGTAAAGAACCCTTCAACAAAAAGTGGAGTCAGTTATGTCACTTCTTTGCTGTTTCACTGCTACAGAAGCCTATGAAAAGTAGTAGAAAGTTTGTGAAATTATGGGATGTGCACACTTGGAAACACTTCTGTTGTGGCAGTAGGAAGATAAAGTACTAAATTAGGGATAAGGCAATGTCATGGTCAGTAAGATATAAGAAAATACAGGTAAGATAAGGGAGAGGAGGAGGCTGCAAAGTGCTGGCCTTCTTGTGACCTCAGAAATGATGTTAGCCAGGACTTTAAGTTAATGTCAACCAAAGATACAGGAAAATCTGCTTAAGACCAAGGTGTGCAGGCATCCACCCTGCTTTCCCTGCATAGGGGGTCCTCCTCACACAGGTGATGTAAACAGTGATGGGGACAGAGCAAGTGCTCCTCCTTGGAAAAGGCACTGGAGTGGGACTTGGGTAGCATTTGATAGAAGATGAAAAGGGAAATTGTATGGAGACAGGAGAACATATTTGGAAGGACTTGAGTACATCATAGAAGTGTGTGTGTGTGTGTGTGTGTGTGTGTGAGAGAGAAAGAGAGAGAGAGAGAGAGAGAGAGAGAGAGTTGGGCCACATGCCTGAGAGCATCTCAGGAATGCCTGTTGGTTCCCCCGTGGGTTGGTTGTGAACTGGAAAGAAGCTACCTGCTTCTAAACCTACATTGCCTCAAATGCCCTGCTTACTGTATTGCCACAGTGGGGCCTGGGCTGGGGGAGGCAGATTTCATAGTCTTGGTGGCCTATGTGAGTTTGTGTAACTATTGTGGTTTTGGGCAACTGTAGTGGGTTGCCACCTCAATTACTCTCCTACCCCTTTTCACAGCCAAAAAAGTTTAGCCAGCCCAAGGCGAAAAGGTCATTGGTACATATATAAAGTATCATGCTTATAATAGGCACTCAATAAATATCAACTTTATCTACTCCTACAGGTGTATCAGAAAAGATAAGAATTGCTTGTCATAGACATGCACAGACACTTCAGACACTTTGCACAGATACACAGAAATTGGAGCTGCATTTGTTTTCTAAAGAATTATTAAAACAATCCAATGATGTAGAGCTCAGATGTACTGCTCTGCCACCAGGGGCTAGGGGTGGAAGGAGGGACAAGAGGGAGTTATTAGTTATAGGGTCCAAAGTTTCAGTTAGACAGTAGGAATAAGTTTTTGCGATCTAGTGCACAACACGGTGACTATAGTTAATAATAACTCATTGTATATTTCAAAATTGCTAAAAATAAGTAAAATTCAAATGTTCTCACCACAAAAGATGATAAATATGTGAGATGACAGACATGTTAATTAGCACGATTTAATCATTCCACAATGTATACATAGGTCAAAATGTCACGCTGGACTCCCTAAGTATATGCAATTATTATTTGTCAATTAAATTTTTTAAATACACAAAGCAAACAAAATTGAACTTAACTAACCCTATAAATAAGCGGGAAAAACCTTGGGCAAAGATGCAAAAGGCTGGGACCGTGGATTTAACTATGGCCTTACTTGGGTATTACCTGCGGAAGCCCAGTTAACTCCCTCCTTCTCACTGGTCGGCTCTGACGATGGATCACTCTTCTCTTATTGTTCTGAGTTCAGCGGATCATTCTACAATTTGCTCTGTATTTTGTGGAAAGATCTAGTGGACAGAAGCCAAAAATCCTTTCTAAGTAAAGTGGAAATAAAAATATTCTGCTTTCTTAAATTAGAAAAAAAAATTTTTTTAAACTAATATTTTCTTCATCTACACTAGCCAAATATTAAAAACAGATTCCTAAAGGTGATCAGACAAAAACATGGTTAGAAGAGCATCAAAGAACATAGAGAGCTCAGAAATAGACATGTGAATTTAGAATATGAAGCAGAGAATGTTTCACATCAGTGGAGAAAAAAGGACTATTTGATGAATGATGACATTGGATAATTGACAAAATATTCGAATAAAAAATTCCCTGCATCCTTCCTTATACCAAAATGAAATCCAGATGGAAAAAGATGGAAATGTAGGAAATAGAATCACAAAATAATAATGCTAGTTATTAATAATTAGAAAAGACTAGATAGTCTCTGTGTTGGCCACAGTGCCTGACACATTCAAGGCACTCAATAAACATTTGTAATATCAATTAATGCAGTGCTTTTTATGTGCTGGATTCTCCATAGAGGAGTGCTTTACCTGTTTTTTTCTCATTTAATCCTCAAAACAGGGATATGACACAAGACATAATAGTTTCCATATTTTATGTATGAGAAACAGAAATACAAAGAGGTTAGATAACTCCATTGAGGGCCACCAGCTAGCAAGTGTGGGGATGACGTTCAGACCCTGAAATTTGGGCTCCAGGGCGCTCTCTTGTTTTCGTGTGTGTGTGTGTGTTGTGTGTGTGTACATGTGTTTGTGTGTGTGTGTTTCTGGTAGATTATAGTTTTTATCTTTTTTTATGGAAAACCTTAAATATATACAGAGATGGAGAACATGGTACCATGAGCCCCTGTGGATGTATGTACCACCCTCCATTTAAAACAAGCATCATGGCCAGTCCACTTCATCCGTATCCCCACACACTTGGGCCCACTTCGGGTGACTTTGGAACAGATCCCAGACTTATTCATGTGAAAATATCCCTGCATGTGGCGCCAAAATACACAGGCGTCTTTCTTTGAACATAATCTCAGTTCCATCATCATTCTAACAAATAACTATATTTTTATAGCAAATATTCAGTCGGTTTTCAAACTTCCCTTCTTGTTTCACTTTTCTGGAGGGAGGGATCCATTTACTGAAGTTATCTGACATGGCTCTCGAGTCCCTTCTACCCCACGACTCCCCTTTTTTCCCTTTATCCTTGTGAATTATCTGTTGAAGAAGCCAGGTCACTGGTGTGCAGTTTCCTATTGTCTGGGTTCCACTGACTATGTCCAGTGGTGTCACCGAGCCTGTGCCTCCACCCCTGCATTTTTGCAGACTGGCCATCCAATTCGGCTGAGCCCATATGGTTTAGTTCATACTTACAAGATAATATTTTTTTTGAGATGGAGTCTCACTTTGTCACCCAGGCTGGAGTGCAGTGGCATGATCTCAGCTCCATGCAACCTCCACCTCCCAGGTTCAATCAATCCTCCTGCCTCAACTTCCTGAGTAACTGGGACTACAGGCACAAGCCACCACACCTAGCTAATTTTTATATTTTTTGTAGAGACTGAGTTTCACCATATTGGTCAGGCTGGTCTCAAACTCCTGACCTCAGGTGATCTACCTGCCTCGGCCTCCCAAAGTGCTGGCATTACAGGCGTGAGCCACCGGCGCCCAGCCAAGAATAATTTTTTTAAACCGTGAGGGGAAAGAAGAGCCTTCCTTGACATGACGAAAGGAAAGGAGGAGGAGGAGGAGGAGGAGAAGGAGAAGGAGAAGAAGAAAGAGAAACAGAAAGAGAAAGAGAGGAAAAGGAAGGAGGGAAGAATTGGCTGGGTGCAGTGGCTCATACTTGTAATCTCAGTACTTTGGGAGGCCAAGCTGGGCAGATCACTTGAAGTGAGGAGTTCAAGACCAGCCTGACCAACATGGTGAAACCCTGTCTCTACTAAAAACACAAGAATTAACTGGGCGTGGTGGGTGGTGCCTGTAATCCCAGCTACTCGGGAGGCTGAAGCAGGAGAATCATTTGAACCCGGGAGGTAGAAGTTGCAGTAAGCCGAAATCACGCCACTGTACTCCAGCCTGGGTGACAGAGCGAGACTCTATCTCAAAAAAAATAATAGAAAGGAAGGAAGGAAGGAAGGAAAGAAGGAAAGAAGGAAGGGAATAAAAGCCAAAAAATATTTAGAAAACAGCTTTTCTTGTCTAAATATTTAGAATTCCCTTCCTTTATGACAATCTTTCCCTCTCTCTCCAACTAGGTCAGAGGACATGCGATAAACTGGGGAAAACAATTGCAATGCTTCTATTAGTTAATATCCATAATCTATAAAGAACTCCAACAAATTAGTAAGAATAAAACAAACAGCCCTTGGCTGCCGTGAGAACATGCACTGAGCACTCACTCAGCTCTCCTACTGTGGGGGCACCATTGATGGGCAGCTTCAACTTGACTGGAATTCAACACCACATTTGTCCCAAGGCCATGCTTCCCAGGGCTGCTCACAGCCAAGAACAGGAATGCAGGTCTCTTCCTGGGACAAGACACTCCTCTGAGGGTGACTTGGATGGAGTCCAAGTTGGCCTGGCTGAAAGTTTCTTGGAAATGCAGGGCAGTCTGATGCTCTGTCTACTCACCCCTCTTTTACTGAGGCTGCATTTTATGGCCCTTCCCACCTTCTCCAGCCCCTCCCCTTCCTCACTAACTCTCTCCATGTCTAATCCCATCGCAACATCTGCTTCTCAGAAGGACTCAACCAACAAACCCTCCATGTTGCACCTGTCAGATGGAAATGATGAAAATAACTGATGATTATCACAGTGTGCTGAAGTTGGCATGCTTATCTACCATGATGGGGGGTATGAGTGATTAAAATCATTCTAAAGGACAGTTTAGCAACATGTTTCCAACATTGCGAGTGGCTAACCTCTTTAACCCCAAATTCCATATCTAAGATTTTAGTTTAAATGGTACATATTAAAGAAGAAAATACATATTCATCTCAATTGATGAGAAAAAACCTTTCATAAAATTCATAGCCTTTCATGATTAAAAAATAAAAACCTCTTAGCAAAATAGAAATAGAAGAGGACTTCCTTAACACAAAGAAGAGATGTATTCAAGAAAAATACCCGAGGGCAAGAACTGTGTCTGCTATATACCAGAGCCTATCCCTGGCTCAAGGTCAGTACCTAAAAAGTCTGTATGGAATGAATACAGGAAAAAGGGAATGGTCCCTGGCCGTGTTTTCAGCCCCATCTTCTGATTCCCCTTTACACACCTCTACTTCAGCTGAACAAAATGACCAGCACTTGCTGCAGTGGTCTTAGAACTCCACTTTATTGGGCCGGGAGCAGTGGCTCATGCCTGTAGTCCCAGCACTTTGGGAGGCCAAGGTGGGCGGATCATCTGAGGTCAGGAGTTGGAAACCAACCTGGCCAACATAGTGAAACCGTGTCTCTACTAAAAATACAAAAAAATTAGCCGGGGAGGGTGGTGTGCGCCTGTAGTATTTGGGAGGCTGAGGCAGGAGAATCACTTAAACCCAGGAAGTGGAGGTTGCAGCAAGCTGAGTTCACACCACTGCACTCTAGCCTGGGCAACAGAGCGAGACTTCGTCTCAAAAAAACAAAACAAAACAAACATTGAGCATCTTTGTGCTAAGTTGAGAGCTGAGCATTCGACTAACGTCATTTCTAATTGTTGCTACAACCCTGAAAGTTGGAGAGAGTTCCCCATTTTATAGAATAGGAAAGTGAGGCTCACAGATGCCAATAGCCCACTCATGGACACACAGCTAATGAGAGGCAGCACTTGGATTTAAGTCCATGTGACTACCGTGTGGGCCTGTGCTCGCTCCGCCCTATCACATGGCCTTTCTGGGGCAGCACTAGGATATATGAAGACCTTGTCCTTAACACTGAATGACCTGATACCTTGTCACTTGATCTGAAAAATGACACTGTCCAGCTTACTTCTCCTGGCTCGGCGTGTGCATTATTCTCCTCTGTGTCTCCTGCGCACTGAAAACCCCTTTGGCCAGCATCACCCTGCCCCGTGTGAGAGACCCTCCAGCCACCCTTGAGATTCTAACCAGTGTTAGTGCCAGAAGTTGGAGCTGGGGACAGGATGGAAGGGACACACTGTGAAAATGGAACATGTGCATTTTCAACAGGCTCCTCCAAGGTCATGGCCTCAGGCCTCTCTTCCCTACACCCTCCTGGAAATGGTTTAATCAAAGGCTGTAGCCACAGTACCCCCATCTTCATTATATCCCCAGGAAACAAGGTGTCAGGCCCTCCAGAGCAGCCTGCTCAGAGCACAGCCTGCCTTCTGCTGATGTCGATTTCAGACATTAAGCCTCAGCCACCTTGACAGTACCGGTAATAATTTGCAGGGGGTGGGGAAGATCTAGTTTGCAGAATTGTAGAGGCTGGAGAGCCCTCTGGCTTTGCTAGTCATCTTCTAATCCAAGTGCCTTTAAAAATATTAGTAGGTTAATGAAAACCAGCAAGAACAACAAAACCACATTGTTACTCAAAGGGCCACGTGCTTTGCCAAGGTGACATACTTGGCCAGGGGCATAGTTTTGGATGGAAGTCACGGGTTCTGTCTCCTGTCTGATGCTCCTTAGACTCTGCCGAGACCCTTGGGGGCGTGACTGTCTCTTAGGGTCCCTTCCCATCCTAAGGGTGCAGGTTGTGGTTAAGAGCATATGATGATCTTAGTCCACCTCTGCTGATTGCCAGACATGTGGTCCTAAGCAAGCTAAGAATCTCTTTGTGCCTCAGTTTTCTCATCTGCAAAATAAAGACGATAAAAAATGATACCAATCTAGTGGAGTTTTTGTGAGGGTTAAATACATTAACATATATAAAGTTTTTAATACAGTGCCCAGTAAACAATAAGCATTCCATAAATATCAGCTATTACTATATTAATTGGTAACCTTGGGTCAATAAGCCATTGTGGAACCTTTCTCAGGAGTGAAGTTAAAATGATTTGTACCCAGTTTATAGAAACGCTTGAATGGGTGAATACATGAATAAATAAACAGATGAATGATGAGTGAGTCAAAATACTTCTGAATGATAGTTAATGGCTTTGATATTTTTCCATATGACACGTCCATTGAACAGAGAATTTCCTCACTATAAGTTACTAACGGTGCCCTGAGACACCATGGCTTCCCAATATGGTGGATATTTAGGAGCAGGGGGCTTTGCTGGGTGACTGGATCTCCAAATTAAAATAATCTTAGCCACAAAGATATCATGCCCTTCCATGTTCCAACGCAGGCTCATGGAGGCTTTGTTTCAGGAGAAGAGGGAATCCCAGCTATGACTGACATTTATTTACGCTCACAAGATGGCTTGTCTGCTGACGAGGAACTAGAGTGTAGGAGTGAAAGTCAATGACACAGAGAAACACAAATAGACAGGGAAGGTAAAATTATCTCTCGTTTTGGCATTTTCTGCTCTGCCAGGAGCACAGTTAAATTCATACCATCTTAAGATGCCAGAGATGAGGTTTGCCTTGGAAGGGCATTCATTCTGTCACCATCTAGAAAGCATTATATGCTAGATGCTGGGCCTGAGGGTGGCAATGCAATGGTGCCCCAGTGCAGCCCATCTCCTGCCCTGGGTCATGGAGAAGGGAGGGAGACAATGACACAGCATTTCAGAGTGCTCCAACGGACAGCTGTGAACTGGATTCTTATGGATATAAGAGGGGGGGACGGCTCTATTAGAACTTCCTTTTAGAGTCTGGGAGACTGTGACGGGGAGGGGACACTTGAGCTGGGGCTTCAGTGGATGAAGAGAAGCTTGCCAACCAGAAAAGCTGGAAGGCCCCCTAACAGAGGCAGCAGCAGGTGCAAAGGCTGGGGGCTGTCCAGGGGACCTCCAACCTTTGTCATGGCTGCAGCAGCAGTGAAAGGGTGTCAGGGAGGGGTGGGAGATGAGAATGAGTGAGGCTACAAAGGAACTTAAATTCTATCCTGCCACCTTTGCAAAGTTGAGTAGGAGAGGTCACAATGGGACCAGCCCATCCCCTCATTTTCATAGAGGAAGAAAATGAGGCCCATGGACATGGACATGAGGTGACTCCCCCAGAACCACAAAGCAGGTCCATGCTGGTGCCAACACCCAGTTCTCCAAATGCCCCATTCTGATCCTTTTCACCCCACTCTATCGTCCCCTCTCAACCTAGGCATTGAACAAATATATAACATGAAACAAAATCTACTCAGAGAGAGGCCACATAAGGATAAAGATTTCTGGTTATGGCTGTATGAAATTGAGTTCCTGTTCTACTTAAGAGCTCAGAAACTCAGTTCAGTCATTTGTAAAGTGGAGGTTGTATTTTCCCATGCAGGACTAAGTGAGATAGAGATTGTGAAGACACACAGCATAGTGCTTGGGGAGCAGGCAGAGGACAGCCAATAGCTGCCATAACCATTGATGGGCTGAGACTTTATTGGTGCCCATTGGTAAGTGGGAGTCCCAACTCAGCTCATAAAATAGAGCTGTAGACTGGTGGTATTTTCTTGGAGAATCTTCAAGGAAAGGCTCAGGTCTCTGTGATAACGTTTTCCTTTGACTTACCCATCCTCTCTTAGCCAAACTAGTACAGGGCCACCTGGGATTTCTTTCCTCATGCAAACCTGCCTGCCCAGCATTGGTATTCTAAGCAGCTTTGGTTCTCCAAAATGATTACCCAAAGTTATTTGGGGCACTAATTTGCATGTAGTGTTTATTGCATTTTGAAATGGTTCTTTTGTTTTCAGCCCAGCAGACATAGTGGAGGAGGAACATGGGGAGGAGCGTAATGTATCTTAATTTGGGAGTAGTTAACAGTCTTAAACCAAGCCTTGAGATGTATCTTTGAAGCTGAAGCTGGGAATACACTAGGGTGAGGGAAGTGGGAACCAGCCCTGCAAAGTATGGATTTCAATGGCACACCGCACCTTTTTTTTTTTTTTTTTTTTTTTTTTTGAGATGGAGTCTTGCTCTGTAGCCCAGGCTGGAGTGCAGTGGCACAATCTTGACTCACTGCAACCTCCACCCCTCAACTCTCCTGCCTCAGCCTCCTGAGTAGCTGGGACTACAGGCACGTGCCACCATGACATGCTAATTTTTTGTATTTTTAGTAGAGGCGGGGTTTCACCATGTTAGCCAGGATGGTCTCGATCTCCTGACCTCGTGACCTGCCACCTCGGCCTCCCAAAGTGCTGGGATTACAGGCATGAGCCACCGCGCCGGGCCCACACTGCGTTTTTTAAGCAGAGTCTTGGATGGCATATGATTGTAAAGCCAAACAGGTAAAGGGGAGAAAAAGGTACTTAATTAAATTGCATAATTAAAGAACAGTAGGCTATGCCTCATTTTATAACAACTAAGTGCTGGTGGTTGAGTCAACCTCACTCAACGGAGTAAAACACAAAGCCTTTTCACCATGCTCTTCTTGTTTGCCTCTTAGCAGCAGGTGGCGTGGTTCTGTTCTAACTCTTTGACATGTCATTCTCTCCTACCCTGACTTCCAAAAGTCTCTACTCCCTTGGGTCCCCTGCTTCTGTCTGACCACTTTCTCCTGCCTTGAAAGTCTGTGTGTCCCCAGGGTCAGTCCTAGGACCCTTCTCTTTGCGGTCTCTTCTTCCCTTCTTAGGAATCTGTCATTCCTTGCAGGCTGTCTCCAGGAGTGAGACCCTGTCTCAAAAAAAAAAAAAAAAAAGAGGGCCAGGTGCGGTGGCTCACACCTGTAATCCCAGCACCTTGGGAGGCTGAGGCAGGCGGATCACCTGAGGTCGGGAGTTCGAGACCAGCCTGACCAACATGGAGAAACTCCATCTCCACTAACAATATAAAATTAGCCAGGCGTGGTGGCATATGCCTGTAATCCTAGCTACTCGGGAGGCTGAGGCAGGAGGATCCCTTGAACCCAGGAGACAGAGGTTGTGGTGAGCCGAGATCACGCCATTGCACTCTAGCCTGGGCAACAAGAGTGAAACTCCATCTCAAAAAAAAAAAGGAATAACCCAATTCATATGATCAACTTTCACACCTGACTCATGGTAGGCTGTCCCAGGCAGAGCTCTCTTGGTTATCATGAAAACCAGTTGATATGGTTAGGCTTTGTGTCCCTACCCAAATCTCGTCTTGAATTGTAATCCCCATAATCCCCACGTGTCAAGGGAGATATCAGGTGGGAGTAACTGAATCACGGGGTGGTTTCCCCCATGCCGTTCTCGTGATAGTGAGTGAGTTCTCACGAGATCTAATGGTTTTATAGGGGGCTCCTCCCTCTTTGCTTGGCACTTCTTCCTGTGCTGAGCCTTGTGAAGAAATTGTCTTGCTTCTCCTTTGCCTTCTGCCATGATTGTAAGTTTCCTGAGGTCTCCCCAGCTATGCTGAACCGGGAGTCAATTAAACCTCTTTCCTTTATAAATTAACCAGTCTTGGACAGTTCTTTATAGCAGTATGAAAATGGACTAATACACCAGTTATCCAGCCCCAGTAAATGGAAGGGTCATTGAATGCATTTAGCACCTTCCTTACTTATAGGACAGAGCTTCAGGAAACATAGAGGAGTCTCTGGCTTTTTCAGCCCCTTCTCTCTAGGGCCTCGTGGCCTTCCAGCTTGGCATCTCTCACAGCCTGTATACCCTCTTGTTTCTGCAGACCACACTACTCCATCTCTCATGGTTCTGGCTTAGCAAGACACCACCCCCAACTACAGCTCTCCAGATCTTCTTGTTGAATAGCTACCACCCCTGACCTCTGTGACTCAGTTCCTCTCACTGAGCGTTTCATTGACTCAGTCCAGCCCACAAACAAGCCAGTCTTGAGTCATGTGGTCATGCTTGGTCCAATTGGCTGTGGTAGGGTTGAGGTCACATGACTGCTCTTTGCAGAGGAAGTGGAGCTGATTAAGTCAGAAGGGGAAGTTGGGTGTGGGAGGCAAACTGATTGATCTGTCTGCTATACAGGCTTTTGATGAATGTTCCATTCAGGAATGTTACTTTGAAAGCTGGGAAGAGGGACTGCCCTGTTCTTGGGATTGACATTTGCTTCTGAATCAGGAGTTTATGGCTGGATTTCCTTTCCTCTCTTCTGTTTTCTCGCATTTGAAATGCTAAGAGACTGGGAGTGGGAATAAGGGGCAGAGAATTATGACTTCGACTTTGGCTTTTGTGCATTTTCTGATGTAATTCTATGTGCTAGGAGCTTGAATACCTCCTCCTGTCCCTGCTGTGCCACTTCCCAGCTGGTGGGAGCCTGCCCTGGTCACCCACCCTTCTTGATTAAACTGCATGGCAATGTATTGAATTAAATGATAAGGTCTGTTCTAGCCACCATGAATCCTGTCCTCACTCAGTCAACAGTCAATAAACATTTATTTTTATTACATGTGTGATAATGAAGGCTCTCTCCCTCCAGCAGGTGCAGAGAAGCAAAAGCAGGGGATGGCATTTGCCGATTTCTTAGGCTATTTCCAGCCCTCACGTTGACTGTTTTTCAGCTATCACTGCCCCCAAACTGGATTAATGTCACTCTGCAAGAAAGAACTAAAGAACAAGAGGGCAAGTGTGAGAGAACACATAAGACAAGGCTGCTTTCCAGGAGGGAAATGGAAATGCCAAGAATGCAATTGTCACCAGAGAGGAACAGGGCCTGCCCAAGAGGACAGGAGACATAAATCTCTCCCACTTTGCAACTAACTCTTCCCGGAGCTCTCTCTAGTAGGGAGAGGGAGAGAGAAGTTATGGGAAGAGGGTTGACAGAGCCCCATCTCTGAGCTGGCTGGTGCTTTCCTGACTAGGAAGCAGACACACTAAGTTCAAGGCTTGGCTCTATAACCCCAGGGCAAATTGTCTAAACTGTTCTCTCTGTTTTCTCAGCTGAAAATGAGAGATTAAATACTTTTCTCCAAGGGTCACTGTGTGAGGAATGTATGTTGCTATATATGGAGATAATGCCAACACAGTAGCTATTCAAGAGGCGTGAGCTTCCTCCCCTTCAAGCTGGGAGGCCCATCAATCTCAGAGCCGATGGAGCACAGTGACCATCCATTTAATCTTTCAGAGAAGGAAACTGAGGCTCAGAAAGGGGATGACTCTTGCCTGAGCAATCGTTAGGGCCTTGCTGCTGACTGCACAACTGGGTTCCCCTAATCACAAGTCCTGTGGGCCAGGCTGGTGGGATCCTGTGCCTGTGGATGAATGCTAGCACCCTAAAATGGATCGTTAACAGAATCAGTGACCTAACCCTTACCCAAAGCTAGCAGACACTGCAGAAACCCTGAGCAGTTGCTCGAGGTTTGGGGATTCACGGTATTGAGCATGAACTTCTGGAAGCCCCCAGTGAGTACGGACACCGTGGAGATCCCAAGCCAGAGCTGAGACAGGACCTGAAGGTACCCCCAGAAAACCTGCCAGGGTAACGGGGAGACCGAAGGATGAGCACCTAGTTCTGAGGATCCACTCCACACCAACTGCTTTCACTATGGCAAAGGCTCAACCACTGAGTAGATTCCTCTTTTATCTGCCTGCTCAGCATCCATTCCATTCATTTTAGTGACAGCACCCCAGATTTCCTTGGAGAACCACCCCTCCCCATTCTTAAATCCAAGATTAGTTTTCTGACTCAAACTCTGTTCTCCATTCTCCTCTCCTGGGATGGGCATAGCAACATGAATAGCTGGCCAATCAGAGCATGGCATTCTCCTCTAGCTACAGTGATTGGTTCAGAAATGGGCACATGACCCAGGCCAGACCAATTAGAGCTAATGAAATTTAACAGGAATGCAAATTACTGGCAAAGAAACCCTCTGCCTTTTCCCTGGTGAAAGGATAGAGTGTAAGTAAGCCTGGGACTGCCACGAAAAATAGGCAGCCTGTCAGTGATCACAGCCTCCACAGAAATGCAGGTTGGGAGGTCTGCGTGGGTATAGCGTGGAGCACCAAAGCTTCGGAGAGAAATACTTCTGATCTCCCAGCTCTTGGTGGCTCTGGGAATGGAACCGGACCCTGTCTTTGGGCTGACTCCAGCTTTGTTCCAGAAGGTACAATATTGTGGTCATTTTGGTGCTCCAGACAATTGTAAGGACAGTGTTTACCCGGTGTTCTTGGAGCAGCGCTGAATAATCCCAATGCAGTGACTGTTTTGTGTAAAAATGTCAAAGACTGTCTTTACTGTGGACAAGGTGATCCCTGCAGACATAATTAAGGTGTGAGCAGTGATGGGCTGGGAGATGTACCGCCCGGAACCCTCTTCAGGGAAGGACCTGTCGCCCATTTGCTGGGCATGCTGTCAGCCCTTTCAGGGATGCCTCAGGCTAAACTTCTCTGGGACAGCTTCACAGGGAACCCAATTGCTGCCATGAACTAATGCTTCCTCTAGTAGGATCCAGTGACAGAATTAGAGAATTGGGGGGGGGGGTGTGGGGCACAAATGGCAAAGGGCAGGATGCTACAACTTGGTACAACTGGGGACTAAAAGGAGGAAATGTCCATGAGGCACTTCCTTCTTTCCCTCCAAATAGAGTCAAGACCAAGGAACATCAGGAGCAGCAAGATCCCATACTGATATTTAGATGCTTCTTTTAAAATAATTCCTGTATGTTGCACTCAAAACTCGGAAAAGTCTCTTAACCCAACAGCCTTAAGCCAACTGTGTTTGTGGTTCCTCTGGTCCATATTTGGACTGGAAATTGAAGGTGCAGCTCCCCGAAGGCCATTCAAAGCTGTCCAGAGGTGATGGGAGGAAGTCAGAGCAGCAGCTGGAGTGAGAGGTGACAGCCTGCAGTCAGGACAGCTGGTACCCGGATCCCCTGGCTTGGGACTTGCTCCCATTGGTCTTACCCTGGAGGACCTCTGGCTAAGGAAGTGTGGCATTAAGGGAAGGAGTAACTTCCCTGAAAACTGAGATTTGAGGACATTAGCGTGACCCCAGACTAACCACATGTTTGCTGACTAGCCCACAGGGAAGATGGCAGAGGAAGGTGGGATGAAAACAACAACCCCTGCCTCAACCAGCCAGCCGGGGAGGAGGAGCACCCTGGGGGAGGGGCTTGCTGTGTGCTGCAGCCTGGGGAGAGGAGAGGAGAGGAGAGGAGAAGGGAGGAGACCGGGAGGGGAAGCCATTCCCTGACCTGCTCCGGCACAACGCAGGGCCTAGAGGACCTCTTGATGGTGAGACTGAAGCTGGCTGTGCTGGGAGGTTCCCACCATGTACGCTGAAGGAAAGGGCAGGGCTGAGTTGTCATTCCTTTAGGCTGCAGGCCCAGGAGTGGGACCCAGAACCAAGGCTCCTGGCTCTCCGCCCTTTCTGCAGCCCCAGGGGCCAGGGCAGCCTCTCGGTCACTCTCAGGACAAACGATCTTGCTGAATGCATAGAGTCTTCAAGGAATAAAATCAAGGGTTTTTCAAGCGAATGGTCAAAGCCTCACATTAATGCAGCAGAGTGAAGGGGGTTGCCCCATTTCCCAGATGGAAGTATGGAGGTGCAGAGACAGAAGGGAGGTGCCCATGATCACAGACGTGGAAAGTAGCAGAGCTCCTTGAGCTCCCCCTCTGCCCCCAGGCTGTCCCAGAGCTCCTGCTTGCTTTATTTCTGTCCCAGTCTCCCATTAAGGATGTGAGTACAGTCTAAGCCCATTTGCTGAATGCAGCCGATGCCATGTGAATGATGGGAGCTCCAGCCCAGCCTTAATAGACATTTTCTTATTCAGTGACTGTTCCCTCTCCAGGGAGCCAGTGGGGCTGTCAGGGCTCTCATTGCAGCGTTTACAAGATGAAGGGGCCCAGCCAGGAGCTGCAGAGAAGCGGAAGGGGAAGAAGGGAAAGGCCTGAAACAGAAAGAGCAGGGCCAGAACTGGGGCATGGTAGGAAAGAGGTGGGTGGTGGGGTGGAGGGACGAGCTTCAGGAGCACCCCTGCTTTGCCAGCCTGGGACAGTGTCCTTGGCTCAGACTCTGTCTCAGGAGAGGACGGAGGGAATTGCAGTGCACCTGTTTGTGGGGGACACTGAGGATAGGGCCACCACAGAGAGCCTCTCTTCAGTTTTTGTCATCACAGCCACACAGGAAGACCCACATAATGATCTTTTTGGAGATGAGAAAGCTGAGGCTCAGAGAGGTTAAGCTACCTGTCCAAGGCCACACAGCGTGCCTGGAATAAGAACCCATGTTCTTCTGCTCACAGGCTGAAAGCCAGCCTCTGCCCCTTTGGGTCCAGCATCTCCACCAGCAAGCAGGCAGAGCAGCTAGGAAGGCCCCTGTACTCATGGGGAAGACTTGCATTTTGACCTGGGGGCCAAGCCACTTTCAGTGTACCAAGAAGTGCTGTGCCCTACAAAGATAACAAAGCCGATATTTGCCTCTCTTGGTTCAGTGTCCTGTGTGCAGAATCCACTGGCAGGAACTCTGGAGGGAAAGGGGCTGAATGAGGGGGTGTAAACAATCAATCCCACCCCAACCTCCAGTGGCAGGTGCTATTATTGTCCCCATGTTGCATCATCAAAGCGAGGGCTGTCACGGCAGAACCGTGTCCCCAGCCAGTGTGGCACCAGAGCCTGCTCTAACCATGGCCTCCCTTGGCCTCAGCTGGTGCAGTCCTCAGCACAGAGGAGGCTTGCCAGGCATGTTTGATGAATGACTGAATGATGCTTGGATGATGCCTTATTGATCCATGAGCTCCCCAAACAGAGAACAGAGTCCTCTGCACCTGTCTCCATGGCGAGCCTCACACACGAGTGTGCGTCTGAGTAGGCTGATGGACCACTCTCCTGGGATCTCTGCCAAAGCATGTGGCTTTGGTTTTCCTGCCTCTTCCCTTCTCTAGTGACAGGGTGGTCTGACCTGACCATTTGCTTCCATGAAGTTGGGGTTGGAATTGCAAAGACCAGATGGCCACAAGGCCACACACCACAAGGTGTTTCTGATTACAGAGCTGGGGAATCTCTCTGGAGTCACTGGAATTGGATGAACAAAGGCTTAGCTCTCTGGGACAGGAAAGAGGAACCAGCCATAGCTCCCCTGAGAGCAGGCAGGGGCCCGCAGGGCTGGGAAGAGAGGGAAGAGCCTGATTTACTTTTGCTTCTGAAGCACCCATGGGTAAGATGGGCCCATCCTATAAGTCATTCTGCCTGAATGGGTGGAGCCGAGGCTGAGCCCTTTCCCCAGCTCCTCCAAGAAGGCTAAAATGTTGGTGGAATTTTCTTCCTTTAATGGACAAAGAGGGGCATATTAGTTTTCTGTGGTTGCTGTAACAATTCACTGCGAGCTGAGTGGCTTAAAACAAAAAAAATGTATTATCTCAAATTCTGGAAGCCATGAGTCCAGAATCAAGAAAGAAACCATTTCTTGCTTCCCCCAGTTTCTCGTGGCTGCAGGCATTCCTTGGCTTGAGGTCACATGACTCCAATCTCCACCTTCCTCTTCACATCACCTCTTCGTGGTGTGTGCGTGTGCATTGTGTGTGTGTGTACATTTGTGGGGACACGTGTGTGCATGTGTGTGTGTATGTGCCCACACTTTCAAGAGACTCAGGGTCCAGTGTGGAAGTCCAACCAGTACGTGCTCAATGACCATCTTTTGTGTTATTCCGTAAAGCCAATCACTACAAAGTTGTGTGATGCATTCCGTGGTCAGAATGCGTGACTGGTCCGGTGGCTGGTGGTAGTAAGGGGTGAATTCTACCTGGAGGATCAGGGCAGGCTGCTCCACAAAGAGGGCCTTTGAGCCTGGCCTCGGAAGAAGAAGGGGAGTCCAGGAGGGAGCATTGACCAATGGAAGACAGCAGGCCCAGGGTTGTCTCTGGAAGGTCAGCAGTCCTGCGTGGCTAGGCAGAGCACAGGCTCGTTGGATGAGAGGACATATTTGGAGGCTGGGGGGCTGCAAAGGGTGGTCAGGGGGCATTGCAAAGGCCCTCCCTCCCCTGCTAGGAAGTGAAACCACCTTGCAACCTTGGCACAAAGTGTGATCTCTGCTGCATTAACCTGGATGCATCCTTTTCCTCTCAAACATGACTTCCTCAGAAAGACCTTTTCCAGACTACCCAGACTCCAGCACTCCCCTGTGATTTACACTCATGTTACCCCATGCTTGTCTTTCCCAGCATTTATCTCATTTGTACACACACAAGAGGCAGTTAAGCTTAATGCATAAGAGCAGGACACTGGATCAAGACTGCCAGTGCACACCTGGCCCCACCACCTACCGGGCAGGTGATGTGCAGGGCTGCATCATTACCCTGGTTCCTCACTCATCTCTGCTTACCCTTAACATGCCAGTTTGCAGTACCCTCCCCTGTGGGCAGGGCTTGCTGCCTGCCCCTGTGTTTGGCCACTTGCTTTGCTTTAACCAGTGGAATTAGGGGGGAAATGACAGGATACCAGCTCTGAATCTACTGCTCACTCTCTTGTACTTCTGCCATCCCTATAAAAAGGACATGCCTGGACTGGCCTGATGTTTTCAGAAGAGGAGGAGAGGCATGTGGAGCAGAGTCAAGCCCCTACGGGCCACAGGCACATGGATGAGAACAGGAGAACCGCCTAACTGAGCCCAGCCTGGATCAGAGCTGATACCCAGCCAACAACTTGTGAGAACCAATACATGGTTATTTTAAGGCACTAACTTTTGGGGCTGGTTTATTATGTGGCTATAGCTAACTGATACAGGTGACCTTGGGCAAGTTAATCCATCTATGCCCCCATTTTCTTTTTTGTAAAGTAGGGGAATGAATAGTATCTGCCTCGTGTGATTTTTATAAGGATCAGATGAATTAACAATTGTATAGCGCTTAGGTGCCTAAATACACATTTGTTTAATAAACATCTTTGTGTTTAGTTGAATAATACTGTTTCCCCAACAAGACTCAATAACTGTTTTCTCATAATGTCCCCAGTGACTAGTACAATGCTTGATCCATAGAAGGCATTCAATAAATGCCTGTTGAATAGATAGTGGATTTTCCTAACACACATATAAATTATAAGGCCAAATATGGAACTTCCTTTTTTAAAAAAATGCTATTTAATGAGTCCTTATTAATTGCCAGGCATGATGTGAAACAACTTAGGTAGAAGTAGGCAGAATTATTATGCTCATTGTAGAGACAAGAAAACTGAGGCTCGAGGTTAAGTAACTTGGCTGCAGTCACACAGTTAGGAAGTAGCAGAACTACGATTTGACCCCAATCTGAGTTCCTGCCTTCTTTCCTCCACCCCAGCATGCCTCCCTGTGCGCAGATGGCAGATCAAATCCAAGATTATTTCCCACTGTGGGAAAGGACTGCAGGTAATAAGGAAGGGGTCAAGTACCCAAAAGGGCAGGCTCAGCCTGCAATGGGAAGCGGGACCTCAGAAGGGACCCTTTACTTAGATGAATTCAGCATTTTTTTTTTTTTGTGGGAGGGTCTGATTGATGTTGTCACTGCAGGAGGAAGCCCAGTGTCAGCATATTCTCCAGAGGCAAGGGCTGGCCTCTCCAGTCACCAGCTCCATTTTCTGAAGGTGGTTTATTGGAGTTTGCTCCCCGAGGGCCACTTCCTGAGCAGAACATGAAGGCAATAGCGAGATGCTTATGTGGAGGTTTTCTTTCTTGGTCAGGCGTTGGAAGGGTTGGGAAGCCTATCTGAGTAAGCAGGTCTGGGCAGCCTGGGACTCCTGGGGCTCATATGCGCTGAGCTGCTGAGAGAGGATGTCAGCGCCTCCTTGGTAGACCCACTGTGGGGCCAAAACAAGAAAGGGCCATCCTGTGACTTCCCTGCCTGCTGCTGCAGCCATCCCCCACCCGCTAGGAGCTTCACATTCTCCCCTGGGGCCCCCTGAAAGCGGGGGGAACTGGAGGACATGGATCACATCACCAGGAGCCATGGATCTAGCAGTCTGGTGTCAGATGTGTTCTCCCAGCTGTGCAGACCATGAACAGTCACACAATGTCTCTGAGCCTCAGTTTCCCCATGTGGAAATTAAGAACTCTAACTGCTCTGGAAACCATAGTTCAGTACCCTAAAGAATAAAAATATCTATGCATTTATTCAACACCTTCTACATTCTAGGTTCAGGGCAATGCGCTTTATATATATGCTCTCATGCAATCATTTAAAAAACCCAATAAGAGATTATAGGGTTGATTTACTCTTTATTTTACAAATGATAAAACTAAATCTCAGGAGATTAAATAAAAGTTGCTTACAGTTTCAGCTGGTCAAACTTTGGAGCATCCACTCAGCATCATTGCCACCTTTCTCCTTTCTAATAGAATCCCAATTTTATCCATGTAATTTTCTGTCCACGCAGGGAAAGGTGACCACATCCCTGGCTCCAGGACTCAGTCTCACTACCTCCAACAAGCAACGTGTGTTGTTTGGTGGCTATGCCGCTTGCTTATGGGTGAGTATATGATTTGTGTGGGGTGAGGGTCTCCTGAGCTAATGATGTTGTTCTATGTATGACCTCGGTTTCTATGCAGCAATCTAGTAAGTATGAAGGGAGCCACCCTTAGGATGAAGCCAGTGTGAAGCAGAGATGGAAGAGGTCTCTGAACCATTGAACCAACCACTCCTGATGCTTGCCCTCCCTCTAGATTTCCTGGGTAGTCAGATAATCAATTTCTTTATTTTTCAGTCTAGTTTGAGTCTATTTAAATCATCCTGAAAGACACATGAGATGAACTTTCATCAGTTCAACTTTGAACCCACATCTTTCCAATTAGTACCTAAAATGATAAAGATTTCATATTTGTTCCATTAAAGAATTTAACAAGCATTTGCTGACTGACTACTAAGTATGTAAATATTTTACAAACATTTCACTTTATTCTCATCGTAGCCTGAGAAGGTAGATCAAGTTAAGATAATTTTCTCCCAAAGGAACAAAGATTCAGAGAGGTTAGATGACAGAAGTAAAAGACACACAGCTATTAGGTGGCAGAAAATAGCTTCAAACCTGGATCTCTCGGAGTCCAGAGCCCATGCTGTTTTCAACACTGCACACCACTTCTCAAAAACCTGTGAGCTCCAAGCATTACCCCCTATCCAGTGAGATTATCAGCAATCATGTCATCAGGCCAGTTCTAATCCTAGTTCTAACCACCCCCATATACACACTGGAAAGTTGCCTTTAAGATGCTGGGACCCGTTATGAGCTCCTTGTCTTTTATCCTCAGATCAAGTGAGAAAGACCACCTGGAAATTTGGAGGGGAAGCAAGGCTACGTCTCCCATTTCTATAGAAAAGGAGGAAATTCTACCAATAGTTCCCTACCCAGTGGAAGTGCTAGGGTGGACTCTGCCTTTCTCTTACTTCTGATTCATTTCTTCCCCAGGAAATTACATTTAACACAAAATTGTTGAGCACCTACTATGTGGCAGGTATAATTCTCAGTGCTGAGGATAGACCAACAAAGAACTTAAGGTCCTATCAGGGGTGTGGACTGGAGCCTAGCATTTGTGGGGCCGTGTTTTTAGTCCCTAATATTTAAGGGCTCATTGCTCATGCATCACTTCCTCTTGTTTTCTATTCTTTTATTATACCATTTTTATACCATCTTCCAGCAAGGCATCTCAGGGACCAAGAAGACTAGGAAACTTCTACATATTTTAGGGAACACATTAAAAAACTAGGAAATCCTATAACAGTTACCAAAATTATGCTGTATTTTAAACACATACACTGACTAAACCAACACCTTGAATGTAAAAAATGCAATGACATATACTTATGATATTCACAAAACAAAATACATAATTTTTAAAGGTTCATTTATTCATTGTCTATATTCATTGTGCCTGTTTAAAGTTGTATTAGTCTTTAAGGCTGTGCTACTGGCACATGAACAGAAAAGCAGATCAATGTTACAGAAATAGGCCAAAATACATATAAGAATTTAGTGTATGATCTCTGCAGAGTTTTGGCAAAGTAAAACTTTATCATTTTGATAAAGTTTAATTTATTAACTTTCCCTTTTATGAATTATGCTTTTGGTGTCAGGTCTAAGAACTCTTTCCTTAGTCCTATGTCCTGAAGATATTCTCCTGTGTTTATTTCCTTAAAATTTTATAGCATAACATTTTGTATTTAAGTCCATTATGCATCTTGAGTTAACTTTTGTATAAGGTGTCAGATAGGTCAAGGTTTATTTATTTACCTGTGTATGTACAATTGCTTCAGCAGTATTTGTTGTAAAGGCTACTTTTCTTCTATTAAATGCTTGTGTGCCTTTTCAAGAATCATTTGAGAATATTTATGTAAACTATATCTGGGTTCTCTATTCTGTTCCTTTTATCTAGGTGTGTGTCCCTCTGCCAATAAAACAGTCTTGATTACTGTAGCTATATACTATGTTTTCAAATTGGGCAGATTGATTCTCTTTCAAAATTGTTTTGGCATTTTTAGTTTCTTAGTCTTTCCACATACATTTTAGGATAATTTTGTCTATAGTTACAAAATATTTTTCTGGAATCTTATGAGAATGGCCTTAAACCAGTACGTCAGTTTGGTGAGAATTGACATCTTTACTATTTCCGATTCATGAACATGGTATGTCTCTCCGTTTATTTGGATCTTCTTTGATTTATTTCGTCAGTGGATTGTAGTTTTTAGCACAAATGTCTTTTACATGTTTTGTTAGATTTATACCTATTTCTTTTATTATGTGATTGTAAATGCTATTGTATTTTTAATTTCAGTTACCAGTTGTTCACCGCTAGTATGTAGAAAGGCAGTTGATTTTTCTATGTTTATTTTGCATCCTGTGACCTTGCTGAACTCTCTTATTATTTCTAGGAGGTTTTTTTGGCATATTTCTTCAGATTTTCTACATAGGCAATCATGTCATCTGCAATAAAAACAGTTTTATTCTTTCTTTCCAATCTGTATGCTTTTTTTATTTTTACTTCTTGTCTTATTGTACTGGCTAGAACTGCCAGCAGTAGATTAAATAAAAGTGGTGAGAGTGAGCATACTTACCTTGTTCCTGATCTTAGGGAAAAATTATTCAGTTATTGATCATTAAATATAAGGTTAGTTGTAGTTTCTTCCTTCCTTTATTCCTATTTTCCTAATATTTTTAAATCAAAAATTGGGGTTGTATTTTATCATATTCCTCTCTCTGCATGGAATGGTATTATCATGTAGTATTTTTCTTTAGCCTATTAATATTGTATATTACATTGATTGACTTTTAAAAATTGAACCATCCCTACATACCTGGAATAAATCCCACTTTGTCCTACTATATGCTGCTGAATTTTTTTTTTTTTTTTTTTTTGAGATGGAGTTTTGCTCTTGTCACCCAGGCTGGAGTGCAATGGTGCAATCTTGGCTCACTGCAACCTCCGCCTCCTGGGTTCAAGTGATTCTCCTGCCTCAGCCTCCTGAGTAATTGAGATTACAGGCATGTGCCACCACACTCAGCTAATTTTTGTATTTTTAGTAGAGATGGGGTTTCACCATGTTGGCCAGGCTGGTCGCAAACTCCTGACCTCAAGTAATCCACCCACCTCAGCCTCCCAAAGTGCTGAGATTACAGGTGTGAGCCACTGTGCCCAACTGCTGCATTCTATTTGCTATATAATGTTAAGGATTTTTGGCTTTGTATTCATGAAGGATATTGGTCTTAGCATTCTTTTTTTGTATTGACTTTGTCCAGTTTGAATAGAGAGTAATACTAACTTTGTAAAATGAATTGAGAAGTGTTCCCTTCTCTTCTGTTTTTAGGAAAAATTTATATAGAATTTGTGTTAATTCTTCTTTAAATGTTTGATAGCATTCTCCACTGAAACATCGGGATGTTTCATCTTCAGTGAAACATCTGGAGATGTTGGGGAGTAGTTTTAAAATTACAAATATAATTTCCTTAATAGTTATAGGTATACCCAAATTATTTTCTTCATATTGAGTGAATAGTGGTTGTTTGCGGGTTTTTGAGGAATTGGTCTATTAAACCTAAGTTTTAAAATTTATGTGTGTAGAGTTCAAAGTATTTCCTTATTATCCTTTTGATGCCTGCAGGATCTATAGTGTTATTTTCTGTTGCATTCCTAATATTGCTAATTTGTGTCATCTTTATTTTTTGTTTTAGTTTTTTGTTTGTTTGTTTGGTCAGTCTTGCTACTGGTTTGTCAATTTTATGTATCTTTTCAAAGAACCAACTCTTTGTTTTATTGACTTTTCTCTATTGCTCTCTGTTTTCAGTTTTATTGATTGCTGTTCTTGTCTTTATTATTTCATTCTTTTTCCTTACTTTGGGTTTCTTTTGCTCTTATTTTTCTAGTTTCTTGAGGTGGGAGCTTAGATAATTGATTTGAGACTTTTCTTCTTTTCTTGAGTATGAATTTACTGCTAAATTTGTCCCTCTCAACACTGCTTTAGCTGTGTCCAACAAATTTTTTAGGTCATATTTTCACTTCCATTCATTTCAATGTAATTTTTCATTTCCTTTAAGACTTCCTTTTTGAACCATGAATTGTTTAGAAGTATGCTGTTTAGTTTCCAAATGTTTAGAGATTTTATCTGTTATCTTTCTGTAATTTACTTCCAGTTTAATTCCATTATGGTTGAAGAACATACTCTGTATGTTTTCATTTCTTTTAAATTTGTTGAGGTTTATTTTATAGCCCAGGCTATGGTCTATCTTGGTATATTCTTTAAGCATGTGAAGAAGATGTATATTTTGCTTTTGTTGGGTGATGTGTTCTATAAATGCCAATTAGATTCTGTTGGTTGATTGTGTTGAGTTTTTGTATATTCTTGATGGTTTTCTTTCTAGTTCTATCGATTGTTCAGAAATATATGTTGAATTCTTCAACTATAACTATGAATTGTCTCTTTCTTATTTCAGCTCTATCAGTTTTTGCTTCACACATTTTACAGCTCTGTTGTTTGAGACATACACATTTAGAATTACTATTTCTTCTTGGTAAATTGACTTATCATTGTATGATATCCCTTGCTAGCTCAGATAATTATCTTTGAAGCCTACTTTGTCTTATATTAACATAGCGACTCCTGCTTTCCTTTGATTAATGTTTGCATGGATATATATTTTTTCTATCATTTTACTTTTAACCTGCCTGTATCATTAGCTTCAAGTGAATTTCTTGTAAGCAGAATATAGTTGAGTCATGTTACTAATCTCTGTTTTTCAATTGATGTGTTTGAGTGTGATTATTTACATGATAGGCCTTAAGTCTTATTTTTCTGTTTGTTCTCTGTTTTGTTCTTCCTTCTGGTGGGTTATGTGGACATTTTTAGATTTACAAAGATGTAGAGTTTTGATTTATCTATAGTGTTTTTTAGTGCATCTCTTTGTGTAGGGTATTTTTTTTTAGGATTGCTCCAGATATTACTTTATATACATAATTTATTACAGTCTACTCTTATCACCATTTTTAGAGTTTGAGTAAAGGATGATACCTCACTTCCCTTAATGACCCTTAACTCTCCCCCATGTATAATATAATTGTATTAGTCCATTTTCACACTGCTATAAAGAAATACCTGAGACTAGGCAATTTATTTTAAAAAAGAGGTTTAACTTACTCATAGTTCTGCATGGCTGGGGAGGCCTCAGGAAACTCACAATCATGGCAGAAGGCAAAGGAGAAGCAGGCACATTCTTCACAAGGTGGCAGGAGAAAGAGAATGCAGAGGGGAAACTGCCACTTTTAAAATGTCAGGTCTTGTGAGAACTCCCTCCCTGTCACTATCACAAGGACAGCATGGGGGAAACTGCCCCCATGATCCAATAGCCTCCCACCATGTCCCTCCCTCATCAAGTGGGGATTACAATTAGAGATAAGATTTGGGTGGGGACACAGAGCCAAACTAGATTAATAATTTTCTTAACTATTTCTTCTACATACATTTAGAACCACATCAGACAATGCTAGAGTTTTTGCTTCAAACATCAAACACAGTTTGGAAAACCAAAGAGGAGAAAGACCACCTATTTTATTACCCATATTTTCACTTAGCCATGTTCTTTCTTCCCTCCAGATGTTCCAAGATTCCTTCTTTTATTGTTTCCTTTCTGTTTAGAGAACTGTCTTTAGCCACTATTTAGGGCAGGTCTGCTGATGACAAATTCTCTTAATTTTCCTTCATCTGAAAATGTCTTCATTTCTCATACATTTTTAAAGGATATTTTCACTAGATGTAGGTTTCTGGATTAACAGTTCTTGCTCTCAGCACCTGAAAATATTGTGCTACTTCCTTCTGGCCTCCATATTTTCTAATGAGAAATTCACTGTTATTCTATTTGTTTTTCTTTTATAGGTAAGATATTGTCTTTCTCTGGCCATTTTTAAGATTTTTTTCATGTTTTTGGTTTTCAGAAATTTAAAATATGATGTGTCTTGGTGTGGATTTCTTTGGTTTATCCTGTTTGAGATTTGCTCAGCATTTTGACTTTGTAGGTTTGTATGTTTTCCCAACTTTGGGGAGTTTTAGCTATTATTATTTCTTTGACTACTTTTTCAGCACAATTCTTGTCTCTCCTTTTGGGACCACAGTGACACAAATTTTAGATTTTTGTTGAGTTTCTACTGGTCCATGAAGCTCTGTTTATGATTTCACATTCAGTTTCTCCTATGTTGTTCAGACTGAGTAATCCCTATTGTTCTATCTTCCAGTTCATTAATTATTCTCTTTATCCCCTCCATTTTTCTGTTCAGCCCATCCACTGAACACTGAACTTTTTATTTTGGTTACTGTATTTTTCAATTCTAAGTTTACCTTTTAATTCTTCTTTATATCTTTCAATTTTTGCCTTGTCTTTCTATCTCTTTGCTGAAACTTTCTATGTTTTCATTTGTTACAAGCCTGTTTATCATTGTTTGTTGAAGCATTTTTATCATGATACTTTAAAATCTTTGTCAGATTATTCTAATATCTCTGTCATTTCAGTGTTGGTATCTATTAAATGTCTTTCCTCATTCAGTCTGTGATCTTCTTGGCTTCTGATATGACAAGTGATTTTATTTTAAGATCTGGACATTTTAGTTTTATGCAATGAGGCTATGAATCTGAGTGTTTTAGCTATTTTTAATGACTGCTCTAGCAGGGGAAGTGGGGACACTGCCTTGTCATTTTTAGGCAGAAATAGAACTCCTGAGTTCACATTTGGCTTTGTTGATACTTGAGAAGGGGGCTCTCCATTTTGCTGGGTGAGAGTGAAAGTCCAGGCTCCCCACATGGTCTCTAGTGATATTGCTGGGAAGGAGGTCTCATTGTCAGCTGGTAGGAATGAAATTCTTGGCTTCCTAACTGGCCACCTCTGACATCAGTAGGAATATTGGAGTGCCTTGTTAAAACATCATGAGACTGAAAATCTAGGCTCTTCTTTTGCCCTTTTCTGTCATGAGTGAGGTTAGAGGCTTCAAGTTTTTGTGTGTAAAGTGTTTGGCTAATGTAGAGTAGTTATTGGGAGCAGATTCTGTTTGAGCTTCGATTTTGTCTGCTCCTGTTCATGTTTCTGGGAGTGCTGGCTTCTTCACATCCAATTCTGGGATATATGAGGCAAAAAGAAAACCCAAGGAACCCACCACCATGTTATTCCCTGGGTTCTGAGGTCTCTAGCCTTTTGCCTTCCCCTCTATCTTGCAGGAACTCCGTATGTTTGTCTTGCATACAATGCCTAGGCTTTTAGTTGCACTTAACAGGATGAATAGAGGAAAGTGCACCTGCTTTTTTTTCTTAGGCAAGTAAGTCCCCTCAAAGATACACTTTTAGTTGAAAAAGCAAGGTGCAGAACAGAGAGTGTGCTCTGTGTGAGTACACATATGTGCAAAGACTCTCTCTGGAGAGTCAAACACAAAACATAAATCACATGGCTTCTATGGGGACTGGGGTCAGGGAGGAAGGAAAATTATGCTTCTTTCTATAGTTTTTTGTAGCATTTCAAATTTGTACCATGTGAATATGTCACATATTCAAAAGAATAAATGGTTTTTAAAAGAATGCTGCATGATGAACATTTTTATATTCTCCAGGAATATTTCCCTGACTGTCTGCCTAACCTTGTGTTCTGGGCTGAATTATGTCTCTTCCAAAATTCATATGTTGAAGTGCTAGCTCCTAGTACCTCAGAATGTGACTGTATTTGGAGATAGAGCCTTTAAAGAGGCAATCAAGTTACAATGAGGTCATTAGAGTAGGCCCTAATCCAATATAACTGGTGTCCTTGTAAGAAAAGAAGATTAGGACACAGACATTCGCAGAGAGAAGACCACGTGAGGACAACAGGGAAAGACAGCCATCTGCAAGCCAAAGGGTGAAGCCTGGGAAGAACCCCTGCCAACACCCTGATCTGGGACTCCCATCCTCCAGGATTGTGAGTAAATAAATCTCTGTTGTTTAAGCCAGGCAATCTGTGTTACTTTGTTATGGCTGCCCTAGCAAACTATTATAACTTGTTCGGAGATAACACTGAAGGTATGAATTTTAGACCCTTGGCGAGTGAGAGACCTGAAAGAGATGGCTCTCTGGCCACACCTGCTGAAGTTCTGCCAATGTTCCTACTGTGGATTCTGTGAGGCCCAGGCTGCCTCTAGGATGACCCCCCAGCCAGCACTCCCTGAGAGGGGAAGCCTGCCTTGCTCCAGACTTTCTGTTATGGTGAGTGCAGTTTGGGGAAGCTTGTCAATACAGCATCATCAATAACAACACTGATACTGAGCCTCGCCTGGCTCCTTGTGTACATTCTCAATCGGTTACACACTCAGAGGGGAGAGGGGCGATTAAATAGGTTCCCTCAGACTTCCAACAAGAGCAGCCCTGCAGTTTTTTGGTGCAAATGTTTTGAAGAGCATCATCCTATATGTCTCTTGTAAAAAGACCTGTGGGGTGCATCCCACTCTGATGTCAAAGTCAGAAGCATTTATTACCCACTTAACAGCCTGTGCTTCCTTTACAAACATCAGAGCCTGCCTTGCTCTTTGCCCAGACTCTTTCTACTCTGGTAGAAGGCAGGCTACTTGAAAATCAGCTACAGAAATAGCCTTTCAGTCATTTTTCTCTCTTCCCTCCTGTGCTTTTTGTGGTTTCTCAGGGTTTTGTTTTGTTTTGTTTTGTTTTTTAATCTGTCCCTTTTCTTCTGTTTCTCGTTTGAGTTGTTTTTAGTATTATTTTACCCATGTTTTTGTTGCAAGCTCTCAACTCTGAACATGAGCTGATGTGCACATACAACCAGGTGAAGAGAGAGAACCCACATTCTCTTGTAACTGTAATATTTACTAATAATGGTATCAATTATAATAACAGTGAATGTTCATTGAACATTTTTTATACACTCATGACTCTATGGTGCACATTTCATGTATCATTTCACTTGATCTTATAACTGTCCAGGGGAAGATATTATTGTCCTCAGTTCATAGAGAGAAACAGAGGCTCTGAGATATTATAACATATGGCCACAGCTCACCTCGCTTATAAGTAACTGATTGTGTATTTGAAACCTGGCTCTTGAATTCCACAGCCCAAGCTTTTAATCACTGAAATGCTACTTGGCAAAAGGAAGAGCAGGTGTCTTCCTTGTGCCTGGCACATGAAAGATACTCATCGCATAATTGTCAAATATTAGCTCTGTGAGACAGGGCTTTTGCTCTATTTTGTTTATAGCCTGGCACTGAATAGGTGCTCATTAAATATTTGCTGAAGGTATCAAATGAATGAGTGCATGAATGAATGAATACAAGAATCAACATGAGAATCAAGAGCTGTGGGAATTCAGAGAAGGGGAAGTTCCCCACTTCCCCACCCCCAATTTGGGTCAGGTGAAATACGAGAAGAATCTACAATAGCTCCTCTGATACTAGCAGTAAAAAATCCTAACAACATTCCAAACAGGCTCTGTTGCCCAGCCCACACCTCAGGAGATATCACTGGAGGCTTAGGAGTGTGGGGAGGGCAGAGATTCCACATCCACCACAGCAGAGAGAGGGCTCCAGAAGAAACCCCAGGTCTTCAAGCTGCACACAGGGTTGCAGTCTGCACAACTTCTGCTGGGGGCCCTGCTTAGAGGTGTGGGCTGGAGTTGCGGCACCTCTGGGTGCTAAGTGGCTGGGTACTGGCCATGGCTGTCCCAGGCATGGGTCATGTACATAATTTAGAATGTAAAAGTACAGAGAGGCTCTTCAAGTTGCTCCCAGTGGTGACGTGCATTATCAGAGAGGAGGAACCATCCACAGAGAAGGCAGTGACTGCTTCAGGAGTGACTGGAGGATGGGATTTAGTCTCCCATAGCCTTATCAATTATTTGCCCCATTCTTTGTTATGGACAACTGATGGTTTTCAATCCCACATAGAGGGCTATGGAAATACCCCAAACCCAGATCTCCCCACAAGTCCCTCACCTGGTGACACAGGTGCTGTTACAGGCAGAGTGTCCACCTCATGCTGGCCCCCCTGGCTCTGTGGCCCCATTCCTGCTGACCGCGTGCTCATAAAAGATGTGTTGAAGTGCTAACCCCAGTACCTCAGAGTGAGACTTTATTTGGGAATAGGGTCATTGCTGATGTAATTAGTTAAGATGAGGTCATGTTGGAATGGGGCGGGCCCTTCATTCAATATGACCAGTGTCCATATAAGAAGAGAAGAAACAGAGAGAGTGGAAGGCCGTGTGAGGGCAGAGACACGCTGGAGAGGACCACGTGAAGCAGAGATAGGAGTGCTACAACTGCAAGCCAAGGAATGCCAAGCTTTGCCAGTAACTGCCAGGAACTGAGAGAGACACATGGAGCCGACTCTCCTTCCGATCCTTCCAGAGGGAGCCAACCCTGCCGGACACCTTGATTTCAGACTTCCAGCTTCCAGGATTGTGAGAAAATAAACTTCTGTTGTCTTAAGTCACCCAGTCTGTGGTGATTGGTTACAGCTGTTGCAGGAAATGAATACTCTCCGCCACGCTGCCTGAGTGTCAAGACACTTCTCAAACCATATCTTTCCCATTCGCAAGAACCTTTAGTGACTCCTCATTATCTTCAGGATAAAGTGCAACTATCTGGGATGATTCACAATCCAGCTCTGCCTGGTCCACCTCTCTGGCCTCCTCCCCTAGTCTCCCTGCTACTGTCCTTCCAGCTCAGCCACAGCAATGCCTTCATGAACCCCTTCTTTGTCTGGAAAACTTCTTTATTCTTCAAAACCCAGCCCAAATGTTCTCTCCTCCAAAGAGGCTTCCAAGTCTATCCAAGCAGAGAGAGGTGGTTGCCTTCTCTTCAGTGCTTGAGAGGAAGGACCCTGAAATACTTTTTGATGGCAGGTAACACAAGAACGCAAGCTCCATGAGCATAGGCAGTTTATCTTGTTCACTGTTGAGTCCTCAGAGCCTAGATAATAGTCATTCACTAGGTATTTGTTGAATAAATGTACGAATTAATGCAGGAAAGAATGAATGAATGCAATGTGCTATAATTACAGTCACTTGAGAGACTGAGCACCTTGGTGTAGGGACTATGTCTCATTTTCCCATGCACCTATGGATGACAGGGAGAAACAGGTTTCTTTTCAGCATCTGTGATTGGAAAGGATGAGGTTTGAGGGACACAGGCCTAATGGTATTAAGATGAAGCCAGGCATACTCCCCAAAATAATAAAAAAGCATTTGCAAGTCTTCACATCAGCTGACTATAACTGTTTTAAGAAAGCACAGAAAACAAAGAAGGTTCAACACAAGCAGTCCTGCAGTAGTGTGTCCCCAGGTTCCAGAAACAATAGACATTACATGTCATCAGAATTATAGGACTGCAGCTGGAGGTCATCTTATCCTACCTCTGTGCAGCAGGTGAGGAAACCGACTCAGGGAGGGAAGGAGTCTGCACTGGGTCACGCAGGAGGCAGCCGTGGAACTCTCACGCTATCACTTGCCTGCTGTTGCTAATGGAATGTTAATGCTTTGCGTTTGATCCCAGCCCATAGAAAGTGGAATGCCAAAGCAGGAAGGACCCTCAGAGACTGTTCAGCCCAAATGTGCTATCGCAGAGACGAAAAGCGAGACTCGCTTACCACAGGGGAAGGAAGAGGGATGAGATAATAAACAAAGAGATCGCAAGAAGCAGAGTATGCCAAGGGCTACATGGGGAATGTAAATGGCCATTTACATCGCACAGTTAGGGAGGGCTTCTCTATGCTGGTGACATTTAAACAGAGATCTGACTGACAAGGAGTCAGCCGGCTGATGATCTGGGGGAAGAACATTCAGGACAGAGTAAAGAACTGTGCAAAGATCTTAGAGTCAGATTAGTTAGTGTCACCTCTGAAAGAGGAAACACTGCAAGATGGAAAGACCAACCAGTGATTCTTGCATGGCCTCCTGGCTTAGGTCAGGTTCCCTAGAAATGGAGCCTAAGATAGAGATTCTTGTGTGAGCAATTTAAAGAGGAAGTGTTCTCAGGAGAAACCTGTGAAGGAGTCAGAAATGTGAAACATGGGAAGGGGACAAGCTAGGCAAATGTGTGGTTTAGTGGGAGTCTGGCCTCCTGACGCCATGGGGAGCTCTGGAGCTTCAGATAAACCACAGAAGTTGTCTTGGCAGAGGCAGGAGGGCTGGGTGGTTACACCCCATATCAATCTGCCACTGGCCACAGGTCACTCCTGGGGGTTTGGCTATACATCCCAGGCATCTCTGGGCAAAGTAGCTCCCATCAACCAAAGGCCACCCTCCAAAAGGATGCAAGCATGAGCTGCTGGCAGCCAACACCTACCGCATCTGGGAAATGAGAACACAGCCCCCGAGAGGAGTTGGGTGGAGACCAGCATGACTCAGTGCACCTATGGCACACCCTAAAGCGTTCCAGGTACTTTCTCACCCATTGCCCCGTGCGATATTTACATCACCCTGTGTGGAAGTCATCACTATTTTGCAGATTTAGAAACTGATGTTTAGAGAGGGTAAGGCACTCGCCAAACTTGCTCTGCTAGGAAGTTAGTGAGCTGGGCCTCAGACCTAGGTTTTCTGATTCTCTTTAGGCTACTTCAGACTGCCTCCGATGCGTATATAAATACTCAGTCTGGAGGTGCAGACAGTAGGTGCCATTTGTTTTATGCCTTGCTGCATAGTATATATATTTCATAGCCAGAGATGTTAACACACTCCCTAGGGAGGAGTGATTCCTGAAAGCCAGTGATCTCATGGAATCCTCCTTTGAGCATCTGCTCAGAGCCTGGTCCACATCCCTGGTTAGTTCAGGTGACCTGTACCTAGCAGAAGAAGTCATTCTGCTTCTAGTCCAAGTTCCTGCAAGTCAGCTCAGCAGAGACCCTGTGGTCCTAAAGCTTGAGGTGAAAACCACAAAACTGATCTCATGCTGTTGTGGGTGCTCAGCTGCCTGCTTTGGGAATCCTCTGGAAAGGCAGCTTGTACCCTGCATTTGTGCCTGGTGAGCAGTGAGTTTGCATCAGTGAGCATCGAGCCCCATGCGTCTTCCACATTAGTCATTTTTTACAGAGATCTTTCTAAAATGATAAGATGCTGAACAAAATTTAAGTGTCTTCTTAATGACCCAGGGATCATCATTCTGAGTATGGGGCAAAATATAGTCTTTCTTTCAGAAAGTAGATATTGCTTGCCCCTAAACTAAATAATCCCAGATTTCTACCTAGTATAGATTAAATTGCATCACCCTACCTATTCGTATGTTGAAGTCCTAACCTTCAGTATCTCAGAATGTGACCTTATTTGGGAATAGGGTCTTTGCAGATATAATGAGTTAATATTAAGTCATACTGGAGTAGAGAGAGACCCTAATCCAATATGACTGGTGTCCTTATAAAAAGGGGAAGCTTGGAGACAGACACACAAACACAGGGAGAATGCCAGGTGGAGATGAAGGCAGAAATCAGGGTGATGCATCCATAAGCCAAGAAACACCTACTATGGCTTGAAAGACTGACAGCAAATCACCCTAAAAGTGGGAGAGGGGCATGAACTGATTCTCCCTCACAGCCCTCAGAAGGAACCAATCCTGCCTATCCCATAATTTCCAACTTGTAGCCTCCAGGACTGTGAGAATAAATTTCTGTTGGTTAAACCACTCGTTGTATAGCACTTTGTTACAGCAGTCCTGGGCTAACATACTGCCCTTGCTGGTCATATCTAGGGTTTACTTTTTTATATTTTTTCAAAATCTTTTCTTGGTAATCTTATGTATGAATATAATAGTTTCTCCTTTTATGAACCCAATTCTTTTTTTTTCCAAAGATGAAAGAGAGCTGAATATTAACCCAATTCTAATTCAATTTCTAATCAACTAGAAGCTAGAAAACTAAATCATGAAGTAGCTGGGCATATGGGTAAAATGGAAACCAGTAGGGCTGAGTAGGGCTCAGTGCTTGAGTTTTGTCACAACTTTTTTGTTTATTCTTGGACTCTCCCTTCTTGCTTGGAGATTCCTGTTCTGAGCAGCCTGGGTTCCCTGGAGCTGGACCTTTAGATAAACACGTTTTCAGTGGGAAAAAGGGAATTAACACATCGGGTCCCAGGCTGAGCTCTTTATTGTACATTATCTCATTTAATCATCATAACCAAATGGTAAGGCAAGAGTCTTCATCCTCACTTTATGCTCAAGGAATGAGAAAATTACAGAATGAAGAAAGTTGCCTCAAATCATGCAGCTGATGAGCAGTGCAGCCAAGAAGTGAACCCAAGACTTTATGACTTCAAAGCCTGATCTCTTTCCACTAGAACATGGGATTTCTCGTAATTAAACCCAACAGCCCCATATGTTGGTATCACCTAATGATCGTACTTATCATGATTCTTTGTGTGGACAGGACTGGGATATGATGATGGGAAAAGGATTCCAATAGGCATCAGCCTGTGTACTGAACTCCAGGGTGACTAATAACTTCTAAGTTTCCTAGCCATCAGCTCAATCCAAAGATAGATTCTTGGCCAAATTACACTGTAATTGCATTGAATCCAAGAAGTTCTTTCTTTTGTCCAACTAAATTCCCAAAGCTTCATTTTTTTCCATTTCTTTTGATGGGAAGCTCTCTAGAAAAGGAAAATAAACTTCTTCCATGTTTCTACTCCAGATATGTGATATTTCTGCAAGAATAAAATTTGTCACCTCTTCTCTGTAAAACAATTCAGTGCAATGATAGACTGTTTTGTTTTGTTTTGTTTTTGAGGCAGTCTCACTCTGTCACCCAGGCTGCAGTGCAGTGGCACAATCTCAGCTCACTGCAACCTCCACCTCCCTGGTGTAAGGTATTCTTTTGTCTCAGCCTCCCAAGTAGCTGGAATTACACGCGTGTGCCATTACACCAGGCTAATTTTTGTATTTTTAGTGGAGACGGGGTTTCGCCATATTGGTCAGGCCAGTCTCAAACTCCTGACCTCAATGATCCACATGCCTTGGCCTCCCCAAATGCTGGGATTGCAGGCTGATAGACTCTTCTTTGATCACTTCTCTATAAAGAGAGTCACTCAGCTTGGACCAAATAATTTCAAAAGACAAACACCAATTCTTTTCATCTGTCATGTCCACAGACATCAGACAACTTGGCTTAGGCCCTGCTGTGTGCAGGGGTCTTCTTGCTTAGATTCTGCCATTTTTCCATGGATCAGGAAGCCCACATCATACCATTTTGTCATCATTGTGTGTTAAGTCTGAGTCAATAGGCCCTTAATAAAGACCCTTTCTATGTTTATGCCATTTTGAGAATTTGATGAATGCTATGTCCTCCATCCCCAATTCACATAAAAAAGACACAAAAATTTAACATCAATTCAAATATTCCCTGTTTTTCAGAGTCAATCACTGTCCATGGCATCAGGTTAAAAACACCTGACTTAAAAAGAGACTAAGAAAGAAAAAAATCCCTGAAATGGTTTCTTGGAATATTGATGACTTTATCCCAAGGCCAGACCATTAAAGTGTGAAGCTGCATGTTGCAATCTGGTCAAGAAAAGCGATTATGGAAAAAGAAGGAAAAGAAGGAGCAGATAAAGAAGAAGGACAAGGAGCAGGGGAAGGATGAGAAGAAGAAGAGAAGAAAGAGACTTTGGCACCCACTGACAAGGGCTGGAGAGAAAGACCTATGTCCTGATTGACCATTTGGGCTGCCTTTGGAGTCAGAAGCACAACTCTTGTTACAATAACATAGACTCAATTTACTGTTGAAGAAATCCTTCATCTCCAGCCACTCAGGGATGTTTGCCAGCCTGAGACATACCTGTGGGGCTGTGCTTTCTGCCTGGCCAGCCACCAAGGATACTCTGAAAAGACTCTAGTTTGTCTCCATGGAGAAAAACACGAACCTGAGAAAGAGGAGAGCTGTGTGACCCCGGGCAAATTCCTCTACTCAGCTTCAGTTTCCTCTTCTGAAAAATGAGAATAATTGCCCCTGCCCGGCCTGTCTTCAGGGATGTGGTGATGTCCGGGTACTTTACAAATGGAAAACACTAAATTGACATAAGGAAGACCATTGGTCAGTGGGGTGATGGCTCAGGGGACACAGTGGCAATTTATTCTGAATCACTCCCAAGTGCAATTGATTCTCTATTTTCTATTCACTTCCCGTTGTCCCAGAGTTGGGAAACAGCCTTGCTCTTCTCCCACCAGCCATCTCTTTTGCCTTCCATTAGCTCGCTTAGACCTGGCAGCAGCATGAGTTTCACAAGTACCTGGGACACAATGTCCTCTTAGAAGACTGTGTGGAGAAAACATGATACTGAGCACCTGTTGGACCTGATCTCTAGAAAGGGTGTCTGGGAATAGATAGGGCCATGTTTTCTCATAAGGCAAAGCCACTGCATTCAAACAACCTCTTATGAGCCCTTACTATGAGTATGGTGCTCACTGGGGATGCCAATGAAAGACAGATGCAGTCTCTGCCATTGGGGGTGGAAACCAGCTACTGTTGAGTAGCTCAGGTGGGCTGGATGCTCTATGGACGCTTTCTCTAACCCTTGAAGCAATCTATTGAAGTCACATCCTCCCTACTTACACACAGGGAGTGCCAGGCACAGAGAACCTTGGCTATTTGCTCTAGATGTGCGGGATGGAGTCAGACTTGGCCTTTCTGGGTCCAAACCCCATGTACTTTTCTCTGTGCTGAGTTAGCACACACTCTGGAGGAAGAGGCAAAAAGTCTGTAATAACAACAATGACAATAACTCACAAGTCTTGAGCAGGTATTATCCACGAGACACTGTGCTAAGTGCTTTGCAGAGTTACTCTCTTCTGTTACAACACCACAACATGGTTTCTATTAATAGCTGCATCTTGCTGGTGGGATAACTTAGACACAGAAGGTTAAACAAAGTGACCAACTTCACACAGAGAGAAAGTGATAAATCTAGGGCACAAATGCTGAGAGTGGCTCAGAGTCCGCACCATTAATGTCTCTGCTACATTCTCCCCATCAAATGATGCATCACTCTGTCGGATGGTGAGACTCAGCACACAGAAACCAGTGGAAGATTCTCCCTGTGATGGCGAATTTTATGTGTCAACTTGGCTGGGCCACAGGGCACCCAGACATTTGGTCAAACATTACACTGGGTGTGTCTGTGAGGGTGTTTCTGGATGAGATTAACATTTGAGTTGGTAAACTGAGTAAAGCAGATTGCCCTCCTGAATGGAACAAAAAGACTGAGTCAGAAGGAGCTTCTTTTGCCTTCCCGCCTTTAAGCTGGGATGTCAGGTTTTTCCTGCTTCTGACTTGAACTGAAACATCAGCCCTTTCGGGGTCTTGAGTTTGCCTGCTTTAGGACTGGAACTACTCATCGGCCCTCCCAGGTCTCCAGCTTGCAGAGTGCAGATCTTGGGACTTGTCAGCCTCTGTAATCATGTTAGTCAATTGCTATACAAGTAATAAATCTCTCTCTCTCTCTCTCTCTTTCTGCACACACACACACACACACAGAGAGAGAGAGCGCGAAACTATTAGTTCTGTTTCTCTGACACCACAGACAGCAGCTTCTAGGCTGCATGCCTTATCCCTGGATCATTCCTGGTTCATTTCCAATAAGGGAAAGTTCCATCCCTCATTGGTTTGAAAAATGGAGGACCTTTCCATAACCTCTCTGATTTTGGGTCTTCGGAGCTCTTCTGGCCTCAGCCAATCGGTTGACATTTATTATGAGTTCCTGAGGCCAGGGACCACCTCTTTCATCTTGGTGCTTTGATGCCTGACACACAGCAAGGACCCTTGTGTATCTGCTGGTTTCAACTCAGTTTGCAGAGAAGCCAAGAGAAGGAGAAAATGTAGCTCCCTGCTCTTTGATTGGATAACATGAAAGAGGAGGAAGAACAACCTGAATGAAGGCAGGGAAGTGTTGAGTGTGGATCAGGATGGAGTTTACCTGCCTCGAGCATCCAACTGGTGCCTGGTGTTAGTTATGATGAGGAAGGACCACTCTTGCTTTTTTCCCGTGGGGCAAGGCCACTAGGAGGGATTTTACCTGGGTGAGAGGCAGGAAATGCAACTCCATGGAAAGGCTAACTCCCCACAGCAAATGGCCCTGGTCTGAAGAGTAGGATCTGCTATGTCAGCAAGCATAGGCTAGCAGCCAACATGCAGGTAGGAAGCAAAAAGTTGAGGGGTTGACAGTGTCAAAGTAAACAATGGTTCTAATTTCAGCTGAGCATAGAGTGTTCTCTGAAGATAAGCCATGTTCAGCCAAGGCCAGTCTTTGGCCATGTTTGGAACAAGACAGAGAGATCACCTTGCAGTGCCCAAGGTGTGGGTGTAATGAAGGCCTCCTTGAAGGAAGATGCAGCTCCTTCCAACCCTGGCTCTCTAGCCCCCTATCCTGCCAGGATGCTAAGCAGAGATTAGCAGCTTCTTCAGCCAACTGGCACCTCAGCAGACAAAGGGCCAGCCTGGTGCTGCTGAGAAGGACTGGTCCTCTGTGGAGGGAATATGCCCTGTCGCAGCCAGGCTGGACCCAGCCCCTCTCTCTGAGTCCTGGGAAGCTCTTAACTTGGGCTTTACAGGCCTGTTTTGGGTCCCTGCTTTCTTTGAATTCCATAGAATCTCAGAGATAAACCACCTTGAGCTCCCACTGTAGAGATGGAAAAACTGAGGTCCAGTTGACTTAGCCTCTGAGAGGTACAGCCCAGGTGAAGGTCTAATCAAATACTACATTTTTATTTCTAGGCAGGGCTACTACATGGACTCCCCATCCAAAGCATGATAGGCTGAGAGGGGTTAAGCTGTGGACTTGCACAGACCTAGGTTCAAATCCTGCCCCCACCATTACCAGCTATATGGTATGGGAAATATTATATCACCTCTCTGAGCCTCTGTCATTTCATTTATGAAATGAGGACAGTAAAATTTCGTATTCAAGACTGGTGAAGCTTTAATGAAAAAATGTCAGGCACTCAGTAGATGTCAGTTGCTACTTCATCCTACCCAAAGGTGGTGAGCTGAGTAGCATTAAAGAGGGCCCCAATTCACCCCTCCCTCTCACTCTGAATCCAAGCCTGGAGCCAATCCTAAGTGGTCAAATCCCTGCTTCTATTCTTTGAGACCTGAACTTACCACTGACATTCTACCAAGCCCCAGATGCCTCCCTCCCAGATAGGGGAACTCAGAAAGCTCTTCCAAGTGATACCCTGAAATCACCCAAAATCATGGTGCAAATAGCTCTATAGACCAGTCCCTCCCCCAAAGCAAACATAAAGCTGAAAAGAGTAAGTGAAATAAACTCTTCTGGAACTCTGGAACTTGAGGACATTAATGACACCCAATAGAATTCTTGATAAAGGAAGAGGCTGCTGATCCTTCATAAGTGAGTAGCATGGGCAAACCGAGTACTTTCCTCCATTTCTCAGCCCCACTACACCTGTGGGCATAGAAGCTTATATTCTTGGCACAGCTGGCTGTGAGAGGGTGGGCAGTGAGACTTTTCCTCCAAAAGTTTGAAGTTGTACATTTTGGTTGCTTTGGTCATGGCTTGAGAGACTGGTACAGTCTCTTGTCATCAGTGACTTCCCTGGTGTCATCTATTCGAAGATTTAAAGAGACAGAACCCTTTACCCCATCATTTAGAAAAATCTTTGTTAGGTCACTAGTTGACTGCAAAGAAAATAGAACATAAAGTTCAGTGACCAGACACAACAAGGAATATGTACTTTGCAGAAATAAGTTGGAAAAGTCACAAACAGATAATGCTAGCCTTCAAGAAGCAAAAATCAGCAATCTTAGAAGAGGGGAAGAATCTGATTTCCAGAGTTGCCACATTATAATACTCAGAATGTCCAGTTCTCAAGGAAAAAAAAAACAAAACCTACAAAGAAACAGAAGAGTATGATCCAATCATAGGAAAAAAAAAAACTTAACAGAAACCATCTCTGAGGAAGACCAGACATAACTAGGCAAAGATGTTAAATCAGCTGTATTAAATGTGTTCCATGAGCTGAAGAAAACCATGAACAAAGCACTAAATGAAATTAGGAAAGGAATGTATGGACAAAATGAAAATATTAATAAAGAGATAGACATTATAAAAAGGAACCAAACAGAAATTCTGGTTGAAAAGTACAATAGTTGAAATAAAAAATTCACTGGAGGACTTCAATAGTAGATTTAAGCAAGAAGAATAAAGGATCAGATAACTTGAAGATAAGGCCATTGATATGATCCAGTCTGGGGAATAGAAAGAAAACAAAATGAAGACAAACGAACAGAGCCTGAGGAACCTGTGGAACACCACCAATTGTACCAATATATGCATCATAGGAATCCCAGAAGGAGAATGGAGAGAAAATAGTGGCTAAAAGCTTCCCAAACCTCCAGCCTGCTCAACATACCAAGACCTCATCTCTACTAAATTTTTTTTTAAATGAGCTGAGTGTGGTGGCATATGCCTATAGTCCCAGCTACTCAGGAGACTGAGGCAGGAGGATTGCTTGAACCCAGGAGTTCAAGGTTGCAGTGAGCTATGATTGTGCCACTGCACTCCAGTCTGGGTGACAGAGTGAGACTCAAAAAGAAAAAAAAGCCCCAATCTCACTTTTTTTTTGAGATGAGACCCCTCATCTCAAAAACAAAATAGTTCCAAACCTGATGATAGATATGAATCTACACACTCATAAAGTTCAATTAATTCTGAACAAGATAACTTCTAAGATTCACATCAAGACATATTATATTCAAATTGTGGAAACCCAAAGTCACAAAGGGAATTTTGAAAGCAACAAGAGAGAACCAACTCATTGTGTACAAAGAAACCTCAATATGATAACAGCTGATTTCTCATCAGAAACCAAAGAGGCCAGAAGGCAGTGGGATGACATATTTAAAGTCCTGAAAAAAAAAAACCAAACAAACAAACAAAAAAACCCTCTTAACCAATAATTTTATATCTAGCAAAACTATCCCTCAAGAATAAAGGAAAAATTAAGACATTCTCCCATTAAAAAAATGCTGAGGGATAGGAAGCAGGAGAGGAAGGGAGGGGCTGGTCCCTACACTTCAGGGAAGGGTTATACTCATGGTACTTTTCAAGTCACTCCCAAATAAGCTGGAATGAAAGAGACAAAGGCAGGTATAGTCAGCACAGAGCTTTGGTTATATGGTCTCCAAGGCCCCCCAAGCTTCACTTCTGTGAAGCCATAGAATTTTGAGGGTGTAACAGACATCAGGCTGGTGACAAGTGGGCATGAAATCAGTCTTCAGCACATCTCCTCAGACTACATAAAAGGCACAAGTCACCTAACAAAAGAATTTGATGCCTCTGAACCTATGAACTCTCCATGAGAGGAAGATCTGAATGTTGCATTGAGTCAGGCAGCAGAGGAAGTAGTCCTCAAATGCATCTGCACCAGAATTGAAGCAAGCTCCTTCACTGATTACAGTCAGTCTCCACCCCTCACCTTGGACTTCCAACCTCATTTTATCCTCCAAATAGCAGCCTGGCAATCACTGCAAATCAGATCCTGTCCTTCCTCGCTTAAAGCTTTCCAGTGGCTCACATCATCCAAAGGTTAAAATGACAACTATTGACTTGTCATTCATGGCCCCCTAGATTCAGCCCTGCCTCCTCTCTGGCATCATTATTCATCAGTGATGAACAACCTGGAGTCCTAACAATACACAGTTCTTTCTCACACCCCCAGGACTTGGCCCCACTATTCCATCTGCTAGTAAAGGCTTCTTTCCTCATTTGTCAAGTTTGAGTCTTCCTTGAATCCCTGGCTAGATCAGGGGCCCTCCTCTGTGCTAAGTCCACTATACCACTCATTGTATTAGAGAGACCATGTACTTTTCCCATCCCTCAGTAGGTTCATTTTCTCTGACAATCTCTTACTTACCGGGCAGTAGTATAAAGCCTGGCACAGAGCTGGCACTTAATAGACTATGTGTTCAATGAGTAAATGAAAAAAATGAATGAGTGGGTGAATGAATGTCTATATGCTAGGGGGCGGGGTATTCTGGGCTTGCACAGGTGAGGAAGGCCATGCCAGGAATACCAAACCATTTTAAAGCCATTATATTATTAATACTGGCTTGAATTTGGCTTGAATACTGGCTTGAATGCCAGAATAAATAAACTCTGGCTTTGCCCAGAGCATTTTGCTGCCTTCTGAATTGCCCAGGCATGAACAGCTCAGAAGTCAGATCTTCTGGTGATTTTCTTTGTTTCCTCTCCTGCACTTGCTGGAAATGTGTGTCCCTCCATGTCTTCACCCACTAAAGTTTTCTGATGACTTTACTGGTTTTAAAGGACCCAAAGTTCTACAGTTGCATCCCTGGGTATCAAAAAGTAACTGGCTACTAGAAGCTTTCTGACACTGCTTTTGAAAGAAATTTGGTATCCTGCCAGCCTATCTGCAAATGGACTCAGACATTGATTCACACAACAGACGTATTTGGAGGGCCAACCACATGCTCAGTATCATGCAGGCTGCTGAGGGTTCAGGGATCCAGACCTGGTCCTGAAGGAGCTCACTGTCCGGTGGGGCAACAGATAACTACTATGTGGTGAAATGTGTCTAGGATAGGGCTTGCAATGGGGCATATGCGAACCCAGTTAGAGGACAGCTGTCCAAGCCTGGGGAAGACAAAAGGCTGTGTCCAAAGGAAGACGCATTTATTTATTTATTTATTTGACAGAGTCTCACTCTGTCACCCAGGCTGGAGTGCAATGTCATGATCTCGGCCCACTGCAACCTCTGCCTCCCGGGTTCAAAGAGCTCTCCAGCCTCAGATTCCCCAGTAGCTGGGATTAGAGGCATGCGCCATTACATCTGGCTAATTTTTGTATTTTTAGTAGAGATGGGGTTTTACCATGTTGGCCAGGCTGGTCTCAAACTCCTGACCTCAGGTGATTCACCCACTTCAGCTTCCCAAAGTGCTGGGATTACAGGCATGAACCACTTGCCCGGCCTAGAGTAAGAGACATTTAAAGAACAAATGCAGGTTGTTTACCTAACAGATGAAGACACTGAAGACAGGGTATCAGACCAAAGAGATCAGCACATGCTGAGGCTTGAAGGCATGAGAGGAAGTCATTGGGAAATGGCAAGTGTCAGTTGTAGGTGAAGCCATTGTATGACTACAGGGTGTACGAAAGAAAAGTGGTGCAAAGTAGGCAGGAACTGGAGCTGGGGAGTCTTCTATATCATAAGAAGTGGTTTGGATCTCTATTTTACAGGTGTCAACATGCCTTCGAAGGGTTTTAAACAGAGAAGCGGTGAGAGCAGAATTATGCTTTAGAAGGATTACACTGTGATATTGAGCTTAAAAGGCTCAGAGTAGTGTCTGGTATGTAGAAGATTCTCAGAAAATCAGCTCCTCTGCCACCTTCCAGCTCCCCCACCCCACAAGCCTTCTTAGTCCTAGACTTACCCTCCCCTTTCCCTGGCGTCTTTTATGTTTACTCCGTAATTCTGCAATGGCCTTTTCTGTTCTGCGTGCCCCAGCCTCACTGAGCATTTCCAGGTGAGTGACAGGCAGTGAAAGTGGGGAAGCCATTAGAGGTTGTGTCCAAGGAAGAGTTAATAAGGCTGCAATCTAGACTAGCAGGACATGAGCTATTTCAAGAGTCACGGACCCTCATACATGTGGTGATGCGCTCATCAATTTCCTTGAATCTACCCCCAGTGAATCACAAGCTCAGAAAATAAGGTCTATTTGGACACTTGTCCCAGTGGAATCACTGTGCACACAAAATCTTGCTGGTAGAAGAGTATCAATTGCTCTAATGAAACAGAAAATTCCCTAGTAAAGGAAGGAGAAAAATCAAGGAGAACCGGCTTTGATTTTGTGCTGAATTCACAATCAGAATCTTCTCAGAATGGAGAAAGGCAACCACTGAGCCCATGGGGAGATGGCTTGAAATTGCCAGAAAAGCAGAAACTATCAGAGAGGCTTGGCAGAGGCTGTGATGACGTGGGAAGCTCAGATGTTCTGCCCCTCTCCAGGAATGCAGATCACAGTATTGTCTTTGTCTTTTTTCTGTTGCTATGGCTGAATACGCAAGGACGGGTAATTTATGAAGAAAAAAAATACTTCTTATAGTTCTGGAGGCTGGGAAGTCCAAGGTTGAGGGGCTGCATCTGGTGAGGGCTTTCTTATCATGTCATAACATCACAAAGGGCATCACATGGTAAGACAGCAAGAGCATGCCAGCTCAGGTCCCTCTTCCTCTTCTTATAAAGCTACCAGTTCCATCTTGGGGACCCCACCCTGATGACCTTATCTAATGGTAATTACCTCCCAAAGTTTCCACCTCCAAATGCCATCAACATATAAATTTGGGGATTAAATATCGAATACATAAAATTTGGGGATCGTATTTAAACCATAGCAAGTGTCCCAGAAATGCAATCTGTGTGGCTGCAGGGAGCGCACCAGATAGAGGACCACCCATTCTTTCCACCCAGCAGACTTTGGGGATTACTGCCCTGGTGCTCACCTATGTGACAAGGGCTCTCATGCTTCTGCTACGTTGGCTTCAGTGGCTGGCAATGCACCATCCCTGTGTTTCCCATCACAACGAAAGATAATATATGTAGAGCCCCTGGTACACAGTAGGTGGTCAATGAACGAAAACCGTTGTCATATTCCCCAGGCTTTCTATAGCTGAAGGTTAAAGTAAAATGCTTTTAGCTGAAGGGCACATGAAGTTTATTGACCATATTTTCTTGAAAGAGCCCTGGTTGAAAATAACTGTCCCCAGTACAACAGTTGTTATCAGAAAGGTCTCCCTTTGAATATGATAAACACACTGTCACACACATTCCCATCGGTCTCTGAGCCCACTGAGGCCCCCGCTTTAGGCAAAAGCATCACCATTTCATCTTGGGTGACTATTCTTGTGGTCTTTAAGAACCCAAGGAGGCGTAGATGGTATCCAAGCTCCTCTGCTTGGGTGAACAAGGCATGTTTATGCCAGAGGGGTGGGTGGAATGTGGTCAACAAGAACTGAGCAGATGTCCCATCTGGCCAGGCAATCTGTCCTTTCAAAAATTATTGCAGAGGTATGGTAGAGTGTAAAAATGAAACAGGGAAATTTAGATTCATGCTCAGCCTGGCCACTAGCTGTTTGCCTTTGGGCGTGTGACTACCTCTCTCTGAGCCTATTTCTTATGTGGAAGATGGGGTAATGGTACCATTTTTACTGGGCTATTGTGAGAAGGAGCTCAGATAACACACCTGAAAGGCCTAGTAGAGTGTTTGGGACACAGAAGCTGCTCAGCAGATACTAATTTCATTAGTTTATCTCTTCCCTTCTGTGCCTCCCTAATGTACCCACTCCCAAAGTAGACCCTCTTTGCGTGGACCCAACCTCTCCTAAGTTTACCACACCTTTAGGGTGGAAGGTTCCTTCCTCGTTGATATTCCCAACTGCCCCAAGTGACTTTTCCTTGTCTATATCTCACACATGGGCTCTAGGCTCATTGTGGCTTCCAGGACAACCACTGATTGGCCCATCCTCTCCTCTAGGAAACTTGTGGGGAAACAGTGGCTCCCACTTTCGTTATCTTCATCTAGCCCTGAAAAATGGGGCCACCCACTGGAGCAGTATCTGAAACAAAGCCCCAGCTTGCCTCCCTGGCCTAATCCTATCATTCATCCCTGTGCTGCTCCCAAACCCACTTCATGCTCTCCTGTCTCCACGACTTTGTTTCTATAATACTTTGGCCCACAAATGTGCACATGACATGCACACACACACACACACGCACACACACACACAGAAACACACACACATACACCTGTGAAAACTTCCACCTCCATTTCAAAGACTCTTCTGGACCCTGTGACCCTCAGCAAGTACCCCCTTGAAACTAAAATAAAAGTTGGAAAGAAAAAATAATAATTGCACTTGCTGAGGGTCACAGATTTTCTTCTAGGGTTCTTTATAGTTTCAGATTTTACATTTAAGTCTTTAATTCATCTTGAGTTGGTTTTTGTATATGGTGAATGGTAGGGATCCAATTTCAATCTGCATATGGCTAGCAAGTTATCCTAGCAGCATTTCTTGAATAGAGTCCTTTCCTCATTGCTTGTTTTTGTTAGCTTTGTCGAAGATTAGATGGGTGTAGGTGAGCAAGCACAATGTTTTCAAATCCCTTGAGCTCTTAGGTCATATCCCTTCTAGTCACCCCCCATGGGTCCAAATTTTTGAAAGACTTAAGGAAGAACTTATTTCCCCTCCAGCCAGATGAATGTCTTTATCCTTGTCACCTGTGTCAGTTTGCTAGAGCTGCTGTACAATCATCACCACATCAGTTTTAAAACATTTTCATCACTCAAAAGAAAACTTCATACCCATTAGCGCTCATGATTTTCCCCAACCTCCATTCCAACTTTAGGCAACCACTAATCTATTTTCTGTCCTTATAGATTTGCCTGTTCCAGATATTTCATAAGTGGAATCTTACGTGGTCTTTTGTGTTGACTGGTTTCTTTCACTTAGCATAATGTTTTTAAGGTTCATCTATGTTATGGAATGTATCCACACTTTATTCTTTTTAGTGTCTAGTAATATACCCATGTATGGATATACCACATGTTATTTAGTCATTCATCAGTTCATAGACATTTGGGTTTTTCCCACTTTTTGACTCTTATGAATACATCTGCTATGAACATTCACGTACAGGTTTTTGATTGGATGTATGTTTTAATGTCTCTTGGGTATATACGTAGAAGTGGGTTTTACCTACTATTTCCCTAAGAAAACAGTATAGAAGCAACAAGAAAAAAAAACCTTCTTAATCTTCCCACCTCAAATCAACCAACCTATCTGCTTTCATTCTGTTACAATGGAAGAATTATTCCTGGTTGTCTTAGTCCATTCCTGCTGAGACTGGGTAATTTATAAAGAACAGAAATCTATGCTTACGGTTCTGGAGTCTGCGAAGTCCAAGATCAAGGTGCCAGTAGGTTTAGTATCTGGAGAGGCTCTGGTCCCTGCTTCCAAGATGGTGCCTTAAATGCTACTTCCTCCAGAGGGGTTGAATGCTGTGTCTTCACATGGTAGAAGGAAGGAAAAGGAAAACTTATTCCCTCAAGCCCTTTTATAAGGTCCTAATCTCACCATTGAGGGAAGAGCCATCATGACTTAATCACCTTCTAAAAGGCCTCACTTTTTAATACCATTGCACTGGGGATTAAGTTTCAACATGAATTTTGAAGTAGACACAAATGTTGAAACCATAGCACTGATCCCATCTAAGGCCGTCCTATCCAGCCCAAGTGTGGGTTCTGAACACTGCTTTCTAGCCAAGAACTTTGTTTCTTCCAACATTCTTTGTCTCTCCTGTGTCACCAATTTCTCCCTCCATTCCCACCAATTCTCAACTATGCCAAAATGTCTCCCAAATTAAGAACAATTCTCTAGACCCCCACATCCCTTTCTAGCCACACCCCCATTTCTATGCTCCCATTTACAGCAAAATTACTCGAGATATATCTGCTCCCACTGTCTCTATTTCTTCACCCTTTTTTTTTTCCCTAATGCTATTTGAGTTGAGCTGCTATTCCCACCCCTACAATACAATAGACCCTTTTAGGGTCACAGATGCCTGCTATCTTGCCAAGCCCAAAGGCTGAATCTTAGACCTCATTTATCTCTGCTTATCAACACCATCTGACATAACGGACACCACACTATCCTTTTCTCCTATCTTGCCAGTCACTCCATTCAATCTCCTTTGATGGTCCCCACTCTCTTCTAGTCCTCTAAATGGTGAAATGCCCCAGGACTCAGTTATTTGTCATTTTTTCTTGTCTATACTCCCACTTATTTCTTACTATTATCTACTTTCACAGTTTTAAATATTAACTATTACAGTGTCCAGTGAACTTTCCATAAAGGCCAGACTAGGAAATATTGTAGGTTTTTTGACTCAGATGGTCTTTCAACTCCTGCTGTTGTAATGCAAAAGCAGCTACAGACAATATGAGGATGAATGTTGTTGTGTTCCAATAAAACTTTATTTACAAGAAACAGCCAGCAGATGGATTTGATCTGCAGGCTGTAGTTTGCTAAGCCCCAAACTATAAAAAATTTTTAAAAACTTTGTTTTTTAAGCCTAATGTCTTTTCTGAACTCCAGACCCATGTATCAATTGCCTACTTTTGTCTCCACTTGATTGTTGACTAAGTATTTCAAACTTAACACATCCAAATCAGAACTCATGTTTTCATCCACCTCCCCTAATCACATAAACATTTCTTCCACGTATTTATTCGCCTCAATAAGTGGCATTCCATTTATTCAATTAAAGAATGCAACTTTATCTCCTTTCTTTCCTTCATACCCTCATCCAATCCATTAGCAAGAATGTTAGCTCTGCACTCAAGATACACTCAGAATCTGAGCACACATCATTTTTCCAAGTTCACTACTGCCTCCATGGTCACCTGGACTGCTGCAAAACCTCCTTACCAAACCCCTTATATGAAAATCTCCTGGCAACAATTAGAGTGACTTTTAAAAACTGTTAATCAGATCATCTTAATCAATTACAAATAAAATCTAAATGCTTTGTCATGAGCCACAAGATTCTATGTTAGAGATAGGCAGAGATGATCTGATTTTATTCTTCTGCACATGGATATCCAATCTTCCCAGCATCATTTATTGAAGAGACTCTTCTTTCCCAAATACATGTACTTCACACCTTTGTCAAAAATGTATTGCGTACTTCAAAATAGCTGGAAGAGAGGATTCAGAGTGTTTCCAACACAAAGAGATGATAAATGCTTGAGGCAATGTACATGCCAATTACCCTGATTTGATCGTGATACATTGTATATGTATCAAAATATCACTTGTGCTTAATAAATAAGTACAATTATTACAAGCTAATTTTTAAAAAGATTCTATTTTAGGAGATCTAGCCCATGCCTATTTCTGTAAACTCGTGTTCTAAGACTCTCACCTTATTCCTTCTACTAGAGTCACATGGATCTTCTTTCTATTCTTTGAGTACATCAAGCTAATTCTGACCTCAGGGCCTTTACCTCCACTCTTCACCCTGCCTGGGGAGATCTTCAGATGACTTGCTTTGTTATTTTGTCTCTGCTCAAAAGCCATCTCTACAGAGATGTGTTTCTTGGACAGTCTCGCCAAAGTACCTCCCTAGAACCATCACTCTCTCTCCTACTAAGTCCCTATGTGGCTTTGTTTTTTAAATAGTACTTTTAAGTCTTTGATGTTATCTGTTTGCCTACTTATTTATTAGTTGATCAGTTCATCTCTCTCCCAAGAATAGAAGCTCATAAAATAAAACCCTTTATCATGTTCATCACCCTGCTCCCAACAGCTTAGAACAGTGCCTCACATGTGATAGGAATTTGATAAAGTGTGCTGAAAGAATGAATGTGTGGCTACGTTGTCCACACCAGAGCCTGATAAGCACTCTATCAGGTGTTGTTCAATTGAGAAGACAACAGGATGTGGCAAAATCAGCCCTCCAGGAGGAGCCAACAGTTCTAAGTCCTAGTTCTGGCTCTGTCATTAGCTGTGTGACCACAGGTGAGACACACCCCTGGTAGAAGCCTCTGTTTCTCATTTGTGCAATGACGATGCTAATTTAGGTATTTTCCCAGGTCCCTTCCAGCTTGGATGTCAATGAATGAAACTGAACTGAGACACTCTAATGGAATTTCAGGATCTGCAGGAGAGGGCCAAAGGAAGCAATTCAGTAATACCTTTCAAATGACCCCACATCTTCCAAGCAGTCTTAGAGCTTGTGGAGGCAAATCTCCTTAATGAGAACAGCACCTCAGGTGGGCAGCCTGAGCCCACATGGCAGTGAACCCTGTGTCAATGAGGGAGAATAATATGACTTCAGCCCTTCCAGACAGAAAGCCACATGCACCCAGCTTTTGCAATGAATCTTGAAGATCATGAACTGATTCGCGTTGCTGCCAAGAAAGCTTTTGTCCTATAAATATGACTCAGGAGTACAGGTGAATCAGCTGTGTGCCACATCTTCGGGAAAATAAAATACAGTGCTTAGTTAGAGTTTAAAGCCTGCGACTGAAGTGAACATGTCACTTAAATTTATTTGCTGTGATATCACCACCAGATTGCTATAAAAATGGGGAAGGATCGTCAGTCAGTGCAGTGAGATCACCTTCAAGAAAAGCCACAGAAAAATGTCTTGGCTCTCCTTATTAAAACTGTAAGTCCTGGCCGGGCACAATGGCTCGTGCCTGTAATCCCAGCACTTTAGGAGGCTGAGGCGGGCAGATCACGAGGTCAAGAGATCGAGACCATCCTGGCCAACATGGTGAAACCCCATCCCTACTAAAAATACAAAAATTAGCTGGGTGTGGTGGTGTGTTCCTGTAGTCCCAGCTACTCGGGAGGCTGTGGCAGGAGAATCGCTTGAACCTGGGAGGCAGAGGTTGCAGTGAGCAAAGATCGCACCACTGCACTCCAGCCTGGTGACGGAGCAAAACTCCGTCTCAAAAAAAACTGAAAAACAAAAAACAACCTGTAAGTCTTGGTATTTCCAGGTTTCTGATAACTTCTCAGTCCTGCTGCTTGTCGAGGCAAACTTTCAAAATGATGGACTCAAGGAGTGGACTCAAGGCCTATCACATACATATGTAGACAGCTTTACAGTTTACTATGCATGTTTTCACTCATTATATCATGGGCTTTAACTTCTGATGTCTCGAGGAAATATCTGACCTTAAGTTTCAGTTTTTTATCTTCTTTGCTATGTGGCCTTGGGAAAATCACTTCCCCACTCTGGGCTTCAGCTTCCCCATCTGCAGTCTGAAAATACTCAGAGTCCCAAGTGGGCTTTCCCAGACCCCCAGAGGAATTTGAAGGTCAAAACTGAAATCCAAGAGCTGTTTTGATATTTCAAAACACCCCCCGAGAATTCTACATATGCCCATGACCAGGCCAGACAAGTTAATTAAAATGTCAAGCTTCTTTGCTTTGGATGGAATGATATTGGCTCAGGTATTGTCTCAGATTATCTTGCAGTGATCAGAAGCTCTGATAGGCTATAAGTGATAACACAGGAAATCCTGGGATTTTTTTTATTGCCTACTCTGCTGCTATGTGTCTGGTTCATAAAGTGGGGAGGGAGAGAAATCAGCCACTGCACACCTGCAGACTTGTAGTCAAAACCTGCCAAGGAAAAGGTGTGTGAAGAAGAGTGGGTGGTGGCATATCATGGATGCTGAAAACATCCCCCCTCCACCCCGCTGATCCCTAGATAGTCTCTGATATTCCCTTTCCAGTGCTAAATTCTATGATTCCAACATTGTGTTCATTTGAGTATGCACTTTTATCCATCAGGGAAACATATTGAAGAGGACATTGCCGTCTGCTTTTTAAAATAGCCCTGTCTATGATAAAGTCACCCCCAGGTACAAGCAGAAAAAGAAAGCAATTCATTACAGTGTATAGGACAGAGGCAGCAAGGACAAGATCCTGCAAAAATCAATATAGCACCGGTTTTAAAGAAAAATCTTGCAGCATGCCCTGAAGCTCAGGGGTTGTTGGCTCTACCTAGAAAGGACAAAGAAACAGATTCCACCAGTGACACCCTTTTGCTTCGAGGATCTGTGGATAAAAATAAGGGACTTGGTGACAGTAGAGCTCCAAACTCAGGAACTGAGCCATGTGACCCTCAGCAAGTCCTTTGTTCTCTCAAGACCTCAGTTTTCCCCTCCGTAGGGTACAAAACAATTGGGTGGTGATGGATGCTGTGTGCACTCCACCAAATCCCCTCTACTCTGCCATGCCTCCAGCTCCCACCTTCTCCAAGTATTAGCAGCTGGCAAATCACAGCTGTACCTTCTCTGGATAACTGTTCTCAGCTGAAGGAAGCCACCTCCTCTGAAAGGGTAGCTCCCACCCCACTCCCCAGGAGGAGCAGCCTGCAGCCATTAACAGACTGATATGAGAGTACAGCAGTCCAACCCTTGCCTCGAGGTGGGACCAGCTCAGCAGAGCCAACAACTGCTGAATTTCAGGGCACGATGCAAGATAGCTCTTTAAAACAGATGCCATGTTCCTGAGTTCCCCATGGGTCCAGAAGAAGCTAGACTTCAGCGGAGGCTACATCCTTGCCTCTTTCCTCCCACCATGTCCTACTTCTCCCAGTCCCTTGATCCCTCAGTGCATTCTGTCTCTGAGTCCCTGTCCCAGACTCCGCTCCTGACCTAAAGCACTAATGCTCGAAAAATACTTGTAGCTATATTGACTGACTCTTCGACTATTCTAGGCGAGGACATTCTGGAGCATGGCTGGCCTCCCTGGAAGCATGTCATCACCATCCTTTCTCCATGCAAGGTTTTATCCCTTGGCCTAGCATAATTCTCTCACCCTGAATACTTCACTGTACTCTAACCAGCTGGTTAAAATCACTATGGCTGTCACCCCCTTAGGCTCTTCAGTATTTTCTTCCTATGTTTATGTAATTAAACTTCCAGATTAGTCCTCCAGAGAGGACACAACTTGCTCCTTGTCTCTCCAAACCCTGATTCTCCCAGGGATGACTTCCAGCTCACTCAGACCTGGTAAAGTGGAGAGAGACCTGCTGTAAAGTTAGAAGGCACCTCAACTCATGGCCTGGCCCCCCATGGATTGAACGGGCCTCAGCTTCATTGTCTTTATGAAACAAAGAATAGATCAATATCTATTAGCCAATATTGATTGGATCAATATATATGGAAATATGTAAAGACCACATGCATTCAAGTCATCTGGGAAACATATTTTAAATTTAGATTCCCAAGTTCCATTTCAGATCTGCTGTGTTAGAATTTCCATGTGCATGTTGAGGGGAGTGTGGGGGGTGCGTGTCTAACAAGTACCTCCAGGTGACTGCTAGGAACACTATTATGAGACCACCAAACTACGTGACTTCCAAATCTTGTTCCCACTCCTATGTCCTCTACCTTATCACAGCCATTTCTCAGATGGGTAGGGCAGATATTAGTGCTACATTCACAATAGTCTCCCTTTAAAGTGTTCAACCAGAAACTTCCTTTCTAAGTAGATCCTTCTTTAAGCCCAGAGTCTCCAGGCTACCTGACCCTCATGCATCCACCTATTCCCACCTATGGCACCATCCCCAGGATTGCAGCACAAGATCTCTTCTGCTTCGAGTTCATTTACTCTCACTGGAGGCTTTTGTCGTTGTGGAAATCCCATTCTGATACAATTAACTCAATTCTCCATGATCCTAGGACCTAATCACAGGTTATCCTGAATGCTAGCATAAGGAATTTGGACTTCGTTCTTTAGGCCACATTTCCCCACACTGTGTTCAGTGGAATTCTACTTCCACAAAAGAGCGAGGAAGAAGATGTTCCCAGTAAGCTAGGGAACAAGGAAATGGTGGCCCATTCTCCCCTTCTGGGAGTTTCACGGTACAGCCTGCATGGTAGGGGTGCTGAGAAGTCCATCTGTGTGGAAGCTTGCCTTTGTTGCTGTGCCCAGCAGTTCCAACACAATTTGGGCATGGAGCTTTTTTTCCAAGGAACACCATTAATATTTTATAGGAACTAGTGTGACTCGGAAGATCATTTGGGAAACTGCTCTAGGCAGTATCTGTGAGGACACCAATTTGAAGGTTTACAAGCCAGGTAAAGACACACTGAGATGCGCCTTAACATGGCCCAGCTGAAAGCTGTTGGAAATGAGTGGAGTAGTGGAGACTGCAGGCTGGGGGACAGTGATGGTGCTGTCGTAATGCTCCTGCATTAGGCCATTTTTGTTTGCTATAAAGGAATATCTGAGATTGGGTAATTTATAAAGAAAAGAGGTTAAATTGGCTCACCACTGTGCATGTTGTACAGGAAGCATTGTGCCAGCATCTGCTTCTCAGGAGGGCCTCAGAAAGCTTCCAATCACAGCAGAAGGCAAAGGGGGAGCCAGTGCCTCACATGATGAGAGCAGGAGCAAGGGGCGCGGGAGGGGACACGCTCTTTAAACAACCCTCTTGCGTGAACTCAGAGAAAGCACTCACTCATCACCAAGGGGATGGTACTAAGCCATCCATGAGGGTCTCGCCCCCAAAATCCAAACACCTCCCACGAAGCCCCGCCTCCAACACGAGGAATAACATTTCAACATGAGATGTGGAGGGAACACACGTGCAAACCATATCAGGTTCATGGGAAATATGATGGGGCCTCAACTAGGGCAGACTGGGGTAGGAGGTCTGGGACAAATGGATGCGAGGGACACTGGAGAAGTAGGATGCTCAAAGCCTGGGAACCTTGTGCTTTGAACCTCGCTGCCTGCACAGTCTTCAGGCCTCTCCTGGGTGCTTATTCCAAATGCCATTTAGCCCAACTCCGCTTACCCTTTGGTGCAGCAGGAACAGCATCAAGCTGGTCCTCAGTGTCTATCCTCTGCAGGGATAACGGAAGCCATGAATCCTGGACCATTGGCTCTGCCCTGACACTGATATCTAGGGGCTCCCCCTCCCAGGCCCTCAGCCTCCTGATCTCTCCTCTCATCTTCTCTCTTAGCCCCTTTGTCTGGCTGCAGAGCTGAGCAAGACAGTGCACTGGGCTCGAGGTTAAGCCTGATGCCCTAAGTCCCCATCCACCATGCTGATGTCCAGCTGCTCCTGGACTAGCTTCTCAGTGTGCAGGACTTTCCATTCTGCCTAGCACCTTCATTTACCTTCTCTAAATTAACCCTCCCAGCAGCACTTGAGAGAGGATTGTTATTCCCATTTTATAAATTAGAGGGGAGAGGTGAGCAACTTCTGTCAAGGTCACACTGCCAATGAGTAGCAGAACCAGTCCCTAATCCCTACTTTACTTCTAGGTCCTATGCTATTTTACTGCAATTCTAAAGTACAATGAAGTCAGTCAGTCTATCTTCTGACTCTATTTGCCCCTCTCTCTCCATTTCTCTCTTTCATTCTGAAGAACTGCATAGGCCCTGTGCCTCCCTTTACAACCTTGAAGGTGCCACCGGTGTGCGGAGACCCCAGCTCCTTCCAAGGGTCTATCTCACAGATGCTTTCAGATTGCATCACTCCTCTAAGCAAGAGTCTACCCAGAACTCCTGCCTATGAGTTTCAATGAATTCTGAGTGTTGCACAACGTTTAAAAATTGCTTCTCCTAAGAGATCCTCACTGGGATGGGGATGGGAGCTGCCACCCCCCATGGGGAGAGAGGCGTAGTTTTTTCTAGGCTGGGCAGGCCTGGCTCCACGCCAGGGCCTGGAATCAGTAGGTGACCACTTCTCTTCATCAGGTAGCAAATGCTTTCTTGGTGCTGCAGTCTTGCATGGCACACTGAGGAGAGGGGAGTGGGAGAGAACTCTTTATGCAGGTGGAAATTTCTGCTGCTTGCAGTATGTACCACTGGACTCCACCAAGAGGGCAAAGCTGTTGGGCCGAAAGTACCCATGGAATATATTTGAAGAAAGACAGCATGCGGTTAAAGGGGAGCCTTGAAGGTCACGGCTGAGGAGATGGAGAGCAGGGCAGGACCGTGGCAGGCTGAGGGCAGCTGTGTGCTTGTGCAGGGCATGGGCGAGCAGGGTAGCCGGAAAGGGCAGGAGTGGAACGTGAGCATTCAGGCAATAGCAACAGGCTGGCTCCTCTCTCTCCACTTTGCTAATATCAAACCCACGCTAGCTTGACCATGGCTTCTGCTCCTATCAGCTGCTGCCTGGGAGAGGGAAACCACAGAAAAACAGTTCTCACCAACACGTCTGATTGGCATATTCAGGGATCCATAGTGAGTGCAGGAGGGTGGTCTGGGCTGGAGGGGGGTCTTGCCATAGAGGTCACAGTCAGGTCACAGCACAGCTGGGATCCCCGCTTGGGTCTCTGGACTCTTAATGAAATCTTTTCAGAGTGCAAGTGCTGTCTGCCATTCCAGAGATCCTGGAAGCCTGCAAACTCTCCCAAACCTGGCTGTTCTTCCACAGTTTTGCAAAGTAGCAGAGTCTGTAGGAAGTGAACGGAATCCCTGTGGTTACAGACTGACAGAGTTTGGATGTGTGTCTCTGCCCAAATCTCATATTAAAATGTAATCCCTAATGTTGGGGGTGGGGCCTGGAGGGGGGTGATTTGATCATGGGGGCTGATTTCTTGTGGATAGTTTAGCACCATCTCTCCCGGTACTGTCCTCGTGATAGTGAGTGAGTTCTTGCAGATCTGATCATTTAAAGAGTGCGGCACCTCCTCTCTTGCTCTCTTGCTCCTGCTCTAGCCATGAGACTTGACTAGCCTGCGCCCCCTTTGCCTTCTGCTATGATTAGAAGCTTCCTGAGGCCTCCCCAGAAGAAGCCACTACTTCCTGTACAGCCTTCAGAGTCATGAGTCGATTACACTTCTTTTCTTTGTAAATTACCCAGTCTCAGGTATTTCTTCATAGCAATGCAAAAATGGACTAATACAAAGTTCATGCATTGCTATTTTATGGGAATGGTACTATACCTTCCCTGCTCCCAACCACTGTCTTAACATCTCCCCTCTTACCTGCAGTTGGAATTTCTAACTATGCTGCCTTCCTCTGGCCCCTCCCAGAATGCTGTTGCCCAGTCCTAAGCAGCCCCTGGAAACGCCCACTTTTATGGCCAATGGAGCCTGATAGGATTGTCCCTTTTGAAAGCCAGATCAACTGGACAAAGCCCCTGGTTCCTGAGCTCCAACTTTTAGCTGGATCTCCATCAGTCCGATCTTGAAAGCCAACACAATGTGGACTGACAGTAGAGGCAGCTCCAACCCAACATTTCAAAAGGCACTTACTGCGCATCTATTATGCGACAGCTGCTGTGCTTGGGATAAAGGAATGAAGCATCCATAGACACAAAATACTGTGAAATGCCACATGATGATGTCAATAAGAGAAATAAGCGCCAAGTGTTTTTGAGAACCCAGAGGAAAGCACAATGAACTCTGCCTGGAACTGAGAGGGTGTTGTAGTGACCTGGTGAAGAATCACTGGTAGTTTGAGCAGTCAAGGGGGCGGCAAACAGAGAAACAGGACATTTGAGGGTCATTAGAAACCTAGACTGGCTAGGCCTGGGAAATTCGTTGAATGAGGTGAAGGGTGCTTAGGTGACTGGGTAGGTGAGTGTCAGGGTCATTCCTTGCAACAGGAAACCCTGGAAGGGGGAAGATTCGAGGCAGCAAGAGGGTTTTCTGTCACTTGCTTTGTGAGAGCCACCATCAAACCAGAAGCATTTGAGTCCTTTCATTAGAATAAAGTGCACACTATTTGAAATGACCTTAATACTTCCTTCTCAGGCTGTCAAAACCCCACTCTTTCCCAGCCCAGCTCAAATTTCACCTTCTCTGAGAAGCTTTGCTTAAATGTGGTGGACCCCTCAGTCCTTGTTTGAGGGCATCCTGGTGCCGTCTTGTTCATCAATGACAGCACTGTGGCCTTGCCTGCCTGGGGATACAGCAAGCTGCACACAGGTGTGTCTCCCTCTCCAGGGCCCTGGCCCTGTTTTTCTCACCCTTCATTCACATCTTCACGTGCCCAATGCCACACCCAGCATAAAACAGGATGAGCGAATGAGCACTACATTAAGCCAAATTGCAGGGCTTCTGCTTAACTAGGACAAGGAGCAGTGGAAATTTCTGGAGCTCTCACCTGAAGCTTCAAAAGAAACCAACCTGCAAGATGCAACAGCCAGACAGCAACTCCTCCCTTTGATGCACAAATGAAACCAAGCCTGGAGGAGGGAGCCTGGCACCAGGTCAACCTCTCCAGATCGTCTGCCTTCCAGAGTTTTACTCTGTGAAGGGGGCTGGCCCCTAAGTGGAGGTGACAGTTGGCTGGCTCTGGCCACGCATGCACACAGTCTTGGCCCCGTTTCTGTGGCAGGCAGAATTTCCAGTCTGAATCCAAGCACTGGGGGCAGCCCTGGGCCAATCTGAAGCAGTGAGGCTTGTCATCCTTCATTCTCAACTCGGCTTTCCCTGACCTTCAGTGAGTACCAGCTCTACCCCATCCCCCTGTTTCTGAGCAGCCATCTGCCCCCATCAGTGTCCTGCTTCCAGTGCAGCTATCAAAGGATCTGTCCTCAGACCTTGCTATGAACCCTGTCCCTCACCTAGTGTTACCAGCCATGCCATTCAGCAAGGAGTCTCAAAGGATCCTTCATGAGGCCAAGCCCCAAGCCAGACACCCTACCAGAGTGAGAGACCCCATCACACCCATAGAAGTGCAGTGGCCATCATAGCATCTGACACATGCTATGCTCAATGGATGCATTGGATGCATGTCTGGTGCTCAAGGGATGCATGTTGAATGAATGTTGGGTGCAAGAATAGACAGCCCTTGTCCTGCAGCAGCCCAGGATCTGGCAGAAGAGACACCAGACAGAGAGGCTGGCTTGGGATCTGGGGTCAAACCATGTGGTCTAAATACACACTCTGCTATGGATGTGCTGGGTGGCTTTCATTTCTCTGTGCCTCCGTTTGCTCACCTGTGAAATGTGGATAACTTTGAAACCTGCCTCCCAGGTAGTTGAAGAGAGTAGGTTACATATGATAAGTGTATAGCACAGTGCCTGGCACTCAGCAAGTGCTCAAGAAACTCCCTGAGAGGATAGGTAGTAAATCAATGAGTGAATGAGTGGGTGAGTGAAAACATGAATGAAGAATAGATGTAGTACAAAGTGCCGCCGGAACAGGCAGCATTTGGGGACCTTAGTGGAAGGTGGTGTTTGATGAGGAGGGTCTCCCTAGGTGGAGCTGGGGAAATGGCACTCCAGGTGAAGGGCACAGCCCCAGCAGAGGCAGAGGTGGGAATGTGCAGGGCAGTTTAGGGAACAGGTGGCTCAGGCTGGCTGGGCCATGAAGGGCAGGGACAGGAGCCATGGAAGATACTGCTGAAGGGGAAGGTTGGGCCCAGACACATGGGGCCCTGAATGCCAGGCTGGCAGCTTGGCAAAGGAGAACTTTGCCATAGGGGAGGGAAGAGCATGCCCAGGGCAGGAGGCAGATGATGCCTAGAGGGACATGGAAGGAGCTGAACATCGGTTCTGCCTCCTTCATGCTGCTCACAGCCAAGTTCAAGCAGAGGTGCTCTGATGGGGATGAACCAGGGCATGGGGAGAAAACCCTCAAAACCTTTACTGCTTGTCCATCAGTAAGCATTACTGGGTTTGCTGGATCCAAGAACATCCATAAGGCATAGGATTTCAATCTCCATCTCATCCGACTCTCCCAGTTTGATAGATGAGGAACCCAAAGGCCCAGGGCAGGGAGGGGACTTGCCTGAACCTAAGAGCTCCTGGGCCTCTGTCCCTAGGACCTATTTCCCTTTAACATGAACTCAACATCAGGAAGTTAAAGGGAAGAGACTTGCCTGAACCTAAGAGCTCCTGGACCTCTGTCCCCTAGGACCTATTTCCCTTTAACATGAACTCAACATCAGGAAGTTAAAAGGAAGAGACTTGCCTGAACCTAAGAGCTCCTGGACCTCTGTCCCTGGGACCTATTTCCCTTTAACATGAACTCAACAACAGCAAGTTAAACCCATCTGAGGCAACAAAAATGAAAATAAATCTCTACCAGCCATCCCAACACCAATCCTAAAGAACTGGTATTTTACTCTTGAAAAACAGAGGCAAAGAAAAGGTGACATTGCTTGTCCCAGATGCCAATGGAGCCTGTCTTTCAGTGCAGCATGGCATAAGACATTCATTCATTCATTCATTCATTCATTCACTCATTCACTCAACAAGTGTTAATCAAGTGCCTTTGCCATGTGGGACTCCATGCTGGATACCGGGAGCCTAACTTTGGAAAGGCCACAGATTTGGCGTCTGACCTCAGGCTAATTCTGGCCATGCCTGACCTGTCTGTATGGCCTTGGGCGAGTCACATCATCCTTCTGAGCCTCAGCTTTGTCATCTGCAATGTAAGGATCCAGCACAGAGCTCCTGGCATTGCATTCAGCATTGAACGGAATCATGTGTGTAAAGTGCCCATTGCCGTCCCATAGAAGGAGGTCCTAAGGCAGGTTCCCAGCCCAGATGCCTTGCTCAGATACATTTTTGTCACTACCCCCATGAGCTCCAAGGGAGATTCCACGTTCTGGGGGACTTAATTGTTTCCTTCTGATAAATATCACGGGGCATAAAAGCTGAGAGCTGCAATGGGTGCATCTTGCACTTTGAGATGCCGCATCTCCTCGCGGAAGCATCGCTCACCACTCTGCGAGCCAGGGAGCCCAGCCCACGCTGTTGGCAGAGAGGAAGGAGCTCTGACAGCAGCTGGGACACAGTGACTGATAAGGTGCTGTCACTTTCCATCCACTGCTGTGTTCAAGTATCAAAGCACTTGGTTGAAAATGCCAGGCAGTTTCTCTCCTCCAGAATTCATCAAAGGCTGTGGGGGTTTGGGGAATAAATAGAAGAGATGCTGAAAACAACTGGAAATGTTCTCGTGAAATGATGCACTGGGGACTCCTGCACATCACACTTTTGCCTTTTCTTCCACCCCTCATATGGTGGAGAGCTTTGGGTCTCAGGTCTCAGATGAGGAGCACTTACAGACTGGATGACCTGGGGTGAGGCACTCAACCCTCTGGGGCCACTGTTTCTTCATCTGGGAATAAGAAAATCTATTTGGGTTTATTGTGAGTGTTAAATTATGGGGGAGTCTTAAGTTTTTGTGCTGAAATGACCCTTGTTAGTCAGGGATTCTTAACCCTGGCTGTACATCATACCCACTTGGAAAGTTAGTTATTTAAAATATCTTTGTCTGGGGCCCACCTCTGGGTAGTTTTATTTAATTGGTCTGGCCTGGGGTCTGGGCACTGTCTGTCTGGTTGGTTAGTTAAAGCTTCCCAAGGGATTGAAATCTGCAGCCAGGTTTGAGAATCCTGACATTGAATCTGCCTTCTCATTGCAGGTCTTAAGCATGGGCACAACATTGTCAGTTTTCTGCCTTGGAAAGATCCCTCTGGGGACAGTGAAGTTAATGGGTTGTGTGGCAGGTGTAAGATTACATTCAGGGACACCGGTTAGAGCCTTTCTGTTCACTGTGTGGTCCATGGAACAGCAGTATTGGCCCTCCTTGTTAGGCAAGCAGAATCTCAGGACACATCCTGAGCAACTACTGATTGAGAGTCCGCATTTTAACAAGATCCCAGGTGATGTGTACCGTCATCCCTCGGTATCCACAAGGGATTGGTTCCAGGACCCTAGAGCATATCGAAATCCACAAATGCTCAAGCACTTTATATAAAATGGTATAGTATTTGCATACAGCCTATGCACATCCTCCAGTATACTTTAAATCGTCTCTAGATTGCTTATCAGACCTACCTGATACAATGCAAATGCTATGTAAATAGTTGTTCTACTGTGTTGGTTTTACATTTGTATCATTTGTATTGTTATGTTGTTACTTTTGTTGTTTTTTAAAATATTTTCGGTTTGCTGTTGGTTGAAATCACACATATGAACTCATAGATACAGAGGGCCAACTCTTCATGCATGAAAGCTTGGGAAGGTCTGGATTAGAAGACCATGCACTGCAGGGGTCCAGGCTGGAGATGGTGACAACCCCACTCAAAGCAGAGAGTGGGGTTTCAGAATAGAAGGAGACATATGGAAGAAGAATTGACATGATATAATGGCGGGGCTTGGTGTGGAGTTTGGGAAAGAGAAATTGAAAACAAGAACATATTTCTTATTTGGCCCTTGGGGGAAGATAGTGTCTCTGTCTGCAGGTTAGTAGGGAAAGGCTGATGAGTTATTTTCTTTAACTCAGCTATTTTTGCACAGCATCTTATACCAATAATTAGCTTGCAACTTTTGTGTCTTATTTAGTAAGAAGCATCTACCCAAACATGCTCACTCTGGTGTAGATAGAAAAGGGCATTTTTTCATTGCAAGTTTTCACATTCGGAAACAGGCTTGTTATAGTTGGGTGCTTGCTCTTGGTCACGTACCTAGGAACTGGTGGAATGAAGCCTGAACTCAGACCTTCTTACTTCAGATCCTGTGCTCTTTTCCAAGCCTGGCAGTATTTCTTTTGTTTTGTTATTTTGTGTCCCATTGATCTCTGTTGTTGTTATTGTCCATTCACTGCTTAGTGTCCAACTAAGTCAACATAATTGATCCCTCATGGAATGCTTTTATAGAATCTCCTTTATTAATCACTGGTCCTTTAAAAAATCACTGCATATAATAGGCACACAATCAACACATAACATCTCTGGTCACCAGAACATGTGAGATTTTTCCCACACTGACCTCACAAGACTGCCCTGACTTGAGATTCCACTCTTAAGTCCAGGCCTCCAGTATTTCTGGCCAACCGGCTATAAATCGGGGATTCCCACGATCCCCTCCTCAGGTTTGAACATATGAGCATATGATGGGAATTGAGGGGAGAGGAGGGTGGAGAGGCAGGGAGGTAGTCTATTTTGGGGGTCTCCGATGCCTTGGGAGAGGTTTGGACCTTGTCAAGGGCATAAGACTACTAAATCTGTGCCTTTAAAAGATTACTGTAGCAAAAAGATAGAAGAACAATTACATCAGGGCTAGAAAAACATTTTAAAAACTTGGCTGAAGAAAAAGTCCATGACAGAAATGAAGTCAGCTGAACCAATGCTCCTGGCATAAAGAACAAAAGCAGTGGTGATCAAACTTTCAGGACCACGGACAGATCTCCTCTCAGTCCAATCCCCTTTTGCCAGAATATTGTATAAATATCTTGTCCAACTATTTTTAAGATAGCCACCATTTACTGAGGGCTAGGATCCTTGCATACATTATGTCTTTAATCCAAATAACAACCTTGAAAGGCAATGATTATTGGCCCCATCCTCCTGGGGAGCAAAAATTGAATCTCACTGAGGAATCCCTTATCAAGAGCACACAGCAGACCAACACAGCAACTTCATTTTGCTATACTGACCATTACATCAAGCTACCACCACTAAACATGCTCTAATTTTGAAGTGGCAATTAATTCATTTTTCCATTTTAGTTAATTAAAAGCACAGATCCAGCCAGGAATTTTAATTGGTCATCCAGAACTGCCATGTAGTACTGCTTGTACTTCTAGCCCCAACCAAAGGGATTTGGCATCCTTGTTCACTGTGCTGAATATTGTGAGTAACTGCAAGGATATCTATGTGGGTTTTTTTTTTAAATATTGGAATGGTTTCTAACACCCTTCAATCCTCCTTCAAGGATGCCTAGGGATGTGGGGAGCCAGAACATGGAAAGGTGAAGAAGGCAGAGCCTGGGAACCCTGGCACCCTTGTTAAGGTTTATAAATGGGTCTTCTCCAGGAAGCTGAGAAAATACTCAGCCCTACCAGCTCCTTTCTCCATCTTGGGAACATTTCCTTTCATTTTCACAGAGTCAGGCTTGTGATTATTTTCAGTTCCAATATGAGTTTGTCACTGTGTGGAGTGGAAATGAGGTGGATGTCAAATAAATACCTGATAGAGTTTCTGCCTCACAAACTGGGGAGTGTTCAGAGAACCTTCAACATCAATGAGAATTCTATTACAGTATTTTCTGGGCTGCTGTTTATTTCTTTAGTCAGAGGGTCCGAATTCAGGGCCTCACTACCTCCCCCGGGAAGCTGTCTCTAATTTCTCCCCCTTTGATGTGTTGTGCATACAGCATTTGATTAGTCTTTGGTAGAGCAACTCTATCTAATAAAGTTACTCATCTGCTCCAAGATTCTCAATGGTTCCCTATTGCCTTCCAGTATAGCTCATAATCCTTAGCTGGCTATTGAGGGCCCTTCACAATTTAGCCATAACCTATCATTCTAACCTCATATCCTGCTGCATCTCTCCACAAACATCATGGTCCAGTCACATGAGTTTAATTTCTATTCCACAAATTCATAGCTCAGGATGTGCAAATTGCCTTATCAGTTTCTTGGCACATAGGCCACCCCAATGTAATAAGAGGCTTCCTCAAAAACACCATTGAAAGCAGTCTGCTGGCAAGACAGAAGTCAGAATCTTTTGTAATTTTATCATGGAAGTGACATCCCCTCAATGTTGCAGTGTTTTGTTTATTAGAAGCAAGTCACTCAAGGGGAGGGGATTACATGAGGCTGTGGACATCAGCGGGTAAGGACCACTGGAGACCATCTTAAAAGCTGCCTACTGCAATTCCTGTTCAAGACCTACCATCCCTTTAAGAGTTAAATCAAATTATATTCCTCAAAGATCTTTCTGTATGTCCTAGTCAGAATAATTCCTCTCACTTCATAACATCCTCGTTCTACATTGCTTTATTTGTCCTTCTAGAGGAACACTTGTATTAATGCCTATATTAGAGACACTTGAAGATGTCTGTCTTTACCACCAGTTTGGGAGCCCCTGGAGGGCAGGAATCACATCTGTTTCTGTCTCTGCATTTTACGCAGCCTAATGGAAGAGAGGTGTTGCGTAAATGTTTGCTGAAGTGAGTTGGCCAACTCTTCTGCTCCTTTAGAAATAGCTTTTAGCCTCCAATTTCAAACACAGAAAATAATTCACTGACAGGGTGTATATCTTGGGAGATAAGGGAATATATGCTTTTCTCAGAGTTTAAAAAATCCAAGATTTGACAGGTTAAGAAATAGGAGTTTGCCATAAACTGGAGCAGAGAGAAGCAAGTTTCTCTGAAGGCGTTCATGTATACAATATATGACCATATATAAAAATTCACAAGGTAATAATAATAATAAATAATGCTTACTATGCCAAGTGCTGTATGCTTTACCTACCTTGGACCACTTAATTCTCACAATAGTCCTACCATGTTGGACAACTTGTCCCCATTCTACAAATGAGAAAGGCTAGACTTCAAGAGGTAGGTAACTGCCCCGAGATTATAGGGTCTTATGACAAAGGCTATGCTCCTCACTGCTCCCCTGGGTGCCTTTTTCTTATTTTCTTAAATAAAGAATTTCCTTTTTCTTATTACTATTGAAAAGCTGTAATTTTACCACAGTGAAGTTAGAATTGCACTGGGCCAGTTCTGAAGCATAGCTTCATGAATGACACATAGGTCTGCATGTCAGGAGAGCTGAATTTTTGTTTTGGTTATATCCCAAACTTGCAGTACAACCTAGGTCTGCATATCAGGAGAGCTGAATTTTTGTTTTGGGTATATCTCAAACTTGCAGTACAACGCTGGAAAGGTGATTTGCTGTCTCGGGATCTTCTTTTCTAAAAACAGATGCAAATTATGTAATATCTAAGGTTCATCACAATTCTAACAGTATATAGGATTTAATTATAAACCATTACAGATAATTTAAATTGTATTGCTAAAATATACGTTAAAATCAGATCATTGCTATTTTGTCAAAATCCCTCTTGTTTGTTTATATATGTATATATATAAAGGAGGAACCATTTAAAGTTACATTTCAAAATGTCATCATGGAATAAAGAGACTAAGCCTCAGTGATATCATTTGGGATACTTTTTTAATGAGGTTTTTTTTTTTTAGAAAATCTTGTCAATAAGTCATAACGGACTATATTCCCTATTACAGACCCACAGGTTTCATTACGGACCATTTAGGAAGATTAAAGAACACTCTCTCTGGAGGGGACTTGAGTCTCAGAGCATCTAGGACATCACATTAAGCATCTGAAATACTCATTTTCGGTTTCTAACAGTGGATTAATGAATCTACAAAGAACACACTTATTAAAACCAACATATGCTGAGGGATAATAAACCTAGTCCACATTTTCATCTGTCTCTTTCTGCCTGTGAATAAAGGGAAAAGGAGCGTGAAAATTGAGTTGCTGTCCTACCCAACACTCTTATCTTCCTCGTTGTGTGTGATGGTGGGAAGTAGTGTCATGGATTGGACACTGGTCTTGGGGTCAAGTACACAGGGTCCAAGCCCTGACTAAGCCATTCACCTTGTACAAATCATTTGACCTTCTGTAGGCCTGTTTCTTTCTCTTCAAAATAGGCTACACCAGAGATTTTCAGAGTGTGCCCCTCAGAGCTTGAGGCATTTCTTCCTCAGTGCTTGTGGGAATGCTGCTGGGTGATGACCGGATGAAGGGGTTTCTCAACATTAAATGTTGTTGTTAGAAAACCACTGGCTGGTTGATGTGTAGAGTCTTTTCCAGTTAGATTTTGGAGGTGATAGGGAAATATCTATTGATGTTTCTGTATTCTTGAATTTTTGTTCTTGTTGTTGTTTTTGTTTTTGTTTTGTTTTGAGATGGAGTCTTGCTCTGTCGCCCAGGCTAGAGTGCAGTGGCGCGATCTCGGCTCACCGCAAGCTCCACCTCCCAGGTTCACGCCATTCTCCTGCCTCAGCCTCCCAAGTAGCTGGGACTACAGGTGCCCGCCACCATGCCCAGCTAATTTTTTGTATTTTTAGTAGAGACAGGGTTTCACCATGTTAGCCAGGATGGTCTCGATCTCCTGACTTCGTGATCCACCCGCCTTGGCCTCCCAAAGTTCTAGGATTACAGGCGTGAGCCACCATGCCCGGCCTATTCTTGAATTTTTTTTAGCTTATAATTCATGTTTGTAATATTCCAATATACATGCATACATGCTGTTATGGCTAAAATAACATATGAATAGGTACCATATTGTCAGATTGAGCCTTCCTGGGGCCTCAGTAGAGTCAAGGTCAGAACTCTTTGGCATAGGTAATATTTTCTGATCCCAGAGCTTGAAAGAAACAGAGGAGGTTCATTTAAAAAGGGAACTGAGACTCAGGTTATGCAACAAAGAGAGGAGTGGACACCAGGTTTTCTGTCTCCTGTTTCAGGATGTTCTCTGCTGTCCCGTGCTCCCTGCTCTGCTGTTCTCCATCCTACAGCATCTCTGTGCTGTGCTACAGTTGCTTGTGGGCATCATGCCATTCTTCCTAAACCATAAGTTTCTGGGGGGTCCAGGCTGTTCTGTCACAATGACCAATGGTGTGCGTTTCATCCCATCATCCCCTGAGGGGGCTGCAGACATTTGTCATCATCAGGAGAAGAAAAAGAAAGCTTTAGGAAGATAAATCATGGTTTTTTTTTCTTCACTAAGGAACTCTTTAAACTGGAACCCATCTCCACAAATTATGGAACATACATACTGAAGTGTCATTTTTTGCAGAAAACAATGATTCACCCAAGTTTTTCCTGACTGGAGATTTAAATTGGGCTGTCCGTCAACTTGCTGTCAATCAGCTTCTCCTATCCTGAGCCGCACATACAGTCAGAAATAGAAATCATAAGGTCTGTTCTCTGAGGGGAAGCAGGGCTAAGTTTCATCCCTTGTGATTTGCCTCTCAGTCAGTTGGCAAACACATGGCAAGCACCTACTATGTGCCAGACTTTGAGAAGGTGGGAGGGAAGCTAAAAACGAAAAAGGCATGGACTTTCCCTGTATCCATTTTCTATTTTCGTAACAAATTACCACAGAGCAACTTAAAATAACACAAATTTATTATCTCACAATTTCTGCTGGTTAGAAATCTAACACTGAGCTAAAATCAAGGGCCATCAGGGCTGCATTCCTTACTGGAGTCCCTGGGGAAGAACCCACTACTGCACTTATTCAGGTTGTTGACCTGACTCAGTTCCTTTGCTGTGGTAGAACTGAGGCCCCATTTCTTTGTTGACCATGACTGGGGGTCTCCCTCAGCTCCCACAGGCCTCTCCCCAGGCCTTGCATGTGGTGGCCACTTGCACCTCAGAACCAGCCACGATGTGCCAAGTCCTCAGGCCTAGGCTCTCTCTTCTCTTTCTGCTGCACCTGTGTCTCCAGCCAGAGAAGGTTCTCTGCTTTTATGGGCTCATGTGGTTAGCTTGGGAAAGAATAATCTCCCTGTCTTCAGAATAATCTCCCTGTCTTCAAATTTCTAATCTCATTTACATCTGCAAAATTCCCTCACAACAATACCTAGACTCATGTTTGCTTGAATAACCAGGAGATGGGAATTGTATTAGTCCTTTTTCACACTGCTATGAAGAAATACCCAAGACTGGGTAATTTATAAAGGAAAGAGGTTTAATTGACTCACAGTTCCACATTGTTGGGGAGGCCTCAGGAAACTTACAATCATGGCAGAAGGCAAAGGAGAAGCAGGCACCTTCTTCACAGGGTGGCAGGATGGAGTGAGTGCAAGCAGGGGAAATGCCAGACACATAAAACCATGAGATCTCATGGGACTCACTCACTGTCACAAGAACAGCATGGGAAAAACTGCCCCCATGATCTGATTACCTCCACCTGGTCCCGCCCTTGCCATGAGGGGATTATGAGGATTACAATTCAGGATGATATTTTTTGGGGGGGGTACACAGCAAAACCATATCAGGAATCTCAGGGGATGTGACAGTTAATTTTATGTGTCAACATGATTGGTCCACCGGGTGTCCAGACATTGGTTGAACATTATTCTGGGTGTGTTTGTTCTGGGTGTGTTTGTAAGTGTGTCTCTGGATGACAACAGCAATTGAATTGGTAGATGGAGTATACTAGATTGCCCTCCCAATATGGTGGGCCTCATCCAACCAGTCAAAGGCCTGAATAGAACCAAAGGGCTGACGTGCCTGAGAGTAAGAGGGAGCTCCTCCTGCCTGACTTCCTTAGAGTTAAGACATTGTGTTTTTCCTGTCTTTGAACTCAAACTGAAGTATTGACTCTTCCTGGTCTTAAGCCTACAGGTCTTTGGACTCATCAGCCCTCCTGGTTTCCAGGCCTTCCGATTCAGACTGGAACTACACCATCAGCTCTCCTGGGTCTCCAGTTTGCCAATTTAAGATCTTGGGTCTTGTCCCTCCATAATCATGTGAGCCATGTATGTATGTGTGTATATATATATGCACACATATATATATGCACACATATATATATATTCCCATTAATTACCTAACTCATGTATATATGTATATATAAATATAAATTCCCATTAGTTATCTAATTCATATATATGTGTATATATATACACACAATATGCATACACACACACATATATATATACACACACACACTTCTTTTCTAATACATATCCATGTTGGTTCTCTTCCTGTGGAGAACCCTAATATACAGGAGTATACCTCTATGAACAACCTCCTTCAAAACTGTATCTTCTGGAGCCAGGCTCTTCAACAGGGATGCAAACTCAAAAGCCTTCAGGGTCAAGGCGAAAAATCAAAATACCTGATAGGCATGGTGTAATACAACAGGGCAGTGGTGGTTCTGTGGTGAACTGGAGTGTACAAGCTCTACCTACTTTTAAGTTTTCTAAAATCACAATGCTGGCCAAACAAAACACACTTGTAGCTAAATAGGGTCAGGAGCCTTAGAGTCTTCAACGAAATGAAAACTGTTATACTAGAGGCTTGCTGGAGAACCACAAAGGAAGGATAGAAATGTTTTTATAAAAAAGATGACATTTGCATTGAGCCTTGGTGGTGAATTCTAAGTTCTCCAGGCCCAGGGGGAGGAAGGGCACTCCAGACAGAGAGAAGAGCATAGCAAAGCGGCAGAGCCCTGGTGGTGCCCACGTCTGCTGTGCAGTGGGCAGGAGCACAGGGCCCAGGCAAGCAGCTGGAGAGTAGATGGGGGCCAGACTCAGGAGGGCTCTTCTGTCAGGAGAGCAGCCGTGCCACCCACACACTCCCTGAGACTGGTGTCAGGTGCAAGGTAGGCCTGGGCTGGGAGCCTCAGATCAGCCAGAGATCCATTTCGCTTTCTATACAGGGATTTCATCATGAGAGACTGAGAGGAACACAGCTTGAATAGCAATGAGGGCCTTACCTCCTTTTGTGCACAGCAGGCAAGGCTGTGCCCTGCACACCAGGGCCTGGGCTGGGGGAGCTGGACCCCTGGAGACTGAGGCCCCTGCCTTCCCCATCTTACTCATTCTCACAACTAGTACCCCTTTCTCATTAATTACCTAATAATTGTTTGAATGTCTGACGCCAGGTGAGCCATCCACCAATTAAAGCCAAGGAAAGCCTGCAGCCCCCCAGGTGGTCGAGGGAAGCACCTCTGGGGAAAGGCCCGGCCTGGCAGGCAGGATCTGTGAGCTGCATTCAGCTTCACTCTTCACCACCTGCCTTTCTGGGATCCCAGTTCCATCCTCTGAGGAATTACAGCCTTGGGCTGTTTACTGCCAGTCATGTCCAGGCTCTCAAGGTCTACTCTAAGTCCAAGTCCAGACTTCTGTAGATCTTCAGCCTGAAAAAGGTTTTCTTCCTTTTCTACCCCAGAGACACAAAACCCTTAGAAGCAGCAAAAGCACAATGAGAAATTGCAGAAAGGAAACTGGGTATCACTTCTGGCTAATGTTGGAGTTTCTCTTCCCCACCCATGTTCAGGATAAATGACAGGAAAAGGGCAGAGGCATCAGGCAGACGGGGGAGACAAAACCTCCGTTGAAAAAAGTAAGGTTGGGGCAAGTGGCTTAGTTGCATGGGTCCCTAAAATTTTACCTCTGAATCAGACACCTGTGCCTACCCAGCTCTAAAAGAGGACCCAGAAAGGGCTGATCCCAACATGCCCAGTTCCTTCTCCCAGGCTCACCAGTTCGGTAAATGCTGCCACCTTTCTTGGGAAGGTGTGAGTAAGGTGAAGAGTGTGTGGCAGAAAGAGACCAAGGGTGTCGCCCTAGTGGAGGTCCTTCCACATGGAAACATAAGGAGTAGGGGAAAAATATCCCCCCTATAAGAGCTAGTAATGATAATAATGAATAACACATATTGAAGGCTGAATGTGCCAGACTCTAAAAGTGTATTGTTTTGTTTCCTCAAGACCATTTCATGAGGTAGGTAGTGGAGAAACTGAGGCACAGAAAATGTCACTGGCCCAAAGGTCACACGCCAGGTGATATAATTTGGAATGTGTGTCCCCACCCAAATCTCATATTGAAATGTAACCCCCAATGTTGAAGGTAGGGCCTGGTGGGAGGGGATTGGGTCATCGGGGCAGATTTCTCATGAATAGTTTAGTACCATCCCCTGTGGTACTGTCCTCGCGACAGTGAGTGAGTTCTCATGAGATCTGGTTATTTAAATACGTGTGGCACCTTCCCTCACCTCCCTTGCTCCTGCTTTCGCAATGTGATGTGCCTACCCCACCTTTGCCTTCTGCCATGATTGGAAACTTCCTGAGGCCTCCCCAGAAGCAGAAGCTGCCATGCTTCCTGTACAGCCTGCAGAACCATGAGCCAACCAAACCTCTTTTCTCATACATTATCCAGTCTCAGGTATTTCTTTATAGCAATGCCACAACGAACTAACATACCTGGCGAGTGTCAGGTAGTGAGACTGCACAGCTCTCTTTCCTGACCATTCACTCTAGACCAGCTCTCTCCTGACAGCTGGGGGACCTGGCGCAAGGCTCTTGACCTCACCATGTCTTGGGTCTCTCACCTGCAGAGTCATGGCAGTCCCCAGAGCATGGGGTTTGGTGAAGATCGTGCCCCGGATGTACTTCTATTTTGAACTTACTCAGGTTGGAGAGGCTGGATAATGTAGTGAGAGGGGCATAATGTGGTGGAATCAACCAGGAGGTTCAATTTCTTTCCCCTCAAAAAGGACCATAATAGGCCGGGCGCGGTGACTCATGCCTGTAATCCCAGCACTTTGGGAGGCCGAGGCAGGTGGATCACCTAAGGTTGGGAGTTCGCGACCAGCCTGACCAACATGGAGAAACCCCATCTCTACTGAAAATACAAAAAATTAGCCAGGCATGGTGGCTCATGCCTGTAATCCCAGCTACTCAGGAGGCTGAGGCAGGAGAATCGATTGAACCTGGGAGGCGGAGGTTGCAGTGAGCTGAGATTGTGCCGTTGCACTCCAGCCTGGGTAACAAGAGCAAAACTCCGTCTTAAAAAAAAAAAAAAGGTCATAATATCTACGTCATGCAGACAGACCAACGTCCGCGGTGTAGACCTACATCTACAGCACAGGAGTCTTATGAGTTAAAGCTGCGCAATGCGTAATAGCTGTTGTTTTGTTGCCGCTGCTGTCATAATTGCCTTGGGGTCTCCTGCCCTCCTTCCGCCACTAGACTCTGGTTTTTGTCTCCCAGAACCATCGCAATGTCTGGCATGTAACAGCCGCTAGATGAGTATGAGGTGGGGTGGATAGGCGTTACTTCTTCCTCGCCGCCCACCTTCCCACACCGCCCAGGTGAGCTCTCCAGGCCCTGTTAGCGTCCCGAATTTCCCTGTTAGTGTCCTGTTAGCATCCTGAATTTCCACTTAGAAGAGCACTCACTACTCTTGAAATAGATTGTTGAATTTTTGCTTTCCCTGCCAGATTATCAACACCATTAATGGAGGGCTGTGACTTTCTCATTCACCATTTACACCCACCCGTGGTACCATGGCGGGAATATGGAACTCACTCAATGGATGTCTATAAGATGGATGAACGAGAAAATGAATTGAGTGAGCGAGTGGATGATTTCACAGAACTGCTGTGTCCCGGACCAAATACAGGATCAAACCTTGACCCTGTGCAATTCCAGATATGACCAACAGAGGGTGCACTGCTCTGAGGTTCATAAAGATAACGCGATTTCTGTCCTTAAAGCTTGAAAACCAGCTGAGTGACTGATGCTATCCGGCACGTGGCTTCAGGTAATGCCCGGTTTAATGGCCTCAGTTGAAGCTGCCGACTTTCCACAGCTGAGCTCCCAGCCAAGCTGGGGCAGTAAGACAGCTTTGTTAGGGCTAAAAAGCCTTTTCTGTATTTCGAAGATGTAGGTACAATCCCAGTAAGGCATTCAATGGCATAATTTTATTGGCAGAGTTAGCGTATATTTTAATCAGGCATTAAAGATGGTGGGACTCACACTGGCCTGGAAATCCTGATTCTGTGCTCACCTGTATAAAACCTTGAACAAGGGGTTTCCTCATTCATTCACCCACTCATTTCATTTATTGGACAAACTTTTTCTGAGTGTGAAGTATGCCAAAAGCACAGGAATATTTGAGTTGAAAAGTCAAGTCCTTGTCCTTAGAGAGCTCAGAGATAAAAGGGGTATGATAGGCATGAAACAGACATTTCAACACCAGAGCCATCATACAGACTGTGTCAAATGGCACAGAGGCACAGAGAAGGAGCACCCAATTCATCCCAGGAGATGCGGTCAGGAAACAGCTCTAGGAAGAGGTGGCCTTCAAGCTTTGTCTGAAAGGATGGGTGAATGAACAGGTGCAGGGATGGAGTCCCTGGCAGGAGGACCAGCAAGAGCAAACGCAGGGAGGCTTGGAGGCGTGCGTCTTGCTTGAAGAAGTGCACTAAGGGCAGTTAGTGTGCAAAGTATTCATGCACGGACCAGATAAGGGCCTTTTGTACTGAGAGCAGAGGCCCTACTTCATCCAGATGGCAAAAGAGAACTTTTGAAGGATTTTAAGCAGGGAGCTGACAGGGCCAGTGTTGTATTTTGAAAGATCACTCTGTTGACCAAGCAGGCAATTGGGATGGAAGGTGGCTGGTGGGAGGAGGCCTCTCTGAGCTCAGTTTTCTCACCTGAGATGTCTGAGAGTGGAAGAAGATGGCCTAGAAACTTCCTTTGGGTTCAATGTTCTGTTTTTTCCACACACAGATATAGACACTTTAGTCCTTCAGCGTGAACAGAGGTTATCAGAAACACATCACAACTGGGGGTTGAGGGGGAAAGGTTTCCAGCAAGCTGGGGTCTAAAAATACCATGATCTAACTGGGTCTGTCTGTCACCCACTACTTCAGTGGGTCTGATGCGGTGTCAAGAAGCTGTTGTCTGTATCTGTCTGCAGCCCTAGTTAAGAAAAGCCTGCAGGAAGCAATTAAGAAGGGAAGATGCCACTCACCTTGGACGGGTGTCCCGCTGAGGCACTCTGCAGTTAACAAAGTGTCTAACAAAGTGTCCAAAGGCAGAACTCGAAGTCAGACACTTTCCTGGAGTTGTCCCTGACCTTCAGAAAATGGGACCACTGTGGCCTTTGTGGAACCTACGTTCTCCTGGTAATGCCAAGGAAAGAACCCAGAAAGAAATGCTCTCTATTCCTCATCCCAGGAGCCCCATGCCCAGGAGGGTTCCGTTTTGCTCATGAGGCAAGAGCAGAGGAGACAGGGAGATTTATGAGAAAGGGACACAGTCCTTCACAGGCAAGTTCACCAGATACAGATGGCAGAAAAAGTGTTCCTGGAAGAGGAAACAGCTTAGATAATGATCTCGAGTCAGGAATCGTACTAACCTAATGCGATTGTGTTGGGACAGGTCTTGAGCGTTGCTTTTTCAGTAATTGGAGACATCTCTAATGTCAAAGGGGACAGCCTGGGAGACTGCTCAGGTCTCGATGTTATATTGACAAGACTGGCAGGACTGGTATCAATGAGGGATTTCCTAGTCCTTGCAATACTGTAAACATTCACCTATAAAACCCCCTGGGTGGCCGGGTGCGGTGGCTCACGCCTGTAATCCCAGCACTTTGGGAGGCCGAGGCAGGCGGATCATGAGGTCAGGAAATCGAGACCATCCTGGCTAACATGGTGAAACCCTGCCTCTATTAAAAATACAAAAAAAAAAAAATTAGCCGGGCGTGGTGGCGGGCGCCTGCAGTCCCAGCTACTCGAGAGACTGAGGCAGGAGAATGGCATGAACCCGGGAGGCAGAGCTTGCAGTGAGCCAAGATAGCGCCACTGCACTCCAGCCTGGGCGACAGAGCGAGAATCCGTCTCAAAAAAAAAAAAACCCTGGGCCTGCCAGTGGTTATTTGTATGTGCACATTGATTTTAAAAACTTATAAGGGTATATGCAGTTTGAAACTATGTACGTGCATTTAAAAATACGTAAGACAGTGCTGTAAATTGTTTAGGTATTTATCCTTAAACCATGAAAGTCTGGGCAGGAAGACTGTATGCCAACTTCGATACAGAGGCAACCTCTGGGGAGACGGAGGCAAAGGTTTTATAACATCTGCAACGTTTTTCGACAAAGAGAATATGCTATTAAATTACTTTTCTATGTGTGTTTTAAGTGTTTCATAATTGGGGATTAACATATGAAAATGGAAATCACTGACAGCAATAATAAAACTAGAGCTCTTTTCTGGAATCCATTCATTCGGGTGCTGGTTCATCAGGGCTCTGCCTTCTGCAAGCCCCACTCTCCAGTCTGCCTCTCCCCAACCCAGACCTGCTCTCTTTCACCCAGACCAGGTGGCACCTTAGAATCGAGTTGCTTTCTCCAGACGCCTGACCCATCACAGCCGTAGGCCTTCCTGAGTCTGATCGGTGCTACAGAGATGGGATTTGAGGCCTGCATTGCCACTGGGTTCACTCTGCCACCTCCTACACCATCCTGGCCCAGACCCTAATGTGGCCTTCTATCTGATTGCTGTTCCAGAAGTGGAGGAGGAGAAGCTGCCCCTCCCTGGTGTAGGATCACCTACTCACCGCGGGCTCAGGTCAGTTCTCCATGCCTCTCAGCCCTGCCTGCTTGGTCACCATCCCCAGTGGAAACCCCTCCAGGCACCCAGTTTTTTCTACCACCTCATGTTGCTCCCTGACCCAAATTTCCTCTGCTCTCCTACCTGCCCCCTTCCCCACTGTGCATTCCAGAATCCCAGCTGTAGAGCAGGAATGCCCTCTGCTCTCATGCTGCTAATAAAGACATATCTGAAACTGGGTAATTTATAAAGAAAAAGAGGTTTAATGGACTCACAGTTCCACGTGGCTGGGGAAGACTCACAATCCTGGTGGAAGATGAAAGGCACAGCTTACAAGGTGGCAGACAAGAGAGAGTGAGAGCCAAACAAAAGTGGAAACCCCTTATAAACCCATCAGATCTCATGAGCCTTATTCACTACCACGAGAACAGTATGGGGGAAACTGGCCCCATGATTCAATGATCTCCCACCAGGTCCCTCCCACAACACGTGGGAATTGTGGGAGCTACAATTCAAGATGAGATTTGGGTGGGGACACAGCCAAACCATATCACCTCTCTATCCTGAACCTCTCATTCAGCTCTCTTCATCCTCCCTGCTGAGGCTTGGCTGTCTTCCAAGGGTGCCACTTCCTGACAGGCTTCTTCTCACATGAGGGACAGACACAGGCTGAAATTCTTCTTAATCCCCACTGCTCCTCCTAGACCATTATTTCTTCAGCTTCACATACAAAGCCCGTTCTTTCAGGATCACATCCTCAGGCCAGATAGTCCTATGCTGTTCCTTCCTGCCGTTGTCTCCAAAACCCCAGACATTCTTCTTTATTTACAGAGCACTCTGGCACCTGAACGCTGCACTATGAATGCCTTTGAGTATTACAGGCTGCAAACCTGCCACTGGCTGAATCAGCCCTGCACACATTATTTATTTGTTTTTAAATAGGAATGTGTATTAGCCAGCTCAGGCTGCCATAACAAAATAGTCCAGATTGAGTGGCTTAAGCAAGAGATTTATTTTCTCATAGTCCTGGAGGATGTAAGTCTGAGGCCAGGGTGACAGTAGGATTGGTTTCTGCTGAGGGTGCTCTCTCTAGTTTGCAGATGGCCATCTTCTTGCTGTGTCCTCACATGGCCTTTTCTCTGTGTGCATGCAGGGGACGCAGGAATAGGAGAGGGAGAGGGAGAGGGAGAGGGAGGGGGAGGGAGAGAGAGAGAGAGAGAGAGAGAGAGAGAGAGAGAGAGAGAGAGAGAGACAGGGAAAATAAATGAGCTCTGTCTCTTCTTATAAAGATACTAATCCTATTAGATTAGGGCCCCCAACCCATGACCTTGTTTAACCTTAATTACTTCCTTAGAGGATCTATTTCCAAATAGAGACACACTGGGGGCCAGGGCTTTGCCCTGTGAATTCTGGGGGGATGCAAGCTGATATGGTTTGGCTCTGCATCCACACCCAAATCTCATCTCGAATTGTAATCCCCACACTCCCCACGTGTCGAGGGAGGGACCTGGTGGGAGGTGACTGGATCATGGGGGCAGTTTCTCCATGCTATTCTCGTGATAGTGAGTGAGTTCTCATGAGATCTGATGGTTTTATTAGAGGCTCTTCCCCCTTCACTCCCTCTCTCTTTCCTGCTGCCTTGTGAAGGAGATACTTGCTTCTCCTTCACCTGCCTCTGTGATTGTAAGTTTCTGGAGGCCTCCCCAATCATGCAGAACTGAGTCAATTAAACCTCCTTTCTTTATAAATTACCCAGTCTCAGAGAAGTTTTTTATTGCAGTATAAAAACAGACTAATACACAAGCATTCATTCCATAAAATAAGGTGGATGTTGTTGGGAGCAAGCTCCCCAAAGTCTGGCCATAAACTGGCCCCAAAACTGGCCATAAATAAAATCTCTGCAGCAATGCAACATGTCCATAATGGCCATAACGCTCAGGCTGGAAGGTTGTGGGTTTACGGGAATGAGGGCAAGGAACATCTGGCCCACCCAGGGTGGAAAACCGCTGAAAGGCATTCTTAAGCCACAAACAAAAGCCTGAGTGATCTGTGTCTTAAGGACATGCTCCTGCTGCAATTAATTCGGCCCATCCCTTCGTTTCCCTTAAGGGATACTTTTAGTTAATTTAATATCTATAGACACAATGCTAATGACTGGTTTGCTGTTAATAAATATGTGGGGAAATCTCTGTTCGGGGCTCTCAGCTCTGAAGGCTGTGAGACCCCTGATTTCCCACATCACACCTCTATACTTCTGTGTGTGTGTCTTTAATTCCTCTAGCGCCGCTGCGTTAGGGTCTCTCCCTAATGCGGACTGAGCTGGTCTCGGCAAGATGTCTTTGAGCATGCATGCCCTCTTGTTCACTACCATCCCTACCATTCCCTATTTCTTTCTCCCTTCCTACCACAGTCTCTTGCATGTCTACCATGCTGAATGATCTTCACTCTCCTCTAGCTCAGCAGCCAAGTTCAGCTGCATCCTGAGCCATGTTGTCACCCAGGACCTTTGCATCCCTGAAGCCAGTCCACAACCTTCTGGTTACTGTTTCCTAACTTTCTATCCTGCTGAACTGCGTCCATTGGATCAGGTACAAAACCAGACTTCTACATCTTGGGACAGTTTTTGAACCAAGACCCTTGATGTGGCTGTGTTCCCCAGAGGCTCTGCCACACGTGAGGAAGACAATGAATCCAGCTCACACCCCATAAGAGAGCACAGAAAGAACTGGAGTTAGAAAATGGATGCAGTCAGGGGCAAGTAACTTAGCTTTCTGGGCCTCAATGTCCCCATCTGTAAATGTGAGAATACCAATTCCTTCTTCCTAAGCTTTTTGTGTAAATTAAACTTCATGTCCATGGATACGCTTTGTAAACCGCAATCATGGAGCACAGGGAGTCAGGTGTCACCTGAGAAGCACATGTTCCTCTAATTGATACTGGAGACACCATCTCCTTCTATGGACATATTAGTCAGGGTTCTCCAGAGAAACAGAACAGGACATATATGTGTGTAAATATTATGAGGAATCAGTTCACATGCGTCCAGAGGCTGAGAAGTCCCAAGATCTACAGTTGGTAAGCTGGAGAATCAAGAGAACTGATGGTGTCATTCCAGGCTGAAGACAGGCAGGTGCAAAACCCAGGAAGAGCTGAGTTTCAGTTCAAGTCAGAAAGGCAAAAAAGACCAGGGTCCCAGTCCAAGCACTCAGGCAGGAGGAGTTTCCTCCTAATCAGACTTTTTTATCTCTTCAGGTCATCAGTTGATTGGATGAGGACCCCCTATCTGCTTTACTAAGTCTACTGATTCAAATGTTATCCAGAAACATCCTCCCGGATGCACTCAGGATAATATTTGACCAAAGGTCTGGGCACCCTGTGGCCCAATCAAGTTGACACATAAAATTAATTATGTGGACACAGATTTTTCAAGGTCAGGAATTTCCTCTCCTTTTGCACATGCAATTGCAGTTGAGAATCTAGTGATTTAAACAGCCCTGCAAGATGCTTGGCTGATATCCTTGGACTTTATCTATGTCCAAGGACGACAGAATGAATGGATCCAAGACAGTAAGAGCAAGAATGTTTTGGAAGAGTGGAAAGTTTCATAGACACACTAGTAGGTGTTGGTATCATGGTTCAAATCAGTGTAACTTAATCGTTATTTTCTGAGAACCAATCACAGGCAAGACCATGGGCATGGCCCACTAGAAGCCCAGCAGGAGAGAGACGAGGGTTTTGGGATCCCTGAAGCATCCCAGTTCCATATGCAGTATGAGTCTGCCTAAGAGCATGTTGACAGTGTGACTTTGTGCCTCTCCCTGGGCCTCAATGTCCTCAACTGAACAAGCAGGTTCTGAATAATGTGAGGATGTGCAGAATCATCATAAACTAAAGCCCTGAGAAACGGCAGACAAGTTCCTTACATCTCTGAGCCTCGGTTTCCTGGTGGGTAAATGCAATAGTTATCAGTGCCCTCCTAGTTGGTGTGAGTGTTCATGAGACAGCGTCAGAGGATGCTTACCATGCATGATGGGTGGCCAGGGGGACGTCTCAGGTGCCACTTATTCATGAGTTTGGACATGGATTAGACATGTATTTACTGAGGGCCTGCTATGAGCAAGGGCTGTGCTAGGGGCTGGAGAAACAATAGCAAATCAATGAGAAGTCAAGGTCCCTTCCCTGAGGGGAACAAAGCAGAATCAGCCAAGTCGATAGCAGCCATCCCTTGTGGGTACTCATAGGCAGGTAAGACAAGAACACTGTGGGGCCCAAAGAGCAGATAGCAAACCCAGGCTGGGGCTGCATCACAAGAAAGGCTTCCCAGGAAAAATGACCCTGGATCTGAATTTCGATAATGAGTAAAAGTTTAGGACCTAAAGACAACACAGTTAACTCCTCATCTTGTTTCTTCTTCCACTTGTGCTGAGATGACTAAGACTTCCTTTCCTGGGGCCGTCTAATGTTAGACACTTTCAATCAACATACCTGAGAAAAAACCTCAGGATGCACTCAGGCTCACAGCAACGTCTAACTGTGTCCAGCTTTAACCTACACTTGTGTAGAACTCTGCGGTCACGTGGAGAATGAAGAAGTAGGGAGCCAAGAGAAAAGCTTCTTACATCACATATCAAAACACATTCCAGGTGGATGACAGAGGTTAGGTAAGTGTGAGACAATCCGTACACCACCAGAAGAATTAGACTTGAATATCTATCAAACATCTGGAGGGAGAAAAGACTTGCTAAGCACAGCATCACTGGAAACAAGCCCAAGGGAAAACAATGGGCAGAAGGGACGTCAGCAAATTTTAAAGTCTCTGCACTTGGAGGTGGGATGGGGAGAGGAGAAAAATAGTAGGAAAAATATTTGCAGCAAAGAGTTAATATTTTTATTATATAAAAAATTCATGGCCGGGCACAGTGGCTCACACCTGTAATCTCAGCATTTTGGGAGGCCAAGGTGGGAGGATCACCTGAGGTCAGGAGTTCGAGACCAGCCTGGCCAGCATGGCGAAACCCTGTCTCTACTAAAAATACAAAAATTACTGGGCGTGGTGACACGTGCCTGTAATCCCAGCTACTTGGGAAGCTGAGGCAGGAGAATTGCTTGAACTTGGGAGGTGGAGGTTGCAGTGAGCCGAGATTGTGCTACTGTACTCCAGCCTGGACAACAGAGTGAGACTCTGTCTCAAAAAAAAAAAAAAAATCAAACACATAAATAAGAAAAACTGAGTTTTCTGTAACTAAATGAGTAAAGGATACAATTTCCAAAAAGGGGCATAATTAGTAGGGAGACATATAGGAAAATGCACCTCCCCTCCTCTGTAGTAACAAACCACATGTAAGCTGAAATAAAGATGAGCTACCATTTATCCCTAGCAAAGCTGTGACCATAGAAGAGTCCCAGGGCTGGCAAGGGATGGAGCAGAAAGCTTTCTGCTCTTTGCCTGTGGGTTTGGAGAGGGCATTGTCTAGTGATACAACTTGTCTCTATTTAAAGGCTTTTGATAAAGATGATATATTGAGAGCTTTATGTTATAGACAAGAGGGAACAACTAAATATTTTTCTCTAGAGTCCTGAGGGTTAGTTAAGAGGGATGCAGGGACTCGTCAAGGTTGTTCGCGTATTCTTCACCCATTTGACATTTAGTTATTGAGTACCTACTATGTGCACGTATTCTTCACCCATTCGACATTTAGTTATTGAGTACCTACTATGTGCAGGATGCAGAGCTATCAGCGTTACTGGAACAGCAGTGAAAGGCAGCCAGGGTCTTTTAGTCAGCTGGTCCTCTGGCCAACTAGAGAGTGGTGCACAACACTTCCAGCAGCTTTGCAGTGTGCTAGAGTCATCCCCCTAGCATCTGAAAGCTTCAGAGAGGCATCCAATCTTGCAGAGCCAAGAGCTTCAGTCATTAGAGTCTCTCATTAATTTGGGATAACACACGCTCCTTGGGGACATTCATCGAGGAGGAGGCAGTGTCGGTGGCAGGATGTGGAAGCCACACACCTGGATGCTGGCCTTGCCTTGGCTCCTTTTCGGCTGTGGTCTCTTGAGCGAGTCGCTGGACCTACAGCTCCCACCATCAGACCTACACAAGGGGTTAGCAGAGGAGGGTTCAGGTCCTCCTAGGTGCGAAAGCATCTGTCAAACTGTGACATGTTGGACAGACGAGAGGTACATTCATTACGTAGGACACCAGGGCTTCTCTGAAAGCAGGTTATTTATTTCAATTAGCGCCTCAGGACCTTCCAACCCCTCCTGTTTGGGCTGCAGCATTCCAGGGGAGGGATGGGTTTCTCCTCGCAGTCTGGTGCTTAGAGAAGGACTGCCTCACGTGGTAATGACTCCACGCTCCTTTCAGCAGTTACAGAAGTCTAATGACCTGATGGCTAATTTTGTTCTGATTCATATATTGCTTAATTAGGATTTTACCCTGTAACAGATGGCTGTCTTCATTAAATCATGATCCATTCGCTCTGACTGGAAGCAGCTGGTTTGGGGGGTAGATGGCAATTTATTTTCTCCGTGTCAAAATGAGCCACGAGGAAAGGAATTCAGATGAAAATAATGCAGTTTGTTCCATTTAGTTTTATCCGTAAAATTAGAAGTTTTTCTTGTTTTGGTTTTTGTTTTCCCTTAAGTCTTTTAGAGGTCCGCACTATGATCTTTATAAACCTTAAGCAGTAGGGGAGTTAAGCAGGAAACTGAGTCACCCCCTGAGAAACCCCTAGAGGCAGTGGACCTTGCAGTTGCCTTTCTGGCTCCCAGAGTGGACCAGTCGTATCACACCAAGAAACAAATCTATGCTCTTGGAAAATAAATAGTTCTTGTTTTTATTTTGCATTTCTTTGTTTTGTTTTACAGGTGGGAGAGTAAGCCTCAGCGAGGGAAGGTCGCTTGCCCAAGAGCACCATGTGGTTTTGGTCAGAACGAGCTCCACAGCCGAGTTCCTCCCTACTCAGCAGGGGCCCCGGTCCAGCAGTGTCGCTACGCGTCACTATCGCCTGGAAACCTGTGAGAGATGTGGCATCTACCCCCAACCCCCAACCTGTTGAACCAGACTCTGCCTTTTATCCAGATCCTTGGGTGATTTGTGCGCTGGTAAATTTTAAGTAACCTAGACAACTCCAATCGTATCCAAGGCAGGGTGCTGACTTGAACATGACTTTCTTGGAAGTTGTCATTTATGTAGTGCATATGAGGGGCCAGGAACCTTGCAGCTTTTGCAAGGTGCTTCATGTATTTTATTTCATTTAATCCTCAGGAAAGTATTGAATACAAAGCAGATACTTTATTCTCGTTTTGTTGGTGGAGAAGTCAAGGCCCTGAGAGATTGAGTGGATTTATCCAAAGCCACACAGCTGGTAGATGAGATTTAAACCCAGGTCTGTCTAAAGGCCAAGCCTGCGCTTTCAGTGCTAAGCCAGTTGCTATGGTTTGAATGTTTGTGTCCCTTCCAAATTCATGTTGAAACTTAATCTCTAATGCAATAGTATAAAAAAGTGAGGCCTTTAACAGGTGATTAGGACATGACAGCTCCACTCTTAACAGTGGGACTGGTGCCTGTATAAAGAGTACTCTCTGTACTACTGTGAGGGAAGCAACCCTTTTTCACCCTTACCGCCATGTGAAGATGCAGTAAGAGCCGCCATCTTGGAAGCAAAGAGAGAGCCTTCATCAGACACTGAATCTGCTGGTGCCTTGACCTTGGACTTCCCAGCCTCTGGAACTGTGAGAAATAAAATTCAGTAATCTATATAAATTATCTAGTCTAAAGTATTTTTGTTATAGCTGGAACAGAGACACCAACATTATCGCTAAGCATCAATGACTTTTTAACCATTGTGAGAGCTAAAGAAGTCTTCAGCATCATTCTAAATGTATTACATTCATCCCTGCTCTCTGAAACTAATTAGTTCAAAAGTGTCACTTTTTCAAAATTATAAACTTCAAAATGAATATGTGTTATTTTAGAATACAAGGAGACACATAGATTCTGAGAAAGAGTACAGAACTGTTTGTCTCTCCACTGAAGGAACCCAGTCAGTGGAATTTTTAAAGCAAACTTTTTTATTTTAGAATAGCATTGGATATAAAGGGAAAAAATGTGAAGATAGTACAGAGTTTCCATGTCCTCCACATCCAGTTTTTCCTATTCTTAGCATCTTACATTAGTATGGTACATTTGTCACAGTTAATGAACCAATAGTGATAACTTATTATTTATTAACATCCATACTTTGTTCGGATTTCCTTAGTTTTTAACCTGTTGTGGGATTTTTTTTTTTTTTTCAGTTTCAAGATTCCATCCAGGATATCCCATGGCTTTAGTTATCACGTCCCCTTAGGCTCCTCTTGGCTGTGATGGTTTCTCCAACTTTCCCTGTTTTTGATGACCTTGACAGTTTTGATGATTACTCTCAGGTATTTTTTTTTTTTAGACAGAGTTTCACTCTTGTTGCCCAGGCTGGAGTGCAATGGTGCGATCTTGGCTCACCACAACCTCCACCTCCCAGGTTCAAGTGATTCTCCTACCTCAGCCTCCTGAGTAGCTTGGATTACAGGCATGTGCCATCACGTCTGGCTAATTTTTTTTTTTTTTTTTTTTTGTATTTTTAGTAGAGACGGGGTTTCTCCATGTTGGTCAGGCTGGTCTCGAACTCCCAACCTCAGGTGATCCGCCCACGTCGGCCTCCCAGAGTGCTGGGATTACAGATGTGAGCCACCGTGCCTGGCCTACTCTCAGGTATTCTGTGCCTGGCCTACTCTCAGGTATTCTGTGCCTGGCCTACTCTCAGGTATTCTGTAGACTGTCCCTCAATTGGGATTTTTCTGATATTTTTCTCGTGATTAGACTGGGGTTATGAGGTTTTGGGGAGAAGATCACAAAGGTCCTCACATCATACCAAGGGAGAGTGCATACTGTTCTCACAACGCATCACTCTGGATGCTGATCTTGGCCACCTGGCAATGGTAGTGCTTGTTAGATTTCTCAATTGTAAATTACTCGTTCCTCCCTCCCCCTGTCCATGCTATGCTCTTTGGAAGGAAGTCACTATGTGTAGCCCACACTTAAGGAGTGGGGAGTTGGAGAGTTATGTTCTACCTTATTTTTTTTTCTTTTCTTTTCTCTTTTTTTTTCTTTTTTTTTTGAGACAGAGTCTCACTGTGTCACCCAGGCTGGAGTGCCGTGGCACAATCTCGGCTCACTGCGACCTCCGCTTCCCTGGTTCAAGCAATTTTCTTGTCTCAGCCTCCCAAGTAGCTGGGACTACAGATGCGTGCCACCACACCAGCTAATTTTTTGTATTTTAAGTAGAGACGGGGTTTCACTGTGTTAGTCAGGATGGTCTCAATCTCCTGACCTCATGATCTGCCTGCCTCAGCCTCCCAAAGTCCTGGGATTACAGGCATGAGCCACCTCACCCGGCCTTTTGTTTTTTGTTGTTTTTTTTTTAATTTTTGCTGCTCCTTGCAGAGCAGGGCTAACTCCTGCTCCCAGGCAGTGTTCTCAGAGTCAGCCATGCTCTACCTTCTTAAGGGCAGAGCATCTGTATAAATTATTTGAAATTCTGCATGTGAGATGTGCCTGTGGTGTCTCATTTATTTATTTATTCAATCACATATTTATATCAGTATAGGCTCATGGACATTTATTCTATAATTTGGATTATAATTTAATACTCTTTTATTTATCACGTTGCTCAAATTGTTTGAGCATTGACCACTGGGAGATCCTTCAGTTGGCTCCTGCCTCCCTTTGACATCCCCTCATCACTGTGGGTTTCCTTTTGCACACTTCCTTGCTCTCTGACACTGCAGGAAGCTAAGATGCTCCAGGCTTATCTTGCATCCTCCTTTTCTAGCCCAAGAATCAGCCATTTCTGTAAGGGGCTGCTTTGTGGCTTGTGTCTGTGTGTGCTTTATGTAGCTGGTCGGGTTTCCCCTGACATCAGCTTCACCCCCATTACTACCTGCTGTGGGCTAATTCCCTGTGTTGAACTTTCCCTCTCCTAGTTCATGACTTCTAATCAGCTGCTGATTGGGAATTGGCAGCCCTGTCAGATCAGAACCACTCCCACTTCGTGTTCTTCACCCTCTTCACTCACCGCACCCCACACTCAGCCTTCCGTTGTCTCCTCTCACACGCCAAGCTTTCCACTGCCTCGGGCTGTCCCTCCCCCTCGGACACTCTTCCGAGGCCCCTTCTCACTCTTCACCTCTCACTCAAATGCTCCCTCCTCAAAGAGTCCTCCGCTGACCACCCTATCCAAAAAGAGTCGCTCAGACTAATCGCTGTTTCAACACTTGTCTTCTTTAAAATTGATTTTGTCAATGATTTTGAATCTCTGAACCTCTCCACCACTAGTCTGTAAGCTCAAGTGGAACCACATCTATTTTGTCCAGGGTAATATGCTGTAGCAGTTAAAATGGTGGCCTTTGGAATCCAGGTGCCTAGGTTCAGATCCCACCTCTGACACTCACCAGCAGCGTGATTTTAGACAATTCACTTAATCTCTGTATGCCACCATGACCTTATCTGTAAAATGGGTGTGATGATAGACTAATATATAATAAAAGGCTTAGAACAATGCCTGAAATGTAGTAATGATTGGAAATGCTACGTTATTTTTTCCTAAGTGTTCAGATAGGCAGTTTCGTTAGCTCTGGTGTCTTACTGACTGAGATTCCATGGTGTAACAGAGCTAGACAATTAGCAAGAAGCATGCATTGCAACCACTTCAAACTGCACCTTGGATCAAATTGCTGAACACTGGACACTTGCTGTGAAAGGGCACCTTACAGGCCTCACAGTGGCTGGGATGTGGAAGATCCTGTTTCTGAAAATGACACAATCCCTTAGGAACTCCTGGACATCCAGACTCCTTCAGACCACAGGGGAGTCTGTTCCTCCAAACATGCATAGAGCATTCCTGCCCGTACCCCTCTATTTATGCTGTTCCCTCAGCTGAAACAGCTGCCACAGCCATCTCTCCCTTCCATCCTTTCTGGGAACCCCCTTGTGCCTGGCATCTAGTTGGCCACTAGGGATGGGGGATGTGCAATATCAGGGCTTGTTCCTGCCCTTCCAGGGGCACGAACCTACTGCCTGATTCCTCCCCAGCTGGGAGTCCTACTGGTGCATGGAGCTGGATCCCTAAATAAGCCCCTCCCACCACAGTCTCTCTGGCCATTCCTGTCTTATCTACCCTTTATTATACCCCGCCTTGTGTATCACTATAGTAATAACTTCATTAATAGCAATAATAATGCACAATGCTCAATCCCACCAAGTGCTTCCCAGATATCATCTCCTCAGAGCCTCATGTCAACCCTTGAGGCTGGCAGAGCTGGGGCTACACATCCTTGTTACAACATTGGGGCTTACAAGCACCCCTCCAGCACACAGTCAGTGCCCAACAAATGCCTGCCAAGTGAATGAGTAAATACACAAACACAGGAAATACTGGCTTGGGAGGCTCACACTCCCACAGCTGGTAAGCATGTGTCTGGAGCATGACTCCCAGGCTTCTGCTCTAAGCCTGTTCCCCTTTGCAGAGGGATGGGGAGGAAGGGATAAATGATGAAGCTACATTTCTGGTGTTGCCTTGGCAGCCCCTATGGAATACAATGGGGACAATGGAGGGACAATGTCAGTGTCTTGATTCTCTGACTACTTAAATGTTATTATTATTTAATAATAACTGTCACCCATTAAGGTGCTTCCACGTGTTAAGTGGTTTTCTTATGCATCTCATCTCATCCTCTCAACAGCCCTGCAAGATAGGTAGCCGTATCCCTCCTTGCAGGAATGGATCAGAAGGGAGAAGTAGTGGAGAATGCCCAGCTAGTGAGGATGGAATATTTGAATCAATATCTGCTTGCTCCAAAGCTCTTGCCATGTATACTGACCTGTCATGTTGAAAACTGGGGCAATCTCTCAGGGTTCTACATTTGAAGCATCCAAGAGGCTCTTAGGGAGGATGAACACACACACACACAGAGACAGACACAGAGTGAGAGGAGAGAGGGGGGTTGATTAGAGTCATCGGGAGATGAAAAGAAGATTGTGGTACTGAGATTCCTGTACCTACAGTGCACAAACAGAAGCTTCCCTCTTCTTCAGCCCACCATTCAAACCACTTTTCCATATCTCCTCCCTTAGCTCCCCTTCCATGGAGCCCTATAATTTCAGTTCTAGAAGACACACAGAAATCAAATCACCAACTTTCCTCCTTTTACAAATAAAATAATTGAAGATCAGAGAAGGCAAAAGGCTTGTTCAAGGGTGAACAGCAACTTGACACCACAGTGGGCAGTAGGATCCATGCTTTTTGACTCCTAAGTCATTCCCCTGGGTGACCTTGACATACACGGTAACCTGGTTTCCCCTGGTTTTACTTGGGAGTTGCCATGAGGTTTGGCATAATTCATCCCCCGTCTCATCTCTGTGCATGTCCTAGGCTTGCAGAACATGTCCTCTGAAGATGGAGATCTTCAGCCCTTAGTCACCCAAGGACTCTCCCTTACCCCCACAATTAGGCTTTAGAAGAAGAATGTGAAGATTTTTTTCTCAAAACTCACTTTGGATCCTTCTTCTGCATCATCCTTCGATACTCTCCCAAGTCCCAGCCAGGGCAGCGGGGACTTGGCTGCAGAGCCCAGAGCTCCAAATTACAGTTGGATCAGACTCCCTCGTTCATTAGCCCCTGGCACCCAGTGTTTGGTGGGGACAGAACCCAAGAAATGATGAATAGTCCCTGATTCATTTCCAGCCTGATGGCAGTGGAGCCATCCACCTTGCCATTAAGACAGCCCCATGCCTGGTAAGGGAGATGCAGGCAAACAGAGATGAATATTTTTATGATCCAGCTCTGGGTAAATTCATTTCAGGGCCTGTTGAGCTTCAGGGCAAGCAGGAAGAGATTAAATAAGTTAATGGTTGTGATAGCACTTTCTAAACTGTAAAATGGTTGTGAAAGCACTTTCTAACGGTGAAGTGTTATGTAAATGTGCGCTGGGATGAGTGTGTGAGCCATCCTGAGAGGGTGTGGGTGCAGTGTGGGAAGCAGCACTCCTCAATGCCGCCAACCTCTGCTCAACTATTTCTAGCTATTTCATTAATTTAGGTTTATAATCTTTGCTATCAAGCCAATGTTTTTTCTCCCCCTTTGAGGAACTTTCCCTTGCAGCAGGCTGTGCTGCCCTACTTCGTGGCTTCAGTTTAAAAGTGCATCACGCCTGTAATCCCAGCACTTTGGGAAGCCAAGGCGGGCGGATCACAAGGTCAGGAGTTCGAGACCAGCCTGGCCAACATGGTGAAACCCCGTCTCTACTAAAAATATAAAAATTAGCTGGGCGTGTTGGCGGGCGCCTGTAATCCCAGCTACTCAAGAGGCTGAGGCAGGAGAATCGTTTGAACCCAGGAGGTGGAGGTTGCAGTCAGCCAAGATCACACCACTGCATCCAGCCTGGCTGACAGTGCAAGACTCTGTCTCAAAAAAAAAAGTGCACGCCGATGGCAAGGAAGGTTTTCAATCACTCCTTAATCAAAAGTAGAATTTTCTATAAAATTAGTTAAATCTGGTAAGTCTTAGAGAACACTGAATAACCTCATGAAGCTTTATAAAAGACACAAACACTATAGGAAGAGTTTGATATTTTTCTAATCAATAATTATTATTAGTGATTACATGACCGCATACTCTTGTCAAAATTTATAAATTATACACTTAAAATTGGTAAATTTTATTGAATGTAAATTATGCCTCCATAAAGCTGATTTTTTTAAAAAGGGATAAATACCCAGGGACACTTTGGCAATTTTCAATTATTATTACATTTAACCTAATGCATTTCTAGGCACTGTAGGGGAGGAAGAATCTATCACTAAATTCATCTATCACTAAATTCATGGCTGAGGCCTCGCAAAGACAGATTAACAAGAGAAAAGCATACAGATTTATTTTATTTAAGTTTCATGTGACATGGGAGGCTTCCTAAGGAAAAGGAAGACCTGAAGAAATGTGTAAGGTTTTACAATTTTTATGCTAAGTTTGATGAAGAGTGGATAGCTTTGGAGAAATATAACTGGACAAAGATGGTATGAGCAAATGGTGACAAACTGGAAGAATTTAGTAAGTCCTGTTCAGATTCTTCTCTGTGACCCTGTGACTTCAAAGGTAAGAATGTTCCTTTCTTCTGGTTACAGGGAGGGGCCTTTCAAAGAAGACCTGCTTCAGGAGGGGGAAAGGGAGGTGGATGGTGAGAATGACCTTCCTGCTTCCGCCATTTTCTCAAACACCAAGGTGCCATATTTTGGGTTAGCATATCCTGAACCCATCAGTATAGACTGTACCTTCCTACATTATTTAAAATCTTAACTTCAAAACACACAGTCTTGAAAAGAATTCCGAAACTTCATATCAAACCCCCCTAATAATTTTCTATTTTCTAGTTTTGCACTTCAAATTTAAAAGGCATTCTTTTCTATCATAGCTTCCTGCTGATTACAAGAGAGCCCTCGTCTTCATTTTCTAACCCTAATCAGCTAGAAAATTCTCCCTGACTCTCTTCTGCCACAGTCCTCACTGGGCAGATTCTCAATGAGGAAATGTAAAGGAGGTCATTTTCAACGAGGCTGCAGGGAGAGGGTGTCTGCTTTGCCAGCTGTGTTCTAGTTGGAAGTTCCCAGGCATGTGTGACTTTAAAGTTAGGCAAGATAAACATTTTCTTTGCAACAATACAGCATTGACAGTGGGTCCAGCATTTTCAGTGATTCTTGCTGTCATGTGGGAACTCTTATTTCTGTTTTGTTTTTTTTTTTTGGAGACAGAGTCTCGCTCTGTCACCCAGGCTGGAGTGCAGTGGTGCAATCTCAGCTCACTGCAACCTCTGGCTCCCTTGTTCAAGCAATTCTCCTGCCTTAGCCTCCTGAGTAGCTGGGATTACAGGTGCACGCTGCCACGCCTGGCTATTTTTTTGTATTTTAGTAGAGACAAGGTTTCACCGTGTTGCCCAGGCTGGTCTCGAACTCCTGAGCTCCGGCAATCCACCTGCCTTGGCCTTCCAAAGTGCTAGGATTACAGGAGTGAGGCACCGCACCCAGCCAGGAACTCTAATTTCTAACTCTTGATATTTGCACTGTTAAGAAATGAGCATGATTAACGTAACTCCCGATGTCTCCTTTTCCTTCCATATGGAGGGAATTTTATTAGAAGTCTTTCTCTGCTCCTTTATTAAATCTCTCTGGGGGCGGAAGTGACTTATCTGATTGGCAAATATGAAAAAATGAAGCAGGCAGGCTGAGTTTGGTTCCTTGTCTTTATCTTGAGAGTGAACCTGTTTGTAGGAACATGAGTTCTCTGCTTCTCCACGTCCTAAAGCTAATCTGGGCAGACCCCTCTCCATATAGACCCAGTGTCCTGTCCCACTCCAGCTGCTGGGACGGGGTAGTTAAGTCAGTTCAACTTTAGGGTTTAAGTTTAGTAAGCCTACTTACCCAAGGATATAAGCCATGCCCTCCAACCTAGCCTTTGTGACAGCTTGATGTTTCATTCACCCCTTTTGGACAGTGAAGGGGTTGTCATTATTGAATTACACTCAAATACCCCAAGACTTGTAAGAGAAGGCAGTGGGCATGCATTGAATTCTCAGTCCTATCAATTAACTAGAGTGTGACTATGGATCTACCACCTGATCTTTCTGAACCCCATCTGTAAAATGATAGGAAAATCATTATGGAGAGTAATGATACCAGCATCATTGAGCAGGTGTGAGTATCAAATGAGTAATAAATACCAGATAGCTTGGCCAACTGTGATGACCTTTATAAAGTGAGCCATGCCTAAAAACACTGTAACAAGGTCTTTGGTAAACATATACAATGCACACATGCACGTAGAGATCCAAGCTATTTACATGACATCTGTTCACTTAGCGCTTCATAGATCATTGTCCACTTCATAGTCTTGGCTCTGGAACTAGCCCTAGCAAGACTTAGTAGCAGGTGAAGGCACCACTTTGTTGGATGTCACATGAATGTGGTGAGGTGGCTGACAGCATAGATTCTGATGCCAAACAGAACTAGTTTGTCTTCCAGGTCTGCCACTCACTAGCTGGGTGTCTGTGGGTGAATTACTTCATACTTCACTCTTCTTAGTCTTGACTTCTTCTTTTTTCTTTTTTTCTTTTTTTTTTTTTTTTGAGACGGAGTCTCGCTCTGTGGCCAGGCTGGAGTGCAGTGGCACAATCTCGGCTCACTGCAACCTCCGCCTGCCAGGTTCATGTGATTCTCCTGCCTCAGCCTCCCAAGTAGCTGAGACTACAGGTGCGTGTCACCATGCCCAGTTTAGTCTTGAATTCTTTGTCTGAAAAATAAGAATAATAATAACTGATGGTGATAATGAAACCTGCTTTGTAGGGTTATTATAAGGAGCAAATGAAGGAAGGCATGGGATGAATCCAATACAAGTTTGGGCACATCATAGGCATCTATTACATGCTAACAGGCATTATGATGTCTACCCACCACCTCCATCATGGCACCTATGACACACAACTCCCAGGCTGGTCCGGATTCTCACCATAGCTCCTTGTCTGAGCCCAGCCTCCTTCTTAGCCTTTGTAGCCCACTCCTCTCAGCAACTCATATGTTCTCAATTCCTCCAGTCAACCACCCCATCCCACCCCACCATGCCCTGTTTACCCCAAGCTCCTGGCAGATGAACAGGAACTATGCTCATTTATTTATTTATTCAGTAAGTGCATACTGGGCAACTCCTCCATGCCAAACCCTGGGTGGGAGTTGGGGTCACAGAGGCAAATCAGCCTCATTCTCCCATTCTTGAGGAGCTCACTCATGAGTGAGTAATGAACACAAATGGCTCCACTCCATGGCAAGATGTGAAGGGGAAACTCCAGAGGGACAGGCAGTGCCTTGTGAGCACAGGACATGGTTCTTTCCAAGGAGGTCACATTTAACTAGAACTTCAAAGGCAGGAGGTGCTGAGGAGGAGCTTGCAAAACAAAGGAAATGGTGAGGAAAAGTACTAAGATAAACAAAGGCATGGAGGAAGGAAATGACAAGGATTGTGAGATGAAAGGTTATAGCAATCCAGAGCCTAGAGTGCTTAGGAGGAGACCACCAAGAAGAACTTTGTAATCAGAGGTAAGGTTGGGCAGGTGAGTTGAAGTTAGGCTTTGCAGAGCCCTGGATTTTGTCCCCAGGACTCGCATGTGCTGTGGGAGTCCATTAAAGGTCTTTGCACCAGAGCATGCAGGAATGAGGGCAGCTCCTTAGGACAATGATGCAATCAAGTAGGAAGAATGGATTGTGGAAGGGTGGGGAGGACCAGAAACCTTCTGAAGACCAGTTGGCAGTAAGAGCATCATCACAGTTTTCTAACTTATACAAGAAGTGGCTACTGAGTTCCGTATGTCAGGCAGAACCTGTGTCTTTGGATAGGACACTTGAACCTTCCCGGGCCTCTGTTTCTTCATCTGTGAATGAAGGATGTCAATATTCAGGAACAAAGCCTATGCCTCTGGCGTCAGATCTTGGGCATGGGTTGTTCCTGCTGCTTTCTGGAGTCTTCTGCCGCCTTTGCGACGCACTCCCTAGGACCCTGCTCGGTCCAGCCAACTCTTCTGAACTTGAGGACTGACAATATCTCCTCATCCTTCCCCAAGCTCCACTAGATTGTCATGTCCTGAGGACAGAGGCAGACATGTCCATATCATCTGGACATGCCTAGTAGGTGCTTGCCTTGAAATTGAATGTCACGTGAATGTCAGCATTCTCTGAAAAGGCATATTCTCCAGTCAGATGAGGAGCCATGGGTGCCCGGGATTTCATCTATCGAGCCTTTACTTCATGCATAGAAACTGTGGCTGGGGTCTCTCTCTTTTTTTTTTTTTTTTTTTTGTCCTTATTTACAATTGTGATGTTTTTTATTTTATGAGTTTTTTTCTTTCCTTTTTTTTTTTTAATCATATTTTAAGTTCTAGGGTACACATGCACAACGTGCAGGTTTGTTACATATGTATACATGTGCCACGTTGGTGTGCTGCATTAACTCGTCATTTACATTAGGTATATCTCCTAATGCTATCCCTCCCCTGTCCCCCCACCCCACAACAGGCCCCGGTGTGTGATGTTCCCCTTCCTGTGTTCAAGTGTTCTCATTGTTCAATTCCCACCTATGAGTGAAAACATGCAGTGTTTGGTTTTTTGTTCTTGCAATAGTTTGCTGAGAATGATGGTTTTGGCTGGGGTCTTTAATGACCTTTGCTTAGCCCTCCAAGAGGCTTAGGAAATGGATGTTTGTGCTCTCATGTTCCCAATGACCAAGCTGAGGGCCAGAAAGATAAGGCATTTGCCTAAGGTCACAAAGTAAGGACACAGCAGAGCTGGGACCAAACACAGATGGGGCTGTCTCCTCACCAGTATTCTTTCAGCTACATCCCACATCAGACTCACATTGGCCCCCATCCCCACCCAGCACCTCTCATTCTCTAGGGCTTTTGAGTGGCCCCTGCATATCTCAGGATCCTCAGCATGATGGTTCTCCCCACCTCAAAGAGAATGGCAGCAACATGATCTGGGGATGAATTAGCACATGAATGCATCTCGTCCATCACCCACTCCCAAAGGAAAAACAAAATATTAAACATGCTCTGTGTGCCCTTTCCTATCCTGGTGGAGAACAACAATTAAAACTTCTCATTGCAGGAGTTGCCCTAGAGAAAAATGAAAGGAAATTGAATGTGAAAATGAGGGGAGAGCGGGATCTCCATAGAGGATCTGGGTAACTTCAAGACTATTCAGAGAGACGATCATTTTAAAGCAGGCTTAGCTGGCAGTCTTCAGATGAAAACTCAAGAGCAAGCCCAAAACATTTCTGGAATGGTCAGTGAACAAAGGCTTTTCTAATATAAAATAAGTATGTGTGTGTATATATATATGTGTATATATATATGTGTGTGTGTGTATATATGTCTACAAACACACATATATACTTATATATGTTATATATAAACACATATACATATATAAACGTGTATACATATATACTTACATATAAGGGTTTATAAACTTACAAGTGTTTTATATATATAAATACTTATATGTATGTTCTTGTGTATATACAGACACTTATAGAAATGCTTTCTAACTTAAAACATAAGAGATGTTCATTAAAGAAAATCCTGGAAGTAAAAAAGGAGAAATCTTCTTTGGTCCTACCCCCTTGCTTCTTTCCCTTGCCTGGTAAACAGGTTGTATTAGTCTATTCTTGTATTGCTATAAAAGATACCCAAGACTGGGTAATTTATAAAGAAAAGAGGTTTAATTCCCTCATGATTCTGCAGGCTGCACAGGAAGCATAGCGGCTTATTGGGAGGCCTCAGGAAACTTTTAATCATGGTGGAAGGTAAAGAGGAAGCAGGTATGTCTCACATGGCTGTAGCAGAAGGAAAAGCCCAGGTCGGGGGTGCCATATGCCTTTAAATCACCAGATCTCCTGGGAACTCTATTACAAGAACAGCACTAGGGGGATGTGTTAAACCAGGAGAAATTGCCCCCATTATCCAATCACCTACCACTGGGTCCCACCTCCAGCACTGGGGATTGCATTTCAACTTGAGGTCTGGGTGGGGACACAGATCCAGGCCATACCACAGGTCCTCTCCAAAAGAGAGTCCAAAAGGTAACAACTGATTCCCTTCATTCCATTTATTTTTTCACATACTCAAAACTATGACTTCATAGGGAAAGGAGGTGTTTAGTTAGCACCTACAATGTGCCAGGCAAGTGGCATTGCTTTGCCTTTGCTACCTCATTTAATTCTCACAGCAATGCTGGGAGGTCAGTATCATTATCCGTGTTTTAGGGTTGAGGAAACTAAAACTCAGAGTGGTTCAGAAACGTACTCAAGTCACACAGCTTCCAAGCGGTGAAGCTGAGATTCCCACTTGGCTCTAACTACAGGCCCCCCATTACCTCAAAGGAAGCAATGTGGAAAAACATGAAGACTTGGCTGCCACTCCCAATTGCTCCCAGCGTTACAGGGCAGGTGAGATGTGCATGGCATTGACCAGAAGCCCAGACAAAATGCTGTAACTGTATGAAGTTTCATTAAAATCCTTTGCGAATGTACAAAAGGAGCATATTACTTTTAGTTGGAGAGAGGCAAACGGAGATTAGATTAATGGAAGGGGTGACATTTGAACTGGTCCTAAAAAAGGGGGTGGGATTTTAAAGGGCATACTGGGGGAGGTAGAAGACTTTCTAGGCAGAAGTAACAGCCTGAAGAAAGAAAAAGAGTTAGAACACTCAGAAGCCATGGACAGGAGATAGACTCCTTCGGCTGGAACTTGAAGATGTGTGAATAGAAGATACAGACAATGAAGCTGGAAATGAGGTTGGAAGCAGATACTGAAGGGCATAGAATGCTTGGTTAAGGGTTCGAACTTCTGTTGTTGAGCAGAAAAATGGTATGCTCTGAGTAACAGTTTAAGGGAATCACTGTAGGAGCACCTTGAAGGCAGAATGGAGGGAGTGGGGGCAGCTTTCCATGGTAGGAAAACCAGGCAGGCTGCAGTTACTGTAACAGAGCAGAGGCCCATGAGGGTGAAGTGGTAATAGTATTGGGGAGACACGAAGAGGAGAGCACTGGACTGTGAGATATATCAAAGATAGAAATGATGAGGCTTGTGTTGGGGAGATTTCTGACTTGAGTTATTGAATAGGTGGTGGGCCATTAACTGGGAGAGGGAGCACAGGAAGGGAAGCAGGCTTCAGGGACAATGCAATGAAATCAATTTTTGTCCAGTTGAGTTCACGGTGATTGTGTGACATCTGGGTGAGATGTTGAGTGAGTAGGTGGAGGTATACCTCAAGCACTGGAGATGCTGGCTGACACCTTCCAGCACATTATATCGCAAACCCAGCGGGGGCCTTGGAAGTCATCTATTCTAGCCTCATCATCCCTGCAGCAGGCCCTGCAACACCTATGCCTCCAATTCATTGACCTTTCAGTATCTATTCTCTGAGCCACTTCCTTTACTTCCTCATCCCTGGGACCTTCCTCCCTCTGAAGTCATAATGTCTAGTATTAGATACTCTGATCTAACTATCCCATCTTCTCAAGACTTTATTTCATATTGGCCTTATCAGCACTCTTCCCCCTTCAGCCTGTCCTTTTTCTCCCAGTCTTTGGGATTGTTTGTGCCCATTTTTCATCCCTCTGGTGCTTTTACTCCACATGGACTTTCTAAGCCATTCTTTCACCAACATCCTTAATTCCCTTGCTCCTCTCTTGTGCCCTGCAACCAGCTGATGAAACTCCATCACTCCATCAATGCAGTGCCCCACCTTCTCTATTTCTATGCTAGATTGCCAAGCATGAGGAAAATCATGCAACTACATTGATCAAATATACTAAAATTAATGGTCTTTCCTCAGTTGGGCTCCCTACTCTGTTGTCAAAACCTTCCACTTGTCCTTTTTCAACTCTCTAATTCCATCTTTGCTCTTGTTGTTCCATAAATTGTCCCGTCTTTTCCTGCACCTCAGCCTCCCCTTCTTCACTGGCTCCATACTTAGATCTTTCTCACTTCAGTTGTCATCCCATCTCTCATATTTTTCTCTTCCCAACTTGTCAAAGGACTTGCCTTCCATGACATTCACTGACTTCCATTCACTTCCAAGCCCATTAAAATCAGCCTTCCTTCCCACTGCCCTCCTGGAACCACTCTCAGAAAGGTATCAGGGAGCTTCCAACAGCCAATGGCCACATCCTTCCTCCATGCCTCATCTCACTATGCCTGTCTCTTAGATTTGACTCTGTGAGTCACTGTACTTTTCTTAAATCTCCTACCACCATGACTTCTATGGAGCAACAGCTTCTGGTTTATCTCATACCACTTTCATTCTTTCTCAAAATTCTTCATAGGTACCTCCTCCTCTTTCTGCCCCTTGAAGTTATTCCTTAACGTTTTAGTAGTAGACCATGACTCTTTTAACTTTACACATACGCTTGTCTGGGGGCTCTTATTCAAATCACCAACTAAATACAGACAACTCCAAAGACTGTATCATCAACCCGAACTTCTTCCATGAGCCAGACTCAAATCTATCTGCATACCTGATCTATTCCTTGACATACCATTGACTCCTCAAAGTCAACATATCAAAGTGCTCTTTCTCTTAGTTGATGACATGACCATCAACCTGATTTAACCTGGAAGTCATCCTTGACTCTTCCTTCCCTCACTCATCACATCCAATAGATTTCCAGGTTCTGATTGTTTTATGTCCTAAATGTCTCTGAAACTGCTTACTTCCTAATATCTCCTAGTGCTCTGTGTATCCTTAGCATCTCTCCCCTGAATTCCTGTAACCCTTGCTTCACTGGTCTCCTATACACAGCCTTGTTTCCTTCAAATCCATTCTCCACACTGTTAAAGATAAATCCTATAGAATCACTCTCTTCTTTAAGACCTTTCAAAGACCCTGGATTGCCCATAAGCAGTGTTTACCAAAGCGGTTTTTTTAAAAATGGCTTTTCAGAATGTTAAAAATGGTTACCAAGTTAATCAACTGAATAGTCTTCTTCATTGGAGGACTTCTCAGTGCCCAATGGGCTACTGTTTATTGGGAATCTCTAAGATATTACCCAAACATACTTGGCCTCAGGACTTTTCCCAAGGAGCATTTCACAGGACTGGCTTTCTAAGAAAAGTATTTTAGGACTCATTAGTCTACATCATAAAGTCAGAGCTCCAGAGCTCAGCATCTAAGGATGCCATGATATTGACCAAACTGACCACTCCAGTCTGACTCCTACCACTCCCCGCCTCACCTCCTGTGCTGTGGAAACAGCAGACACATGCCCGTCCCTACTTTCGTCATCCCATGTCTCACCTCCTTACTGCTCATGCCATGCCCTTTGTTTGGATGGCTCTTCCAATGCATCTTCTCTTTGCTGATTCCCAGTAATTTTTCACATCTCAGCATAGCTATCGTCTCCTCTGGGAAGCATAAAGATCATGGAATATACACAATGGGAAAGCCAGATATGCAGAGCAGACACCTCTCCAAGCAGCTGAAGGAGAACTGAAACTGACTCCTACCTGATTAATTACAGAGGGGCTAAGAAAGGGGCTAATCCTACCTGATTAATCACAGAGGGGCTAAGTCTTGAGTTGCCAAGACTGATTTGGGCTTCACCTAGGTTTGCTTACCCCATGGAAGGACAGGAGCAAAAGGAAAACACATTATCTTAGACTGGATATGCCAATAGGGAGAGCCCAGAAGAACTCAAGACACCTATGCTCAGTCCCTTTGCCCATTCCTCCAGACCAATGAAGTCCCCTTCCTATCTATGGGAGTCATGAATTGATATGAGTGAACTAACAGATACAACCTCTTTCCATCATTTCCAAAAAGATAGAATTTCTCAGTTTAAGGGCCAAAGTAGAAAATGTGATCAAGCAAGAAAATGATTTATCCTCTATAAGAAACATTGCATACGCTTAATTACTTAAAAGAAACAGGTCATTTGAGTGCATCAAAAGGGTTAAAGAGAGGCTGTGACCCTGCCAATCTAATTAAGGCACTTGATGCCTTCAGAAATTCTTCTTATGGCTCTGAGAAGAGAGACACAATGGAGCCTAGAAACAGAAAGTAAATAGGGATCCCCATGGTCTCCTTCCTGGCTTTGCAGAGAACTGGATTTCAAACATTCATCTCAATGAGCTTTACCACTGTCTGAGTGCCAGAAGTCACTGTCACTCCCCAGTTCTCATTTTCTCTGAAGTCTCTCTGGTTATTCTAGTTAGGCGGGCACCTAGACCGACATTCAGCTTCAATTTCTCCTTCTTAAAGGGCATCCTGGTTGCCCCCCATTTCACGCAGTTGTCTGCACCCTGAGGATATGTCCTCCTTCCAGTTCTCAGCTTCCTTCCTATCTTGCTGCTACCCACTTCTCTGTTTCCCAGAAATCTAATTAGTCTCTGTCTCCCTCACCTTACACTGCCCACAACCAAATGCAAAATGTCAGGAAATTGTTTCTTCATTGAATGCATCAGCAACCTGTCTCCCACGCAAAATGCATCGTCTATCTTTTGGCCCAGACCCCGTTTCTTGTTGTCACACCTCATTATGATCAAGGTTGAGATACAGCATGGTGCCATGGAAGGGGCAGGCCTGGGTTTCCATACAATTCTGCCAGTAAACACTTGCTTTTTTAAGTTTATGACCCTTAACTTGTCTGGGCCTCAATTTCCCCACCTGTCAAATAGGGATAACAATAGAGAAGTCTCATAATTTGTGATAATCAAATAAAAGGACCTCATACACCAAAAAAGCTCATAAATATGTTGGTTTAATGGAGACGCAGGGGATTTCCAGGCATTCCTGGAGAGCAGCTCTTTATCATTGGGTGTTGAGAGGGTTAAGCATGAAAATGAATGCAGTGCCTGCAGTTCAATTCCAGGCTGATAGGAGCTCCCTTCCGTCCCTCACTTTCCCAATAAGCCACATGTCCCATTGTCCTGCTGCCCCTGTACCTCCAGGACCATTGGAAAGATGTGGGTGACCCTTCCACTTCCCTTTGAGCTGGATCCCCCACCTCCATGCCCTCTATTTACTTTGTTATGTTGCCAGCTCACTGAGTTCTAATTGCTTGTCTCATTAAAAAATGCTAATCTAATAAATACTAATTACTCTGAAATAAAACAAGAGCATCCTTTGAAGAACAGCATACTCAAAAGCGTCCAAGGTAATAGGCATGGGGATAAGCCACAGAGCGAGGGCCTATCTTTTCTCCAGAACTAGTGAACTCTTTCCAGATTTTCATTACATTACTCAAAAACAAAAACAAGACCTATTCCCCTGTGAGGGATTCATCACTGTTTTATGGAGAACAGAACCAACTGTGTTGAGTAGCAGGAAAACACAACAGGAGAGGGGCAATGATGGCTAACATGTCCTGGACAAGAACAATTGCACATGTTGTCCTCACCACATGCATAAGAACAAGCACCCCGTCCCCAGCACCCCAACCCCTCCCCTGGCCACTGGGTTCTTACCCATCCCTCAGGTATCCTGCCTAAGGGAGGATGAGAGGCATACATGTTCTGCAAAACCCTGTGTCCTCACCAGGCTCATCATGGCAAATGGCTGGGAATCTAACAACCCCAAATTTCCAACTAAGTTTGCATTTCAAACAGGAGCCTGCACACTGGAAACACTTGGGTTGCTTGGACTCATCTGGTCCATGATATAATGATTTGAGTTCTTCTTGGGAAAAGTCATTCAACCTTAGTCTCAGTTTCCTCATCCATGAAATAGGGCCAATGCTTTCCAGTCTGTCTACCTTCCAAGGTTGTTGTTGAGCTGAAAACAGAAAGGAGACACCAAATATAGAGTCATGTTGCAGAGAACCCTTTTTTAAAGTAAGAGAGTTACACTGAGCAATGCTCTCTTCTCTCTGAATTAGGGTCATGGGGCAGAGAAGCCAGGCGATGACCCTCCAACACCTGGTGACCAGGGAGGAATGCTGGCTTTTCTATCTCATGTTATGACCAAGTCCTCTCTACTGACCTAGGCCCACTGGGAGAGACCCCCTTCTGAGATTCCATCAGAAGGGTCCCTTTGTGGATGCCACCCGGTGTGACATGTGGCATGGAACAATCTTGCTGGAACAGCCTCCTTTGAGGCAGCCTGAGCTGCTCACCTCATCCCTCCAACCTGACCTTTTGCTCGGCACTGGGGCTAGAAAGCGACAGCTGAGATAGTGTTCACAGCCACGTTTTCCTTAAACATAACTGAGGAGTGTGCAAACGCCTTGTCAGAAACAATAGTGCTTGGTGATCCATGCTGCTCCTTACAGAGGGTGTGAGAGAGAGCTGGGAAATGTGGTCCTTGCCTCTGCATCCTTCATCAGGAACTCTCTAGATGAGTAATTCTCGGCCCAGAGTGATTTTGACCTCCAGGAGGTGTTTGACAATGTCTAGAGAGATTTTAGATTGTCATAACGGTTGTGGAGCAGCTACTGGCATCCAGTGGGTAGAGGCCAGTGACACAGCTAAACACCTTACAATGCACAGGACACCCCCACAAGAGAGATCCCGCCCAAAATGTCAGTAGGGCTGAGGCTGAGGAACCCTGGTCTAGATATTTCAGGGCTTTTAAAAAGATTTGGCAGCTGTTGTCACCCCCACTAGCCTTTGCCTGTCTTTCCTTAATGGCAAATGACTCTTGAGGGGGCTTCCTGATCAACCACATAATGAACCCAATAATGACAGTCATTGCCAAAGAAAAGGTTCTCTCTTTTGAATAGAATGATGATGTTTGCCATCCTATTTTATTATTGCCAAAATAACACACAGGCTAGTTTACATAGTCTGTCTGCCATCCCATGAATGACGGTGCTGAGTCTTGCTTGATCGAAAGAACAAGTTGGTTTCCAATGGAAGAAGGTCCTTCTTTTCCAAATCAGAACCCTTCATGTACACAAGTAAGCATCACATTTGCAAATCACAATGCTAATCCAAAATTATATAAAACTGGATGGATATATAACATTATATATCCAACCCAAGTCTTCACTGATGCCTTCATCTGTCAGCCAATAGAAATGTGTCAAGCTCCTTTTATGCCCAAGACCTTGTGTTCCAGCATGGGATTCCAGTGAAAAGTGGCCTCTGCCCTTTAAGGGCACACTGTAATGGGAACAGACACTTGCAGAGAAGCAATTTCAGGAAAATGGGATGGATTGAGTGTGGAGGCCTGTGGCAGAAACTGACCAGTTGCTCTCCAAACCTGCTCCCTTTCCTCTTGCACACATAGCCATACCCTATTTCCCAGCCTCCTCTGAAGCCAGGGTCTCTGCATTCTGGACATTGGACTATGAGTCAGAAGTGATGGGACTCACTCACAGCCTGGCCCATGGGAGCCTCCTATGGTTGGCCCCTGTCCTTTCCCTGTCTCCTACCCAGATACAGAGGATCCAGCAAAGGACTGTGAGACCCCATGGGATTGCAAAGCCACAAGATGAGAGGGACATGGCTACCTGGATGGCCTTGGGGATGACCACCTCCAAACAAGAGTACCCACCATATTCATCAGAATTCTCCAGAGAAACAAAATCAATATGATACACACACACACACACACACACACACACACACACACACACACACACACACACATATTAATTTGATGTTATGGAGGCTCAGAAGTCCCACCATCTTCTGTCTGCAAGCTGGAGAACCAGGAAAGCCAGTGATATAATTCAGTCTCAGTCAGAAGGCTTGAGAAGCAAGAGAACCCACAGTATAAGTTGCAATCCAATGCAAAGGTCCAGAACTTGGGAGGCTGATAGTGTAAGTCCTGGTCTATCCAAAGACCTAAGAACTTACAGTGCTGATGTCTGAGGGCAGGAGAAGATGGATGTCCCTGCTCAAATAGAGATAGCAAATTCACCCTTCCTCTACCTTCTTGTTCTGTTTGGGCCCTGGACAGATTGGATGGTGCCCACCCACATTGGTGAAGGCAATTTTCTTTATTGATTCAAATGAGAATCTCTCCAGAAACAACCTTCCAGACACACCTACACCCAGAAATAATATTTAACCAGCTATCTGGGCATGGCTTAGCCCAGTCAAGTCAACACATAAAATTAGCCATCATACCCACAATGGACTGAGACATCAATTTGCATTTGTTAATCTACTGGAACTTGGGACTTTAGTTGTTACAGCAGCTGATGTTACCTATATGAACTAACATAAGTTTTGTGCCCAGGCCATCATCTTAAGTGGAGCTGACTCTCCTTTGTGTCTGCCTTATATGTTATAGAGACCTTTATCTCAACACATGGGAGATTTTGATGCACTAATGCATTTACTCTTTGTCTCTCTACGGGGGTTGCCACAGACTTACTTGACAGAAGAGACTTAGGGATGGCAGTTAGACTAAGAGGGGGTGCTAGGAGATTTGTCTTGAGGCTATAACTGCCCAGAAAGAGTACTGTTGCACTCCTGATATAAAAATAAAAGAGTTTCTAGAGTGGTTTTGACACACTGCATAAGAATGAGAAAATGGCAATTGCTCCATTTCAAAGAAAGCGTAAGGAGTTCCCCTACCAACTTGCTGAAGAATAACTGGGTTGAATCTAGGGTCTGCCTTTGACCATTGGTGATGTTAGATAAGTTACTTAATCGTGTTCATCCTGCTTCTTCATCTGTAAAAATGGGGGTAGTGAGAGCACCTGCTTCATAGAGTTAGGATTAAATAAGATGATGCATGAAGAATGCCTCCTCTAGCTTCTGGCACCCAACGCCAGGCATCCTGATTATTATTATCTCCAAATCCCCAGTGCTTAACCACAGTGCCCAAAAGCATGGTAAGTGTTTGCTGAGAGAATGAATAACTGAATTTTTAAAATCATCCAAGTCAGAGGAAGATAAGAGGAAAGATATTGCTCATCCAATGCTGATTCAGCTATCATAATTAATTTCAGAGATACATTTTGCTGGCATCTTTTCCACAAGGATTCTCCCCTAGATTTAATTAGGAAGGCAAAGTCAACATCCTGCCAAGGTACTTATACTTTTTTATGCTCCTCTTAAAAAATAAATAAATAAATAAATTAAACAAAAAAAAAACTGTGATGCTATTTAGTGCAATGAAAGGTGTTGTCCAGGGTCCTCACTGTAGCAGTGCACATTGCATTGAAGAGCCAGCCAGCTGTGCTACCTACCTTTGCAGACAGAAAAGGGAAAGGGCCCTGGGGATCTAAGAGCCAATGCAAGGTCAGAAGACAGAACAATGGGGCTCAAAGGCTACTAAAAACAACAACCTTAGGAATCATCTCAAGTCATAGATGGGGAAGCTAAGACCCTGGGAGGCGCCAGCCAAATTGCCCAAGATTACAAGCCAGGAAGCAATAGGTGTGATTCCAATGGCTTCTCTCTTAAGCACCTCCAGAGGGTTTGGGTGGGTACATTTTGATTCTTCTTAAGCATCCTCTCCATCCTCTGCCCCCAGGATCTGGTGCAGAGTAATTTCTTCTGGCTCCTCCAGAGGTAGATATGGGTATCTGAGGGCAGTGGACACAGTCTGGACCCCTTATGCCACACTGGAAGGCAACTGGACCAAGGAGCTGAGTAAGACTCACAGCAAATGCATCCACTCTTCCAGGAAAAATAGGCTCCAAGTCCTTGGAAGAGTAGTCAGATGTGTCAGCTCCATCTGCAGAGAGTAGTAAAATCAATAATATCCTTTGGGGTCAAATTGGGGTTACAGTACATTTTAGGGTCCCCTTGGGGTCAAATTGCCTGCAGAATAACTCAGAGGGTGGGGTGGAGGTGGGGGTGGGAGTTAGGACAACAAAAATCTTGCTTGATGAGCTGCTATGGGCAATATGTCCCACCAATCCAATCCCAATCCAACATCCAGCCCAATGCCCATTCATCCAGAGTGGCCACACATGCTGGAGGTTAAAGCACAACTCTGAGGGCTAGACTGCCTAGGCTGGAATCTCTGTTCTCTTGCTTACCTGTAGGACTGTGGGCAAGTCACTTACCTGTGCATGACTCAGTACCCTCCCCTATAAAATAGAGATATTAATTGTCCGCAACTCATAGGGCTGCTGAGAGGATTACATGCAGCCTAGCTCCTTGTGCATACCACCCTCTCCAACACACACACACACACGCACACACACACACACACACACTATCATGATTACTGTTTCTGAACCATCTCTTCTGGGTCTGGCACTGATCTCAGCACTTCAGAGAATACAAAGATGAACGGTTCGGTCTCTGGACTAAGACAAGCATCAGAGGACTCTAATGTTAGAGTCCTGAGTGAGTGGGGCCCCAGACAGGCTCACACTGTGTGTTTTGGTCAAAGGAGGGTGTTGAGCCTGGTGGTCAAGAGCCAGGGCCGGCAGCTCATGGTTGTGGGTTCCGTGCACAGCTGGCCTGGGCAGAGGGGATCCCAAGGAGAAAGGTGGCAGGTGGCAGGTGTGGAGGCTGGAGGAAGTATGCTGAGAGCTGGATGACAGGGAGTGTGGCTCAAAAGGCTGATTCCAGAGCCTCTTTGGAGGGCAGGTTTTAAAAGGGGAGGGCTCCGTGTAGAGGAGCATGAGTGTCTCCCACGTGGTAGCTTTGCCTGCCTTGCCTGCCTTGCAGTTTACAGTGTTCATTTGATCTCACAACAGCCTCGGGGCAAGGCTGAGTGATGTCTCATATTTCAGACGTGACTTCTCAATGCCCTGTACACTAGGCCTCTTCCTCAGCACTCAGCCTAAGGTAACACATCCAATCCTCCTGACTGCCCTTATCAACATCTCCTATCTACAGAGGGGAAACCAAGCAGTGAGACGTTAGGTGCTTTGTCCAAGGCCCCTCAGCTAGTGGAGGAGTCAGTCCCACATGAAGCTGACTCCACAGTCCACACCTTTAACCAATAAGCCAAACAGGAAAAGTGGGGCTCAGAGCCAGGAAATGAGTCCTCAGGGCCTCTGCTGTGAGCAGGCTGAAAAGACAGACCTCAAACTCCATCCTCAGAGGTAGGGACAGTGTCCTCCCGCCACACCCTTGTCCCCCTGGTTCTTGGGGTGATTCTGTGGGCTTGTCTATTTCATGGTCTCACTTCAGGCCTGGCCCACCTGCCCTGGGCCAGGCTCTCTACTCCCACTTTTGACTCACATATCTTCAAATATCCTCAGCTCTCTAGAATGTAGCTTCTGTCACAAGCTTCTGTCACCATCTCCCATGGCCGGCCCAGGAGATGTGGTCTAAAGGAAACAAACCTTTCCCTCCATGTCCAGAATCAGGGTGAAGATCATAGTGGACATTGGTATGAGCGGCAAATGCTTTTAACTGTGAGGAATCCTTTTGCCCCCCTATAGCCTAAAATAAATCTTTACAGAAGGAGGAAATTACCGAAGGTAAAATTGAGTCTGTATAGTGGTACCTGACTCACTTGAGGACAGTGCTGGAATGCCAATGGGCCCAGGCCTTTCTGGTCATCCTTCTTCCAAAGCAGAGTGCAGAAGGGAGATTTACTAGCCATCAGCTGCCCAGTGGCCGGCAGTGGCCCCACTGCTGATCCTCTGAATGATCTGGGTAAAGATGCTTCACCTTTCTGTGCTTTTGTTTCCTCTTCCATCAAATAAAGATGACAACGATGACTCCTGCCTTGTATTATTAGTATCAATTAAACCATATTTGTAAATGCCTTTGCAAAAATGGCACTAACTATATACAAAGGAGTGTCATTATAACCAACTCATGGCTGATCTGCCCCCTCCAACTCATCAGATCCAGTATCTACTTCCTTTGATCATTCCAAAGGGTTTAAACAGTTTGCATCTTGGCTGTACCACCTACTAGCTTATGACTCTGGACAATGTATCACCATGTCCTCATCTGTGAACTGGGGATAATATTAACTCCTGATAGGATGGCTGTGAGAATTAAATGAGAGAATTTACAGTAAAGCATATACTTAAAGCAGTGCCCCGTAAAAGTAAATAGATATTTATATTCACAGCAATTAGCAGCAACGGCACTCTCCCCACCTTGCTGTGTAACTTGTGTTTAAATGTCCTCCTTCCAAGATTGTGGGCTTCTCAAGTTCAGGTATCATTTTATATTTTAGTACATTCATCTCTGAACTGGATGTTGGATCACTCTCACACAGCTCTCTGAGATGGAGTCCACCGCTCTTGCCCTCTACGCCATCTCTTTCCAGCCACTGCTGTGATGGCCTGTTCCACCGAGCTTCAACTGGCTTTGCGCAGGTGCCATTTGGCAGTGCCTTTTCTCAGGTTAGGGCTGTATGTCTCTTGTGCCCTACCCCTGGGCTTCTCTCAGGGTGTCACACTCCTGGGCCCTCAGATCCATGCAATCAAAAGTGTAGGATGTTAACTCTATGGGCAGCTTTGGGCCAACAGGGATAGGAGCTAATGCCTTCCTTCCACTTTCATCATCTGAGGACAGTCCTGAGATGCGTTTCATAAAGTGACTCAGAAGTTCCATGGGATTGAGCAACCAGTCACTCATGGTGGTGGCCAGTTGAATAATGTCTCCTTGCCTTGGGTCTCTCCTTCCCATTTCACCTCCCAAGGCCCTCATTCCTGATTTCTGGCATTACATTCTCAACTAAACAACCCCACTGTGAACTTTTCTCTCAGGTTCTGTGGCTGGGGTGCTGGGGGGCCAGGGGTAGGGGATGGTGGGGGCAGGTTAAGAAAACCTGCTTCTCTCACTATGCTCCCATTACAGTAAATAGCATCCCCAACCACACTGTTTCCAGGAAAGCATCTGGGAAGAAAATCTACTCCTCCTTTCCCTTCTTCATCCCCCTGCCTAGCCCTCAACCACACACTCACACACACACAACAATCAGCTGATTTTCTTCCCATTGATTTTACTCAACTTCCCGTTGAGTCAACCTTACTTCCTGTTGATTTGACTTTATTTCCTGCAGACTCTTCTTTACTTCCTATTGATTCAACCTTACTTCCTGTTGATTTGACTTTACTTCCTGTAGATTATTCTTTACTTCCTATTGATTCTACTTCCTTAATAGTTTTTTCAGCAGCTCATTTCTTACCTCCCGGCTGCCACTGCCTTTGTTTGAACCACCATCGTCCCTCTCTCAGGACACAACAACCATCCTGATGGTCTCTCTGCCTCCAGCACTCTACAAGGCCAGATCTCAGAGAAACTTGTATAGTCTGCCCTGGAGCTGGCACTTTATCCCCAGGGCAGTGCCCTGTTCAGATTCCTGTTGTAGAAGATCTTACTTGGTAGAGGGCATGATAAGAAGAGTCTAGGTACAGGGAGATAATTTAGCCTAAATAATTTAGCATAATTAAGTCTAATATGAGGCTGCTACCAGGAGACCAGGAAAGAGGTGGTACAATCCCAAGGAGCAGCAAATTTGGCAGTAAAGGTTTTGAGTTCATTCTCCATCTCCTGTATCCTGGGATTCCTGTAACTCATGACATTGCACCTCCAGGATTTCAGCAGGAGGGAGCAACCTTGCAGAGTCTGACAAAGCAAGCACATTTGGCATGGGGGACACACAAACCCACTGTGAGCCAGCTTCTTGTCCTCAAATAAAAGTGCTGCTTCATCTCTAGGCAGGGCATGGAGCAGCCAAAGGGAATTAAGTAATAAACTGCATAATGACCATAGACCCACTCCACTTCTCTCTGTGAATCATCCCAGCACCAACACCCTCAGCCTTTGTGCTGATGAACAACTGTTCCAATCTGGAGAGCGGAAGCCTGAAGTTAGCTGTTTATATATTTATCAATGTCACCCACAGGTTCTTGGAGGTGGGAGATCTAGAAAAGGCTTGCTATGGTTAAACCCGATATACAATACACTGTTTATTTAGGGACTAATAAAGGCTGTCTAGGGTTCTTTTTTTCCACACTAACAGTTTCATGCCAACCATCATATTTAACACTCATAACCCTCTGAAGAGGCATTATTTTTCATTTTACAGATGCAGAAACTGCAGCTCAGAGAAGTGAGTAACTTTATTAGGCTCACAGAGGAAAGTATGCTTCTCTCTGTACCTACCACATCACACTGAAATTTCTTTTTAATCATTTTCTTCAAAATTACACGAGGCTGGTCAGAAATTTCCCTGCATCGAAAGAACCAGTTATAATCATCAACCTATTTTTCAAAGGTTATTTTTTTACATAGAGCCAAAGGGCTTCTTCCCTTCATCAAAAGCCCTCAAGGCTGTTTAAATGCTCCTATCCAAGAAGACCCCTGGGACCTCTCCAGGCCACACCAACCACTTCTACTCCAAACTTTCATAGCATCTAAGCCTGTGTTCATCCTGTTTTGTTTTGTTTTTTTTTTTTGGTGTGTGTGTGTGTGTGTGTGTGTGTGTGTGTGTGTGTGTGGCTTTCTTCTTTCTTTTTTTTTTTTTTTTTTTTTTGAGTCAGAGTCTCATTCACTCAGGAAGCCAAGGCTGGAGTGCAGTGGTGAAATCATAGTTCACTGTAGCCTCGAAATCCTGGGCTTAAGTGATCTTCCTGCCTCAGCCTTTCCAGTAGCTAGGACTACAGGCATACACCACTATGCCTGGCTAAGTTCCTTTTTTTTTTTAGACAGAGTCTCACTTGTCGCCCAGGCTGGAGTGCAATGGCACACAATCTCTGCTCACTGCAACCTCCGCCACCCAGGTTCAAATGATTCTCCTGCCTCAGCCTTCCAGGTAGCTGGGATTACAGGCATGAACACCACACCCGACTAATTTTATATTTTTAGTAGAGATGGGGTTTCACCATGTTGGTTAGGCTGGTCTTGAACTCCTGACCTCAAGTGATCCACCCACCTCGGCCTCCCAAAGCACTGGGATTACAGGCATGAGCCATCGTGTCCAGCCTTTTTTTTTTTTTTTAATTTTGTAGAGATGGGGTCTCACTCAGACTGTTCTCAAACTTCTGGCCTCAAGCAATCCTCCCTCCTCAGCCTCCTAAAGTGCTAGGATCACAGGCATGAGCCAACACACCTGGCCCCTTTGGTTCTTGATGGTCAGCATTTCAGACAACTTCTCTTTATTATTTAACTGCTCATCATGACACACCATTAAAAGGATGAAAAGGCAACCCACGAAGTAGTATAAGATATTTGCAGTACATGTGTCAAAGACTATTATTCAGAATATATAAAGAACTTCTACAAATCAACATGAAAAGACAAACAACCCAATACATAAGTGGGCAAAGTACTCAGAAGCTTCACCAAAGACATTAATTTTAATGTTGATAATAAAAACCCTTTAACTGAAGTATAATAGACACACAGCAAAGTGCAAGTATTTTGAGTATGCAGCATGGTGAATGTTCACAAATGCACCTGTGTGACCAGCACCCAGCTCAAGAAAGGAGATCATAACTAACACCTCCATTATCCTTCAACGTATACCCCCTTCCAGCTACCACCTTTCCCCATTGAGGGTAATCCCTCTTCTAACTTCCAGCACTACAGATTAGCTTGGCTTGTTTTTATGTGTTCTGTAAATGGAATCATGAATAGAGTAATACAATGTGTACTTGTTTGAGTCTGTCTGCTTTTGCCCACAGAATGTCTGTGAAGTTCATTCATGGTTGATTTCTTCCCCTCAACCTTATGTTTGTGAATTTCATCCATCTTTTTGTGCATAGCTGTAGTTTGTTCATTCTCATTGCTGAGAAGGGCTTTCAAGTACTTATCAGATTGAGGCTGTTTTGAATAGCACTACAATGCACCTCCCAATACATGTCTTCTGGTGGACATGTGCACACATTCCTGTTAGGTAAGAAGAGTGGGTCCCTGAAACCTGGAATAATACTGAACCCAATTGCTGTCAATCTGAACATGATTCTGTTCGTGTATTCCACCCACAAATGTCATGCCTTTTCTGCCTTCATTAAGCACTTATCATGCACTGTGGCTGTAACTTTTGCAGTTTGAGGTGCAACAACAAAAGTAGCATGAATTTCTTTTTCTTCTTTCACAATTTCATGGATAGAAGATTTGTTCTTACTGTAGATCTTAGCAACCTCAACATACTTTTTTTCTTGTTCTTTAAGTCAAGAACTTTCACCTTTTCTATTAAAGAAAGCACTTTAAAGCTTCCTTTTGGCATATCCAAATTGCCAGCATCAGTACTCTTGCACTTTGGGGCCATTATGAAATAAAATAAGGGTAACTTGAACATGAGCACTGCGATACCTCGACAGTCAGACTGAAAACCAAGATGGCCACTAAGTGGCAACTGGAAAGGAGTGTAAACAGCATGGATATGCTGGGAAAAGGGATGATTCGCGTCCCAGGCAAGACAGAGCAGGACAGTGAGAAATGTCTTCACAATACTTAGAATAGCATGCAGTTTAAAATTTAGTAGTTATTTATTTCTGGAATTTTCCATTTAATATTTTTGCGCTGCAGTTGACCATGGATAACTGAAAATGTGGAAAGCAAAACCACAGCTTTAGTAGAAACTGTCAGTTTTCCAAAGTGGTTGAATAAATGTATACTTAACAAAATATGAAAATCCGGTTGTTCACAATCTTAGCAACACTTAGTATTTTCTCTTTTCCATTTTAGCAGTTCTGGTAAGTATGTAATATTGATGTCTAATATTGGTTTTAAACTGCATTTTCCTGATGTCCAGTGAGGTAGAGCTTATTTATGTTTATTGGATATCTGGATAACCCTTTTGGTGAAGCTCTTGTCTGAGTGTTTTGCCCACCTATATATTGGGTTGCTTGTCTTTTTCATGTTGATTTGTAAGAGTTCTTTATATATTCTGAATACAAGTCTTTTTTCTGACACATGTAGTGCAAATATCTTCTACTACTTTATAGAAGAAGTAGGTTGCCTTTTCATTCTATTAATGGTGTGTCATGATGAGCATCTTTCATTTTATCCAAATTTAGTCCAGATTTATAAGATTTTCTTTTATGGTTAGTGATTTTATGTCCTCCTTAAGAAATCTGCCTACTTCAGGATTATGAATACATTTGATCATGTTTTCCTTTAAAAGGTAAAAATCTTTCTTGTTTAAATCTGCAATCCATTGTACATTGTGTGAGGTAAGAATTGAGATTCATTTTGGTCCATGCATATATGGCTGGGAAGGCTATCCTTTCCCCCACTGCTCGTGGTGTCTCTTTTCTAGGTCTGTTTTGGGCTCTCTATCCTGTTCCATTGTGGAGTTTTTCTATCCTTGAGCCTACCAAGCTATTTTTTTTTTTTTTTTTTTTTTTTAGACAAGAGTCTCACTCTGTCCCCCAGGCTGGAGTGCAGTGGTGTGATCTCAGCTCACTGTAACCTCTGTCTCACGGGTTCAAGTAATTCTCCTGCCTCATTCTCCCAAGTAGCTGGGATTACAGGCATGTGCCACCACGCCCAGCTAATTTTTGTATTTTTAGTACAGACAGGGTTTCAAAATGATGGTCAGACTGGTCTCGAACTGCTAACCTCAGGTGATCCACCCGCCTTGGCCTCCCAAAGTGTTGGGATTGTTTGATATGAGTCCTAAATTTCTTTTCAAAGAATCAATATGTCATATGTTCAATTCTTTGCCTTCTACTTTTAACTGAACTTCGTCATAAAGCAACCTTTTTCAATTACCTGCTCCACCCTGACTCATTCCGATTACCTGCTCCACCCTGACTCATTCCGATTACCTGCTCTGTCATAACCATTTTTCCTGCCAAACCACTCACCCCCGTCACTCTCTTTAAATTAGCCAATCGGAATTAGTTTAGCCTGTGCAGTCTAACCCTAGCCAATGGGGAAACGACACAGCAGCAGGGGCCACGTGTATCAGGGATAAGAACCCCTTCACCTCCCTTGTCCAAGTGTGCGCTCACCATTGCTCCATCTGTGAGGGTGCACCCTTCTATAGAAGTACCTTGCCTTGCTGAGAATTAAAAAGAAAATTTTATATTCAAGTGCTATTTCTTTTGCGGCACCAAAACTTTATTTGTAACAGGATTACAGGCGTGAGCCACCGCGCCCAGCCCATACTGTCTTAATTATTGTAGCTTTTCATCTGGTAATCCTCGGGGTTTGTTCTACTTCAAAATGGCCTTGGCTGTTCTTGGTTCTTGCAGTTCCATATGAATTTTACAACCAACTTGTCAATTTCTGACAAGAACAACAAAAAAAGATTAAACTTGCTGGGATGTTGATTGGGATTGCTTTGAGTGATGGCTTTATAATACTGAGTGATCTGATGCATGATATATTGAATCATTCCATTTATTTAAGTTTCCTTTCTATAATGTTTCGCAAATTTCAATATACAATCATGCATATTTTGTTATATTTATATATGAATAATACGCTATTTTAATAGTACTTTTAAAATTTTACTTTCTGTTTCTTGCACATAGAAATACTATTGAATTTTTTGTATATTGGTTTTATATCCAGCAAGATGGTTGCTTAAGTTTCAAAGCATGTGTCTTATTTCCCCAACAGGCTGTAATTCCTAAAGGAGATCTTGGCACTGGGCTCCCAGTTTGACATACCCTAACTCCCTCACCAGTCCTTGAGATAGGTATAAATAGCCCCAGTTTAAAGATACAGTAACTGAGTATCATCAATGACTCAATTTGCTGAAGGTCACATGGCTTTTTGTGCATGACAGAGCCCAAGGCCAATGCTGGAATGTCTGATTCCAAGGTCTATATTCCTTATGCTACAGCAGACAGGGTGACTGATAATGTACCTGAGTAAATTTCTCTTTCCTCAGCACTGAACTAGGGAAACAGAAGGTGCTTAGTTGTTTTTTGTACAAGGGTAAAAACCTTTCAAACTCATCGCTTACTTTGTCATTCTCTGTCTTCCATGAGAGCAACATGTGCATGCCAAGTTGCCAAGTTCCTCCTTTAAAGAGAATAACTCTGGACAAAGCGCTTGGGGCTTTAATTTTGCTGCTCTCTCATGTTGCAGACTGAATTTTGTCTGAAAACTATCTTTTCTGCTCCCAAAGGCTTTCACCTTGTGTTACAGACACAGAGCACTGGGCACTTTGTTGGGAGTGGGGACTGGTCAGGTAAATGGATGCACAGAGGGAGAAAGAGGTTATTCAAGGCAGGGAGGAAAGGGAGTTGGGAGGCAAGAAACAAGGAATAGAATCCTCCTCTGACCACTTTCTGTACCAAGAGCTGGTCTGAAATTTTGGGAGGTGGGTGGTTTTTAGGAGCTCAGGTGCACAGAACTGAGTTCCTCATGGTCACTTCCTGGAACATTAGCACATTTTTGTCAGAGGCATTTGAACAAGAGAGACTCCATCTTGAATAGGGGCTGGGTAAAATAAGGCTGAGACCTACTGGGCTGCATTCTCAGGAGGTTATGCATTCTTAGTCACAGGATGAGATAGGAGGTTGGCATAAGATATAGGTCATAAAGACCTGGCTGATAAAACAGGTTGTGATAAAGAAGCCAGCCCCAACCCACCAAAACCAAGATGGTGATGAAAGTGACCTTTGATTGTCTTATTTGTTCATTATGTACTAATTATAATGTATTAGCATGCTAAAAGACACTCCCACCAGTGCCATGACAGTTTGCAAATGGCATGGCAACATCAGGAAGTCACCCTATATGGTCTAAAAGGGGGAGGAACACTCATTTCCAAGAATTGCCCACCCCTTGTTTAGCATATAATCAAGAAATATATATCCTTAGTCCAGCAGCCCAAGCTGCTGCTCTGCCTATGGAATAGCCATCTTTTATTCTTTTACTTTCTTAATAAAGTTGTTTTCACCTTACAGTATGGACTCACCCTGAATTCTTTCTTGCGTGAGATCCAAGAACCCTCTCTTGGGGTCCAGATTGGGACCCCTTTCTGGTAACAGTTTCAGGCAAGATGCCCCTTTGGTATCTCATTATTTCTCTCCATTATTCTGTCGATGTTATGGAGCATCCAATCTAGTGCTTATGCGTCCTCCCAATTTCCCTTCTAATATTTGTTTGGATGTATAACTTTTTAAAAAATAATTTGAGGGGTGTGGTTTTAAAAATTACATGAATGGGATTTTTTCAACAAATCTGATTCCGTTTTTCACTTGCTTCCTTTGACAGGTGCTTTTGCAGTCTATCCAGGTGGCTCCACATAAATACAGTTTGCTCCTTGTAACTACTGTAGTATCCTCTTCCCTCATAGGGATATACCACATTTTACTTATCCATGCCTACAGGTGCAGATTGCTTACTTTCTGCTCTCTTTGTGACATTCATTCATTTCCTGATTCACAAACATCTGTTGAGTGCTTTTATCCTTCAGGCAATAATCTAGATATTGGGGCTAAATTATACTAAATTGAACACCCTTATAGCAACTATTACTCTGGGGGATTACATCTTTGAGTGGGATTGCTGGGTCAAAGGAGGTACACATACTTAATCTCAGAATCCTGCCAGATGGATCTCCAGAAAGGCTGTATCCGTTACCCTCCTACCACCTATGCCTGCAGGTTTTTCTTCTTTGCAGACTCCCCAGAATTCAGTATTAGATGACTTCCTATTGTTTTTCAATGTGATGGGTGTGATTTGGTATTATGTTGCTTTAATTTGCATTTCTTTGACTAGTGTTATGATTAAACACCTCTTTTCAAGCAATGGGGTTTCTCCATCTGAATTTTCTGTATAGACTTTGCGATTTCCTTTAGACTTTTTGTCTTTATATTGCTGATATAAAAAAGCTCTTGGAATGCTCTAGATGTTAATTCCTCATAGGTTTTAGATACTGCAAATACATTTCCCTGTCCTGGTACCTGCCTGTCATTTTTGCTGATCGTTTTCTTCCCATTTTTTTTTTCCTGTATGCTTTCTTTTTTTTTCTTGTATCTTTCTTTTTTTTTTTTTTTTTTTGAGATGGAGTTTCACACTTGTCCCCCAGGCAGGAGTGCAGTGGCACCATCTCGGCTCACTGCAACCTCCGCCTCCCGGGTTCAAGTGATTCTCCTGCCTCAGCCTCTCAAGTAGCTGGGATTACAGGCACCCGCCACCATGCCCGGCAATTTTTTTTTTTTTTTTTTTTTTTTTGTATTTTTAGTAGAGACGGGATTTCGCCATGTTGAGCAAGCTGGTCTCAAACTCCTGACCTCAGGTGATCTGCCCGCATCAGCCTCCCAAAGTGCTGGGATTACAGGCATGAGCCACCGTGCCCAGTGTCCTGTATGCTTTCTAATTTGAGGGTTTGTTAAGGAGATTCTTCTGCACTCCTGAGTCACAAACATATATATTGTTTTGCCTCTCATGTGTGCCTCTTTAATCCATTTAGAGTTTTTGTTTTGGGGTTTTGTTTTGTTTTTAAAACACTGTGAAGGATAGGAACCTAGCTTTCTCCATATAGTAAGGCAGTTTCCAAAATACTATTTATTAAAAGGCTCATGCTTTCCTCATTAGATGATACCTTGATCTTACATGTAATCTTCATAAATACTGGGTTCACTCCTCTATTCGTTTGATTTATTTGTCTGTTGTTGGAAAAATCATGCCTCATTTTATCATTATAGCTATTAGAATATTTTTAAATGCATAAGGAACACCCTCTTTGCTCTAACTTTGCTGCTAGAAGAACTCTATTCTTCCATAAAAATTTAGAATATGTCAAGTTTTTATTGTGATTGAAATCACACTGAATTTGTCGACCACTTTGGGGGAAAACTGACATCTTTACAATACCGAGTCATCACATCCATCCAGGTGAAGCAATCTCATTGCCCAAGGCATGACTCCAAGTTCTTTGTTTCACAACCAAGAAAAGCAAGGAGCGAGAACACCAAGGGTGAGGTTGGAGCAAAAGTTTAATAAGCGAAAGAAGAAAGTGTAAGAGTTAAAGAAAGAAGAAAGAAACAGGAAATGTGGCTGGCGGTTAAAGACAGGTTTTCTTTAGATAAAACCTGAAAGGGGCTCCTGGCTGATTTTGGTGAGAAGCACTTTCTCTTACAGACTGTAGGGTAAAGAGAGATCACACTGTTATTGTGTCTATGTAGAAAAGGAAGACATAAGAAATTCCATTTTTATCTGTACCCTGAACAATTGTCTTGCCTTGAGATGCTGTTAATCTGTAACTTTAGCCCCAGCCCTGTGCTCACAGAAACATGTGTTATATGGAATCAAGGTTTAAGGGATCTAGGGCTGTGCAGGATGTGCCTTGTTAACAATATGTTTACAAGTAGTATGCTTGGTAAAAGTCATCGCCATTCTCCAGTCTCGACTAACCAGGGGCACAATGCACAGCGGAAAGCTGCAGGGACCTCTGCCCAGGAAAGCCGGGTACTGTCCAAGGTTTCTCCCAACTGAGACAGCCTGAGATATGGCCTCGTGGGAAGGGAAAGACCTGACCATCCCCCAGCCCGACACCTGTAAAGGGTCTGTGCTGAGGAGGATTAGTAAAAGAGGAAGGCCTCTTGCAGTTGAGGTAAGAGGAAGGCCTCCATATCCTGCATGCCCCTGGGAATGGAATGACTCAGTGTAAAACCTGATCGTACATTCTTTCTATTCTGAGAGGAGAAAACCACCCTGTGGCTGGAGGTGGGGTATGCTGGCGGCAATGATGCTCTGTTACTCTTTGCTACACTGAGATGTTTGGGTGGAAAGAAGCATAAATCTGGCCTATGTGCACATCCAGGCATAGTACCTTCCCTTGAACTTATTTGTGACACAGATTCCTTTGCTCACGTTTTCTTGCTGGCCTTCTCCCCACTATCACCCTGTTCTCCTGCCGGTGCGAGTCTCTGAGTTCCCTCAGTATTTATTGATTACCATTCTACTATCTCAGCAAGGGGAATGCGGCATCTTTTAATAGGTGTTATGGTCTGACTGCTTGTCTTCTCAAAATTCATATTGTTAAAACCTAATCACCAATATAACAATATGAGGAGGTGGGGAATCTGGGAAGTGAGTCTTCTGCTACTTTGTTAGAGTTTTTTTTTACATATTCTGGATCTGAGCACTTTGTCAGTTCTGTACGTTGCAAATATTTTCTCCTCCTCTGTGGAATTTTACTTTCTTTAATGAAAAGAAGTTCTTAATCTCAGGAAATCCAATTCACCAATGTTATTAGGGAAGAATTTAAGGTAGAGTTTAGTGGCTCCTTGTGCTACCCTCCGCCCCACTCTGGGTGGCCCAATGAGCTTCTGCCATTTCCCAATATAAGGTTTCTTTCTGGACAGCAATTCATTCATTCAAGTATTTCTTAAGCATCTCCTGTGTGACAGGCTCTCTCCTGGCTGTGTAGGATTCAATGAAACAAAACAAAAGCTTTGCCCTTATAGAGCTTACATTCCAACAGGGAGTTAGAAAAGCATAAGTCTGAAATCTTCAATGTGAGTAATGAAATAAATCATCAAGACTGCTGAGTGGGCTGAGCTGGGATTAGACATGATGAATGTATAAGATCAGAAAGATGCTATGACCTTCTCCAGCGGCACTCAGAAGCCTGAGAAGAGATAAAGCAGGCAATAGAGGGTTGGAAATTAAAATGAGGAAAAAAAACAGCAACTCTTTGGCTTGATTTTCAAGCAATATATTCTAATCTCCAGAGGTTATTGCCACAACTGTTCTGCTCAATTTTAACACAATATAGCAATGCCCAGACTAATCCAGTGGTCAGCTTTTTGGCTCAAACAGAAACTAGGAAATGAAAAAGATTTTAGTGAGGTCACTAAGCTTTAGGAAAAATGGGTGTTGTCCAGGCTTTGCCATCCCTAGCCTCTCACTCAGATAAGATCATGTAAAATTAGACAACAGATTAGGAGAATGAAGATGCACAGACACTATCAGAAAGTGATGCTAACAGGAAGAGAAGAGAAAGTAGATGAGCACCTTGCAAGGCAAATGGAGCTAAGAAATACAGGAGTCGGGGGAGCACGGACTTTAACTCTTAAGGGGTGAGCAGCCTGATCAGGGGATGCATTCAGGCTCCTTGTGAACATTTCCAAATCATTACATGGTGCGATAACTTGACATGATAGAGCCCAGAAAAGAAGATTTATTTATATTTAGTCTACTACCTTTATGAACTCAAGGATAGATGTGATGTTGTCCTCTAGAGGGAGAATTCTCTGCCCCACCCCCTACTGCCAATGATATTTTTAAGTTGTCATAAATGGAGAAAAACTTCAGTTATCATGAATATAAACCACACGATCAGTAGTTCTTAACTTTTAGAGTCTTAGACCCTCTCCCTAGAAAAAGAAGTCATGTATTTACATATAAAGAAAATTTTGCATACAATTACAGGACTCTGATGCCTAGCTTTGAACTTCAAGCTGCAATCTCTGACTTATATGTAATACTCTCATTTATTAGTGATACAAAAAAAATAAATACTGTTACTATTTTTGTTCCACTTTGCCAAAGTTAGTGAATCTTCCATGATACCCTCTCAGTTATATTTCTTAATAACAATGAGCTTAAAACCCATGTTTATAAATACAGTGTAATCCTGGTTAATCTTCCCCAGCTCCACTTCGTTGCTGAGTAATTTATGCAGGGCTATATTTATTCACCTGTTCAGTGCACCACGCTGTGGCCTCACCCACCTGGAGACACCCTGGCCTGATCTCAGCTTCCTCCCATCCTCAGGCCTGTGGACCCAGGCCACAGCAAGCCTCCTGCCCAGGTGCACCTGACTGCTGAATGCCTGCTTCCCACCTCTACCCAAATTCCCCTACAGTTTTCCTAATTCCAATTTATTTATTAAATGTAAGAATAATGTCCTCCTTTATGGAGAGGTACTGTGACATCATCTCTGCCCAGAGTGTACTTGAACAGCAGCGCTGATTGTCCAGGAGAGTTTCCAGGACTCGACAGTCACTGAAAAGCTCTCCGTGCAGCTTTTAGGCGATTTAATGTCTACATATTACAGCTCATGTCTCTGCTCTTATGGGAGCCTCTCAGGCTCTGCTCAGAGCCCATCTGTTTGTACAACACACAGAATACTAAGAAATTCATGAGTTTTTTGTTGACAAAGATTAAAAGCAAAATGTATAAGCAAAATGCAGAATGCTGGCATATATGGGGATATGAGTAACCTACATTGTGTGTGTTTGTGTGTGTGTGTGTGTGTGTGTGTGTGTGCATGCATGTATGTCATTTTTGAAATCCAGGGCACATTTCACATGTTCAATAGCCACATATGGACAATGGTCACATATTGGATGGCACATCTTTAGAAAGTTAATCACACGAAGGCCTTATATATAAGGGCTCTTAGAGGAATTACTCCATCAAGAAGTGAATCTAGGAAGGAAAAATAGATATAAGAAGTAAATGTAGAGTGATGTCACCTAAGATAGTGGAGTAAAAGAAAACAGCCTTCACTCCCAAACAGCAAAACAAATATTGACAGGTATCCACAAACCAAAATAGCCTTGGGAGGGCTCAAAAGCCCATTCCCCAGCACTTTGGGAGGCCAAGGCGGGCGGATCATGAGGTCAAGAGATCAAGATCATCCTGGTCAACATGGTGAAACCCCATCTCTACTAAAAATACAAAAATTAGCTGGGCATGGTGGTGTGTGCCTATAGTCCCAGCTACTCAGGAAGCTGAGGCAGGAGAATCACTGAACTCAGGAGGCGGAGTTTGCAGTGAGCCGAGATCACACCACCGCACTCCAGCCTGGGGGATAAAGCGAGACTCTATCTCAAAAAAAAAAAAAAAACAGAGAATACCTGCACAGAAAAGATTGCTTGTGAGACTGGCAGAACAGAGATGCCAGAAAATGGTTAGAAACAAAGAAGAAAGGCAGAGGCTACTGGCATCAGCCATATGGTAGAAGCCATCCTGTCCCCAACAGCCTGTTTCTCAGGGTGTAACACCATCTTCTGCCTTGAGGTTGAACAACAGCCATTTTCACTGGTGAATCTGAGAGAGAAAAAAACCCTTGGGTAGGGTTTTCCCCGCCCAAGAAACAGCTGTTGTGTGGCTTCAAGACTACAGCCACCACCCTCCCTTGGGTATGACCCTGACACACGAGCCACAGCTGCCCCACGAGTGAACACACTCCAGACACCAGGCTCTGTGGCTGCACTACACCCACCCGTGTGTCAGACACCAGAGACATAGCCATAGAACAAGCTTACACCCCAGAGCCCAGAATCAAGGTCTCTCTGCACATGTACATGCCTATACTTCAGGCATCTGCTCAGCTGCCACAGAGAACTAGGCCCTGCCCTAACCCCGGAGCCACTGTAACTCTGACTATGTCTGTGCTCCCATTCTTGGCTGACACTTCACAAGCACTCACATCTCATATATTGTTACCAATGCAGCAGTAGGGGTGCCTTCTCCCAGGCACCAGCAGACCCCAGAGCCATAGTCCCTCCACACATGCCCAAGCTTCAGATCTCAGCTCTATGGCTACTCCAGGGTACCATTCATCAATACTAATGCCACTGCCAATGCAAATCGGCCCACAAGCTGGACCCAGTACCAAAAGGGAACTCCTGTCCACAACTTACCCAGTTGGAGAAAAAGAAGTTGAGAAGATCTTAGCAGCTATTACCAGTGAAACCCAACAATCTTCACCACCACTGCAGACATCCACACTGTTGGCCACTTGCAATCTTCAGCAACATCAACACCTGAGCTGACAGAGCTGCACAGAGACACTGTCTGACAACAGTGGCACCCTCACTGGTGTCAGAACTGCTACACAGCATCCAGGAAGTGCCTTCACACCTCCAAGTAGAAGAAGGTCTTTCCACATTGAAACTAGCCCATAAAGTCTGGAAGGGATTGATCTTAACAAATGTGCAGAATTCAACATAAGGCAACAAGAAACATGAAAAGCCAAGAATACATATCGCCATGTATTAGTCCATTTGCATTGCTATAAAGGAATACATGAGGCTGGGTAGCTTATATAACAAAAAGAGGCTTATTTTGGCTTATGGTTCTTCAGACTGTACAAGAAGCATGGCACCAGCACCTGTTTCTGGTGAGGCCTCAGGAAGCTATTCCACATGGCAGAAAGCAAAGGGGGAGCAGATATATTACTTGGCAATAGGGGGAGTAAGAGAAAGAGGGAGGTCTCATACTCTTTTAAACAACCAGGTCTCATATTAACTAATAGAGCAAGAACCCGCTCATTACCATAGGGTGGGCACCAAGTCATTCATGAGGGACCTGCCCCCATGATCTAAAACCTCTCTTCAGGCCTCACCTCCAACATTGTGAATTACATTGCAAAATAAGATTTGGAGGGGACAAATATCCAAAATATATTATTCCTCATTGGTCCCCCAAATCTCATCATGTCTTTCTCATATCGCAGAATACAATGATCCGTTTCCAGTAGTCTCCCAAAGTCTTAACTTGTTCCAAACATCAACTCGAAAGTCTCATCTGAGATTCAAGGCAAATTCCTTAGAGTTATGAGGCTGTGTGATCAAAAATAAATTATTCACTTCCAAGATACAATGATAATACAAGCACTGGGTAAACAGTCCCTTTTCAAAAGGGAGAAATCTGCCAAAAGAAAGGAACAACAGGTACCATGCAAGTCCAAAACCCAACAGGGCAGACATTAAACCTTAAAGCTCCAAAATAATCTCCCTTGACTCCATGTTCCACATCCTGAGCACACTGGTGCAAGGGGTAGGCCCTCCAAGCCCCGGGCAGCTCCATCCCCATGGCTTTGTTGGGTGCAGGCCATGTGGCTCTGCTTTCATGGGTTGGAGTAGAATGTCTGCAGCTTTTCCAGGCTGAGTGCATATTGCTGGTGGCTCTACCATTATGGGGTCTGGAGGGTGTTAGCTCAGTTTGCACAGTTCTACTAGGTAGTCCCCTAGAGGAGACTCTGTATGGGGGCTCCAATCCCACATTTCTCCTCATCATTGCCTTAGTAGAGGCTCTCTGTAGGGGCTCTGCCCTTGTGACAGGTTTCTACCTGGGCACTCAGGATTCCCCATACATCTGAAATCTAGGTGGAAGCTGCCAAGTCTCCATAACTCTTGCATTATGCACACCTGCAGATCCAATACCATGTGGAAGCCCCAAGGCTTATGGCTTGCACTCTTTGGAGTGGTGACCCAAGCTGTACCTGGGGCTGTTTGAGCCAAGGCTGGAGCCTGTGCTGCAAGTATGTGGGGAGTAGCATTGCAAGGTAAGACAGCACAGGGCAATTGTGCCCTGGGCCTGACCCCTAAAACCCGTCTGTCCTTTTAGGCCTCTGGCTTGTGATGGGAGGGGTGACCTGGAAGATTCCTGTAATGCCTTTTCCCCATTTTACTGAATATTAGCACTTGGCTCCCTTTTAGTCATGCTAATCTCTCTAGAAGAGTTTGCTCCCCAGCCTGCATGGATCCTTCTCCTTTGGATTCCTCTCCTGAAGATGCTCTTTCCTTCTCTACCACATGAACAGGCTGAGGATTTTTGCTCCCATATCTTACTGTAGGTTGTTAGAAGTAGCCATGCCACTTCTGGAATGCTTTGCTGCTTAGAAACTTTTTCCGCCAGATATCCTAGGTCATCACTCTTAAGTTTAGTTGTCCATAAAGTCCTAGGACACGGATAAAATGCAGTTAAGTTCTTTGCTAGGGAGTAACAAGGGTGAATTTTGCTCCAGCCCCCAGTAAGTTTTTCATTTCCATCTGAGACCTTGTCAGCCTAGCCTTTACTGTCCATATTTCTATCTGCATTTTGGTCACAACCACTTAACCAGTCTCTAATAAGTTCCAAAGTTTCCCTTATTTTCCTGTCTTCTTCTGAGCCCTCCAAACTCCTTCAATCTCTGCCTGTTACCCAGTTCCAAAGACACTTTCACATTTTCAGGTATCTTTATAGCAATACCTCACTACTCAGTACTAATTTTTCTGTATTAGTCCATTTTGCATTGTTATAAAGGAATGCCTGAGGCTAGGTAATTTATAAAGAAAAGAAGTTTATTTTGGTTTATGGTTCTGTAGACTGTACAAGAAGCATGACACCAGTATCTGCTTCTGGTGAGGCCTCAGGAAGCTATTACTCATGGTAGAAGGTAAAGGGCCATGTCACATGGTGAGAGGAAGCAAGAGATTGGGGGGAGGTCCCGGACTCTTTACCAACCAGATATCACATGAACTAATAGAGCAAGAACTTACTCATTACTGTGGGAAGGCTGCCAAGCCATTCATGAGTGATCTCTCCCTGTGATCCAAATACCTCCAGGTCCCACCTTGAGTATTGGAGATTACATTTTAACATAAGATTTAGAGGAGACAAATATCCAAAGTATGCCACACCACAAAACAAACAAAAAACCAATAATCTCCCAGTAGCTGACCCAAAAGAAATGGAGATATATAAACTGCCTGACAAAGAATTCAAAATAATTGCTATAAGGAAGCTCAGAGAATTTCAATAAAAATACAAAAAAACAATTCAATTAAATCAGAGAAACATAAATGAACAAAATAGATCAAAATCATATACAAAAATAAACAGAGATTGAAATCATATGCAAAAATGAAAATTCTGGAGCTGAAGAATTTGGTGAATGTAATGTGAAGTGCAACAGAGAGCATCAACAGCAGAATTAATAAAGCAAAAGAAGAAACTGTGAATTCAAAGACAGGTTATATGAAAGTATACAGTCAGAGGAGAAAAAAGAAAAAACTTTAACAATGAAGAAAGCTTAAAGAATTTATGGGGCAGCATCAGGAGAACAAATATTTAAATTATGGATGACCAAGAAGCAGAAGAGAAGAACAAAAAAAAAACCAGAAAGCTTATCTAAAAAAATAAAAGCTTCCTGGTGCATAAGGGGCACCAAAGAAAATAAATAAACAAATAAATAAAAGTTAGAAACTTCCCAAATCTGGGGAAAGATATAAATATTGAGGTATAGGGAGGTCAAAAGTCTCCAATCAAATTCAATCCAAATAAGACTGCACCAAGCCATATTACAATCAAACTGTCAAAAATCAAAGACTAAGAGAGGATCCTGAAAGCAGCAAGAAAAAAGAAGCATATCACATAAAAGAGGGCTCTAACAAGGCTGGCAGTGGATTTCTCAGAAGAAACCTTACAGGCCAGGAGAGAGTGGGATGATATAGTCAACATGCTTCAGGGAAAAAAAAACCCTGCAAACCAATAATGCTTTACCTGACAAAGCTGTCCTTTAGGAAATGATAAAGACTTCCCAGAAAAGAAAAGCTGAGGGAGTTTGTCACCACTGGACATACCTTACAAGAAATGCTAAAGGGAATTCTTTAACCTGAAAGAAAAGGATGCTAACAAGTAACAGGAAAACATATAAAAGTATAAAATTCACTGGTAAAAGTAAGTACAGAGTCAAATTCACAATACCCTAATACTGAAATGGTAGTGTGTAAATCACTTATATCTTTAGTATGAAGGTTAAGGCTAGGCATGGAGGCTCACGCCTGTAATCGGCACTTTGGGAGGCCAAGGTGGGCGGATCACCTAAGGTCAGGAGTTTGAGACCAGCCTGGCCAACCTGGTGAAACCCCATCTCTACTAAAAATACAAAAATTAGCCGCGTGTGGTGGCACATGCTTGTATTCCCAGCTACTCAGGAGGCTGAGGCAGGAATCGCTTGAACCCAGGAGGTGAAGGTTGCAGTGAGCCGAGATCATGCCATTGCACTCCAGCCTGGGTGACAAGAGTGAAACTCCATCTCAAAAAAAAGGGGGGGCGGTTAAAAGACCAAACTATTAAAAAGAATAACAACTACAATGATTTGTTAAGGGATACACAATATAAAAATATGTAAATTATTACACAAACATATAAAATGTAGTTGGAGGGGCACTGGAGTAAAAGCGTAGAGGTTTTTGTGATCAAGGTTAAGTTGTTATCAGCTTAAAATAGCCCATTGTAACTATTTGATGTTTTATGTAAGCCTATGATAACCACTAAGCAAAAATCTATAGTAGATACACAAAAGATAAAAAGTAAAGAATCAAAGCATGCCACTAGAGAAAACCATCTAACCACAAAGGTAAACAGCAAGTGAGCAAGAAAGGAAGAAAGGATCTACAAAATAACCAGTAAACAACGAGCAAAATTACAGTAGTAAGTCCTTACCTATTAATAATTACCTTGAATGTAAATGGATTAAATTCTCTAAGAAAAAGAGTGGCTGAATTGATTTAAAAAAAGAAAAAAAGCAGACTCAACTACATGCTACCTACAAGAGACTCACTTTGCCTTTAAGAACACACATAAATTGAAAGTGGAGGGATGGAAAAAGATATTTCATACAAATGGAAACCAAAAGAGAGCAGAGATAGCTATATTTACATCAGATAAAATAGACCTTAATTCAGGAGAACATTGACTACATAAAAAAAGAGACTAAGTTAAAAACTATAAAAAGAGACAAAGGTCATTATATAATGATAAATGAGTCAATTCATCAAGAAGATAAAATAATTACAAATGTATATACCCTCAACCTCAGAGCATCTAAATATATAATGCAAATATTAATAGACCTGAAGAGAGAGATAGACTGCAATACAATAATAGTAAGGGAACTTAATACCTCCACTTTCAACAATGGAGAGATCATCCAGAGAGAAAATCAATACAGAAATATTGAACTTGAGCTACACTTTAGACAAAATGGACCTAACAGACATATACAGAACATTCTATACAACATAAGCAGAATATATTCTCAAGAGCACAGAGAACCTTCTATAAGATAGATTATATGTTAGGCCACAAAACAAGTGTTAACAAATTTAAAAAAATTGAAATCACATCAGGTATCTTTTCCAATCACAATGGCATGAAACTAGAAATCAATAGGAGGAATTTTGAAAATTCACAAGTATGTGGAAATTAAACAACATGCTCCTAAACAACCAGTGGTTGAAGAAGAAATTACAAGGAAAATTTAAAAATATTTTGAAACAAATGAAAGTGGAAACACAACATACCAAAACATATGAGATGTAGCAAAAGCAGTTCTAAGATGGAAGTTTATAGCAATAAATGCCTACATCAAAAAAGAAGGATCTTAAATAAACAACCTAACATCATACCTCCACAAACTGGAAAAAGAAGAAGAAATTAAGGTTTAAATTAGCACAAGAATGGAAATAATAAAGATCAGAGCAGAGATAAATGAAATATACTAGAAAAACAGTAGAAAAGATCAAGGAAACTAGGAGTTGATGTTTTGAAAAGAGCAAAATCAATAGAGCTTTAGTTAGACTAAAAAGAGAAGACCTAAATAAACAAAATCAGAAATGAAAGATGAAACATTACAACTGATACCACAGAAATATAAAGGTTCATAAGAGCCTGCTATGAATAATGTTGTGCCAACAAATTGGATAAACTAGAAGAAATGGACGAACTCCTAGACATATATAACCTAGTAAGACTGAATCATGAAGAAACAAAAAATCTGAACAGAGCAATAACAAGTGAGAAGATTGAATCAGTAATAAAAAGTCTCCCATCAAAGAAAAGCCCCACAACCTGATGCTTCACTGCTGAATTCTACCAAACATTTAAAGAACTAATACCAACCCTTCCCAAGTGCTCCAAAAAATTGCAGAAGAAGGAATACTTCCAAATTTATTGTATAAGGCCAGCATTACCCTGATACTAAAGTCAGACAAGGACACTGCAAGAAAAAAATATATTACAGGCCAATATCCCTGATGAATATAGATGTAAAAATCCTCAACAAAATACTCGCAAACTGAATTCAACAGCACATCAAAAGGATCATTCATCATTATCAAATGATATTTATCCCAGGGATACAAGGATAGTTCAACGTGCACAAACCAGTAAAAGTAACACATCACATTAACAGAATGAAGGACAAAAACCATATGATCATCTCAATAGATGCAGAAAAGGCATTTGACAAAACTGAATATCCTTTCAAGGTAAAAACTCTCGACAAATTAGGTCTAGAAGGAATGTACCTCAGTACAATGAAGCATATATGACAAGTCCACAGCTAATGTCATACTGAATAGTAAAAAGTTTAAGGCTTTTTCTCTAAGATCAGGAACAAGAGAAGGATGCTCACTCTCACTGCTTCTAATCAGCACAGAACTGGAAATCCTAATCAGAGCAACAGGTAAAAGAAAGAAAAGGCATCCAAATGAAAAGGAAGAAGTTAAATTGTCTCGGTTTGTAGAGGACATGATCTTGTATGTATAGAAAACTCCTAAAGATTCCATCCAAAAGCTGTTCGAACTGATAAATGAATTCAGTAAAACTGCAGGATACAAAAACCAACATACAAAAATCAGTAACATTTCTATACACTAATAATGAGCTATGTGAAAAAGAAATTTTAAAAATCCCATTCACAATAGCTACAAAAAATAATAAAATACTTAGGAATAAATGTAAGCAATGAGGTGAAAGATCTGAACACGCAAAACTACAAAATACCCATGACAGAAACTGAAGAAGACACAAACGAATGGAACAATATCTCATGTTCATAGATTGAAGGAATTAAAATTATTAAAATGTTCATCCCACTCAAAGCAACCTACATATTCAACGCAATCCCTACCAAAATTCCAACAACACTTTCACATTAACAGAAAAAATAATCCTAAAATTCATATGGAACCACAAAAGGTCTGAATAGCTAAAACATTTTTGAACAAAACAGAAAAACAAAAACAAAGCTGTAGGCATCATAGCATCAGTAGGACAGTAACACCCAAGGTGTGGAGTAATCCCAGGATTGAGAAATGTTTCCAGTACAAATGTAGGTCAATTTTAACTTGCCTCTGGCAAATGGCAACCACAGTTGTAGCTCAAAGTGTCCAGTGCAATTCTATCACATCTTGGTCACTCGCTAGCTTGGCAGAATCAACTATTCGCTGCATTTTGAGTAGGGGTTGTGAGTTGTGTTTTTCATTTGTGTTTTGTGTGGGTATCAAGGGTAGCATGGGGGTTAGTATAGGTCCTTGCCACCCAGAGGTGATTTATAGACCATTAGTACCTGTATCAACTCCGAGGATATGAATATGTTACAAATTCAGAATCTTGAGAATCGCCTCAACCCTACCATATTAGAATCTGTATTTAAATAAAATCTCCATATACACCTTAAAGTTGGAGAAGCTTTAAGTTCCTTAGAACTGTTAATTTTAAAGAGAGAGATGATAGCTATGTAGTGGGCAGAGTAGGATCAGTCCCTAATTTCTACTTGAAATATCCTTGTCTCAGATTCTCCATTAATTTAGAGATACCATTTCATCCCTTATGAGTAAAGGCTACAACATCTTTTGTACCCTGAACTCACTTGATCAGCAGCCTTAATTATTTCAACTATGGCCCAGACCTAGGAACTAAAAAAAAAAAAAAAAAAACAAAAAAAAAAACAGGCTGGGCACGGTGGCTCATGCCTGTAATCCCAGCACTTTGGAAGGCCGAGGTGGGAGGATCACCTGAGGTCAGGAGTTCAAGACCAGCCTGACCAACATGAAGAAACCCCATTTCTACTAAAAATACAAAATTAGACAGGCGTGGTGGCGCATACCTGTAATCCCAGCTACTCGGGAGGCAGAAGCAGGAGAATCGCTTGAACCCAGGAGGTGGAGGTCGCAGTGAGCCAAGATCACACCATTGCATTCCAGCCTGGGCAACAAGAGGGAAACTCTGTCTCAAAAAACAAACAAACAAACAAAACACTCCAGGCATGGATGCCTTAATAGCTACATATATATCACAGATTCTGTGTTTTACACATTAGCAAGATCTCAGACCCTTATGATTCCAATAAACTTAGGGCTATGGATCCCTGACCACGAAGGATTGGAAGCAGCAAAGTAGGGCAAAGGGAAAGAAGTAAAATATGGAGTTGGGGTGAAGTTTACAATGAGAATTGATGGTAGAAAGAATAGCTTTGACATTTTCGTAGTTATTTAGATTTATAAATCTGTGCACACGTCAAAAACAGTCACTCAGATCTTAGAGAAATTGTACTTAACCCTGCCTACGTGTTAGCATCACCTACTTTTCTCAAGCCTCAATCTCGGAGATTCTGATGTAATTGGTTTGGAGTGGGATCCAGGCGCAGGTGTTTCATTAAAGCTTCCCAGGTGATTCTTAGTGGTTTAGGCTCAGTCATCATAGGGCCCAAAGGCCTAAACACCTAAGTAGCCTCTAAATAGGCTCTTTCCAGCTTGCTATAATCATTGACAATCAAGGACCCCAGGGTTGGTGAGGATGACCTTGGTTACTAGGATTTTCTTTTAAGAGGAAAACACTCTATATATTAGAGGTGATTTTGGCAGAAAATAAGATAGCCTGGAAGTAAATGATACACAAACACCGATATAAGTCCTGTGTCATAGTTGGAGAAATCTGGAGGGCACTGGTGTGTTGAATCAGACACCCCCTATCTCTCCCTCTTGACCCTCCCTCCATATAGCCCAACATTTACCATGCCCGTGAATCACCTGGGGGTCTTGTTCCAATACAGATTCTGACTCAGTAGTCTTGGGGGAGGCTCCAGATTCTGTCATTCTTACGAGCTCCAGGTGATGCTACTGTAGCTGGTCCAGGGACAACACTTTGAGTCAAGGTCATCCTGATGGCCTTGACTACTCCTCAACCCCTTCTTTGGAACCCAAACAAGAAGAATGGCTCCCATGAATTCCACTGGGGTCCTTGATCTACAGCCACTGTACCAAAAACTGTAGGCATTCCTGAACTAACATCATATATTTTGTCCATCTCTTTTCTTAACTATTCCCTCCTCCCACTAGGCAATGTTATAGGAGGATTGGGGCCTACTGAGTTAGAAACAAGCTTAGAGAGCAGGTATTTTGCCCCATTCATTACAAAACTATGGCACTGAGGCCAAGTTGCAAAGGATTTGTCAAGTTCACAGGTGATCGTGGTAAAGGCAAAACTAGATCTAAATCAGGACATGAACGCATCCATTAAGGATTCTGTCAAAATGATTGCTTCCTGTAGCTTTCTGTGTGAAACATCCATTTGCTTATCCTCAGGGAAATCAGACTAACAAAGACTTGGAAAGGAACATAAAATTCTAAAGCTAGGCTTATGGCCTTTATAACCCTTAGATGGGGCAGATAACATGCCACGGAGGCTCAGAGACAGCTCTGAGACTATGCAATAGCTACTGTTTCCCCTCTTGTGGAATGTTCACTTAAAAAAGCTCAAGGGCTCTATAAGTTGCCCAATGAACTCCACAGACATCCTTAATTCATTTTCATTTATTGGAACCCTCTCTCAAATAATTTTCTAAATCTCACGCAATAATGATGTATATTCTTGCTCAATATTAAGAAGCCCTCATGCAAAACTGAAGAAATAAATTGTTCTTACAAAAGAAGGAAAAAGGAATTATATTCTCAGAACATTCTGCTTACCCAGACACACAGATCTGATTCTTGCTCCATTGTTTGTGGCATTCTGGATCCTAGGGCCATTGATGAGGCTGGGTCAGTGGCCACACTGGCTCCTGGGTACCCCTTCCCTGGCCACAAAAGTCCATCCCAGCAGCACTATTTAAACTGGACTTATTTCTCACTTCACAGCTCTGGCCTGGGCTGAGACCTCCCCAACAGAGCTTATTAGCGAGCTTGTCATCTTGCTCTGTGGCTATCTAGGTCTGGAGTCAAGAGCCATTCACAGGAAAATCAGCATGAAACCTTTAAGTTTGCATATTAAATATTAACACCACTAAGGGCTACAGTGGAAAAGAGGTTTGCTGAGCTCAAGGGCCCTCACTCCACCCCCAACTTCCCTTGGCTTTTCTCTTCTATGTTGTGTTCCTGGTAAATCCCATTATGTCTCGACTACCTTAGGCCCTCTCAGCCCCTTCTTGGGAATTAGGCTCTCTGGATAGGCAAAGAGGCAGATACCCAGCTGCCAGGTGAATCAGATGTCCTCATCAGATCTCTTAATTTCCACTTTGGTGATATTTCAAAGGATCACAAATTATGTTCTTAGTGCCTGGTCAGAGAACTGGGAAAGAGCTGGAAGATGAGACACCAAACTCCATCCCATGGTGATGTTTGAACCAGGCTGGAGCTGGTTTCACATGTTTTTCATTGTGCATGACTTTCTTAATTGCCTTAGTGGGAATGCGTTACTGCAAAATAAAGTGAAATTGTTTTCCTTATTGCTTGTAATTTACAGAGGGGTGGTTTTGATCATATAAACCAGGCACTTTTCAAATCCATTGATCTTAGGGTGGAAGGAGGGATTTCTTTTTAAGTATTCATTTCGAACTATGCTTTCACTAGTAAACTCAAAGCCCAAGGGCAAAAACCCATGATTCTCCATTTTGTAATAGCTATTAGATGTCCACAGCACATCAGACCTGTGGAAAACGCATGCTTTGTGTATGGAAGAGGGAGAGGGAGCGTCAGGAGTTGTCCTTTGCCAAAAAACGTACTCTGACACTCAAAGGCACAGGCTGGTGGAGATCCAGGGAACCCGGGAAAGCCCAGGCCTAACTCAGGCCCGCGCGGGTCTCTTCTGATCCCATAAGATGAGGAGTGGGTCCTGGCTCTGGGCATCCTGGTGTCGACTGTGAGTTCCCAGCAGAGGCCCAGAGTCCCGGTCCGGCAGCCGAGGGAAGCGGGGGGGTCTTCCAGAAGAAGAAAGGGCCAAGGTCACCCCGGTGCCTCTCCAGCAGCAGCAGAGGGCGGCGGTCGGTGTCGCTGCTGGCCGGGGCCTCGAGGAAGGCGCGGGCCAGCTGGGGCCGGGTCTGCGTTCCCAGGAGCTGCCACCGTTCCAGGGAGCAAGTCAGGCCGGGACGTAGCGCCTGCGCGGGACCCTCACTTGCCACCAAGACCCCCACAAACCCCGCCCCATCCTGCCTTACGCCCCGCCCCAAGGTCGTTCTCCCGACCCGGGGTCCCGCCCCAAGGCCGTCCTCCCGCCCCGCCGCTTGGTGGCGGCCGCATGCTGCCCGGATATAAAGGGTCGGCCCCACATCCCAGGGACCAGCGAGCGGCCTTGAGAGGCTCTGGCTCTTGCTTCTTAGGCGGCCCGAGGACGCCATGGCCGAGTGCCCGACACTCGGGGAGGCAGTCACCGACCACCCGGACCGCCTGTGGGCCTGGGAGAAGTTCGTGTATTTGGACGAGAAGCAGCACGCCTGGCTGCCCTTAACCATCGAGGTACAGCCAGCTTTGGAGCGGATGGCGAGGCAGCAGGGGCAGCCCCTGGGAGCTTGGGATGCCCTAGGAAGGGCGAGGACTCAAGGAGCACTCACTATGGGGCAGGGAGGATCCCCACAGATGAAGCCACTTTGAGCCGGGCTCTGGAGGATGAATAGGAGTTCTCCAGGCAGGGAAGAAGGGTGGGAAAACCGCAAAGGAATGTCGGTCAAAGGGGTGGACCCAGTGCCTGTGGAGTGTGACTATAATGTTGACTACAGCAGGCATTTTCTGGGCTTCGGGGTCCTAATCCTTAAAAATGGGTATCTCTAAGTGACTCATCCATATGGCCGATTATCGGAATCATCTCAGGTGGGTCCCAGAAATCTGTATTTTTAAAAAGAACCCTCAACAGTTTAGGGTCAACCAGGCATAGCAAACACTGGCCTAGAGTGTGAAGTATTTTCCACTACCTCTGGGCTTTATTTAGAAAACAAATTTAACAAGTGATGTCGTAGTATAAGCGCCGGTATTGAATCAATATTGACTTTTTTAATGTGTGATGCCTTAAGATGGGTCCTTAATCCATGTTAAGTTTTTGTTAAAGAAATAGATAAGTCTTTTACAAGTATTTGGATTTACTCAATGAAAAAGAGTCAAAAAATGTTCAAACTCTCTCCAAACATACACTGAAGAAAGCATAAAAATTAAAAAATATATTAGAACACGTATGTCCAGTAGCAATCAAAAATTATTGAGTGTTGACTGTGTCTCTACAGATGGGAAACTGAGGCACAAAAATGTACATTTGTCCGAGGTAAGATTGCTAGTAGGTAATGGGGTTGGAATTCTAGGCTCTTAACCACCACAAAATCTGCATTTTTATTGGCATTTCAATTTTTTAAATATGTTTTTACTTTAAAAATCAAGTTAAATACTTACTTTTTTAAAATCAAAATTTGAAGAAATAATTTGAAGATTCAGTGGATTTCTTTTTTTAAATCTCTGAGAAATCTCTTCTTCAACGTGACACCAAAACCACGAACCAGACAGTTTTTCATAAAATCATGATACATGCTCCACAAAAAATAACCCACTAGCAAACTGTGGGACAGATTTTGCCTCACATCATTGAAAAGGCCAGTATTCTTTTTCTCTCTTTCTTTCTTTGTTGTTTTTTTTTTTTCCTGTAGATACAGGGTCTCGCTCTGTGACCCAGGCTGGTCTTAAACTCCTGGCCTCAAGCGATCCTCCTGCCTCTGCCTTCCAAAGCACTGGAATTACAAGTGTGAGCCGCTGCAACCCGCCAGAAAAAAGTGTGCCTTTCATGGCCCTGTCTGGGTGGCTAGACACGTGTGTGTGCTGGTGGTCCTGGCCCAGCCAGAGTCCCTGAGAGGAGCATGCATGGCCTAAGGAAGTGAGCTTCAGGGAACAGTGATGACCATCATTTCACACTCGGACCCCTGCCCAGATGGGTGGATGGCTGGCAGGAGGGATTCCGGTTTTCTGCGCCTGGAGAAGCCCTGGCAAGCGGAACCTGAAAGTATGCCCTGTCCTTTTCTTCTCCTCAGATAAAGGATAGGTTACAGTTACGGGTGCTCTTGCGTCGGGAAGACGTCGTCCTGGGGAGGCCTATGACCCCCACCCAGATAGGCCCAAGCCTGCTGCCTATCATGTGGCAGCTCTACCCTGATGGACGATACCGATCCTCAGACTCCAGTTTCTGGCGCTTAGTGTACCACATCAAGGTGAGTGTCTTTCTCCCAGAGGTCCATCGGGTGATCTTGGGTTTGCCCTCCTCCATGTCTGGCCTTAGTGGTTTATCTTCCCTCCATCCCAGTCCCAAAAGCATTAAAAAATGGGGGAAATGTACAAGTGCAGATTTCTAAAGGACTTTACCAGAGAGAAGATAGATCCTCTGAGGTCTCTAACAGAACCCTACCTCCACTTCCTCCCAGCCACCAGCTAGCCGCAGGAAGACATCTCTGGTGGGCAGTCACAGGCTGAAGGCTGGTGGGAGGAGGGGCAGTCTCCAAGAGCCCCTGAAATCCTCACACCTGGGTTCCTACCTGCTGTTTCCAGCTAGGGGAAGGCGCAGGAGTGAGGAATGGAGGGAGTGGAGGGCTCTGGCCGATCAATGCCTTCTCTCTCTCTCTGCCTCTCAGATTGACGGCGTGGAGGACATGCTTCTCGAGCTGCTGCCAGATGACTGATGTATGGTGAGCTCCACTGGAGCCTGACCCCTCTTAGTCCACAGTGGCTGTATCAGAAAGAAAGACCACCCCTTCTCCATGAAGGCAGTGCTAACCCCTCCCCGACTGCTGCCATCTGAGGGTCCCTAGGGATGGGAGAGGCTTCCTGGAGGCACTCATGTCTCCCTTACCACTTCGGGAGCCAAGGGCTTTGTAGGCAGCCCCCTTTATCGCAGCTGCTCATATCTATAAAGTACTTCACAAGTTTCAGCTGGCACTTTCATTTACCATTGCTTTTTTTTTTTTTTGAGATGAGTCTGGCTCTGTGGCCCAGGCTAGAGTGTAGTGGTGCAATCTCAGCTCACTGCAAGCTCTGCCTCCCGGGTTCACACCATTCTCCTGCCTCAGCCCTCGGAGTAGCTGGGACTACAGGCGCCCGCCACCACACCTGGCTAATTTTTTTTTTTTTTTTTTTTTTTTAGTAGAGACGGGGTTTCACCGTGTTAGCCAGGATGGTCTCGATCTCCTGACCTCATGATCTGCCCGCCTCGGCCTCCCAAAGTGCTGGGATTACAGGCATGAGCCACCACGTCCGGCCTTACCATTGCTTTATTAAATAAGCACTGGTGCTTGATTATATCAGCTGAGCCAGATATTAGATACGCTATTGAGTTTTGAGGAAATAAGAGTACAAAACTCAGAAATGAGTTGAAGTATAGTGACATCTTCAGATTACAGACCCAGGTGTCAGAATTTGCCTTGGCTCAGAAGGCCTCTGGGGGCCATCCCTGACCACTAGGCTTCCCACTTAGACCTGCTCCAGCAGCACCACCCCTCGCCACTGCCTGGTCCTTTCCTTCACCCTTGATTCTGTCTTCTTTTGTCCTTCTCCAGGTCTTGGCAGCACCTGTCTCCTTTCACCCCAGGGCCTGAGCCTGGCCAGCCTACAATGGGGATGTTGTGTTTCTGTTCACCTTCGTTTACTATGCCTGTGTCTTCTCCACCACGCTGGGGTCTGGGAGGAATGGACAGACAGAGGATGAGCTCTACCCAGGGCCTGCAGGACCTGCCTGTAGCCCACTCTGCTCGCCTTAGCACTACCACTCCTGCCAAGGAGGATTCCATTTGGCAGAGCTTCTTCCAGGTGCCCAGCTATACCTGTGCCTCGGCTTTTCTCAGCTGGATGATGGTCTTCAGCCTCTTTCTGTCCCTTCTGTCCCTCACAGCACTAGTATTTCATGTTGCACACCCACTCAGCTCCGTGAACTTGTGAGAACACAGCCGATTCACCTGAGCAGGACCTCTGAAACCCTGGACCAGTGGTCTCACATGGTGCTACGCCTGCATGTAAACACGCCTGCAAACGCTGCCTGCCGGTAAACACGCCTGCAAACGCTGCCTGCCCGTAAACACGCCTGCAAACGCTGCCTGCCCACACAGGTTCACGTGCAGCTCAAGGAAAGGCCTGAAAGGAGCCCTTATCTGTGCTCAGGACTCAGAAGCCTCTGGGTCAGTGGTCCACATCCCGGGACGCAGCAGGAGGCCAGGCCGGCGAGCCCTGTGGATGAGCCCTCAGAACCCTTGGCTTGCCCACGTGGAAAAGGGATAGAGGTTGGGTTTCCCCCCTTTTATAGATGGTCACGCACCTGGGTGTTACAAAGTTGTATGTGGCATGAATACTTTTTGTAATGATTGATTAAATGCAAGATAGTTTATCTAACTTCGTGCGGAATCAGCTTCTATCCTTGACTTAGATTCTGGTGGAGAGAAGTGAGAATAGGCAGCCCCCAAATAAAAAATATTCATGGATTTATTTATTTTCCTTTGGAGATAAGGGACTACAATTTTTTCCCCGTGTAATCCAATGCTTAAAACCCCAGTGTTCTTGGAGGCATACGTTGAGAACCATTGGAGTAAGCAACCTCAAAAATGTTGTTGGCAATGCCCGGTATTCCAGAGCCCCCCCTGCCTCCATCTGGTCCTGCCCTCCTTACCCTCCTCATTCCCATGTGCCCTCGGCCCCAGCCAGCTCTGCCTCCTCCTTACCTGGGCATTCACCAGGCTCTGTCCTTGCACAGATAACTTCTATCCTCTCTGCTCACAATCCCAGCAGAAGCCCCTCCTGCCTGAAGCTGTCCCTGACCACTCAGGCCCCAAGCAGACTCCCTTCCCCACCTCCCATGACCTGCAGTCACAGCAGATCCCACCCTGTGCCCTGTCCTCTTGCTCCCTTCTCAAGACCCTGCTGCCCCTCCTGTACCTCTATAGACAGTAGCTGGACCTCAGATATTACCAGGGGATGCCTTCCAGAGAAGGGAATCCATCCTGTGTCGAATCCTGGCCTTCCCACTTCCCTGTGTCTCTAGTCCACAGCTTTCTTGTCACAGAGATGAACTTAGAGGGTTGTTCTGAGGATTCAGCGGGATATATAACTGAAGGGCTTTAAGAGAATTGTATAAGAAAAACACTACTTCTCCCGCTTTACAGTCTCTGAACCCAGGTTTCTTAACCAGCACTAGACAGAGAAGAAGCACTGACGTCCGACGTGCCAGGGTTTGTATCTTCTGTTGTAACCCGGTCACCCTGCACAGACCATGGCAGCAGGGGAGTTTGGTCTGTGGGAGCAATTACTGTACAGGTGCCTCTCAGCAGGGCTGGATCGTGGAAAGTCAGAGCAGGGGGACCATGGGAGATCAGGCAGCTGCCTCATTTTACGAATAGGAACGCGGGGACCCAGAAAGAGGAAAGCTTTTGTGCGAGATTCTTTTGTTGACCAAATATTTGACCATCACCATGAACGGTGCCAGGAACTGGGACTCAGCAGGGACAAGGTGAAGGCCCCATTCTCATGCAGCCTTAGTTCTGGAAAAAGATAAAAAGAAGGTGCAAAATCCCAGAAGAAAATAGAATAGGGTAATGGTAGGGAGTTCGATTGGCTGGCAAGGAAATTCCTGTCTGTGGATATGGCATTTAAGATTGGGCCTTGAAAAAGAGGGAGCTAGATTCTTAGGAAGAGGGGATGGCAAGTGCTGTGCAGATTTAATTTGCTGTGGAAATTAAAAACATAGCAAAAGGATTACTTCTTACAAAAAGAAATGCTGTTTTGTAAGAATAAATAGCCCTAATAAATTAACTAAATGCAATGCAGAATCTCAGTTTTCCACAAGACTGACTCTAGGGTTTTGGCTGGAAACACAAAGTTGTTTTGCCAATGTATTCTAAATACCTCATATTTTTCCCTCCATATATATATATATATATATATATATATATTTTTTTTTTTTTTTTTTTTTTTTTTTTTGAGGTGGAGTTTCACTGTTGTTGCCCAGGCTGGAGTGCAATGGCGGTCTTAGCTCACTGCAACCTCCACCTCCCAGGTTCAAGCGATTCTCTTGCCTCCGCCTCCCAAGTAGCTGGGACTACAGGCATCCACTACCATGCCCGGCTAATTTTTTGTATTTTTAGTAGAGACAGGGTTTCACCATGTTGGTCAGGCTGGTCTTGAACTCCTGACCTCAGGTGATCTGCCCGCCTTGGCCTCACAAAGTGCTGGGATTACAGGCGTGAGCCACCGTGCCCAGCCTCCCTCTACATATTTTATTACATATATATTTATATTTTCTTTAATTTCTTTCAATAACATGTTGCAGTTTTCCGAGTATAGGTTTTGCATTTCTTTTGTTAAATTGATTCCTAAGTTTACTCTTTTTTTATTATGATAAAAAAAATCTAATTAGCCTGGCGTGGTGGTATATACCTGTAGTGTCAGCTACTTGTGGGGCTGAGGCAGGAGGATCGCTTGAGCCTGGGAAGTCAAGGATGCAGTGAGCCGTGTTCCTGCCACTGCACTCCAGCCTGGGTGACAAAGCAAGACCCTTTCTGAACAAAAAAAAGCAAACAAAAAAACTAACATGAAATCTGCCCTCATAACAGACTTTTAAGTGTGCAGTACAGTATTATTAATTATATGAACATTGTTGTACAGTAGATCTCTAGAACTTTTTCATCCTGCATCACTAAAACCCTGTGCCCTTTAAAGAGCAACTCTTCATCGCCTCCTCTTTCCCAGCTCCTGGAAACTGCTACCCTTCTTTCCACTTCTATGACTTTTACAACTTTAGCTTCCTCATCTAAGTAGGAATCATGCAGTATTTGTCCTTCTGTGACTGATTTATTTCACCTAGCGTGATGTCCTCCAGGCTCAACCATATGGCAGGACTTCCTTCTTTTCTAAGGCTGCATGAAGTTTCATTGTATGTATGCACCACCATTTCCTCATTCATTCATCCACCGGTGGATAGAAGGTGGTTTCCACCTCTTCGCTATTATGGATGGTGCTGCCATGAATATGGGCACGCAAATATCAGTTCAAGATTCTGTTTCCTAATTCTTTTAGGTGAATACCTGCCAGTTGGATTGCTGAGCCATATGGTAGTTCTGTTTTTAATTTTTTGAAGAGCATCCATACTGTTTTCCATAACAGTTACAACATTTTACATTCCTACCAACTGTGCACAAGGGTTTGCCACAGCCTCACCAGCATTTGTTGTTTTCTGGTTTTTTGATAATGGCCATCCTCACAAGTATGATGTGATATTTATTTTACTTATTCTGTTCCAATCTGGATGATTTTTCTTTTGTCTTCTTGCCTAATTACCCTGGCTAGAACCTCTAGAACTGTGTTGAATAGAAATAGTGAGAGTGGGCCGGGCACGGTGGCTCATGCCTGTAATCCCAGCACTTTGGGAGGCTGAGATGGGTGGATCATCTGAGGTCAGGAGTTTGAGACCAGCCTGGCCAACTTGGTGAAACCCCCATCTCTACTAAAAACACAAAAATTAGCTGGGCGTGGTGGCGGGTGCCTATAATCCCAGCTACTTGGGAGGCTGAGGCCGGAGAATCGCTTGAACCCGGGAGGCGGAGGTTGCAGTGAGCCAAGATTGTACCACTGCACTCCAGCCTGGGCAACAGAGCAAGGCTCCATCTCAAAAAAAAAGAAAGAAAGAAAGAGTGAGAGTGGACATCCTTGCCTTGGTCCTGATCTTAGAAATCTTCATCTTTCACCATTAAGTCTGATATTAGGTATGGCTTTTTCATAAATGTCCTTTATCAGATTGAGGAAGTTCCCTTCTAGTCTCAGTTTATTGAGTGTGTTTTTTTCATGCAGGGATGTTAGATTTTTTCAAATGTTTTTTCTGCATCTGTTGAGATGATCATCTATTGGAATGTTGGTTTTTGTCCTTTATTGTATTGATATGGTGTAATACACTCATTTTTTTTTTGGTATGTTGAACCATTTTGCATTTCTGGGATGAATTTTACTGGGTCCTAGTGTATAATCTTTTTTATATGCTGTTGGATTTGGTTTGCTAGTATTTTGTTAAGGGTTTTTATATCTGTATTCATAAGAAGTATTGGTCTGTAGTTTTCTCTTGTGATGTCTTTGTCTGATTTTGGTATCATATATAACTTTTTAATACTAGAAATTTTATTTTATTTTTTAATTTAAAAATATCATTATTAGAAATAGGGTTTCACCATGTTACTCAGGCTACTTTTGAACTCTTGCACTCAAGTGATCCCCCCACCTCTGCCTGTCAAAGCCTGGGCAAGATGTTGAGAACTCATCTCTAAGGTAGATAGATAGATAGATAGATAGACAGACAGACAGACAGACAGACAGACAGACAGATAGATAGACAGACAGACAGATAGATAGATAGATAAAAAGGCCGGGAGCAGTGGCTCATGCTTGTAATCCCAGCACTTTGGGAGGCCGAGGCAGGCGGCTCATTTGAAGTCAGGAGCTTGAGACCAGCCTGGCCAACGTGGTGAAACCCCATCTCTACTAAAATACAAAAATTAGCCAGTCATGGTGGCACACACCTCTAATCCCAGCTACTCAGGAGGCGGAGGTGGGAGAATCGCTTGAGCCCAGGAGGCAAAGTTGCAGTGAGCCAAGAGCACACCACTACACTCCAGCCCGGGCAACAGAGTGAGACCCTGTCTAAATAAATAAATAAATAAATAAATAAAAGATAAATGAAAAATAAGTAAAATTAAATAAAATTAAATTAATAAATAAAAATAATAAAATTAAAATAAATAAACATATTGGGCTGTGTAAATTATGCCTATATATCAAATGCACACGGATGTCCTCAGTTTTCATGATTGTTCCCTGTACATTTGAAAAGGAGGCATTTCTCTCAACTAAGTTCAGAGATATAAATCTCTGCTTTATTATTAATATGGCTTAGGTTTTCTGTGTTCCCCATCATTATTGTTGTTCATTTGTTCTATCTCATCCTGAAAAAAATACACTAATGTCTCCTATTAGTATATTTCCATCTTCTCCTTTAATCTCTGGTAGTTTATGCTTCATAAAGTTGTTGCTGTGTTACCGGCCACATAAATGTTGATTGTTATATCTTGTGTAGCCTTTGGCTCAATGAACTATCCTTTCTTTGAGTGATTTCTGGCTAGATTTCTACCTTGTCAGATATGAAGATCATGAACTGTGTCTATTTGTTTCTACTAATTTGCATTTGTCTGGCATATTTGTGCGTAGCATCTTATTTAAATCTTTCTGAATCTCTTTGTTTTAGGCATGTTCATTCGTATATGTGTGCATGTGTATAAAAAGGTTGGATTTTGATGCATTTTTTTGAATTAGTGAATTAAGCTCATTTCAGTTATTGATGTATCTGATGTACTGGTCTTAGTATTGTTTTATGTTTGTTTTTATATACATATACAATTTTTCTCTATGGGGACTGTTTTCTACATTCTTTTTTAGTATTCTCTTCATGTTGCATTTTCATTTCATACCTTTAGACTAATATCTTAGGGTAGTTTCCTCAGCCCTTCTTTTTTTCTTTCTTTTCTTTTACTTTTTTTTTCTTTGGAGACCGCGTCTCACACTGTCGCCCAGGCTGGAGTGCAGTGGTGCGATCTCAGCTCACTACAACCTCTACTTCCCAGGCTCAAGCGAACCTCCCACCTCTGCCTCCTGAGTAGCTGGGACTACAGATGAGTGCCACCATGCCTGGCTAATTTTTTAAATTTTTTGTAGAGATGAGGTCTCACTATATTGTCCAGACTGGTCTTGAACTCCTGGGCTCAAGCAATCCTCCCACTTCAGCCTCTCAAAGTGCCAGAGTTACAGGCATGAACAACTGTACCTGACCAGCCTTTCCTTTAAAAATACTATCTACTGTAGCACTGTCCAAAGAACTTTCTATAATACTGGACATGTTCTGAATCTGTGTCGCCCAATGTGGTAGCCACTAGCTTCTGTGACTATGGAGCACTTGAAATATGGCTAGTATAATTGAGAAACTTAATTTAAAATTTTATTCAATATTAATTAAATTTAAACAGCCACATGTGACTGGTGGCCAACCTGTTGGGTGGTGCACGTCTTTTGATTCCCTACTGTGAGCAGAATTGAAACCACTAACATTTCCTTCCCCCACCCCTCTCTCTCTCCAAAGCATCTAAAGTAATATTCTTTAAGTGCTAAGTGATACCTCCAAGGCAGCCATCAAGCTTGCTTTTGGTATATTCTCTCCCTTTTATCCCATTTTTGATAACTGAAATATACCTTTATTATCAGAGAATGTAACAAACACATAGGATTTCTCACACTCGTGCCCTTTATTTAGTCTTAGTTCTTCAGTTAAACATATTCATTTCTCACCACTAGTCCTAATGAAAAGCTTCCTAAACATTTCTTGATTGTGTGAAGCTCATAGCTTAGTGGATTACTCAGGGAGTGCTCACAGGAACATCATTTCCTGATTCCTTCCTTCCTCTTCATTGAGGTTTGTCTATGGTCTTTCTACTTGAAGGTCATTTGGCTGAATTTAAAAATCCCGAAGTGGGGAGGGTGTTACATTTCTTTTCTTGGGTATTTGTACTACGTTACTCCATTTACTCCACTGTGTTTTTAACTTAAAAGTCTTCTGTGAAGATCTAATCCCATGTAAGTTACTTGGTCATTTTATCTTATGCCAAACAGATTTCTGTTCTATAACGTACAATAATTTTAAGGCTATGTCTTGGAGTCGACTGTTTTTGTTTATATGTTCTAGGCACATCATGTTCCCTTCAGGTACACAGGTTCAAGTCATCTTTTTTGTCTTCAGCAATGTTTTCTTTAGTAGTTTCTACCCACTGCCTTACTTTCCTCTTTGAGGGGGTCTGGGGGTAAGACTTCTGTTATGGATATGTTGCATCTTCGTTGCCTGTTATATCCATCACTTTCTCTTCAATTCTCTCCATCTTTTTATTCTGATTTTTTTTTCCTACTTTTCTATACTCAGTTTTTCTTTTGCTCTCCTGGTTGCTCTTCTGGACTTTGTGAGGAGAATTGGGAAACTGAAAAACAATGCCACTGTCAGCATCTTGCCCTGAATCTTATTGTGTTTTAAAGTTACTTTGTTACTGTCACTGTATTTTGCTTACAAAACAACTTTATTCACAGTGAGGAAATGCCTGCGGAAATACACCAGTTCTCAAAGATTCTAACCTTTTTGTATATCAAGTGAGTTAACTTGAGCTAGTTCAATGAATTTATTGTCAGTGAACCTCCTACAGCAAATACAACTTACAAATTTAAGTGAGAAATTTTGCAAGAAAATTCTCTCACAAATACTTAACTATAATGATCATTTATAGTTTGAGGCGAAAATTCTATAGCTCTTGAAACTACTAAACACATTTTAATAATATGGGAGAGCTCTTTGTACTACTCAATACTAAAACTTATAAATTCAATGTTGGTACCTGGTGCAGTAGTACGGGACTTACTTACACAGCAGGTTCACTGGTTAAGATGCCAATTACTTGGGCCCCTGGACTTAGAAGGCCCCCAAAGGCTGAACATGGCCAGGGCTGTTCTGACCTGGTGGTGCCTCTCCTCAACACTGGCCCTATCAGCTCACTAAGCAAGGACAGCAAGAACCATAGCCACTTTATCATCTTACTGGCTGGACTGTAGTGAGTTAAGTAACACAGTGTCTCATTTCTACTCATCCCCACAACTTGGAGGTCATGTGTAACCACAGTAAAGCTTCATTTTAAGAGAGACTCACACATATTTAGCCTATCTTGTATAAGAATAATAGACTGACCATAGTTTTATAATCCCATCTGGTTCATTGTGAAATGCCCTGTGCTCCCTATATCTATATGTCGGATGGGGCACTCCATCTTTTTCGACTTAATTTAGCTTGACTCTCCCTCCCACATCACCTTTCACAATCTCTCCAAGGATTTCAATGGGGTCTTACGTTTCTCCCCATCACCCCTTACTTTGAGCTCTAACATCCACTGATTCCGTTTGGTTTATGGCTGATCCTATTCTTGTTCCACGCACATCACCCTACCCTACAGTGAACACTACTCTGATTCTTTCTCCACAGGGCTGCCGATGTCAGCCTTTGGGGATACATTGGGGGTTAAGTTTGGGGGTTAAGTTTGGGGGTTTAGGGAGGGGTGGGGGTTAACATTCAGACTACAGCTTAAAGTGGGATATTAGAAACTTTGTTTTGAAAAAGACCCTTAAGCATTGTTACAGCATTACCACCACCCCAGTAAAGCCCCACCACCTGCATCTTTTCTCAAGTCCTCTCTGCCTCACAGACCGCACCCTCCTCCTCCCTTTACAGAGGTAATCCTTGAAACACCAACATTCTTACTTTATTATGCAGAGCAACTTTGTTCTCTAACTTGGGGCTATCTTCTCTGGATTTAACACCATGTCAATGTTGTTCCTGGAACTGGGCCAGGTCGGCTGTGTTTTCGCATAGCCCAATAATGAGAAGCAGATAATCTAGGAAAGAAGGGAATTTATTGCTATAACCGGATACAGGGAGAAGGCTGGAGATAATTCCACCAGACCAACTCAAAGTGTTGCAATTTTCTTAGTGCTTATATAGGTTGGGGTTATGTGCCTACGTGCAGTATAGCGTTCACTTAAGTCTATAGGTAACTAATTTTGTTTCAACTAAAAGGTCAGAGGCCAAAAAGGGAGATGGGTTCGAGAAATTTCTCCCTCTTCTCACTCAACTGGCCCTGCAACACCTGCTACTGTTGCATTTTTTCAGGGCAGCAGGCAAAATGAACCACCATTGGGTTGTGATGGTGTTGGCTTTTGGGTTGTTTTTGTTTTTGTTTTTGAGACGGAGTCTCCCCTGTCGCCCAGGCTGGAGTGCAGTGGCGCGATATCGGCTCACTGCAAGCTCCGCCTCCCGGGTTCACGCCATTCTCCTGCCTCAGCCTCCCGAGTAGCTGGGACTACAGGCGCGCCCACCACCACGCCCGGCTAATTTTTTTGTTATTTTTAGTAGAGATGGGGTTTCACCGTGTTAGCCAGGATGGTCTCGATCTCCTGACCTCGTGATCCGCCCACCTCGGCCTCCCACAGTGCTGGGATTACAGACGTGAGCCACCGCGCCCGGCCTGGATTTTAGTTTTAAAGCAAGTAACAGATGGAAAGTATCTGCCATATAGTGGATTCCATAAATTTCAACATTCCTCCTTTATGATATTGTCCACATTCAGTGAAAAGCATCATTGTGTTCTTAGGAGGAAAAAATTAAAACCTTTCCTAAGATTATTTTACTTTGAAAAAAGATCACAGAAAGCACTGAGAGACAAACTAAATGTCAGCGTCTGTCCTTTCATCTTTATCATATAATTTAAGCGGGAGAGAAGGAATTACTACTGGTCTGCAACTGAAGAGATCAAGAATGTTGCAAGAATAACACAATTTGCTCGATTTTTAAAAAATCAAACAATTGGCTTGAGACGCTCACCTTAAAAAATATGGCATATAATCACAAATAATTAGGTCGATTTTTGCTCCAAGTTACAACTGCCTTTTTTCAACATCTCTACTTTCTTGGGCAACTGTTCAACAGGGTGACAAGCACCCCCACCTACCTTTGCTTCAGGCTCTCTCAGAATGAATGTAGTCAAATGCTAATGTCACAGCAGGAAAAACTAAACCTGAAGTAAAACTGTATCGTTAGCTTTGTAATTACTTATAACAAAGGTCTTTGTATATATAAGGAAAAGAATAAAATGTGTATATTATGCATTTTTTCTCCTGAAATTCTAGAAAACCCTTTCGTAAAGATGGATTTGTACATACCATATTCTGAATTTTATTAATCTGTTTCTTGATATTTTTAAAATGAACATCACTACCTTTGTTACAAGAAGCTCAGGGTAATGTGCCTAGTAGTTGGCAATGCTAGGCTGAAAGTGTGTGATGTCATACAGAGTCACAAAGCTGGGGTTTTATTTACTCCTAACCACCTACGATCTTACCCCAGGAGAAAGCCTTGCCAGCCTCATTTGGCACCTAAGGTCAAGATAATAAATTCTGGATTTTTTTTAGGAGGCCAGGGGTGACAAGTACATACTGTTGTGTAATGGTTACACTAAGCAAAAAACACCAGCCACTCAGAGTCCTTTACTGCAAAGTGTAGATAACATTGTGTGGTATGCCTTGATTGAGGAATTAAAGGTAGTTTAACTGAAGACGTTGAGGAAACTTGGTTCTGGTTTTAGTACACCAGAATTTTTTTTTTCAATTTTAGAAAAGCAAGGAGGTTAGAAAAACTAGAGAGGAATTAGGGGATGCTTTTTTATGGGTTCATTTATAAGAAGAAGAGAACTAGCCATAAATCCTTTGTGAGATTTGTTCTGTCTTAAACTTGAATTATGAGTAATGCTTAAGGGAATTTAATAAAGAAGGAAAGCTAAAAAAAGAGAGAGAGAGAAAGGCAGTTGGTCCAAAAAGTGATTCCAGTGGACCAGCTAGTGTGATGTGTGATTAACACAGATTATCTCCTTTAGGCCTTACGAAGAAGTAAGTACTCTTGTTACCCCCAAGTTCTTGGTGAAGAAACAGGCTCTGAGACTAGAAGTTACTTGCCCCAAGTTAGTTTAAGTGGTGTGGTTCGGATGTTGCCAGAATCTGCCCTGTTTCTCCCTTCTGGTATTTGTTTATTCAGCTCAATCTTTGGCCCTGAGCTAGGTTCAGGGGGGTATGCATTCTAGCACAGAAGGAAGTCCCATGATGGAAAGAAACCGAGCAGAGTGATCAGGAAGGCAGGAAGAGCTTTGTGTGGGCCCTTCAGGCAAGGCCCCTCTGGGAATTCCCCATATTAGGTCTCTTTTTCAGCCACGTATAAGGCAAGGACATCGCACATATGAGAACAGATAGACTGACACAGCCATCTTCGATCCAGGGGAAACCAACTTACCAGAGAAACTTGATAGAATTGCTGAGCAGATCTGGCCTTTTGAGGTTTGCAGGCAGGAATTCAAAGTGGAAATTGTCAGCCTGTTTTTATGAGTATTTTGTCTATCAATATTTTTCTCTCAGGTTTAGAAAATAAGGCAAAGTGGGTTCCACCAAATGTGGCATTTCACCTGGCAAGTGATACACAAGAGTGGGGCAGACAGTCTCCCATGTGTGTGAAGGAGTTTTTGGAACACAGAATCTAAGCTGGTGAGGGATGAATGAAGTGTGGAAACAGCCATGAAGAATCTTTAGACATTCAGGAAAGAAGTCCTTTGTCAGTGTTTCTCTACATACTGATCTGTGTTTTCACCATGGTTAAGTTGTTTTGTACTTTATTTTGTTGTTGTTGTTTCTGCTAGGCAGAAATGTTTTATTTTTTAACACTGTCATATGTATTGCTTTTTTTGTGTGTATTCTGGGTTTAGGTTTTTCTTTTTTTTTTTTTTTTTCCTTTTTTATTTTTGAGATGGAGTCTTGCTCTGTCTCCAGGCTGGGGTGCAGTGGTATAATCTCGGCTCACTGCAAGCTCCGCCTCCTGGGTTCAAGCGATTCTCCTGCCTCAGCCTCCCGAGTAGCTGGGATTACAGGCACCTGCCACCACGCCCAGCTAATTTTTTGTATTTTTAGTAGAGACGGGGTTTCACCATGTTGGCCAGGATGGTCTCGATCTCCTGACCTCGTGATCCGCCTGCCTTGGCCTCCCAAAGGCTGGGATTACAGGCGTGAGCCACTGCACCCGGCCCAGGTTTTTCTTAATAAGGACTTCTCTGCTCCACAATAAATTTTCTTCATGTTTTCATCTATCCTTTTGTCATTTCCTTTGTTTAAATCATGAATCTATCTGGAATTTACTTCTATATGAGAAATGAAGTAGTGATCCAACTTTTTTATGCAAATGGCTAGCCAGGTCTCAATGATGCTGTTTAGTGACTAATGTATCCTTTGGCAGTGCTTTGAAATGCCACCTTGATTGTGTAAGGGAGGCAAAATTTCACCTCTACCCTCTTAGCATTTTCAGCTGGGCTAGAGAATTAAATTGACATAAAACAGATTCATAGGAGAAAAGCATATTGATTTAATGTAAGTTTTCTGTGACACAGGAGCCCCTCATAAGGAAACAAAGACCCAAAGAAACAGAGTTAAACACTGATTTTGGACAAAGAGTAGTATATTGTGGAAAATGTGACCAGGAAAGGGGCCTCGGGCTAGGCAAATTCCTTGTGGCTAAAGGAGAAAGGTTCATTTATGATGTTAGTTTATACAGAATTCTCTCAGCCTCAACTCCCAGCCCCAGTGATGAGTGTCACTTTCCTTCTGATGGAGGAATCTTCCACGTGGAGGTTTCTCTCTTGCTTTCAGGAAGAGAAAGGAGAAGGCAGAGTGCCCTTCGTGCATCTGTTGTTTATCAAGGGCCATTATTAGCACAAAATCGTTATACCAGAGTGGCATGTTGTACCTGCCTTCACTCGTGTGCTGAATTCCCACTTGTGTTTTCAGCTCTCCCTCAGCCTCTTCCGTTTTCACTTCTCTTGATGCCTGCACCTGCGTGACTACCCACCAGGGTTTGTTGCTGCAGCTTTGGGTTGCTTGTTGATGGCTGCTAACTCTAGTCCACCCTCACAGCTCTCCTCGTTCAGATTTTTCCCAGCTTTTCTCACATCTTAAATTCTCCATATCAATTTGAGGTTCAAATTGTCCAGGTACAAAACTCTTAAGTTCTTTGTTGTGATTGCATTACATTTATAAATAGGCTTAGGGAGATATTATATCTTTGCAACAACGAAGCCTCCGATTGATTTAGACAATGCTTTTCCATAGCCCTATGTACCACTAAGAGCTTTACAAATACTAACTTAGCCCGATATGTTAATCTGCACAACAGCCCATGAGATGGCTACTTTTACTGTCCCTGTATTACAGATGAGGAAACTGAGGCATAGAGGTAAATTGTCCAATTCACATGACTATTTTAAGATTTTTAGGTTTATTCAAGACTTGTTTACTGTCCTTCAGAATTTTAAAATTTGCTTCATATAAGTATTTTACATTGATCACCCATTTTTTTTTTCTAACTGACTCATGTCTATATACAAGAAAACTGTTGGGTGTTACATGTTAAATGTATAAACACTTAACTTGTTGAATTCTCTTACTGGTTCAAATATATTTTGGGAAGGTTGTTTTTCTTACGTAATTCAGAAGGTCTGAATTGCACCTGTAGAGCTTTTATCATTTTTCTGAGACAGGGTCTCACTCTGTCACCCAGACTGGAGTGTAGGGGCGTGATCTCACCTCACTGCAATTTCCGCCTCCCAGGCTCAAGCGATTCCCCTGCCTCAGCCTCCCGAGTAACTGGGATTACAGGCGTGCGCTACGACCGCCCGGCTAATTTTTGTATTCTTATTAGAGACGGGGTTTCACCGTGTGGGCCAGGCTGGTCTCGAACTCCTGACCTCAAATGATTCACCGGCCTCAGCCTCCCAAAGTGCTGGGATTACAGGCATGTAGCCACCACGCCCGGCCTTTTAGAGCTTTTATGTGGCCGTTCTGTTTATTGTTCTACGACCTCTCCCAACTGTCCCCTGTGAAGGATGAGGAAACAGCATCCTTGTGCTTCCTCTCTCCTCCTGTCCATATCTGCTGCTGCCAATTTTGGTTAGTTTTCTTATGAGTCTTAATTCTAGCTTTTCCTTTAAATAATATGTTCCTAGCTCTGTGACTTGATCTTTCAACTGTATTTTCTGGACTTCCTTCCACGGGAAAACCTATGTACTTTACCTCTACCTTCTTTCTCCTCCCCTTCCCAGTGTTTGGAAACACTGTTATTTTTGTATTTCCTGGAGGTCAGGAGGGTGGGACTAAAAGTTCCAATCCTGTAATCACATGGTAGGTTGAAAGGGGTTTATTATGAAGAACAAAAGATGCTCCTCTCACTCCTATCACTTAGAAAATTCCAGAGGCTTCAGGAGCCCTACGCTGGGACCTGGGGATGGAGACCAAATCTATATTTCTTATTGTATCACAATGTTACAGAAACGTAACAGCAAAAGGAGCCTGGGCCAGAGCCTCTGGGCCCAGGCAATGCGAAAGAGCCCACTACTGAAGTGGCTACTTTGTCTGGGGTATATACCCTGGAGTTCCTTGTAGGACGCAGACACACACAAGGAGTTTAAGAGCAGAGGTTTAATAGGTTGAAGAGATGAGAAACAGAAATAGCTTCCTCTATAGAGGAAGGGGTCTCCAAGTGGAAAAAGGACAGTTTGAATGCTCTTGAGTTTCGTGGTCCAGTTGAGGAAGTGGTATCTGATTTGTTATGTATGGCTCACAGATTAGTTTGGGTGGGGAAGGCTGGTCACTCACACGGATCTTATGCCCCTGGGCTTTCCAGTTGATTGGCCCCATCTGGTCTGCTCCTTAAAATACATGTGGCTGGCAGAGAAGTCTGCCATCTTGAATGTGTCTAGTCCTTAGTTCCTGCCAGCATTCACCCATGAAAGCTCCCAGCTTGCAGGCTGCTATTTGTTAGAAAACGATTGGCGCTGCTTTCATTAAAAAGAAAAGCCTTGGCCAGGCATGGTGGCTCATGCCTGTAATCCCAGCACTTTGGCAGGTGGATCACCTGAGATCAGGAGTTCAAGACCAGCCTGGCCAACATGGAGAAACCCCGTCTCTACTAAAAATACAAAAAATTAGCTGGGTGTGGTGGCGCATGCCTGTAAACCCAGCTACTTGGGAGGCTGAGGTAGGAGAATCGCTTGAACCCAGGAGGCGGAGGTTGCGGTGGGCCGAGATCGCGCCATTGCACTCCAGCCTGGGAAACAAGAGCGAAACTCCGTCTCAAAAAAAAAAAAAAAATGAAGAAAAGCCTTACCGGGGACTCTCACGCCCTTGCTATCTGCCTAAATAATTCCTTTTTAACTCCCATATCACTATGGTGAGGTGGGGTGAGAGGTTCCCTGGAGCGCATCTTCTGTGGGGCACCGCCATGCCACATCCAGCACCAATGCCAAGTGCCAGGGCAAGCTGACCTCAGCAGAGGCTTGGGTGTGGACCACCCAGATGGCAGCTGGAAAGGGGTCACAGCTAACAGTTGGGGCAGAACAAGTAGTAGGATCCCAGGTGAAGCCAAGTCACCCAGACCCTGGGAGTCACCAGGCACAGACTATGCGTTGTCCTGCTGCAGACCTCAGCAGTGAGGCCAGGAGAGCACGCAGACCACCAGCAGGTGAAGGACAGCACCCAGGAGGGGCAGCAGATCCCAAAGTGTGACTCCCTGGGGACCAGCTGGGGGCTCGGGGCCCCTCCCAATGCTATAGGACTAATAGCGCTCTAAGGTCAAGGAGCAGAGGTATCCTAGGTGGCAGGGACAAGGGCCTATTTCCCAAGGAAGAAGCAGCACCCGAGCTCTACTTCCCAAAGAACTGATGACTTCCTTCCCTAATCCTGGGAGCCTGAAACTTCCCATATGAAACTGCCCCCCTTGCAGTTTGCATGCTGGGTTCTGGACAGAAATACAGTTATAATTAAGCATTGATCAGGCTGCACTTAGACCCACTTTCTTGTTGCTGAAAGTCACGTAGCACTCTAGATAGTGACCATTTGCATATCCGATGTTTCTACAGATAGGATTTCTGACTTTAGGATTATAAGACTGACTGTTTAATAATTTATTTGTATCCCCTTCGTTCCTATAGACAGGATCTCTGACATTAGAATAAATCACTTAAGATGTTTTTCAGAGTCTGAATTCCAGCAACCAGTTTGAAGACTGCCACAGAGGAACAGATCAGTATGAGAATACAGCTGCTTCATCTCCCTGTCCCATGTCATCCTGCACTTTTCAATCAATCAACAATCTCCACTGGCCCAGTCCTACTCTCTGGGAGATGGATTTGAGGTTTCCTCCTATCCCCTCCTTCGGTGACCCTACCATTCAACTGCTTTCTCTGCTGCGACCCAGTGTTGGGATATGTGCGCATTTGACAACAAATCTATTACAGTTACATATAGACCCCAAGTGTCCAGGCACTGGACGGCTGGCATTCCCAGACCCCACCCACCTGGTACCCAGGAAGTCTGTGCAGCCTTCATCATTGCACTTGCACCCAGCCTGCACTATAAGAAGGCAGCTAAGGGACTGAATTCTCTCTCCTGGATGCAGACACCCACTGGGTATCCAGCAGAGCCGGCTCCTTTCTGGGAGGCACATTTCTGTGGGTAGGAAAACAATGTCTCCTTCCCTCTCTGGCTTTGTAAATTTCCCATTTAACAATAAAAACCTTTCCTAGGCCAGGCGTGGTGGCTCACACCTGTAATCCCAGTACTTTGAGAGGCCAAGGTGGGTGGATCACGAGGTCAGGAGATTGAGACCATCCTGGCTAACACGGTGAAACCCCGTCTCTACTAAAATTACAAAAAAATTAGCCGGGAGTGGTGGCGGACACCTGTAGTCTCAGCTACTCGGGAGGCTGAGGCAGGAGAATGGCGTGAACCCAGGAGGCGGAGCTTGCAGTGAGCCGCGATCGCGCCACTGCACTCCAGCGTGGATGACAGAGCGAGACCCTGTGTCATCATGAAATCCTTATGTTGACTGGGATGCATGCTGCATGACGCACCCTCTCCTGCATACCCCCGACTCAGGCCAGTGGGAGGGAAGGCAGGCTAGGGGAAGAGGGTTCCTCAAAGACCAGGCTGCCAGATCAACATAAGCTTCTCAGCAGAAGGTACAATGCCAGCCTGCAGTGCTCACCCAGCTCCTGCTCACGGGGCCTCCCTTTAACCATGCCAACACTGTGGAATCTGAACTCTTACCACAGTGCTCTCTCTTCATACCTCTTGTGTATACCACATGTGCAAGTGTTTATCTAGGGTAGTGATTCTCAGCCCGGGGCAATTTTGCCCCCTCAGGAGGCATTTGGCATTTTTGGTTCTCACAAGCTGCGGTCAGGAGATGCTTCTGGCATCCAGTGGGTGGCGGCCAAGGATGTTGCTAAACATTCTACAAGGCACAGGACAGCCCCTCCCCGCAACACCACTGGGCTTGAGCAAGCCTGCTCCAGGCAAACACTGGCGTGCCTTATATACCATGCTAAATTGTGATTGATGCTTCCTAATATTTTGTCATACAGAAATGCTTCACTTGAAAAAGTTTGTCTTACACTGTCTTTTGCTTACACCTGTGATTTACTTGGGTTTTTCTGTACCCCACGTTCATGAACATATTTCCCCAAACTTTCTATGAATGCTTTTACAGATTCATTTTGTAAGGTTGGGATTTCAGCCCATGGGTGATTTTTTCTTGTGAGCGACATGAGGGAGGGAATCTCTTCTCCTTGCCACCACTGCATGGTCACCCTGACCTGCACTGTATCGTCCTCTTCTTCCTGGTCACAATGGTGGCACTGCTCAGTGCCTTGGCCCCCTGCCTCATCCCTCCCTGCTCAAGGACTCTGCTCCTCTGTCATGTCATACTCTCCCACACATGGGCCCTTCCTCCCTTGCACCTGCATTCTGCATCTCCTGCAATGACATGCTGTTGCATTGTCTCGCTTTGGGAGCTCTCCCTTGCTCCCGGTTCTCCTGTGACCACTACGGGCTTTCCTGCCCTTTCACAGCAGGGCTTCACCCAGAGCCCGCACGAGTCTCCTCCCCTTCCTTAACTCCCGCCGACGTCCTGCTGCTGAATGGACCAATCACAATTTCCTTCCCAGTGTGGAAAAATATGAAATGGATCATTAAAATGTTACCTTAACATTTCGGTACCAGAAGCTGCCATTTCTATGCTAGAAAGAGGTCAAAGAGAGGCTCCAATTCAGCACAAAAGTGGACAGTGAGCAATAAAGTTTAATTAACCAGTACTGTGAGGTCACCTTCACGGACTAGCATCCCTTCCGTGAGCTGAAGGACTGAATAAGCAGAAGCACAGGCCAAACCCATCCCTCCATGCTCCCCACTGTGCAGATGGGCTCACTGAGGCTCTGGTGTACATTGCTTGCTCAGCACTGGATCTATTTCGGGCCAAAGTGTCAGCAGAACTGATACCCACAGGGCATCCAAGTCCACATCCAGACTGGGCTCCCTCTAATGCCATCTCTTAAACCGAACCACTGCCTGCCGATGGTGAGTTTCCAATCACGAGCTGCACTGGGGGTGCTGGAGGCCTGGCTGGGCACACATCCTGGTGGGTATGAAGGGGATTTGGGAGTGGCATCTAGAAGATCAGCATGAGGGGCACAGAGGAGAAAGAACCCACAGCTTGCAGCCAGCAGGGGAAACTGGCTCAGCACACAGACAGGGCCCCAGTGAAGCCCATCCAGGCCAGCTGCCCTAAGTACAGACCTGAGTGGGACAGGACAGGACTGATAACTAAGGAAAACGAGAGAAACTGAGTGTGCAGGGGCCCTACTGCCTTCTGCCTGCAAGGAGGCTATGCTGGGTGTGCAAACAGAAGAGCAGGTACATGAAGATCCTCACTGAGGGGGCATGAGGAGACACCAGGCCAGAAGAGGCAGGGCCAGCAGGGCCTGCGAGAAGACCAAAGGAGACAGTCAGTGAACTATGGGGGAGCCCGGCACCCCATCCAAGCTGCTGGGGTCAAAGGCAAGTCCAGTGCCAGCCCCTCCAATGGCCCAGGCCCTGCCTGGCCTGCTCCAAGCTGCTGCCCATCTGAGAGGAGCCCTCTATGGGTCAGTGCTGGGTCCTCCAAGGCCACCGTCACACGGCACCTCAGTGCCATGGTTAAATCTAGGGACCCGAGATCACTAGATTCACCGCTATTTCCTGGCTGTATGGTCTCGAGGAAGTCATTCCCATCCCCAGAGTCTTGTCTTTTCGTCGTGAAATGGGACATTAACACGTACACCTCACAAAATTCTCACAAGGATTAAATGATGAGTCTTATTCGATGAGATCCCATGCTTTAGGAACTTATTATGGGGGCCCACCCACTGTGTACCATCACATCCAAGGGGCTGGGGAACAGAGGTGACAGGTGGCTATGTAAGAAAAATCTCAGCAAACAGCAGGGAGGAGGAGGCCACGCCGTCTTTCTGAAAAGAGGAGAGGTCTTCTCACTTTCGTCTGATCCCTACACTGAGACGCACAGGGCCCCAACATACCAGCCACTCCCAGTGTCAGTCTTTCCTCTCCGGCTGATATGTTAGGACCAGCTGCTCCATAGAGTCAATCTGCAGGAGAGGGAGCAGCCATCAGAACCTCTGGGAGATGCTCTTCCAGTTGGCCTTAACGGCCGCCCATGCAGGCTGGCAGCAGCAGCAGGCAGGGGTGAGGCAGGTGGGAACTCCAGCTTGTGGATTTCCCTAGCCCAGGGAAGGCAACCCTCCCTCCCTCACCCACTCTGCCTGCATCCCACATGGGAACTCATGCACCGATCCACCCACACACACTCAGGCCTCCTTGAAGGAAGACTTGAGCAACAGGAAGAGGACAGACAAGAACCCCAAGGGGGCCAGGGGCACAGAAGAGAGAGGGCCACGGCAGTCACCAGGGGCCACCTGTCGCTTTCACCTAGAACCACCACACACTTGCCTGGCCATGGTCTGCTATTTCCCAGAAACTGGAATCCGCTGCTCGGTACTTCCTCCCGGGGTAGAGCTGCCACACGGCGGGCAGCTGGGAGAAGGGCATCTGGCCGGAGGAGAGTAGCTCCCGGGTATGCACTGCCATCTGCCACAAGTGCACTGTGATGCTGGGTTCATACTGAAGGGACCAGAAAAGAGGCGGCAAATCATGGATAGGGTTCCCTGCCAACTGGGCTGCACACAAGCAATGGCCAGTGGGCTGCCAGGGTCAGAGGTAAATGTTTTCAGAATTCCAGACCAAGAGCCTTGGCACTGGTACTTGTGGCTCCATCTAGGATGGCTGGGGCCCTTCTGGCCCCCTCTGACCTGCACCCTGCCTCGCCCCACTGCAATCCCCAAATTTAGCCACTGTTTCCAACCTGTCAACACCTTGGGTTAAAGCTGAGTATTCTCTTGGGGCTCCATCTCTGCCATTGCCGTAATTTTTTAAATCTTCGTTTTAAAAACAAGATATCCATGGACTCTGGATCTGAGGGTGATAGATTTTCCCGCCAAAATATATGGCAGTTCTGATCATGACCTTCACACACTTATAGTAAATATACGAAATAAGGCTGGGAGCAGTGGCTTATGCCTGTAATCCCAACACTTTGGGAGGCCAAGGCAGGAGGACTGCTTGAAGCCACGAGTTCAAGACCAGCCTCGGCAACATAATGAGACTCTGTCTCTACAAAAAATAAAAAATTAGCTGGCCATGGTGGCATGTGCCTACAGTCCCAGCTACTCGGGAAGCTAAGGTGAGAAGATTTCTTGAACCTGGGAGGTAGAGGCTGTTGTAAGCTATCGTCAGGTCACTGCACTCCAGCCTGGGAGACAGAGCAAGACTCTGTCTCAAAATAAATACATAATAATAAAAATAACAAAATTAGGCTGGTACTGGAAGTTAGAAAGATGATAGGAAAAGTAAAACCAAAGCTTCCTACGTTATGCAACAAAATGGAAAGTCTTTTGCACAATTTTCTAAGTATTTGTCTTCTTTTGTGATAAAATGTCTTTTTGAATTAAGAATATTAGTGCTCTATCAATCAGACATGTTGTGAATAATTTTTCTCAGTTTGTCGTCCTCACTTTTTTTATGGACTGCTTTTGCAAAGAGAAGTATTTTAAATTATACGGCAAAATCTCTCCTTCTCTGTGTATTCTGACTGTAGATCAGAGATCAGCAAACTAAGTCTGGCTTGCATCTGCTTTTGCAAATAAAGCTTTATTGTAAATAAACTAAGGCTCCTTCCCTCATTCCTTTACCGTTGCCTTTAGCTGCTTTTGCACTGCAATAGCAGAGCTGAGTAGCTGCAAGAGCATAGCTCTCCAAGTGGAAAATGTTTACCATCAGATCCTTTACAGAAAAAGGTGGCTGATCTTTGCATTAGATGTGTCGCCCAGGAAGCCTAATTCCCACCCTAAGACATCGATCTATTTTTAAGAAAGAAGGGGAAAAAATACTTACTAAGTAGGTCCCTTATCCCACCCGTGGCTAAGTTATTTGAAGAATCCATTCTATTTCCACTGAATCATTTAAAAAAAAAAAAAATCTTAACTGTTTTTTTTGTTTTGCTTTGTTTTGTTTGAGACGGAGTCTTGCTCTGTCGCCCAGGCTGGAGTGCAGTGGCTGGATCTCAGCTCACTGCAAGCTCTGCCTCCCAGGTTCAAGCCATTCTCCTGCCTCAGCCCCCCGAGTAGCTGGGACTACAGACGCCTGCCACCGCACCCGGCTAATTTTTTTGTATTTTTAGTAGAGACGGGGTTTCACCGTGTTAGCCAGGATGGTCTCGATCTCCTGACCTTGTGATCCGCCCGCCTCGGCCCCCCAAAGTGCTGGGATTACAGGCGTGAGCCACCGCACCCGGCCAACTGTTTTTAAGAGTACAGTTTGGTGGCATTAAGTGCATTGACATGTGGAACCGTCGGCACTATCCACCTCCAGAACTTTTTATCTTCCCAAACTGAGACTCCGTACCTGTTACTAACATTAACTTCCCATCCTCGACTCCCTCCAGCCCCTGGCAGCTACCATTCCACTTTATGAATGAGACCACTCTGAGTACCTCATACAAGAGAATCTGTCCTTCCGTGACTGGCATATTTCATTTAGTATAATGGCTCCAAGTTTCATCCGTGTGTCTGACTTTTAAGGGTGAATACTTCATGGTTTGTGTTGTTTACCCATTCATCTATCAATGGACACTGGGGCTGCCACCACCTTTTGGCTAGTATGAATGATACTGCTGTGAACATGGATGTATGAATACATGCTTAAGTTCCGGCTTCAGAGTCTTGTGGGTATATATCCAGAAGCGGCATTGCTGGATTATGCCGTAATTCTTTCTTTGAGAAATCCTCATCCTGTTTTCCATAGTGGCTGCACCATTTTACAGTGCCCTCCATTAACACTTTTTCAGGCTTTTGAAAAACTTAAAATATTTGCTCCACAATTTTTGCATGCTTTATTTAGTGTATGTACAGAAAAGCCTTTCCATGTTCTCTACCAACATTTTTTGAAATAACCTATTTGAACTTTTTTTAGGAAATGTGTTATATTGTTTAAAGTGTCAGTGAACTGGCTGGGCGAGGTGGCTCACCTGTAATCCCAGCACTTTGGGAGGCCAAGGTGGGCAGATCACTTGAGGTCAGGAGTTCAAAACCAGCCTGGCCCACATGATTAAACTTTGTCTCTCCTGAAAATAACAAAAAAAATTAACTGTAAAAAAAAATCGCCTGTAATCCAAGCTACTCGGGAGGCTGAGGCATGAGAATCACTTGAGCCTGGGAGGTGGAGGTTGCAGTGAGCCAACATCACACCAGTGCACTCCAGCCGCAACAGAGCAAGACTTTCTCAAAAAACAAACAAACAGGCAGTGAATTGTTTACGAAGACCTAAACGGCATTTTTTTTTTTTTTTTTTGGGACGGAGTCTCACTCTGTCACCCAGGCTGGAGTGCAGTGGTGCGATCTCGGCTCACTACAAGCTTCGCCTCCCGGGTTCACGCCATTCTCCTGCCTCAGCCTCCCGAGTAGCTGGGACTACAGGCGTCCACCACCACGCCCGGCTAATTTTTTGTATTTTTAGTAGAGACGGGGTTTCCCCATGTTGGCTAGGATGGTCTCGATCTCCTGATCTCGTGATAAGCCCATCTCGGCCTCCCAAAGTGCTGGGATTACAGGCGTGAGCCACCGCGCCCAGCCCTAAATGGCATTTTAAATATCCGGATATGCTTTTACCACATTACACTAAGGTACAGCCAGCCCCCCATTTCCATGGATACTGCACCCATGAATTCGACTAACCTCAGATTAAAAATATTTTGGGAAAAAAAGAAATTCCACAAAGTTCCCAAAAGCAGAGCTTGAAGTGATGTGTAGGTGTAGCATTAGGTGTTATTAGTAATCTGATTTCAAATATAGTAGAGGATGCGCTGAGGTTATATGTAATTACTACCCAGGTCATTTTCTATCAGGGACTTGAGCATCCACAGTCGGTCCTGGAATCAATTCCCCACCGCCACCCACACCAGAAACGCTACTGTATTTACTTCATCCCTCAAAGACTGGCTGTGATCTAAAGCCCTCATCTACAGCCGTTTCCTGAGTCATTATCATTATCACCTGGGGAGCTTTTGAAAAGTAAAGAATCTAGGACTCCACCCAAGCCTCCTGAATTAATTTCCAGAATCTGTTATCAGTCAAATGCTTCCCCAGGCCATTCAGGCGGTGAGCCATGTATGTGAGCATGTCTGTGACTAGCTTGCCACAGAGGTATATTATTCTCATTTTGCAGATCAGTAATCTGACACCAATGTCATGTTCATCCTGTTGGCCCACCTGGTGCCTCCAGGCTGCAATGCTTTTGCTTATACTACTCCTGCCTCCTTTCTAGACCTGGAGAACTCCTACTCATCCCACAAAGCCCAGCTCAATAGCTGCCCCATTTGTGGGCCTTCCCAGCAGGCACTGGGAATGGCACTAAGCCCTGAGCTACCTTAGCCTCGGCTTCACCACGCAGGACCACATTATCTCATGTGGATAAGCTTGTGCCTGTGGTCCCTTTACGGGGGGTGTTCCTGGGGCCAGGGCTGGGCATGGACATTGCTGCGCTCCTAGACCTGCACAGAAGTGAGTTTTCCAGTGCGGGTGAGAACGGCCCCCTCTGACCCCCACCGCGGTCCCACACGGGCAGGGGTCAGTGCGCAGCCCTCCCCACAGCCTCCCCTCGTGCCCAGGACTCACTCTGCTGCCCTGGGAGGCCCTGGCCCATTCCCTACGCGAGGGATTGAACCGCACGACCACAGTCACCCAGGTTCTCCCCTCCTCATCTTCGTAGATGCCAGGCCTCTGGATCCACAGACGGCCAGGGGGCACCCCTAGACGCACAGAAGCTTCGGAGGCCATGGCAAGTCTGCAACCGGGACCCGCCTCTAGGCTCACACGTGTAGCTTTCCAGCTGCGCAATCTCCTTAAATGGAGCAGCTCCGGCGTGGGTGGGGCCCGGGCCGGCAGTGGGGGCGGGGCCGGCAGTGGGGGCGGGGCCAGTCGGGGGAGGAGGGGGAGGAGGAGGAAGGGGGAGGAGGGAGGAGGGAGGAGGGAGGAGGAGGAGGGGGGAAAAAAGCAACCTGCAGCAGGGGCTAGGCAGGGACGAGGCCAAAGAGCAGCGGAGTTAGGAACCCGGCCTGGGTCTCCTGGAGGGGCTGTGGCTGGACCGGCAGCTGCTGGAGGCAAAAGGGCGGCTCCCGGGGATAGAGCTGCCCAGGCTTCACCCCAGGCCTCTGCAAGGAATTTGGCTCCTAAGACCTATTCCACCTCCCTTCCACTGGTCCCAGTCCCTCCGCAGCCTCCTCCCTGAGCACCCCTGCCCAATTTTCTGTCAGGTGATTCCCCTCCTTTGCTCCCCACGACCCCCTGCCAACCATCCTGCCCCAGATCCTGAGCTGGCATGCACGACCCTGGTCTCTCCTATCCCTGTGGCCATTCCTTTAACAGGACTCTGTGTCAGGGACCCTTCTCTGAGCTTAGAGCTTAGAGGCATGGGGGGCGGGGGGCGCTGTAACCTCAGTGGACTCTTGCCCCTGGAGGTATCTGGTGAAGGCGCATCCTGCACAAATCAAGCTCCCTCTCCTTAGAAAATAAGCCAGTGCACTATCAGCATCTGAGCTCAGGATCAGATAAAGCCCACAGAAACAAGGCCACCGGAGGCCACGTGGCCACCTGGCCAGCCCATCCTTGGCCATGGGGCCCAGAGTGCCCACTTGGCCTGGTCGTCTTACTTGCTCGACTTTGTCAAGAGGCCTCAGAAGCTCAAGAACATAGCAAGAAGCAGGTCCGTTCTATAAGCACCCTGGGCTGCTTCTAAATGCACCATGAATAGGAACCTTTTCCTTTTGAAAACCACAAGCATGATTCTTCTAGTTCAAGTGAAGATTAGTATTGAGATGATGCCATTCTGCTGGGGAGATGTGAAAATGATTTCTGGACAGTCCTGATCCAGTGTAAATGGCAGGTAGGATAACCACTTTTGAAGAACTCCCTGGGCAGCTTCTGTGGAGGACTGAGTCTTGTTTTCACAGCAATTCCACCTCCATCCCCAGTGTTTTTCCAAGGAACCAACACTTGGGGTGGGAATGGAGTGGGCCAGGAAGACAAGGGACATCACAGTCTCATATAATGTGATCCATACATGGAATCACGTACGTGTGTCACCTTTGCCATATTCCATTGGTCAGGGGTAGGTCCTATCCTTACTCAAGGTTATGAATACCAGGAGGCAGGGATCATGGGGACCCCTGGTCTCCTGGGCCCCCCTGAAGCCTGTTTGCTGTAGGTACCTACCCTATGGGACTCCTCTGAGGATCAGATGAGGCTGTGTGTATAGTGTTAAAGCCTGACACATAGTGAATACTTGAAATACCCTGGTCAATAGTTATGTTCTCAGACTAGTTCCCTCTCCCAGGCAGAATCCATCATTCCTACCCTTGTAACCCCAATGCAATTGCTATTTATCTCTATCATTTTCTGTTGCAAATATATATTTTGATATTCTCAACCTCACTCCCTGATGGGCAGGTGTGTGGCTGTCAGTGGGGTTGGAGGTAAAGGTTGCCTAATATGTGGGGAGCCCCTATGCCATGTCAGGCATTTTTCATAGGGTATCTCACTAACACCTCCCAACAACTCCATAAACTAGAGACCGTCACCCCCATTTCATAGATGAAGTATCAGAGGCTTGAGTGGCTTAGCAACCTGAATGAAGTGGGTAGCAGAGGAAGGATATGGACCCAGCTGTTCCTGGCTCTAACATGCATGCTGCTTGTTGACTGCCTTGGCCAAGTTTGGCTCATTACATGGAAGAGGCAGAACCTGGAGTAGGGAGATCCACAGTGGCTACTGTAGAAATGGTGGTGGGGTCTGAAGATGGAGACTGAGAACACCTTGCCATGAGTGGGTGGTCAGAAGGTAAGCAGAGGTCTCCATAGGCAGAAAGAAATAACTACCAGTTAGCCTCAAGGTGGAAAATAGATTGCTTCACCGATCACCCTCTTTGGCCAGGTCTCCCATCCCTCAACCCTTGGACCTGGTATGAAAAAAGCCACGGAGCTGCAGGTGACAACAGTTTGGTTCCTGGTCCTTCAGCTGGTCTTTGTCCATGTCATGTCTGAGATAAGTGAGATAAGGCTATGTCTTCTGGCCAAGTTGTCCATCTCTGGTACCTGTGACCTGAAGGATTCACTCTCCGGGGTAGGTGTCACCAATGTCTTTGAGAACCACTTTGATCTCTCCAGAATTGCTCCCAGGATTGCCTGGTACTGATGGTGCACTCATGCCTGGGCCCAATGCTCTCCTCCTCCAGCAGAGGGAGCCCTTCACAAGCCCCAAGCCCTGGGGACGTTGAGGCTGGACACCCACTTGCCGGAAGGATTCCAGACCACAAACAAGGAGGCGCTGTGCAGGGCTTGGAAGGCTGGGTAAGAGTCACTGATACCTCTGCACATTTCTGTTCAGCTCCTCCTAGGTACTGGGCCAAAATGGCAGGGCAGACAAGATGCCAAAGGCAGACAGCCTAGACAGGGCATGGTTTAGATGGAACTGGCAAAGTTGTCCCACCGAGTAAGCAGCATGAGTAGACCTGGAGGAGAGGTAATTCAGGGTGTGTCTGGAGATCAGGAATAATGAGGATTATCCAAGCTCATATGATAAAGAATAAGAATGTGGTGGTGGTGGGGGCAGGGGTGGTATTGATGCTCCATTGTAAGCATCAAACACGCCAGTCCCAGCAGCTGGTTTTGAATGATGAGCAATGAGTGTTTGAGACAAGGAGTGACATAAGTATGCACTTAATGTTAGAACTAATGATAAAACCAAAGAGTGGCTTAGTATCAAGTAGATCATGACTACTAGAGAAAAGACTGGATGGGGATTGTGCAGATAATAACAAAAACAAGAACATCCAAGTTCCAGCTCTGCTTATTTCAGACAGTGAGCAGAGCAAACTTGCAAAGTGGTAAAAGAAAGTCAACCCAACCACGGAACTGAAGAATGAGGGTTTAGGAAAGTTTTGCTTATGTACACTATTTTCTTCTAAAGATTTTATTTAGATTAATTTTTCCATGTTGATATCCAATTAATGCCAATTATTTAAAAGACTATGCTTTGTCTACTGTACGGTATTATCACTTCTGTCATAAATCTGGGAACATTTATGTATGAGTCTGTTTCTGGACACTTTTCTATTCCATTAGTCTGTTTGTCTCTCCTTGTGTTGATACCACATTGCTAATTACTATAGCTTTAAAATAGGTCTTTATATCTTATTGTAAGATTCTGTTTCTCTGGAGAACCCTAATATAGCTATTCTCTTCCCTTTACATATCCATATGCATTTTAAAATCAGCTTGTTAATCCTCCCCACCTCCAAAAGCCTGCTAAGATTGATTGGGATTGTGTTGAATCTATAGGTATATTTGAAGAGAATTAACATCTCCAACATATTAAGACTTACGATCCGAAGCAATTGCATAGTGTATCCTTCCATATTTTGGGTTGTCTTTAACTGTTCTCTCTGATTTCATTAAATTAACTCTTAAGTATTTGATTGATGCTATTTTAAATGTCATTTCAAATTATGTATTATGTTTGTTGCTGTTATAAAAAAATGCAACTGGTTTGTGTGCATTGACACTATATCTAAGACCTAGATAAATTGACTTAACTCTAATAGTTTATCCACTATTTGAGGAAATGTCTTAGCCATTGTATCTTCAACTATTCCCGTCTCATCCTTTCTTTTCCTCCCTTTCCCTCTCTTTCAGTGACTCCAATTACACATTGTCAGACCCTTTAAACAAGTGTACCGTGCTCTCTATGCTCTGTTCTTGTTTTGTTTCCTTTTTTTTCCTCTCTGAGCTTCAATGTTGATGTTTTCTATTAGTTTATCTTCCAGTTCACTAATGCTGACATCTGCTATAACCAATCTGCTCTCAAACAATTCATTTCTTTGCTGCAAATATTATATTTATTAGTTCCAGGATGCCCATTTGATGCTTTTTTTAAAGATTAAAACTTTATCTGATAATCTCTACACTCTTAATCATTTTGTCCATCATTCTATTTCTTTGGACATAATCATGGTTACTTTAAAGTTCTTGTCTAATAACTCTGGTTTACTGGTGGGCCTCCTTCTATTGTCTACTTTTTCTCTTGGTTTTTAGTTAAATGGTCTTTTCTCTTGAGTAATATTTAAAGGAATGCCAAATATTTTGTATAAAAGCACTGGAAAGACTCTAGCGTTTTCCCCCCAAGTAGAGTTAACCCTATTCTCTGCTAGGCAGATAGAGTGAAGTATTAAACAGTTTAATCCCAATAGGGACTAAACTGAGTCAAGGTTAAGATGCAGTTTGGATAAGAATCAGTCTATCCAGCCAGGCACAGTGGCTCACTTTGTAATCCCCACACTTTGGGAAGCCAAGGTGGGTGGATCGCTTGAGCTCAGGAGTTTGAGACCAGCCTGGGCAACACAGTGAGACCCCCATCTCTACAAAAAAATATAAAAAGAGCTGGGTACAGTGGTGCATGCCTGTAGCTCCAGCTGAGGCTGAGGTGGGAGGATCACTTGAACCCAGGAGGTCAAGGCTGCAGTGAGTCAAGATTGAGCCACTGCACTCCAGCCTGGGTGACAGAGTGAGACCCTATATTAAAAAAAAAAAAATTGCCTATCTATCTCTAGTTTGCCCTGCTCTTAGAGTATGACCCTCAATCAAGAGTCTGGTAGGTCTTTGTCTCAGCACTGTGAACAAAATTCTCTGGAAAGGAAACTGGAGGAAAGAGACTTTATATTCCAGTGAATAGTTTGCAAACCAGGGAGATGCAGCCTTCAGTGTAAAACAAGATGTGTTCCAGAGCACAAAGGGAGGGTTGGGGTTCTGTAGCAAAAGTTTCCACCCAGGTTCCCAATCAGGTCCATTTATGCAAATGAGAGATTCAGACTCAGGTAGTTCCAATTAGTTGATACAGCTGAGCCTTGATTGGTCAAGGCAGGTGGGCTCTGATTGGTTGGTTTAGGCGTGCTCTGAAAGTCACCAAGTCAAACAGAGGTGTTGGATTTCTGGGAACTCAGGAGTACCTATGTGATTTCTAGTTAGCAGATGGCTGCTTGGCTGTATTTTACTATTTCACATTTAGGCCTCGTTAGCCACTGGGGATCTTTCTGTCTTTTTTTTTTTTTTTTTTCCTTTTGAGATGGCGTCTGGCTCTGTCGCCCAGGCTGGAGTGCAGTGGCGCAATCTCGGCTCACCGCAAGTTCCGCCTCCCGGGTTCACGCCATTCTCCTGCCTCAGCCTCCCGAGTAGCTGGGACTACAGGCGCCCACCATCACGCCCGGCTAATTTTTTTGTATTTTTAGTAGAGACGGGGTTTCACCGTGTTAGCCAGGATGGTCTTGATCTCCTGACCTCGTGATCCGCCCGCCTCGGCCTCCCAAAGTGCTGGGATTACAGGCGTGAGCCACCGCGCCCGGCCTAGGGATCTTTCTTGAAAGATTGGCTCTTTCAGGTTCACATTTGTTCATGACACTAAGAGACTGCAGGAAATTATTTTCCTTTTGGGGGTTTTGGCTTTGCTCTTCAGCATCCTGCCCTGAACTGCTTCAAATTGTAAAAAGCCTGTGGAGAGAGGGTACTGGCCACGCATTTGAGATTCCCTCAAGTCTCCACATTTGTCCAGCTGCACAAAACTCACAGCTAATGTTCTCAGGAAAAAGCAGCTGCAGATGCCTGACAGCAGGGGTCAGTTCACCTGCTCTCCAGCGTTTTCAGCTCCTGCCAAGCTGTTCTCAGGAACTCCACCCCCTGGTGAGCCTTTGTCTTCTCAGGAGACCACAGGGAGCCTGGGCAACACGGTGAGACCCCACTCTACAAAAAATACAAAAAGTACCCGGGAGTGGTGGCACGTGCCTGTGGTCCCAGCTACTCCGGGGCTGAGGTGGGAGGATCACTTGAGCCTGAGAGGTCCAGGCTGCAGTGAGCTGTGATTTTGCCACTGCATTCCTGCCTGGGTGACAGAAAGAGACACTGCCTCAAAAAAAAAAAAAAAGACCACGGGAAATTCCACTCTACTTTCCTGAGGTCTTCAGCTTAGCCTGTCAGCCTCTCACATCACACAGCTTCACAGTTCAGCACCTCTGAAGGAGGAAGCTGGCTGGATGTTTGAGGCCCCCCCAAGCCTCTAATTTGATGACTCCACAGCATCCCCCGACTGGACTCAGCACCAATTTCAGTCTTTGCCCAGGATTATCAAATGACAGGAAGGGAAAGGCATCTGCAGATGCTCACCTCTGAGCTGTCCTCCCTTCTCCAGAATTTTACTTCCTCTGGCCCTTGTTGCTTCCATAGCTCCCCGATGGTTTGGAAAATACAATCTTTATTTTTATTTAGATTTTCCATAGCGTGGCTGTAGTGTTACCAGAAAGGGGTCCCAATCCAGACCTCAAGAGAAGGTTCTTGGACCTCATGCAAGAATTTGGGGCAAGTCCATAGGCTAAAGTGAAAGCAAGTTTATTAAGAAAGTAAAGGAATATAGAATGGCTACTCCATAGGCAAAGCAGCCCTGAGGGCTGCTGGTTGGCTATTTTCATGGTTATTTCTTGATTATATGCTAAACAAGGGGTGGATTATTCATGAGTTTTCCAGGAAAGGGGTGGACAATTGGAATGGAGGGCTCCTCCCCTTTTAGACATATAGGGTAACTTCCTGATGTGTCCATGTCATTTGTAAACTGTCACGGTGCTGGTGGGAGTGTCTTTTATCATGTTAATTTTATAATTAGTGAATAATCAGCAGTGAGGACAACCAGAGATCACTTTTGTCGCCATCTTGGTTTTGGTGGGTTTTGACTGGCTTTTCTTATCACAATCTGTTTTATCAGCAAGGTCTTTGTGACGTGTATCTTGTGCTGACCTCCTGTCTCATCCTGTGACTTAGAATGCCTAAGCTCATGGGAATGCAGCCCAGTAGGTCTCAGCCTTATTTTACTCAACCCCTATTCAAAATGGAGTCACTCTGATTCAAACGCCTCTGAAAGTAGCATTGGCCTGTTGCCAACCACTTCATCTCACCCTAAGAGAGGGAGAGCTGTTTTTTTTTTTTTTTTTTTTTTAAGGTAGAAGGAATTAAATTATGTCTTTGTGCTGATGGAATTGATGCTGGAGAGACTGGACTACAGGCAAGGTATAAACTGAAGTGGTGAGAGCCCAAGGGGATGACTTGGCTTGAAGGAAGGAGGGGCTCTTCTTCCAGTGTAACTGAAAGGAACAAGGAGAATCGGCTCAGATGCAAGTAAGGGTTTTAGGTTTGGGGGCAAGAAGATGAAATTCCTTTCCTCCACCTTTCACAACATGAAATTACAAATGGTTATTTTGTAATTTTCTAAGACCTAACCTTGGAAAATAAACACGTGAAAATATTAAGAATATGTTTATGACCTTCGATAGGGATGATCTTCTTAAAGATGACAAACAAAGCAAAAGTATGACTTTTTTTTTTTTTTTTTTTTTTTTTGAGATGGAGTTTTGTTCTTGTTGCCCAGGCTGGAGTGCAATGACACCATCTCGGTTCACCATAACCTCCGCTTCCCGGGTTCAAGCAATTCTCCTGTCTCAGCCTCCTGAGTAGCTGGGAATACAGGCACGTGCCACCACACCAGCTAATTTTGTATTTTTAGTAGAGACAGGGTTTCTCCGTGTTGGTCAGGTTGGTCTCGAACTCCCGACCTCAGGTAATCTGCCTGCCTCAGCCTCCCAAAGTGCTGGGATTACAGGTATGAGCCACCGAAAAGTATGACTTCTTATGACAATACATGAAGTTTTAAAAGTGACCAGAGTAAGAGAAGATAGTAACAATATATAGCAAAGTATTAGTTTCCAGTATATGTAATGAACTCTTACAGATCAGTAAGTAAAGCGAATAACCCATTGGAAAAATAGGGAACAGCTAGAATTCACAGAAAAGGAGATGAAAACGGCCAGTTGCTGTATGAGAAGATGTTCAATCTCACAAGTAATCAAGAAAATGCAAATTTTAAAAGTGAGATACATTTTTAAAATCTATAGTAGTGCCAAACAAAAGCACTTGGCAATATCAAATGTTGGCAAGTGGTGTCGTTTGCCTTATTGACCAGGTCCCTTCTTCACAAGGAGCTGGTGAGGGAGAACCAGGCTCTTCCTCCCGTGGCCACCCTAGCCAGTCAGTTTCCACAGAACTAACACACCAGGCTGGGCAGGCCAATGCAAGTTTCTTTACTGAAAGGTGGGTCCGTTTCAAAAGGACAGTTTGGACACAGAATAGACAAACATTAGAGTTTGAGAGTTTTCCCTTGAGTTTTGCAAGACAAAACATCTAGTAACTTCAGTATTCACCAGGAAAAATTCCCCAGTGCCTCTCCCTCCAGCCCTTTCTCCTGCCTGCCTTCAGGATCACCCCTTGTCTCATAGGTTTTCATTTTTCAGTTCTCCTTCTTGGATAGAGTCTATCCTGCCCACAGGTGAGCCCTCTCTTCCCATGCCAAATTTCCATCTAACCCTTGGTCTGAAGCAGGTGCAGGCTTCAGCCAGGTGGAAGCTGCTGGGTGGGTGCTGCCTAGCCTTTGACGGTTGGGTAAGGAGAAGCGGGGTGAAGTTAGGGTGATGGGCTCCAGTCTGTTGGCCAAGGTTGAGCCTGGCTTCTCTCATTCAAGTTTCCTCATTGGCAAGAACTGTAAGCCTGCCAGTTCTTTTATTAATAGATCTATAAAGTTGGCACCTCTCCCAAGGGCAGATCTTTTCTCCCCCATAGGACAAGACAGTCTAAAACCAAATTGAGGAAACAACACTTTCTCTGTTAGCACGGGCTCGTCCTGCCCTTGCAAACTTTGGTCTCATTATTGGCAGAGGGGCTTTTGATTTCTCCCCAGCTCCACTGAGAGGGGGTGGGGAGAGCTGGATTTATCTTTCATAGCTGAGCTTTGTTGGAAGAGGACCAAGGGATAAATTCATTCAGCCCAGCCATTCTTTCTCCTTCCCCAGACACATGGAAAAAGAAGGTTCCTACAATGGAATAGTATTTTCCATTTGCAAATGAGTTAGGAAGCCAGGGGCACACAGCATCAAGCCTATGGCAGAACTCTTGCCTCCCTTTCAGTCAGAATAATTGTCTCCCACCTTGTATTCAGACTTTTGTTATCACATCAGCCTCACTCTGACTTGGCTTACAGCGTGTAGGTTTATATTGCCTGGATCCTATTTCAGGGTTTCTATCTCTGTCTCCATTAGACTCTGGCTCCCGAACAAAAAGGGGACCTGGAATATTTGAAAGTGAAATGGGAGAGTTCCCTGACCCCTGTCCCATGATGTGTGACAGGGGCATAGCTCTTATGTTCAGCCGCCACATCCTCAAACCCCTTACCGGAGGGGGAGCATGCAGACGGGCAGGTGCAGGAGCCAGGGCAAGCACTTTTTGGGCTCCGGACCCATGGCAGCACCTATGGGTGGGTGTCTGCAACTCCCAGAGTCCAAGTGGGCACATGTTACAGCGTTCTGTTAGCCTTGCTGTCCGTGGATGACTTAAGTGTTAGACAGTTCACTGGACCTAGGTCTTTGTCCAATGTCCAGGAAGAATCAGGTCACACATAAACTTGAAGGATGAATGCAGCGGTTTCACTGAGTGGTGGAGGTGGCTCTCAGCAGGATGGATGGGGAGCTGGAAGGGGGATGGAGTGGGAAGATGATCTTCCCCTGGAGTTTGGCTGTCCAGTGGCTAATCTCCTCTCCAACCGCCCCCAGCCAAATTCCTCTCAACATTCAGATGTTCCTTTTCTTCTCTCTGCTGTGCCATTCTGCCATTCTTCTGCTCTTCTGTTTGTCTCCTCATCTGCTTCTGGAGCCTGGGGTCTGGGGTTTATACAGGTATAGGATAGGGGACATGACGGGCCAAAAGGCAACTTTTGGGCATGAAAACAGGAATGCCTCTTCCCATTTAGGGCTGCAGGTTTCCAGGTTTGAGGGTAGGGCCTTTGCCAGGGAACCACCCTCTTCTACCCAGTATTTCTGGGTCTCCTGTCTGTATCAAAAGCATATAGGATTTGATGGTGAACAGTCCCAAATCCAAAGGTTAGTTCTACATCTGACTAGTTGTGTGACTTTGACCTTATAAACTTTTTGAACTTCCTACTCCTCACCAGTAACACAAAAATGCTATCTACCTTACTATGTTGTAAGAAATGGTAATCACATTTGTAAAGTCCCTGGCACACGGTAGATCATCAATGATAATTTATCAGCTGGGGGACAGAGACCATTTCTTATTCATCTCTATGTCCTCAGCATCAAACCAGTGCCAGAAACATTGGAAGGGCCCAGAGAGTATTTGTTGGATTGAAATATCCTTTAGTCAAATTGTTTCCTGGGTCAAAACAGTTCTAGCCGAGTTCAACATGAACCCAGAGGTGTGCTGAAAATATAATTCATTCTGACTCTCTTCCGCCAACTCCTCATAGAAAATGTACTCAGGAATGAAAGTGTTCACAGCAAAACAAAGGCCCTGGGTATTGAGAGTTTGCAGTGAAATAGAGAGGTCTGAGGGGTCAGGAGAAACAAAGCATCAGTCCGCACAGACGGTCCCCTGGGGTCTCTGTAATTATCATGTCTTCTTTTGCAGCTCTGCTGTGTGACTGGTCTATTTAGGTTAGCAGAGTTGCCGAGGTGAGAGGTGCACTCTGATTGGCCATGGAGGCTGCCCTTGTGTGCCTGGAGCTTTTCCTGACCATGGTACAAAGCTTCCTCATGCAGTGCATGAAGATCCACCTGCATCTTCCCTCTGCTGCCTCTCCCTCTGGCCCTTTGGGCTGTGGTTTTAAATGGTTCTTCATTTAATCCATCAGAATGACCCAGAAGGAAGCAATTGTTTGTAAATGGGTCACTCCCTCAAGTGTGGTGGCAGCCTTCTTATGATGAAGAAATTGGGTCTTTGCAAATAGTAAGTGTCTAACCAAAGACTGGGGTGAGGGGAGAGAGGCCCGCATGTGTTACAAGCTCCTCATGGAAACTAGGCAGTATTCCTATCTTTGTTTTAGAGATGAAGAATCAAGGCTCTGAAAGCAACCATCAGGATGGGCACGGTGGCTCACACCTGTAATCCCAGCACTTTGGGAGGCTGAGGTGGGTGGATCGCTTGAGCCCAGGAGTTTGAGATTGGCCTAGGCAACTTGGCGAAATCCCATCTTTACAAAAGATAAAAAATTAGCTTGATGCCATGGCAGGCGCCCCATGGTCCCAGCTACTCAGGAGGCTGAAGTGGGATGATCTCTTGAGTTCGGGAGGTTGAGGCTGCAGTGAGCCATGATCATGCCACTGCACTCCAGCCTAGGAGACAGAATGAGACCTTGTCTCAAAAAAAAAAAAAAAAAAAAGTGACGGTCACTTAGCCAAGATCACAGAGATAGTTAGTGGAGGAGCTGGAATCTGAACTTCAGCATGTTTGATTCCAAAGTTCAAACTCTCTTCTACTACACCACAGGTACCTGGTGGACGCTGCAAACCCTGTTCACTGATTGATTGACAGAAGTCAGGCTGGTACTCGTGAGCTGGGGACATATGCCCCAGTAACTCAGCAAGCCTCTCAAGCTACATTGCCAAATACTAATCACTCATCTAATCCACACAGGGCATCTGGGGCCCAGCTCCAAGCTACTCCATAACAACAGAGGGCACCATCTTATTTATACTCGGGCCCTGCAGGATCCAACTTGTCTAGGAGATATTCTGGGGATGAAATGGAGGGGACCTCACTGCACAACTCTAATAAATAGAATGCCTGATTTGTAAGGCCATGGTTGCTTGAATATCTGAGGTCCCAGGGATGCCAGCCAACATGCCTGGCTTTCTGGGGTTGGGAGAGGAAGTAACCCACCTCTCCCTCCTCTCTGTAAATACAAATATTATGAGGACCCTCCCATCCTTAGAAACAAGCCTGCTCACCACCATTTTTTCATGATGGTCAATATAGTATGTGGGTTGAAAACACAGATTCTGGAGCCAGATTGCCTGCTTTCAAATCTCAGCTCCAGTATTTACTAGCCACGTGAATTCCAGCAAGTAACTCACCTGTCAAAAGGTATAATGAAAAGACTACAAACTTTGTATAGTTGTAAGGATTAAATGAGCTGAAGTGTGCTGAGTTCTTAGAACATGCCTGGCACACAGTAAGTGCCTTAGGTCTTGTTATTATTGAGTATTGTGCTAGCTCTCCAGCCTTCCCTTCAAAGCTAGACTTCTCAGAGAAGTCTAGAGGCACTAACCCTCAAGCCTGATACCTGGTACAGACCATCTCATAATCTTGTTTCTGCCAACCTGCCTGCAGCCTCCACTGAAACTGCTCTCTTAAAGGGCCCCAGGAGCCTCCTTCCTGAAGGTGGTGGACGATGAGTTCCTTTAGTAGAAGCCATCCCAGTAACTGCCGCCTGCCACACTGCGGCCCTTCCCACCTTCTCAACCCTCTAGTTTTCCTTTGGTTTCCATGCCTCGACACTGGCAATTCTCACCTTTTGACATACCAAAGTTTAAAATGTTAGGTGGAATTAAAATTAACCATCATCCACCTCCTAAAAGCTTTCCCCCTAAACTTCTTTTCCTTTTTTAGACAGGGTCTCACTCTGTCAACCAGGCTGGAGTACAATGGTGCCATCATAGCTCAATGCAGCCTCAACCTCCTGGGCTCAAGCGATCTTCCCACCTCTGCCTCCCAAGTGGCTGTGACTACAGGTGCTTGCCACTGCACAGGGCCCCCGCCAGACTTCTGATAACAGCATGTATTTTGTCCCCACCATTCACCTTTCTCATCAGAGAGATCTGGTAAATGAGGCTTCACTGAACACACAGAGCCCAAGATGTGATCGTTTAACAGCCATCCATCTTTATCCACCAGACTAGATTCCCCAGTGTCCAGAGAAAAGGTTGTTCGCATTTTCATTATGCTATAGGGACCTGCTATAGGAGGCGGGCAGGCATAGGGGCAAGGCAGAGGCAATGAACAGACACTGGCTGGTCTCACTGGCTTATATAGTATGTTAGCTGGACTTTCTGGGCAAAAATCAAAGGTCTCAACTCAGATCTTACACATACATGCAACATACAGCCAAGTCCATAGTCCTGTGACTTGCCAGGTTCATCATCCATCACCCCTTCCCACTGTCTGGAATCATTCATCCCCCGGAAACCTCAGCCCTGAACCAGCCCTGAGTCCAATTCCACCCTGATTTAGAGAAGGGGAGTGGATTAAAGACCTAGCTGACAATTCAGCAACTCCAGCCTGTCTGCTGGCCATACTAGTGTTCGAGGTCCCCACTTTGAAACTAGGGTTCAAGTCTCCACACCCCAGTCCCTCCATCAAAGATCTGCCTTAATACCAACAGTTCAGGGAGCATTTTCTGCCCCCAACCCCCAACATACACACACCCCTACACACAATGCACGCATACACATACACATACTCACGCATCCTTTGCAAACACCAGAGGCCTGCATCTGATTCAGGGCTGTGTCTCAGGCCTCAAGTCCTGATAACAGTCTCTCTGATGCTGAATGGATAGACATGGACCATGTCATCTTGGGGTTTACAGTAGGCCTGGCACATACCAGGTGCCTGATAAATGTCAGAAGAGCCAAATTCTTGCTGCCTTGCACCTGCTGCATGAAAAGTCATAAGGAACGGCATAAAGAGTACGTCCTTGGGGATGAGACAGCCAAGCTTGGATTTGGGTTCTGGCACTTCGTTGGCTTTGGGATGGTGAACACATTCCTCAACCCCTTTGCACCTCAGTTTCCTCAAGGTTGCGAGGATTAGCAATGACATATGGAAGTGTGTGCTGTAAAAATGCCTGCCTGGGTTTGATCTTGAGGAATGGTGCTATGGAAACAGAATATTATAACTCCCCTCCCCTTTGAGAGGGGAAATAAATCTGAAATATAAATTTTTCTTCAGGAAAAGAATTACTTGTAATGAAAATAAACTATGAAGAAATTACCGTACCTTTGTTTATCCAGTGCAAAAATGCTGCCTCTGCTCTGAAATATTTGTAAGGCCTTTTGGGTTATAAAGTGTGTTAGCTGGACTCTCTGGGCAAAAAATCAAAGGTCTCAACTCTGAGCTTTCTTCTGAGTTTTCACCCTCCCTAAGCTTCCTGATGCTCAAGGTCCAGAAATGCAAGAGATTGCTCAGCTGTGTACTCCATCGTTGCCTCTTTATAAAATATAAATCAGGCTGGGAGTGGTGGCTCACACCTGTAGTCTCAGCACCGTGGGAGGCCAAGGCAGGAGGATCGCTTGAGCTCAGGAGTTTGAGACCAGCCTGTGCAATATAGTGGGATCCCATCTCTACAAAAAAGTAAAACTAAAATATGAATCAGAACCCTATATTCTGTGCCAACTCCTAGCTTTGTGAAGCACATTTTATATTACTGCATGAAGCCACAAAACCTGGCAAGTGTAGGAGACTGCTGAGTGTTACACATTTACTCACTCGAGATATACATGTATAGAATTTGGTTTTGTTTGGGATTTTTAAAAAAAGTATTCTCTCCCTCTGTCCTCCTCCTCCTCTGGTTGTTCCCCAGCACTGTGAATAGCTCCAGGAGCCTTTAGTGTTTGAGGGGGCAGCTTCCTGTGCTGCTTCTCCCTGTTGGAGGGATGTGTAACAAGTTTCTATTGATAAAAGTGCTTTGGACAATTTCAGAAACTAAAATTCATCTCAAAACAAAATAGTAGCGATTGTTACTGCTGTAATTATTGTCAAGTCCTCGTGTATCAGCTTTCCCCCAGACAGTGGTAGTCACCCACTTGCTAAGATACCAAATTTACCTCTTTTTGGGGTCTCCCTCCTTCTGCCTTTTGTCACCTTTCATTTCTTCAATAAATATTTATCGGGCTCCCACTTTGTGCTGGCACAGTCCTGGATGCAGCAGATCCAGAGGCGAATGAGACAGGCACGTGCCTCTCTGCTTCATCCACGTCCTTTCTAGCAGGGTGGCAGATGATAAACAAAACCAACTGATGTTACTCTAGATGGCAATAAAAGTGTTATGGCACTGTAATGGGCTGGAGTGATGGAGGAGGGTACCTATGTCAGACACAGGGCCAAGGAAGACCCCTCGGAAGAGGGTATTTGGGCAGAGAGAGCCAGCTGCATGATCTGGCAGAGGGGGCACAGATTCCCAGGAGACAGAAAGACAGCGTGAAGGTCCAAGAGCAGAACAAGCCTGGAGTGTCTGAGAAACAGAAAGGCCGGTACGAGGAGGGGAAGGGGATATTAGATGAGGTTAGGAGGTAAGGACAGGCAGCAAGTCACACAGGGCTGTAGGCCAAGGTTTCATTCCAAGGGCTGTGAGAAACCGAGAGCGGATTAAAAAGATCCAGCTTGTGGCTCCGCAGAGAAGGCACTGCAGGATTTGCGAGCAGAAGCCAAGACCACTCGGGAGGCTGTTGTGAAAGTCCCAGTAAGAGATGAGGCGGCATGGACTGGAATGGTGGAGAGAGAGGTGAGAAGGCGCTGGAGGAAGGATCTATTTCAGAGCTGATAGGACTCGACAGTGGGTTGAGGTAGGTGTGAAGGAAAGAGAGGAAAGAAAGCAGGACCTCTGCCTCCCCAGTACATGCTTCACCAGCCTTCCTGACCAGCCAAGACCCTGGCCCAGCTCCCACCTCCACCCAAGCACCATCCTGATTTCCCTCCTCACAGGCTACATGTTCCAGAGCCCCCCTCCTCTCTCACCTGCACTCTCACCTCCCCAGCTTCTGTTGTAACTCCAAGAAGGAGAAGGAAGGAAAAAAGGACGTGACTCGAATCTGCAATGGCAGCTGCTCTTGGCCCAGTGTGAATGTGTCTGGGATGTAAATCTGTTGTCTCTCTGGATAAAACAGGAAACAATTACTCATGCAGATGAAAAACTTTTATTCCCCTCCTTGACAGCTAACATCTCAAGGAGTCTTTACTATGTCAGTCCTCAGTTGAGATAGAAGCAAATATTTTCTGTCTGTAGTCTCTGGGATAATGCAAGGAAGCTTCTGGTTTAATAATGAGCTTCTGATTTTTGGCAGGACCACGGAGATACAAGGCGGGGGAAGGAGAAAGGCAAAGAACAGCGAGAGAGGTTCTAGGGAAGCGCACCTGATTGCAGGTGAAAATTATTTCAAAGTCAGGGGAAGTCGGATATGGTACTGGTCTAGTTACTGAGATGATACAGGGGCTCCTGGGAGAGATGAGCCCTTAGACAGCCCCTGGGCAGGGGACAGGGACCACAACCGGAAATTACAGCTCTGGGTTCCAAGCTGGGGCTTATTTCATTTAATCATTCACTCATTTAACAAATCTTCATTGAGCATCCACAATGTGCCAAGCCCGTGTAGATTTTACTTTAGGTACTGGCAGGAGTGGGAGGGGATTAACGAGTAAACAGAAAAATTATGATGCAGAGTAAGCGTGAGAAGAAACCAGCACAGATTTGGATGCTGCTAATAAGAGCCCAAAGAAATTGCATCTAAGCAGAGGCCTTAAGATGAGGTGGGCAAAGGCAGAAGACATGGAATTCCAGGCAGAGGGAACAGCATACGCAAAGGCAGAAAGGCAAGAGGTGCTCAGCAGGCCCAGGGAGTTGCTAAGAGCTCAGTATAGCTGCAAAGTAGATTGTAAAGTGTGGAAGGCAGCTTCTAAAATAGCTCTCAAGTTCTTCACCTGCAGTTTATCCTTTGCATGGTCCCCTCTCCTTGAATGTAGGTATGACTTGTGCCTTGCTTCTAACCTGTAGAAAACAGGACAAAGGTGACCGGGCGTGGTGGCTCACGCCTGTAATCCCAGCACTTTGGGAGGCCGAGGTAGGCGGATCACGAGGTCAGGAGATGGAGTCCATCCTGGCTAACACGGTGAAACCCTGTCTCTACTAAAAATACAAAAATTAGCTGGGTGTGGTGTTTATTTATTTATTTATTTATTTTTCAACTGAAAAAGCTTAGTAGCCCAGCCCTGTGGTTATCCACTAACTCCAAAGTTATCAACTAGTGCTCAGCTAGTTACCTGCTTATAAACACCAGAATTCTAGCTCAGCTTCAGCAAAGATTAGTCAATAGCTGGCAAAAAGAAACACAGACAGATGGACAAGAGCCAGAGAACACCAGAGACAAGAGCGAGGCTGATTAGGAGGCCAGAGCTGCGAAGCCAGACAGCCAGCAGCCTCTTTCCAGCCCTGTTCCTCCACCACGTCGTCACTCAGGTTTCTCTTTCCTTTGCTGCTTTCCTGGCTCACTTGAATCAATTTACAGGTGACTCCATACACCTGTCTGCCTCTGCACTTCCAACCCCAGTGGGGTCTTCATCCCTATCCAGAGGAGGCTGGGGAGTGAGGATTGGCTTATCCAACTCTGGCTGAGGGCAGCTTCTGGAACAAAGAGGCTGCTTAGAACACGCCCATGGAAAGAAGTCGAATTGAATCCATCAGAATTCCCCACTTGTTGATGCTGGAGTGAAGTGGAGACATTCCATTCCATGAGGCCCATTTTGTAGATGGGGAACTAAGGCTAGAAAACATGTCCCTTGAGCCTTGCTTTTAATGATGACAAAGAGACAGCGGTGTGTAGTACAAAAGGCCTTGAACCAGAGATGCAGAGATCTGGGCTTTACTTGTACCTCTGTCAGGGACGCCCTGGGTGACTGCAGACAAGCCACTTATTCTCTAAGTTTAGGAGAAAATCAGAAATTGCTGATTCATCACTCACTCAGCAAACATTTCTGGAGCCTCTTTGACGTGCCAGGCCTGGGGATAACTATTGAAATATGTGGGCTCCAAACTGTAGCCAGATCACATCACGGAAGTTGGGTTTGGCCCTGCGGCCACCTGTCCGCGTGGCTTTCGGTCACGTTTTCTCACTTGCTGTGTCTTCTTCACATATGTGTAAATGAGAGAAAAGAAGGGCCTGTTTTTCATGCTGCTGTGCAGTTTGAATAGTAACGTAGGATGTGCACAGAGCAGCCCTGGCCTGCAGAGGCTCTCAAGCTGTAGACAGCATTGGTCAATGGACTGCTGCAAAGAACCAGCAACAGGCAGGACATGCAGTAGATCAGGGTCTGGAAACACTTCGTCCGAGCCACACACCTCTGGAAACTTAGCAGGAAGGCTTAATTTGAAACATTTGTGATCATACTTCAGGATGTCACTTGTAATTCCCGTGATCTGCAAAAAGGTGAACGTTCACACTCACATTTAATAGCTTCATTCTAACATCTCGGGTACCCCATAAATACATCACTCTGCACCCACAAAAATTAAAAATAAAAAAATTTTAAGTTGTTTTATGATATAAAAATAGCTTGAATCTAACCAAACTATAGACAAAATCATGAGTTTGATATTCTGGTAACTTTTTGGAAATACATAAATGCATATTAATCATTGCAATTCTCTATCTTTGCAGCAGTTATAGCCTATCGGGGAAAAATTCAGAAAAATAGAAAAGCATTATAGATGGGATGGAATCATTAACAAGAGGTAGATTATGAAAATTTCCAAATGAGGGGCATGAGTAGTAGGGGTGACCTGGGCTTCCAAAGGTGCCTCTGGCCACAGAGTGAGGCAGGAGATTCCAGGTGAGCCCAGACAGGAGCAAGGAGGGGGTTGGGCTTGTGACCAGAGCTCGAGTCTGGGAAGGGCCTCCACTGGCCACCCTGAGCACAATGAAGGTGTGGTACAATACCCAGCAGGGGCCTCACCACGTGCAGACATGGGCCCTCACCCCCTCCTGAGCTTAGAGCCCCCAGGGAGGCAGGCAGGAAGTGGTGTTTGCAGACAGCTTTCAGCAGAGTGCCCAGCAGGTGCCCTTTGTGCAGATGGTACAGTTCCCAGGAGCTCTCTCTCAGTGCCCTGCCCTCCAGCCCCACCCCTGGTTCCAGGGAGGGCCACACTAGGGCAGGATCCAGCAGGACAGCAAGAAGCCAGCTCCCTGCCTGCCTGACTACAAGGTGCCTTTTGGCTCTCAGACAGTGCAGTAGTGGAGCAGTGGAGCTGCAGCCAGCCAGAACCCGGTTCAAATTTCAACTCTGCCTCTTACTAGCCGGCTGACCTGGGCACTTTCTTCCTTTTCTGGCCTCTGTCTCCTTTTCTGTAAAACTGAACATGAATATCTGTCTTGTTGGACATTGCATCCACCCGATGTTTACTGGGCATCAGTTAGGAGTTAGGCATTGTTCCTGCTGTGAGATCCCACTGATGCCTGGGGTGACGGATCATCATACTCAACAGAGCTTTCATTTATCAAGTGCTTCTTCTATACCAGACCCGGGATGAAATGCTTTACAGCTAATATCTCGTTTAATCGTCACCAAAAGCCAAGCAGAGGTCGAATCATCCCATTTAACAGTTCAGAAAAAGAAGTCTCATGAGGTGAAACAAGCTGCCCAAAGAGTTTCAGCTTAGCACAGCACAGCTGGGATGGAACCAAGGCCTGTGGGACACCAGCCTGCTTCCCAGCACCTCCCAAGGGGTCCACACCTGGGACATTCTGGGGAAATGCCTGGGATTAGCCAAGGTCCTTGATCCCCTTCCCACACTGCATTGCACACAGGACGGGGCACATTGAGTGTCCATAACCAGTCAGGAGTGACTGGTGGAGGCTTGAACAGCGTGACCAAGCATTCCACCTCACATCAGGGGTCCTGCCCCTAAATCTCAGCGGGACCGCAGCCAAGTGGCTCCCTGACTGGGCCTGGGCAATGAAGAGATGACAGTTGATAAAGATCTTTGGAGAGTTCTCAGAGCACTGATCAAACATAGAGTCACCATTTGGATCAGAGGGAGCTCGTGTTGCTGGCCTTGGATGCTGGCCTGCCACTCTCTAGCTTTGTGACCTTGGGTAAGTGACTTAACCTCTCTGAGCCTCAATCCAACTCAGTTTTCCTGTCTGTATTCCAGGGATAGTAGTAATGCCTTCCTGACAGAGCTCAGAGGTTAAAGGAGATGATGGAGGCAAAGTGCCAGAGCATGGTGCCAGGCCCCAAAGGGTGCAATGATGTGATGGGATCATAAGAAGAGCGGGTATGGTGGCAGCCCCATTTCCCTGCATCCTCCTGGCTCCAAGCATGGGAGGCAACACCCAGTAAACCTGTGGAATTGAGTTGAATCTACCAACCCCAGATAAGAACCCATGTGCAGTGTCATGAAACCACTTGCAGTTATAGGGTAAAGACCTCAGAGGAAAAAAATATGCTTTGTTGGCCGGGCGCAGTGGCTCACGCCTGTAATCCCAGCACTTTGGGAGGCCGAGGTGGGCAGATCACGAGGTAGGAGATCGAGACCATCCTGGCTAACACGATGAAACCCCGTCTCCACTAAAAATGAAAAAAAAAAAAAAAATTAGCCGGGTGTAGTGGCAGGCGCCTGTAGCCCCAGCTACTCGGGAGCCTGAGGCAGGAGAATGGCGTGAACCGGGGAGGCGGAGCTTGCAGTGAGCTGAGATCACGCCACTGCACTCCAGCCTGGGGGACACAGTGAGACTCCGTCTCAAAAAAAAAAAAAAGCTTTGTCCACAGTCCAGGGTGGGAGGCCAGTAGGGGGCTTTACTGAGCAGGGCAGAATCTGTTTTCTTTCCCTCCATATTAGAGTCAAGACCATGTAGGGAGCTCCAAATGCCACGCCTTTCCCCAGCTGGTGGCTGCTGTTATGCTGAACCCCTATCTACTCCAATGGGGATGGCAGCAGGTTTGAGAGGCTGAAGAAAGGACCCAGGGCTGCTGAAGGAGACATGGAGTTTTACTGGGGCTTACATGCAGGGGAGAGCATCTAGCAGTGGTGGGCTGGGCAGGAGAGCCACACAACTTACAAAAAGCTTGCAGCATATATAGCATCTTCACTTAGCACCCTCCCCCAACAGTGTCCACCTGGCAACATTTACCTAACCCAAAACAAAGGGCCTTGATCCCCTGTACTGTCCGTGTTGCACAGGACGGGACAGGAGCTCAGATGTTCCTCATAGATAAGGAATAGGAATGAATCTCCAGGTTGGCCACTCCCAGATTCCTTAGCTCAGAACTCCAAACCACATTCACCTGCACCTGCCATAAGGGTCATTCTCAGGGGATGCTTAAGTTATTGCTATCAGGTGCGTTCACTGTAAGCGGCTTTTGGGGAAATCACCTGCTGGGTCTGGAGGAGCAGGGCTATCATAGGAGAAGGTCCCCCAGGTTCAGAAGAGCCTGGTAATCTCAAGCATATCACCTCCAGGCCTCACCTTCCCCATGCATCCATCCAGGGGCCTCTTCCTCTGTGTCACTCTGGGCTCCATCCTCTTGGTGCATTTGGAGTCAGACGAGACCTGGGTTCAAATCCTTGGCTGGAGGGATGCAAGATGCACGTGGAAGGAGAACCAATTCATCCTGTCCAGGCTCTTCTAGAGCAGCTGGTCTCCTGCCGACCTGTCTAGCTGACCCTAGCACCAGAGCAAGCTCAGCCAAGGTGGGCCAAGCCAGGCCCCGGTTGGCAGAAACACTCAACTGACTTGACACATGTGGGCAACAATAAGTGCTTGCTACATTTCGGTGTGGCTTGTCATGGAGCAATAGCTCACTGGTGTAACCAAGAGGCAGCAGAGCTGTGCGTGCGGTAAACAAACAGCAGTCCAGCTGCCAAGGAACATTTCATATACGAAGGCAGGAAGCCGTGACAGCACCTGCAGTTTACCAGCAGGGTAGTTATGAGGCCTGGTGCTGTGGGGGTCCTTCTACCACGAGAGAAGCCAGCCTGGGGACAGAGGACAGAGGAGACCCTATTCCCCACTTGTCCCCTCGTGTGCTCCCACATGGCACAGATATTTGATGCTCAGAGCTGTGCCAGGCATCTTACAAAGGTGAAGGAAAGGAAAACTGTATAAATGGGGATGCCAGCTCAGTGCCCTGATCTGATGAACCAGTGCTGGAAGCTTCTGTTCAGGGATAAAAATAAGCCCTTCTTATTTCAGCTACATTGGCAGGCTTTCTGTTGCCTGCTGCTGAAACTCCTATCTGATGCACAGTGGCTGCCTGGTCCCCACAACTCCCTGATTTCTGCAAGACCAGGCCAGACACCAAGAACCTCCCATTCTGTCTCCATGCCAGAGGTCTGTGCCTAGTTGGTGCACTTCTGAATGCAATTAAAAAGCTTGTTTGAGGCCAGGTGCGGTGGCTCGTGCCTGTAATCCCAGCACTTTGGGAGGCCGAAGCAGGTGGATCACTTGGTCAGGAGTTCAAGACCAGCCTGGCCAACATGGTGAAACCTCGTCTCTACTAAAAATACAAAAATTAGCCTGGCATGGTGGTGGGCACCTGTAATCCCAGCTACTTGGGAGGCTGAGGCAGAAGAATCACTTGAACCCGGGAGGTGAAGGCTGCAGTGAGCCGAGATCGCGCCACTGCATTCCAGCCTGAGTGACAGAGCAAGACTCAGTCTCAAAAAAAAAAAAAAAAATGTGTTTGGTGCTCAGCCCAAATGTGGGACAGTCTGTTTCTATTTTATTTTCTCTCAATTGATTCCTTGTGAAAAGTTCTTAACCTGCTCTTTTAAAATACTCTGTGTCACCTCTCCCAAACAGCACAATCCAACAAGGTGCTGACACTGTTCCAAATTGCTGTCCACTTAAGATTAAAGTCCAAAAAGAAAGGGAGAAAATAAATCACAAGACATGAAACTGGCCTCACCACTGCTGTCCCCTCTTTGGCTCCACACACACTCTCAGACTTTCTGTTTCTGATTGCAGGTGTGTAGCTGGAAGGTGAACTGAGATAGCATGAAAACAGGTGGCATGGGCTGCAGAAAGAGCACTGGGGCAGGAAACCTGGATCCTGCGCTGCTCGGATGCACTTGGCTGTGTGACCTTGGACTTGGCCATCCACTCTCTGGGCTTCGGTTTTCTCCTGTGTTCAGGGAATTCTCACTAAGTCCTCTTCCCATTCTGCTCCTCTGTGAGTTGAGTGAGGATCTTTCTCTTTAATTTCAGCCTCCATCTTGTAAACCAAGAAGTATCTGAGACAGGTCTCAATCGATTTAGAGATTTGTTGTGCCAAGGTTAAGGACATGTCTGGAAGTAAAAAGACACGAAATCACAGAAACAGTCGCTAGTCTGTGCCTTTCTCCAAAGATGATTTTGAGGGCTTTGATATTTAAAGTGGAAAAGTAGGCTGGAGAGGAGAAAGGCAGTGTATGGTCACATGACTGAATCCACATGTTGCAAAGGAAACGGAGTAGGTAGGGGATAGTCAATTACGTATTTGTCTCATGCTCAATAAATCAGCAGTTTACGTAAGATAAGGTGAACATACAGTAGCTACCTGTGGAGCTATTTAACCTTTTATCTGTAGCTATCTACTTAGGAGCAAAAGGAAAGTCAGCTTCTTGCATGACTCAGCTTTTGGCTTTTTTTTTTTTTTTTTTTTTTTGCCTTTTTGGCATAGTGAACTGGGTTCTGAAGTTTTAGTTTTCCTTTCAGAACCTGCAGCTGCAGCTGTGTCCCATGAGTGTGGTAAGGCTTAGGGTGTTTTTGGAGATGAGCAGACCCAAGTTTTAATTCCAACTATGATGCCCAAATGCTAAGTTAATGTTGGACAAGTATTTAACCAATCTGATCTTCAGTTTGTCATCTGTGAATGCGGAACAATAATAATAATAATACCTTCTTTTGATAATTAGAGATAATGCATATGAGATATAAGCACAGAGCAGATGTTCCATGGCTGGTAAATATTCTCCCTCTTCCTCTTTGTGTGGTTGTCTGCTTGCTGTGTGTCTATGGAAGTCAGATGAGCATTTGCCCAGAGGTTGGTAGATGGAGCCCACAAGCTCATAAGAATAAAATAACTAGAATGGAAACAGAAAATTAGATGTTCCATATGTTGTAACTCATTTTTGGCTGGAAATTATAGAGACCTTGGTTGGGAGTGTCATTAGATACTTGGAAAGGATGGGCGATGATTAGCACAGGTGGCTGGAGATGAACTCCCTGAACCGGCCCTGACATCTTGTTAGAGAGAGAAAAGCTCACATAGGTGTGAGCCTAGAATTTCAGTTAATATGCATTTATTCTGTATCTTGTCATCACAAAGTTGAGTTTCGCAGTCTGCTAAGAAGAGCAAAGAACTTCCCAATAATATTGAAAGGTAATAGTCCTAAGGACCTTGAAAAGCTACATTTGTTAAGGAGTTTACTGTAGAATAGCATGCTTGTTCAGTAAAAGTGAAAAACCACCTTTGTCACAGGTGGTTGATTTCACCGGACAGCGCTGGCGATCATTAACCCACCATGACCTCCCACATTCGCCTTCAGTCACCTCCACCTGTTTTTGCCGGATGCAAAGTATCTGTTTGATGCCAGATAAGTATTTGTTTTGCAAATAAGAATAATGTGGCCGGACGCGGTGGCTTACGCCTGTAATCCCAACGCTTTGGGAGGCCAAGGCAGATCACCTGAGGTCAACAGTTCGAGACCAGCCTGGCCTACATGGCAAAACCCTGTCTCTACTAAAAATACAAAAAAGTTAGCTGGAGATGGTGGTGCACACCTGTAATCCCAGCCACTTGGGAGGCTGAGACAGGAGAATCGCTTGAACCCAGGAGGCAGAAGTTGCAGTGAACCGAAATGGTGCTACTGCACTCCAGCCTGGGTGACAGAGTGAGACCACATCTAAAAAAAAAAAAAAAAAAAAAAAAGTTTAAGTTCTAGATCTACAGATGATCCTGGATCGCCCACATAGGCCCTAAATGTCATCACAAATGTCCTTATAAGAGGGACAGAGGGACATCTGACTGCAGAAAAGGAAAGGCAACGTGAAGACGAAAGCAGAGGGAGATCTGAGGATGCTACACTACTGGCTTGGAAGAGAAGCAAGGGGGACGAAGGGCCAAGGAATGCAGCTCTCCAAGCTAGAAAAGTTCAGGAAGCAGATTCTCCCCTAAAGCCTCAGGAGAGAGCACAGCCCTACCTTGGTTTCAGCCCAGTGAAACTCGTTCTGCACCTTTGACCTCCAGAACTACCAGACAATGTTTGAAGGCACTCAGTTTGTGGGATTTGTTACAGCAGCCCTAGGAAGCTGACATCCCTGTTAAGGCTCAGCGTTGTTCCCAGACAGGGGACTGAGAGCAGGATCCATCCAGCGCTGCTCAGATCTTGCTGTTACCTTCAGGAGGTCCCAGGGAAGAGTTTGGAAAAGGGGAGGCTTTGGGTGTGGAATAGTTAAGTGACTTGTCATACAACCACACCAGAGGACGCTGTGTGGGTGTTAAAAATGACATCCCACAGAGCTTGGATGATGCAGGGAAATGCTTAGGATATAATGCCAAACAAAAAGAACAAGGAGGGAGTATACGTAGTAGAATTGGGCTGTGCTAAAAAGGGGGGCAAGTCCGGTCTGAGAGCAAACAAAACAAAATATTGCAAAATGTACCCAAGGGCTATCTCTGGCTGGGGGGACTCTGGCGACGGCTGTTTACATTGTACTCTTCTGTGTAGGGTCTCCTTTAGGAGGGCTCAGGGCTGCAGAGCAGCAGCCGCTAAGTGAGCAAGTTATAGCCAGAAGATTTTCAAATGTCAGCAGATTGGGAGCTCTGAGATAACATCGGAGACCTCCCAGCTGCTGCTGGAACCCTCAGGGTTGGACCATGGGAGGGGAGGAGGGGGAAGGAGAGAGTGTTGGAAGAACTAAGGAGGCAAGTTACAGACAATAATCTGCCAGCAGACAGGTTTTCTAACCCACCTTGCCTGTGGCTGCGGCACTGTTCTCTTTTTGCTGAGGGAAGTGGGGGATACGAGATGTTCGCCTTTCCCATTATCTAGGTCTCTGAATTATTGGGAAACACACATCTAGGCAAACAGCAGGCTCATTTTAGCGAGCACTATTTCACACTGCTGCCAGCTGGGGCTGGATGGGGCTGGCAGGCATGGCAGCCTCCCTGTCTCCAGACCTGGGCTGAGACTATGCCACTGATCCCAGGCTGGAAGGTGACTTCTATCTCCAAAAGAGCTGATCCTAGTTATCTTGTTCTCCACGTGGTTTGGACATGAAGAAGCCCAGGACTGGAGGAAGAGAGAGCAGTGCCGGCAGATCACTGGGTGAAGCTGTGTCTATCCGGTGCCACCGTGACTAATAAATTGGCAGGGTCCTGTGTCCAGAGGAACCCTGGGCTGCCTAGTGGAGATAGCTGTCAGGACGGACCCTTCTAAACCAGGAGCATGGGTCTTGGCTGCTGGGTGAGGAGTGCATCTGCCAGCTCCAGACAGCAGGATCAGAGTGAGGAAGGGTCTTCTCCAAGCTCTGTGCTAATGGGAATCAGGCTGAGAAGGGACTTCCAACCTAGCAGAGCTCAGCTGGAGGCCTGGAGCAGCAGAACTGTCTTTTGGCACTAAAAATTAATAACGTGGAAAGCTGAGAAAGAACGAGGCTGTGAGCCTGCCCACCAGGCAGCCTGGGCAGAAGTCAAAGAATTCTATTTTTATCAAGAAGTGCCACGTTCTATTACACTACTCTAAAAGAGATGCTCATTTGTAACATGGCAAGGAAGTCTCGGTCAGGGGTAGCTCTGAAAGGAAAGGTCTGAGTTGTAGGGTGTGTGTGTGCATATGTGTATGTGCATATGTGTGTGTACATCTGTGTGCATGTGTATGCATACACATATATAAAATATAAATATATATAAAAATATATTTAAATATTTAAATATATTTAAATATATATAAATATGTAAATGTATATATATATAAATATATATGCATGCATGTGTACATGTGTGAGCACCTACAGGGGCTGTTCAGAGAAGCCAGAAAATGTGACTGCAGAGATTTTTAACACCTGCAGCCTGGCTGGACTGGAGGCACGTGCCTTCTGGTCGCTTCCCCTAGGCCAGATAAACAACCCAAGCATCACACCCAGGACCCTGCATATTCACTGCAAACTCCAGAGTCACTGGCCTCCCGTCCAAGTCTGCCCCTCCTGCTCTGGGTCCCACTTAGCCCTGCACAAACTGAGGCACATCTGAGATGCTGGTTTCCCCTCGCCCTGCATTCAAAGTGGGGCCAAATCCTCTCAACCCATTCCTCACCTCCCTCTTTTGACCCACCATCAAAATAGATAGAACACACCACCATCTACCACACTCTTCTCATTTGTTCCCTTTCCTCACCATGCACGGGCTACCTGAACCCCACACCTGAGCCCCATACCTAAGCATCCTCCTTCCTTCCTCCTGGTCTTGTACTTCCAAATCTCAGCAGCCACCATGGCTTTCCAGCTCTGCCCACTGATGCCCCCAAACAGGGCAGACTCTGGACAAATGTGGTAGAATAACTTCCTGCCTCTATCTCCTCCCTACCTCCTCAACTCTATGAAAATGATAGTAAGGGAATGAACTAAATAAAAGCTGTTGACCCACAGGGATGGAGAGAACAGGAGCTCAGGCAATGGCAGACAGGATCAAAGCACCCAACACTTGGGAGCAGCCTCAGAAGAGTTGAGGACAGTGTATGGTAAAGGTGAAGGGGGTGTGGGAAAGTGGAGGGGCAGGGTGGGCATCAAGAACAGAGACTCTCCAATAAATCCTGGGTTTGCAATCATCAGGCACCAAGAAGAACTGGCACTGAAAGCATGAGGTTGACTGAAAGTCAGTATACTGGCTGGGCACCGTGGCTCACGCCTGCAATCCCAACACTTTGGGAGGCTGAGGCAGGAGGATCACATGAGCCCAGGAGTTCAAGACCAACCTGGTCAACATAGGAGACCCCATCTCTACAAAAAATAAATTAGCTGGGCATGGTGGTGTATGCCTGTGGTCCCAGCCACTTAGGAGGCTGAGGCAGGTAGATTGCTTGAGCCTAGGAGTTCGAGGCTGCACTGAGCTGTTATCATGACTCTACGCTCCAACTTGGGCAACAGAATGAGACCCTGCCTCTACAAAAGAAAGTCAGTATACAGTTACCAGCTAGCACCCCAATCCATTTCCCTCACCTGCTCAAGCAGACCACACCCCTCCCCCCACCTCTCTCAGGAGACCCCAAATGATTGTGTGGTGAAACCACACACCACACCTCAACACCTTATGTCCAGTCTTGAGGACACAAAGCACCGGCAAGGAAAGGGTGGGTTCCCAGCTGAAAGTGGGGGCTGTGTTTAAGGGAAACATTACATTGTGAACTGTGGGGGCCTCTGCTCCCTTCCCTCCTGGCAAGTCCACAGCTCTTGCAATCCCTTAGGATGGAAATGGAAAGGTTCATTTCTGGAGAAACTGAAGGTGCCAAAAGGAGACACTCTGCCCGCTGATATCTGGGGATCCCCAACAAGAAGTTGGGCTCATCATCTTTGCTAGTCAGGGTTCTCCAGAAAAACAGAACCAGTAAGATAGATAGATGACAGATGGATGGCTGGACTGGTTGATAGACTGATAGGTAGATAGACAGAAGACATAGACTGATGGATATAGATTTGTTATAAAGAATTGGCTCATGTAATTGTGGAGGCCAAGAAGTCCCATGATCTGCCGTCTTTAAGCTGGAGACTCAGGAGAGCCGATGGTGTAAGTCCCAGTCCACAGAGAAGAGAAGACCAACGTTCCAGCTCAAGTGTTCAGGCCAAGAGAGAAATTCTCCTGCCTTTCTGTTCTATTCAAGCCTTCAAGGGTATGGTGCCCGCCCACATTGAGGAGGGCAGCTTGCTTTATTCAGTCCATCCATTCAAATGCTAATCTCATCAGGAAACACCCTCTTAGGCACACCCAGAAATAATGTTTAACCAAATAACTGGACACCCCAAGACCCTGTCAAATTGACACATAAAATTAATTATCACACCATCCAATTACTCTCCAAAAAAGCACTCTAGGTGACAATCCCACCCACATACAGTTTTAAAAGTTCCTAAGAATCTGCTCTGATCTTAAAAAGAAACAATGGTTCAGGAGAGATTGAGGAAGAAAGTCAGAAACAAACAAATTGGGGAAAGTAAAAAAGAAAAAAGTATCTGCAGAAAATTAAAACAAGGGAGAAAATACAACCTTCAAAAATTAGATATAATATGCTCAGAAAGAAAACAGGAGAGCCCACACATCAAACAACAATGGAACGCTTTTAAAAAAAGGGAACAAAAAAAAGCTCTTAGATATTTTTAAGGCATAAGCAGAATGAAAAATTCTTCAACCAAGAGCTGAGGAAAGTAGAATGAAAAGACAAAAAGATAGAAAATAAGAAGAAAGAGATAAGATAATTAGAGGATCAAGGCAGTCTGGCATCTTACTCCAATGTGTTCCAAAATAAATAAATAAAAGGTGCAGGTGCAACAGCACAACTCCAGAGGACGCCATTCATAGAATATGGGGTGAACAGTGCCCTGGAGTCGGATGCTGCAGAGGCCCTGATCAGAGGGAGAGAAATCAGGCAATCAATGCTACAGATATTTTTGCAAAGCCAAAGGACACGCGTTTCCAAGTTGAAAGGGCCAGTGAATACCCAGCACAGTGGGTAAAAGAGACTCACAGTAGAGCACATCACTGTCAATGACAATCAGAGGCTGAATGCGGTGGCTCATGCCTGTAATCTCAGCACTTCAAGAGGCTGAGGCTTGAGAATCCTCAGTGAGAAGTTGGGCTCACCTTCTGTATTAGTCAGGGTTCTCCAGAAAAACAGAAACAATAAAATAGATAGATGGATGGATAGATGGATGGATGGATGGATGGATGGATGGATGGATGGATGGATAGATTGATAGGTAGAGAGACAGACACAAGACATATACAGATGGATATACATTTATTATAAAGGATTGGCTCATGCAATTGTGGAAGCCAAGAAGTCCTATAATCTAGAAAGATTGCTTGAGGCCAGGAATTTGAGACCAGCCTGGGCAATATAGCGAGATCACATCTCTACAAAAAATTTAAAAATTAGCCAGCCATAGTTGCACATGCCTGTTGCCCCAGATACTCAGGAGGCTGAGATAGGAGGATCACTTAGGCCCAGGAATTCGAGGCTGCAGTGAGCTAGGATTGCACCACTGCACTCCAGCCAGGGCAAAAGAGTGAGACCCTGTCTTTTAGAAAAAAAAATTAAAATATTAAAGAATGTCAGAGAAAAAAAATAGTTCAATGATAGTAATAGCTAACATTAATTCAGTTCATTAAATTCCAGGAACTATTTTAAGTATTTTATGTGTAACTTCTAGTGAGAAAAAACTGGTCTCATTAATAAACATGTTGGAATTTAAAATGCCATCAAATCTCAATGGCCATGTTGAGTGCTAGAAGATGAGGGGGCAATGCCTTCAAAGTTCTGAGGGGAAATATTTCCCACCCTAGAGTTTGTGAACCAAAAAATATCTGAGACAGGTCTCAATCCATTTAGAAGTTTATTTTGCCAAGGTTAAGGACATGCCTGGAAGAAAAGGACACAGAATCACAGAAACAAGTCTATGATCTGTCCCTTTCTCCAAAGATGATAGTGAGGGCTTCAATATTTAAATGGGGGAAACAGACATGGAAAAATTCATCTCTGGAGGGGATAGAGGAAGGGTATGGTAATCCACACATTGCAAGAGGAGAAGAGCAGCTAGGGAATAGTCAGTTACATATCTGTCTCCTGCTCAGTAAATCAGCACTTTACATAAGATAAGGTGAACATGGAGTAGCTACCTGTGGAGATATTTAATCTTTTATCTGTAGCCATCTACTTAGGAGCAAAAGAAAAGGCAGTTTCTTGCATGACTCAGCTTTCAGCTTCTTTTTTTTTTTTCCTTTTGGCATACTGAATTGGGGTCCTGAGTTTTTATTTTCCTTTCACAAGTTCAACATCCAGTCGCATTATTAATCAAAGGTTAGGGTCAAACAAAAACATTGTCAGATAAGGAGGGGCTCAAAAAATGGGTCTCCTGTGCACCCTTTCTTAGGAAGCTACTGGAGAACAGGTTTTAGCAAAAGAAGATAATAAGAAAGAGAAAAATGCATGTTAAAAGATAATTTTCAAAAACAGGTTAAATGATAACTCAATATAGATATAAAAATGAATATGTGCTGTAACAGTCCATTTGCACACTGCTATAAAGAACTACCTGAAACTGGGTAATTTATAAAGGAAAGAGGTTTAATTAACTCACAGTTCCACATCGCTGGGGAGACCTCAGGAAACTTACAATCATGGCAGAAAGCGAAGGAAAAGCGAGCACCTTTTTCACAAAGTGGCCAGAGAGAGAGAGAGAGAGAGAGAGAGAGAGAGAGAGAGAGAGAAGGGGGAACTGCCAAACACTTTTAAACCATCAGATCTCGTGAGAACTCATTCACTATATGGGAACACCATGGGGAAAACCACCCCCCATGATCCAATCATCCCCTACCAGGTCCATCCCTTGACACACAGGGGGATTACGATTCAAGATGAGATTTGGTGGGGACACAGAGCTAAACAATATCACGTGCTGCTCAAGATTATGTTTAACTCCTCAGTGAAGAAACTGAAGAGGTGTGACAGCCAATTCAAAGGAGAATCTGAAGGACAGGCACATTTATTGATCAGAAATATTGAAATGGGCTGGGCACAGTGGCAAATGCCTGTAATCCCAGTAAGTTGGGAGGCCAAGATGGGAGGATCACTTGAGCCCAGGAGTTTGAGACCAACCAGGGAAACACAGGGAGAGCCCATCTCTATAATTTTTTTTTTAATTTGCCAGATATGATGACACGTGCCTGTAGTCTTAGCTGCTTGGGAGGCTGAAGTGGGAGGATCTCTTGAGCCCAGGAGGTTGAGACTACAGTGAGCCGTGATTGCACCACTGCACTCTGGCCTGGCACAGAGGGAGATAACCTAAAAAAAAAGAAAAGAAGGAAGAGAAGAGAAATATTGAAATGAATGTGTAAAATGGAAGCAAACTAGGGGATTTGGGGGGAAGTGAGGAAGGGTTGTCTCTCTTCAAAATATAAGCATTTGCATATCCATAGACAAGAATTATTTTTCATTTCTATCGGTTATCTGTAGCTTTCAGAATGGTAAAATAGGTCCCATAGAATTGGAATCAGATAACATGGAAGAGTATGCCCTAGACAGAGAAATATTCTGTTCCTTGCCTCCCACTGAAGCAGAGTGTTTTCTACAAATGCAATCCAGGTAAAGGAGAATACCTGTTAGGAAGCCTGGGAAGAGCATTCCGGGGTGGGGTTGGGATGGGCTGAGAGATGCCAATCAACTTGTGAATACACAGCTAAACAAACTCAACAAAACATGATTTGCTTTTGTTTTTTTGAGACAGAGTCTCACTCTGTCACCCAGGCTGAAGTGCAGTGGCATGATCTTGACTCACTGCAACCTCCACCTCCTGGGTTCAAGCAATTCTCCTTCCTCATCCTCCCAAGTAGCTGGGACTACAGGTACCTGCCACCACGCCTGGCTAAGTTTTTTATATTTTTTAGTAGAGACACAGTTTCGCCATGTTGGCCAGCCTGGTCTTGAACTCCTGACCTCAACACCATGACTGGCCTAAACAAAATATGTTTTAAAAGTCTTCTCCCAGGCTGGGCATGGTGGCTCCCACCTGTAATCCCAGAACTTTGAGAGGCTAAGGCAGGGGTATTGCTTGAACACAGGAGTTCAATACCAGCCAGGGCATCATACTGTGACCCCCATCTCTATAAAAATAAAATAAAAATCGTATCCCTGTAATCCCACCAATTTGGGAGGCTGTGGTGGTAGGATCACTTGAGGCCAGAAGTTTGAGACCAGCCTGGGCAACACAGTAAGACCTCCATCTATACAAAAAGTTTTAAAATTAACCAGGCATGGTGGCGCATGTGTGTAGTCTCAGCTACTTGGGAGGCTGAGAAGGGAGGATCATGTGAGCCCAGGGAGGTAGAGGCTGCAGTAATCCATGATTGCACCACTGCACTCCAGCCTGGACGATAGAGTGAGATCATTAACAAATAAAAACAGTCAAGCTCTGTAAAATATTTGAAGAGATTTATTCTGAGCCAAATATGAGTGACCATGGCCTGTAACACAGCCCTCAGGAGATCCTGAGAACTATGCCCAAGGTGGTCGGGGTGCAGCTTGGTTTTATACATTTTAGGGAGACATGAGATGTCAATCAAATACATTTAAGAAATACATTGGTTCTGTCCAGAAAGGTGGGACAACTTGAATTGTTGGGTGGAGGTTGGGGGCTCCCAGGTTACAGGTAGATTTAAAATTGACTGGTTGACAATTGGTTAAGTTTATCTAAAGATCTGGGCTCAATAGAAAGAAAATGTCTGTGCTGTGATAGGAGGTTGTGGAGACCAAAGTTTTACCATGCAGATGAAGCCTCCGGGTAGCAGGCTTCAGAGAAAATAGATTGTAAATGCTTCTCATCAGAGAGGTATAATGAGTCCTGTCTGACCTCTACTTTCCATCATGGCCTGAACCAGTCTTTCAGGTTAAAAGTACCCTGGCCCAGGAGGAAGTCCATTCAGATGGTTGCAGGGAGGGCGGGGCTTAGAATTTTATTTTTGGTTTACATCCTGTCTCAAAAGAAAAAAAAAAAGAATAAAAGAGTTTTTGGTTTACACCCTGTCTCAAAAAAAAAAAAATGAAAGAAAAGAAAAATCTCAAGGACATCTAAAAGCTGATAAGACAGAAATTACCAGGCCAAAAATAAAAGGGAAGTAGAATGCAGAAAGGGAAAAAAAACAGAATGGAAGCTGCTTTTTCCCTGAGAGCTTTTTCAGAACCTGAAAATCAGAACTTGTTTGAGCCTCCCGGAGACTGGTGGAGAAAGAAGTCCAGCCAGGCCCTGCCCAACTCTAAAGGAAAACCCAAACTTGTCGATATTTGATGAGACTATAAATCGCTTGCCTCTTTTCACTCTCTGGTGCTCCAGCAGCACAGCCCCACACCAACCTTCATCTGGAGTGTCTCAAGACCTTCTGGAATCTTCTCCCACACATACCTCCTTACACAGGTCCATTCTGTGAAAATAAGCAATTCAAAATCTAAGCTGTTGGAACTTTAAAATATTTCGAGCCTTAAGGGAATTTGATCATGGGACCTGAGTCATGTAAACAGGCAGCTGCAACCTTTGTTTCTCTGATTATAGATTAGCCTTTTTCCTTACTTACATTGTTGTGTAAAATGTCGTATATGACTGAAGCGTTCCAGGGAAGACCCCTTTCCTCTTCACTGTTGATCTTCATTATAGATTAACTCCCTCTTTCCTCTCTGACAGAGACTTCATGACCATCACATTGTCTGGGATAGAATGTTAAACACATTCTTAAATTGGAAAGGAAATGAAAACAAGCTGTAGAGAAAAGAAAACAAGGTGGAGGCAGGGGAACAACCTATAATTAATTATAGGTTGTAACTCATAAACCAGCCTTGCATAGAAAATGTTAAACAAGAAAGTTAAAACAAGAAAAGTTATACAAGAAAATGTTCTACAAGGTTACTAAATGTCTTTGCTTTCTGCCTATGTAAGCAAGACTTTAACTTTTAACTTCAGGGCCCTGGCCCCATTTTCCTAGAGTCTGTGTTTCTCAGATGGCCATTCCCAGCTTTTGGCTTGAATAAACTCTTTAAAACTGGATTCTGGGCTGGGTGCAGCGGCTCACGCCTGTAATCCCAGCACTTTGAGAAGCTGAGACAGGAGAAATCACTTAAGCCCAGGAGTTCGAAACCAGCCTGGTCAATAAAGTGAGACCGATTAAAGAGAAGTAAACTTAAAAACGAACAAAAACAACTTTGTTTTTAAAACTTAAAAACTTAAAAACAACGAAAACCCTGGATTCTGATCCTTTCAATTACTTTATATTGACAATTCTACTATGGGTGCTGCCCAATCAGCCTTGTAAAGCACAGGGCTGACCACTTCAACTCCCTGCTGAGGGTTGAATCTGGAATAAAATCCAGATTCCAGAGCTACGGTGCCCTTAGATCTGGGGCTGTTGCTTTTGTACTTCTGTTTTTCCACTTTACTTAGCTGAAGCACAATCCCTACAGCAAGCTAAGAAAGGAAAAGGTCCATTCCAAAACCCTTCGCTCCCTAGACCACTGCTCTGTGTGCAGACAACGAAAACAGCCGAGAGTTCACACAAAAGGGAAGGACTAACTGCCCGGGGCAGGCTTCAAGGAATGCCTGTTAAGCCCCAGGGAGGAAGTGGCTGTTGACTTGGGAAGAGTCCGTTGGGTAGTCAAGGGCTAAGGTGGTGGTTGACATGAAGGCAAATTTTCCATGCCCTGGTGAGAAGTTGGAATCCTTGCTGTGAACGTTGGGTAGTACAGTTTGCAGGACCATTTGCTTGGCTATTGGGTCCCACCTGTTGACAGGTGCCAAGCCTGATTTTCCTTGGCCTTCCCTCCTGATTTAGCTGAACACCAACCTTCTCAACACAACCCCGAAGTACACCTTGCTCAGTTTTTAACAGAGCTGCTAGATTTCAAGGCATGATTCTCAGCACTGTGTCCGGAATTGGTGGGTTCTTGGTCTCACTGACTTCAAGAATGAAGCCGTGGACCCTCGCGGTGAGTGTTACAGCTCTTAAGGTGGCGTGTCTGGAGTCTGTCCCTTCTGATGTTCAGATGTGTTCGGAGTTTCTTCCTTCTGGTGGGTTCGTGGTCTCGCTGGCTCAGGAGTGAAGCTGCAGACCTTCGCGGTGAGTGGTACAGCTCTTAAGGTAGCGTGTCTGGAGTTGTTCATTCCTCCCGGTGGGCTCGTGGTCTTGCTGGGCTCAGGAGTGAAGCTGCAGATCTTCGCGGTGAGTGTTACAGCTCATAAAAGCAGCGTGGACCCAAAGAGTGAGCAGTAGCAAGATTTATTGCAAAGAGCAAAAGAACAAAGCTTCCACAGTGTGGAAGGGGACCCGAGCGGGTTGCCAATGCTGGCTCGGGCAGCCTGCTTTTATTCTCTTATCTGGCCCCACCCACATCCTGCTGATTGGTATAGGGATAAGCAAGTACCTAGCCACCACCATCTTTGCTCCCAGCGTGGCTCACCTGCCTAGCTCAAACCTTCATGGAGCTGTGATCTGTACCCCAGGATACAAACAAAAGTGGGCACCATCCCATGGTCCATATCAAATTCATGACCAGCTCCCAGAGGACCCTCCTGCTGCCATGCTGATCCTCAGGCTGCAGACCTGCTTGACTCTTCACACCTGGCTACTACTGCACTCCAGGATTCTCAATATGACCCCTCCATCCACCCAGCTGCCAGGACCAGAAACCCTGGCCATGCAGTAAGAATTCACTCAACAAACACTGAGCCCCAACTCTGGTCAGGCACTGGGGACAAATCAGATGTGGCTCTACCCTGCTGCAGCTTGCAGTGTGACTGGGAGTGATGACGGTCCCTAGCCTCAGCCTGTCACCTTGCATCCGTCAGTCCCACATCAGCCCGTTTACCTCAGGCTCAGATTGTCCATCGCAGGGACCATGCAGCTCAGTGTTGGCCCTGCCTCTGGGCTTGCCCCTCCAGCTCCCCCTTCACTCTGCTTCCAGAGATACATTGCCCATTCTAATTTAATTTTACCTCTTCCCAAATAAAACTCCTCAGTAGATGCCAATTGTTTTTAGGATAAAATTAACCACCTTGTTTTGGCACCCACAGGACTGCATGACCCTCATGCCAGGCCCCCAGCTCAGACATGTTGGTTCAGATGGAGCACCTGGCAGTTCCTTGAATGGGTCACACCCATCACACCTCACACTGCTGCCATGCTGGCCTTGTGCCATGAATGTCCCGCCTCCTCCTGCATGGTGCCTTGGTCAGATAGGCTTCGACTTGTCTCCCATATTTCAGAAAGTCTTCCCTGCCCCTCCAAACCAGGCTCCATGCCCTCTGGTTCCCCATAGCGCCCAAGCCACGCTCTGCAACAGCACACATCGTACTGAATGGTAAATATTTACAGTCTGTCTTCTACACTAGACCATGAGGGCCTTGAGGACGAAGACAATAAAGCCATTCATTTCTGCATCATCAGAAACTAGCCCAGCACTCAGTATATATGTACCTGGTGAATATTTACTATATGAATGAATGTAATGATTAAGTAATGTGTCTAGACTTCATGTTTGGCCCACCGGCACTAATAATACCTCCTTAATCTTTCTCTTCTGACACTCAACTTATGACCCCCTGACTTGGATTCCCATTAAGGACTGAAAGTTTGTGTTTCCCCCCAATTCCTAGGTTGACACCCTGACTTCCAATGTGACTGTGTTTGGAGGTAGCACCCTCAAAGGTAGACAGCAGCAGTTTATTGATCCTGGGCCACTTTCCAGAGACCACTCTCCTAGGACAGACCATTGAACTCTTATGGGTCCTCCTGGGACCAGTCACAGCAATTTGGATTTATCTACCCCAGAAGGTAAATGGGTCAAAACAACACATTAATTAGATTAACTCCAAGGCAAAATTCTGTCTCTTTTTTTAACTTTTTATTGAGAAATAATGGTAGATTTGCATACAGTTGGAAGAAATAATATGAGAGATTCCATATATTCTTCATTCACTTTTCTCCTATGGTTCTCCTTGGTTTCATCATAACCAAGAAAGCCCTGGTTGATAATCCACTGTATTCAGATATGACCCATCTTATTAGATATGATCCACTGTATCAGATTTCCCTTTACATGCACTTATTTGTGTGTGTGCGTGTGTACGTGCACATTTAGTTATATGCAATATATCACATGCACAGATTCATGTAATCACCACCACAATCAAGATACAAAACAGTTCCATCAAAGGGACCCCTCAAGCCACCCTTCTATTGCCAGAGCCACCTCCTCCCCACTCGCCTGGCAAGTACTAATCTAGTCACCATTTCTATACTTCTGTTCTTTCAAGATTGCCATCAAAATGCAATCATACAGTATATAACATTTTCGAATTGACATTATCCACTCAGCATAATTATCTGGAAATTCATCCAAATTGTTGTATCTGTTAAGAGTTCACTCCTCATTATCAATGAATAGTATTCCATGGTATGCACATACAACAGTTTAACCATTCACCTGTGCAAGGAAATTTGAATGGCTTCCAGTCTCGATTTTGAATACAGTTGCTAGGAACATTTGGGTACAGGTTTTGTGTGAACATCAGTTTTTATTTCTGGGTTTATGGTAGTTGCATGTTTACTTTTACAAGAAACTGCCAAGCTGTTTTCCAAAGTGGCTGTACCATTTTATACTCCCACCAGCAACGTGGGAGAGATCTAGTTTTTCCACATTCTTGCCAGCATTTGGTGTCTTCATTATTTTGTATTCTAGCCATTCTGATAGGTGTATAGGGGTATCTCGTGATTTTAATTTGCACTCATTTAATGGCTAATGAGGTTGGACATGTTTTCATATGGTTATTTACCATCTCTATATCCTCTTTGGTGAAATGTCTGTTCACATTTTTTCCTCATTTTCTAAGTAGATTGGTTTTTTACTGTTGAGCTTTGAGCATTCTTTGTATATTCTAGCAACTAGGAATATGGGCTCTATCTGGAAGGAATTCTGATGGATATAGTTACTTAGCTATTACATCACTTTATATACAGAGTTTGGCAACCAAATTTTCAAATCAGGAATCCAGGGAAGAAGAAAACAATGAGTAAGAGAAGTCCTCAGTGTGGAAATTTTGAGAATGGCTTACAATGTCTCAGTATCTCAGACTGCTGGCTTCTGAGGAGCCCCACTAAGACCCTGCTGTCCCCATGTGGGCCTGTCTGGGGCAGGCAGCCTGATTCTTATCCATCAGGTATCAACATCCTCAGTGACATGGGGCAGACATCCCTGACACCATTGCCAATCAAAGCCCATTACCAGCCCTGCTGTCCCACCCGCCATCACTGTCTTTCTTGTGCAGGTAGCTGGCATGGGAGACACAGAACAATTTATGAGCCACAGCCTCAGGGCTTGGTTTGGCCAACAGAATCAGAAATCCAGCTTGAAGGCTGCTGCTATATTTCACCCTTCCACTTCCCTTTGAACACGTTTCAGAGCTATTGATCTTAAAAGTAGAAGATTAGTCACTTCAAAATGAGGCTCAGAGAGTGTGCTACAGAGGAGAGCTGTTCTGAGGATTACAGGCAGCTGCCCCTCCTCCTTCTACTCCTCCACTCCAGCATCCTCATCTAGGCCCCTGGGGCAGGTCTCCCAACTGGAAACTCCTCAACGGTGAGGGCAGGACAATTAAAAGAAGCCAAGCATGTAAAATGCCACAGTAGATGATCAATAAATGTTGGACAAGAATCTAAGCATGCTGGCACAGGGGCAGCAACAGGGAGCTACCACGCCTGAGATCCTGTCTCCCAGAGGCCTCCTGGTCTATGTATCACAATCCAGAGTCAACTTTCAACCTTGCATTCATAGAAACTGAATTTTCCAGTTCTCAGTAGATGTCCACTAACCTAGCCCACAGGAGTGAAGCAAGAAGCAGAAGGCCAGTTTATTAATTTATTAAAACAATGCAAGGTGTAACTCTTTAGGGACCAGAGCAGCCCAAGTCTATGTGAGACTGCCTTCTCCACTGTCAGCAGATTGGCAGGGAGCCTGGCATGGCTTAACGAACAAGAGGCAAAGCCTGAGAAGCCAGTTTGGACCCAGGCATCAAACATGGCAGCCCAGGCTCTTAACTGCTGTGCTATGCTCCCTCCAGCAGGTTCCAACCGAAACTAACTTGGGGCCTGTCCACCCACAGCCGCCTGTGTCTGTTTCTTGTTTTCCCAGGGAGGCCATTCGCCCAATCTCAGACGGATCTCAAAACTTCACCCAAATTAGGGGCTTCACCAAAATCGCCCCCAGGAAGGGAAAATCTGTCTTCCCAGTACTTCAGGCTCTCTTGTCAGAGCGTTGGTCTGAGCTGGCTACTCTCAGCCTACAGAAAAAACGAGCATCCCAGCTGGGCGCGGTGGCTCACGCCTGTAATCCCAGACCATCCTGGCTAACACGGTGAAACCCCGTCTCTACTAAAAAAACAAAAAAATTAGCCGTGCGTGGTGGTGGGTGCCTGTGGTCCCACCTACTTGGGAGGCTGAGGCAGGAGCATGGCGTGAACCCGGGAGGTGGAGGTTGCCGTGAGCTGAGATCGCGCCACTGCACCCCAGCCTGGGCGACAGAGTGAGGAGACTCGTCTCAAAACAAAAACAAAAACAAAACAAAACAAAAAGAGCATCCCCAGATATGCTGGATCTGTTTAGCTCTTCTGTTTGCAAGCAACAAATATTAAATAGCTCAACCCAAATGGCCATAAGCAAAAACGAAAATATGTTCATATAATGGGAAAGTCTAGGGGGAGGGGAAGGGGTAGGCCCCGCTGGATTCAGGGCTCAACCTGTGGGGCCAGAACTGGGAAGGTGGCTGCCTCAGTGACACCATCTTTTGTTCACAACCAGAAGATTGGAGAGGGGACAATCGGCTTCCTCAACGACCAAAACAAGTCTAGGACTGGGGCTCTTTGGCTCTGCAGCCAGAGCTGGTTCACGTGCTCATCCCTGAGCCAATCACTATCATCAGAGGGGGACCTGAGGCTCTGATTGGCCAGGCCTGAGTTGCATGCTCCCAGAAGCAGGGAGGAGTTCACCCTCATTAGAAGCAAATTGTGACGACTTTCAAAGGAAATCGGGGCTAGCCATGACTAGCCATGGCTGAGTGGATGCTGATTAGCTCCAAACCACAAATGTTCACCCCCGCCATGCTCTGTGCTCACCTCTGCACTTGAACTCACCCCAATGCCCACACCTGGAACGACCTCGTGTTCATCCCACCACTACTCCATCCTACACTCCTGTTCACTAAAAAACCCAGAGCCTGCCTCCACCAACCAGCCTTCCCTGATTATCTCAGCCCACACATACCCTTCCTCGGCACTCTGAAGCCACTTACTGTCCACAAAGCTCACAGGGCACCTAGCACGGCTGCCTGGTCAAGCTCTTTGTCTTTTGGGGTGCATGTATTCTCTCCAATACAGTTCTCTAGGGCTAAGGTATATAAATTTTTTCTTTAAAGAATTGGATCGTAAATATTTTAGGCTTTGTGGGCCATACAGTCTCTGTAGCAACCACTCAACTCTGCCATTAGAGCACAAAAGTAACCACATACATGTAAATGAATGAGGATGGCTGTGTTCCAATAAAACTTTATTTGCAAAAACAGGTGGTGGGCTGGGTTTAGCCCAAGTACTGTGGTTTGTCAACCCTTGCTCTAGGGCTTTAAGGACTGGACCTTGCCTTCTTGATTTTTGCATGTCCCGTTCAAGCCAGCACAGCACTTCACACACAGGGACCGACAGTAATCAAAGCTGACTGGACAACATTGAATTATATTATTTTAGTTTCCTTCTTTTAAAAGAAACAGTAGAAAGCTGTGAAGACTATAGCCAAATAGGAATGAGTGCGTGTTCCTGCTTCACACCAAGAATGAGATGCAGGATATGCTGGGAATTTCTCTGTCCAGACTCTTCCAGAATTCAGAAACAACCAGAGCAACTGGTAAAAGATACTCCTCTCTGGGGCACACCTATCATAAATAAATGTAAAAGCATGCATGTCTGTGGGTGTTTTTAGTGTGTGTGTGCATGTGTGTGTACATGTGTCTGCATATATGTGTGAATGCATGTGTGTAGCATCAGCACACCACCAACAGGCATCCACGTTGCTGGCATCCACGATGCCAGCCCCATCATCCTGCTGAATCCACTTCCTCCTCAAAGACCCTGCCAAGACTGTCCCATAGCGTGCATCTCTGTGACTATCTCTGGGAATAGAGATGGTTCAAGCCTGGGCCATTCTGTGATTCCACGCTAGGCATTTTGGGACCCCTTTGTTCTGTCTGGAGGGCCATGAGCTAGAGAAGTCATGTGGAGGGCCATGAGCTAGAGGAAAAGTGAGTGTTTTTAATGAGAGTATTGCTCCCTCTTGGTCTTAAAGAGCCAATTGTGTCTTTGAGCTGAAAGCCGTGGGAAGGAGCACAGGAAAGAGAATGAATGGACTTGGGTTCTGAAAACCATCTTTCCTGCTGCTGGGAGGGGTTGATGGGCCCTCTTGGGGTTCCCCACTTCTATTGAGCCCCAGATGTCCTCCCTTTTATGCCTCCTGCTTTCCTGCCTTACTGGGCTTTGTGATAGCATCTGAGCTCTACCACGTATTTACCGTGGGATCCTGGAGAAGGTGTGTTGTCTCACTGAGTCTCAACCACTCATCTGCACATTAGGAATCAAATCTATTTCTTAGGACAGTTGTGAGAATGGAAGATGATGCATGTGAAGTTCCTGAGACACAATTTACTCTCAGAAATGGCAGCCAGCATGAATATTAATAATTCTACTTATTATTATTAGCAATTACCTAAAATGCTTCATGATCTTCAGCTGTGTTCATGTGGCCTCATTCTCCTAGAGGGCCCTCCAATCCATCCCCACTCCATGGTGCCCACTTCTTCACAAAGGGACAAAAGCATTTCCCTAGCCATTCTTCATAAATACCGCTAACTCTTTCATACAACCTTCATGAGTCTTCTGACTCAAACCATAGTGGAGGCCTTGTCTTGTTCTGAGAAGCCATATGGCAAGGTGGAAAAAGAACCCAGGAACGGTTGTTCAACCTGGGCATAAGGCAGGGCTCTCCAGAGAAAGAGAACCGTTGGGATATACATGAGGAGATTTATTATGGGAATTGGCTCTTGAGACTATAGAGTCTGAGAAGCCCCATGACCTGTTTTCTGCAAGCTGGAGAACCAGGAATGTTAGTGGTGTAATTTTGTCCAAGTCTAAAGGCCTGACAATTGAGATAGGGTTGGGGGACAGCTGCTATAAGTTACTGGGTTCAAACAACCCAGAACTAAGCTCTCTAATGTACAAGGGCAGAAGGAGATGGATGTCCCAGTCAGAGAAAGGAGAGAGAATTCGACTTTCCTCTGTGTTTTTGTTCAATCTGGGCTCTCAGTGGATTGGATGATGCCCACTTACTTGGTGAGAACAGGTCTTCTTTACTCAGTCTACCCATGCAAATGCTAATCTCTTCCAGAAACACTCTTACAGACACACCCAGAAAGAGTGCTTTACCAGCTATCTGGGCATCACTTTGCACAGTCAAGTTGACACATACAATGAAGAGTTACAACCCGAGTTCAAATTCTTGCTCTGTTGCTCGCTACCTGGATACCTAGGACAACCCTCAACCTCTCTGAGCCTCGCTTCTGCAAAAATGCAGTTGACTCTTGACTCTATGGGGTCACTGTGAGGAACTGTTAAGGTGACAGTGCATGGTACGTTGGAGGAGCTCCAAAAATAAAGGCTCATGTTCAATAAATGCTGTCAACCCACAAAGACATTTCTTACACCTGCAATACGAACTTGATTTCCACAAATAATACAATATTTTTCTTTGTCTACGTTTTTTCCTAAGGAACCACCCAATGGCACAGAAAATGAATTCCCACTTTCACCTTCCTGGTGGCTTGGACAACTCTCTGTCCTTCAGTGTCCTTGCTACATTCTCCCTCTCCCATTTGTGCTGTCATCAGCTCCATCAGAGCAGGAGAAAGAGGCAGGAATTAGGTCTTTATCATGATTGCTTAGACTGTTCTGCTAGTGTTCATTGAAAGACCTTTTTTTTTTTTCTAGTTCAAAATTCAAAAACTAAGAGCAAGGTCTTCCTTACCTAAATTCAAGTAGACATTTTCATTAAAAAAAATAAAATAAAGATTCAGAAGCCATAAGGGAAACAAGCAAATGTTCATGCTCCCCCTCATTCTCCCTTGACTCAGCGGGGAGAAACTGGTCACAAGGCTTCCCCCGGCAGGCAGAGGCCACACAGAGAAGAGTGTGCATCACCAGCGGCCTGTGGACGCCCAGGGAAGCGGGTCTTATCTGGTCAAGGGAAGAACAATGTTTTTATCCATTGGTCATTGCATTCAGTGGTCCAAAAGTGTTTACTGAGCACCTACTGTGTGCAAGGCATCATGCTACATGCTGGTGTGACCCTAGGGGAAGAAAGAAGTCAACACTGTTCTGGAGTTTCTCACAACCCTAGGGAGCCAGCCCTAGGCCTTCTCTTCTGTGGGGCTGGCCTGTCTCAAGAGGGGCCTGACAGGGACCCCACAAGTTCTTTTAAATGATGCTTCCCCAACACTACAATGCTTTTATATTTTAAATACCATGTTGATCCTAAATCCAAACTGCTGCCTCATCCTAAAGTCCTTGGGGATCTAGGTCCCCAGAATTAATTGCTATCCAGGTCAGGAGGTATCTGTTCATCTTCTTTTCCATCAGGGCAAGATGTCTGATCCTGACTGGCCCTTAACTACGAGCTGGAGAACACAGCAGCTTCACTGCACTCCTAAAGAGGAAAACAAAAAAGAACAAAGCTCAAAAGGGCATGGAGAGAGGGTCTCGCATGGGAGGGACCCTCAGCTCAGTGAGTACAGCACAGATCCATGTTGGAAGGCTGAGCACGCTGTTCTGTAGAGTTGTGGGGTCTATTTACCTGCTACTTAGTACCAGGAGCTTCATCCGTCCACGAAGGCATCTCTTACACCCACAAGATGAATTTTGTATTTCACAAATAATGCAGTTTCTCTTAAATCAGCACTTTTCTTCTCTAAGAATCCTCCCAGCTGCACAGAAAAATTAAAAATATTCCCAGAGAATGGGGTTTATAAAAACACTTCAAAATCTCAAGAAATGGATATAGCTATAGAAAAAGGTCTCAGAAACTGTCACCACCATTGCAGACAAGGTGACTCAAGGTTGGTGTGGACGGTGGCCTCATCAGATGGGGATATGGTCCTGCCTTGCAAGACTGTGGTTAGGGCATCATAGAGATAACCACCGGCAGGAATGGGCAGCTGCCCCCAGACTCCCCCTCCCCCTGTCCCTCCTTTCCTTGGCCTTGGCTGACAGCACAGCAGCCTAAAATGGCCTGAATATTGGGGTTTTGAAAGGCTCCAGAAATGCTCCCAGGAAAGTGAGCCCCACACAAGCCCAGACAACAGGTTTACAAGGCTTTAGATGTCTTCTGTGCTTTACTGCACCCCAACTCTCAGCTCTCGAGGCCACCACCCCACGCTGACTCTTCCTTCACTTTTGGCCCTCAGTTCAGTTCCTCAGCAGTTACTAGATTGTGCCGTTCAGGAGGAAGAATTGTTTGAGTCACAGCCCTCCTCCTGTCCCCAGCTCTCCTGCATCTGCTTTTAAGCCAGGAAGTCTGGCATCCCCATTCCCAATGAGCCTCTTGCCCCTGGAAGGAGAGTTCAGCTATGTGACTTTGGATAAGTCACCTACCCTCTCTGTGACCTTGAATGCCACGATGGGGTGCTTGGGCTTGCTCTGAAGGACATCGGAATCGACAGAAAAATTATAAGCAAGTCATTTGCATTATATTGATTTGCATTTTTAAAAAGTTCCTTCTGATGGCTTTTTGAGGGCAAAAAACACATAAATGGAAAGAAGTCTTGCATTGGAGTCAGACAGACACATCATGGTGCTGCCCTGCTCAGTGAGGTGACCCTGGGGAAGCCCTTTAGTGTGGCCACCTTGGGGGAGTCTTGTTAAAATGCAGATCTAATTCTGCAGGGAGGAGGGAGGCCTGAGAGTCTGCATTTCTCCCAAGTCCTGGGGTGATACTTCTACAACAAGACCCAATTTCCTGGGCATCTGCAGGCCACCAGTGACACCCACGTTTCCCTGCACACCGGGCCTCAGTTTCCTCATCTGTAAAATGGCATCAAGAAAACCCCAGGTGTATGGGCTGCGTGGGGTGTGAGTGAGATCTCATGCGTGGCTAGGCTTGTGCTGAGGCACCCCTGCCCCCAGCTCCCCTCCTCCCCATTACTGCCATGCCCCAGGATGATTAGTGTCTGTTCTAGGCTCAGCACTGACTCCTTCATTTACGCTCCTCCCTCCTTTTATAGTTGGTGTACTCTGGAACTTTGCTTGGCACTGGACTTGCCTTTCATATGCCCTAGAAGTCTTCTTTTAGCTCTTCTCTCTTCTCAAATTCAAAATCCACAATGCTTGCCCGAGGTTTCTACAGTCCCAGAGCCATTAGAAGATTAGAATTTTGCAACACCTGCCTCTGCTGCTGCCAAGGTCCCACTTTTCATGCCAAGCAAGGCACAAGACACATTGGCCACATTCTCCTTCCAAGTGAGGGAGCAACCTGTGAGGATGGGCTTTCTAATAATAAGGCCTTAGGTCTGCAGCTTACCTGGTTCACTTCCCAGGCCCTGCAGAGTGCTGGGGTGGGGAGGGCTTGCAGAAACCCAATGAGGAAGGGTGGGAAGCTCTGTGTGTAGGCCACTGGCCCAGAAGTTTCAGGGCCTGGGAGCTCATCCTGGCTCTGCCTCTCACTCCCTCCATGACTCTGGGCAGGTCATGACCCACTGAGCCCTCAGTTTATCCATCTCTAAAAAAGACATGTAATTAAGTGTCCTCTAGGAACCCTTGCAGCCCCCCATCTTCTTGTGGTCTCCAGTCTGTAAGTGAGAAGACTCAGGGTTTCTGAGTATGGGCCAGGGCTCTTTCTACCCATGATATACATGGTAGTCATACTTTATAGCCATGATACATGATACATACATCACATACATCCAAGATCAACATGGAGTGACTCCCTTCCATTTTGAAAATGAGCCATTCAACCCTACACTTCTCTCCCACTGTGGCCCCATTTCTTTGTTCTTTTTATTGCAAAACTCCTTGATAGAGTTCTTGGGGAGGTTTTTAATTATGTCTGCCAATTCTCTCACACTGCTCCCAGGGAGAGATGGGGTCCATGTCTCCCACTTGAAATGGGGTAGGCTTCTCAGAGTATTTTGGCCAACAAGGTAGGGCAAAAGGCCACACACACAGCTCTGCCTTGCTCACAGAAATTCTCCTTCTTACGAGCAGTTTCAATACCCTGAGGCCGCCATGCTGCAAGGAAGCCCAAATGAACCCCTATCCAGCAACCTCATGGAGAGACCCTGAAACTTCATGAAAAGCAAGAGAGAGATCTGCCTGATCAGCACCCAGCAAGCTCCGGCTCCAGCCACTGAGGGCCTGCATGACACTGCCTGGCAGGTCCCAAGTCAGAACTGCCCAGCCAAGCCCTTATTCTCAGAAACCATGACAGATAATAAAATGATTGCCATTGCTCTGTGCCACTAAGATGTGAGTGACAAGACAGCACTCAACACTGGAGCAATCGTCTATTTGTGCTCCTGCAAATCCCTTCACCACTCCACTGCTCCTCCCAAACTGCTTTCATGACTCGTGACCATCACTGTGCCAAATCCAACAGTTTTCACCCTTCATCCTACTCAACCTGTCAGCACCATTTGACCTGAAGTCATATCCTATTATGTCATGCTCTGCTCAAAACTCCCCAGTGGCTTCCCATCTAACTTAGACTAAAAGCCAAAGTCAAGACAATGGCCAACGGAGCCCTACCTGATCTGCTGCCCATCCCCCTTACTTTTCTCACTCAGTTCCCATTACTCCACCTTCTGCTCCCTCTGCTCTGTCCACTGTGGCCTCCTGGCAATGCCTCAAACATGTTTCCACCTCAGGGTCTTTGCACTTGCTGCTCCCTTGGCCTGGAACTCCTAGATAATTGCATAGCTCTTGCCCTCATTTCCCTCAGGTGCCACTCCTCTAAAAAGCTTTCCCTAATGGCCCTTATTATTTTTAAAAATATTTATTATTATTATTATTATTTTTGAGACAGTTTTGCTCTGTCACCCAGGCTGGAATGCAGTGGTGCAATCTCGGCTCACTGCAACCTCCACCTCCTGGGTTCAAGGGATTCTCCCACCTCAGTCTCCCAAGTAGCTGGGATTACAGGCACCAGCCACCAAGCCTAGCTAATTTACATATTTTTAGTAGACACGAGGTTTCACCGTGTTAGTCAGGATAGTCTCGATCTCCTGACCTCGTGATCCACCCACCTCGGCCTCCCAAAGTGCTGGGATTACAGGCATGAGCCACTGCGTCCAGCCCCTTATTTAAAATAGACACCCACCTGCTGGGCACGGTGGCTCACACCTGTAATCCCAGCACTTTGGGAGGCCGAGGTGGACGGATCACGAGGTCAGGAGATCAAGACCATCCTGGCTAACACAGTGAAACCCAGTCTCTACTAAAAATACAAAAAATTAGCTGGGCATGGTGGCGGGCGCCTGTAGTCCCAGCTTCTAGGGAAGCTAAGGCAGAAGAATGGCGTGAACCTGGGAGGCAGAGCTTGCAGTGAGCCGGTATCGCACCACTGCACTCTAGCCTGGGTAACAGAGTGAGACTCCATCTCCAGACACCCACTAACACCCCTCACACACACAGACCACCACTACTGGACCCTTTCTTGCCCCTGTTTATTTTCCTATAACACGCCTCATGCTCTGGCATACCTTACATTCATTTGTTCTGTCTCCCTCCACTCAATTTTAAGTTCCATGAAGGTAGGAATTTTAGGCTGTTTCACTCACTGCTGTTTTCCAAGCATCTAAACAGTGTCTGGCACATAGAAGGTACTCAATAAGTGTCTGAATGAATGAATGAATGAATGATATGATATGATATGATTATGGCTCCCAATTGCTGCCATCAGAGTGATACCAGACACAAATCATTACCCACACCCTTCAATAGCTCCCCATCATCTTGAGGATAAACCCAATCTCCTTAAACCTACCTTTAAGGCCCTTTATGACCTGGCTCCTGCAGACTTCTGTAGCCCTCACTTCTCACTGCTTCCTGCTTTGCACTTCACACTCCAGCAACACCTAACTGCTTGAGTTTTTCTATATGTCCCCATGATATGTCCCATGTTCTTGCCTTTGCTCTACTGTCCTCTCTCACCTGGAATGCTCTCTCTGCCTTCTCCTTCCTGAAACATTACCTCTCTCTCTTCAGTGTGCAGCTCAAATATCCCTTCCCCAAGGAACCTTCCTTGCCTTCCCTAGGCTGATTAGCTTCTTCTTCATGCTCCTAAAGCAGCATGGGTTGATCTCCATCACTGTAGCTACCACTTGATGGTTTACCTACCTGTTTTCCCCATTCCCCACTAGACTGCAGAGAATACCAATGACTAAAGACATGAGCATGTTAACTTAATGAAGGGCAAGGTCCAGGGACAATGCTGGAAGCAATATGCTACAGGATGACCTCAGATGAAAGGGAGAGGAACGTTGAGTCAAATCTTCTTGGTCCTCCTTTTGGAGAAACTTGGATGTCAACTGGGTATTAAGAGATGCTATGGAATTATTGTTGATTTCCTTGGGTATATCTATAAAATGGAGATAATAGTATGCCTGTCTCCATAGGTTGCTGTAGGCTTTAAATTCAGCATTAAGTTAGGCGCATCTTCAAGAGGTGCTGAACACAGAATAGTGCTCAGTCAGTGATACTGATGAACAAACATGATGCTTCCATCTGGTCCAGGGCTGGGCGTGTAGTAGACACTCCCAGAATGTCTTTGAATTAGAAAAAGAAATGGAGGCATGAGCATGTGGGGATTTCATGTGGCACCACCCGGAGCGTGTTTTGATGGTGCAAGGAAGAGAGGAGAGTGGAGCCCCTGCTCAGGATTCTGCAGGGATGGGGCTGAGCCTGAGCAGATGGTGAGGTGAAAGGTTCCTGCTCCTCTTCCCTCTACCTTCAGCAGGCAATTACCTACGTGCTTCTCTCATTTCTATGACAATGACGCCCCTCCTGGGCCCAGGGAGCTGAGGAAGGGGAGCTGCTTCCCTGACAGTTCTGGAAAGACCCAGGCTGAGGCTGACAGGGGGAGGAAGATTTTGCCAGGCTCTGTTGGGAGACTCAGAATCACTAACAGTAATGGCCAAAAAATCTACCCACCCAGTGGCAAAATTGTGAGCGTGATCATCAGGATTAATATGAACTGCTTACTGAGACTAGGACTCGGCCAAGGTCCAATTTTTATTGGTTATTTTATTTGAACTGCATATGTTAATTCCATGAAGTAGGAATATTACCACCATTTTGTAGATGAAGAAACTGAGGGTCAGAGGCAGGTGGAGCATCTCCTAGATTCATATGGAGTCAGGATTTAAACAATTGCAGAGCTCTTCCCTGCTACACAAGTTCACAAGTTCCTGAGAAAAAGCCCAAATGATGAGGTCAGGAATAACATCACCCCACCACACACGCTTCACACACACCACACATACACACATACACCAAGAACCCGGTTTAGTGATAAATTAAGATGTAGGGAGCCACACTCCTGTGTCCTGGGCCATTTCCTCCCAGGACCTCTGCGCCTGACATCCAGCATGCCTATTCTTCCCACTCTGCTTAGTGAAGCTGCCCTGTCCCACCCAGCCCCACTCTCACATGCTCCCAGGCTGGAACCTTCCAATACTGTCAGGGTCTCCAGCCTCCCCCCAGCACCTCCCCTGAACATTGGTAGCTGCAGGACAAACCTTACCTACTGGTCAAAACACCCAGAAGTCAAGGCACATCCCTGGCCTTGGATGAAGACAGAGATGAAATACACACCCAGGGATTTAGGGAGAAGCCTCTGCCTTGGACAGGAGTGGCTAATTCCAGAAAAGAACAGAGACTCCACAAAAGGGCATGAAGGGCCCTCCCTGCACTTAGACTGACTCTTGTCTAGCAACTGAGGGGTCTTTAGATGTTGTCTGTTTCAAAACAACTTTTGTGCCCATTGGCCAATATGATGAAAGAAACAGACTCTTATCAATGACATGCTTTCTCTGTCTTTCTATACCTGCATTCATTCATTAACATAGTTTTTGTTGAGCCCTGTCTATGAATTAACTCCTGTTCTAGGTACTGGAGATACAGCAGTGAAGGAAACAGACAAGAACTCCTGGCCTTGTGGAGCTGACATTCTGGTAGATGGATAAGCCCCACATACAGAGGTAGACACACCATGTGTCAGATGGCAACAGGGGCTGTGGAGACAAGCAAAAAAATGGGAGGGGAGTGGCTGCAATTTTAGATCAGAGGTCAGGGAAACCTCACTAGGATGGTTTCATTTGAGCAAAGGCCTAAAGGAGCAGAAGGAGGTAGCCAGGCAGATATCTGGGGAGGCAGCATTCCAGGCAAAGAGAAATGCATGTACAAAAGCCCTGAGGCAGGAGCTACTTTACTTGGTCAAGGAACAGCAGGAGGCCAGCAAGAGCCAGAGGAAGGCAATAGGAAAGGAGGAGAGGTGGGGATGAGGCCAAGTGGTACAAGGCCTTGTGTACCACAGAAAGCTCTTTGGCTTTTCCTTTGAGCATGGCTGGAAGTGATTGGAAGCTTCTGAGCAGTGCTGGAATGTGATCTGACTTGAATTTTAAAAGATGACTGTCTACTATGTGAAGAATAGATGGCTGGGGACAAGGTGGATGCAGAGTCAATGAGGGAGCTCTTGCAATAATTCAGCCAGGATGGCAGAGGCTTGGCCCGGTAGGAGCCTGGAAAGACGGAGAAGGGGTTAGGCTCACACAATGGTGTATTGATGGCTTATATATATCTTCTCCCAGAAGCAGCCCAGCAGGGAGTTAAGAGTGGGACCTCTGGAGTCCAGCAAGCTTGTGTTTTAATCCTGGTCACTCTTTCTCAGCTGGTTATCTTTGAGATAATTGACTTAATTCTCCTAAAGTTCCATTGTTCCTTCATTGGAGAAACTACCTCTGCTACCTCTTAGCTATGCTAAGCTTCCAATGTAGCAATGCCTGTGTATTAGTCCATTCATACATTGCTATAAAGACATACCTAAGACTGGGTAATTTGTAAAGAAAAAAGGTTTAATTGACTTATAGTTCTGCAGGCTGTACAGGAATCATGGCTTGGGCAGCCTTAGGAAACTTACAATCATGGCAGAAGGTGAAGGGGAGCAGGCACATCTTCACATGGCTGGCAGGAGAGTGAGCAAGTGAAGGGGAAAGTGCTACACACTTTCAAACAACCAGATCTCATAAGAACTCTATCATGAGAACAGCAAGAGGCAAGTCCACCCCCATGATTCAATCACCTCCCAGCAGGCCCCTCCTCCAACCATATCAGCCTGTAACACCCCCTCCCTGACCACCACCCAGCACAGCCTCTGACACACAGAAAGCACTCAATAATGATCAGACTTGTGGGGGCTCTTTGATTTCATGACTGTGTTACCAAGACCCACTAGGACAGAGGCCACAACAGCCTCTCTCTGCTGTACTCCAAAATGCCCACTCTTATATCTGCTCCAAATTAAACTCCAGGTTCCATCTGGGAATTCAGGACACTCTGACCCTGCCAGTCTGACCCAGTGGCCATGCTGGTCTTCCCCTTGTGACCTCAGAGATGGCTTATCCCATGTTTATATGTAGGAGCTTTGGAATCAAAATTATGATAATAGTGACTTTTGGTAAGCAACTATTTTTTGTATGAACTCCATTGAACTAATGTAAGACATTAAAATAGTTTTCCACACATTATGAGCTGTGTCTTGCTTTCCCCATGTCCACTAGTCATTTTAGAAATTGTTTTCATAGGATTCGATTTAGGCACAGAGCTGCTGCATCTTACAACTTCAGGAAGTGCTGGCTGGGGGCACCCCTGGCATGCATGGGGCAGCTAGCTATGGGTCTGGGCATGGCTTATCTTGTCCATGTGGTCATACAACAAAGCTTGGATTCACTGAGCAATTGTTGGACCTATCCTGGCTTCTGCCAGGTGGTTGTGCTTAGCATCATTATTTCTTTCAAGTTCACCAGTGGCTTGCTGAACAATGAGGTCAAAGTAGCAGGGTCATGACACCCTCTGGGCCAAAACAGCAGGGTTTTGCCCCAGTCCCTGGTGTTGCTTCTGGCACCTCAGACTCCCCTGGGCTGTGTGGCTCTCATTCCCTTGGCATTCTTGTGACCCCTCCCAGTGGAGAATGCTTAACCCCCATCTCAGACCTGTGCCCACCTGGGGTTCACCACAGCTTGACCTCTTGGGCACTACTGCCAACGTCAAGGTGAGTTATTCATCAGTGTCATCCCAAGGATTAAAAGGAAAGAAGACTCATCCCAGCAATGATCCTCCCTGGTCCTGGCCATTCCCTCTAGCAGTGCCTTCCAGCACATGCAATGCAGAGATCCTACTCTAATCCCCATCCCCCAACACACACACACACACACACACACACACACACACACACACACACACACACTGTGAGGAGATTTCTGGAGACAAGCTTTGCCCTGGGGACTCTGCCAAGGTCCCCTGGCTCAGCCCTGCAGTAACTGAGCCAGCACCAGCAGCCTCATCACCCTCACCTGGACTGCAGCCTCCCTGCCTCCCATGGCTTCCTCTGCATTGAATTGTGCCCCAGAAAGCTTTCAAAGCCTATCCAGACCCTATCCTGCCACACCCTGACCCAGTGGATGAAGCCACCTCCTTGTTTCATCTGCAAGCTCTTTCATCACATGGTCATCACTCGCCTCCCAGGCTCCTTGCTCACCAATGTCCAGTCCCCCTCTGCACACTTCCCTCCAGATGTCCCCAAAGACTTGCAGGACCCACATCTTTTCTACTTTTCCAGGCCTCCACAATTTGCCACAGCTGTTTTCTCAGCCTGGACATCCCTTCTGCCCTCTGCTCTACAGCCCCAGTCCACAGGGAGTCTCTTCCGCCAGCTCCTCCCTCTCTCCTCCCAGAGCAGATGCTGTAGGGCATCACCTAGATCCTCCTTCAGGACCGAGTTCTCCTCCCCAGCTGTGGGGTTATTGGAGGCTGGGAGATCCTCGCTGGGTCCCTTCCCAGGAATTGCCCTCTACCAAGAGAACTGCCTCTCCCAAGGCCATGCCGTCCTTCCAGCCTGATCACTGTCGATGCGGGCAGTGGGGCCCAGGGCAGAGAGGCAGCTGCTGGCCTCCACTCAGTGCAACTCTGAAGAACCATCTAGAGCTTCCTATGCTCAACCATGCCACATGGCAGCCTCTGCCTCTGCCCAGCCCTGCTCCCTGCCCTGCACCGCTGCAGGTGTTGCTCACAATAGCCCCAATATGCTTCCTGCACGCAACCTCCCTTTCAGAGTCCACTGGCTGGGAATCGAATCTGTGATGGCCGCCGACCCAGGGCAGGTGGGTGCCTGTGGTGAGCCTCTGTGTTAATGCCTGCTCAAGCACCAGTCTCACTCCATGGGGACTCTTCACGGCCTTGTCTCCCCCACCAGACCACCATCCTCTTGGCATCTTTAACTGTTCATTCCAGAAACACTGACTAAGGAGCCCTAACTTATTCATTCATTCCACAAATCGTTAATGAGCCTGTACCAGGCGATGAGTGCCAGGGATGAACAATCAGACATGGAGCTTAAAATATGCCTTCCGCCTGTAATCCCAGCACTTTGGGAGGCCGAGGCAAGCAGATCACCTGAGGTCAGGAGTTCGAGACCATCCCAGCCAACATGGAGAAACCCCATTTCTACTAAAAATACAAAATTAGCCAGGTGTGGTGGCACATGCCTGTAGTCCCAGCTACTCGGGAGGCTGAGGCAGGAGAATTGCTTAAACCCGGGAGGCGGATGTTGCAGTGAGCCAAGATCGCACCATTGCACTCCAGAATGGGCAACAAGAGCAAAACTCCATCTCGAAAAAAAAATGCCTTCCCCTCTGTATGACTTACCTATGGCTACTATTACAAATCACCACATATTTAGTGGCTTAAAATAACACACAGTTATTATCTTACAATGCTGTATGTTCAAAATCCCACACAAGTCTGCCTGGGCTAATATCTGCATGCCGTCAGGGCTACGTTCCTTCCGGAGGCTGAGAGAGAATCCACTTCTCACCTTTTCGGCTTCTAGAGCTGCCCACATTCCTTGGCTCATGGCCCCTTCCTCCATGGTCAGAGTCAGCAAGTGCAGGCTGGATTCTTCTCACACTTGGACCTTTCTCCTAGTGTCTTCTCCCTCTCTGACTCTAACTCTGGCTCCTTCTTCCACTCGTAGAGACCCTGTGGTTACACCAGGCCCACCCAGGTAATCCAAGAAAAATCTCCTTATATAAAGTCAGCTGATTAGCAGCCTTAATTTAATTTGCAATCTTAATTTTCCCCTTTGCCATGCGAGCTAATATATTTACAGATTCCAGGGAGTAGAACATGGACATCTCTGGGGAGGGGATGCGTTATTCTGCAGATCCCACCCTCCTGCCTAGCTTGGACATGACACAACAGTAAATGCTCAGTAAATATTACAACAAAAAACTGAACGTAGGAAAAGCCCTAAACAGTTGATCCCAAGCATGACTATCTTCCCTCCCCTCCCACCCTCTCTCCTTGGCCCAGCTGCACTGGTTCTAGCTTGTGGCACATGCTCTCACCCTTCCTTGCGGTGTCACTAACTCCTCTGTTCAGCCTGAGCCCCCGCAAATACTCTTCCATTTTCCTCACTGGGTGATGTATGTCTCGTATGTGTATCTATCTCACTCTAAGATGTCTGTCTTGTCTCTGTCCTTTTCCTGCATCTGCGAGTTTTAGAGCACCTTCTCCAGTGCTCGAGTCTGCCAACTGGAATCATTCTGACAACTTCCTCTGCCCCCAATCCTCAGGTCCCCGCTCTAATCCCAGTACAGTTTTTCTGCATTCTTCTTCTGTCTTTTCTCACCTCCTTTCTTCCTCTAAGGGCCCCACCTATACATTGTACATTTTCTTTTTTTCTTTTGAGATAGGGTCTTACTCTGTCACTCAGTCTGGAGTGCAGTGACATGATCTCAGCTCACTGCAACCTCTGCCTCCTGGGCTCAAGTGATCCTCCCACCTCAGGCTCCTGAGTAGCTGGGACTACAGACGCGCCACCACACCTGGCTAATTTTTTGTATTTTTAGTAGAGACAGGGTTTTGCCATGTTGCCCAGGCTGCTCTGGAACTCCCGGGCTCAAGCTATCCACTTGCCTTGGCCTCACAAAATGCTGGGATTATAGGCATGAGCCACCACACCGAGCCCACACTGTACATTTTCAATAAGCAAGTCATTCCCATTGATGGTGCCACATTTTAAAAAAGTACTTAAGATGGCACATTTATTTTTTTAAGCAGACAAATCCATGCCCACGCTCTCACTCCACTTCTGACATGTCTCTCCTAAATTTACAACCACTTTTTTGGGGATGGAGGAACCATTTTTAAAATAATGACATTTAATATTCCAAACATTTCCACTCCTGGTAATGTATTAATATCTTGAATTGTCAAGCCTCAGAGGAAGCCAAAAGATCATAGTAATCACCCTGAGAAGCTGTGGCTGGTGCACGATTGATGAGAACTCCTACATAACAAAGAGCCGAAGCAGCTGCTCCTCCATCCCTCCTTCAGCTGGTCAAACCCACAGATCACCTCCACATCTTTGAGAGTTACACACGGTGGTGTGTGTGACACGCTCACCTCATTGTTTGCAAAGTGAATATTCTAAGTGGAGTCTATCTGTCTATCAGTGGTTTTCCATTGCTGTGCCCTGGAGCTTCTAAGAGTTCCAGCAGTGCCTCAAAGGCAACATCAATCAGAATTTCTGTGTAGAAGTGGTTTAAGGGAGGTGGTCTGGTTGGTAATTGGCCTTGGGTATTTGTCTTGATGCTGAATTTGCATGACAAACTTATTGCTAAAGACTGGAGTTTCTGCCGCTGCTGGCGGCTGCCCTTATTTTCTGCCACTGCTGGGGTGCCCTTTAGAAAACAAAAAGGGAGGCTAAGAGAAAAGAAATTGAGCATTTATGGAACATCTGCTCTATGCCAGGTATTTTCCAAACACTGACCTACTTAACCATTACAACAGTTCTGCAAGGTATAACTATCCCAATTTTATAAATGAAAGAGGCTGAAAAAGGCTAATTAACCTGCCTGTATTTGGTATCTTTTGGAGCATAACAAATTACTCCAAACCTTAGCGGCTTAAAACAACAAACGTGCATTATCTCACAGTGCCTGTGGTTCAGAAACCAGGGAGAAGCATAGCTGGGTAGTTCTGGCTCAGTTTCTCATGAGGTTTTCAATCAGGACATTGGCAGGGGTCCCAGTCCTCCAAAGGCTTGACCAGGGCTGGAGGATCCGTTTCTGTGTAAGGCAGAATAATGGCCCCATAAAGATGTCCATACCCTAATTCCTGAAACCTGTAAATATTGTATGGTAAAAAGAAATGAATGTTGCAGACAGAGTGAAGGCTGCCAACTAGTATATTATTCTAGATTATCCAATGTAATCACAGGGTCCTAAAAATTGAAAAGGGAAGCAGAAAAGGATGTCAGAGAAAAAGACCGGCAACAGAAGCAGTGTCGGAAAGATGCAGTGTTGTTGGTTTCAAGACAGAGGAAGGGGCAACAAGCCAAAGAATGCAGGCTACTGCTAAAGTTGGAAAAGACAAGGAAGCAGATTCTCCCCTACAGACTCCATAAAGAAACAGCCCTGCTGACACCTTGATTTTAGCCCAGGGAGACCCTGTTGGACTTCTAACCTACAGACTTCAAGATAAATGTGTGATGTTTTAAGCTGCTAGGTTTGTGGTCATTTGTTACAGCAGCAATAGAAAACTAATACAAGCTTCCAAGGTGGTTCACTCACATGGCTGCTGGCAGAAGACCTCAGTTCCTCACCATGAGGGTGACTCCTATAGTCTACTTTAGTGTCCTTACAACATAGCAACCATCTTCCTCCAGAGCAAGTGCTCTCAGAGGGAGAACAAGGAAGAAGCTGCAATGCCTTTTGTGCTCCAGTGCTAAAAGTCTAACATCAGCTTTCCCACCACATTCTAGTTGCAGAGTCACCAAGTATGCACAGTCCACACATAAGGGGAAGGGAACTGAGTGTTTATGGCCACATACCCTGAACATGCCCACACTCATCTGAAGGGAGGAGTTTCAAAGAATTTGTGGACTTTTTTCCACACTGCCAAGGTCACACCAGATTAATCAGTAGACTTGAAATAAAATTAAAAACTCAGACTTCTGTGCCCAAAGTCTACACTCTTTCCATTTCACAGAATTACAGAGGTGGTTCTAAGACTCAGGTATTGCAGTCTTGCCATATTACCAGTGGTACTGAGGCTAGGTTCCTCAGGAATAGTAATGGGGATCTGAGAACTATTTTCAATATTTTTAAATTGCAAAGGGAACATCACATTCCCAACCAAGATGAGGTCACACCAGCTCTTGCATGAAATGACATCAACTCAATTTGCTTATACTGTGATCAGAAGCTTTAGTTGGAAGTTATGGATGTCTTTAATAAAACATGGAGAACCTAATGTTATTAAAATAAGCTCTATCTGACAGATAACATCTTTCAAAATATAGCCTTCCAAGGACAAAAACCAAAGAGCATCTTGGTGGGGAGGGGGTTGGGAATCCCTGGTCTAAAGCAGCTCTCTGTTTTACAAATGGGGAAACTGAGGCCCAGAGAGGGTGGGTTCTCACCCAGGTCACCCTGAGAATTAAACAAAGCCAGGATTGAACCAGGACATCCTCATTCCCAAGTCAGTGCTCACAGCCTCCAAGGAAAAGGTTTTCTCATTTAATGAGAGAGGGGCGAGCAGAGAAGTAACCAAATAATTTTCTAACTGTTCCTCCAGGGCAGGCTTTGGCCATTTTTTTTTTTTTTTCTTGAGATGGAGTCTCGCTCTGTTGCCCAGGCTGGAGTGCAGTGGTGCGATCTTGGCTCACTGCAAGCTCTGCCTCCTGGGTGCATGCCATTCTCCTGCCTCAGACTCCCGAGTAGCTGGGACTACAGGCGCACAGGGCCACACCCGGCTAATTTTTTTGTATTTTTAGTAGAGACAGGGTTTCACCATGTTAACCAGGATGGTCTCGATCTCCTGACCTCGTGATCCGCCTGCCTCAGCTCCCCAAAGTGCTGGGATTATAGGCGTGAGCCACCACGCCCAGCCGGCTTTGGCCATTTTTAAAGTGTATTGCTTACGGGGAAAGGCCATTAATGTGTTCCCATGGGAGCTAATGAGAGGGAGGTGATGACTAATCTTGGAAGGGGGTTTTGGGGGAGAAAGAGGTGGAGTCTCTGTCCAAATGACTACACGGATCCCAGAATAGTCCCACAGGCAAGAAATGACATTGAGCCATGAGTTTGTTCTCTACCCTGGATGTCAATCCCTGAAAGAGGAGGACTCAGATGACCCTTCATCTGAGTTACTTGAATAATCTGGTTTCTCGAATAATTCCTAGGACCTAGCCTGCACCTGCCCCACCCAGGCTCAGACCTACTTAAAGCCCCAGGAAGAATCCCATCTCTGCAAAATAGCACAGCTGCTGTGGAAAACAATATGATGTTCCTCAAAACATTAAAAATAGATTTACCATGTAATACAGCAACTCACTTTGGGGTATATGCTCAAAAGAACTGAAAGCAGGGACTAGAACAGGTATTTGCACACCCACATGCACAGCAGCACTATTCACAATAGCCAACACATGGAAGCCTCCAAGAGTACATTGACAGATGAGTGGTCTATGCATACAGGGGAAATTTCTTAGCCTTAAAAAGGAATGAAATACTGGCACATGCTACAACATGGATGAAATCTGAAGACATTCTGCTAAGTGAAATAAATCGGTCACAAAAAACAAACACTGTATGATTTCACTTATATGAGGTACCTAGAACAGTCAAATTCACAGAGACAGAAAGTAGAATGGTTGCTGCCAGAGGCTGGGAGCAAGGAAATGAGCAGTTAGTGTTTAATGGGTATAGAGTTTTGGTTTGGGAACATGAAGCCTTTCTGGAGATGGATCGTAGTGATGGTTGCATGACAGTAGGAACGTACTTCATGCCACTGGACAATACATTTAAAAATGATTAAGGTGGTGCTTTTAATGCTGTGTATAATTCACCACAATTTTTAAAAAATAAAAAAAGACATCAGGGAGGTTACACCCTTGGGGAGGGCTAGAAAACCAGGCTTGGAAGCTACACATCCAGGACTGACACCCCAAACTATCCTGAAGACCCCGCTGGGTGGAGACGTGGCTGCTGAGCTGCCGGGCACAGATGCATCACCAGTGCTGGACCCCAGACCCTGCCACTGCTAACCTGGAGATCCAATGGAGCTGCTGCCTTGCCACCAGCCCTGCCAGGATATCTTTACTTCTTCACAAACTTCTGACTCAAGGAGCAGAAGCCCAGGTCATGTGCGCACAGCCTGGATGCAAAGGGCCCTGGGAAATCACATGCATGTAATTTGTATCAACTTCCATTGCAGGAAATGCATTCTAGCTCATAGAGTGGGAGATTTCTCCCAAATATTTTAGAAAAAAGGGCCCTGATATGGTTTGGCTGTGTCCCCACCTAAATCTCATCTTGAATTGTAGCTCCCACAATTCCCATGTGTTGTGGAAGGGACCCAGTGGGAGATAACTGAATTATGGGGGCGGTTTCCTCCATACTGTTCTCGTGGTAGTGAAAAAGTCTCATGAGATCTGATGGTTTTATGAGGGGTTTCCCCTTTTGCTTGGCTCTCACTTCTCTCTTGACTGCCACCATGTAAGATGGGCCTCTTGCCTTCCACCATGATTGTGAGGCCTCCACAGCCACATGGAACTGTGAGTCCATTAAGCCTCTTTTTCTTTATAAATTACCCTGTCTTGTAATCAGTGGCATGAAAACATACCAATACAGGCTCTTTCTCTCCATCCATATCACCCCCCTTCCAGATCAGGAGTAGTGTGTCTCAGCCCAACACTCCTAACTTCCTCCTTGCTGACCTCTCTCTCTGGAGCTACCCCTTCCTATCCAATCTGCAGCCTCTGTGTTCCCAGGGGTCATCCCTCTCTTCATTACACCCACATCCACTGTGTCACCAAGGCCAGCCAGCTTTGCCTCCCCAGCATGCTTGTCCACCTTCTCCTTGCCACTTCTTTCCTCTCTCCTCTTAGAACCTTCATGCAGGCTCCCATTACCCGCTTCTGGTTCCCAAGTCCAGGCAATGCTCTTGACCACTCTCAGCTTCCCCCTATGATGCTTCTAGATGGTAAACCAGATCAAAGCACTCCCCTGGTCAAAATTCACCTATCACTGGCTCCTCTGTGCCTTGAAGATAAAATGCCAAGGCCTTAGCCTGGTATCCATGCATCCTTCACCCTCAGCCTCCCCCAGGATCATAACCAGAGCATATCCCAGCTGCAGGCACCATGCTCTCTCTTGAGCCCCCAAATATTGCATTTCCAAATGAAACATCTTTCCCACCCTTTTGGCCAAGCAAAATACTCAGAAGCCTTGCTTCACCTCCAAGCCTAGGTTGAGGGTCCTCTCTGTGCCCCCTGACACACACATCCTGCTCATCTGCACCTCACTCAGTTCCAGAACAGTACTTATTGTTCTGAATTGGAACAAACTGTTCACTTATTGATACCCATGACCTCCAATAGCCTGGAAGCTCCTTCAAGTATGGGACAATGTTTTGTCTCAGCACTCAGCACAGCAAATAGTAGACACTCAATAAATGTTCAACAAATGAACGAGGCAAATGAACTTTTAGCCCCAAAAGAACACCACCCTGTCTCTGGGGAGCCAGTCCTGGTATAACAGACTGGGCTCTTTAAGACTCAGCAGGTTTTGCTCTGGGGTGATGCTAGCATATCCTACTGCCTCCTGACCATGAGGCCTCTTCCCTCAAAACCACCAGAAGGAGACCAACCACTGGCCTTTCTCTAGAACTTCTTGTCTGACCAAACTTAGCCTAGAACAACTCAGAACCCAGCCTCTTATCTAATGAGCAGTCCTGCCTGCTCTGTCCAGGCTGTACCATGTCCTCAATGCACCAACAGCCTTGCCCAAGCATCCAGCCACACTGAGGCAAGATGAGCCCTGCTGAGCGCAGCAGGACAGGCCTGGTCTGGCCTAAGTTTCAGCCTAGCTAAGGCACAGGTCTCCGTGATCCCACCCCAGAACTTCCTGGATGCCCAATGGTCCTGCATTTCATCACCTGTCTTTCTGCTTAGAGTTCTCCCCGAGCCTTTCCCTCCCTCCCTCCCTTCCTCCCTCCCTTCCTTCCTGAGTTCTCCCCCAGCCTTTCCCTCCCTCCCTCCCTCCCTTCCTTCCTGAGTTCTCCCCCTGCCTTCCCATTCTTTCTCCCCTTCCTTCCTTCCTTCCCTCCTTCCTGCCCTCCCTACCTCCCTCCTTCCTTCCTTCCTGAGTTCTCCCCCTGCCTTCCCATTCTTTATCTCCTTCCTTCCTTCCTTCCTTCCTTCCTTCCTTCCTTCCTTCCTTCCCACTCTCCTGACTTCCCTCTCCTTTCCCTCCGGCTATGGTCTCAATGTCTGTGTCTATGCCATATTTGTATGTTGAAATCCTAATCCCCAACATGATGGTATTAGGAGTTGGGGTCTTTAGAAGGTGATTAGGCCATGAGGGTGAGGCCCACATCAATGAGATTAGTGCCTTTATAAAAGAGGCCCAAAAGAGACCCCTTGCCCTTTCTGCCATGTGAGGACACAGGAAAAGGACAGCTATCTGTAAAACAGAAAGCGGACCCTCATCAGACACTGAATCTGCTGGTGCCTTCATCTTGGGCTTCCCAGCCTCCAGAACTGTGAGCAATAAATTGTTATAGCAGCCCAAATGGACTATGACACTTCTCTCTTCCATCCACATACATTTCCATGAACGCTTTAGCCTGTCAAACAGGTGGGAAATCAAGGAATCAACACATCTAGGTGTGCCCATTCTTGCAGCTGCTGTGCTAGGCACCTAATATGGAGCATCTCACCACCTCCAGCCCACAATCTCTGATACTGGGATTATGATACTCAGTTTACAGAGGAGGAAATTTTGCTCAGAGGTCCGATCATTTGCCTTACTCATTAAGTCACCTAGCTCAAGTTCAAACTCTGGCTGCAAAGGACACACCCTTCTCCCTGCACCATCTGCTTTTTCTGCTCTGACAATGTCTTCTGCAAGAGGAAGACGGCCTACTCCTTCTGCCCTTGAAGAATTTTCAGCACCACAGTAGGGAAAGCATTCCCTGCCTGCCAAGAAATTTCGACACAAGGTCGGGGAGGCCCAGAAAATTAGACATTCACTTTCTGTTGGGGAGATGTTTGAATTCTGTTTTCAAGAATAGATAAGGCTTAGGCTGCGTGGAAGAAAGTTCAAGGATAGGACAGGCAGAAGGATGGGGTAAGCTACAAGAAACATGTCAGCCTCCCTGGAACTCCGAGAGGCTCATGTGTCACTGAGAAGTGATGCCCATCCTTGCAAACCACAGAGGAAATAGAAATACTGGGCAATGGTAAAAATAGCTCCATGGTGACGATGTATTTTTTGGAACCACCTGGACAGTGAGATATTGCTGACACTCCACCGATGAGGCTGTTCAGATTGATCTATGCTCTTTTTGGGGGTAGGGAGGTAGGGGGAGACAAGCAAATGAACTAATCACTTCAGGTAGAGAAAAAAATAAAAGGTCACCTTTGGTACCAAGATATTTTTCCAAGTCCCAGAGCCTAGCAATACCTAAACCCCAACCTTGCATAACTGAGGGTTTTGCAGCCTGGGGGCTTGTTGTCTGCAGTGAAGATCTTTTTAAGAAAACAAATGGTCATTGTTTACATGATAATGACAGAAAAAAAATAATGAAAACCAGGCAAGGGGCCCCTGGAGATGATTTTGACAGGTAATTAAAAGGCATACTAGAAGTCCCAGGACTATATCTGCCCCACCCAGGGGCCTGCCTCCCTGGTGGGGTCTGGGGGAGTAGGTACCGCAGTTCTCCAACTTGCTGGAGGTTTGGTTTTGTTTCGGAGTCTTTCTTACCAAAGTTCATTCTTTGCGGTTATAAGAGAGAAACTGAGACCTAGATTAACATGCTAATTACTCCTTGGCAATTAAATTAACTTTGTCAGAAAACAAAAGTTATCTCCCTGAAATGCATTTCCCTTGTTGCTTTAGCTGCTAGCACTTAAAAGTAAACCAGCATCTATTCAAAGAGCATCTATCTGAGGGTCCTAGTAAAAAGCTACACGATCCTCTTCGTTTAGAAAAATGGTAAGAATCACCAAAAAAAAAAAAAAAAGGAAAAATAATACTATTAAGAATTGTACTACATGCTCAGCTGGCACTGCCTTGCTGCTGCTTCTTATTCTTCTTCTTTTTTTTTTTTTTTTTAAGACAGTTTCATTCCTGTCACCCAGGCTGGAGTGCGATGGCGCAATCTCAGCCTCCCTAGTAGCTGGGATTACAGGCTCCCGCCACCACGCCCAGCTAATTTTTGTATTTTTAGTAGAGATGGGATTTCACCATGTTGGCCAGGCTGGTCTCAAACTCCTGACCTCAGGAGATCCACCTGCTTCAGCCTCCCAAAGTGCTGGGATTACAGGCATGAGTCATCTCGCCCGGCCGGCTTCTTATATTCATTACCTCTCATTTAATCCTCAAATAATGCTGTAGAGTAGGTACTTCCGTTATGTCCATTTAATTGATAAGGAAATGGAGGCACAGAGAAGTTAAGGACCTTGCCAAAGTCACACAGTTCATTTGTAGCTGAGCTGGGACTCCAAGTCAGGTCTTCAGTGCCGAGTTCTTAACCATCATGCCATCTGTCTACTGGGAGGTCTCTAGTCCCATGTATTCTTAAATGTATTATTTTGTACCATGCATTAGACTAGGGGCTGGAAAACTATTGCTACATGCCAAATTTAGCTGTCTGCCTGTTTTTGTAAATAAAGTTTTATTGGAACACAGTCACGTTCATTTACATATTGCCTATAGCTGATTTCATGCCACAACAACAAAGTCGAGTAGTTGTGCCAGACTGGCTGGCCTGCAAAGCCTAAAATAGTCACTATCTGGCCCTGTTCCAAAAAAGCTTGTCAATTTCTGCCTTAGATCATTGGTTCTCAAGTTTGTCTGTATTTTGGAGTCACTTGGGAAATTTTAAAAATACCTATGTCTGGGCTCTGCCTCAAGTGATTGTGATTAAACTGGTATGGAGTGCAGCCTGGGCACTGGAATTGTTAAAAAATTCCCCAGGGACCAGGGTATTCCAATGACAGCCAAGTTTAAGAACCACTGCCTTGGAGTGTAAGGGACTTAAACACCCTTGCAGTAATTACAGAAGTTCAGTTTACACATAGGAACACTTTATATGGCACTTAAACATAACTCTGCCATCCATAGAGGACCTCCTGCTCCTCAAAATCATATTAAATCTAGCCCGCAGCCCAATTCCACATTACTATGAACGTCCAGCCCCTCCCCACCATTTCAGAGTCCACTTGACCGGTGCCCAGACTTCTCCCTCCTCATCCTCTCCCCACCTACTTGACTTCCTGCTTCCTCCGTCAGAACCCAGCCCCAGGTCCAATTTCCACAAAACTCCACTCTTTCAAGCATTTCCAGAAGTTACCGGAGTATGATGCTGCTGATGGGGAGCAGGTGCCGTCGGGGGTCATGCGACAGAACCCTGGCTATGTGTTTCTCGCTGGCTCCATCCGCTTGCCGCGCTCCCACTTCCGCCGACTCACTTCCTGAGCATCAGAGAAACCCTTCCCCTCCTCCGTGGCTCCTGTGCGGCCCCGGAGACCCAGCACCTTTTTGTGCCGTAGTTGGCTTACCTGTGCCCTTCCACAAAGACAGGTCATCCCTACAAAACACACCCATGCTAACTGCTGTGAAAATAAACATTTCTCAGCATTGTTCGTAGAGCAAAGTGCTTGATGACGTAAGATAGGAACCAACAGACACTGTTTGCCCCATTTTTTAGGTGAGGAAATGGCAACCTGGAAATTTTCAGAGACTTGCCCAAAGTCAGTCCTAGCCATCCAGGTTAGGCAGCTGGCCACACACGCTGCCCGGGGAAGCACAAAGATCCCAACCTTAGGCTGTTCCGGTCTCCAGGCTTTGGCCAGCCAGCCACATGACATCTCTGTCAATCCACTCTCCCTCGCTCCCGCTTCCCGGGTCCTGTGAATGTGTGGTTCTCAGTAGTCTCCGGCGTCCTCCTGGGATGTGACACATTGGCACATCTCCACCTGCCCCAGTCAAGCCTTCCCTTTGAAATCCTCCCACCTTTGACTCCATTCAGCAGCATTTCCTTTTGTTTTTGGAGAGACAGGGCCTCATTCTGTTACCCAGGCTGGAGTGCAGTGGCAAGCGCACCACCGCACTGGGCCACAGTCAGCAGCATTTTAAAGTAAAGATGTTCTGACCACACCCTTATCCCTACACGACTGACAAGGATCAACCAGGCCTCTTCTGGGAGAGGGAGGTGGGCATCATTTACATAACAATAACGTATTGAGTCCCTGTTGCGCCACTTGGAGACTTTCATAAGCACGTCAAACACAGCTTCTGCTGTCACGTAAAGAGAGCCTGTGTATTATTTAAGACGAAAGACTACACGTTCAGATCCCAGCTCTACTTACCAGCTGTGATTACTCTGTGCCTTAATTGTCCCATCAGTAAAATGGGGATAATGAAGATACGTATAGTACCCTCATAGGCTTGGTGTGAGAAGTCAATGTACATGAAGTGCTTAGACAGTGCCTGGCACAGAGGAAAGTGCTATGTAAATATTTGCTATCATTCTGGAGCTCACAGCCCTATTGGGGAAGCAAATCTGAAACAAACCATTAACGTTCGCAAATCTGGCCATGTATTAGAATTCCTCGTGGAGTTATTACAAACAGACTGTTGGACCCCTCCCCACACTTAATAACTCAGGCTCGCTAGGATAACACCCGGGAATCTGTATTTGTGAAATGCTCCCTGGGGCCATTCTGATTAGGCTGGTCTAAATGAAAGCCATCTTCTAATGCAAATGATCCTCCTTGTAGAACTGAGAGGACAGAAAGTCTTACCTAGCTCAGCAGAGCTAAATCAATGGGTGCTGGCTGGATGCTGGAAGTTGAGCGAGGAGTTAGCTACAACTCCCCTTCCTTCAGCATCAGCTCTCCTTCATCATCGGCCAAAGGCAGTCCACACAGTCTAGATAGGTGGAATCTGTCTCTTTTAAGAATGAATCAATAGAGGGGGGAAAACATCCTAGGACTTCTGAAAAGTGCTACAGCCACAGAGAAATGGAACACTACAAGAAAGCCTCAGGAGAAACGACTTGCTCTGAAAATTACTTTCCCCATTAAGCAGAAGGAAACTGTTAGGAACCACCTATAGGGTATCTCAGAAGATGTGGCCTCTGTGGAATAGGACCAAGGAGCTTCAGGTGACAATCTCAGACTCCAGGACAGCAGGCTGAGATGAAAAGGGTAGGCTGAGACAATAAAAGCCTGCAGGAAAGCTGAAATGCAGTTGCAAAGATGAAATCCACCTCTGAGGCACTAAAGACAGGGCTGACCAAGCAGCAAATCAAATTATGGAGGGTGTGGTGAGATAAATAGTGTCCCCCGCCCCCCTACCAAAATTTATGTCTACTAGAGCCTTGGGATGTGATCATATTTGAAAATAGGATCTTTGCAGATTCAATTTGTTAAATTAAGATGAGGCCATACTGAATGAGCTGAGTCCCAAGCCTAAAGACTTGTGTCCTTTTAGGAAGAGGAGAGGATACAGAGAGACACACAGAGAGGAGAAAGCCACATGGCAATGGAGGCAGAGATTGGAGTGATGCAACTACAAGTCAAGGAACACCAAGGACTTTCAAGAGCCACCAGGAGCTAGAAGAGGCAAAAATGATGCTCCCCAGAGGCTTCAAAGAGGCCATGGCCCTGCCAGCACCTTAAGTTCAGACTTCTGACCACCTGAACTAAATTTCTGTTGTTTGAAGCCACCCAGTCTGTAGTAATTTGTTACAGCAGCCCTAGAAAACTAATGAAGATTTCTAGGTCACAGTTCCAGTTAAAAAGGAGAAAAAAAATGGAATAAAAATGTTAAATTAATAGCCACAGAGGAGCCAGAGAAAAGATCTCAATGATTAGGCTGTCTGATCAAGCAGACAGGCCCCAAGTGGGTTTCCCTGGAGATGAGAGAAAGGATTAAAAACAAGTCCCCTGTTAGGCCTTTTGTGTCTGTAAATGGACTGTTGTAACAAAACATAAAAGAAATGAAGGGGCAAAATATTAACCTATTAGTACAAAGTTTTAGAAAGAAACCAGCACAAATCATACAGGAGCAATAATTCACACTTGAATAGAAGAAAACTTCCCAGACCTCCGAAGTTATACTTTCCCACATTAAACCAAAGTAGGACACCACTGAGGCCTGCCTGGGTACCCAGCTACAAGGATGACGCCTCAGGCTTCCACGTCTGCCGCAGGCTCACCACATTCCTGCTCACATTCTAGGCTTCAGCTACAGTGAATTACTCCAAGTTACCCAACCATGTTCCTTCATGCTCTTTCCCTTATCCTTACATCTTTTCCCAGAACTGGAATCACTTCCCCATCTCCCCTCTGTCCTGCCACAACCCCTGCTCACCCCCTCACCATCCTGAGACCACCCACTCACCCTCCAGGTCATAGTCAAGCACCTTGGCCTCCACAAAGCCTTCACCAAGGCTGTCCCTTCCTTTTCTTGTGCTCACTAGACCCTGGACACATTCCTATGAGCCTATTTCTTACACTGTGTTGTCATTTATATTTTTACATCTCTATTTGGCCTTCTAAACTGGAAGTTTCCAGAAGACAAGACTGCTGCCTTTTCCTGTCCTTGTTTCCGCTGCTTCCTGCACAGTACTCAGCCCTGTTTTACCCTTTAGGGATAAATTAGTGCCTAAATTTACCTAAGGTTAGCTAAATTTGCAAGTGTCAAACAAAAATATTTGGGACGTGAAAAAAATAATAGCTTCAACTATAGAAAAAAGAGAGCAAATTTAAAATTAATGTTTGTCCATTAACATAAACATCAAATCATTTTCATTAATTATTCACTTTAGTGTTTGTAAGAATGTCATTACAATTGAAAACAAATTGTAGGGTAGGTTTTCTCTCTGCAAGAATCCCTCATATGCATAATGATTGATGAGAAGTCATAGATAATCACAATGAATTACTTAAATGCAAATCATTTTAAAAGTAAAATGAGGGGGCAATGGGGAGATGTTGGTCAAAGGACACAAATTAGACAGGAAAATAAGTTCAAGAGACCTATTGTGCAGTATGGTGATTATAGTTAATAACAATGTATTGTGTACTTGAAAATTGCTAAAAGAGTAGATTTTAAATGTTCTCACCACAAAAAAATGATAAGTATGTGAGGTAATGCATATGTTAATTAGCTTGATTTAGCCATTCCACAGTGCATTCGTATTTCAAAGCATCACGTTGTACACCATAAATATATGTCATTTTTATTTGTTGTTTTGTGAAAGGGCCATGTATACAAAGTGATCCCAAAATGCAAAAGGAGCTGAGAAACCAAAGAACAAGGCAGACAAATCCAGTTTGCCTTTAGAGGGTGATTTACTGGGGAACTTACAGACAGAAGTGTGGTCTTGGATGGCCGTAAGACAGACAGATCTCTACGCTGTTATCCCCAGAGACCCAGGGCTTATATACCACAGGGAAAAGATACACGTGATCTATAAGGAATGTGCAGGACAATTAAAGTTGACCTTCTAGGAAAGGACAAAAATGCTGTGTGTATCATAGCCTTGAATTTGTGTGATAATATCAAGGCCGTCTTGACCTAAAGGCAGGATTTATGGTAAGCATATGCTCTTACACAGGAACAGGAGATAAAGTGGGAATCAGAGGCATTCCCAGACCTGGGGTTAATCGGAAGTCAACATGGCGGACTAGCATCTAAGATGGAGTTACTTTAGCCTCCATTTGTCAATTGAAAAAAAACATAAAATTAAAATTAAGGTAAAACTATCTTAAAGGCTTTCAAAATTTCCAAAAGAGAATGTCTAATGTGTGATGGTGGTGTCTTTCAATGTGTTTGATATGGTGAGTGCTGGGAGGTCCTAAGGCAGGAGAGCCTACGGCTTGAGGATCTTAAAGGGTTCTGACAGTTCTGGCACCTAATAGAGATTCAATAGATGGACATTGAGCGAATAAATAAACACAAACTTTGTTGCCTTCAGAACAAACAGCAGCCCCTGGGGTACCATCCATACAAAGAGAGCGTATGCCTAGCCCAGTGGGCTGTGGAAGACCAAGTGCCCCTCATGGTGTCTGGAGAGAATCTTCTCTCTGCTGTCCATGTTTCCATTTCTAGGACCATCAACTAGGGTCATGCTCTGGGCCTCCTACCAACCCTTTGTTCACTCTGAATTTTGATGAGGGGAAGGGAAAGTGGGCATTCCCAGTTCAGCACCTCCTTTCTTTCTTCTTAGAGACCCAGATTCCTATAGGAAGTATGCATTTGGGGCTGCCCTTCCTTAGGTGTTAAGTTTACAGGGGCATGCCCTCATGTGGGGAAGCCAGCAGTGGTCTAGCTGTGCCCTTGAGAAGTGGCTGGGACTTTCTGATGAAGGGCTCAATGCCTCCTCTGTTTCCATATTCCACACTTGGAGTGTGTGATTTCCTTACTGGTTCGTTGTGTGTGACGCTGCCCCTCAGATGACCAGCTTAGCTAAGTGATTTGCCTCAGCCTATGAAATATGAAAAAATATCAGTTCCAGGCTGAGACTTCAAGAGGCATCACACATTTCTGCTTACCCTTCAAGCACTTCTGCCACAGTCAATGGGAATAGCATGCACACGTATCCCCTGGTCCCAGAATCAGAGACATACAGGGCAGAGGGGAACCCTACCTGCAGCCTGAAGCTGAGCTGCCCTAGTGAATACAGACCAATGAGTAAGAAAAATATTTTTGCATGTGTCATAAGACACTAAGATTTGGGGGTTATGTGTTATGCAGCAAAAAAACCTAACCAAAGCATCATCCAACCTAATGACTAGAGGTAATATTTGTTCTCCATCTGCTGAACTGAAGCTGGGAAAGAGAGGTGTTATTTAGTAAGCCGCTCAAGTACTAACAACCTACAACATCACTATGGAAAGGTCTGTGCTTGGGAGACTCTTTGGACTCGATCATCCTCACACCATTTGTATACATCTTAGGGAGATCCTATGTCTGTAATGGGGAGCTTCCATACAGTGGGTGGAAATAAGATGATTCAGGAACATAATACTGTTTGCCAAATGGGGATTGGGAAAGGAATTCAAACCATCCTGCTACCTTGTTGAGCCATTTGGAAAAATGGGTCAGAACCAGAGATATTGGAGAGCACTTTCAAAGCTTCTAATTTTCTAAAGTTTTTCTTTCTCACCTTGGAATGTCTTCAGATGCTTGGATGGAGCTGTACTAAAAGTACGCTCTTACATGTCTGTTTTTCCTTCTGTGCTGGGAATTCTTTGAGGGTAGGGACTGTGTACCTTCTTCATCTGTATAACCTTGCTCTGGGCTGGATGGATAAATAATGGGAAGGCTCTGACTCTGGAGCGTGATGTGGGTACACGTTTCTGGTTTTGTAAGAGATGCCTCCCTGTCCTTAGCTTTCCCAGACTGTTGAAACTGCCTTTGCAAAATTATGACAGGAAGAGAAATCTCACATCGTTGACTCCATCTTGCTTCTGACCTCCAAGCTGTGCTTGGGCATTCCTGGGCAAAGGCCAAACTAACTTTGGGAGGAATTTATTTATAGTTGAAGGATGTAAGCAAAGATGGATAATAGCCCTTCCCCAAACTAAACTGCTTTGTAAAACTAATGTAAGGCTACAAGGTTAGGATAATGAGAGTGGCCTGAATTCTGCTAAGATGTAGGTGTAGTTAAATAACCAGTCATGGTTCCAGTGGTCACAAGATTTGTAACTTCCCCGATTACTCCTGTAGATAACATCACTATTGTAGAACCTAAGATTGGCTTTCTGAGATGTCTTTTCAGACTTTTGCATGTCTGAAGACCAGATGACTCCAGCTGGACTTGTGATCATGACTCACCTGGTCTTATGACCCCACCCAGAGGCGGACTCAGTGCACAAGGACCATTTTCCACATCCATATGATGCGTTACCAACCAGTAAGCAGCACCCATTCTGTATTCCCTGGCCCACCATACTATCCTTGAAAAGGGTAACCTCTGAGACTTCGGGGAGACTGATTTTAGTAACGACTTCCATTCTCCCATATGGGCTGGCCTCATGTCAACTAAACTCTTTCTTCACTGCAATGCCATGGTCTCAGTGAATTGGTTTTGTCTGTGCAGTGGGCAGGAAGAACCTGTGTGGTGATTACACTGTCACCATCAAATGAGAAGGCTGACAGGAGCACAGATCCCCAGCTTCCTGCATCTGCTAACTCCACAGGAGCTTTCTAGCTAAACAGATCAAGTTGAGCCTCTGAGGACCATGTCGACATTTCCTTAAAATGGTGAGGCACAGTGATGTGAAATGAATTGTTCTTCACGGGAAACACCCTGTTGGTGGTCACTGAAGCAGTGTTTCCACAGCTGGGATATGCACTTTTTCAAGGGCAAAAGAGGCATCAGGGCAAGTGACTATATTCTTGGGAATTTTATCTGTATCCTCACTAGCCCTGTGACTTTGGACATAAAACATAATCTCTTGGAGCCCTCATTTTCTCATTTCTTCCCTCATTTTCTCATTTCCTAAGTGGTCATTGTGCTGCCGGCCTCAGGGTACTTAAATACATGTAATAGATGCAAAATGTCTAGCTTGTAGTAGGTGCTCCTTAGAACCAAGGGTCTTAAAAAAAATGTTTTGGCAACAGCTGGACTTTTAGCTGAATGGGCTATTTATAATGTCTTTGGCCCATAAGCGTCAAAGGTAGTACTATTTTGTTTCGGTACACCTTGGATTTGCCTCATTTGAGGAAATGTGAAAGAGAGAAATGCTAACATCTGTCTATTTTAAGGACTTTTCAGAGCACGGCACATCTTTCAGTCGCATATGTGTTAGTTTGGCAAACTGGAAATGAAGTGTTAGCTTTGAACCTCAGTCCCAACTGGTGCTGACCCCATTCTTGCCCTTCCAGCCTTCTTGACTACCAGGGTGCTTCCCAAGTGGCCTGGGCCCTGGCCACGGTTCTTTCCCTGATGGACCACCTCTCTGGGCTGGCAGGTCACCCTTCTCTTCATCACAAATAACAAATCCTACACCTACCCTGTCTTCGAAGTGGCGCAAATATCATCTCCTACAGGAAGTCTTCTTTTCAGCCCCAGCATATTTGTTCTCTCTCCCATTCCTGCTGCAGTGCAGGGAGCTTTGGAGTTAGCACTGGGTTTACAATGTGGACTCACCTCTTACCAGCTCTGTGACCTGAAGCAAATGGCCTAACCTCTCTGCGCAGACATTTCCTCATGTAAAAATAGAATAAATCACTTAATTTGTAGGGCCGTTGTGAAGACTATATGACACAGATCTTTTTTTTTTGAGACAGAGTCTCACTCTTTCACCTAGGCTGGAGTGCAATGGCTTGATCTTGGCTCACTGCGACCTCCACCTCCCAGGTTCAAATGATTCTTCCGTCTCAGTCTCTGAAGTACCCAGGACTGCAGGTACACACACCACGCTGACTAGTTTTTGTATTTTTTAGTAGAAACTTGGTTTTCTACTAAAACGGGTTTTGCCATGTTGGCCAGGCTGTTCTTGAACTCCTGACCTCAGGTGATCCATCCGCCTCGGCCTCCCAAAGTGCTGGGATTATAGGCGTGAGGCACCATGCCTGGCCTTCTTTCTTCTTCCTTCCATTGGCCAGTATCACTGCATTCTCTGTCTTAGCTTGAATGCTCAGGTCTTTTGCAACAAGCTTGTAGCTTCTCATTCATTCATGAATTCATTCATTAATTCTTTCAAAAATATTAATTGAATACCTGTTTGCCAGGCACTGTCCCAGGCATCTGGATACACATGTGAATGAAGTAGTCAGAGACCCCCATCCTCACAGGATTTAACTTCAAGCTGGGAAGGCAGAAAATAAACAATAATCATAACAAATCACATTTTTTATGTGTGTTAGAAGATGTTAAGGGCTATGAAAAAAGGCGGAAGAGGAGAGGGGAGATTAGAAGTGTTGGGGGAAAACCAGGCTGCAGCAGTAAACAGGTGGCCAGGAAAATCTCATGGAGAAGGCGAGATTTAAGCACAAACTTGAAGGAAATGAGTACATTTCATCCATTTGTTGAATAAATGAATGAAGCAAGAAATAACTACACTTTATTTATGTTTAAGGTAAAATAGCTCAACAGCAAGAACTTGAAACTATAAGATTTCAGGCCAGCCATGGTGGCACACGCCTGTAATCCCAGGACTTTGGGAGGCCAAGGGAGGCAGACCACTTGAGGTCAGGAGTTCAAGACTAGCCTGGCCAACATGGCAAAACCCCGTCTGTACTAAAAATACAAAAATTAGCCGGGCATCGTGGTGCATACCTGTATTCCCACTACTCGGGAGGCGGAGCCATGAGAATTGCTTGAACTGGAGAGGCAGAGGTTGCAGTGAGCCTAGATCGCACCACTGCACTCTAGCCTAGGTGACAGAGTGAGACTCTATCTCAAAAAAATAAAGGAACTATAAGATTTCTACCAAACCCAGATCATATCCCATTAATAGAGGCAAGGAAAATCCTGAAAGTAATTGGTCCTAAAAGTCACATGCCGTTTATAAAGAGTCACACACTGCCAAGGGGGAAGGGGAGGGCTGAATCAACAGGGGAAGGCTTAATTAACTTCCTCGTGTAAATAATATTTACAAATTGCATCTGACAAGAGAAGTCTTTGTACAGTGAGTAACTCCTCCTGCGAATTCTCAAATGAGTTTGCCAGCTCTGACCTGCGTTGTGTGGGTGGCACTCGGGAAGACTCACAACTGAGAGACCGGCTGGGATTTAAAAAGTGCTCCTCCTTAAATGGGCACTGGATGGCAGATAAAGCAACTTTACTTATGTGGTGGCTGTGTCCCAGGTGACCTGCCCAATGGCCACCTGCATGACTGTAGAAAGAACCATTGACACGGCAGAAAGAACTCATAGGTCAATCTTCACATGGTCTTCCAGCAACCCCAGGAGGTGAAAGAGGTGAAGTCTTCACTCTCACTTCACAGAGGAAGCAGTGGAAGCTCAGAGAGGGCCAGTGATGCTCCAAAGTCACACAGCTACTGCCCAGCAGGATTCAGCCCCAGACTCAGGTCGTCCAATGCCCATTCAGGTTCTGGTCCACTTCAGGCAGGTGGACTGAAGCCTAGGGAGGAAGACAAGGTGGAGAGAAGGAACCACCAGCTCATTCTGTTTCCCAAGCAGGGGAATGGGTATTCATGGACTGCCACAGAACATCACCACCTTGTTCAGCTCCAAAGTGCTGTGTGGAGTGTGGCCACTGAAGTCCCCATGAAAACCAGCCCATCTCACGTGCCAAATGTGCAAAAAGGGGCAAGGAGGGTCTTGAGCTGTCAACCTTGTAGCATAAAGTTTTCTAGCAGGAGAAGCAACACTTCTTAACCATTCAACTCTACAAATCTGGAGGGGCCAGACATCAATGCAGATAAAATCGTACAGCAACCATTCTTTCCTTGGTCTCAACCTCACCTGGAAAATGTCCCCTAGACACTACTAAAGCATCTTTTGACCTGAAATGATATCACTCCTTTCTCTTTCTCCTTTCCTTTCTTTCTTTCTTTCTTTCTCTTTCTTTCTTTCTTTCTTTCTTTCTTTCTTTCTTTCTTTCTTTCTTTCTTTCTTTCTCTCTCTCTCTCTCTCTCTCTTTCTTTCTTTCTTTCTTCTTTCTCTCTCTCTCTCTCTCTTTCTTTCTTTCTTGACAAGGTCTTGCTCTGTCACCCAGGGTAGATAGAGTTCAGTGACACGATCATGGCTTACTGTAGCCTTAACCTTCCAGGCTCAAGCCATCTTACCATCTCAGCCTCCTGAGTAGCTGAGACTGTGGGCACACAACACCATACCTGGCTAATTGTTTGTGTGTGTGTATGTGTGCTTTTTTAAAAAATGTTTTGTAAAGATGAGGTCTTCCTATGTTATGCAGATTGGTCTCAAACTCCTGGCCTCTAGCCATCCTTCCACCGTGGCCTCTCAAAGTGTTGGGATTACAGGCATTAGCCACCATGCCCAGCCTCTCACTTGTTTCTTGATGGGATTTTATGTTTAATTTGTTTCTTCATTCATTCATTCATTCATCCATTCATTCATTCATTCACTCGTAAGTAGATAACTAGATAACTAGATCCTGGTCCTGCCCTCAGGAACCATGGCGATGTTTGCAGTACTAGGAGAGGATAAACACTGAGAATTAAAGGAGCCAGAAGAGGGGTACCTCGCTGTGTTCTGGGTAAAGTAGGAGGTGAAGGAAGGCTTCCTGGAAGAAGTGGAACCTGGGCTAAGCCTTGAAGGATAGGGGAAGTTATCTGGGTAAGACATGGAGGGCAGAAAGGTAAGAGTGAGAGCAAGTCATCCGAGGCCTATAGACCAGAGAACACCATGGAATATCTGGGAGCATGGTGTTTATACTGGTGGAGCAGGAGGTTCTGAGCCATCCCAGATGGATGGAGCCAAGAGATAAAAGCAGAGAGAGAGAGACAGGACCTTGGGAACCAGACTGAAGGAGCTTGGACTTGATCTCTAAGAACAGCAGAGACAGCTAGTGGAGAGCATTAAGTAGGGAAGTGACGGGGTCAGATTCGTGTGTTAGGAAGACCAGTCTGGCATCTACAGGGAGAAGAGACTGGAATCCAGAGAAGTAGGCAGGGAGGACTGGCAGGATTTTTCTCTCTCCCAGCTCAGCCTCACAAGGTTGGTTTCCACAAACCCTTCCATGCCAAGCAGCCCTGGTGCCCTCAGTGAGATCTGGAGCCCAGACACCTTGGGATTCTGGGCGGCAGGACCCATATGGAATCTTTACCAGATCAGCTCTCTGCTGCCCCCAACTGTCTCCAAGAGGCCCTTTGGTCCTTGCAGGCTTTTTCTAAACCTCTTAGAATCTAGCATAGGGGTAGCAAACTTTTTCTGTAAAAGATGAAGTAGTGCGATATTGGACTTTGCAGAATATACGGTCCCTGTTGCAACTACTCTACGTTGCAACACGGAGGCAGCCACAGACAAAATAGAAACAAATGAGTGTGGCTGTGTCCCAATAAAACTTTATTTACGGACATTAAAATTTGAATTGCACATAATTTTCACAAGTCACAAAACATTCTTCTTCTTTTGTTGTTTTTTTAGACATTTAAAATGTAAAAAATTCAGAAACAACAACAAAAAACAAATAACTCAATTTAAAAATGGGCTAAGGACTTGAAGAGACGTTTCTCCAAAGAGATATACAAATGGCAAACAAGCACATGAAAAAGATGATCAGCCCCTCTCATCATGAGAGACATCAAAACTAAAGCCACGATGAGATGTCATCTCACCCCTATTGGAATGGCAACTGTCAAAACACAAAGTAACGCATATGGACAAGGATATGGAGAAACTGGAACCCTTATGCGCTGTTGGTGGGGATGTGAAATGGTGCAGCTGCTATGGAAAACAGTTTGGCAGTTCCTCAAAAAATTCCAAATAGAATTACCATAGATTCAGCAATTCTACTTCTGAATATATACCCCAAAGAATTGCAAACCAGATCTCAAAGAGATCTTTGTCGACCCATGTTCTTAGCTGCACTATTCACAGTAGCCAAGAGGTGGAAGCGACCCAGATGTCCATCAATGGATGAGTGGATCAACAGAGTGTGCTATGTACATACAGTGCTATTCAGCCTTAAAAAGGGACAAAAGTCTGACATTTGCTACACCATGTGAATGAACCTTGAGGATATTATGCTAAGTGATATAAGTTAGTCACAAAAAAAGACAAATACTGTATGATTCTACTTACATGAGGTACTTGGAGTAGTCAAATTCATAGACACAGGAAGAATGGTGATGGCCAGGGCTTCGGGGAGGGGAAGATAGGGAGTTGTTTCATGGGTATAGAGTTTAAGTTTTGCAAAATAAAAAAGTTCTAGAGATTAGTCTTACAACAATGTGAATATACTTATCACTACTGAACTGTATACTTAAAAACAGTTAAGGTAGTACATTTTATGTTATCTATACTTTACCACGGTTTTTTTTTCTTTTGAGACAGAGTCTCGCTCTGTCGCCCAGGCTGGAGTGACGTGGCGTGATCTCGGCTCACTGCAACCTCCACTTCCCGGATTCAAGCGATTCTTCTGCCTCAGCCTCTCAAGTAGCTGGGACTACAGGCACATGCCACCACACCCGGCTAATTTTTGTATTTTTAGTAGAGATGGGGTTTCACCATATTGGCCAGGCTGATCTGGAACTCCTGACCTCGTGATCCACCTGCCTCGGCCTCCCAAAGTGCTGGGATTACAGGCATGAGCCACCGCGCCAGGCCCACACAATGTTTTTTAAATGTAGAAACCATTGCAAGCTGGGACACTATACAAAAACAGGTGGCAGGCTAGACTTATTTGTTAGTCCATAGTTTGCTGTCTCCTACTCTAGCAGAACAAAATCCATGGACTTCCAGAACCCTTCCTTAAAACCTCACAGCACCCCTTCTGAAGTTCTCAGAACCAACGGCATTTTCCAATTTCCTCACAGGGCTTGGGAAGAGAACTTTTGCTGATCTTAATGAAATATGACTTTTGAACTCCAAATTGGGATTCAGTGAATGGAAGCAACAGAGTCTGACCCATACTATGAATTGGTCCCAGATCTGTTTCTACCTTTCTCCTCCTAGCATGAGTGACAGGCACTGTAAATCCTCTACGGATGCAGCCTCCAGAGGGTTCAAGCCTCCCTGTGATTGGGAAGTGCATTGTCAAGTTCACACCTGATTGGTTTGTCACATAACATTCTGACTTCAGTTCTTCATTTAACACATTTACTGAGCATCCAGTCCCTGAACTAGACCTTGGGGTACAGCAATGAAGAGGACATGGCCCATCTCCTAGGAGCTCACAGCCTCATGAGCATTCATGTGGGTGTGTCGGGGAAACTGTCCTAGGGACCTGGGACAGTAACTTGTTGAGCTAGAAGGCTTGAAACCCACCCAACTCTACCATCCACTCTCATATACCCTTCCTTTTCTTTTGGCCCAAATTTTTGAAAGAATTTGGTCACCACTCAGCACCCTGGGACAGAGAGGAGATAAACATCCATATAGCACAGCTCAAAAAGTTACTGCTGGGGCCCAGGCTGGCGTGGCAGGCCAGGCTTCCCACTCTCCAAACCCGTTTTCTTCTCCTTCTGGCACACAGCTAGCCTACGTCTCCCAGACGCCTTGCGTTAGGTGTGACCACGTTCTGAAATGTGGTCCATAAACTCTCCCATCGATGGTCCTGCATGAACTCCCCCTTTGCCCTGGAACCGGGGGTTAGAGTTGGCAAGCCACACATAAGAAGGAAGGATCCAGGGTCCCAAAACAGTGCATGGAGAAGAGATACCAGTTGGTCAAAAATCCCTGTCTGGCATTTTGTAGATTAGGACTAAATTTTAATTTTGCCAAGCTACTAAGATTTGGAAATTCATCTGTAATGCGGCTAGTGTCACTGTGAGAGATATGCTGATGTGGGACGTACAGAGTGAAGACAAACACACATCTGACTTTTAGGCTCTATGAAAAAGACTGGCACAGAATAGAGCGGGGTGAGAGAGTGAGTGTAGACAGCAGGTGCCAGACAGTGGCAAGCTGTATCCCAACCCTGGTTCAGATTTGAGCTCAGATCTTGGATCCACCAAATGGCCCAAGACAAGCGCTTCACTTTTATGATCCTCAGTCAAGTGGGCAGCTGACTCCTGACCTTGTAGGGCTTTGAGTGGATTTGAGATCATGAGTGTAGGAGGCCTGGCATGGTGCTGGCCCAGAGAGTGAGCTTAGTGTAGCAGTGACTCCTGAGGCTAGTACAGTCACTTTCTAAGGGTGGGAATAGGCTGTGTTTCAGAGTAAGTTTGTCAAAATAATCTTCCATTCTGTATGCATCGTCTTGTCTTTGTAAATAGAGGCTGAGCTTTAGCTGTGCGGATGGACCAGCAGATGGTCATAGAGAGGCTTCCTGAAAATCCCTCCACCCCTCATCTACATGACTTTGCCTTCTCTAGTAGTTATTCCCTTTTAATAAATGCATCTACAAGAAGAGTCTCCATTTTTACTGCCTTCTTAGGCCTCCAAAGCTCTGTTTTCTACACTGAAATTTTCCTGGGCTTTTGGGCAGCCTCTGTTACCACAATAGCTCTGGGGTGTTTCTTTTTTGTTGTTTTTTTTTGTTTGTTTGTTTTTTGAGATGGAGTCTCGCTTTGTTGCCCAGGCTGGAGTGCAGTGGTGCGATTTCAGCTCACTGCAACCTCTGCTTCCTGGGTTCAAGCGATTCTCTTGCCCCAGACTCCTGAGTAGCTGGGATTACAGGTGCGTGCCACAATGCCCAGCTAATTTTTGTAATTTAAGTAGAGATGGGATTTCTCCGTGTTGGCCAGGCTGGTCTCAAACTCCCGACCTCAGGTGATCCACTCACCTTGGCCACACAAAGTGCTGGGATTACAGGCATGAGCCACATGCCCGGCCACTCTGGGGTGTTTCTGATGGAGGTGAAACCATCAAGCTGTGTGGTACATGTCATCATGCAACATTGCTCCACGGCGTTTGTGCCAAAAGATGCCACTACATTTTGCTAACCCAATCTGAGTCACAGGACGGTGAAGTGAGGAGCAGGAGACAAGCATGCACTCCAGTCGGCAATGTGCCTCAGTGGGTCCTCTCTTGGCTCTTCCTAATATTAGGTGCCAGCTGCAGAGTCTTCCTGCCCACCCTCTGGCTTGCACAGGGCAAGAATAAGAGGAAAATGGGAAGGAACTAATCTCCCTACCCCAGGAGTTATCTAAGGAGGAAGGAAAAAAAGGCACCAGCTCAGCGCTTAGACCTGTGATCTCATTCAACCCTCACTCCGAGCAGGTCCTGTTAGCTGTGGCGGGGGGAAGCATTCTGGCCTGGATCCTGAGTCCCCAGATCCTTGGCCTGCCCCTCCACACACACAGAGACACAGGGAGGCACAAGCAGGAGGATAAGACCAGGCCAGATTGCTCTACAATGGCTGTCGGGCACTGGCCTCAGGTCCATGGCTTCTTGGCCTGAGGGCTGAACTAGGCGAAGGGTGTGAGTCGGAAGGATTCCTGCTCTCCGCAAGGGACAGGCGCACATGCTTGTCCCCACCTCCACCAGCAGGCCTTGCCTTCCTTCCATATTAACACTGTGTGTGGTGTGTGTGGAATTGTGTGTGTGATGTGTCTACTGTGTAGTGTGTGTGTGTGGCATGTATGTTGTGCATGTGGTATGCCTAATGTGTAGTGTGTCTGGTGTACAATATGTATGGGTTTTGTCCCAGGACCCTTTGGCCACATCAGTGAAAGGGAGAAAAAAAGGGGCAGGGGGAAGGCTAAGGTAGGGGGGTGGACCATTTGAGCCCAGGAGGTGAGGCTGCAATGAGCCTTATCATGCCACTGCACTCCAGCCTGGGCAACAGAGCAAGACCCTGTCTTTAAAAAGAAAAAAACAATGGCCAAGAGAGCCCAAAAACCAAAAAACATCTGCATAAATGAGCGAGTCCACCAATGGAGCAGGTCAGGAAAGAGTAGATGCTCACAATGGGTCCACAAGTCCTGCCGACGTCCCGCCTCTGCTCCCTGCCATGCAGGCTCCTGTGTGTCCTCCTTACCTGCACGGAAACTGCTCCATGGTGGTGAAATGGGGGGTGTGGGGAGGGAACTGGATTCCCCCAGTGGCTGGTTAATGCCACCTACAGCAACATTGTCTTCTTGTGAGATAAGCAACCTGAACTCCAGAAGGTCAAGTGCCTGGGCCACGTGGCACAGCTACACATGGGGCAGGGCTGGAGTTCACACTGAGAGCTGTTGAACTCTGCTGTACCCTCACTGTAGCACCTGGACCACTCCACTGCAGGCCTCTCCCTCTCTGACTTCCACCTCTTCTCCTTCCTGATGCTTTCTGAAGGACCCCGACCTCCCAGAGGCTCTGATCCATGAACCCTTCCACTTTTTACTACATGATAGTGAAAGATAAAAGAACTAACTGCTGCATTAGTTCTCAATACTGAGTAACGAGTGTTTCAAACTTACCAGGTTAAAACAGCCAGCATTTATGGCCTCACAGTTTCTGAGAGTCTGGTACCCAAGGTTGGCATAGCCAGGCATCTCTGGCTCAGAGCCTCCCAGGAGGTTGTGTCAGGCTGTCAGCTGAGGCTGCTGTCATCTGAAGGCTCAACTGGGGCTGCAGGACCCACTTCCAAGATGGCTCCCTCACATGGCTTCTGGTAGGAGGCCTCGGTTCCTCACTCACTGTTGGCAGAAGTCCTCTTAGTCTTTTGCCACATGGGCTCTCCATGGGGCTGCCTGCACATCCTCACGACATGGCAGCTTTCTGGGTGAGTGATCCAAGAGCAAGAGCAAGGAGAAAGCTACATTGCCTTCTCTAACCAAGTCTCTGAAGTGGCACAGATTCACATCCATTGTTGTTGCAGTTCATTTTTTCTATCTGTTAGGATCAAGTCACTAAATCCAGTTAACGCTCAGGGAGAGGGGAACAAGGCTCCACTCTTCAGAAGAGGAATATCAAAAAACTTACGGACTTTTTTTTTAAAAGACAGAGACGGGGTCTCACTATGTTGCCCAAGCTGGTCTCAAACTCCTGCACTCAAGCCATCCTCCCGCCTCTGCCTCCCAAAGTGCTGTGATTATAGGTGTGAGCCAAGGCACCCAGCCTGGACATTTTTTTAAACCACTACAACTTTTCTACTTAGCCCACTTAGATTCTGTAATCAATCATTACCCTTACTCCTTTACATATAGCCTCAATTTTCTCACCACTCTGTGAATCCAACCACTCACCGATCCCTCACCTGCATCTGAGCAGCTGAACACAGCTGGGGAAAAACTGACTTCACTTTAAACTCATAGCCACCAATCTCAAATGGAGCCTGGCAATCCAACCAACTCACTGGGAGCTTACAGCCACTACTCAAAGGGATTGCCCACCTTCTCCCCTCAACTCAACCTGCCCCTGCCCACTCCCAGACAGGGACTTCCTCACCTTCTCCTTTTAAAGATTGTCATCCTATACAAGTCGGTGCCTGTTTCTCCCACCTTTGTTCTTGTTGCCATAGATGTGTCACAGAACCAGGACCATCACTTTCCCTTGTCCCTGAAGCCCCTCTCAGACTTCTCTCCTGCAATTATTCCCTCTCTTCCCTAAACCTTCATTTTTTCCCTCTTTCTACCAGGTCTTTCCAATCAGCACACACACACACACACACACACACACACACACACACATACACACACAGTCACAGAGTTCTGGTATCTTCTATCTTAAAACCAACAAACAAAGCCATCTCCCTTGGCTCATCATGTCCCTGTAGCTCCCAACTCATCTTTGCTTCCCTCCATGAGAAACCTTCTTGAATGAGGTTTTGTTTTGTTTTGTTTTGTTTGCCTTTTGTGTGTGTGTGTGTTTTGTTTGTTTTTTTTTGTTGTTGTTTTGTTTTGTTTTTTGAGATAGAGTTTCACTCTTGTTGCCCAGGCTGGAGTGCAATGGCATGATCTCGACTCACTGCAACCTCTGCCTCCCGGGTTCAAGAGGTTCTCCTGCCTCCTGGGTTCAAGCGGTTCGCCTGCCTCAGCCTCCCGAGTAGCTGGGATTACAGGTGCCCACCACCACGCCCAGCTAATCTTTGTATTTTTAGTAGAGACAGGGTTTCACCATGTTGGCCAGACTGGTCTCAAACTCCTGACCTGAGATGATCCACCCGCCTCAGCCTCCCAAAGTGCTGGGATTACAGGCATAAGCCACTGTGCCTGGCCTCTCGAATGAGTTTCTATGGCCCCTGCTTCTCCTTCCTCTTGTCACATTCTCTTTCTGGCTCACCCCAATCAATCCTCTGTCCTCCACTCCCCTGAGACTGCTCTCATGTGAGCACTTTTGGCCTTTATGTCACCCAATCAAATGGGCATATCTGTTCTCATCTTCCTCTACCTCTCTGCTGGGGCCACATGGTTGACTCTTCCTTGTAAAATGCATTCTCCTCTTAGCTTTTATGCCCTAGCAGCTGATTTTCCTACTACTCCACTGCCTGCATTTTAGAGTAGGCAGATATAGGCCCATTACATGCCAATGACTCCAAATGAACATCGCCAGCCCTGACTCGGCATCTCCACTGGGGTGTCCAACAGGCTTCTCAAACTGATCACTTGAGTCCTCAGTCCCAACATGTGTGCACACACACGCACACACACACACACACAAAACCAGCTCTTTCCCAAATCTTTTCCATATTGCTAAGTGGCACCATCACCTACCCAATTATTTAAGTCAAAGCTAGAAGAGCTGTGCTTACTTCCTCTCTTCTCTCTGCCACACCTGTCACGTGGACTCACTTAGCAAATCTTGCTAATTCCATCTCCAGAATCATCCCTAAACCACCTTTTTCTCTTTGTCTCCACAGCTCCTACTGTTGTTCAAGTGGCCATCTCCATTCCCTAGACCTCTGTTGTGGCCTGCTCACTGCATGCCCTGCCTCCTCTCTGGCCCTTATCATCCATGTCCCAGCAGCCAGAGTGGTCTTGTTAACACACAAATCAACTCATACTGCTGTTGAGGATAAAAGCCTCCCTGCTGTTTCTCTCCCTCCCATCACACTTGGAAGGAAACTCAGCTGCTTACCCCAACCCAGGAGGCCGGAGTGATCTTGTTCTCCCCCTCTCTGGCCACATCTCTCCCAACCCCAACTGCGTTTCTGTTCCCTCATTTCTGCCTTGGTGACTTTGCATCGTTTCCTCTGCCAGGAATGCTCTGCTTCCCACTCTGCCCTTGACTCACTCCTTCTCATCCTCCCGGTCTCAGTTGAAATGCCACCTCCTCGGACAGCCTCCTGACCACCCTGTCTAAGTTCACCTCCCCCCGACCCACACACACATGCACACATGCATCTCTCTAGCTCTAGTTTTCATGGCATTGTTTATTGCTTCACTAATCTGTTAACTCCATGGGATCAAAACAGTCGCTGGCATGTACTAGGTGCTCAAAACAACACACTGAATGAGTGAATGTGCAATAAATGTTTGTGGGTAAATATGCAGAATGTATATTAGTATTCTTAAATTACCAGACAGTGGGGTGGTTTTAAAATATGTCCACAAATTATTTGATATTTCTCCTTTCAAAAGGTGTAGCCTATTGTCCTCCTCTTGCATGCAGTCTGGACTTAGTGACTCACTTCTACTGAGCAAAATGTGGAAGAAATAATGTCTTAGGACCTTTAAGTCTAGGCAATAAAAAGGATGGCTTCTGCAATGTTCTCTCTGTCTGTCTGTCTCTGTGTCTCTCTCTGCTCTGGGGGAAGGCACCTGCCATGTTGTGAGAACACTCAAGCATCCTGAAGCCCACATAAAGAGAGACTGAGATTTTTCACCAATATTCAGTGCCAACTTGCCAGTCATTTGAGCAATTTTGCCAATTTGGAAGAGGATGCTCCAGCCCCCGTCAAGCCTTCAGAAAACCACAGCCCCAGCCACAATTTTGACTGTAACTTCATGAGACATTGCCAAGCACTTTAAAATTTCTGACTCACAGAAACTGTCAGTGATAATAAGTGTTTATTTTTAAGTCACTAAATTTTAGGATAATTTGTTACACACCAATAGCTAACAAATATAGTAGAAACACAAAGGAGTATACAGCATGATTCCCGTGCAGAAACTCCATGGAGGAAGGAAATGAAGCTAGTCAGACACAAATTCTTATTCTCATTTTCTGTCCTTGACTTCACTACTTCTTCTTCAACGTGCTTCGTGATATATACTAGAACTTCCTAGGGATGAAAATCAAGCTGACGGGTCTATAATTGGAGAAATATCCTTTTTTTTTCTTTTTCAAAAAGTGCACACTATCCCAAGTCTTCAAGGACTCCTCTTTTCTCAAATACATTTCAGCAGTAGCAGCATCACTGGCAATTTCCTTCAGCTGTCAGGATAATATTCATTTAGGACAAGAGACTCAAATTCTTTGAAACTGCAACATGCTGTTTTATAGTTTCCATCCTCAACTTATTTCTAGATGATCTGTGATATGGTTTGGTTCTGTGTCCCTACCCAAATCTCATCTCAAATTGTAACCCCCACGTGTCAAAGGAAGGACCTGGTGGAAGGTGATTGGATCATGGGGGCAGTTTGCTCTCTCTTCCCTGCCACCATGTAAAACGTGCCTTGCTTGCCCTTCACCTTCTGCCATGATTGTAAGTTTCCTGAGGCCTCCCCAGCCATGCAGAACTGTGAGTCAATTAAACCTCTTCCCCTTATAAATTACCCAGTCTCAGGCAGTTCTTTATAGCAGTGTGAAAACGGAGTAATACATTCTCCAAGATCCTTTGACAGCTCCTTCTAAAATTCTACTGATCTCGATTCAAGGTGCTCAGAGTATAAAGTGGAGAAACTAGAACATGCTGGGCTTTCACCTGTGTCACTGACTGGTGCAAGTCACTCTCCCCAACCCATCCTGCCATATGCACACATGGACATGCACATACATATGTGCACACAGGTACACACATGCACACATGCACTGCATTGTTGTGACGGCCCCACAAGATAACACACATAAAGAGCTTAATGCAGGACTGCTAAAGAGGAGTTGCTGTAGATAAATTATTATTCTAAGAAACTGCATTGGCTTGTCACCCACCTAGACTTGTCGAGGAAATCATCTAAGTGAGAATTAATAAAATCCAAGCAGTTGGGAAACTTTAAGCAAAGATAGACTAGGGAGGACAGGGATAGGAAGTGACACATGGTGAACATCTAGGCTGTGCCCAGCGTTCTACATACATTTCTTCATTTACTGCCCACACAGGTGGGTGTTACAGCCCCACTATACACATGGGGAGACCAAGACTTAGGTCAGAGGCAGAGCCAGCATCCAAGCCACATATACCCTGGATTTTTTTATTTAACATGCAAGTATTTGTTTCTACATATATGTTGAAAGAACAGACAACAATAACTTTGAGATTTCCTTGATTCCTTGTGGTTTGGGACCAACTGCACGTTCTGGCCCCTGAGGTGGTATGACTATGAGGAGAGAATGTGCATCGATGGTGGTTGATTGTGCCCTGGCCTGGTACCAAGGTCACAGCAACATGGAAATTCACTTTTAGATCATTCCTTCCAGCTTCTACTGCTCTCCCGGCCTCAGCATGAGGGCTGGCATGGTGGAGTCACTGAGATGGTTTGCAACACAGGCCCTGGGTCTGTCTGCAGGAGAGAGACAGTGGCTTGGAGCTTCATCGCTTCCCATTCCCATCACTTTTTAGTGTGTGACCTTGATGAGTTACTTAGTGCCCTTGACCTTGTGAGGCAGCATGGTACTTAAGAGAGCACTGGGTTTCTTGCAGATTCAATGAGATGTGTATGTGGCATGCCTGGCATATAATAGAGACCACAGCATAAGGCAGTGAAATGAAAATGTCCTGGGCTTTGATCTGGTTTCCGACTTTGACTTTGCACAAGTCAACCTCCCTGCCCCCCACATCCATAAACACACCCCACAAACATACACACACACACACACACACACACATTCACACACAGATACACACACACCACATATATGCACACAGAGATGCACACATACACACACGTGCACATATACTCACACCCTCCACATATACACAAAGGCACACATACACACAAGCATACATACACACATATATTCACATACCCCACATATACACACAGAGACACTTACACACAGACAAGCATGTGCACACACACATATACTCACACATGTACATGTATACCCATACACACATATGGATATACACACATACACATTCACGTATTTATACTGACACATACACATATGCTCATGCGTACATACTAACACATACATGCATGTACACACATACACATACTCAGACAGTCACACACATATATGCATACTCTCATCTCACTGCCCCTAATGCCCTATGAGGACTTATACCAGCACCATCCAATTAAAATACACACTACACATCATTTAAGTTTTTCTAGTACCCGCATTAAAAAAGGAAAGAGAAATAGGTGAGATTTATTTTAATAATATATTGTGTTTCACCCAATATATCTAAAATATTATCTTCTAACATGTAATATTTTTAAAATATGAATAAGATGCCATACACTCTTTTTTTTGTACTAAGATCTTTGAAATTCAGTGTGCATTTTCCACTTACAGCATATCTCACTTCAGATTGGCCACGTTTCTGGTGCTCACTCACCACATGTGGCTCCTGGCAGCTCTGCACCAGACTGTGTCTTTCCCTCCCTGAGCTTTGGTTCCTCCGACCACGCAGTGATGGAGAACCACGTGATCCCCTGACCTCACCAGCTTGCCCTCCAGCTGCAGCCACCTCACCGCTTTGCCGGCTCCTGCCTGATTAGCAGGGAGTCCCCACTGTCGGCAGAGAGAATAACGCACAGCCGTTGCTGGGAATTAATGAAGCAGAGCCGCACCAGGCTATAAAAATGTCGTTAGGCAGCCCTCCAGCCACCGGGTTAACCAGGGAAGCGCTGAGCGCGGGCATTGGGGAGATAATCGGCTGATAATTGCGGCAGAAGTGAAGCGACTGCTTTGAACGCTGACAGCACCAGGAGCAGCCCCTGGAGGCTGCGGCTCCCCTGAGGAGGGCCACAGGAGACAGGGATTACTCCTCTAACTTTGGTTTTAAAAGGGTAAGAAGAAACACCTCACCAATGGCCAATAAACATTGACAGAGCAGGAGCACCTTCATCTCGGACAAACACCACCACGTTAAGTTCCAGCTCCCTTTCTAGCCTCATGCATTTCAAGGAAATCATTTCTCTTCTAACTACAAGCAGCCAGAAAGAGCAGACAGTAAAACACAAATAAAACAGCCAGGGCACGAAGGAAGGTGGGGAGAAAGTCTCCAGGGTAACTACAACACTTCACCCTCATACAATGGGCCCCAGTAAAACAGTGGGCCTTACTTAATAAGCACATTCCTTTCCCTTCAGGTGCATTAAAATAGGGAAGCTAAAAGCAAACTCGGTGGGGTGGGGTATGCCTGAAGCTGCCAAAAAAAAAAAAAATGTATAGAAACAGACACACAACTCTCCCTCCCAAATAAGCACAACCAAAAAACACAGAAGCTGTCCAAGCCTCTAATAAACCCTCCCATCCTAAATCCTTAAAAACTCTTAGTCTGGGTCAGGCGCGGTGGCACACGCCTGTAATCCCAGCACTTTGGGAGGCCGAGGCAGGCAGATCACGAGGTCAGGAGATCGAGACCATCCTGGCTAACATGGTGAAACCCCATCTCTACTAAAAATAAAATAAAAAAAAAATTAGCCGGGCGTGGTGGCATGTGCCTGTAGTCCCAGCCAGTCGGGAGGCTGAGGCAGGAGAAGGGCATGAACCCAGGAGGCAGAGGTTGCAGTGAGTCGAGATCACATCACTGCACTCCAGCCTGGGTGACAGAGTGAGACTCTATCTCAAAAAAAATAAAATAAATAAATCTTAGTCTGTAAAAAAGTGGGCCTCTAACCTAACTTGGCCAAAGGCTCCTCTCAAGTTTGTTTTCTCTAAAATAAAACTTTCTTAACTGGCAAGCCACCTTTCGTGTTTCTTTCCTCCTTAATTCTTACAAATATGAAAACAGGATTCAGCTCTGCAATAGTCAAATAAATGCAAATTGAGCCTCAGCAATGCTTATGTGTTTTCACATAGCAAGCTGGCAAAAATGTTTTAGAATGCTAAAACCCAGTATGGGTGAGGATGTAGTGAAATGAACATTCTCATATATTGCCAGTAGAGATATGTGGATACAGCCTTTCTAAAAAGTGACTGGCAGTATGTATTCAGTGTTTTCTAAATATGCAGAAATCCTTCCCCTCTTTCCTGGAGTCTATCCTTAGGAAATTATCAAAGAGGTTTATCATTTAGCCTGTGCTATGAAATACACCATCCCAGAACTTAAGGGCCTAAGCACTACACTTATCTCACAATTCTCTGAATTGGCTGGGCAGTTCCTCTGGTCTTGGTGGCTTGACTAATCTTTCTTACGCATCTGTAATCAGCTGAAGGCTCGGATGGTGACTGCATGACCGAGAATAGTGAGGCAGCCAGGAGAAAGAGCCTCACAGACCTCTACGACATGGAGTTTAACTCACCAGGGACCCAGCTGCCGTGCCCTGAAATCCACCAACATGTTCCACTGAGGCCTTGTTGCCCGTGGGCCACTCCCTTACCAAGGCCCCCCCACAGCATGGACACTAAGGCAAACCCTCTCCCTGAGAGACACGGGACACCTCTGACAGCCAGCTTCAGCTTGGGGACTCCCCGATGGCTTTGCCAAGCCTTCCTTAGTTTGTGCAGCAGTCTAGAACAATTCTTCCCAACATTCTGTCTCTCCTCCTTAAAGGGCCAGACTTGCATGGCTGTCTGACAGCTCACCCAGCCTTTCCCTGCCTCTGCTCCATTTTCTCTCACACAAGCATTTCCCCTAATACAATCCTTGCACACACTTAATTCTGGTTTTTGGAAGACCCAGACGAACACAGAAAACCCAACTCACGTGTCTGCCTGGCTGTTCACCACGGTTCTCTCCCACTTGGCCTTTCATCCATTCAAGGCTAGCTCAGCGCATTCTTCTGGTGATCTCAAGGAACAACACAGCTACAACTTATCAAGTTGCATTTTCTATGTCCCTTTGGCCATGCCCAGAATCAATGTGGTGGAAACAGACTCAAGGACTGGGCGTAAGATTATGGCTGCATTTGCAGGCAGCACCACAGAGACATCCAGAGATGAGTCTGCGAGGGCATCCAGTGTGCTATTCATTTACTCATCTAACATATGGGTACTGAACACCCACTACAGGCTAGGTGTCATCCAAGATGCTGGGAATTTAGTTGTGACCAAACTGGCAGGCTCTGCATCCCCCTGGAAACTGTATTCTAGTGCAGACAGACAGGTGTACGAACAAGCAAGCAAACAAGCCAGAAAAAATATCAGATAGTGATAATAATTATTCAGAGAATGCAGAGAATCAAAGTGTGGTGACATGATGATAAACCGAGGGGAAGGAGCAGGCCGTGTAGGCAATCCAGGCAAGAGAACAGATTAGCCAAGGCCCAGAGGCAGGAAAGAGCACAACAGGCTGGAGGAAGAAAAGGAAGACTGTCATGAGGCTCAGCCCCAGGAGGTGGGCGAGGAGGAGCGTGTGACAAGGGCACCGAGGTAAGCCAGGCTGGGACGACAAAGGCCTTCATACACCGGGGAACAGGCTGGACAAATGGTGAGAAACCACTGGAAGTGGTGTGTATTAGTTCTTACACTGCTATGAAGAAATACCCAAGACTGAATATAAAGAAAAGAGGTTTAATGGACTCACAGTTCCGCATGGCTGGGGAGGCCTCAGAAACACAATCATGGCAGAAGCGGAAGCAAACATGATCTTCACATGATGGAGGAAGAGAGAAGAGCCGAGTAAAGGGGGGAAAGCCCCTTATAAAACCAGCAGATCTCATGAGAACTCCCTCACTATCCCAAGAACAGCATGGAGGAAACCACCCCTATGATTAACTTAGCTCCCACCTGGTTCCTCCCATGACATGTGAGGATTATGGGAACTATAATTCAAGATGAGATTTGGGTGGGGACACAGCCAAACCATATCAGTGTGTAATGGGGGCAGGGGACATGATCTAAGTTACATTTTTAGAAGATCACTCTAGATGCTAGGTGGAGATGGGAGGATAGAGCAAGCGTGGAGGCAGGCAGAGCAGTGAGGAGGCATCTGCAGCCATTCAGTGAGACCAGATAAAGGCTTGGACACAGAGCTGAGGAAGGAAATGAGAGAAGCTGGTTGCTTGGGGATACATTTTGAAGGCAAGAGTTGATAAGGTCTTGGATGTGAGAGGTGGGTGAGGGAAAGGGAGAAATCAAGGCAAAGTCCTAGGTTTGGGGGCTTCATGGTTCCAGAGGGAAGGATGAAGAAGGAGCTGGTCTCAAGGTGGCAGCTGGAATGGAACGTTCTGTCAGGCACTTGTGGAATTTGAGTATTGTTAGGTTCCCAGGTGCAGCTGTCACTTATTCTGTTGAGTGTACATGTCTACAGTTCCAAAGAGGGGGCAGAGCAAGGGATAGAGACTGAGGGACTCTTGGTGCATGGTGGGGATATAATGCCATGGATGAGATGGACTCAACAGGAGAGTGTCACCAAGGGAACCGGGACCCAGCACCAAGGGACTCCCCCACTGGGAGTCAAGCAGCAAAGGAGAAGCCATCCAAGGTGGGCGAAAGGATCCAACAGTGAGGGGATGAGCCAGGAAAGTGTAGAAGCTGAGGAGAGAAAGAAATTCCAGAATCAAGGGTGTGCACATGTGGGCCCAATGCTGTTAAGGCATGAACATCATGAAGAGAGAGAAATGATGACTGGCTTTGGCAACTCAGGGATCACTGCTGCCCTTGTCTAGTGCAGGCTCAGAGGAATGGTGGTGACTGGAGACAGATGGGAATTGGCTAAGATAGGAACCCTGCAGGTGGACGTGGCAACTATAGGCCACCCAGAAGTGCTATTATGAGGGCAGCAGAGAAGTGAGACCCTGGCTGAAGGGGGAGGAAGTGTCACAGGAATATTTCTTTGTTTTTCTTTTTTTTTTTTTTGTAATACCAGAGTAGGTTTCTAACCTGATGGGATTGACCGGCTGAGATGGAGAAGGTGATTATTCATGAGCTGCAGGAGTGCACGTGAAAGAGGCCCTTGGAAGTGTCTGTGGAGCAGGATGCAGAGCATGAGCCCAGCGCTTGGCCCCTGATGGAGCAGGAAGGGCCGTCGTAGTCATGTGCAGTGAGACGACGGCATGGGCACACTTGCCAGGGGCTACTGCATTTCTCACCCTGCCTGAGAATCCTGTTTCACATGTTCCATCCATGAGACTGGAACTTATAAACTGGTGGGCACGTGTCACCCCATTCCCAGCAGCCAGCCCAGCACAGGGCACACTGCACCTCCTCAAAAGATGTTTGCAGAATAAGCAAATTCCAAATCAATTTCCAATGTCGATGTTCAAAGGTAGGGGAATTTTGCTGTACAAATAAACAATATTGGAGATATAGGTGATTCTATTTTTTGCAGGGCCTTCTTCACCCCCAACATCTGCCTGTAAAAGTGCTCCCAGGCCCTTAGCCAGTGCCACTTCTTCCAGGAGTGTTTTTTATTCTTCCCGCTTCAGGGGCCAGCTCCTGTTCTCACACCTGCACCAGAATGTATTTAAATGTCTCTTCTGGCAACTCTTCCATTTGGCCTGGATTAGACTTGCTGTATTTTTCTCCTGATGGGGTCCTAACCTAATGTTTGTGAATGAATGAACAGCGGGGCCCCTAAGGATGGAGTCGTAGCCTGTTGCTTAGTAGACCTCAATACATCTTCGCTGAATTGAGTTGGATATCTAAGACTTGGCATGGAGTCTTCCTTCTTTCTTCTTCCACAGAGCTTGAAACTATACACATGCTCTGCAAAAAGAGAAGGAGGCTTAATCACCAGCTCTGTGCATACAGCAAAGAGATGGGTTCTCAGTTTTCAGTGTATATGTCTAACGGGGAAGTTAAGTTAAATAGGGCCCTGCTATAAACCCAGCCAACAAAGGCAGGTGTTCCTCTCTCATCATGCCTCAAGGTGCTTCGAGACAGGGTCAACCTGAAAGTCTGCTGTTCCTTCTTGTATCCCCCTCACCTGGCACACAGCCTGGCCCAGGGTAGGTCTTCCAAGTATTTGCAGAAGTGTTGAATCCCAGAGCCTGAATGTGGTATTTCCGCCATTGTACTCCTTGCATATTAAGTAATCGATGTTTACTGAAATATATGCTTGAAAAGGATATTTTAAAGGCCTGACATGAACTCAACTCTACCGAAGTGCAAGGCAAAAAACAGCTTGGTTAGGACGGACAAGCTGACTTGGCTGATTTAAGAGAACTTCATGTGGACAGAGATTAGATCAGTTCCATGTGGTTCCAGAAGGGAGAGGCAGGACCCAAGGACAGGGAGAGAACTTACTCAAAGGCAGATTTTGGCTCAGACCTGGGATCAACTCTTTACCAATCAAAGTTTTCAGGATGGAGCAGGAAGCCTTACAGAGGAGCATCCTCTCTTTGGCCCTCCAGCAGAGCTGGCAAAAAGTGACTCCATGAGTCTTTTTGGCTTTGGAGAGAAAAGGTAGACACCTATGAGGGTCAGCAAGTGCACAGTCCCTGTGCTGAGGGGACCTGAGGCCTCCTCCTGTGTGTATCCTCATTGTTATCAGGCTTTAAGGGAGCATCTATGGCATTACCTCTGAACCTCTGTGACGTCAACACACTTTAATAAACTTCATGATATCCTCAAGCTTTTTTATTTCTTTTTAATTTTCTTATTGAGAGAAGGTCTCCCACTCTGTCACCCAGGCTGGAGTGCAGTGGCATAATCATAGCTCACTGCAGCCTTGAACTCCTGGGCTCAAGCTATCCTCTTGCCTCAGCCTCCCTAGTAGCTAGGACTACAGGCACATGCCACCATGCCTGGCTAGTTATTTTTGTTTTTAGTAGAGATGAGGCCTTACTATATTGCCCATGCTGCTCTTGAAACCCTAAGCTTAAGTGACCCTCCTGCCTTGCCTCGGCCTCCCAAAATGCTGAGATTGAAGGCATGAGCCACTGCACCTGGCCATTTTGCACTTCTTTTATTATTATTATTATACTTTAAGTTCTGGGATACATGTGCAGAACATGCAGGTTTGTTACACAGGTATACACATGCCATGGTGGTTTGCTGCACCCATCAACCTGTCATCTACATTAGGTATTTCTCCTAATGCTATCCCTCCCCTAGCCCCTCACCCCCCGACAGGCCCCGGTGTATGATGTTCCCCTCCCTGTGTCCATGTGTTTTCATTGTTCAGCTCCCACTTCTGAGTGAGAACATGTGGTGTTTGGTTTTCTGTTCCTGTGTTAGTTTGCTGAAACTGATGGTTTCCAGCTTCATCCATGTCCCTGCAAAGGACAAGAACTCATCCTTTTTTATGGCTGCATAGTATTCCATAGTGTATATGTGCCACATTTTCTTTATCCAGTCTATCATTGATGGGCATTTCTCATTAGGCTCAGTTCCAAGTCTTTGCCACTGTGAATAGTGCTGCAATAAACATACGTGTGCATGTGTCTTTATAGTAGAATGATTTACAATCCTTTGGGTATATACCCAGTAATGGGATTACTGGGTCAAATGGTATTTCTGGTTCTAGATCCCTGAGGAATCAACACACTGTCTTCCACAATAATTGAACTAATTTATACAACAGTGTAAAAGTGTTCCTATTTCCCCACATCCTCTCCAGCATCTGTTGTTTCCTGACTTTTTAATGATCACCATTCTAACTGGCATGAGATGGTATCTCATTGTGGTTTTGATTTGCATTTCTCTAATGACCAGTGATGATGTTTTTTGGCCGCATAAATGTCTTCTTTTGAGAAGTGTCCCCTGAAGAAGGAGGTCTGCAGAGCGTGAGTGCTGGGAAGTTCAGTATAGGGATGAAGATGATGCCTGTGTCAGGAATCAAGCTGACAGCTTGATCTCCTTTCGTCTGCCTCTCATTTCCTGTTTCTCTGCTGGGTCTGAAGGCAGGAGAGGAAAGCAGAGTATTATTTCGTAGCCCCTGGCCCTGAAAAATAGAAATCACAGATGTTTCCCTGCTATGTTACAGCTGTTACAGATATCCCAAAATATCATGTACATTGATCTCTAGTTTGAAATTATGCTAGTTATTAGATTAGATCTGGTTGTTTAGTGTGTAAGAAGCACAAAGGGGCCAGACATGGTGGCTTATACCTGCAACCTCAGCTCTTTGGGAGGCTAAGGTGGGAGGATGGCTTGAGGCCAGGAGTTTGAGATTAGCCTGGGAAACATAGCAAGACCTTGTCTCTACAAAAAATTTTTTAAAAATATTAGCTGCGTATGGTGGTACATGCCTGTAGTCTCAGCTACTTGAGAGGCTGAGGTGGAAGGATCACTTAAGTTCAGGAGGTCAAGGCTGCAATGAGTCATGATTGTGCCACTGCACTCCAGCTTGGATGACAGAGTGAGACCCCGTCAAGAAAGAGGAAGGAGAGAAGGAAGGAAGGAAGGGAGGGAGGGAGGGAAGGAAGGAAAAGAAGCATATAGTAGCAACTATGTTACATATTTTTGTATTTTGATAACTTTATTTTGATATAGTTGGTTTCTTTTTTAATTCAATACATTTTGCATTATGCAGGTAAAACCTTGATTCTGAAAAGAGACTATAGGCTTCACCCGATTGCCCTGAGGGCCCATGGGACAAGAACCCCAGGTTTAGATCAGTTTTGTTTACTTAACAGAGAAACCCAGAAAGAGTTTAAGAAAGCAACCATAATGTTTAAAGTCTTGAAAAGGCACAAGGTGCTGCCTATATGCTAATATTTCTTTAAACCTTTTTATTATTTTCATATTTATAAGGAGCAATTAGATACTATCTAATTACTACCAGCAATTAATTAGGTACATCTAATCAATACCAATAAATGTTTCCTTGTTCACATGTTTCTAGAAAGCCTAGGGAGATAGGATTCCAACAAATCCTCATACACAGTGATGCTGGGAAAGGTTTAACTGGCTCTTCTGAGGGAAGAGCCTACATTTGTCATGTTTACCAATTGCTGTGGTGTAAGTGCTCCCACTATAGTGGATTTCAGGCTACCAACCAACATGACAACCACCGCACACACAGTTGGAAAGAGAGGTGTGCAGCAACACAATATTGTACAGTATAGTATTTCCACCATATAGATACAATCGATGTAAATAAATCCAAAAGCACAGGTAATACTGACATAAAATACAATAACTAGGAAGTGAGGTATTTTGAATATATATTACTTTGGAGTGCAGTGGTACCACCACAGCTCACTACAGCCTCAGCTTCCCAGGCTCAAGCAATCCTCCTGCCTTGGCCTCCCAAAGTGCTGGGATTACAGGTGTGAGCCACTATGCCTGGCCTATATAACTTTGCTTTTAAAATAACCTATTTAATTGTAAATTTATGTAATACATTTTTCAAAATGACCATTTTAATAATCAGCTTGCAAAATACCTCATCATGTAACCATCAGCTCTCACGTGCTGGTTGGGGCAGCTCCAACGCACCACTGTTAGAAACCTTTTCTACCGTACTGAGAGCAGCAACACCTGGGAAAAATTCAGAAGGTGAATTCAGCTGTGGGACAAATTCAAACAGATAACATCTGCTTCTGGCATGCGGCTGACTGGGGAGAGCCCAGGGTAAATGGGGAGCAGGAGGCCGATGCCCCTGCTGCTTCCAAGGGTTTGTTACCAGCACCCTCCCATAATTCAGATCATCCCACCCCCATCATGGGTGCTCAGCACTACAGCCAGGGAGGCCTCGAGGGTCTGACTGTACCTGAGTCAATTCTTGTGCAGACATTAGTCGCCCTGGGGACAGGTCTTCTGAACCGACAGCCACTTGGTGGGATGCTCAGAGAGCCTAAAAGTCCGGTTTCCCTGCCCCTCACCCCACCAAAGTTCATCCCTCTCCTGCCCACATGATCATCAAAGTGTTGCTTTCTGTTCACGTCCAGAAACTCCGGGAAGCGAGGACCTTGTGCTCCTTGCCTGACTCCTGAATGTTCAGGGCCCTCTGTGTTCTGCCGCCGGCTGCTTCTCCTGTTATGACCCACAGCTCTCCTCACTCGGTGACTCGGTCGTCCTTTGTGTGATGATGCCAGCCAGATTCCCCCTTCCCGGGCTTTCTGATGCCCACCTCCGCGCCACGCAGTTCCAGTTCAGTGCCCTGCAGGCCCTGCAGGTGTGTCCCAGACGGAGCTCACCACCTGGAGCTCACCGCCCCTCCCCATCCTCCTCCAGCCCCCAGGAAGGGCGCCAGGTGCCCTGAGGCTCAGCCAGAAATCTCACCCTCACCCCACCCTGTCCCCTCTCATCCTCACACCCCCTCCTCATCCTGGTCTCCCCTCATCCTTCCCCCGTCTTCATCCTCATCCCCTCCCCAGCTATACCTTTTTCTCCTTGACCTGCCCTCCGTGCCTCAGCCACTCACTGCACCCAGGCCTGGACCTCCAGGGCACCCTGCGAGGTCATCCCACCCCCTATCACGGGTGTTCAGCACTGCAGCCAGGGAGCTCCTTCATTCCCTTCTCTCACACCCTGGCTCCGTCCCTCCCCACTCCCGCCCTCACCACCCGTAGCCTTTACACTCTGCTCGCTCATTCCACCTTTCAGAGGCTCTTCCCTCCACTCACCACCTCTTGCCTCCAGTCTCCTGGCCATCTCTTGCCTATCCTTTATGGCTTCCACTCCTGCCATCTCCTCCAGGCAGCCTTCTGTGATCCGTCAATCCGGGTTAGGAGCCCTTTCTCCATGTTTCCATATCACCTGACCTGAGCAGCACCCACAGGACTATATATCATAATTGCCCACTTTTTTTCTCTGCACCTTCCCCTAGACCATTAGTTCTGGCAGGCCAGGGACTTTGTCATGTTCATACGGGATCCTCATGCCTTACACAGTGCCTGGCGGCTATTAGGTGCTCATCAAATCCTTGTTGATAGAAGTCGAGTTTTGCTAACGGTAAGAGGCAGAATCTTCACAGTTCTTTATCCTTGGCACCATGTCAGGCACTTCATAAATAAAAGCTCATCAAGGGCCAGGCGCAGTGACTCACGCCTCTAATCCTAGCACTTTGGGAGGCCGGGGCGGGCGGATCACGAGGTCAGGAGATCGAGACCATCCTGGCTAACACAGTGAAACCCTGTCTCTACTAAAAATACAAAAAATTAGCTGGGCATGGTGGCGGGTGCCTGTAGTCCCAGCTACTCGGGAGGCTGAGGCAGGAGAATTGCTTGAACCCGGGAAGGCGGAGGTTGAAGTGAGTGGAGATCGCGCCACTGCACTCCAGCCTGGAAGACAGAGTGAGACTCCATCTCAAAAAAAAAAAAAAAAAAGAAAGAAAAGAAAACTCATCGAGCTCTCACAACAATCCCATGAGAGAGGCACAACTCTTATTCCCACTTTACAGATGAGAAGACAGTGGCATGGAAAAATTAAGTGATTCACACAGGTTCACAGGGCTGTTAGTGGCACAGCTGGGATGTGAGTCGCGGCAGCCTGACTCCACAATCTGTGCTGATCATAACCGCTGTGCTGCCCAGCCACGTGGGGAGTGGGAAGAACATAAAGGCCGGGGTGCTTGTCAACTGAGGGGACAGCCCCCAGGGAGGAGGGAGCAGAGCCTGCATCAAAACGAGGGCAGGCCAGGAGTTCCAGGCTGCAGTGAGCTGTAATCCCGCCACTGCACTCCAGCCTGGGCGACAGAGCAAGACCTTGTCTTTTTTTTTAAAAAAAAAAAAAGGGGGGTGGGGGTGGGAATGATAACAACTGACATGTGACATGTACATGTTCCTTCCACAACACGTGGGGATTATGGAAACTACAATTCAAGATGAGATTTGGATGGGGACACAGCCAAACCATATCATGTAGTTAATAACCATCTTACAGGCAGATATTTGGAGAGTATGTAAATATCTCGTTTCTCATCAAACTTTCACCCCCTCATTTTTATCTGCCATTGGTAAGTCTTACCAGCATCCATTGTAACTACGATGGTTGTCAAATGGTGAGATGCAGTGTAATTAGTTTCCTGTTGTGGCTATAAAAAATTAGCATACGTTTATTGCCCTAAAACAGGAAAAACGTATTATCTTACAGTTCTGGATGTGAGAGTCCCAAAACAAGTCTCACTGAGTTATAATCAAAGTTTCTGCAGGGCTGTGTTCCTTCCGGGGCTCTAGGAAAGAACCCATCTCCTTGTCTTTTCTGGTTCTAGGGTTGGTCCTCCTTCCTCAGCCTGTGACCACATCCCTCATCCCTCTGACCAGTGATTCCATCACTGCACAGCCTCCTCTCACTCTGACCCTCCTATCTCCCTCTTATGTGGACTTTGGTGATTATGCTGCGCCCACCCAGATAATCCAGGATCATCTTTCCCTCTCAAGATTCTTAGTTTAATCACATCTGCAAAGCTCCTTCTGCCATGGAAAGTAACATATTCACAGGTTCCAGATATTAGGAGGTGGACAACTTTGCAGGCTGGGGGTGACATTATTCTGCCTACCACATATAGTAATTTCTTAGAAGAGTGCTTCGCTATTTTCTATGGTTCACCCACACTCTGCAAGCATTGATGTGTTCAAGAAGGAATGACTGCAACCACCCAGTGACTGTAAGATGCATTCCAGTCTCAGAGATGTTGAAATGTGATGATAAGCGCCTCACCCACATAATGAGGACATGATGGGGATCCCTCCCATTGATGTCTTTCGTGCCATGGGTTGCTCACCTTTCAGCAAGGTGTCTGAGCACCTCCTGGGCATCAGCGATTGCACTATATGTTGGGTGTGCAGAGATGAGACACACAGCTCTTACTCTTGAGGGGGTTCTATCTTTCAGTGAGAGAGACAGAAGAAAGTCAAAGAAGTGATTTAGCACAGAGGAGAGAAGTGGGAAGAATGAAAATTTAATTTCCTTATTAATCTGGGGTGAGGGATTGTTCAGCTGGGAGGGGCTCTGCAAATGTCCATCCAGGCAGGTGGGCAGAGTCAGGGTAGCCCCAGAGAGGCCAGGTTTCAACCCAGTAGCCTGGCTGCAGAGCCTCAGGCGTAACCCCTACCAAAGGGTCTTCCTGTTTGGTGAAGCTGATGTGGAGGAGATTCTTGCAAATGTAAAGTGACCTTGCTGGGTTTGGTGGCTCAAACCCATAATCTCAGCACTTTGGGAGGCCAAAGTGGGTGGATCGCCTGAGGTCAGGAGTTTAAGACCAGCCTGGCCAACATGGTGAAACCTTGTCTCTGTTAAAAATACAAAAATTAGGTGGGCATGGTGGCGCATGTCTGTACTCCCAGCTATTTGGGAGGCTTCATTTTAGATCCAGGCCAAGAGGCTCATTGTGTGGGCTGATATGGTTTGGCTGTGTCCCCACACAAATCTCAACTTGAATCCTATCTCCCAGAATTCCTATGTATTGTGGGAGGGACCCAGGGGGAGGTAATTGAAGCATGGGGGCTGGTCTTTCCTATGTTATTCTCATGATAGTGAATAAGTCTCACGAGATCTGATGGGTTTATCAGGGGTTTCTGCTTTTGCTTCTTCCTCATTTTTTTTTCAGCCTCCCACCATGATTCTGAGGCCTCCCCAGCCATGTGGAAACTGTAAGTCCAATTAAACCTCTTTTTCTTCCCAGTCTTGAGTATGTCTCTATCAGCAGCGTGAAAATGAACTAATACAGTAAATTGGTACCAGTAGAGTGGGGCATTGCTGAAAAGATACCTGAAAATGTGGAAGCGATTTTGGAACTGGGTAACAGGCAGAGGTTGGAATCGTTTGGAGGGCTCAGAATAGGACAGGAAAATGTGGGAAAATTTGAAACTTCCTAGAGACTTCGTGAATTGCTTAGACAAAAATGCTGATAGTGATATGAACAATAAGGTCCAGGCTCAGGTGGTCTCAGATGGAGGTGAGGAACTTTTTGGGAACTGGAGCAAAGGTGACTCTTGTTATGTTTTAGCAAACAGACTGGTGGCATTTTGCTCCTGCCCTAGAGATTTGTGGAACTTTGAACTTGAGAGAGATGATTAAGGGTATCTGGCGGAAGACACTTCTAAGCAGCAAAGCATTCAAGAGGTGACTTGGGTGCTGTTAAAGGCATTCAGTTTTATACGGGAAGCAGAGCATAAGAGTTTGGAAAATTTGCAGCCTGACAATGTGATAGAAAAGAAAAACCCATTTTCTAAGAAGAAATTCAAGCCAGCTGCAGAAAGTTGCATAAGTAATACGGAGCTGAATGTTAATCCCCAAGACAATGGGGAAAATGTCTCCAGGGCATGTCAGAGGTCTTTACAGCAGCCCCTACCATCACAGGCCTGGAGGCCCAGGAGGAAAAAGTGGTTTCATGGGCTGGGCCCAGGGTCCCCGTGCTGTTTGCAGCTTAGGGACTTGGTGCCCTGTGTTGCAGCCACTCCAACTGTGGCTGAGAGGGGCCAATGTAGAGCTCAGGCTGTGGCTTCAGAGGGTGGAAGCCCCAAGCCTTGGAAGGTTCCACGTGGCATTGAGCTTGCTGGTGCACAGAAGTCAAGAATTGAGGTTTGGGAACCTCCATGTAGGTTTCAGAAGATGTATGGAAACACCTGGATGCCCAGGCAAAAGTTTGCTGCAGGGGAGGGGCCCTCATGGATAACTTCTGCTAGGGCAGTGCGGAAGGGAAATGTGGGGTCGGAGCCCCCACACAGGGTCCCCACTGGGGCACTGCACAGTGGAGCTGTGAGAAGAAGGCCACTGTCCTCCAGACCCCAGAATGGTAGATCCACCAACAGCTTGCACCGTGCACCTGGAAAAGCCGCAGACACTCAACACCAGCTAGTGAAAGCAGCCAGTACTGAGGCTATACCCTGCAAAGCCACAGGGGTGGAGTTGCTCAAGACCATGGGAACCGACCTCTTGCATCAGCATGACCTATATATGAGACCTGGAGTCAAAGGAGATGATTTTGGAGTTTTAAAATTAGGCTGCCCTGCTGAATTTCAAACTTGCCTGGGCCCTGTAACCCCTTTGTTTTGGCCAATTGCTCCCATTTGGAATGGGTGTATTTACCCAATACCTGTACCCCCCATTGTATCTAGGAAGTAACTAGCTTGCTTTTGATTTTGTAGGCTCACGGGCAGAAGGAACTTGCTTTGTCTCATATGAGACTTTGGACTGTGGGCTTTTGGGTTAATGCTGAAATGAGTTAAGACTTTAGGGGACTTTTGGGAAGGTATGATTGGTTTTGAACGTGAGGAGATGAGATTTGGATGGGCCAGGGACAGGATGATATGGTTGTCTCTGTGTCCCCCCTCCCCAAATCTCAACTTGAATTATATCTCCCAGAATTCCCATATGTTGTGGGAGGGACCCAGTGGGAGGTAATTGAATCACGGGGGCTGGTCTTCCCCTTGTTGTTCTCATGATAGTGAACATGTCTCATGAGATCTGACGGTTTCTCAGTGGTCTCTGCTTTTGCTTCCTCCTCATTTTTCTCTTGCTGCTCCCATGTAAGAAGTGCCTTTGACCTCCTGCCATGATTCTGAGGCCTCTCCAGCCACATGCAACTGTAAGTCCATTTAAACTTCTTTTTGTTCCCAGTTTCAGGTATGTCTTTATCAGCAGCATGAAAAACGAACTAATACAGAGTGTGATGGTCAATACTGAGTGTCCACTTGATTGGACTGAAGGATACAAAGTATTAATCCTGGGTGTGTCTGTGAGAGTCTTGCCAAAAAAGACTAACATTTGAGTCAGTGGGCTGGGGAGGGCAGATCCACCCTTAACCTGGTGGGCACAATGTAATCAGCTGCTGGCAGATATAAAGCAGGCAGAAAAATGTGAAAAGCAGAGACTAGCCTAGCCTCTCATCCTGAATCTTTCTCCCTTGCTGGATGCTTCCTGCCCTGGAATATCGGACTCCAAGTTCTTCCGTTTTGGGACTCAGGCTGGTTCTCCTTGCTCCTCAGCTTGCAGACGGCCTATTGTAGGACCTTGTGATCATGTAAGTTAATACTTAATAAATTCCCATATATATATAAAGTATTTTTATATATAATATGTTATATACATGTTATACATGTTATACATGTTATATATACACACACGTGTGTGTACATATACGTATATGCATACACACACGTGTGTGTACATATACGTATATGCATACACACACGTGTGTGTACATATATACATATATATGTTATATACATATTATATATATTATATACATATATATGTTATATAACATATATGTTATATATATATATATATATGTTCTGTCTCTCTAGAGAACCCTAATACACAAGGCTTCCCTCCTGGAGCAAGGACTCCATTCCAGAATGCAAACACAGCTTTGAACTTTGAAAGGAAAGTATAGCCTGGTATAAAAATTATTCTATAGACCAGTTTCCTCTGGACACCCCATCACACTTGTTGAGTATGTAGTGTGTATCAGGCACTTTCCAGGCAATGCAAAAATGATGATATCAAGAGGTCTGGTTATTCATGTTGGCATGGTACATCGCACGGTGACCTCATTAACCCTCATAGCACCCCTGTGGCTCATGTCATATTCCCACCCCATTTTACAGATGGCTTGGTGGCTGGGCTGTGGGCCCCTTAGCTCAAATTCCAGGCTGTTTTCTCTCCTTTCTCCTCTTGAACATTCTGGGAAGTTTTACAATCCATTCCTACTATGAGGAGCAGTGAGGAAAGTTGAGGTTGGAATATAATATATATACATATTCACTCCCAAATTTCAAGGGCCCACTGTGTGCCAGCTTCCACGCCATGCATTTAGGGTATCGAAGCAGACAAAACATCTATTGCCTTTGCTGAGCTCAAAGTGGGAAGTCAGGCAGTTGAGGGGAGGACCCAGAGTGGGCACGGTTAGGGGTGGGGTGACATGATGGGTTGTGAAGTGACCAGTCTAAATAAAGACACAGAGGCCAAGTGCATACCAGAGGCACCATCCAAGGGCAGAGGGGACCGAGAGCCTTTGTCTCAATCGCCTCTGAAGTTCATCAGCTGAGACTGCACTTGGGTGCTTTTCAATGGACATCTGCTTTCATGAAGATGCCTCAGAGTAGAATGAGGAGGTCACTGTGGGGTGCAGCCTGCTGCTCATAGAGGCCCAAGACCATCTGCGCAAATGATAGTCTCCAATGTTCAGTGAACAAGCTCCAGACTGAGGGTCACTGCGTCCACCACCCAAGTCCTTTAGTAGGCATCAGGCTTTCTCTGAGAGGAGGTGCAGATGTCCTCTTCTCTCCTTCCACGGCTAAGGTCCAGGGACTGGAGGCTGGTCCCATTAGAATTCCACCTGGAGCCTGCTGCAGGGATGCTGAATGCAGGCATTTAAAATCTGTGGGTGTAAGAATTGCTGGCTGTTCTCCCAAGGCAATCTAAATGTCAGTAGATTGAAGTCCTCAAGTGTTCTAGTCTGCTAACAAGGGACTAAATCACCTCTGAGAAACCAATTATGGTTCTGTAATAGCATCCCCAGGACTGAACCCCAAGTCAAATCCACCCACACATAGCCTAACAGGGTTTGACACCTGATCCATTCCCGGCGTCATTGAACAAACATTGGTGGAGTGCCCCTCACAGGTCGAGCAAGGTGTGGGCTCCCAGGCAGGGTGCTGCATAAGACCAAAGGGGGCTGGTACAAACCAGAAATGGCTTTATTTTCCCCAAACACTCTTTTGAATGTCCTTGTTCCTTTCCCAAAGGTCTCTCAGCAAATCCCACAGCTTTCCAATCACTTTCTCTTATTATAAAGTCCAGCTCAGCCCAAAATTTCCCTCTCATGTGTAGTCTACTTCTCATTTACACCCAAGATACTTTGAGTAGGGCAGTGCACGGTCTGCTCCATAAACTCCAGAGGATAAATCCAGGAGCGTCCTGGTTCCTCCAGAACTAGCACCAGTCTTGGAGCAAGAAGCCCAGCCTTGGAACTTACCAGCTGTGTTACTTTGTGGAAGTGACTCAGCCTCTCGGATCTTCAACCCGTCTTCTGTAAAAGAGGGAAAGTATTATTTCCTCTTTCCCCACCCTGGAGCTGTGGGGACACCAAAGTTGATAAATGGAAGGGACCCAGTGGGAGGTAAATGAATCAGGTGGGGCTGTTACCCCCATGCTGCTGTTCTCATGATAGTGAGTGAGTTCTCACAAGACTTGATGGTTTTCTCAAGGGCTTTTCCCCCTTTGGCTCAGCACTTCTCCTTGATGACGACGACATGTGAAGAAGGACGTGTTTGCTTCTCCTTCTGCCATGATTGTAAGTTTCCTGAGGCCTCCCCAGCCATGCTGAACTGTGAGTCAATTAAATATCTTTCCTTTATAATTTACCCAGTCTCGGGTATGTCTTTAGTAGCAGCATGAGAACAGACTAATACACTACAAAAGGAAAAACTGTTACGTGACAGCAGTGAAATCTGGCAGATACCACCTTAGCCAAGTGATCAAAATTAGCCTCCTCTAAATGGGACAAATTGAAATCATGTGTCTCTTGACATACTAAGCTGAGAAGGCCATATATGTACCTTTGTGGTAACTGTGCCCCGCAAAATGCAAAACCTGAATCTACTCATAAATACCAGACAAATCTGAACTGAAAGACTTCATACAAAATGACTGATCTGTACTCTTGAAAAAAATATCAAGATTGTGAAAGATAAAAGAAGTCTGAGGAGCTGTTCCAGATTGAAAGAACAGACACAACAACTAAATGTAATGTATGATCCTGGATTGAATTCTGGACCAGAAAAAAATATACACGCATATTTATTTATTGTATAATAATTAACATATAAATATTATATTTAACGAATATATTTATATTATTTATGTATTGTAATAGACATTATTGATAAAATGGTGAAATCTGAATAAAATCTGTAGGTTATATAATAGTATTGTATCAATGTTAATTTCTTGGTTTTAATCATTGTTCTATGGTTAGATTAGAAAATGTCCTTTTTTTTGGAGACAGAGTCTCACTCTCTCCCCAAGGCTGGAGAGCAGTGGCGTGATCTCGGCTCACTGCAACCTCTGCCTCCCAGGTTTAAGCGATTCTCATGCCTCAGCTTCCCGAGTAGCTGGGATTACAGGCGCCCACCACCACACCTGGCTAATATTTTTATATTTTTAGTAGAGACGGGTTTTGCCATGTTGGCCAGGCTGGTCTTGAACTCCTGACCTCAGGTGATTTGCCCACCTCAGCCTTCCAAAGTGCTGGGATTACAGGCATGAGCCACTGTGCCTGGCCAGAAAATGTCCTTTTTTTTGAAATCATGCTGAAGTATTTAGGAATAAAGGGACGTCATGTCTGCCGCTTACCTGAACTGATTCAGAAAATAATAACGTACATGGACACATACATGCATACATACACACACACAGATAATGATAAGGTGATGTAATCAGATAAAAAATGTGGGAATCTGCTGAAGGGTATAAAGGAAATTTTTGTACTATTCTGGCAATTTTTCTCTAAATTTGAAATTGTTCCAAAATATAAAGTTTTTTTTTTTTTAATATTGCATTGCCAACACCCTTGATCACACAGAGGATATCTGTAACTCTGAGTTGGAAAGTTATTTAAAAGAAGTAGGATTTCTCGGCTGGGCGCGGTGGCTCAAGCCTGTAATCCCAGCACTTCGGAAGGCCGAGGCGGGCGGATCACTGGGTCAGGAGATCAAGACCATCCTGGCTAACACAGTGAAACCCCGTCTCTACTAAAAATACAAAAAATTAGCTGGGCATGGTGGCGGGCGCCTGTAGTCCCAGCTACTCGGGAGGCTGAGGCAGGAGAATAGTGTGAACCCGGGAGGCGGAGCTTGCAGTGAGCCGAGATCGCGCCACTGCAATCCAGCCTGGGCGACAGAGCAAGACTCCTTCTCAAAAAAAAAAAAAAAAAAAAAAAAAGAAGTAGGGTTTCTCTATTGAGATAATCATATGATTAAAAACAATATTTAAAAAAAGAAGAAGGGTTTGAAGGTGAAGATATTTTTAAAATAATTAACCAATTTATTTCACTCATATTTTCTTTTCTATATATGCAAAAGCACAATAAATAAGCAAAGCCTATGTCTAACTGAGTTTAAAAGAGCTCTTTATAATGAGTTTACAACAAAAATTCTAAATGCGAAGGAAATACTGTATTATAGTTTAATAGTTAGCTGTTTTTCTTTCTTCGTGGTACATAAAATAGTGATACATCCTTGAATTATAAAAACAAAAAAAAGTACATAAATATTTTTAACTCTGACTTTGCCACTGATTAAATGTGTGACCTTGGGCAAGTCCTGTGCACATGTTTTCCCCATTAGTAAGACTGGATGACAATATTTACTGTGCAGAGCTGTTAGTGTTATCAAACCCCAAATTTTGGGTTCATGTACCTGATATACAGCAAACCTAACACCGACACATCAGCACTTAGAAGCAGAGGAAGGTTTATTTGACTCGGCTAAAGCAAGAAGGCAGGAGAAGCAGCCTCTCAAATCCAATCTGCCTTTTAACATAACTGGGGGCTTTTATGAGCAAAGCAGGTATGCAGGAGATGGATTCCCCCAATACTCAAAACTGTTTGAGTTCCTCGGCCCAAACAAACTCCTAGATGCTATCAAGGAGGTCTGCATGACCTAAGGATCATTGTTCTTTGAAAGAAAAACAGTTCATCAATCTTGCAGGCAGCCCTGGGGGTTAGGGTAGGAAGTTAATCAATTACTAGTGACTTCCCTCGTGCAAGCAAGCATGCACGGAGGAAGAAAAGGACAAGGAAATAAGTAAAGTGAACATCTTATGATCTTTATAATAAAGGCTTAATTACATTGGGAGGATTAAAACATCATTGTAACAATAATACCAGTAACAATGACATTTAAGCCAGTGTGTCTACTTGTCAGGCACTGCACTATCAAATACCAGCAGCAAGTCTGGCACAAAATAGATGCTCAATAAATGGTAGCTATTGAATCAGGGCCACACATTTAATTGATATTATGATCAAGATGTTCAAGGGAAAAAATACTATTACTTATTTAATGTGGAACAAGTCTAGTCTTTCTCTTGAGCTCCCACCTGCTGGTTAGGAGGCAACAATGTTATTTGGATCCTGTTTAGAGTATTCTCAGAGCTGAGCCCTCAAATTGTATCAGTCTTACTTATGCACCTGTCCTGTTGGCCGTCCTTGTGCTGCCCCTGACACCTGCCTGCTCCCTAAGGCGATGTGGGGAGAGGAGCATATACATTCCAACGTGCTGTAAGGATAGAGATCCTGGCCGGTCCCTGTGAGGCAGGAGAATAGGGCCTGGAGGCCATGAACGTAAGGCTGATCCATGCTGACTTCCTAGAACAAAATCAAATGGAATATAAATGGCTTTGTAACCTCACTTCATCCTCTCCATTTACACCGTTTACACTTTGTAACTTCACATTCATCCTCTCCATTTACATAAACCGCACACACAGTGACATCCTCTCCATTTACATAGACCACACACGCCAAGTGACATCCGCTCCATTTACACTTTGTAACTTCATATTCGTCCTCTGCATTTACATAGACCGCACACACCAAATAACATCCTCTCCATTTACATATTCTGGGCACATTCTGAGTAAATGACTTTGTAACTTATCTTCATTGTCTTCATATACATAGAACATATACCAAGTAACCAGTGGAAAACGTCTAGAGAGTATTGAAACCCCAGAAAATTCTGTAACCAGGGCTCATGAGCCCCTATGCTCCGGCCTGCTCCCACACTGTGGAGTGTACTATCATTTTCAATAAATCTGTGCTTTTGCTTTCCTCACTTTGTGCGTTTTGTCCAATTATTTGTTCAAGACGCCAAGAACCTGGACACCTTCCACCAGTAACACCTGGATGTGCCCCTGGCATGCATGGGTCCCCACAGTCACCTCTGCCCCTGGAGCCCCTGGGGGCCAGGGTAACTCTCAGTCTGATCTTGGGGCTTGTTAGAGGTGCAGGATCCCTCTTGGATTGCCATTGCTGTCACCTCCAGCCAGCCCGTTGGCCTGAGTGCCACCTTCCCTTGCCCAGGCCAGGCCCTTGGGCAGTTCATTCAGCCTCTGTACCACTCAGGAGAAAGCGAAAACTTAAGGTTCCTCAGCTGACCCTCCTGGCACCTTTCTGAAGGTGGGCTCCAGGGCCAGAGGCAACAGCCTCCTCCTTGCCATGAATATCCTCATGGATCCAACACCCTATCTTCCAGACTTGGGCCCAGGAAGAAAAATCAGAAAACAAGCTTCTGCCTCATTGGCCTTCCAACCTCTAGTACCTCCTCCTTTCTCTCCCATGACTCTCTAGGTTCCCATGGGGCTGGCTGCTCTCCCAGAGCCTCCCTGACTCCACTCTCAATGGTGGCCTGGTCTTCCCCAAGCAGACCATGGGGATCCCTAAGAGCCTCTAGGCTTTGTCCTTGATATGCTAATGGAGGAGATAAAGGAATCCCAGCACTTCTTCTCTTCTCAAAGCTTTCAAAACCAGGTCTCACACAGCCTCTCCTGCCTTGGGACAATAAGCCTTCTGGCTCCCCTGGAGGGAGCAGCTGCAAGAAAACCAAATTCAAAGCAAGAAGTGAAAATGCAGTGGTTTAAATTTACAGAAAGATTCTCGTTTGTACATTATTATGATAATTATGGCCCTGGGAATCCGGGTGAGGTCTCCAGAGCTTCAGTACACACTTCAGGCAGAGCATTTGCAAATTCATGGTCTTAAATCCTTAGGACAGAAAGATGTGAAGGAAAGCCAGGGAAGCAGAAGTCCTTAGGAGACCTGGGTCCTGAACTCTCCAGAGCTCATGGATCTTCTTGGATAATGAAATTCAGGGGTTGGAAGAGGCTATTTCTAAGGGAGGGCTTTCAACTCGGAGAGTCTCTGGCCAAAGGTTCTAATTCCAGTACTTCCAATTTTTGATTAACACTGCCAAATACAATCACAATTTTAAAATTCAGGGTACTTAAGGAGTTTAGGATATTAGGTTCTGCCAGAATAGCCTCTGCAGGGATGTGGAATGGCTGCATCCATCTGCCCAGGAGAAAGAGGGATGGGTACTGGGGAGGGTTCATTAGCAGGAAACTTTCCAGGGCAGATGAACACGAGGACAGAGCCCAGCTGAAGGGAACCAACAGGGAGTAGGAAAATCCAGAGCAAGATGGCAGATGTGAGGAACTGAGTGGGGTCAGTCTGGAGAATCTCACCAGCAAGTACAGAACCAGTTTTTGTCCCTTCCCATGCTCAGCAAGCCAGTAGCATGTTGATCTGCTAAAATAGCTGCCTACAGGATTTTCTGCCTCAATTCCTGACCCCTCCAATCACTTCCCCACCCTACAGCCAGAGAACCCACCACCTTTTGGGATCTTCCCATTGATCAGGATAAAGATCATGGCTGACAAGGCCCTGCATGGTCAAGGCCCAGCGGTTCTCAACCCTGACTGCATATAGGAATCATATTGGCCCAATCCCAAGGGATTCTGATTCAGTTAATCTGGGATGAGGTCTGAGCATCAGTATATATATAATATACTAATATATATTTATATATACTGGTGTATATATACATGTATACTGATATATTTTATCAGTATATATTTTTATTGATTTTTCTATATTATATATAATATATATCTATAAAAATATAAAATATATCTATATATTTAAATATTTGTTTCTATATACTGATATATTAAATATATATTTATACTGATATATACTTATATCAGTATAAACATATTAAATATATATTATATATAAATATATACAAACTATATGTTTATATATATTTAATCTCCAGGTGATTCTAACTGGCACTAAGGATTGCCAGCCCCCTGCTTTGGCCCTGCAAACTTCAACCTTATCTCATGACAGTCCCCCTCTCGGTTTCTTTGTGGCACAGCAACATTGCCCACTTTGCCCCAGTCCTTTTTTTTTTTTTTGAGACGGAGTCTCGCTCTGTCGCCCAGGCTGGAGTGCAGTGGTGCAATCTCGGCTCACTGCAAGCTCCGCCTCCCAGGTTCACGCCATTCTCCTGCCTCAGCATCCTGAGTAGCTGGGACTACAGGGGCCCGCCACCACGCCCGGCTAATTTTGTTTTTGTATTTTTAGTAGAGACGGGGTTTCACCGTGTTAGCCAGGATGGACTCCATCTCCTGACCTCTTCATCCGTCCACCTCGGCCTCCCAAAGTGCTGGGATTACAGGAGTGAGCCACCGTGCCCGGCCTGCCCCAGTACTTGTAATATGTCAATCTGCCTTTCCCTCGGGCCATTACACTTCTTTATCTCCTATGCCCGGAAAGCCTAGTCATTTCTGAGACCTTGACTCAAACACCCCTTCTGGAGGGAAACCTTCCTTGGCCTGCTGGACTAGACTATGTTATCCTCTTACACGCTGTATCCTCCAGGGTCAAATTAGGAAAACAGAGGCCACTTTAGGTGTTTCAAGTAGAAAGAATTTAAATCCTAGAAGTCGGTTACACGGGTGAGGAAAATGATGAGAAGCCCAATGGGACGGTGTAGCAATGACAGTGAGCTGCTGCCACCCCTGAGGCTGGAAGGGTAACAGACATTTGCCAGGAGCTAGAAGCTGGGGCAGCCTGGTAGGAGCTAGAATACAATGAGAGCTGCCCCCTGGGGGATGGAACCACAGAGGGAGGGTCTCTCTGAGGAGACATAGATTCAAGGAAGAGATACAGCCATTGCAGGAGATGCCAACAAAAGCAGAGAGAGAGAAAGAAGCAGAAAAGGAAAGAAGGAAGGTTTCTTCCTTCCTCCCACCTTTGAGTCTCCCACTAGTGCTTCCCATTAGCCCAAACTACCAAGAACCCAGATGGCAAAGGAGCCCGGGAAATCTAATACTACATGATACCGAGCAAAGCCGATGTTCCAGCTGGCTGCGTCCATTACAGTAGGTAGTCAGGCAGACATAAGCAGGGCAGGAGAGGGCTCCTCCCGACCAGGAATGTCAGCTGACCGTCAGGTGATGGTCAGGTGGTCATTAACTGTCTCTCTAAAATAATAATTGGTTACAGCTAGCATCAGGGAAGGGCAGTCTCCCAAAAGATAGAAACACCTGAAACTGATGATCAGCAGCTTCCCAGTAAGATCTCAGGAGTTGGATGCGTGGGCTCAAGCTTGAACACTGAGAGGCAAAATGGCGGAGTTTAACTGGTATATGCCCTTCGTCTAGAAACTTTCAGCTGGTAAGGGAAGAACGCCTTAAGTGAGCATGCGCACAACTCCAGTTAAACACACTGCGCATGTTCCTGTCCCAGGTGCTGGCAGACCACTGTGCATGCAGACAGCCCACCTCAGGGAAGAATCAGGGGAGAAGAGACGTAGACCTCACAAGCATGCCAACAGATAAAACCCCAAGTCAAGAGTCAAACCATGCACTTGAATCAAGTCACCCACTTGGCCCTCTTTCAAGTGTATTTTACTGTCTTTCATTCCTGCTCTGAAACTTTCATTTTTTATTATTTTGATTTTATTGATTGATTGAGATGGAGTCTCCCTCTGTCGCCCAGGCTGGAGGGCAGTGGTGCAATCTCTGCTCACTGCAGCCTCCGCCTCCTGGGTTCAAGTGATTCTCCTGCCTCAGCCTCCTGAGTAGCGGGGATTATAGGTGCCTACCACCATGCCCAGCTAATTTTTGTATTTTTAATAGAGACGGGGTTTCACCATGCTGGCCATGGTTGGCCAGGCTGGTCTGGAACTCCTGACCTCAAGTGATCCGCCCACCTCGGCCTCCCCTAGGATTTCAGTTGTGAGCCACCTGGCCCAGTGCCTGGTCTGCTCTAAAACTTTTAAATAAACTTTCACTCCTGCTCTAAAACTTGCCTCAGTCTCTCACTCTGCCTTATGCCCCTCGACTGAATTCTTTCTTCTGAGGAGGCGAGAATTGAGGTTGCTACTGACAAGTATGGATTTACTGCTACTAACACATCAAACCACCCCAAAACGGAGTCGCTTAAAACAATTTATAATTATCACCCATGGTTCTGTGGGTTGATGTGGCTCAGCTAGGGAGTAAGTTCTCACATGGGCCCTCTCACAAGGTTTCAGTCATATGGCGATCTAGGTGCAGTCACCTGAAGGCTCAACTGGGCCTGCTGTCCAAGTTGGTGCAGACACAATGCTGTCAGTTGACACTGGCTGTCAGCTGGAAGCTCAGCTGGAGCTATAGGAACCAAAAGTCCCACACATGGCCTTTGTGTGGGCTTGGGGCTGTCTCACAGCGTGGTGATTGGATTCCCAAAGGGTATATACCAAGAGCAAACTTTTCAGGAGACTCAGCTGGCAGCGATAAAGCTTCTTATGACCTAGCCTTGGATATCATCTCTTGTATCTATTGGTCAAAGCACAAATTGGATTCAAGGAGTTAGAAGAAGAGACTTCACTTCTCGATGGGAAAGTAGCATGTGCATACAGGTAAAATAATTAATAGTGGTTATCTTTGGAGGCAAGCTAGCATCATCCAGCCTCTAGCCACTATGTACATTCTTTTCACATGCAAAATTGACTCGTGGCCTCCTAAGACATCCTGACTTTCAGTCCACCATGGCATCAGGTTCAGGCTTAAGGTCCAGGACCTCATCATAGAGATCAAGTGCAGGTGTGGATGAGGCTCTTCAGGTACAACTTCTCAAGTGCTGTTCCTCTCAATCTAAAAATATGAAAATGAAAGAGACAATTATGTCTCCCCTCATGTACCACTGCTAGTACACAATGGAGAGAGAGTAAAAGGATAAATAAAATAGCATTCCCATCTAAGGGGTATAGTGAGGAATGAGCAGTACATACCTAGGTGTTCCCAGTCCATAACAAGTCTGAAATGCAGCTGGGCACCCATCAACAGTGCCTTGACTAAAGCCCATGGGCCATGCTGGCAGCACCAATGAGAACAGCACGATAGAGGAAGGGATTATAAAACAAAGCAAAGACCAAAAAATGAGACAGGGGCTGTCTCTTGAGGAAGACCTCCCAGAAACTAACATGACATTTTGGCTCAGATCCCACTGGGTGGGACGTAGGCACATGGCCTCACATAGCTACAAGGGAGCTGAGGAATGGAGTCTCTATTCTGGACTGCCCTGTGCCTGGCAAAAACCTATTATACAAAAAGGGAAAGGAAGAATGTTGAGGGACTTCACCACAAAGAGGCTAAATAATTCACCTAAGGCTCCAGAGGCAAAAAGTGCCAGAGCTTGGTTTCGAATCCAAGCAGTCTGGCTGAAGAGTCTCCCCTCTGAGCCATTCCTTTCTGCTAGGGTTGGCAATCTATGGTCTGTGGGCCAAATTCAACACACTGAGTGTTTTTGTAAATGTTTATTTGAACACAGCCATGCCCATTTGTTTACGTATTGGCTATGGCTGTTTTTGCACTATACAAGCAAAGTTGAGGCTGGGCACAGTGGCTCACGCCTGTAATCACAGCACTTTGGGAGGCCAAGGTGGGAATAGCACTTGAGCTCAGGAGTTTGAGACCAGCCTAGACAACATAGCAAAACCCCATCTCTACTAAAAATACAAAAATTAGTCAGACGTGGTGGCACATGCCTGTAATCCCAGCTACTTGGGTGGCTGAGGCAGGAGAGTTGCTTGAACCTGGGAGGCAGAGGCTGCAGTAAGCTGAGATCACGCCACTGCACTCCAGCCTGGGTGAGAGAGTGAGACTCTGTCTCCAAAAAAACAAAGAAAAAAAGAAAAGAAAAAGAATGTTGAATAGTTGCAATAGAGAACGTATGGCCAGCAAAGCTGAAAATATTTATGCTTTTATGCTTTACAGAAAAAGCTTCCAACTCCTGTACCATATTGACTACATTAGAGGAGATAAAATATGTAAAATGATTGGCACAGTTTCTGACCCAGAACAAATACTCAAAAAATACTATTCATGTTGCTGTTATTATATAACTGATAAAATTGGCATTGGCGTTAGAATCAGCACCAGCATCAGATCAGCATCACTATCAGCGTCTCACCAGACTGCCTTTCAAAGGAGAAGCAGAAATCCCACTGCCAGGGTGAGGCTGATGGAGAGATGAGCAAATCCTCCCAGAGTCCTCAGCAAGTTATTTTCCCTTTGCCAGGTGCCAGCAGAGAGGTGAGGCTGGTGACCACTGGCTCTCAGAAGGTGAAAGCGGAAGCATCTCCTGCCAAACGCCGCCCATGTTTTGCAGGGCTGAGGACAGGCTGAAATTGCGGCTATTTTTCAATGCCTTGAATGTGTGTAGGTGAGCATAAATTAAAAAGAAAATCTGTTGACAAAATGATTCTAAAGTTCATCGGGAAGAGGAAGCTGGAAAGATAACCAAGAAAAGTTAGAAAAAAGAAATGAAGCCTGGGTGCGGTGGCTCATGCCTGTAATCCTGGCACTTTGGGAGGCCGAGGCGGGCAGATCACTTGAGGTCAGGAGTGCAAGACCAGCCTGGCCAACATGGTGAAACCCTGTCTCTACTAAAAATACAAAAATTAGTCTGGTGTGGTGGTGCCTACCTATAATCCTAGCCCTTTGGGAGGCCGAGGTGGGTGTATCACTTGAGGTCAGCCTGGCCAACATGGTGATACCCTGTCTCCACTAAAAATACAAAAATTAGCCAGGTGTGATGGCAGATGCCTGTAATCCCGGCTACCAGTTACTTGGGAGGCTGAGGCAGGAGAATGGCTTGAACACGGGAGGTTGCAGTGAGCTGAGATCGCGCCACTTCACTCCAGCCTGGGCAACATAGCAAGACTCCATCTCAAAAACAAACAATCTAACAACAACAACAACAAAAATGAAAAACATGAAAGAGGAAAGATACTCTGCCAGGATTTTTAGATTATGGTATCTCATTTAATCCTTACAGTAACTCCATCAGGGAGAGACTGTTATTAAACCCACTTTAGAGATGAGAAGGCAGAGATTCAGAGATGACAAAGAATCTCCAAGGATTATAGATTTAGGTACATCTATATCTATACATATACCTATACCTATGCCTACACCTAAATCTATGCTCACACCTGTACCTAGATAAATGGTTTGAGAATGCATTTGATTGCAGGTGTTTTTTTCAATCAGATCCTAGATCTCTGCCTTCCGCCTGATGCCTCCGGAAACGCTGGTCCCCTGGGAAATGCCATGAAAGTGGTTAGTGTGATTACCTCAGTTTGCTAAGAAAACCCATCATACTGCCAGCACACTGTGATCTCTGGCTATCAAAAATGGTTGATTTGAAGACACCTGTATTTTTTTGGAAATGTTGATATTTAACAAATAACCCCCAGCCCCCTAAATGTTGATATTTAGAAAATAATTCCCCAAACTTATTTTACACACATACAGTGAGATAGAGAGAGAGAGGAGAGAGAGAGAGAGAGAGAGAGAGAGAGAAGAGAGAGAGAAAAGTTGTTTAATGCCCAGGATCAAGAAGGCCTGCATATATTCAGCAAGAAGCTTTATCATCCCAAACCCGAGGCTGAGCCATGATTATTACATTCTAAGCCTCTTCTTCTCCCTGCTATTTATTACTAGGGCTTAGAGAATCTCAAACTGTTGGGTCAGTTATATGATCCAAATGGCAGGACTGATCAAAGACTCCTACAACCTGTATGCTAATTAAAATCTATTTCACACACCAGTGGTGATTAGAAACTGCAAGGGCTTCCAAGCCCCTCTCACATGACTAGACTTGATGAATAATTCCTGATAGTGGCTAATAGCACTTGGCCCCCACAGTCTGCATACTAGATGGGTTTCAAGTCATCTTAAAAAAAGATGCCGGGGTTTATCTCTTAGAATTTCTCTCCCCACTCCCCACTGTGACCACACAAATGGAAACACCACTCCATTGCACGTGCATTTGTACAGTGTTGATGAACTCTGTCATTAGGCCAAGGAACCCTAGGCAATAGAAAAGTGTGAAACCCACCCATAACTGGCCCAGGGAATGCCAGCTCCGAGGCCACGGTGCAGAAAGTTGGACTTTATACTCAGCTTCTGCTTCTCCCTTATCTCAACATCTCCAATTCTATCTTTTAATTATGTCTCACACCCTTTGTCTTCACCACCACAGTCATCATTACACTCAAATAACTTAAATGCATGGCAGAGTAGGAAAAGTAGAATAAGTAACATCTTAGGTATTCAATTTGCTTGATATCTCCGATGTGCTAAGTACATTATATATAAGCTCTCTTTTTATTCTTTTCACAACTCTATAGGCAGAAAGATATTATTACCACCATATTACAGATGGTGAAACTGAGCCTCAGAGATGTGAAATAACAGTTCCATGGTCCCCAGAGCTAGAATCAAAACTTAAATCTGAGTTTTCTATTCAAAGTCCAATATTTGGACTCAATCCAATAATATTTTTGAGCATCCACTGTGTGCTAAATATTCTCCCAGGTACTGGGAAAACAGCAATGAACAACAACAAAATGGCTTGTCCAACTTTCACCTCTGTATAGAATGCAGTAGGTCACAGCAGCCTGGGTTCCTGCTGTAACAATTAGGAAAAAAATGGAAAAGTTACCAAAATTATACTCTATAGACATTGAAAAGCTGTGGAATCAACAAAGGACAAGATGAGCTAACGTTCATAGAATTGAGGAAATAGAGAAACTTTACATCCAGGAGGGCCATGTTCAAAGACCAGATATAAACCAGAGGTGGGCTGAACCTACGTAAGGTCCACCCCAGCCATGATCCAGCCCAATTGCTGGGGAAAGAGGAAAACTCTCTGGTGGAAAATAGCATCATCTATAGCCTTTATGGATCTCTTACACCAAACAGTCATCACACAATTTTAAAAAAATGTGACCTTCAAAGAAGAAGAAAAAGTAACCAGAAGGAAAAATGGACAATAGAGGCAGACCCAGAGATGCCTCATATTCTGAAGTTAGTCAAGAGGGATGTTGAAGTACTGATTATGAATACATTAAAAATAGAAGAAATTATGCACAAAAGATGAAAATCGAGAATTTAAATCAAGAATTTGCAATTTATGAAAAAAGCAGCCGGGCGCCTGTAATCCCAGCACTTTGGGAGGCTGAGGCGGGCGGATCACCTGAGGTTGGGAGTTCGAGACAGCCTGACCAACATGGAGAAACCCTGTCTCTACTAAAAGTACAAAATTAGCTGGGTGCAGTGGTGCATGCCTGTAATCTTAGCTACTCGGGAGGCTGAGGCAGGAGAATTGCTTGAACCCGGGAGGCAGAGGTTGCAGTGAGCCGAGATCACGCCATTGCACTCCAGCCTGGGCAACAAGAGGGAAACTCCGTCTCAAAAAAAAAAAAAAACAAAAAAAAGAAAGAAAAAGAAAAAGAAAAAAGCAAATAGCATTCTAGACCTGAAAAACATAATATATAAAACTGAGGACTCATTAGATGGGTTTAATAGCAGAATGCACACAGCTAAATACAGAATTAATAAACTTGAAGATAGGTCAATAGAAAATATCCAAACTGAAGCATGCAGAAAACAAGAAGAGTGGAAAGAACAGAACAGAGTAAAAGAGACATGCAGGACATGAGAAAATAGCGTAACATTGTGTAACTAGAGTCCCATAAAACAGGCCAGAGATCGGGGCAGACCTAGTATCTGGAGAGATAATGGCTGAGAATTTTCCAAAACTGATGAAAGAGATCCACCTACAGGTTCACAAAGTTCTATGAGCTCCAGTGGAGCCTTGGGCTCTTGGCCCACAGCTGCCCATGTACCTATTCTTTCTCAGGTGACTGGTTTTCTAGTTGGTTCCTGCCAGCTTTGTCTTTAGATTTTAATCACTTAACAAACACCACCAAGCATTTTTTTTCTTAGACAGAGTCTTGCTCTGTCGCCCAGGCTGGAGTGCAGTGGTGTGATCTCAGCTCATGCAACCTCCACCTCCCGGGTTCAAGCAATTCTCCTACCCCAGCCTCCCTAGCAGCTGGGATTACAGGCATGTGCCACCACACCCAGCTAATTTTTGTATTTTAGTAGAGATGGGGTTTTGCCATGTTGGCCAGCCAGGCTGGTCTCAAACTCTCGACCTTGGGTGATCTGCCCGCCTCGGCCTCACAAAGTACTGGGATTACAGGTGTGAGCCACCCTGCCCGGCCCCACCAAGGCTTTTATAGGCCTGGCACTATGCTGGGTGGGGGACACGGCCAAACAGACTGGCCACTGCCCTTGGAAGCTGCCCAGCTCCTGGTGGATGGCGGTAGGCCATGCAGAGTCAGAGCTGGACTCCCAATTCGCTGGTTTCTAATCCAGTGCCCTTCTAGGGCCCATGAATGTATGTTAAGATGCGTTGGGGAACGCTCACCAAGGCACCAGGTCAGAAGTGAGAAAAACAAGGTCTTCTTTGCTGTGATCCTTATTTCTTGGACTCTCACAGCCTTGAGACAATATGAGCCAGAGTAGTGTTGGACCTGGAGCGCCCCCTCCAGTTTTGTTGCTGAAAATGCAGCCCCCATTCCATGTCCACAAGAGACAGTGTCTCCCATTCTGCTCTGGGGTCAAGGCTGATTTGGCTGCTATTAATGTCCCTGGTGTGAAACAGGTTCCTCTTACAACATGCCCAGAGTCAAAAGAGAGTGCCCTCCTTTATCCCACCCCAGGGGGTTCCAGCTCTTGCAGGGCCCTGCCTTCCTCCTTCCCCTTTCCTCTTGTGTCCAAGTCCTTTCCACTCATCCCATGTGTCCTTCCAGTTTCACCTGAAGCATAACTTCCTCCTGGAAGCTTTACTTGACCACCCCACGCCCAGGTCTCCTTTCATGGAAACAGCCTCCCTGTCCTTCAGTGCCCTTCTATCATCAATGGGATGGTCTGATTAAGGCCTGGCTCCCACTGGCTACCTGTGCACAGCAGCCATGCCCGGTTTAGCTCTCTATTGTGTGCCTGATGTCTTGCACAGTACCTGGCATCAAGTATATATTGTATATAAAAGTGCTTTGATGAATGAATGAATGGAGGGATGGATGGATGAATGAAGACACCTAGACCCATACTAGATAGGCAGGGTTGTTGAGCAAAGGTGCCAGGGAATCCCTCTTCCATATTTCCTGATACAGCAACACCAATTAAAGGCCCCGGGTTAAACAGCAGCAGTTCCTGGCCATTTAACAAACACTCCAGCACTGTGTTAGGAGCTACCATTGAGAAGGGCTTGGGGATAGAGTGGGGGCCAATGTGTTTTCTAGAAAACTTCTTACAAACAATTGATATCAATTTCTCAACAATTGTTCCCACTTAATGATGATGATGATGATGATATAAGATAATATTTATTCAGAGCTTCCAATGCACCAGGTTCTGTTCTGGACATGTTACATGCATTTTTTTTTTCTTTAAAACTCACAAATACTCCCTTAGGTATTACTCTTTTTTTTTTTTTTTTTTTTTTTTTTTTTTTTTTTTTGAGATGGAATCTTGCTCTGTTGCCCAGGCTGGAGTACAGTGGCATGATCTCGGCTCACTGCAACCTCCCCCTCCCGGGTTCAAACGATTCTCCTGCCTCAGCCTCCTAAGTAGCTGGGATTACAGATGCACACCACCACACCTGGCTAATTTTTTTTTTTTTTTTGAGACGGAGTCTCACTCTGTTGCCCAGGCTGGAGTCCAGTGGTGCGATCTTGGCTCACTGCAAGCTCCGCCTCCTGGGTTCTGCCATTCTTCTGCTTCAGCCTCCCAAGTAGCTGGGACTACAGGTGCCCGCCACCACGTCCGGCTGATTTTTTTTGTATTTTTAGTAGAGATAAGGTTTCATCATGTTAGCCAGGACGGTCTCGATCTCCTGACCTCGTGATCCGCTCACCTCGGCCTCCCAAAGTGCTGGGATTACAGGCGTGAGCCACCACACCTGGCCACACCTGGCTAATTTTTAAAAATCTTTAGTTGAGATGGGTTTTCACCATGTTGGCCAGGCTGGTCTCGAACTCCTGACCTCAAGTGATCCACCCACCTCAGCCTCCCAAAGTGCTGGGATTACAGGTGTGAACCACTGTGCTTGGCCTACTCTTTTATTTTATTTATTTATTATTATTAGAGACAAGGTCATATTATGTGGCCCAGGGTGGTCTTGAACTCCTGAGCTCAAGCAATCCACCCTCCTCAGCCTCCCAAAGTGTCAGGATTACAGATGTGAGGCATTGTGCCCAACCAGATGTTACTCTTCTCCCCTCTGACAGGTGAAAAGGCCTGTGGAGTAGAAGGGAGGGGCAGGTTTGCCCAGGGTCTCACAGTAAGAGACAAGCACCATACCAGGTACTGCCTGATCCCAAACCCACAGCGAGGGGAACCCGCGATGCTCGATCACCATGGCGGCACAGCAGTGAGCTTGGACCCTGGGGCTCAGACCGCACCCCCACATGCAGTTTTTTGTGACGCCAATAACACCATCATCACTCTGACCCCACAAACACAGCACAACCCAACAGAAGCTGGTTAGCAAGACTGTTCTCAGCAAGCCACTCCCAGCAGGGACACAGCCGCAGCTGGCTACTTTTCTCCCCAAAGGCCCTGTTCTGGGACATTGACTCATTGACTTTGCAAACTGCCAAGGAGGAAGGCAGCCAGCCAGCATCCTTGTCTTTATTTTCCCTGACACCTGGGCCTCTGAATCCCACACATTAACCAACATCTCTGAGGGTGTCTGGGCCAGGCCTTTGCAGCTGCCAGCAGATTTCCACGGGCATTTGGAAGGACTGGGAGGGTCTACCCCTACCACTCCCTGCCCATGAGATATCCCGGGCACCTTCTCAGCAAAGCTCAGCCTCACGGGTGTCCTTTCTGGGGACATGGCAGCGTGGGGAGAACTAACAGCAAGTGTGCAGCCACCGGCAGGTCTCGGCCCCATTGGGTTGGAACTAGCTCAAGGACCTTAGACAAGGCACTTCTTTTTCTAAGCTTAAGTTTTTAAAATTGGCCTGTTATTAAGAACTGAGTCACCAAATAAAAGTGATGATTTGCTGTGATTTTCTTTTTATTCGTTCACTCACTCATTCAGTATTTACTGCGTACCTTTGCTAGGCTTCACACTCAGTTTGTTACCAATAGGGATTTTTTTTTGTTGTTTGTTTGTTTGTTTTGAGATGGAGTCTTGATCTGTCGCCCAGGCTGGAGTGCAATGGCGCGATCTCAGCTCACAGCAACCTCTGCCTCTGGGTCCAAGCAATTCTTCTACCTCAGCCTCCCGAGTAGCTGGGATTATAGGCATCCACTATCTGGTTAATTTTTGTATTTTTAGTAGAGACGAGGTTTCACCATGTTGGCCAGGGTGGTCTTGAACTCCTGACCTCAGGTGATCCGCCCGCCTCGGCTTCCTAAAGTGCTGGGATTACGGGCGTGAGCCACCGTGCCCGGCCCAGTAAAGGATATTGACTGCAAGTTGTCCAGGTTCTTGGCATTTTGAGCAAAGAATTGGACAAAATGCACAGCAAAGCAGGGAAAGAATGAAGACATGAAAGCAGAGATTTATTGAAAGTGAAAGTACACTCCACAGGGTGGGAGTGACCAGAGCAGCGGCTCAAGGGCCCTGTTACAGAATCTTCTGAGGTCCAAGTACCCACCCACTGGAGGTTTCCCATTGGCCACTTGGTGTTCACCCCATGCAAATGAAGTGGCAGCCCGTGATCAGTCTGATTGTTGCAGAAAGTGCCCACAGGGCTGGGCTTGATGTGTTACGTCCTTGGTCCTCACAACAGGTATTGTGAGTGCGTCTGTACCATGACAAAGCCTGGGGCTCTGAGGCCATGTGTACTTTGCCTATGATCACTCAGCTAATAGGAGGGGTGCAGGACTCGAACCCAGGCTCGCTGCTCCTAAGCCATTCTCCTAACCATTGTGCAATGGTGCTTTCCTAGAGCTCTTACAATCCAGTAGTGTTCACAACACTCATACAGCTAAGCCTGATGTCGGGCTGGTCATACAGAGCGAGTAGGATTTCAGAGGAGAGAGGCAGCAGGTTTTATCTAGATGGACCAGGCAAGACTTGGAGGAAGACGCCACATTGAGCCTGATTTTACAGCAAAGCAAAGCTTCCACCTTCCCCCTCCACTCCTACTGCTTTGGCTATGCCAGGTCCCTCTGGGAATTTTCATTCTAGTGGAGGCGACAAGTGACCTCCCAAGGGCTGAGATAGTGAAGGGATGGGGACCCAGGAGACACACGTCAGGATAGGGAGATGTGACCTATGCTAGGGGGTCAGGCAGGCCTCCCCGGAGACAGGTGTTTTCAGCTGAGCCCCATGGGATGAGTACTTTTATCTGGATGAGAGAAGGTTCAAAGAGAGGGAATGAGCTCCCAAAGAGGACAGCATTTTTTAGACCCAAGGGATGAGAGAGCCTGGAGCCTGCAGGAGAATGAAAGCAGCTGAATGTGAGGGAGCACAGACAGCCAAAGAAGACATCACCAGAGTGGGCCCAGAGCCACAGGGCCTCAGCAGCTACTGCCGGGGTCGTCCTGAGCTTTCTGGCACAAAGGGAACCACTGCATAGTTGAATCCAGGATGAGTTACAGGTGTGTGGTTTCTTAAGCACGGGTAATGGACAGGTGGGGCTAGTTAGGAAATACGGGGTATGGTAAGGGGTTGGTGTGGAGAGAAGAAATGCAATTCAAGAGATATTTGGGGGCAGATACCAACAGGACTTGTTTGGATTGGAAGAAGGAGGCAAATGGGGTTTCCAGGTGTCTGGCTGTGGCAACCAATTTGGCAGCAGCTTTCGACAATGAACTACTTGGAAATTGCAATTTGTGTGCGGCGTGTCACATTTTCCAGCACAATATCATGTGTATTCTTAGAGTCTTCAGTCAGGTGGGAAATGAAGGTGCTATCAAAGGACCCTGACAGACAGCGCAGGGATAGCCTGTCTTGAATATGGCAGAGTCAAACCCACAAGCTCTTGGGGAGTCCTTAAACAATTGAGATTACCTTCTTTGATGACCACCCGCAGCCCAAGGGGAGGATACTTTGAATACCACCTACTCCACATCCCAACTAAGGAAAGGAAAACAAAGTTGGCTACCCCCAACTGTCTGGGATTTTTCAATTTTTGCCTTTTTCCCTCTCTCTTGTGTCTCCTATATAAATCCTACCCATGTAGAAGTCAATCTATCATTTGTTTCCCTCATAGATAAGCAAATTAATTGGCTTATTATATTACCTATGTCTTTTATTTATTCTTTGATAGGAGGCACTATTATTTTCTCCTTTTTACCGATGAGGAAACTGAGGCTCCGAGAGCTTGAGTGGTTTGTCCAAGGTAAATGGGAGCCAGGTTCTGATTCTGGTCTTCAGTGCCCAAATTCCTGCCCCTCTCTCTAGGACAGCTCGAAGCCCTATTCTGGCCTATTAAAGGGAGCATTTCCAGAGAGAAAAAAAAATGGATGTGGACACATTCGACGTTTCTGATATGATTGTGTTGTCTGGAGCCCAAACGCTCTCCCTCGGGCCCTTGAAATGATGGGAAGGATGCAAGGTCAGAAAAAATGTGGAATGTACGGGACTCGGGCTCTACCTGGGGACATAGAGAAATCTCCCTGATTTGTTTTTCACATAGAGAATTTACTTAGGGAAGGTGGAGAGTGCAGAACGCGGCTCCGCGTGGTGGCGAAGCATAAGAAGTGCACCTGCAGGCAGAAGGGAGCCAGATGGAGGCCACCTGCAATAACGGGGCTCATTCCCGGAGAAGCAGCGCCATCTGCTGGTTTCCCATGATATGACTGTGTCAGACCAGAACAAAAGCATTTAGAACAGGCCATCTCAAAGAAATGCTAGCCTGATATTTTACCTTTTGGAGTAAAATTTCAGACTATGCAAGGATTTGATCCACTTAGCATTGAAAACAAAACCAAAAGCAACCTGCTGTGGTCCGAATGTTTGTGTCTGCCCTAAATTCCTATGTTGAAATCCTAACTAACCCCAAGGGTGATGGTACTAGAAGATGGGGCCTATGGGAGGTGATCAGGTCGTAACGGTGCAATCCTCAGCAGAGGGATTAGTGCCCTTATAAAAGGGACCGCAAAGACACCCTAATCCCTGCTACCATGCAAGGACATAGGAAGAAGCCGCTAGCTATGAGGAAGTGGGTCCTCACTAAACACCAAATCAGCCGGGGCCTTGATCTTGGACTTGCCAGCCTCCTGAACTGTGAGAAATATATATATATATTTGAGACAGAGTCTTGCTCTGTTGCCCAGGCTGGAGTGCAGTGGCACAGTCATGGCCCATTGCAACCTCCACCTCCTGGGCTCAAGCAATCCCTTCACCTCAGCCTTCCAAGAAGCTGGGACTACAGGCATGCACCACCACACCCGGATAATTTTTGTATTTTTTGTAGAAACAGGTTTTCGCCATGTTGTCCAGGCTAGTCTTGAACTCCTGGCTTCAAGCAATCTGCCTGCCTCAACCTCCCAAAGTGTTGGGATTACAAGCATGAGCTACCACACCCGGCCAAAATTTCTGTTGTTTTATAGCCACCCAGCTTACAGTATTTTGTTATGGCATCCTAAACAGTCTAAGGAATGAGCTTTTGTTAATTATTCAATAAATAGTGTTAAGCCCTTAGAAAAATAAGACAGACATAGTTTCTGCCCTTTTGGAAGTTGCATTCTGGCAAAAGGTAAACATGCTGTACCATCTCTCACACACACATGTAGTTATATACATACATGCTTGTGTACATACATGCATTTGTATACAAGCTCGTTTTAGGTATTGGTAAATGTCATGAAGAAGGAAGAAGAATAAAAGATGATACTGGGCCAGGCGCGGTGGCTCACACCTGTAATCCCAGCACTTTGGGAGGCTGAGGTGGGCAGATCATGAGGTCAGGAGATCAAGAACATCCTGGCTAACATGGTGAAACCCATCTCTACTAAAAATACAAAAAAAAAAAAAAAATTAGCTGGGCGTGGTGGCAGGCGCCTGTAGTCCCAGCTACTCATGAGGCTGAGGCTGGGGAATGGAGTGAACCCGGGAGGCAGAGCTTGCAGTGAGCCGAGATCATGCCACTGCACTCCAGCCTGGGTGACAGAGTGAGACTCCGTCTCAAAAAAAAACAAAAAAAAGATGATACTGACTGGGGTTCTGGTGGAATAAGCTGGGGTTTGCTCTCCAGCCAGGACAATAGAAAAGACCTCTTTGAATTAAGATCTGAATCATGAGAAGAAGGTAGATGTGTAGGAAAGAAGAATTTCCAAAGAGAAGGAACAAGAGCAGAGGGTGGGTCCAAGCCTGACAGCGTGAGAAAGAAGCCACGGGGGCTGGGGCACAGCCAGTGCATGGCCCAGCTGAGTTCTGTAAGCAAAAGGCCTGCATCAGCAAGATTCACGTTTCCCAAGACTATCTCTTGAAAAGAATAGGTGCTTATTGTTTAATCTTTCCAGATTCTTACATAACTGGGCACTCTTTCAATTACTTTAGTTTAAATAACTACAGTCTTTCTGGGGAAGCCACATTAGCCTGAAATGACCTCAAGGTGAGCTGTTTGGCCAAACACGTTTAAACCAGATACAGCTAGTAATCCCAGCTGGAATGTTGAACGACATTGTAAATAAGCCTTTTAAAAAATATAGAATTTCGGCAGGGCGCGGTGGCTCATGCCTATAATCCCAGCACTTCGGGAGGCCCAGGCGGGCAGATCACGAGGTCAGAAGTTCGAGACCAGCCTGACCAACATGGTGAAACCCTGTCTCTACTAAAAATACAAAAATTAGCCGGGTGTGGTGGTGCATGCCTGTAATCCCAGCTACTCAGGAGGCTGAGGCAAAAGAATCACTGGAACCCAGGAGGTGGAGGTTGCAGTGAGCTGAGATAGCACCATTGCACTCTAGCCTGGGTGACAGAGCGAGACTCCGTCTCAAAAAAAAAAAAATATATATATATATATACACACACACACACGTATATATTTTTATATACACATATGTATATATTTTTATATTTATATATACATATATATTTTTATATTTATATATAATTTCAACTTTTATTTTAGATTGGGAGGGTACATGTGCAGGTTTGTTACACGGATATATTGAATGACACTGAGGTTTGAGGTAGGAATGATTCCATCACTGAGCATAGTACCTAATAGGTAGTTTTTCAGCCCTTTCCCGACTCCCTCTCCCCGCTTCTAGTAGTCTCCAGTGTCTACTGTTTCCTTGTTTACATCCATATGTACCCAATGTTTAGTTTCCATTTGTGAGGACATGTGGTATATGGTTTTCTGTTTCTGCATTAATTCACTTGGTATAATGGCCTCCAGCTGCATCCAGGTTGCTGCAAAGGACATTATCTCATTCTTTTTTATGACTGCATAGTAGTCCATGGTGTATATATACCACATTTTCTTTATCCAATCCACCTTTGATGGGCACCTAGGTTGATTCCATATCTCTGCTATCGTGAATAGTGCTGTGATGAACATACAAGTGCATGTGTCTTTTTGGTGCAATGATTTATTTTCCTTTGGATATATGCCCAGTAATGGGATTGCTAGGTGGAATGGTAGTTCTGTTTTAAATGCTCTGAGAAATCTCCAAACTGTTTTCCACAGTGGCTGAACTAATTTGCATTCCCACCAAACAATGTAAACTAATTTACATCCCCACCAATAAGGGTTTCCTTTTCTCTGCAGCCTGGCCAGTATCTGTTGTTTTTTGACTTTTTAATAATAGCCATTCTGGCTGGTGTGAGATGATACCTCATTGTGGTTTTGGTTTGCATTTCTCTGATGATTAGTGATGTTGAGCATTCTTTCATACGGTAAACAAGCCTTTTAAAGATCACTTTAAAAAGCAAATCGATGGGTAGTTACATCATAGAGACCATGGTTAAACACCTACAGAAAAAAAAATTCAGTGTCCTAATGTGCTTAAGATAAAATGCTCATGGAAGTGGTCATACATGGATTCAAAACTGCTCCAGCTCAGAAAACTTAAATAAAAGTAAAGGTAGTCTGAGTGTAGTGGTTCCTGCCTGTAATCTCAGCACTTTGGGAGGCCAAGGCGGGTGGGTCGCTGGAGCTCGGGAGCAGCCTGGGCAGCCGAGACTAGCCTGGGCAGCATGACAATACCCTGTCTCTACCAAAAATACCAAAAAATTACCCGGGCGTGGTTGTGTGCACCTGTAATCCCAGCTACTCAGGAGGCTGAGGCGGGAGGATCGCTTGAGCCTAGAAGGCGGAAGTTGCAGTGAGCAGAGATCACACCACTGCACCCCAGCCTGGGCAACACAGCAAGACCCTGTCTCAAAAAAGTCAAGGAAAGGCACTCTTGACGTTGATTCTCATGCTGTGGTGTGTGGACCAGCAGCAGTAGCGGAGACACCTGGGAGCTTGTTAGACATGCGCGGTAGGAATCTGCATTTGAATTAGATCCCTAGGTGAGTCACATGCACAATCACGTTTGAGAAGTTTGAGAAGCGCTGCTCTTGGAAACTTGTGGCAGAGCTCAAAAAGTGCTCCAGTCATGAGAGACACTGATGCTGAAAATTCCAGCAGAGCATTTTAGTAGTTGTTTCACAAGCTGAGAAGAAAAGCAACATTTGTAAATAAATGTATTACTTGATGATATATTAAATGTAGCTAAATTAATAGATTGTGGGCTCCAGCGCCAATTGCCTGGCCTTATATTTTCTAGTTCTTCCGCTTTTTCAGCTGTGTGTCCCTGGTCAAGTTACACATCTTCTCTGTTCCTCAATGCTCTCATTGGTAAAATGTTAAGCGTGTGTTAAAACACATTTAACATAGTTGGTGTACCATATATTTAATATAGTTGACTATGTCATCCACATCCATAAAGGTTTTTATATTTAAACTATCAAAACGTTTTCAAAAGTCCTCCCATTGGGAAAAAATGGGAAGCAGTGTTTTCCCTTATACTTAGAAACACAAAAAGCGGTTCCATGAGAGTTGGAGTTCAACTAGCTAGTATAAGTTCATTTCAGCTCTTAGTTCTCAGCTGGGTTCAGCCCAAGCTCCTGCTTTAAATCAGTATCTCTAGTGGCCAACTCTGCTACCATTAGTCAACACTGGGTAAAGTCTTCAAATGTAAATATTAAATAAATAGGCCCAGTGCGCTGGCTCATGCCTGTAATCCTGACACTTTGGGAGGCCGAGATGGGCGGATCACTTGAGGTCAGAAGTTTGAGACCAGCCTGGCCAACATGGGGAAACCACATCTCTACTAAAAATACAAAACTTAGCCAGGCATGGTGGCACCTGCATGTAATCCCAGCTACTCGGGAGGCTTAGGCAGGAGAATCCCTTGCACCTGGGAGACAGAGGTTGCAGTGAGCCAAGATCGCACCACTGCACTCCAGCCTCGGGGACAGAGTGAAACGGTGTCTCAAAAATAAATAAATGAAAATCCAGATGTCTTTGAAAGGCAGAGAAGAGAAGCAATTTGCTCAATGTCCTGCTACAAAACAATCCCTCCGCAGTCTCCCTACTGTGTGTTGATGAGGGTTGGGGTTACCACGTGGCACAGAGGTCAGGCGTCTTTCCGAAGGACACTGGCCAAGGGAGGAGGCTGAAGCCTAGGCAAGAAATCCCTGCTGAGAAACGCTCAGGTAGGTGGAAGAGAGGAGTTAGAAGTGTTTCTCTTAGCTTGGATCCTTAAAGGAGTAGAGATGCAGGTGTGAGCTTCTGGGGGTGGGAGTGAGGGGTCTGAGCTAGGAAATAAGTCTAACAAGTGGGCAGCAAGTCCAAGGTGAGTGAACCGTGTCTTGTAAGCCCATTTCTCTACTCTGTTCGTTTCTCCATGGTCATTCCTGAGTTAGAAAAGACTTTGCCTGCATGTTCCAGTCTTGACCAGCTATGCACCAGGCACAATGGGAAAGTTCATGGGTCCAAGAATCACGAAGTCTGCCTGGTAGTGGTAGAGGTAATTCGTAAGAAGTTACCAAGAAATGATCCCTGGGCCGGGCGCGGTGGCTCACGCCTGTAATCCAAGCACTTTCGGAGGCTGAGGCGGGCGGATCACGAGGTCAGGAGATCGAGACCATCCTGGCTAACATGGTGAAACCCCGTCTCTACTAAAAATACAAAAATTAGCCGGGCGTGGCGGCGGGCGCCTGTAGTCCCAGCTACTCCGGAGGCTGAGGCAGGAGAATGGCGTGAACCTGGGAGGCGGAGATTGCAGTGAGCCGAGATCGCGCCACCGCACTCCAGCCTGGGCGACAGAGCAAGACTCCGTCTCAAAAAAAAAAAAAAAAAAAAAAAAAAGAAATGATCCTTCGGGGGTTCCAAGCCCAGCCACCTGGAGATTCTCCCTCTGTGCTGGGGGTTCCCAAGACCACCTCAGACTTCATGATTCCGTAGAAGGATGCACAGGACTCAGAACAGCTGCTGTCTGGTTTAGTAGAGTGAAAGGATACAGATTTTTTTTTTAAGCAATGGTAAATGGTGCATAGGGTGGAGTCCAGGAGAGACCAGGCACGAGCTTCCAGATATGCTTCCCAATGGAGTCAGACAGCGTGCGTTTCTTCCAGCAGCAATGTATGATGACACACTCAAAGTGTTGACAGCCACGGAAGCTCACCCAAGAGAGAGATGTGAGACCGAGCCGTGGTATCCAAGGGTGTTGCTGGAGCGCCCATATGACTGACTTAGGCCCCAGAGTTCACTTCTGACCCTTATTTTATTTTATTTTTTGAGACAGAGTCTTGCTCCATCGCCCAGGCTGGAGTGCAGGTGTGCGATCTCAGCTCGCTGCAGCCTCTGCCTCTTGGGTTCAAGCGATTCTTGCGCTTCAGCCTCCCAAATAGCTGGGATAACAGGCAGGCTCCACCACACCCGGCTAATTTTTGTATTTTTAGTGAAGATGGGATTTCACCGTGTTGGCCAGGCTGGTCTTGAACTTCTGACCTCAAGTGATCCACCCGCCTTGGTCTCCCAAAGTGCAGGGATTCCTCAGTTTCTAGCCCCTCAGAGGTCAAACTGACCCAATGGGGCCCAGGGCCTTGGGCACACAAAAGCACTCTTTCCTAGGCAGGGTATTCCCAGGTCTGCTGGGTTATCTCCCAGAAGGAGATAAAAAGCCAGTTCTTTCTTTGAAAGGGGCAGGGTTTTGGGAACTCCCAGCTTGTTCAGTTAGCCCTTTACTGCCTACTCCCAAATGCCTCGCTCTGAGGCTCCCACTGTGACTTCATGAAGGAAGGGGGCAGACTCCTTCACAAAAGCCCACACCACTGGTTTGTGGAGGCAGGAGGAGAAAAGAGACTGGTTAGCGTGATTGATACCAAATCCAATGCCCCAGTCCCAGTGTCCCTCTGGCTGCTGAATCCTGCAGATGCTTACATCCAAGTTGAGCCCACCTGCCTGTAGATACAAATAGCCAGTCCTGTGGCTGTCCACTTCTCTTTCCAGAGCTCCCAGGCAGCCATCCTAGTGGTGAAGCTTGTTCTTGGCACAGACCTACCAAAAGAACACATACCCAGAGACAGAACCAAAAGGAAGCCCACGGCTCAGCCCAGAATGCCCCAAGCCAGTGATCTCCCACCCCTCTGTGGGTTCCTCTCAAACAGTCTTAAATCCCATTGAACTGTTCCTCAAATACTCTCCCCTGCAATGGCAAGAGAGACCCCAAGGTAGAAGCATAAACAAGCATGCAAAGTGAGGCAAGAGAGACCCCAAGGTAGAAGCATAAACAAGCATGCAAAGTGAGGCAAGAGACACCCCAGGTCACATCCTTAAGCGGGTATAGGGAGAGCAACCGTGTTTCCATGTGTAACTGGGCAGCTTAACTTCAAAATGCATTTCAAACTTTTTTCCCTTTCTCTTGGGTTTCAAGACACAATCTTGAGGGAAACTGCAAAAGCCTTTTTCCTTAGCCTCAAAATAGACTCCATGCCCCTCCCTTTCCCACCATCCATACTCTCTTTACGTTTGTCTAACTGTATGTTAGTATCTAATTGTGTGCCTTCTTAGAAGTTCCAGGGGCTGATCTTGAAACAGACCAAGTCTGGAGACCCAGTTGCAAAGTTTCAGGGATGACCTCAAGGCGGCTGATGAACAGCCCGGCCATTATGGAGATGATGTCAGCCCGAGGTCCAGGTGGACTGGGACCTGACGCAGCCACCAAAACAAGACACACAGACATTATGCTCAGCCCAAGTCTTCCATGCCTTCCTTATCAAGTTTTTCTTTTTTAAACTCTTGCCTTCCTGCTAAAAATTGAAGTGGTTAATTTGGACAGGAATTCGGCTGCCTCCCCTCTACTAGTTTGGGTAATAAATTCACTTTCTTTCTATCAGATGTCACTCTTGTTAGTTGGGCTCGGCCAGCAGTGAGCGTCCAGACCTGCTTTGTTGGGTCACACGTGCAGCACCCAGAGGGGTCTGAGTGTGAGCAACAGAGCTCTGTGTTCAGGCTCTGTCCACAATACCCCACACCCTTCCCGCAGAGGGGTCCTTACACCCAGGGTGGTGGTGCTGCCTTTCTTCAGGAGCATGGACTGGGTTAGAAGCTCATGGGCCTGGACGCAGATCCTGAACATTGGGGCAGGGAGTTCCTAGACCCTGTTACCTGTATTAGGGTCTGGGGAGGAAGAGAGCAAGGGCTCAGGTGATCACAGCCCTTGGACCCACTGACTCGCTGTCCTGCGGGCAGGGGAGCAACCAGAGAGGGCAAGGGTCCCTGAGTGCATGGGTCGAAGTGTGGTGCTGGTGTGTCTGGGGTCCTGTGGCTACTTGCAACTCAGCAACACACACACCTGCAGTGCGACATGCCTAGGGCCTGCCACACATTCAAGGTCTGGCTCAATGTAAAGGTACAGGTTCTACCAGCATAATCACTGCTGAGCACAACACATGATCTTGTGGGACCCTATCCACTTAAGACAGGGCCACAACTGTCAGCTGCACACCATCTCCTTAGGGTGTGACAGCAAAGATGACCTACTAAGGAACGTTGTCTGCTGCTGCCTGGTGGTCCCAGGCTCATTGTCCTCTAAGACTCATGCTGGCATCGCTTCTCAATAGCCCTCAGCCCCAGGAGACCCCCGCTCTGTGCCTCCCGATGCCCAGGCAGACTCTGCTGTCATGGCAGAGCTTTCTGTGCTCTCAGCCACGCCCCTCACTTGCCTACGAGGAGCCATGTCTGGCTACAGCTGTGGCCCTAACACCCGTCTATCCATTCAATAAGTAAATAGCGAGCTCCTACCTCTGTTGGGCGTGATTCTAAGCACTTGGAGTGCACCAGGGAACAAAACAGGGCCCCCTGGTCCCATGAAGCTTCCAAGGGAAATTCGAGGCACCAGCTAGCTCTAAGAATTAAGTAGGCAACTTGGTGAGCAAGAAGGTAATAGCAGCCTAAGCTAGTAGCCAGGAAGTTAGCCATGAGATATTTGGTTCCCTATAGAAACTGAGATACCATCTTAACATATGTCTGAGTTTTTTAGAAACCCGGACCCCCACCCAACAAATCACTGGCACGTGTATCTCAGATAAGGGAACTGGGGACTGAAGTCTGGACTTCATTCTTTGTTCTAAGTTTTTTCCTGAGGGGCCTGGAGGGAGCCACACCCATGAGCCTGAGATAATATTCTTTTCTACGGACCCCAAAGTTGGAAACAAAGCTTCTCTTCCTTAACCAATTGCAAATCAGAACATCTTTGAACCTACCTGTAAGCCCCACCCCTCCTTCACAATATCCCACCCTTCAAGGCCAAAACCAATGTGTAATCTCTATGTATTGATTCATGATTATGCCTGTAGCTTCCACTTTCCTGAAATGTACCCCACCTCTAAAAACCCTTACCCACAAGCCATCAGGGGAGTCAGGATTTGAGCATTTGCTTCCTGGTCCTCCCTGCATGGTGCCCTGCAAATAAATGGCTTCCTTTCTACTGCTGCGAAGCCTCAGTGTGGATATCTGGTCTTACTGTGCTGAGCAGGCAGACCCAAGTTGTGTAACAGTATGGGAGTAAGGAAACCTTTTCCAACGACCTGGTCTCAAAAAGTGAACCACCCATGCATCTTCTTTAGGAAGCTTTGGCAGGATGTGCTCCAGCAGAGCAAAGGAATAAAGCACAAAGACCAAGATGCGGGACACAGGGAACAGAAAACTCAACACAGGAAGAGCAAGGATGATGATAGACATCAGAGGGCAGCTGGAGGGTGGAGGATTCCAGGAGGGAGCTTGGCAGGGGGCAAGGGCTACTATGAGTTATCTGATGCTTCTGTTGAAAAACTTTATTGACAGGTATTTGGCAGATGCCTGTGCACTGTATAAAAATCCAATACAAAATAATCAAATAGAAAATAAACAACTAAAAAAAGGCAATTTTTAATAAATGGAGATAAAAGTTAAAAAAAGGAATACAGCATTTGCTTATTTATATATATTTATTTCACTAACATATATATTGTCAATAATAATGTAAAGACTGATGATTGCGCTAATTGTATAGGGAACAGTGAGAAGTAGGGTAGATTGATGATTATATGAGAGCATTCTTATCTATCAAAATGGCAAAGAGATTAGATAATATCTGATTTATTAGCAAAGAAATAGCAATATAAGCACATTAAAAAATATTGGCTAGGTGCAGTGGCTCACGCCTGTAATCCCAGCATTTTGGGGTCCACCCAGCAGGTGGGTGGATCTCTTGAGCCTAGGAGTTTGAGGCTAGCCTGGCAACACAGTGAGACCCCATCTCTTCTAAAAATACAAAAAATTAGCTGAGCGTAGTGGCACACACATGTATTCCCAGCTACTTGAGAGGCTGAGGTGGGAGAATCGCCTGAGCCTGGGAAGTCGAGGTTACAGTGAATCGTGATTGCACCACTGCACTCCAGCCTGGGCAACAGAGTGAGACCCTGTCTCAAAAAACAAAACAAAACAAAAAAAGAAAGGAAGAGAAAGGAAAATGAAATATGGAGGGAAACAGAAGAAACTGCTTAAGAAATGGAAATTTGTTTCCTATAGAGAGCAGGACCCATGGATCAAAAGGCAGGAGAGTGCTGTTTTTCATTATTACTGTAGTTTTTAAAGTATCATTTGACTAATTATATGCATGCATTGTTTTATTAAAAACGAGGTTAAAATTTCAAATGAATGGGATACTAAAAGCTTATACCCTATTTGACCATGTTTCTGATAACCGCAGGTAACAAAAGGACAACTGTGACCAAGGAAAAGGCTGGGGGGTGGCGGGCAGACAGAGGAAGGTGGGGGCAGCAGCAAGGGCTAGCAGAGGGACACTGCCAGGAAGTGAGAACTTGGGGCAACAGGTGGCCCTGAGTATGGGTAGAAATATCTGACCCCACCCAGGGCTGTGACCGAGGTCGGACGGAAGTGCAGGGAAAGACCAGCAGACCGCGGGAACTCGCTCGTAAAGCACTTTGTTTACTTCCTGCTGTCTGGAATTTCAGAGTGAAGTCCAGTGGGACCTCTGGCCTGGCCACCTGTCCGCACAACACACGGGGCCCAGGAGGCTTTCCCTGGCATCATTTGCAAGGAGGCATCATTTGCATTCACCTTCCATTTGTCTGACCTCAGAGGTGGGACCCTCTGCTTCCTTCACATACTTGATAGTGGATGGCCAGGGGCAACTTCCAAAATTCCTGGCCTCCCTGGCTCTTTCAACAGGCAACTGAAGCTCAAATTCAGTTCTTCTCAGGGCTGCAGGGCGAACACTCTGGACACCACAGCCAGAGCTGCACTAAGCGGCTGCACTCACTGAGCCGGCCCTCCGAAGGGTGCTACAATATGGATCTGATCACAGCTCAAATTCCACCAGGTAGTGACCTTGGACAAGTAACCTGACCCCCTCCCAGTCTCTGTGTCATCATCTGAAAGGAAGAGAGAATATCCCACATTTGCAGATCTTTGGTGAGAAACAAATTACGGATCTAAATGCTCAATAATTGTTTGACCCTTCCCCCTGTCTGCTTATACCAAGTAAGCATCCACCATAAAATCCAGGCAGCCAGGTGTATTAGTCTCCTTTTGCCGCTGTAACAAATGACAAGCTTAGTGGCTTAACACCAATTTTTAATCTTACAGGGCAGGAGGTCAGAAGTCTAAAATGACTTTCACTGGGCTAAAATCATGGCCTGTGTTCTTTCTGGAGACTCCAGGGGAGAATCCGTTTCCTTGGCTTTTCCAGCTCTAGAGACTGCCTGCGATCTTTGGCCTGTGGCCCCTTCCGCCCTCTTCAGAGTACATCACTCCAACCTCTGCTTCCCTCCTGCCCAGGACACCTGTGATTACATTAAGCCCACCCAGGTGATCCAAGACAATCTCTCTATCTCAAGATCCTGAACTTAAACACAGCTTAAACTTACCCCAGGTAACACAGTCACACATTCCAGGGATTAGGACATGGACATCCCACCACACTTTGTACGAAGTGCACCTGAACTGAAGTAACTTAGTCAGGTGTAACTGACACTGCCCCTTGCCCTCTGCTCTCCCAAGAATCATTTTAAGGAGACTTTACTAAGGAATCATGGAAAAAAGTTAAAAAACAACTTAAAGGCCAGGCGCGGTGGCTCATGCCTGTAATCCCAGGGCTTTGGGAGGCCCAGGCGGGTGGATCACGAGGTCAGGAGTTTGAGACCAGCCTAGCCAACATGGTGAAACCCCGTCTCTACTAAAAATACAAAAAATTAGCTGGGCATGGTGGCAGGTGCCTGTAATCCCAGCTACTCAGGAGGCTGAGGCAGGAGAATAGCTTGAACTCAGGAGGCAGAGGCTGCAGTGAGCCGAGACCGCGCCATTGCACTCCAGCCTGGGTAACAGAGAGAGACTCCATCTCAAAAACAAACAAAAAACAAAAGAATTTAAGAAGCCAGAATAACAGGAAGTGTGCTGCTAGTTTCCCAGGATTACAATTTACTTGTAAATGTACTGAAGAACTCTGAAGTTCTCCTTGAGATTTGAAATATTTTAATACCTATGTCAGACTCTGACAGCACCCTAACGCCCCCAAGATCAGGGCAAGGGGTGAGGGGTATCTGACACCCAGCTGAAGTCTCAGCCTCTGCCCAGCCTGGGTCTGGAGCCAGAAGAGGTCCCCATAGACTCGGGCTCAGCATGGCCTCCCCAGGAAGGTTGCTTCATCGGTGGTGGTGATGATCAAAGCTGATAGCTTGCTCAGGACTAGTGAAGACACATCAATAATCTGGAAATACTTTCCATATTTGCTCACCAAATTTCCTAGGAACCGGCGAACATTTCTACCTCCTTTTTCTGGCAAAACGAATCCCTGTGAAAATGGCTAATGAGGTACAGTAGAACCCAGTGTCACAATCCTTGCTACTGCTAAATTAGAATTAGCTCAAGGTTAAACTGCATTCTTTGAAGCATAACTCAACACAATAACTGTCTAACATATCGGTTCAGAAAAGACTCTCCACTTTGGTATGAAATAGAAGCAGTATTTTTAAAAATAAAACTCGGTGGCAGTAAGTCAAACTATAATCGTAGGAAAGATACTTTACAGGGAATTCTTTCTGGCTGAAGGCCCTGCCGTCCCCTAGGGCTGCTGGGCAGTCCACTGATAGATCATCACAAGGATTAGATCTGTCCTTTGCCTTCAACAATGAGTCTCTATGTTCCAGGGGCAACCAAACATGAACGATGTTGTGTTCATCAGCCTGTCCTTCTCTGCTCCCTTAAACCCTCCGAACGGTGGTGGATACCACAGCGCGGTACCAAGTCCAGGTGTAATCCAACATTAACTGTCAAGGTCAACTTACAGTGAGAGCTCATTATGAGCCATGGTCTCGACAGGGTGCTGTCATCTAAGCTTGTAACACGCCTGAGGTCGGTGGCATCTGCTATTTGCCCACTTAAGCAGGAAGGGAGGTTACTAAGTCGTCTGAGGTCAGTAGCACACCCAGCAAGTGCTGGGATGCAAACCCAGGGAGGGTGACTTGAGTCCCGGCTCTTAGCTACTGCGGTGTTGCGAGGCTGTAACCTGTAATAGCCTAACATTTCTTGTGACTAATCCAAAAGGAATGAAGAAAGGAAATTCTTCACTCTTTTCTAAATGTATTTTTTGGGGCACTCTGTATGCTGGCCAGAGGGGATCTGAATAAAGCCAAGTAACAGGCAGTTAGGTCCTGGAGTGATGAACAAAGAACAGGGCTGTAGAGTGGATTAAAGGGTCTGTTCCGTCTGGGGTCAGGGAAGGCTTTCTGGGATAGGAGAGACTTCACTGTGACACAACCGGGTGCCCCGGGAGGTTCACAAGGAGGAGAATAACATGGCTATTCTGACTGAATCCAGGATAGGGATCTTTGAGGTGAGGTGCACCTTCAGTGGCATCTCTGCCCTAAGGGAGACTCTGCCCTCAGCTCACCTGCACTGGGCTCCCAGGGCAACCGCCAAGAAAACAATGCTCCCCTCACGCAAAATGCCCACATAGCTTTCAGACCTAAAGTGATGCTACTCTCAGGAAATAAGACAGGAATGTGGCTTTACAAGAGTCCACCTGGTCACCCCATGCGTCTCTGTAAGCCCCTGGACCTTAAAATGGCTTTTCTCTTCACCATTCCTCTGCTCTGCTTCATAGTAGCTATTATATGGTTCTTAGGCACAATTTAAAGCTGCTTTTTAGATTTACTAAACAATTCTTAAGTGGAATGTTAAATTTTTAAAACAATCAGTGTTTTGTGTGGCCATCCCCTAATATATATCTTTTCCTGTCGGTGGCTCTCAGGAACCCACATGAAAGCTTTCTCACCTCACATTTAAATTTGTTTCTGCTGGGCGCAGTGGCTCATGCCTGTAATCTTAACACTTTGGGAGGCCAGAGTGGGAGGATCGCTTGAGCCAGGAGTTCAAGACCAGCTTGGGCAACACAGAGACCCTGTCTCTAAAAAATAAAAAAATTAGCCAGGTGTTGTGGTGCACATCTGAAGTCTCAGCTATTCAGGAGGCTGAGTGGGAAGGATTGCTTAAGCCCAGGAGGTCAAGGCTGCAGTGAGCCATAATCAGGCCACTGCACGCCAGCATGGGCAACAGAGCAAGACCCTTTTTCAATCAATCAATCAATCAATCAATCAATCAATCTGCACCAATGAAACCTTGCCGACACAAGTCATTCCTCTACCCTTAGCACAGTCCCTCCTGTCACAAACAAGGGACCTGATTTCTCAAAATATAATTTATGTCAAAATATCTAAGTAAACCTAACAAATGTAACAAGAATTCTCTCTTAAGCTGGCTGCTATGGCTTGAAAAGTTAAAGGAAAGCTTCGGTTCCCAGATTCTACACAAGTGAATTAAACACTGCCAACAAAACGAAACCCAACTTAAAAGTTATCTTCTGTCCTAAGATATCTCTAAAACTCATAGCTTAATGAAGCAGAATGCCATTTATGTAACTACCAATCCATGAAAAAAATAAAAACTACCTGAAATCATAAAATGTTTAATCTTCTAAAATAACTTGATTTCTAAGGGTCTAATCACACAGACCCTGAAGCTATGACAAATATCCAATATAATCACACTAATACAGGCCTAATGTATTTTAAATAGGTGCATTTAAACCCGAGAAGCAGTCCTTGCATTTTAAATAGGTGCGTGATACTGCTGTTTGCACAAGGAACCTCTGTGTCTCTGCTCTAATTCTCACAGTGAATTCTAATTATGCAGACCATCAAAATTATTCAGACTTACACTAGATAGCATCTTCAATTTTCTACTTGGTAGAGATTTGTTAGGCATATAGAAAAAAATTATTAATTAACTCTGAGAAAGAAGACTTACATTCCTCGTAGAGCCCAGTGATTCCTTCAACTTATAAGTTCCCTAGTGACTTTGATATGATCTCACTATGACTCATAAGCATGAGTCAAATTATTCACTTGGCAGCCTTTTCCTAGCTCCAATCATATTCTAGAGAGGTTTCTTACATTGATGCTTCCCATCAATAAGTTTCTCATCATTTCGCTTTTCAGATGAAACCTAAGGGCACACAGGCAGATTCAAGGAAAAGCCAAAAGAAGCAAAATTGTGAAAACGTATCACACTCCTCACTAGATGTGATGGCAAGGGACAATTTTGCAGACCCGGCCTCTGGTCCACGGCCTGTATCCATCCAGAGGCAGTATGAAGTGACTTATTCATGGTGACTCTGTCTACAGGGCAAGGTAGATCCTTCTAGTGCTCCTGCTTCCCTCATTTCTAAACCAAATGGCTCAAATGGATGTGTTTTAACCTCCTCTTAGATCCTAAGGTCCCTTAGCTTACAGAAGACATAAAGGTATCATGGGATGTAGCAGACAATTAATGTAATAACCTTTTTCTGAGAATAATCTATTTTTCTTTTCTCTAACACGGTGAGGTGGGTGACTGCTGAGGAGCAGTGCTCTAATCTGATGGGGCAGTCCCCAGGGTGGGGGCGTGGGGCTACAGCTTTCCTTCCCCTTCCAAAACCTCTGGGGAAGGGGAGCAGGGGCAACTCCATCAGTTCTAGCCTGACCTCATGGAGGAAGTCTGTTTTTAGAGTATTCTCGAGAGGAACTCAAGGAGATTAAATAAGCAACGAAGAACAAGCCTCTAGAATAGCTCTGGGGAAAAGAGCCGTTCTGTCCTTTTTGCCCTTATTATGAGAAAATGCATCCTTCTTCCCACCTCTGCCACCGTAAAGATATGTTTCTAGACAAGCGCTCTCTTTAAGTCCCTGGAGATGAACAAAGCCTCCATGCCACACCAGGCGGGCTTCCTTCCCATGGGCCTCTGCACAGCCCCAGGCTCTACCAGGCCCCAGTCTCGGGATGCAGAACTCATGGAAAGGTCTTATAAAGACACCAGACACTGGGAGAATCTCTGCCACAATTCCAAATTATGTCCTCTTTTAGAAAGTCCCCACTTTTTAAGAAGTAAAATACTCATTAAATCCCCTAGCTCGGTGGACTGTTGACGATGTCTCCCTATCTAACTGTAGCAGTGTGCCAAGCACAGGGCTCCAGAGATAGGCAGGTGGGGCCGCCTCCTCCGGCCTCACCCACCTCTGCTCCCTCCAGCCCACCCACGCCTCCAGCTGCACAGTTGACTCACCATCCAAACAGCTGCTTCCCCCAGAAAGTAGACCAGGGCTCGACGGCAATTCTTGTGGCAAATTTAATAGAAGAATATGAGACTCACCCTTACTTCCCACACATAAAACACTGCAGGCACTCCAAATCCTTACAGACATATGCACTTCGGAATCAACTCAGGCATGCACAGCATCCCTGTGCTGGAGTTTATTTTAAAAAACAACGCCCCAGTTATCACAGTTTCTTTTTTTGTTCACCATTTTCCATAACAAAAGAAGCTACACAAAATTTGGGGGGAGATACTCTCTTTGGAGACTGACACATTTGCAGAGGGGTCATGAATAATGATTCCAAAGCTCCTATTTAACTTCTGAATCAGGCAAAGAATAAGTGACAATATAAGAATGAATTTTGTTTACAGCAATATCATAATACAGCATTGAATCATTACAGTGCAGTGGTTGTAATTAAGTCCACAATAAAATATTCTTAGCCCGAACACCAGACCAACTAAAATCACCAACTGCTCACGAACCAAAATGATCAGTGCAAGCAGTTGCGGTCTCAATAGTGAAAACCAAAATGGGTAAGGCTTTTCTGGCAGTGAGTCTCTGACATGAACGGCTCCCTCTCTGCTCAGCGAGGACTTGGCCGCCCTCACTTGGAGTCTTGGTCTTTCTTTTCATCTAAAAGGGCGGAGTGGATCCCCAGCTTTTTCAGTTCTTCCACCAAGTCCCCATTCTGGTGCATCTGCAGAAGAATGTCACAGCCCCCTACAAACTCGCCATTGAGGTACACTTGCGGGATGGTGGGCCAGTTGGAATAGTCTTTAATGCCTATGGAGAAAGAACATTTATTTGTTATTTAAATGGTAAAAGCTGAACCATTCATGACTAAATATGTAATTTTGACCCACTAGTAGCAGACAACCCACTGTCCCTCCCTGGCTTCCCCCAATCTTGAGAACACTGTGCTTGCCACTAAGAGCATGAGTTTTTGTGTCAAAGAGACCAGTGGTTAGGCCCTGACTCTTCCAATTACAAACCGTCAGCCCTCAGACAAGTCACCTGACCTCTCATCCTGTTTCCACCCTCATCTCCCAAGGTTTTTTTTTTTGTGAGAATTAGGTAAGCAAGATTCTCAGTAAAATACCTGATACATTGCGGACCTTAGATTAATGGCAGAGGACTGGACTGGGTAATGCAAGTCACATAAGATACATAAGGCCAAAATTCTCCATCTACCAGTCAAGCTTCAAGCGAAACAAAACTTGAAGAAATGTCACAACCAACTTCATTTCCAAATGGATCCATCACGGTAATTCATGGCCAACTCGGGCAATCCCACCTGTGCACTTTTCATGACTGTGACTGTCTAAGTTGGTGCAGGCCGTCAGTCACTTCTCCTCGAGATGATGAGTTGTTGAGTTTTTTTTTTTTTTAATTTTTAACAATTACTTTTACCCAGGGAAAAATCCCTGTCCCACAGCTATGGGTTGTCAGTTCCCATCTATCCAGCCACTGTGATGGGCTCTCTGTGGAGTGGATGATGAGGCTCTGTGCAGAACCCGAAGTGACTGGTGAGTCTAATGAAGGCCCAGAGCTCAGCAAGGTCCCTGTCCAGGGCTGAGGGGTGGGGGAGTGAGACCCGCTCTGCTCTTAAGCGCTCACAGCAGCCAAGAAACCAACCAGCATGCATGTGATCAGTCCTGTGTGCAAATGGCTCTGAGGACACACATGAGATGAGGGACACTCTGTGACAGCGCAGCTGTGCAACTACTCTGTTCAATTCTGAGCCACAAGGATGATGACTGTAACAAAATGGTAAGAAAGAAATGTGGCTTCAATCTTAAGACATAAAAGATTACTCTTAACATTCCTCTTCATCAGTCTACTTCCTTTTCTACTTGTATGTTGAGATGACTGTGCTTTCAAAAACATAGTCGGCCATTAAAAAGCCTGTATTGGTCATGTTAAAAACGAAGATGGTCAAAGCATGGCATATAATAACTAACACTTATGTGACACTTTTATATTTACATAGATAGATATTTTTAAATGGCCAAAATGAGCATATGGATAAACAAAACGGAAAAGTCAACAGATTGTTCAAGTCCAGTACAGTTTACACAAATCGATTTTTATGTAAACAAACTAAAAATACAAAAACTTGCTCTTGATACCCTATAATTTATTATCAAACATTTTCCAAATAAAATTACTGATTTCAGTTATATCACAAGTCCCAATATACTATTTATTTTTTTCTTAAAAGTTATTGCCTTATTAAAAAAACTGACTTTGCTCTAAATGACAGCCCTAAAGAAAGCCCCTGAACCAAGGGCTTTATCTTCCTTCTCCAGACTTCACATATTAAGAAAGGGTTACATTGCTCTAGGCCTCCAAAAGGACACCTCTCAGCCACTCTGGGTGCTAGTAAAGAAACAACAGCTAGCTCTTTGGCAGCTGCCAATAAAGGGTAAATTCCATTAATCATCAAAATGTCTTTATAATGCCAAATATCTAGACATAGTAGAATACCCTGATGAATTCAAGTTGTTCATCATGGTGATGTTTGATGCTCCATCAACAAAAACAACTAGCATAATTTGTGTGTTTTTTTACTTTCTTCAAACTCTGTCCTCAAATACAAAGTCTATCAAAACTCACTTTTTACAATGATGCCGATTACAAAACTTTTACCTTTATGATGACTGAGAGCTGGGTGCGAGAATTAAGAAATATTTAAAGTAAACGTGAGCTTCTTTTCATTATCTTCAACTTTCTTAAATACCTTTTATACAAATGAATCATTTATGTGCATGAACGACCTGTTTTGTTTCAATGAATAATATATTGTGTGAAGCTTTCCATGATAATCAATTTTTACTGATTTATTTTGATGGATGTCTATAATTTCTGAAACACACCAAAAATGGAAATGTTTGCTGCCTGAGAACTACCCAAAACTACATGTTTTACCCAAAAAATACATGTTTTTAAAGTAAAATTGCTTTTCATCAATCACTTTTATAGTATCACACTCAATCGAAGCATTGGGCTTGCCTCATTGATTAAACTTTATGTTGCTGTTGATCATATGTCCTGACTACGAGAGAAGGGGAGACCCCCAGAATCCTTACCACCAAAATTATCAAAACAAGCAGGCTTTCAGACATTCTCAACACCCAACACACACAGCCACATGCAAGTGATACTAACTTCTCATGAGCCACCTGCCTGTTCTTGACAGCAGCTGACGGTTTATCAAAATTAAACTTAGCTGCTTCTTTAATTTTTAGATGAATAGGTGTAATAGGCAGCTGGCATCAAGGCCAAACGTTGGCACCCTTCTTAATGACTATGCTCTTTTCCATTTTTAAGAAAGTTGATTACCAGTTTAAATATTTAAGGAAATACCCAATTGCTTCCTATAGAGTGAAGTGAGAAACTCCTAATAATAATAAAAGACTACTCTTCATAAGTTGAATATTAAAATGAATCCTGCGGATCCACAAGTAACTGTTTACACATGGTTAATCTCTCTCACACTTTAGTTTTCAAAAACTGCAATATGCAGTGGTAGTTCTTACAAATATCACTTGAAATTAACTCAGAATCAGAGAGCTACTCCTGAAAATTAGAAAATCACATCCAAGAATGAATTTTAATGATAATCATTATTTCATATGTGATAGACGGTGGTGATTCCATCTGGGGCAGAAAATGCTGACTGCAAAGTTATATGGCAGAGTAACACTAGGAACTGGGAGTTAGGAGGCTATCTTACAAAGTCAGTTTACACGCATCTAATGCTCCACCAAAAAAACCCATACAAACAAATTCATATTCCAAAGTATCAACCCAGAAAGAGTACAGAAATGATACTTTAAAATTCCCTTCCAGAACTTTCAAAAGGTATTTTTCAAAATTCATCACATTCAGAACACTGGGCATTACTCCTGATTTGGACACTAAATTACGAGAGCAGCATAATCATAGTTTTCTTTCTTTTTATTTTTCCTGGTAGAACCTCACTACAGTAGCTTCAGAATCTGATATGAGTTCCAACTCTGTCTCTTACCTACTAGACTCTGTGATCTTGGGCAAGTTACACCACCTCTGAGAGTCACAATTTCTTCATATTCTCTAATTTAGAGAATGGCGTTAAGTCGAGATAAGATGATCTGAGCTGAAAGCACGGAAATCAGTAGACCCTCACTAGAGGAAAAGCAAGGCACGGGGCAGAGTGGGCAAGGCACAGGCTTAAGGATCAGTAGATCTGGTTTGCTAGCCTGTAAATGTAGCCTCAGACAAATCTGTTAATCTTTTAGCCTCAGTTTCCTCATCTGTAAAATGGGAATATACTCTACGCCTCACATATTATGAAGATTCCATGATATCTAAGGAATGAAATGAATTGAGCTCCCAGCATAGTACCAGGTACAGTGTGGACATTCTCTCCATACCAACATGCTCCACCACCCACCCTTCACAGTAATGCTTTTCTGAGAAAGGCAACAGAAAAAGCATAGGAAAATAAAGCAGGAAAAAGTGATTAAGTATACCCTAAAGTAATGAAAACGCCATTCAGGCCAGGTGCGGTGGCTCACACCTGTAATCCCAGCACTTTGGGAGGCCAAGGCTGGTGCATCACCTGAGGTCAGGAGTTCAAGACCAGCCTGGCCAACATGGTGAAACCCTGTCCCTACTAAAAATAAAAAAAATTAGCCAGGCATGGTGCCAGGTGCCTGCAATCCCAGCTCCTTGGGAGGCTGAGGCAGGAGAATCGCTTGAACCCGGGAGGCAGGGGTGGCAGTGAGCCGAGATTGCCCCCTGCACTTCAGCCTAGGCAGCAGAGTAACACTCTCTCAAAAAAAAAAAAATATATATATATATACCATTTATTGAGTTAAGGATTACTGAGTTTCATACTCTTTAAGCGTTTTACAAAAATAATCTTATTTAATCTTTACAAAAATCTGACAAGGCAGGTACAATTATCCCTACTTTACATAAGATGAAGAAACTAAGGCTCAGAAGGGTTAAGTAACTTACCGAAACTCACAGTGACAGCGCAGTGAAACCAGGATTTATATCCAGGCTTCCAGGAGTACAAAAGCCCAGACTCTTAACCACATGCTACCTGAGTCCCTCACCAGAGGTGGCCTCTACCCTCTAGCTGCCATCTCACTCCTGCCCAGGAGCTACAAGTGCACTGCACACATATCTGCAATATATGGGACTGTTTTATGCCTTTAACATTTACATATACAAATGGTATTATGCCATAATTACGTGTTTGCAACTTGCTTTTTGACTAAATATTGTATTTTTGAGATTCAGCCATGTTAAATACATCTAGATCTAGTTCATTTTAACTACAGTTTAGCTTTCCATCATGTGACTAAAGTTTATTTATCTGGTCTGCTGCTAATAGACCAAGATCCCTTCCTGTCAGTTTTTCATTATTGCAAGCCATGCTGCAATGAACGCGCCAACACAGGTATCCTAACACAGAGGTCCCCAACCTTTTTGGCACCAGGGACTGGTTTTGTGGAAGACAATTTTTCCACGGACCAGGGAAGGGTGGGGATAGCTTCGGGATGAAACGGTTCCACCTCACATCATCAGGCATTAGTTACATTCTCGTAAGGAACGCACAACCTAGATTCCTCACATGTGCAGTTCACAATAGAGTTTGTGCTCCTATGAGAACCTAATGTCGTCACTGATGTGGCAGGAGGCGGAGCTCAGGCGGTAAAGCTCACTTACCCACCGCTTACCTCCTGCTGTAAGTCCTCGATCCCTGGCCTGGGGGTTGGGGACCCATGTCCTAACACACACATGCAGAAGTCAGTCTCTAGGCCAGGGACAGATAAACTATGGTCTTCAGGCCAAATCCAGTCTACTTCGTAATTAAAGCTGTATTTTCATAAATAAAGTTTTATTGAAACTCAGCCTGCTCATTCATCTACATATTGCCCATGACTGACTTCAGGCTATATAACAGCAGAGTTGAATAGATGCAACAAAAACCACACAGCCCACAAAGCCTGACGTACTTAGTCTCTGGCCCTTTACTAGGGTAAGTTTGCAGATCCCCCTCTCTAGAATATATACCTAGGAGTCACGCAGCTGGGTCTTAGGCTCTGTTCACCCATAGCTTGACTGGGTACTGATAGTTACTCCTCCAAAGTGTTGGTACCATTTTATACTCCCATCTGCAGCATACATGTGCACCACACAAGCACATACACACAACTTGTTATCCAACTTTTAAGGTTCACCAGCATGACATGTTTCACTACTGTCTTCAATTCCCTGATACTGAAAAGGTGGAGCGTATTTTCAAATGCTTAATAAACATTCAACAACAGGATATGGTTATTTATTCAACAAATCATTTGAGTCCCTATTCTGTCACTGTTCCAGATGCAAGGACTACAATGATGATCTAAATCGGCAGCAAATGTTTATAATGCCTTTAAGGCCGCAGAGTTTGCAATATAATGATAAATAAAAGCAGTATTTATTTATTTATTAAAATGCTCACTGAAAGCTTGCTTTGCATAAGCGGTACACACAGCACCACAGGCAGTGGCATAAGACATATTCCCTCGTCTCTGGAGGGCAAAATACTATGTATAGACAAGCATGGTCTCAATGTGTTAAAAAAAAAAAAACTGTTAGGAACTAGATCTAAATGTTAATACAATAGTTTCCATAAATTACAGGTGATTTTCCTTCTTTAAACTTTTCAGTGTTTTCTACATTGCTTCCATGAGCATAAGTTCCTTTATTAAGACCAGGATTAGGAAATGATGATGTCAGTCTACTGGGACCTGATCCCTTTGTGACTGTCTTCTGTGTGCACTCCAGATAAAAAGAGAAGGACAAGAAGGTCTTGAGAAGGCCAGAACACAATGCTGCCTCATAGTCACCTTTGTTCCTTGGGTCACAGTCTCAAGATGTGTCTGTATCACACTCCTGGGAACCCAGTACTCAAAACTAGGAAAGAATGTTTTCCTCCGGTTTAGGCACTTTGTAAAGTTCAGGTCTCCTTGGCATAAGAACCAACAAAAGGCCAGTTTTGCAAGAGCTCCGTTCCTATTACTAGAAATGACCTTGGATCTGGTGTACAAACATAGTTTCGGCTGGCAAAAGCAAGCATCGGACAGCCCGTTAGTTGCTCTTGGTAAATAAAGCTGTATAGGGAAGAGGGGAAGAGTCTTAATAACCTGGCTGAACTAATCCCCATTTGGGGAACGTGCTTTTACCACCCTGCCCAGTCCAAATGTTAATACTTACTAATCTTTACTTTTCTAATCAATAAAAGAGGTATGTTATATTCAATATATATGCAACGCGTTTATTAACCAAAATAGCAATCTGATGAAACTCAGTGGTCAAGGAATGTAAGGGTTAAATTCCTGTCGCTGCTGTTTGAAAACTTAAGAAAGTAAGCTCAGAAACCAGACACCAGACGTGGATAAAAGACAGAAAAATAAAATGTTATCAGTACATATTCGTATTTTTGCTCCTATTTTCCGTTTACTAGCTATATTCCAGCATATCTCATTTCCAGTTATATTAAACAAGAGAAAATAAATTCACAAACCAAAGACCCTCGAAACATGATACTAAGCGAGATAACAACACCACTTTTTTACTAGTGCCATATTGGCAATTTGCAGGGGACTCCCTGCAAGGTCTCTGTCAAAAGACTGCAAAATAGTTACTCCTCTTTTAAGCAGAGAAGCTGTCTTCGAAGGAAGACTGCAGGTCCCTTGCCTTGCACATGATAAAACTGAGCCCAGTAACTGGTGGCATACTAGTTGACAAGGAAGACAAAAGGGTCATGAGAATAACACATGGTAATATTACATATACGTGGTAATTTGAACCTGCCCTCTCGACTCCTCAACTCAACATGCTTTCTAGGTCCCACCCACCACCACTATCACCTACAGCAAATGGAGGATCAGTTATCCCCAAGAGTCTTTAAGGACTAGATAATCTGGGAAAAAATACATTTGAAAACCATCAAGTGCTAATACGAAGCCAGCTACCATTTACCGGGTGCTTTCTGTGCCAGGTAAAATAATACACACTTTCTATAATTTTTACTTTGGCTTCCTAACACAAACTTTGCCAAATTGTCTCATTATCCTCAAATGCAGGTGAGTGACTTAAGTTTTACACCTGATTAGCCACAGAAGAGGATGTCAACCCAAAGCTTTTCCAAACACCAGCCTGTCTCATCATTGTAAGCAATGACTATGATTAGTAATTTCGAATTTAGAGTAACAGAGAACCTGGCACCTATTTTTAGCACACAACTGGCACCTCTTTTTAGCTAGGGACATGCAGGGACTCAGTCACTGAAAGTCTCTAACTGGGATGCAGGTATCCTAAGTCACTCTCTAGAAGGAAAAGGTACAGCCTTCCCAGTTTTCCACCAACCCTGACCATCCTGGCCAAGGAGCAGGCCCTTGTGCCTGGCCTCTTCCTCCTCCCCTACTCAGATAAGACTGGCGAATGCACGTGGAGTACTTGGAAAAGATGCTTATTAGCTGCAGCCTTCCCTCTCCCGGCCTAATCCATCTGGTCCCTGGTGCCCTGGCCCCCTGGGCTCCAAGGCTGAGCCAGTGAGTTAGCCCAGGGCCCAGGAGCCAGGGCTGCTTCTTTTCCCCACAAACCTCTCCAAGCCCTGGCCCACATAAATTCAGCCCTGTGCTTGAGTATCTAAAGCCAAATGTCATGACTCTTCCCCGACAACATAGATCCCGACTAAGGTCAGCCGACAGCTGTCCCAACCCTTTGCTTGTAGCAACCACAGAGGATGATGCTTGACACCCTGAGCCGTGAGCCAAGCGAGATCAGCCTCCGACCTCACTAGCCTCAAGGGCAACCTCAGCCCTCTCCCCACCATCGACAGCCCTAGACCTTACCCACGAGTAGGCCAATGGCTTCCAACCTCCCCAAAGTGTCCGCGAAAGTACCTATCTCACAGTGGGTCCTTACTATGAGTTTCCTAACCGTGCAGAGCAGTCAGGCAGCGGGCCACCCTCCTCCGAGTCAGTCATTGACAAATCGCCCCGAAACGCCTATATTAGCTCGAAGTGAGGATAAGTGAACCTTTAGGACTTTACCTACTGCTCAAGTTGGCAACAGTACAGAGCCCCAGATCCTCAAGACCCAGTGAAATCAACTACACCCTCAGCCCAGACTCTACTCCAGGGCAGTACTCCTCGCCCTAACCCGGCTCGAACCTTCAGACAGACCCCGGCGGATGGAGCCCCGCTCCCCAGCCCGGCGCGGCGGAACCCCTCGGCCTCGTGCAGCGATGCTCCTGGGCCCGGGGCGGAGGGCGCCTGCCCGGCACACTGGCCTGACCTTGTCGGAGCTCCGGGTCGTCCAGCACGTTGTAGGCCGCGTAATCGCGGACGCCGTGCAGCCGCAGGATCTGCACCACGGCGTTGCTGAAGCCGCACTGGGGCTGCTCCGGCGTCCCCTTGAGGAAGACCACCACCTTGTCCTTCTTCACCAGCGCGTCCAACTGCTCCGCCGAGCCGCCGCCGCCCGCGCCCGAGCCCGCCGCCCGCACGCCCGGACCCCAAAGGCCACCGCCGCCCGCGCCGCGCCCCCAGCGGAGCAGAGCCGCCGCAGCTCGGCCGAGGGACCCGCTCATCTCCGCACGCAAGCCGGAGCCCACGACGGCCCGGGCCCACAGCTGGCCACCCAGAGCGCTCCCCGGCCCGCGGCAGTCCGACCCGCCCCCTGGAGGCCCTCATTGGGCCGGCTCTAAACTGCCCTCCGTGATTGGACAATACTGATCAGTAATTACTCGATTCCACCAATCATGTTGCTCGTCCCGCCCGGCAGGTAGGAGGTGGGCCTTATGCCGGAGCCTCATCCTACTGCCTTACTATTGGTCGTCGGCAACCGCTTTGTTAGTTAATTGGAGAGACTGGATGTCCATCAGGGTCACGCTTGCAGGGCAACGAGAGGCAAAACAAGAGGGAAGACGACTTTCCTCCTGTGAGCCAATGAGGCCAGCTGGACTACGCCGAGACAACTGGGAGAGGCGCGGGACTCGCCCGTTCCGCGGAACGCCGGGAAGGGGTCACCTCCTGATGAAGTTTCCGGTTCCGGTGTCAGCGGCGGTTGAATTGCCATGGCAATGCGGTGGGCGCGCGCTTGTCGTGTTGGTCTCTTGGGAGGTAGCGGGGCTAGGCCGGGCGGGTATCCGCCTCTCCCAGCTTAGGTGAGCGTCCCCGGGCGCCTCCGGAGCGCCGCGGCCGCATGCAGTTCGTCGTGGCGGGGAGCCGGAGCCTGACCGGGGTTCCAGCGCTCGGGCCGTAGCCTTGGCTCCTGGACTTTCCCTGGCTCCGCCGCCACGTGGGAGCTGAGGCTCTGGGGCTTCCGCCTCCGGCGCGCGATTATTTCTCTAGAACAGTTTTCATTTTTAAAATTTGTAAAGCGCTTTTGCCTGTGTGATTTCCTCTGGGTTTTTTTTTTTTTTCTTCCTTTTTGTAGAGACGGAATTGGCGGCGGGGGCGGGGGGTCGATGTCTCACTTTTTTGCCCAGGCTGGTCTCGAACTCCTGGCTTCAAGGGATCCTCCTGCCTCGGCCTCTTAAAGTGCTGGGATTACAGGCGTGAGCCACCGCCCCCGGCCGCCTCTGAGTTTCCAGCCTCGTTGGCCCTCCAGCCTTTTAACCTGTTGGGCCTAGGATCAGGAAAGGTTTGTTGAATGGGGAACTAAGAAGTGAATTCGTTCGTTCGACAAACGTTTCCTGAGCAGCCGCTGGGTGCTAGGCGCAGTGCCAGCGCGGAATGTCCAGGGAGACCTGGTGCCCAAAGCTTGGACCCATCGTGAGAAATGAGAAGCAGATACAAAGCAGTGTGGGAGTGCAGAGGAGACAAAGCAAGCCTCATCAGGCCCATTGCTTGCTCTGCTCTCCCTTGTACTTACCAGTGCTTGACAATATACAGTTATTTACTAGCTTGGTTATTGACTTCCTACCCAGCACTCAGTTTTATTCACTGCTGTATCCTCAGTGCCTAGGACGATGCTTGGAACGTGGTAAGTGCTCCTATTGGCGGGAAGAATAAATCCGGAAGAGCAGGACCAGTGGACTTGCTACATAATCTGTAGTCTTGGAGCCGCACAGGGTTGGTGGTACCCTCGAGCACACCAGACTTGCAGAAAAAGCATACTCCAGAGGAAGCTGAGGCATGCCTGCTCGAGAGCCAGCTGTTCCATGTGCAATTTTCCTCTGATAGTTTCTGGTCACTGTTGCCACGGTGATAATGACTGGGCTATGTCATTATCTATCCGCCAACAGTAAGAGAAGCTTTGCAGTCGAGATATTGTTTAGCAGATGGAGTGTTTTCTGTTGAACACTAAGTACTGCCACAAGTTACTTTTTTTTTTTTAAACTTTGAGTATTTTTTTACAATGTTGCTGGAGGTGATCTGTTTATGCTTTGAGAGTGTTCGAATTTAAAATCAGAAAATCATGTCAGTGAGTGAGTCTTTCAAATAATCCTTCGGCATGAAACCTGAGCCTAGTAAACTATGAAAGTAAACTCGGCACATTACCCGAAAGTCTCAATGTCATATTTTCACCCCCATCAATATTATTGATGATTGCTCATTTTCTAATGTGGGACCTGAAATTTACCAGGTGCTTAAAGAATCTTTTTGTTTTTCAGATTCATTGATTCCAGGTAAATCAGAGGAACAAGCAACATGAACAGAAATATGTAGAAAAAGCTATTATGCAGAAGCATAATTGTTGTTTCAGAAGTCCAGCATCTGGTGCACTTAACAATAGAGAATATATTAAACTCTTTCCAAAATAACCTGTTGTTCCTACCTGTGTTGTAAGTGTTTTGTTTGTTTTTAAGTAAATATTGGTGATTTGTTGCCAAAAACCTAAACTGTTTGTTGCTGTCAACTTAAATAACGAACAGAGAGAGGCTCTCTAAAAGAAAATGGCATTTATTCAGGAATAGAGCACTGCAATGAGAAAATGCATGCGATAGTTAACTGTGTGTATCCTGGGAGATAGAGGAAGACAAAGGTCTTTAAAGGAAAAATGAGGAGGGTTACATAATTGTTTTGAGATAATTATTTTTGACTACAAGGATCAGTAACAAAGGTGACACCAGTCCCAGGTTGGACAGGCAGGTGCTCGGCAGGCATTGCAGAAGTATTTTTTGTGTAAGATTGAGATGGCCTTTGTGCAGGATTGTGGTTTTGGAATCTTCTGTGATCGTTTTTGCTATCAGGCATTTATGCTTGCGAACTCTTTATGGCCTTCCCTGTGTCTATTTTGATTCCACCTTTCTCATTGCCCACTCTAAACTGTAATTCTGCTTTTATGTTGACTGAGATCAGGAGAAGAATTTGCAAACTTATATCCTGAGACAGAACAGTAATGAGGAGTATCGTGTTCCTTACCTAATGTATAATATTGGGCTCAGAAGCAGTTGTCTTTTTTATTTGTTGAACGTTGTATTAAGTTGAGAATGCAGCTGCCATTAAAGATTAAGAGTAATCCTTGAGAAGGAAGAGTACAAAGCCTGTGTTTTGCTAAATCATAGTGAAGTTGCCGTGTTTTTGTAGAATATGATAAGAACATACAGTGTGTGAAATGCTAAGGATATGGAAAAGCATGTTGGTGCTCTTTCAAGGAGCTATTTTGATAGCATGAGCAAGGGCAGGAAACAGATCATGTATCTGAACCAAAGAAATTGAAACAATACATCTAAATTTAAATTTTTAATAAAACAACCCAAAATATAGTGAAATACTTAGCACCAAACATCAGTGATCTTAAGAAGCAAAGAAAACAGTATTCAAAATACTTCGTCCAAAGTATCAGACTTTTGCATAAAGTTTGGCATTTTGGTTTTGAGATTCCTCTTTAGTCCTATGATGAAAACATGACAAAATATACATCTTAAATAAACAGTTGTCATCAGTCTGCATCTATGACCAGATGTTTTGGGTGTTTTGAGTAAATGGCCTGTCTTAGCATGTGATGGCTTCCTGCCTCGTGAACATTAGTGAAGAGGTGAGGGTGGGAAGTACTCAGGAACTTCTGAGAATCCTGGGATTTGAGTCACAGGATTGGTTAAACCCCAAACTAAATAATCATGCCGTGTAAACATGCTGACTCAGGCATCCTAAAAATGTTTTTCTTCCTTGTGTTTATTTATAGATAAGGCTTTACTATATTTGGTAGAACTCCTGTTTTCTATCCACTTCTCCAAAAACAAATTCGCCATTGAATTCATCGTGTAAACCTCCACATATCTGAGATAGCTTCTTCCGTTTATCAGCCCCAAATGAAGAACTAGAGTTCAGATTATTGAACTGAAGGTGATGCTTTATCTGAGCACTCCACATGTCAGTGTTTCTGTACCTTTACTTTTTTAAAAAATTATTTTTTAAAAAGATGAGGTCTCAGTAGGTTGCCCAGACTGGTCTCCAACACCTGGTCTCGAATACTCCTCCCGCCTTGCCCTCCCAAAGTGCTAGGGTTACAGGTGTGAGCCGCCGCACTGGCCCTGTTCATTTTATGCTCAGTGCTGCATTCTTGTTTGTTCTTAGAAAATGAGAGGGTGTGTTTGCATGAGAACGTGTGGTACAGAAGTGTCTATCTGAGCTGGCCAGAACATTCTGCAAATGTCATATTAAGGGCAAAATGGCTGCTTGGATTGTACAAGGGGCCGAACCACCACGCATTCCTAAGCTAAAATAGCAGATTCTATTGACCTGAGCTGGAACCTGAAAGCTTCCTCTGTGATGCACTGAGCTATCATCTAGTAGTTTTAGAGCATCACTGCAACCCTGGAACTACCTGGATTCCCTGATAACACCAAAAATAATGTAATGTATAAGAAACTGAAGCAAAATGCAGCCCTCAGAATTTTTCTAGTCCCTATTGTGGAGATAGAAATGCTTGTTGGATTTCGACTACCTCTATCTGACAAGGCAGCTGGTTTATTAATACTTCTTTGGCCGAGGCTTTGCTCATCCCTGCCGCCCACATCTTGGAGACAGGAAGGCAGGCCAGCCTCCACTGTGTCACACAAGTCCTGCTCCCTTCACCTGCCCTGAGTCACTGGGTCACTGAAGAGAAAGGGCATGCTGTAGATCTGGTTAGTTCAGTCTAGAATAGACCGTGGGAGATAGGTGAGCATTTATGAAAAGCCCAGATGCCATGACAACCCAGTTTTGTCCTGGAATTTGGGTGGAGGTGTAGTCCTGGGTTCTGGTCTTAAACGTCGCTGAGTACTTGAGTTCTTTTTGATTTTCCTCAGATTTTTCCACATCTATTTTCCCCTTTCTGGATTTTGGAAAAATCCAAATTGATGTCTGCCGAAGTTTGTATATAATTGAAGAATTTCTTCATATAAAGGCTGCAGCGTTGTAAGAAATCTGTGTGTACTTTCTCTGCTCATAAATATTTACCCCCAAATGTTATCATCTTGCATAGATTGTACTTTTTTGTTAAATTTTTGTGTGTATACATGAATTCATTCGAAGCATACATTAACCCTAGGATAACAGTTCTCAGACATTTTGGTCTCCAAATTATGTTTTTTTCTAATATAATATGTTGATAGACATTAGCACTTGTGTCTCTAAGTTTTGTTGCCTTCACATGCAATTTCTGTTTTCCTGCTGATTCATAGCATCACCAACAAGTCCTGTAGAAAATCAACTATCCCAGTTATCTTTGCTGGCTCTGCATATATACTAGATACACAGATGATTTTTGGGCTTTGTAAATTAAAATGACAAAAGTTCAATCCAGAGATCTAATAGCTGGACGTGGTGGCTCACATCTGTAATCCCAGCACTTTGGAAGGCCAAGGCGGGCAGATCACCTAAGGTCAGGAGTTCAAGACCAGCCTGGCCAACATGGCGAAACCCCATCTCTACTAAAAATACAAAAAATTAGCCGGACGTGGTAGCGGGCACCTGTAATCCCAGCTGCTTGGAGACTGAGGCAGGAGAATTGCTGTAACCCAGGAGGCGGAGGTTGCAGTGAGCTGAGATCTCGCCACTTCACTGCATACTCCAGCCTGGGCAACAGAGCGAGACTCCAACTCAAAAAAACAGACAAACACACAGAAAACCAAAAATCTAATAAAAAAAAATCTAAGCCTATAGCCTGCTGTTTCTGAAAGCTATGTTCCTCTTGTCCCCACGCTGCTTTCTCGCATTGAGGGCCAAGCTCCTCGGCTGCGTGCCTTGAAAGTCATACACCTGTTGGATTTCATTCTGTTGCAAGCCTTATTTAATAACAAGGACATGGGCCTGAATCATATCTCCCGGAAAGTGGTATTGAGAATTAAGTGGTAATCGTAAAACTTGTTAAGCCTTTTGGTTAAAGGTGATGAAAGAATTGTTTATTTTCCCCAACTGCCTGTTTAATGGCAGTGTTTTGTAGTATTATGTGTTTCTTTTTTTTTTAACCAGCAGATAGTTTCTATAACTCAAATTATTACATTCCAGAGACCTGAAAAGGTCCCTAGATCGCAGAATAGAAAGAGTAAGGAGGCAGTGCTGTTGTGTATCCAACCTGTTAGGAAGATTTATCTGTTAGCAGAAGTTTATGTCTCCCTCTGATAGTCACTGAGTTTGCAGCCAGAAGAACATTTAGGAAATTTAATTGTTTTCTTTTGAATAATTGCTAAGATGTATTGCCAAGGCCATAAATACACTTTATCATGAGTCAGAATTTCACTTTGTACTTCAGTCTTTGAGCTTTAATAATTTCATGCCTTCAAAATGCAGTCTTGCTATTGTGGGAACCCATTGCTCCAGCCTTCTTCAATCGTTCATCTAGGCCTGGCGCAGTGGCTCATGCCTGTAATCCCAGCACTTTGGGAGACCGAGGCGGGTGGATCACCTGAGGTCAGGAGTTCGAGACCAGCCTGGCCAACATGGTGAAACCCCGGCTCTACTAAAAATGCAAAATTAGGCGAGCATGGTGGTGGGTGCCTGTAGTCCTAGCTACTTGGGAGGCTGAGGCAGGAAAATTGCTTGAGCCCAGGAGGTGGAGGTTGCAGTGAGTCAAGATCGCACCACTGCACTCCAGCCTGGGCGACAGAGCAAGACTCTGTCTCAGAAATAAACAAATAAATAGAAAACAGTTCATCTAGCAAAAAAGAAATTCACCCCAGTTTAATTGCAGGGAGGGGAGGGATGATTCAAGTTAGAAATGGGATGAGGCATTAATTATTCATTTTCCTTTGCTGGCAAAAAAAAATGGAGGATTTTAAATTTTTTTGTTCTCCTTTTACAGCCAGAAAAATCCTATTTGCTAATTCTAAACTTAATATTTTTTGAAAGGGTATCCTAGTGAGATATTGTTCATTGATATCAAATTTTAGTGAGCCACAGTTTCAAAGAGTTTTAATAAAAGACTATCAAAAGACTGGGTGTGGTGGCTCATGCCTGTAATCCCAGCACTTTGGGAGGCCGAGGCAGATGGATCACCTGAGGTCAGGAATTTGAGACCAGCCTGGCCAACATGGTGAAACCCCATCTCTACTAAAAATACAAAAAATTAGCCGGGCGTGGTGGCGGGTGCCTGTAATCCAAGCTACTGAGGAGGCTGAGGCCGGAGAATCACTTGAACCCAGGAGGCAGAGGTTGCAGTGAGCCAAGATCACGCCATTGCACTCCAGCCTGGGCAACAAGAGCAAAAGTTCATCTTAAAAAAAAAAAAAAAGACTATCATAAAACAATTACATTTTGTTTAAAAAAAAAGGAGTTTTTTTTGCATAAGCTTTATTACATAGGCAAAATTGGGTGACTTGAGGAGAAGCTGTTATATTGGCAAACCTTCTTCCCTCTCCAGATAGACGGTGATCTGGCATTTTCATATCATAGCTGTATGAGTGCAGCCTTGAGGGGACATGCCAGTCTAGTCGATGTGAAATCAATGGGATATTCCCGTTGGTTCATCTCTTCATACCATGCAGCCACAGATCCGTGATAATCCACACATACTATTGGCTGTCTAATTACAGAGCAAATAATATCCTCTTACTTGAAGGAATTTTTACTTGTGTTCAGAAAAATAACACATCTTTCAAAGTCATTCTGGTTTTGAGAAATACATTTTATAATAGAATGAGTCTCTGTCTTTCCTGGCAAGGCAGGTAGGGGGCACTAGTCTATTTTACTGAGGAAGCTGGGGCAAGAGCCAATAAGGGCTGCCCCTGTAATTATACATTCTCTGGGAATTAATCATTTTGCTCAATTCTAGGAAAAGTCTCTCAGTTCTTACCCAAGTGCTATTCTTATTTTAGGGAATAGCTAACTTACTTAGTTTTCTAATATAACCACAACAGATCAGAAGCAGTAAATTTTAAAAGGCTAACACTAAAAGCAGAAAGAAACAATGACTGAACAGTAAGTGAAAGGTGAAGCACTAAGAGGCAGACATTCTGGGATTCTTCTTAAAAAGCAGCATTCTGGGGCATTCGATGTAAGGAGGGGCGAACAGTCTTCACCCGTGACTGTTCCTTGTGCACTAGTGCCTTGTATTATGCTTCCGAGCAAGAAAAAGAAATTCTTTTCCCCATGCTCTGAATAGGAAGTCAAGGAAACATGCAGTTTATTTTAGCTTGCCAACAAAAACTACACACACACACACACACACACAGCTTAAGGTTATGTTAAAAAAAGGAATACTTTACTCCATTGTGCCAGATAAAGTTATTCTAACTCTGTTACATACTTCATGTTAGTACTTGGAAGACACCTTGGAAATACCTAGTACATTTCATCAGGTGTTGAGGGACTGAATAATACTGGTGTAAAGTTGAATTTTTCTAACTGTGTAAACCAGTGGGCTTGATAAGAGAGCTCAGCCGACGTTACGTCAGAAAGGGCCGTCCATAAAGTGGTTCTGCAAATGCTGATGTCAACCCAGGACACACAATTAGAGGCCTCAAAGAATATAACCACCTCACTTGTGCTACTACCCAGCCCTGTTTCACAGTGGTTGGGGATCAGAACCTCTTCAGGGAGTGTATGCATTGTAATTGTATCTGTTTATTCCTCCCCCCACCCCCACCACGCACACACTAGGCCATCAACTTCTAGTTGGGTAGGATTCATTTTTGTAACCTGGTGCCCTAGTGCCATCCCTGGCACTTACTATATGTTCAATAGATAATTCTTGAATAAAGAATACATAACCTGGTGAACAATACAGAGCAGGATCTCAGCAAATCCCAAATTGTGTGAAACTCATAATATCGAGCACAGGTGCCATAGGAGGTGGAGAAACATTCAGTGAGGCACCCACAGGCTCTGCGCTAAGCAGGATACAGAGTGGAGTAAGAGGCTGCCAAATCCCAAGGACCTCGCAGTCCTGTGATGGGGACAGATGCAAGAATGCCCCCGAGAACTGGAGAAGGGAATGGAGCTCTCGGAAAAAGCTCAGTCAGCGCCTAAGGGATAGGAAAAGCTTAGTAGGGGGTGACACTTGAACTGAGTTTTGAGAGAAGGGTAAAGTGCTTCTATATAAAAAGGAGGGACATTCCAGGAAGAGGGAGCAACCAGGGCAAAGGCACAGAGGCCCCTGGGTCCACTGGGAGAATGCCAGGCCGTTTCTTGAGAAATGCAGGACTGGACATAGCTGAGGGGAGGACAGATGGTAAGGGACTGGGCTCTCCTCCTCTGGATGAGGGAGAGTCCCAGGAGGAGTGTAAGCTGCAGAGTGCTTGAGAGATCACCCTTGCGGGAGTGTTGATGGATTGGAGGTGGCCGAGCTAACGGGGCCACTTAGGAGAGGGTCATCAGATTTAACCTTTGCAGGTATTGGGGTGGGGGCATGGGGGAAGGGCACTGCTGCAAGCTGAGTTCTTTGAAGGTAGGGATGACAGCATTTGGTGACTGGCTGACTGTGGGGAGGGGGCTGGGAGGAAGAGGGGAAGATTCAGGCTTATTCCTAGGGTTTTGCTTAGCCACTGACTGCACTTGATGATGCAGGGAATACAGCGGGAGGGGGAAGGAGGATTGGAAAGGTAAGTTCAGGAATTACTTTTGGACATTTCTGTTTCCAGGTGCCTGAGGAACATCTAAATCATCAGGTTATGTCTGAAATAAAGGGAGAGAGTATGCAGATTATTGCCTCTACGGGTCTGGATCTATTGATAAAGGAGATTTGGGCGGGTGGGGGGGCAAGAAGGAGTGCAGAGAAGAAAACCTGGGGAACGCATATCGCTGGGGAGGGACAGGCCATGAGGAGAACTAGGAGCAAGTGCTTTAGGGAAGAGGAATTTACCAGAAGCCACAGAGGGCCTGAGCATGAGGGCTCACACCTGTAGTCCCAGAGCTTTGGGAGGCCGAGGCAGGAGGATTGCTTGAGGCCACATGCTCTAGACTAGTCTGGGCAACATAGTGAGGCCCCATCTCTAGAAAAAGTTTTAAGTTAGTTGGGAGCAGTGGTGTGTGCCTATAGTCCTAGCTACTTGGGAGGCTGAGGTGGAAAGATAACTTTAGCCAAGGAGTTCTAGCCTGCAGTGAACTATGATAGTACCACTGCACTCCAGCCTGGGCAACAGAGCAAGGCTGTCTCTTAAAAAAAAAAAGGAAGCCACAGAGAGAGGCCAGGTAAGGACCCAGGGTCTCGTGGATTTTGCAATGGAGGTAAACACAGTGTGGGCTGATGCAATCAGTGTTTGCTGCCCTTGGGCGCTTCGCTTCACCTCTAAGGGGCTCTGCAACGTGATAGAGTTGGGCCAGTGAATTTGTCAGGTGTCTTCTGGCTGTTACTTTTGTCTGTGTGTGAACCTTTGTTTTAGGCCATTTCTGTAGTTAGTGAACAGAGCAGATAGAGTCCAGTCATTTTGCAGAAATGTTTCCATTTGGATGATGAAACAAGCTTGATTGCTGAAGCTGGTGCACTCATCCCATTGGCATGGTGCTAGCCGAGACCTTTGAAATACCTGAGGACACCTCTTGCCTGTTTATAGAGGTTGCTTCTGTCTGCTGAATAGGGCTTTGTAATTAACCAGGAGGTGCATTTAGCGACACTGGCCATTTTTCTCTGCATACCAAGTCTACAACATCAAAGAAGAAATTTAGGATGAAAGTTCTTTAAAATCTTAGGCCAGGTGCTGCAGCTATTGCCATTGCAAGGACCTGCGGCAGTCCTGTTGGAAAATGTTTGTTCTGCATGTGTTCCATGCCAGTTGTTGGCAATAAGATTCTAAGGTTTTGGAACTAGACTACTGCAATGAAACAACTTTCTCTGTTAGGGAAGTGTCCTGGGCTGTCAAGAATTATCATCAAGAGCAGCAGGTTTTATAAGATACATGGACCTATTTGGCATTTACCAGCCCATGCCGCTAGGATAGAGGGACAGGGCTGGGCCCCAAGTGTGGGCTTCCCGGAAGAGCCAAGCACCGGCTGCTCATATGGGATGGGTGGGGGTGGTGCAGGTGCCCTGCATGGGTTCCACTGCCCTAAAGAGGGTACAAAGGCCACACCTCCGTGTGTCTGCCAGGGCTGGGTTCAGAGCCTCCCTGGCTTCCTGGGCACTCTGCCTATCACACAGCGATTCCAATATGATCACATGTTCAGAACAGCCACACTTGTCAAAGCAAGGAGAGAACACTTCAGCAACGTTCAAAAACATGTCTCCAGGGATTAAAAAAAAAACACGGAAAGCTTCATTTTCCTCCCTAGTGGGGAAGTCTTCCTTACTCACAGCCTCTTCCTGAGTTGGTGTCTGTCGTGAAGCATTCTTTGGAAGCATAGTAAGCGGAGGGTTTAATTTACCATAGTCGTACACATTTGCACAGAATCTAAAGTTTGCAGTGCGTTTCATCATCTTTATGTGAATCTCATGCAGCTCTTACAGGGAAAACAGGAAGAACTGGCCCCATTTTCTAAATGTGGAGACAGGAGGAGGTGAGATGGCTCGCCTCTGCCCAGCCGACTGGGAAATGCAGAGCTCAGAGAGACAGCAAGTCAGGAGATGTTGATCCAGGGAGCTTTTCACTCTGCCACCCACCCCATCGATGGAAGCACCGACATTATCAAGGCTGCATTTAGATTTCAAAACAAAAGCAAGCAAACATGCCGGGCTCGTGGTATGCTGTTGTTTTAACCGAAATGATACAGCTGAAAGGGTGAGCAGCCATCAGTGCTGTGAGCGAAGCGTGATCACACATCTTGTATGTTTAGCAACTCAGGAGGTAGCTGAGCCTGGAAGTGACTTTCCTGGTATGTAGCAATTCAGAGAATACAAAACCACATTCATTATCTGAAATGGGCTCAGCTGCTTCTGTGTTTTATCATATAGAGCTGGGAACTTTGATGTGTGTGGTGTGTGCGTGTTTTGCTGCATATACAGATAATCACACAACTGGAGGCTTCAGCCTTGCTGTTTACACACACACACACACACACACCCCAGCAGATACATCACACACAGACTTCTCACCTGTTACGTTACTAACAGTGGTGCTGGTTTGTTTGAACAGTGTTTGAACTTATCAATAACCTTCCTCCAGAAGGCTCAGCATAGCTATAGCATATGCTGTGTGTGGAAAATATAACCTAAGAAACAGAATGGAATTGAATCATGACCACTATTGCTATGAGACAGAATCCACAGCGATGGAGTGGGTGCTGGGGTCAGACTGCCTGAGTGTGTACCCTAGGTGAGTCACATAATAGCTGGGTGAATGGCCAAGTTTTCACCTTTTTTCCCTCATTTGGAAAATGGGATGATAATAGGAGCTATCCTGAAGGGTGATGATGAGGGTTAAATTAACAATATAGGTAAAGGCTTAGAACAGTGTGTGGCAGATGGTAGGTAAGCCCTTAATAAATATAAAATATCATTATTTGTGTCCATCATTTGAGATATATCTCACATCTTATCCAGAGGACTCCCCAAACACTCGTGTTGTCACTTCTCTTTCCTGTCTCTGGGTTCCTCTACAAGTCAGTTTTGTACCATGCAGTCTCGCATTTGATGACATGCAGCATTACTTAGTTCTGTGAATGATTCGTGTGTCTTAATGTCACTTCCCCAACAGACTGTAAATTTCTTGATGGCAAGAACCATGTAACTGGTTTTTGTTAGATTTCTGCAACTCAAGACCCAATCCTGGGCAACTGTTGGACACTTAAACATCCTTCATCACTAGCTGCGTTCATCACTAGGAAAAAGTAAGAGAAATCTGATGGTATGGGATTGTAAGTGGGTATTAGATCCAACAGCTGAAACTTAAGATGTGAAGATGTATATTGACACACATGTGCGTACAAAATGTTTATAGCAGCTTTATTGATAATAGCCAAAAACCAGGAACAACCCGGATGTCCTTCAACAAGGGAAGGGTGACCCAGCCCGTGATGCATCCGTCACACTGTGGATTGCTGCTCAGCAACGAGGAGGCACAGACTCGATACGGGAGCCAGCCTGGGTGACGCTCCAGAGAACTACCCTGAGTGGAGAAGGGCAGTCCCACCGTGTGATTCCATTATTATCACATTCTTGAAATGACAGAATTATAGAAAGGAGAACAGAGGAGTGGCTGCCAGAGTTTAAGGAGGGAATGGGGAAAGGGGGAAGAGCAGCATGCGGGATCCTTGTGACGGAAGCGTTTTGTGTCGTGTGGGTGTCTGTCAGTTTCCTAGCTGTGATACTGTACCATTGTCTTGTAAGATGCTGCCATCGGTGGAAACTGGGTAAAGCATATAGGGGACCTCTCTGTATGATTTCTTACAACTGCATGTGAATTTACAGTGGTCTCAAAATAAAGCATTTAATTAAACAAAAAACCCACATGCATTTAAAGTAGTCCCAACAGAAGCAGAAAGAATAGACCAGGCTTCCCACTGTTGGGAGAAACGAGAAACATGGCAGACCTCTTCCAGAAGAATTTTGTATATTTTCTTTGTTTTCTGTTTTTGTTTTTTCTTTTCTTTTCTTTTTTTTTTTTGAGATGGAGTCTCACTTTGTCACCCAGGCTGGAGTGCCGTGGCCTGATCTCAGCTTACTGCAACCTCTGCCTCCTGGGTGCAAGCAATTCGTCTACCTCAGCCTCCTGAGTAGCTGGGATTACAGGCACCCACCACCATGCCCGACTAATTTTTTTTTGTATTTTTAGTAGAGATGGGGTTTCACCATGTTGGCCAGTCTGGTCTTGAACTCCTGACCTCAGGTGATCAACCCTCCTCGGCCTCCCAAAGTGCTGGGATTACAGGCATGAGCCACCGCACCCAGCCAGATTTTATTTTTTAGGAATAAAATTTATCAATTTTCCTTTAACACTTTTGTTTATCTTAGTATTTATTCCTTGGAGTATAATAGTAGTGGTGTTTAGTTATGTTAAATGATGATTGTTTAATACAAACAAGATCTTCTTTTTTCAAAAAGATATATAATGGAGAGAGAGAGAGACAGGGTCTCACTCTGTCACCCAGGCTGGAATGTAGTGGTGCAATCATGGCTCACTGCAGCCTTGACCTCCCAGGCCTAGGCAATCCTCCTGCCTCAGCTCCAAGTAGCTGAAACCAGGCATGCACCACCCTGCCTGGATAATTTTATTTATTTATCTGTAGAGACGGGGTCTCACCATGTTGCCCAGACTTGTCTTGAACTCCTGGGCTCAAGCGACCCTCCCACGCTGGCCTCCCAAAGTGCTGGGATTACAGGAGTGAGCCACTGTACCTGGCCAGCCAATACAATATATATATGTATGCGTGTGTGTGTATATATATATATATATATATATATATATATATACACACATACACACAATATATCATAATGTATTATGTATATTACATTACATATATTACATTGTATATAATACTGTGTGTGTGTATATATATATTTCTTATAGTTACTTAAATTGGGGGAATAATTTAGAGAAAATCTTTTTTAATTCTCTCATTTCACAGATTCAAAAACTTAGAAGTGACCCAAGGTTACACAGCTAGTTAGCAGCCTTAACAAGAGTTAGAACCCCATCATCCGAGAATCCAGTCCTGTATGTTATATATAATTGTATTTTATAAATGCAGTACAATTAAATGTATGTAGAGGAATATTCCAAGTTACTCCAGTTCCCCTGCTTGGTACTGAGATGACTCATTGCCACCCAGAGGGGTACCTCTGCTCAGTTGATGGGTGGCAGCTGCCCATGAGGAAGTGAACAAACCAGGGTGCTGGCTGTGCTCACCCTAGAAGCACATGTAGCACCCAAGTGGGAAAGGACAGGCTAACACTTGGAGAACCGGCAAGGAAAAAACAAAGAAGAAGGAAAAGTTCAGAGCAGAACTGGGTTGAGAACGAGCTCTCCAGGCTCAGACCAAGACCTCTCTGATGGGGCACCCCAGAAGTGGGCACCCTTAATGTGAGCTTTTCATCCGTATTAAGCTGAAAGCACTTATGTACTTCACCACTAAGTGGGAAGCCAGGCTAGAGATGGAGAGATGGGAATGTAAATGTTCTGAACAGCAATTCCTATCCTGGAACCCTGGGCAATGCCCCTCGTCCCTACTCTCTTGCCTCAGTTTACCCATGAGGTGTTTTATTAGCCAGAAAAGCCATTGCAGCTTTTGTTGTAATCTATCTGTGGAGACTGAACACACACACACAAACAACTGAAAAAATCATGCTTACAAAATGAGGATTGTGCAGATTGCCACTGAAGCTGGCTAACCAACAGCAAATGTGAAACAGACCCAGATAATTTCCCCAGGCTTATTAAATTGATTCCTGCTTCCCCATGAGTGGTGGTGGAGATGCTGGCTGCAGGGAAGGGACAGAGGGAAAGAGTGGTAAAAACTTCGCTTTTTGGAGGACATTTGGTACGTTGCACAAACAGCCCGCGCTGCCAAGTGAGTCAGAACTTCCGAACAGCATAATTTTAGTGCCCTTCTTGTGGTTCCCTCTCTGGGCTGCTTCTGAAAGGAAGGTCTCAGGGCGGGGTTTCCTGTGTTCAATTCCAGAGATGACAAAGGGGCTCTTCCCCCAATCCTTTGCCAGATTTTTTTTTCCAGATGGGTTTTCATGTCCACCCCCTTATGTAGCTGCAGGTAATGCTGAAGACGAAGGTATTGTGGACTTCCTAGTTGTAAACTGCCCCATCCCTTCGCATTGCTTACTCAACTTTTGTTTTCCTTCCATGTGGACTACTTTGGAGAGAAAAAGATTGGCATCAAATAAAAAATAGGGTTCTGTTTTTGATGTGATGTTTATGTCAGGCTTAAGAAAAGTAATGGATGGCCGGGCATGGTGGCTCACACCTGTAATTCCAGCACTTTGGGAGGCCAAGCAGGCAGATATCTTGAGGTCAGGAGTTCGAGACCAGCCTGGCCAACATGGTGAAATGCTGTCGCTACTAAAAATACAAAAAATTAGCTGGGTGTGGTGGTGTGTGCCTGTAGACCCAGCTATTCAAGTGGCCGAGGCACAAGAGTTGCTTGAATCTGAGAGGAGGTTGCAGTGAGTCAAGATTGCACCACTGCACTCCAACCTGGGTGACAGAGCGAGACTCTAAGAAAAGCAATGGAATGGGAGAGTATTCTGAAAAGCAGCAAGCCCTGTAAAGCCCAAGATAATAACAATCACATTGATAATAACAAAACTATCTGCACAGTATTTTGTACTTTATAAAATATGTTTATCACATGTGTTTTCACCTATGAAAAATTATTGCTATCCCCATCTAACAGATGAGAAAAACCAATGTTGTAAGAGGTCACATTCAGTGTAAGATTAGACTGTATGTGCACACTGTATGTGTAACAGAATCTTACAGTGTAAGATTCACTCAGCTAAATAAGTAGCAAAGCTGGGCCTGGAAAGTGAATATCTCCACTGCTCTGAACTGGTGCTCTGCACTGCACCGGCAGCAGGAGGGACAGTTCATCTCTGTGCACCATGGTCCCCTGACACAGAATTATTACACCCTGACCTCCTTGGAGGTAGTAGTCTATGCCTCATTCTTCTTCATATTCCCAGAGACTAGCACATAGTAGATACTCAGGAATGTTTGACGAAAGACTGAATAGCTGTATGGCAGAAACTGTAGCAATCATACCATTCCCAGAACCATAACATAACAGCTCGCCTGAGTTGGGTGCTCAAATACCAGGCACAAAACCATACAAGATAAGCTCCTATTATTAGATCTATTCAACAGAAAAGGAAACCAAGTATGAGTAATCAGCTGAAAGTTGCAAATTGGGCACTTTGGCACTAGAGCCTGAGCTCCTAACTGTACCCAACCATCTCTTCCTGCAGGACATTGAGTTACAGTGGCCAGCTCCACCCTTGGAGCAGCCTGGGGGAGCCATCTCTCTCCTTGTGCAAGTCACCTGCCCTCTTTGTGTCTTGGTTTCCCTTGTCAGGCAAAACTCATTAAACTTTTCCTAACTACCTGGAGGATGTTTGCAGAGATTTAATGAGGAGACACATTTGAAAGCATTCTGAAAAGCAAAAAGCGCGATCCAGATGCAGGCATTATAATCATTGTTACTCGCTGCCTGCACCTGCAGTTTGACTGTGGCAACCTCAAGGCCTTCGGCAGCACTTCTAATTGAGCCACAGTGATAATAACACATATAATAGCATACTTGGAACCAGTCAGTCGCAGGGAGATGGGAGGGGCCCTGTGTATATCTTCAGCAACGCTGTGAATAATTACAGCTTAATAAATGGGATCTAACTAAGAGGTGTGGGTCTACCTCAGAGTGAATCCTGGGTTTTGGCTAATTCTTCTACCTCCCTCTCAATTTGGAAAAGACATACACACACACACACACACACACACACACACACACACACCGTTAACTATCTTGTCCTGCTTTACAATTTAATCTCTTAGGATACTGACTTTTACACGGATCTGTTCTACAAACATCTGCCATCCCTGCTAAGAAACAAAAAAGGAAAACAGCATCCCGGAAGCCCTGGATTTGGGCCAGTTACTAACCCCGCATCTGTAAAATCGCTAGCCGCACCTAAACTGTGATGACTGGAGTTCACATAAAACCTAGTTTTACAACTTGTATCCTTCATTAGTAGCGCTCATCTGATCCAGAGGCGGTGAAGCCAATCATGCAACCATGTAATTACTCGGAAAAAGATAAGGGTTGGGGCCCAGGACTGTTCAAAGCTGGGCTGGATGCACAGGAAGGCCAGTGACTGCTGACCTGGGAGGAGAGCGCCAGGGTGCGAAGGCTTCCAGCCATCAAGCAGTAGGAGTTTGGCAGAAGGCTGTGGAGCAAACGCCGGGCCAAGGCAACTTCATGTGCACAGGCACAGAGGCAGATACAGTTTAGACATTCTGGGACAAGGTTAAAGGGTTGGCGTGGCTGGAGCAGGGGTTGGGAGAGTGGGAGGATGTTTCTGCTGGTGGGGAGGGAGAGGTGAGGCGCATTCTGAGGCCTTGGGTTTGTTGGGGGTTCACATTATGCCTGGGGATTCACATCCCTTGTGACTCCTGGACTGTGGGCCCGGACTGTGGGGGTGGGAGAGGACGGGCAGGGTGCCACTACCCCCCACCCCGCCCTTTCTCCCCGCGCGAGGCTGGCTGATGAGTGTCATTTTCTTCTTGGATTTCGCGCCTACGGGCGGTGTGCCCCTTCCAAGGCCCCCACCTCCGCTCTGTGAGGGCAAGATCTGCCGGTGTCCTAATCCCTTTTCCATGTCTGGGCGCACAGATCCAACTTTCCCGGAGAGGCAGCTCCGCGCCATCCCCTAGGATGAGAAGAGGGTGGGTGGCTGTGTGTGTGTCGGGGAGACAGACAGGGGCCAGGGCTCCGGGCTGCTTTCCAGGCAAGCGTGGACAGGACCCCCCCCTTAACCCCCGCCCCGGGTCCGCGACAGGGAGCGGTGAGGCTTTTCTTCGGCCCTGGTCCCCGGGGCCACGCAGGATGTCCGCCGGGCTGGGGTTGCGCACCCGGGGCCTCCGCTGAGCGCGTGCGGAGAGGGGCGCGGCCTCTCCCGCGGGGCCACCGGGCGGGTCCCGGCGGGGGCGGGGGTACTCGCGGTGTCCGGGCCCGCCCCAGCCCTGCCCCGCCCCGGAGCCGCCCGGGACGCAGGGAGGAGGGAAGGAGGCTCGGCCCCAGCTACCCGCGGCGCCGCGCTCCTCCACGCTCCGGGAGGGTAAGTGGCACGGGGCCGGGAGGCCAGGCCTGGGGCCGGGGGCCGGGGGCCGGGGGCCGGGCGGGTGGGGTCCTCAGCCCCTGGCCCAGCTCTGACACAGCCCCGGGAATCGGGGGCGCCGAAAGTCTGGGGGACCTGGGGAGGCGCGCCCGGCGCGGGGGCGGGGGCCCCGGCGTGACAGCTGCGGGCGGGCGGGTATTTTTAGTTTAAATCCAACCGTTCTGTGCTGGCTGCGAAATTCCCGAGCCTTTCCTTTCAACCCCGGGGAGCTTCGGCCGGCCCACAAGAAAAAGCCCTAAAGCCCCGGGCAGCGCGCCCCAGCGGGCCGGGTGCCTCCTCGGGGCTTCCCTCTGCCTCCCCTAGGGGCGGGCTGACCTGTCACCAAGGCTTGCGCGCGGCGGGGGCCCAATCCGCTCCTGGCGACCGCGAGCGCGCTCAGTAGTGCCTGGGAGAGCAGAGCAGGCGGCGAAGAGGGGAAGTCCAACCCCGAATGCTCAGTTTCGTTCAGACGCCTTTTGGCTATGCAAACTTGGCAAGCAGCTCAACCTCTCTGAGCCTCATTCCCACATTTCTAAAGGGGAGGGCAGTGAGGCCAGAGATGGCTTGCAGGGCCTGAGAGAGCCTCAGATGGATGTTGACTTCCCCTGGGGTCTTGGGATCTTGACCCCAAACAGCAGACCCATTGATGTGGCCCATTGGTCAACCCGGGAGCAGTGTCCTACACCGCCCAGCTGACCTCTGCTTCAAAACTGGAAGCCAGGGGCCTCCAGCCTGGGCGGGGTGATAATGAATATTTTCAGTTAACCACTTTGGCCCTGAAGCTCCAACCCTGGGCTTTCCTGGGACTCTCCCAGGTTCCTGGTCACCCCTTTCAACTCTGAAGGGTCACCCTTATCCCTGCACTGGGTGGGGGGGCTTTCTACAGCCAAGGGCTGCTAGTGGGATAGCTTGATGTGTCTTGGGGGCATGCCCCATCCCACATGAATGAGGGCATGAGGAGAATGGACCGTCCTCCCAGAAAGGAGAGCATGTCATAAAATCACTGCCATTCTGAGCTTGGCAGGACAGCGTCCTTCATCCACCAAGAGAAGCAGAAACAGGCCCAGAGAGGGGGAGTGATTTGCCCAGAGCCACACTGCCTGGCTCTCTTGAAGGGCCTGGGCTTGCCGCCTGCACTTCCAGGGCAGCCAACAGCCCATAGGAGTCAGGAGCTGGGAGGTGGGAGGGGCATATCAGTGCCAACGAGCTGTTTTGCTCAGTTTCCTGTCACTGTGCCCCAGCGGGATGCTCCAGCACATGTGGGTCTGCACATTCCTCAGGCCGGACGGTGCTCGGCAGGCTGACAGCCACAGCTGTGCCAAGCCTGCTGGCCCCAGGCGTTGTTTTCAACCAGAGAGGCCCCTCTGGGGGTGGCTGAGCGGGAAGTGGGCTGGGATGTCTTATTTCTGGAACTCGTGTCTTGCTGGGGGTCCTGAGAAGAAGGCCTGAGGATGTGTTGGTGGCACAGAGGGAAGTGGTGAGAATCCAGGCTCAGGTTTCTGCCTCCAGGTACAGTCTGGCACCTGGCTCCCTGCAGGTACACTTCAGAGTGAGTTGGAGTCCTTTCTGTCTGTCTCCATGGGAACAAGGCTCCTGCTCGGGTGCTTTGCATGCTCTCCAGCAGCCATGGACCTGGCCATGCCTGGGCAGCCCCTTTGCCTTGTGATGCAGCCTGGAGCGGGCTGCCGGGGGGCCCTGGCTTGGCGGCCCCGGGAGGCAAGACTGGGCAGGCCCAGCTCAACGTCAAAAGCACCCTGGAGCCTTTGGGAACCCACTGGGCAGCTAGGCTTCCCGCATTGTCCAGCTGTTAGGAATGGGGCAGTCAAGTTGGATTGCCTGAGTCCAGTCCTGCCTTAGCCCGTTCCTGGCTGTGTAGCCTTGGGAAAGTTGCTTCACCTTTCAGAGCTTCAGCGTCCTTCCCCGTGGAAAGGGGCTAACCATAGCACGGCAGGTGTTGCCTCGCAGGGCCTCATGAGCACTAAACGAGCTTTGCCCTGATCAGCATTTTGTATGGTGTCAGACACAGCACATGTGAGAAGGTGTCACAGTTTGAGGCGAAGGGGCCTCGTCGGGATACCTGGGTTCCCCTCTGCTCTGCCTCTGCCCCTCTTCTCCCTGCCTTGATTTCCCCTTGTCTGTCAATGGTGGGTAGTCCTGGCTCACCCCCCTCATGGTCCTCCCAGCACTGAAAGCTGGCCCTTGGCCCCAGGGAGGGCAGGAGGCTCTTGACCCCAAACAGCTGACCCATTGATGTGGCCCATTGGTCAACCCAGGAGCAGTGTCCTACACCGCCTAGCTGACCTCTGCTTCAAAACTGGAAGCCAGGGGACTCCAGCCTGGGCGGGGTGATAATGAATATTTTCAGTTAACCACTTTGGCCCTGAAGCTCCAACCCTGGGCTGCCCTGGGACTCTTTCCCAGGTTCCTGGTCACCCCTTTCAACTCTGAAGGGTTCTAGAGAAGCCTACAGAGGGACTCAAATGTGTTCGTGGGGTCTTCCAAAGCTCTTCCTGCCTCTCACCTCCTAGGATCTGGTAGTAGGCAAGGCTGTCATTGCTTGCCCATTTACAGATGAGAAGGCTGATATCCAGCGGCTGGATGTGGTACAGCCAGGATTAGAACTAAGGGCTTTTGACCTGATGCTCTTCCTGGCACCACATGGCCTATCTTAGACAATCCAAGGACAAAGTTGTACGTTCATCACTGGGAAAACAGTACTGACCGGACAGGATGCTTGTCTTCATTAAGTCATCAGTACTTGCTGGAAAAGAATATGGATTCTGAATATATATATATATATATATATATATATATATATAATCTAAGCAGCCTGACTGGACCACAAAGATAGGAACCCAGGAGCAGCAGTGTTTCCTGACCCTCCCATCCTGAAAGGAACCTTTGCTTTAGGACTTAGGGATGATGTTCTGGGGCTGAGCAGCTAGGAAGCTAGGAAGTGGACGGGGGACAAGTTTGGGAAGCTGATGCCCTAATTTTGACCTCTTGAAATACTTCCCTTTTGGGGTTGCTGCGAAGATAATTGAGGTAACTGGGGATGATGCTTTAGCAGAATGCCCGGCATGGTGCGGGCACACCATAAATAGGACTGATGGTTTTTATTATTACTAACCCTCTACTATCATTGTAACACCAGAGTGCAGCCTGGATCTCTCGCCTGGGTTTCTAGGCTGCAGACGTGGTATAGAGAATCCTAGCATCTCCATGGAGAACTGCTAAGGCAATTATAAAAGCTCAAAACACAACCAAACTAAGCAATGAGTTGTTTAGTGACACATAGCTGAGAAGTAAAATGACGACAAAAAGCAAGAAGGTGATTAGCTTAAATAAAAGCCAAGCATTACCACGCGTGCTGAGGAAAGGTGAGAGAGGATCAGGAGAGTCGGGGGGGCAGTTACAAAGGAGATCACTTTGTAGTTACTGGCTAATTACATGTATGTTTTATACATGCCTTTATACGTAGATTCTATTTCACAAAGTTAAGCTGGTTTAAAAAAGAAAAAGGCAAGGGAATGATAATGCAAAATCAAGGTGATTATCTTTGGGGAGAAGTGGGTAATTGATCAGGGAGATGTCTGTTTCACTCTCAGTGGGATCCATTATGTTCTGTTTCTTCAGTCCAGTGGTAGGCTTGTGAGTGTTATTTTTTATTTATTTTATGTATGTATTTATTTATTTTTTGAGACAGAGTCTTGCTCTGTCACCCAGGCTGGAGTGCAGTGGCCTGATCTCGGATCACTGCAAGCTCCACCTGCCGGGTTTACGCCATTCTCCTGCCTCAGCCTCCCGAGTAGCTGGGACTACAGGCGCCCACCACCACGTCCGGCTAATTTTTTGTATTTTTTTTTTTAGTAGAGACGGGGTTTCATCGTGTTAGCCAGGATGGTCTTGATCTCCTGACCTCGTGATCTGCCCACCTCAGCCTCCCAAAGTGCTAGGATTACAGGCATGAGCCACCGTGCCCAGCCTATTTATTTATTTTTTTGAGACAGAGTCTCACTCTGTTGCCCAGGCTGGAGTGCAGTGGCACAATCTCAGCTCACAGCAACCTCCACCTCCCAGGTTCAAGCCATTGTTCTGCCTCAGCCTCCTGAGTAGCTGGGATTACAGGCATGTGCCACCATGCCTGGCTAAGGGCGTTATTTTTAAATATTTTTATGCTTCATTATTTACAAATAGGAGGCGCATATATTCCATTATATATATATAATCTTACATAATACAAATGAAATTAAAAGATCATGTGGAGCATTTTCAGATGCTTTCTTAGAAAATCTGCCTCTCTCCTCAGATTCCAATGTTAATCTGGCTGGATTTAAAAAATAAAGCAAAAAATTCTGTTGTATGACACATGATTTTATGTGTCATAAATCTTTATGTAGGAGACACGATCTTTAATGTAGGAGACATGATCTCTGTCTTCCCAAATCATACAACAAGTAAGATAATAATAACACTCTATGACCTCAGATGATCAACAGGATTTTTAAAGGTCCTGGCCTAATGATTTATGCTTCTGAATCATAAAATCCTGAAATATTTGAGCTGGAAGGAACCTCAGGTCACCTGGACCAATCTACTGGTTTTATAACAAAACGAAGTGTCCTGGCCGAGGTCACACACGTAGGGAATACACTTCTCTCCAGGCTGCCACAGCTGTGTGACTCTCATGCAGACACCACCCGACAGACAGACCAGTGAGAGTCTTGGGTCACAAGGCTCCTCCTTAGGGCACTCAGGGAGAGAGACGGGAAGTATACCTGAGATTAAACTGATAGGATCATTTTATTTATTTTATTTAATTTATTTATTTATTTATTTTTTGAGAAGGAGTCTTGCTCTGTCTCCCAGGCTGGAGTGCAGTGGTGTGATCTCAGCTCACCGTAACCTCTGCCTCCCGGGTTCAAGCAGTTCTCCTGCCCCAGCCTCCTGAGTAGCTGGGACTACAGTTGCATGCCACCATGCCCAGCTAATTTTATTATTATTATTTTTTTGTATTTTTAGTAGAGACAGGGTTTCACCTTGTTGGCCAGGATGGTCTCAATCTCCTGACCTCGTGATCCACCCACCTCGGTCTCCCAAAATGCTGGGATTACAGGCGTGAGTCACCGCGCCTGGCCCAGGATCATTTTATTTTTAAAAAGTCAGAAGAGAGTTACATTTTACGATGGAACCACACATTTCTAGAACTTACATGAACAGAAACATCCTCAAAGAAAACACAGAAGCAGTGCTTAGAATCTTCTTTCCTACAGGAAGTCCTCTTAGGAAAGAGCTCCTCTCACTCATCCTATTTTTTGCAGGCGTACTTGATTCCCAAAACAATTGAGTGCTGCAGTTATGGTTATTTCCATTTTCCAGTGGGGGAAGCAGGTTCAGAGAGGTTCAGTGCCTTGACCCAAATCACGCAGCAGGTGAAGATGGAGCAGGACTTTCATCCAGAGCGGGAGTGGAAAGGATGAGCCACTTTTGTTTTCAGTGCATTGTGCTATGAGCACATTCTTCACTCCTTAGATGCTGAAATTCCGCAGCCCAGCCCAGCCTGGGCGGGCCATGGGGAAATGCCCTGGTGGAGGACAGTTGGGTGATGGCTTTCCAGCTGTCAGATCACAGAGATGATCTAGAGGCTAAAGCTCTACCTCTGTCTTGCTGCTCTCCTGCAAGGAAGCCCACTGCCTTTGTGGCATGGGCAGTGGTGCATCGGGAGTTGGGAGAATCCATCCCATTTTGGTCCTGCACTTTTTTTTTTTTGAGACGGAGTCTCACTCTGTTGCCCAGGCTGGAGTGCAATGGTGCAATCTCGGCTCACTGCCACCTCCGCCTCCCGGGTTCAAGCAATTCTCCTGCCTCAGCTTCCTGAGTAGCTGGGACTACAGGCACCTGCCACCACGCCCAGCTAGTTTTTGTATTTTTAGTAGAGATGGGGTTTCACCATGCTAGCCAGCTTGGTCTCAACTCCCAACCTCAGGCGATCCACCGGCCTCGGCTAGGATTACAGGCATGAGCCACCAAACCCGACCAAGTGCTGCACATTTTGATTCTTGGCCATCTTCTTCTCTCATCAAAGATATTCTTCCTGCCTTCCCTCTGCAGAAGTGCCTGTCACAGACAACAGGGCTCAAAGAGACCTGTGTTCCAGGACTGCTTGGCTTCAGATGGTGGTTTTCCTAATGCACGGTTGCTGTGTCCCAGTATGGATGCTCCCCTGGGCAGTGGAGACCTGGGCCCAGGTCTCAGCCCTTGCTCTCTACCCTCTGCTCTGTGAATCCATTTCCTGGTCAGTTGCTGCACTGTGAATCCATTTGTTTCCCATCTAACAGGGTTGGTGATACCTCCCCATGGGGCAGGGCTTAGTAAGGACCTAATAAGAGAGAACTTTACATGGGTAAGGCAGCTTTCAGAGACTAGGAAACAAACGCTCATGTACATGCCCAGAGAGATTGTGTGTGGGCGCTGGAGAAGTATTTAGGAGTCACAGCTGCAGTGGAGCCAGCCTGAGCCTCAGAGATGATTTACGCTTATACTTTTACATATGGGGAAACTGAGTCTCCACAGCAGAAATGGCTGGCTCAAGTCTTGCAGGTACTTCAGGGCCAAGATGGTATCTCCTAACTCCCTGACCAGTGCTCTTACCTTACAACCACCTTCCCTAAGAGTTTGTTTCACTGATATTCATGGTGTAACGCAACTCGGGCTGGTTGCTTGATGAAAATGAAATGGCAGGCTTTCAGCGTTCAGCCTGTGTGGTGATCACCAAGGCATGGACAGAACAGGGTGGGCCACCATGGCTGGTTGGATTCTAATTTAAGCCAACAGTTTTATTTGAGATCTGAAAAGGGCTGAGCCCCTCCCAAGTGACATTTGCTGAAATAATGCAGCTGGCTGACGCACTGGGGTAGCCTCGTTCCTTAAGGACGGGAGGAGCCTGCATTTGACCTTCACCTGGGCTAGTCTCTGTTTCCTGCTCTTTAAAGAGGGAGGTTGAGATTAGGAGATTTCTAAGGTACCTTGAAGTTCAGATGTTTTCTCATTCAAGGACCACAGCCTCAAAGTAGGTGTTTGGGGACTTGGGTCTGGCCACTATAGTTCACCCCCTCAGCCCAGGAGGGTCCAGATCACTGGTAGGTGACTCCCTGCTTATCCGCCTTGCTCTGAGGATTAGGTCCCACGTTCCCAGCTGGCCCAGCTTTCTACAACCTGGGCCACCTCCAAGGACCATAAAGCCCCTAGCTCATCGTGGCCTTTCTCACCTGGACACCTGTGCTCAAGCTGCTCCCCCACTCAGCTCTCCTTCTCCCTGCCCCTTCCCACCAACACCTGGGTAGACATCACCTCCTCCTGGAAGTCCTCCTCAGTCACCTCCTACAGGGTTGGTGATCTCTGTTTCCCTGTTCCCGTTGCACTTTGCCATTGATACTAATCAACAGTTTCAAGAGTGATTCCCCACTAGCCTGTGCCCGCCTTGAGGGCTGGAGACAGGATTATCCTCACATCCCTGCTCCCAGCCCAGAGAGAGCACGCTATTATTACTACTATTATTAAATTAAAAGGCTTTAAAATAGGATCTTATTAACTTTAGGGGTGTTTACAGCTCACTTGAATGTAGTATGAAGGACAGATCCTAATATTTCCAGGACACAGGAAAAAAGTGAGCTCTGGAGCCGTAACCTGAGGCTGGGGAGAGAAGGTGCAATATGTGTCATCTCCCTCTGCGGCCCCCTTCAGGGGACTGTCCTCTTGGAGATTCTCCATTCTCCTGGGTTCTCTGGGGGTTGGCCCCGGAACCTTGCAAATATCTCTTGGCGTCCCTGGGACTCACATCTGATGTTCTCTCTCCTGCTCATGCCAAGTTTCTCTCCCTCTAGCTTGGCTTCTTGTTCTTTCCTTTTCCTAAAAAGTGCCTCCCCCGGCCACACCGTCTCTGCATTGAGATCTCAGCTCACAGTCACGGCCTCAGAGGGACCCTCCTGCCCACGCAGTGGCACTTATCCCATCCTGCCAACATGCTCTGTCCTGTCACCCTGAAATTATTTGTGTTAATTATTTGCAGTTGAGTGTATTGTCTGTCTTCTGTACCAGAAGAAGATAAGGCCAGGGATTGTTATCTGTCCAGAGCCCAGCCATCAAAGCTGCTCAATACTGTCCATATTTCTAGAATGAATGAATGAACGAGTGAATGGGCCGATGGAGTCCATTGGGTGCCATCTAAGATTCCTGCATGGTTCATCTTTACAGCTCATACCTGTTCAGTGCTTACTGAATGTCTAAGTGCTCTCTGCCTTTTTTGTCTTTATCCTCACAACAGCCCAATGAAGGATGCTCTGATGTTGTTACCATTTGGCAGAGAGGTTAAGTAACCCACCCTCAGCTACCTCAGTTAGCAGTGGAGTTGGAAATTGAACCCAGGTTACCTGATCCCAGAGTTCTGGCAGGTAACTCCCAGGCTACACTGGCCTTTCCATGCCAGGAGTGCTGTGGGCTGGAAGTGGTGAGTCACTCAGCCTCCTAACCAGACATCTGGCTCTTTCTCCACAGCCCCCAGTGGCTCTCACACTGCCAGGCCATTCCTCAAAGGAAATCCTTTCTGTGGGACCAGTGTCACATGGGCTAGGAACACCAAAGGTTTTCCAGAGCCAGGGCCCACCCCGGAGCACCCTACCCTGTCTTCTCTGACCACATCCTTTTCTCCTAGGGAAACCCCTCCGCCACTTGTTCACTAGCTGTTGAGAACTTGGTGACCACAAGCCAGTGGCTGTAGGGTTGGGTGTGAGCCAGTTGGGGTTGCCAGGTTAATTTCTGTCATTTATCCAGCACCAGGCAGCGAGCAGGCCTGGCTTCTGTGATTTGCCTATGTATCTGTTTGCTGATTTCAAACTCAAGTTTGCTCAGGCATAATTTTAGAAAATTAATTTTTAAAAAAATTTCATCTTGTGGCGTCTCTTGTCCCACCTCCATCTGGGTAAAAACACCCAAATGCCCAGGGAGGGGGATCCAGGCCAGGCTCTCCTGGCCGCAGTCTTCACTTCCTAATGTGCTCCTTTGAGCAGATAAGAGGATAGCCCCGTAAGTTCCTATCTGGGTCTCCTGCAGGAAGCTGCAGGGTTAGTCATGCAGCACTTAGCTGGAGCCAACTTTGGTTTGGGAGCCAAAGAAGCACGTGTTTGCGGCTGGGATCTGGGCTCTTCCGCTTTGTAACCAGTGCCTTGGGCAATGGCATTTCTTCAACGTACTGACATTGGCTGAGGTGGACACGAACTAGGAAGATGCCAGAGACACAGCGCTGCCCAGTGGGAGGAGTCCAGTGGGTGAGGTGTGTGCTTTAAACAGTCCCATCCTAGGGGACTGTGACTCCATGATAGGGAAGCTCAGGGGGCTGGGCGGGGCACCAGGAAGGACCCTTAAATTTTGCCCAGAGGCACAGTCTTTCTGGGCCTCAACTCTCTTTGCTGTAAGGTGGGGGTGCAGGTGCCGCGCTCCTCGCCTCGCTGGATGTGTTGTGAACTGCGGACCACCCCATGGAGGTAAGGGGTCATCACTATTGTTAGTTTAGCCAGCAGAGCAAGGCGTCACTGGTGCCATCTGTGCAATGGAAGTTTGACTTTCGACTTTGATGGAGTTTCTCTGTGCTCCTGGACCTCAGGTGGAATCCTGCAGATCTGAGCTGGGACCCTGATTTTGTCGCCTGTGGCAAGTCACATAACCTCCATGGGCCTGGGTATCACACCTGTAAGATGGGGCTGGCCACACCTTCCCTGCAGAGTCACTGTGAGGCTCATATGAGATAACAGATGTGGGATTCCCAGCAAGCAGAAGGTGCTGGGTCACGCCCGTTCCAATGGATTCCCTTCCCAGCCTCTCCAAGTTCTCCCTCTTTTCCTTGGGTGCTCCTTAGCTGAGGACGTGACTTTGCCATTTATGCAGGTCACTTGGAAGGGAGCTCAGCACTTCTGCCTGCCTCTGTCCCCAGCACGTGCAGTGAGTTGAACAGGGCGCAGCTGCTGGTGGGTCAGCCCTTGGCTCAGGTGTTGCTGGCCGATGCTCATGCCCTGGCAGGTCTAGGAAGGCATGATGGGCCAGAGTCGACCCAGCCAAGCCTGCGCCCGTGTGCACAGACAGTGTCCTCCTTTAGAGGTATACAGGGTGCAGACCACACACCTTGACCATTCATTGCCTGCCCGGAGCACCAGCCATCTGCAACTGGCCAATGTGATTTTTTTCTTTTATGGAATTAACTATGCAGAAAATAGTCAATATCACCACAGCAGGTCCTGCTGTTTCATTCCCAACCCTGAGCCTCAGGATCCTCCTCAATACAGTGGAGGGGCTTAGACTAGATTAGATCTTGGTGAATTTGGATTAGGGGCTACTAGTAATTGCCAGGATAAATTTGGTGGTACAAGCCCAGGGCACTGAATGACAGCCACTCCTTCTTCATCTCTTTATCTCCCCTCCATTTTTTTTAAATTTTTTTAACTTGTTCTTTTAATCCTTCTGATTATATGGCCTTCTCATAACCACCTGGGCTCCACCCTGGACCAATGAGTTAGAGAGATCTCTAGATGTGGGGCTGCTTATCTGTAGCTTTTTAAAGCTCCCCAGGTGATCCTGATGCACAGGGATGGTTGAGAACCTCTGGATCTTGTCTAGGTGAACATCTCAGTGACATGCTAATCTGTTTTTAACAGCTCTCCAACACTAGCCTCTCTCTGTCTCTAACCATGAGCAGGCCCCAGGTGTAAACCAGCACCATTATCCAGATAGAGTTAAACATTGTTTATGTTCATTATCTTATGATATATGGCAATTGATCCTGACCCTGTTTTTTTATTTAAGGTAAAAATATATTTCTTAATCTAGCTATAAGAAAAAAAAGAAAAAGGTAAAAAGAAAAAAAAAACTTCTTTTAAAATAAACAAGTTTAAATGGGTCAAATTAAAGAATATTAATTAGAAAAGATGTAGATGTGTCTGCATGGCAGATATAGTCAAAATCATGACCGTAATGCACAAATGGCCACACTGTGAAGAAGCGGAACTAGATGACCTCTAAGGCCCAATATTCTGACAGATCTGAGGGCTGCCCAATGAGATCGCTAACCCAGGACTGTTGGCACTAGCCACCTGGCCTGGCAGAGAGTGGGGTAAGCAGGCTTGAGAGTGGCTGTATGCATAGCAGGGTTTCCCGGTGTGGCTTTACTCAGAGCTCTCCAGGGACAGTGCAGCTAGATTATCTCTGTTTCAATGCATTTGCCCTCTTGCTCCACCTTCCCCAGACCATAGGGTCAGCCTGAGAAGCAACCTGTCCAGCAATCAGGGCCATTTCCCGGGGTTCAGCGCTGCCGCGTAAACTCAGCGAATGCAACGTTAGGACCCCGGTGCCCACAGGAGCCCGGCTCCTTCACTTGTGCTTGGGCGAACCAAGCCATGGCGGGAAGGGAGTTGCCCGGAGTCCCAAGGCAGGACCCAGCACTGCTGCTTCCCAGGCCTGGACTTCGTAGATCGAATAGGGTCCCTTCCCCCAGGTCTTAAGCTCCCCAGAAGGGAAACAGGAACAGAATGTGATATAAACAGGCCCTGCCTGGCCCTAGCCAGCTTTTTCCACTTGTGTCCATTGGCCCCTACCTGTTATTACTGGAGAGTTGGCCGGTGAGCCTTTCTTTTGTGAGTGATTGTGTGAGGCTCCTATTGTCTTTTTTCTTTTTTCTTTTTTCTTTTTTTTTAGATAGAGGTGGAGTCTTGCTATGTTGTTCAGGCTGATCTCGAACTCCTGGGCTCAAGTGATCCTCCCTCCTTGGCCTCTCAAAGTGCTGGCATTACAGCCATGAACCACTGTGCCCGGCCTCCTATTGTCTTTTAACTGATGTAGTAATTCACACCGTGAGGCCCTGGGAAGGTGGGACCCAGTCCAGCAATGATTCAGATAGTGCTTGGAGGATGTGGGGAGATGGTTTCAGCAGAACAACTGTGACAGTGTGGGGGGAACTCAGCTTAGTGGCAAAGGCCCCCTAAATGACTGTAAGTAGGATAAATGCCAGAGGGAAAGCCTTGATGGAGACACGATTCTTAGCATTTGGAAACCTTTGCCCATCAGTAAAGCTGGCTATCCAGATTGTGTCACAGTTTGCTGAAAGGACTAGTATAGAATTTTCTAGGATAATGGACCAGGAGGAATGCTGTGCTGATAGGCAGAGGGTAGGGTGAGGTAATTCCCTTGGGCTGATAAATAGCACTGGCCTCTGGAGCTTCTAGAACAAACTTTTGTGGTAAAAGGCCAGAAAGGAAATATGTAAATATATTTTGGCTCTCCATCATATCGAGAAAGCAGCCACAGATGCTATGTAAATGAATGGGTGTTGGTTGTGTTCCAATAAAACTTTATAGACACTGGAATGTGAATTTCACATAATTTTCATATGCCATGAAACATTATTATTCTTTTGATTTTTTCCAACAACTTAAAAATGTTAAAAAACATTCTTAGCTCAACAGCTGTACAGAAACAGGCAGTGGGCCATGGTTTGCAGCCTCCTGTTTAGAAGCCGCCTCTGCAGTGGAGGGTGAGTCTTGCAGGTTTGAGCTAGTCACTCTTCTAAGCATTTCAGTTCTTAAAAACGTAGGTCTGGCCGGGCACAGTGGCTCACACCTGGAACCCAGCACTTTGGAAGGCTGAGGCAGGAGGATTGCTTGAGCCCAGGAATTTGAGACCAGCATGGGCAACATGGTGAGACCCATCTCTACAAAAAATATATGAAAATTAGCCCAGCATGGCGGCCCATGCCTGTGGTCTCAGCTACTCGATAGGTGGAGGCAGGAGGATCACTTGAGCCCAGAAGGTCGAGGCTGTAGTGAACTGTGATCACACCACTGTGCTCCAGCCTGGGCAACAAAGAGAGACCTGTCTCAAAAAAAAAAAAAAAAAAAAAAAAAAAGGTAGTTCTGAAACAAGTCTCAATCTCGTGTCTACTGTTTAAAATAGAACCTAGTGTTAATTTGTTTGCTCATTCAGCAAATATTAATGGTCTAGTGGTTAAGAGCAGAGGAAACTTGTCATATACTGGCTGTGGGACTTAGGGCAGGTGACTTAGCCTCTCTGAGCCTCAGTTCTTTCATCTGTAAATAGGCAGGAACAGTAGGACCTACGGCATCAGTGAAAGAATCCTTGTAAGACTGAGCCCAATGCCTGGCAGATAGCATGCCCTTGGTGAAGGTTTACTATTACTCTCTCATGTCTGTAAAGAGTTAGAGACTGGTATACAAAGGGGTGGATGGCAATGCTTACCCTGCATGGTAGGTGAGGCCCAGAGAAGTTAAGGAGCATTTCCAAGGTCTCAGGCTAATAATAAATGGTTGGACTAGAAAACAGTGTGAGCTGCAAAACCCAGCCCTTTCCATGAGATGCCCTTGCAGGGGACTTGAGGGTAGATTACATCCACTTTTCTAGAGGCTTGCTAATGGGATTAATTTAATCATTAGCACCTTTCCCATGAGAGCTAGGGCTCTTGTAACTCTTCATCCCCGTGCCTTAGATTCTTGGGGAGACCAGCATTGTTTGGGGGGCCTCCAAGCTGGGAGTCCGACCTCCAGCAGCTTGGAGTGGCACCACTCTGACTGTTTTCTGTGAATGTCTTTGGTGGAAACTCGCTGCTCGACATGGAGCTCTACTTTAGAAACCTAGAAACAAGCATCTGGGGAAGACTTTAAGTTTTTCTGAGTCCTGTGGTTTCTGAGTCTCTGCGGGGCTAGCGGAAAGGGCTCTAGAAGGTTCTGGATGTCAAGATTGTGAGTAGCTGCTTTGGAATAATGGAATCCTCAGGGCCTTGTGAAACGAATGCCAGAGGTGAGTTCCTGACCGGTTGTACGTGCTGGTTTTCCTTCTGCAAAATGGAGATGGTGGTGTCGTAATTAGTTGCTTGTTGCTTCAGTTTGGCACGTGGGCTTGCGGGGCACCCACAGTGGATCTCCTGAATGCACAAAGACAGGCCCGGGAGGAAGCCTGTCCTTGGATTGTGGAGGCTTCAGGAGATAAAGCTCAGATAAGGAAGACAGTGACTGGATCTGAGAGCCTGTGGCAGCTGTGATTAGGAGCCAGCCGGGGAAGATGGGGCCTCAAAGGCAGGACACACAGGCTGTAGGCGGCTGTCCCGTCCATAACCCAGAGCAAGTCTCCCTCTCCATCCCAGAGGAAAGGCTGCTCGTGACTCTGGCTAGCTCTGAGGACACAGGCTCTGGGAACCCAGCCCCTGTGAGTGGCTGGAAGGTGGGGGTGGGGGTGGGGGGTCAGTAGAGTGGGGGACAGTCTGGGAGTCTTGGAAGGGGATATGAGGGTGAAAGTTGGTGTGACCAACTGTCCCTGGTTTGCCCAAGACTAAGAGGTTTCCTGGGGTTTGGGACTTTCAAGGTTAAAACCTGGATGGTGTGCGTCAAATCAGGATAAATTGGTCATCCTAGGTCAAAGTCATGCTACTTTGACCATGGCACTGGGCGGTCAAGTCATTGGTAGAAGGAGTAAAGGTGGAATCATCTCTCCCCTGAGCCTTAGTGCACCCTCAGACTAGATTGCCCCTTCGCAGTGTTCCCAGAGCCCCTGTGCTATCCTTCAAGGGTCTGTGTGCCCCCGCAAGAGTCTGTGAAGACAGAAAACCTCCTTGTGCTTGGGGCCAACCCCTGCCTGCTCTAGGCCAGAGTGTTTTGTAAATGCTGTTGGATGAATGAATGAGGCTTGAGACTCTCCACCTTCATTTCTTCCCCGCTGGGGACAAACTACTCAGATGCTACTTCATGCTTTGCTGCGCTGCACATCTTGTTGCTTCCCCCCATGCCCTTCCCTCCTGTGGCCACCTCCTCCACTGTCCCTTCAGCTCAGGAGTCTCCTCCTCTGTGACTGCTCCTGACCAGCCCTCCCTTTGAGTGGAGTTTCTCCTGCCCCTGCTGTGTCCCCTCTGAACCAAACCTCACTGAGCTCCCTAATCGGGCCTGTTTGTGGATGCATCTTTCTTCCGCATGCGCTGTGAGCTCCTCGAGGGCAGGTCTCCAGCTTAGTGTTTCCTCTGCTGCACGTGGCACCTGGATGCCCCATGGAGGTGCCTTGAGAGAATGAATAGAGCTGAACACACGGAGCAAAGATCCGTTCATTCCCTCAGTCACCAGCTCCTCTACGAGGCCTCCCGTATGACAGGCACGGTCCTGGGCAGTCAGGTAGGAGTCATGGACAAGATTGGTAAGGACTTTGTGCTGTTGGAACTCACATTCTAGAAGGATCTAGAGTCAACAAGCAAGCAAATAAATAAACAAGAACATATCAGAAGGTTGCGTGTGCTCTGAAGAAAATGCAAAGGAGAAGATGAGTCACCTGAGCCCCTGCCAGCAGCTTGCAGGCTGGGATGGAGTCACCAGCTCCACAGAGTGGACATTGCTGAGGCCCAGCACATGTGGTGCCCATTCTATGGAGGCAGAAGGCATGCATTGTCCCCTGGGTCGTAGCGTAGTCAACTTGGGCACAGTGGCATTTGCCTTTCATGCAAAGCGTGTGGACCATCAGTCCCTTTAGAGAAATTCATTAAAGCCAGTATTGTCTGAGAGGAGAGAGAAAATATTTTAGAAAGTCAGACGGGATTTTGTGCCTGGTGTGGGAAGCAAGCGTGTGTCCCTCCCGCTTCACCGCCCCCGATCCCCCACTGGGAGTACAAAGAATGGGGCTCGTGTGCTGACCGTTTGCTTCTTCCAGTTGGGTGGGTGGCCTTGGAGCTGTAGCTGCAGCAGGAAGGGTCAGTGACTCTGCTATGGGGCTGCTGGGGACAACCCAGGGTCCTGCGAGGGAAAAGATGTTAAAATGGCTGGCCACTGTCCCACGGGTGGTCAGGGAGAGGATCAGCGGGAATCATGAAGGTGGTTGCTCAGCTTCCAAGTGCTGCACACAACAGTGGGGCATTGTTCTCTGGGTCTGATGGGGAGCTCAGCCCCGGACACAGGCCAGCTCCAGGAGGAAGGCAGCCTCCTCCCGCTGAGTCCGGCTGGGCCAAAGCAAAGTCCCAGAGGGCAGCTTCTCCCTGCTGCCTGGCTGTGGGCGGCCGCTGGTGCTGAGGTCTGGGGACTCAAGAGGACACCTACGCGTCTGCAAGGTATCACTCACTCCTGAGGGTAGCCCCTTCAGGTTGGGATCCATAGAGAGCAGCGGGACAAAAGGCAGTTCCTAGGCTGGATGCCCGGCTTCTCACAGGCACGTCGTAAACCTGGCGTCTCAAAGTTCTGGCAGGAACAAGCAGGTACTAATTATAACCTGTACAGCCTGTTAACAGTCGACCTTGGACTCCAAGGAGGTGAAGGTTCTGGGGAGAAGGTCTCAAGGGTCCTCTGGATATCTCAGATATAAGACAGGAGGTAGGCCGGGCGCAGTGGCTCACGCCTTTAATCCCAGCACTTTGGGAGGCCGAGGCGGGTGGATCACCTGAGGTCAAGAGTTCAAGACCAGCCTGACCAACATGGTGAAACTCCGTCTCTACTAAAAATAAAAAAATTAGTCGGGTGTGGTGGCAGGTGCCTGTAGTCCCAGCTATTCTGGAGGCTGAGGCAGGAGAATTGCTTGAACATGGGAGGCGGAGGTTGCAGTGAGCTGAGATGGTGCCACTGCACTCCAGCCTGGGCAACAAGAGCTAAACTCCATCTCAAAAAAAAAAAAAAAAAAAAGACAAGAGTTAGTGATACAGGGGATTCTTCTAGGTAACTCAGTGGACATCATCCTGCAGCCCCAGCAGAATGAGGACAATTTAAAACAGCCTGGGCTCTGCTAAGGGACTGCTGGGGAGAAGAAAGGGGCAGGATTGCTTGCTGTGTGACCTTTGGCAGGTTACTTAGCCACTTTGAATCTAACCTCAACTTCTTTATCTACAAAAAGAAGCCAGTCATTCTGGTTTAACGGTGGGTGGGAGGACTCAATGAGCTGATGTGTACAAATACCTCATGGGTACTTAGTAATGTTAGTTCCCAGTCCTCTACACTATGAAAAATCCTGGAAGGCTTTCTGGAGGTGGTGATGCCAAAGCCAATGGGTGAATGTAGCCAGGCAGAGAAGGGCAGAGGGACCAGCAGGAGCAAAGGGGAGAAATGATGCATACAGGGAGCCACAGGTGGTTCCTACTGCAAGTAGAGGAGGTGGGAAGTAGGGGAGGCTGAGGCTGCAGAGATGGATGGAGAAGGACTTTGAATGTCCTGTTAAACTTCTTGGACTTTCTCAGGTGGAGGCTGTGAGGCACAGGAGGCGTTCATTCAGAAAAGCCTTTGACCCTGAGCCGTTAGATGCTCCTTTCTGCCAAGAGAGGACTCTGGTCCCCCTGCCTCCTGCAAAACTGGCAGGTTTCCCGGGAAATGAATGGAAACATCCTCGTGCCTAAGCCTCTGGATCCAGGAAAGGATTTGGCTCTGCCAGTCAAGGGCCCAGGCACTGCAGGGCCATGGATCTCCTTAAGGGTTCAGTGAGTACAGCTCTGAGATTCACTCCCGCCAAGAACTCCCATTTGAAATGAACCCTGCCGTTTCTCAGGCTGGGGTGCCAGTTATTAAATTAAAAGTGAGATTCGAATGGTTCTGTGTTGTTTTTGTAAACCAAAGCTGAAAACTGTGGAGGGTATTTTTTTTAGCTGGAAAGTAAAGCATGCCAGGCTTTCTAGTCCGCCTTGTCCTGCTGCCATAGACCCAGGGCCAGCCGGATCCAGCCTGGGGGGGACTGAGAGGTGGCTTATTTGTGTTGAGGGCCTATGGTGCACCAGGCTCACTCAGTGCCAGGCTCTTTGCATGCTTATGGGTGCCATTGTCATCCTCATTTTACAAATGAGGAATCTGGGGAACAGACAGGTGAATACACTTGCCTGAGTCACACAGCTAGTAGATGGAGAAGACAGATGCAGTCCTATTCTATACATACTTCAAAGTCTGTACCTTTTCTGTCTCATGTAACTTGAATGCTGGACTTAATACTCTTAACTTTTTCTGAAAGTCTAGTGGAACTATGAAATCTTTGAATTTGTAGGCCCAGAGCGGTGGCTCACGCCTGTAATCCCATCACTTTGGGCGGCTGAGGCAGGCGGATCACCTGAGGTCAGGAGTTCGAGACCAGCCTGGCCAACATGGTGAAACCCTGTCTTTATTAAAAATGCAAAAATTAGCTGGCTATGGTGGTGCATGCCTATAATCCCAGATTTCTGGTGAAATGAATGGAATCCCAGCTACTTGGGAGGCTGAGGCAGGAGAATCGCTTGAACCCGGTAGGTGGAGGTTGTAGTGAGCCAAGATTATGCCACTACACTCCAGCCTGGGTGACAGAGCAAGACTCCATCTCAAAAAAACAAAACAAACAAACAAACAAAAATCTTTTAATTGTGATTAAAATGTAACTTTAAAAGCCTCTAATTTTTTTAAAAAAAATTGTTAATACCACTTTAAGGAAATTGAAATCTTAGAAATGTACACATGATTTCACTGCTCTATGATGCTACTTTTTTCCTTTTTTTTTTTTTTAAGAGTTGGGATCTTGTCCTGTCACCCAGGCTGGAGGGGAGTGCAGTGGCGCTCCTGTCACAGCTCACTGCAGCCTTGGATTCTGGGCTCAAGAGGTCTTTCTGACTAAGGCTCTCTAATTGTGGGGATTACAGGCACGTGGCACTGCATCCGGCTTCATTCTTCATCTTTTTTTGACAGTTTTTGAATGATTTGCACAGGAGGGGTTGACAAACTGTGGCCTGCTGGTCAAATGCCACCTGTTTTTGTAAATAAAGTTTTGTTGGAACGCAGTCATGCTCATTTATTTACATGCTATCTGTGGCTATTTTCATGCTACCATGACAGATTTGAGGAGATGTGACGGAGACCATATGGCTTGTAAAGCCTAAAAGCCTTGCTCTCTGACCGTCTCCAGAAACAGTCTGCCAACCCTCGCTCTAGAGTGCAGCGCTTTGCAGTCTGCTCTTTTTCTCTGCAGACCGTGCATTATTCTAGGGTGTTAATTTCTCGTTGTAAATGGCCAGATTATGCTGTAGAGTGGGTGGATGTCACAAACTTTCCTTGCTGGACTGTTATATTGCATCTTTTTTTTTCTCCCCTCGGGAAAACTGTCACATTTGCAAATTTATTATTTATTTGTTATATAGCACCTACTGTGTGCCAGCATTGTTCTAAGCACTTTACCAATATGAACTCACCTAGTCTTCAGATCTGCAGTGAGAAGTTTATGCTAATACCATCCCCATATTACAGATGAGAAGGCAAAGTCAGAGGAGTTAAATATACTGGGCTAAGACCACATAGCTTATTTGGCAGCAAAGTCAGGTTTGAATCCTTAGCAGCTGTTAGGAAGTGTCCCAGGAAAAGCAGGCCTTTGTGAATCCCTGTGTGGGGGGACAGGGGCTGGGGCAGTGACTCACCAGGAGTGAGCCCTGCCAGGCCCCCTCAGCCCAGCCCTGGAGCCTCACACCATCCAGATTTGAATTGGCCCTAATCTTCCAGCTCGGGCCAAGTGACCACAAATTTTATTTCTTTGTTTAAAATGGCCCTGAAAAGAGGGCCAGCAGCTGATGCTAAAGAGCAAGTGCAGAGCCCTAAGAAAACAATGGCTCCGGATCAGAAAAATACCATTTGGGTGTAAGAGTACGAGAGTGGATAGTTGAGCCCGGCAGGAGTGCTGCTTCATGGCTGGAAGACTCCACAGCTTGCTCACTTGCTACATAAATGATAACTTTGCAAATATTTGAGTTGCCTGGAGAAAACATAAATGCAATATAACTGTCCAAGAAAAAGGAAGTGGTTCAAGAAAGTTTGTGACCTTCACTCCATAGAATATTCTGAGCTGTTTACAATGAGAATGTAATGATGGACACTGTGGATTGCTTGTGGCAAACATATTCTTATCTTCTGTGAGATAGGGGGTCTTAGGGGAGGAGGAGGGAATTCCAGACGTTCTCACCAGGAGAACAAGCTTCCTAAGATTTCATGGAGCCCTCGTGGCCCATCCAGGTCCCACCCCCGATCCCAGGAATGATGTCAGAGGAGGCTGGTTAAAATCCCCAGCTCACAGACACATTTTGGAATGTGAATTTAGCTAGGGCTTCCCACAGGACATTCATAAATGGGTGGATTCCAGAAGGTCCCATGTTAAGAAATGCCATGTTAGAGAGACTGGAGTGGAGGGATCAGGGGAGGGAGTCCACAGTGTTGAGAATCCTCCAAATGCAACACTCACTTTGCAGAAGAAGAAAGAGACATTGAGCTTTGTCAGGGCAGGATGCTCTTATCTGTTTGGTTCATCTCTGTGATCTTCAACACTGACCACAGTGTCTGGCATAGGCTTTGAAGGATTTGTCATTAAGTGAATTAAGCATCTCCCAAGCTTTGGAAAGGAGAGAAATTGGGTCTGGTATAGTTCTTGATCAGAAGACAAGACGACCACAACCTGACTCTCTGCCCATCCACTTAGGGTCCTTTTAGGGCATGGCCTTCATCTTCTCCCGGCCCCTCTGAGTGGAATGAGAGGTGGGAGAGACCTGGGTTTTGGAGCCGCTGCCCTGTCAAGGTGCTCTGCCTGATTCATTTCAAGCCATACTCTTGAGAGGCCCACTGGGGAAGGCTTCGCAGGCCCAGCTGCCATAACCCCAAGCCTCACTGGCCCCTCGGGCTTGTCCCAGGCTTAGGACTGTTCACGGGGGACAGTCCAGCATGAGCCACTGGGGCTCACCCTCCACCCCGTCTGTCTCTCAGTCAGTTGGGTGTGAGATGGGAAATCCTGTTCTGAGTCAAAAAGGAACCCTCCTCCCTTGCCTTCCTGATTCACTTCCTCATTCTGCCGACATTTTACAGCCTGGCACAGGTGCTGGAGCCATGCAGGCCTGGCCTTGCTTCTGACTTGGTGCCTCAGTCACTGTCTGACGTGGGCAGGAGAGCCAGCTTCAGTTTCCCCATCTGTCAGGCAGCACGATGACCCCTGATTTGAAGGTTGATGGGGGCCTTCATGGTGTCTGCCCAGTGCCTGGCACACAGCAGGCCTCACCCATGGGAACTATTGCCATTGTGAGTAGCATTTGATAACATTTTACCCAACCAACAGGAGTCTCCTTTGGCACCCTAAGATCAAGACCCAGTGATAACCTTGACACCTACCAGGACAATCATAGGGTCGCAGATGAACCCAGAGCAGGAGACAGGGTAGCAGCAGGCAGGAGACTCCTTAACTGTCAAACAGCATTGTCCAAGGTGGGCCCGGCTGGGCATTTTGCTGGGAAAAGGACTGTAAGGACAGACTGGGCACAGACACTCTTGGAAGGAATGGAGGCTGCTCTCACAGTTCATTAGACATTGGCAAGCTTAATCAGTTCTTGAGAAAAGACCCTTCTATCTGAACCCATGGCCTTTTTTTTCTTTCTTTTCTTTTCTTTCTTTTTTTTTTTGAGACTGAGTCTCGCTCTGTTGCCCAGGCTGGAGTGCAATGGCATGATCTCGGCTCACTGCAACCTCCGCCTCCCAGGTTCAAGCGATTCTCCTGCCTCAGCTTCCTGAATAGCTGGGATTACAGGTGCCTGCCACCACGCCCAACTGATTTTTGTATTTTTAGTAGAGACGGGGTTTCACCATGCTGGCCAGGCTGGCTCGAACGCCTGACCTCAGGCGATCCACACACCTCAGCCTCCCAAAGTGCTGGGATTACAGGCATGAGCCACGGCGCCCAGCACCCATGGCCTTTTTTTTGAAGAGCAGGTTTACAATAAATAGGATGCCTTAGGGTTAAACGGCACCTTACAAGGCATTTCCTAGCATGTGACTTAAGGTGCCCTGTTGCAAGGGCCCTGCTTGGTCCAGTGTGGTTTTCACACCATTGAGCAGATGCTGCCCTGACTGCTTGTGGGTCCTGTCACTGAGTAGGCTGTGCCACTCTCTTGCTCACAAACCCTCACTGGCTCCCTATTGCCCACAGAGTAAAACCCACACAACCCTTTGGAATCCTGTGCTGTTCAGTCCCCTCAGCCTGCTCTCCAGTATGGCCTCCTCCCGTCTCTCTTTGTTAACAATTGCCAAACCCATCCTGCAGCCTGAACTTGGCCTTGCACTTCCCCATCTCCCAGCTTTTGGTCTCGCCAGTCCATCCACTCGTTATGCCCTTTCCCACTTCTCATCTTATTCAGACCCTGCTCATCCTTCACATCCCAGCCAGGGTATCCCTTCCTCTATGAGCCTCTCCTGGAATCTTCATAAGAATCATTGCTCCTTTCTCTAGGCTCTGTGCCTCTGCATTTAACACCCATAGCACTCTCATTTAGAGCTTGTGATCTGGAGAACCCGAGCTTGAAACCTATAGGCCCTAGTGGCACCGCGCCAGGCACATCTGGATGTGGAAGTCAAATGGTCTTTTTTTTTTCTTTTTTTTAAGAGTCAGGGGTCTCACTTTGTTGCCCAGGCTGGCTTCAAACTCCTTCTACCTCAGCCTCCTGAGTAGCTGGGATTGCAGGCAGGCACCACCACACCTGGCTAAATGGTGTTAGATTTGAATTCTCGCCTCCCAGCTACTATCTCTGGAATCTTGGGCAGGCCATGAAACTGCTCAGCTTCAGTATTCTCATCTATAAAACAGGAATGAATATTAAGACCTACCTTTCAAGTATAAAATTAAAAAAAAATTATCTCAACAAATGCTATTGAATTGGATTGAGTAGCTTTCACAGGGGGAGTTTATTCCTCACCGGAATTCCAAACACCAAATGATGGGCTGTTGGGTTGAGAACCCTGGCGCTCAAGGCTATTTGTATGCCCCTGAGGGCATCACTCAGCTTTATTTTCCTCTAAGGCTGTCCGTGGCGGCTGGCTTCCCACAGCGATGCAGCCACTGGTGGCCACCCCTCTTCTCCCAGGCAGGCATTTTGCCCATCCCATGGGGCTGCATTCAGCATCTCTTTTGGGAGGCAGAGTTTTTTTCTGTTTGTTCTGTTGTTTGATTCAAAAATTTCATGTCATTTATATAAGGTCTATAAGACCCATAGGGATGCTGAAATGGTGTCAGGCTCTCAGAAGCAGTCTGGCTCAGCAGCTGGGACAGCTGCAGCTCCGGAGTTCAATACACCTAGGTTCAAATTCCAGCTCTGCCTCCTGGGCAAAACCAGTTCTGAAATTTTATACTCAAGTTATCTCACCTCTCTGAGCCTCAGTTTCCTTATCTCTGATACGGGGATGATTATACCAACCATTAAAGTTGTCTTAAAAAGCAAGTGCATTAATAAATGCTTGGAGAGGGAGGGGCATATTGACTAGCACCTAATACCTGCTCAGTAAATGGAACGTACTGTTCTCCATTTGGAAAAAAAGGTCTCAAGCAGCTTCTTAGCTTCCTTTACATTGGCACCCCATTTATAAGGTACAGGTTTTAGCTTCCTGGAAGGAAAAACTTCCTTTGAGCCTGAGCTATGTAACAACAGAATAGGCTGCCTGAAGAAGGCAGTGAGCCACCCATCACTGAAGGTGTTCAAGAATCTTGGCAGCCTTTGGTGGGTGTATTTTTAAGGAAATTCAAGCAGAGATGGTTGATTAGATTAGGTCAGTTTTAATGGCCCTCCTAGTTTTGGGATGCTGATGTTTTAAAAAACAGCTTTATTGAGATATAATTCATATAATATACAATTCACCCATTTAAAGTGTACAATTCAGTGCTTTAAAAAAAAATAGAGCCAGGTTCTTACTGTGTTGGCCAGGGTGGTCTCAAACTCCTGGCCTCAAGCAGTCCTCCCACCTCGGCCTCCCAAAGTGTAGGGATTACAGGCATGAGCCACCTCGCCTACCCTCAATGCCTCTTAGTATATTCACAGAGCTGTACAGCCGTCACCACAATCATTTTTAGAATATTCTTACTACCTCCAACAGAACCCCTGCACTCCTTCACAGTCAACTCCCAACCCTCCCACCTCCCTAGCCCTAGGAAACCACTAATCTACTTTCTGCCTCTGTAAATTTGCCTGTTCTACACATTTCACATCAATGAAATCATACAATACATGGGACCTTTGTGACTGGCTTCTTTCATTTAGCACAACGTTTCCAAGGTTTCTCTATATTGTGGCATATGTCAGCACTTCATTCTTTTTCACAGGTGAATAATATTCCATTGTATGGATAGACCACGATTTCCTTATCCATTTATCAGTTGATGGACATTTGGGTTGCTCCCACTTTTTTTGGCTATCATGAACATTTGTGCACAAGTTTTTGTGTGGACATATGTTTTCATTTCTCTTGAGTATATATGTAAGAGTAGAATTGCTGGATCTGATGGAAGCTCTATGTTTAATATTTGAAGAACTACCAGGCTGTTTTCCAAAGTCACTGCACCATTTTCTGTTTCTACCAGCAGCATATAAGGGTTCCAACTTCCCTACATCTTCACCAACACTGGTTATTATCTTCCTTTGATTATAGCTATTCTAATGGGTGTGAATTAGTATCCCATTTTGGTTTTAATTTGCATTTCCCTGATGGCTAGTGATGTTGAGAATCTTTTCTGTGCTTTCTGGGCTTCTCAGTGTGCTCATTGGCCATCTTAGATGTAGGTATGATTTAAAGAAATGTCTATTCAAATCATTTGCCTATTTTATAATTGGGTTGTCTGTTTATTATTGAGTTTTAAGAGTTCTTTGGATTTTCTAGATGTAAGTCCCTTATCGGATATGTGATTTGCAAAAATTTTGTTCCATTCTGTGGGACATCTTTTCACTTTCTTGATGGTGTCACTTTTTTTTTTTTTTTTAACATTTTTGCCTTTGAAGTACAAAAGTTTTAATTTTGATGATGCCTAATTTATCTATTTTTTTATTTTGTTGCTGTGCCTTTGCTATCACATCTAAGAAACCATTGCGTATTCCAAGGTCAGGAAGATTGATGCGTATGTTTTCTTCTTCAGAGTTTTGTAGCTTTGGCTCTTACGTGTAGGTCTTTGATCTATTTGGAGTTAATTTTAGTATACGGTGTGATGTAAGAGTCTAATCTCATTCTTTTTCATGTGGATATCCAGTTGTCCCATCACCACTGTTGAAAAGATTATCCTTTTCCATTGAATTGTCTTGGCACCCTTGTTGAAAATTAACTGTCTGTAAATACAAGGGTTGATTGTTTCTTTCTCTGTGAGTCATTTTGAAGAAATAGAATGATCCTTCTCAGAGGCACAAGATAGGTCTTGGCCATCACTCTACACTGAGCTGCTGCCAGATCTTGGGCGGGTCTACTTCCTTCACTAAGTCTCCTCATCCATAAAACGGCACAGCTAGATAAGAGAATTCCGAAGGACAAGTCCAACTGTCACATGTTACCTGCAGGGAGGTTTCCACAGAATCTTTCATTGGCTCACTGGAATGTCCTGTCATCCCGTGAGGCTTACCCCGCAACCCGAGATCTAGAGCCAGCCTAAAATCTGGGGGCAGTTCCAGCAACTCCCTACCCTGACCTGGCCCCAAGAACAGCCAGTCCTGCCTTTCCAAGAAGTTGATGTTGTGTGTATTTATTGAATAAGCAGCACTGCCCTCCTCCTCTGTGCCAGCTGTGTCCCAGGCCTGAGGATACAGAGGGGATGAGACATAGCCTCTGCCCTTGAGCGGGACATTCTAATGGGAAGGTAGACATATCAACGGATGATGCAGAGCTGAGTGGGGCATGCTGGCTGGTACTGCGTGCCACAGCCTGCAGGTGTGAGAAGGTGGATGGCAATGCATGGCTTTGCCGATAGGGCCACAGGCCTGGCCCATGTGGTGAACACTTGCCCTGGGCCATATCTGAAGAGTGTCAGGTTGAGCTGTGGAGTCAGGCCACCATGGGGAACTCTTCATAGCTCTTTCACCCACCAACCAGCAGCAGCTCTTACTTGACTTACACCTTTGGCTCTGCAGCCAGCCTCAGCATGCTGACCAGGGGCTTGCTGGACACTTGTCTACAAGCTCAGTATAGTTCAGGGTAACAGGAAGCCTCTGCAGCTGGCCTGCCTGAAGTTCAATCTTGGCTCTGCATGCTTTTGGGAAAGTTATTTAATATCTCTGTGCCTTGTTTCCTATCTGTAATAAAGGGCTGGCCATGGCATCTACCTGATAGGATGTTTGCTTCTGAAGCCCTGTATGGTGCTGTAGAAAATAGCTGGGCACAGAGCTAGCTCCTGCCAAGGTCTCCAGCTGTTACAGGTTGGAATTATAGCTTGGAACAATATAGCATTTACTCCAGACTGCTGTGCATGCCATAATCGGTTATAGCCCATGGCTATTATGCGTTATAACATGGAAATATGGTATAATTAGCCTTTAGCTTGCCAGAACAAGAGATGACGGTGATAGTCCTTTACATTGGGATAGGGCAGGGCCTCTCAGCAGCGTGTATTTCCCTTACTAACTGATTCCGTTAGAAAAAGCCCCAAGGTGAATCGGACGTTGCCTTGTCCTTCACAACAACCTTCCAACTTAAAGCTCACTCGTCTCAGAGTGGGTGGAAGTCAGGTGTGAACTATTGCTCCACTCTGACCATTGAGGAAACTGGGGTTTGGGAGCAAGTTGGCGGTGGAGCCCACGCTGGAACCATGACTCCTAACCCCATTCCAGAGCCTGTTCTGCCCCCACTCGTGGCCTGAAGGAAGCCTCTTATTTTGGGGTTACAGAGTCTGTGCTGAGGCCCACTCTTGCCTCTGATTCCTGCCTTTCTCAGTTCCCCTGAGCCAGCAGCATGTGAAATCAAGGACTAATGAGGGCAGAGAGATGTCCATCCTGGCTCCACACTTCTTTCTTTTCAAAAAAAAATAAGCCAGGCATGGTGGCTCGTGACTGTAGTCCCAGCTACTTGGGAGGCTGAGGCAGAAATCTTGGGCCTAGAAAGTTTGAGACCAGCCTGGGCAACATAGCAAGACCCTGTCTCTAAAAATAATCAAATAAAAGAACACTTTCTGAGTACCTACTAAGCACCAACCGAGGTAGGTATTGTAGTTTATATTTTCCAGATGTATCTTTCATTCACAAATGTGTGTGAGCACTTACTGTGTGTCAGTAAGTGCCACGTGTTGTGATCAAAATAGGCAAGGGCTGTGCCCAGAGGCAGTTTATGTTCAAATGAGAACAAAAGGCTCAGAGTTCAGAGGAGTTGGACTGGATTCAGGTCCCTGAACTCAAAAGTTGTTGATTTTCAATCCTTATTCCAGGAGAACCCCTGGCAGCTGCATGAGTTGTTCAGAAATTCCAGGCCCTACACAGGAATCTGTCTGGGACCTGTAGGAGATGGGAGAGAGGCCCCATGGATGTGCTGCTGGGGAGCTCAGAAAGCCCCATGCACCTGTGGGTGACTCCATTTGTCTTCTGCTTTTACTGGCTTTGGCTGTTGCTTCATGGTGCTTGGTTCTGTCCTCAGAGAGTTGCCTGCAGGGAGTTGGCTGGCAGCACCCTGAGAATTGGAGCAGGTCCCTGTTGGCCAAGTGTCTTTGTCACTCAGTCACTCAGCTGCTCACCCCCTTAGCCATCAGCCAGCAGGCCCGGTGCTCAGCACACCAAGGAGCTTTCAAGGAGGAGATCCCTGGGAAGTGCTCAGCACAGAGTCTGGGAGCTCAGTTAGGCCGTCCTACACCACAAATGCCAAAACCAGTGAGAAATGCAAGCCACAGTGAGCCAGCATGACATGCTACCAGAAGGGCTAAGATGAAAAGACTGACCGTACAGTGTTGTCAAGGCCGTGCAGGAATTGGAATTCACACATGGCTGCTGGGTATGTAAAGAGGTGCAGCCACTTTGGAAAACAGTTTTGCAGTCCCTCCTCTCCTCTCCTCTCCTCTCCTCTCCTCTCCTCTCCTCTCCTCTCCTCTCCTCCCTTCCCCTTCCCTCCCCACCCCACCCCTCTTTTATGAAACAGGATCTCCATGTGTTGCCCAGGCTCATCTCAAACTCCTGGGCTCAAGTGATCCTCTCACCTTGGCCTCCCAGAGTGCTGGGATCACAGGTGTGAGCCACCACGCCTGGCCTTGGCAGTTTCTTAAATATACACCTACCATGTGATCCAGCCATTCCACTCCTAGGTATTTACACAAGAGAAATGAAAGCATATGTGCACACACAAGTATTCATCACAGCTTTGTTGGAAACTATCCATCCGTGGGTGCATGAATCCACAATCTGTGGCACAGGAATGCTATGGAATAGTACTCAGTAACAAAAAGGAACAAACCACTGATACAGGCAACGACATGGATGAATCTCAAAATAACCATCCTGAGTGAAAAAATCAGACCCCTCTCTCTAAAAAGAGTACAGTTGACCCTTGCACATTGCAGGGGTTAGGGGTACCAGGCCCTTGCACACTTGAAAATTTAAGTCTAACTTTTGAATCCCCCAAAACTTAACTGCTAATAGCTACTGTTGACTGGAAGCCTTACTGATAACATAAAGTTGATTAATACATACTTTGTATGTTGTATATATTACATACTATATTCTTACAATAAAGTAAGCTAGAGAAAAGAAAATGATATTAAGAAAATCATAAGAAAGAGAAAATGTATTTACTGTTTATGAAGTGGAAGTGGGTCATCATAAAGTTCTTCATCCTTATCGTCCTGATGTTGAGTAGGCTGAGGAGGAGGAGGAGGAGGAAGAGGAGGGGTTGGTCTTGCTGTCTCGAGGGTGGCAGGGGCAGAAGACATCTGTGTATGAGGGGACCCACACAGTTCAAATCTGTGTTGTTCAGGGGTCACCTGTATTTTCTGTGTCATCCCATTCCATTCATGTACAAAACTCTAGGAAATGCAAACAAATCTACAACGACAGTCAGCAGATCAGTGGTGGCTGGGAGAGGGTGTAGGTGGGAGGTGGGAATTACAAAACCAGCCAGGGAGCTTAAAGGGGAGGCGGGTATGTTCATTTTATGGACGGGTGTTGGCTTTATAGGTGTATATCTAAAACTTATCAAACTGTGCAGCTGAAATATGTGAAGTGTCTTATTTACCAATTATACCCCCAAGAAGGTGGTTTAAAATAATGGCAGCTCCAATCTCCAGCCGATCAGTCAGGAAGATGAACATGACAAACCCCTCCTCAGGGAGCTCCTGTGGTTCGTGCCAGCAACACGGACAGTGAAACACGGCATCGCGGTGGAAGTGCCGGCTCCGGGTCTCACTCTATCCCTCACCTTGCCAGGCCTCCCCAATCCTTGGTCTTCTCACTGAGAAATGGGAACAATAACAGGACCTACCTCCAAGGTGTAAGAAATATAAGAAAGAATGTAAGAGAATATAAGAAAATCATGTCAAATGCTTAGTAAACATGTCATAAATGGCAACAGCCACTGGGCCCTGTGGGGACCCAAAGAAAGGAGAAGTCGCTTCTACCAGGAGGAGCAGAGGCTGAAAAGATTTCTCCTCTGCACCTGCAGTGGCTGTGAGCTGAAAGAGACAGGGAAGAGTCAGCTAGAAGCAGGTGCGGAGGGGCGGGTGGGGCAGAGTGGGGGAAGGACTCTCCAGGCAGAACTAACTGGAGCTGTGGCACCCAGACTCTAATATTCTGGAAACACAGGCAGTGTGGTGCAGCTGGCATGCAGCGCAGGGAGCACCCTGGCCAGTTAGGACTGTAGGGCTGGCAGGAGGCACCGTCCTTGAGGGTCCAAGGAACACTGACTTTATCCTTCAGGCTGGGGTCCCTCACCTTGGGGTGTCAGGAGGATTTCTTTGGAGACCATGAGTTTTATGTGAAGTTTAAAAACTTGCGTGTAATAAAAACAAAAAAGTGTAAACCCTATATTTTGGCACAGTCCTTTTCAATGGAAAGACATGTTCATCTAGTAGAAGGCTGTCATTTCTCAAGTCCTTGTTGAAAAGAGTACATTCTGAGGATGTGTTCTTGTGCAGCCATAATTTTGCTTTAAAAGCGTCTGTCCATGGGCCGCTGGGGTTTAGGGCTGAGGAGGACTGTGGTGACGTGTGTGTGGTCATTGAACCATTCTTGCTCCCTTGGGCTGCAGTACAGATGGCCCAGGAAGAGGGAGATGTCAGGGAAGGCAGGGCCAGCCAGCCAGGCAGGTCTGGGGGGTTCAGGGAGGGTCCCTCTGTGGGGAAGACCCCTGCCTGAGAAGGCATGAGGCGCTGGCGGGGAGGGTAAGGCCTGGCACCTCTGACTCCCAGGGCCAATAAGACATTGGGAGAGGGGTGGGGGGTGGCCTGGGGGACAGGTGTCAGTGCCATGTTGTCAAGGGTGCTGGGTGGGTCACTGAGGAAGGTGCAGGCAGATGCAGGGACCAGGGGTCAGACATCCTGGGTGGCACTGCCCCACTGGGCCAGATCTTCTTGGGGGTGATGGGGGCCTGGGGGCTGGCTCAGTACCTGGGATTAGCCTTGCCCCAGAGCAGATGGGAGCTCTCCTCAGGGGCCAGGGCCCTGGAGATTTCATCTATGGGCACTGGGGAGTGTGTTTCCACTGAAATGTGTGGGGTCGGGGAAGGGCCGCTTTCCCAGGGCTTCCAGAGGACACAGCCCTTCTCCCTTCTGCCTGGCATCATGCGGATGGAGCTGATAAGGGGTGGTGGGGGTGCAGTGTACCCCTTGAGTGCAGGCTGCTGTCTGCACCTCTGTCCCTCCCCTGACCCTTGTCCCAAATCAGACTCTGCTGGTCCTCAGGGGTGAGGTGGGAGAAGTTGCATTCATTAATATTGACTCAGAGCAGGTGCTGAGCTCCACGAAGGAGGTGAAGTGAGGAGCAGGAGAGATGAGGGGACAGATATTTATAGTCCAGTGGGATCCAGGCTGAGATGGATGTCTGCATAGGAGTGGCCATGGCTGTGTCAGTCATTCAGGGAAGGCTTTCTGGAAGAGGAGCCATCTGAGCTGAGCCTGTGGGGATGCTGGGTATCCTAGAGGGAGTGGTGTAAGGGGAGAGGGAGAGGAGACAGCCTGGTGAGGGCAGAGGGAAAAAAACGCTGAGCATTTCGGCATTCCTGGGAGGTCTAGGGGCTGTGGGGCAGGGGTGGCCATCAGAAGGTGGGGTTGCAGAGCTCCTAGCACCTGTAGGTTAGGGCGTCCTGTCTTTGGTCGGGGAGCAGCCGACTCTCTCAGTTTACCTTCAGGGCATCTGAGGAATGTGTGCGTTCTCACTCTCAAGTGAATGCCTCAGGTCTATTGATTAAGGTGGCTCCAGGGAAGCTGTGTGAAGTGAAGCCCATTGGAATGTGGGGAGGGGGCCAGCAGCCCCGCCTCACTCTGTCCTTCTCCAAGAGGAGGAAGCCTGCTCTGCTCTTCAGAAACAGAAGTGACTGATGCAGTTGAGGCAAGAAGGGCAGGGGTTCTTTGCAGTTTCATTGCTTTCTGATTTCTAATCTTGGCCTACATTGACTCAAAGCTAATAGGACCCAGCCCCAACCGCCCTCCCACCGTGTGGATGAATTTGCCAAATACACACTCACGCCCATGGTTAGAATCATCTGTTCTCATCTACGGGAGGCTGAGACATCCTCCAAGCCCATGGTTCTCAAAGTGAGGTCCTGGAGCAGCAGTGTCAACGTTACCTAAATACTCATTAGAAATGCAAATTCTTAGCCCCCAGTTTTATAAATTGGGGGTGGGATCCAGCCATCTGTGGTTTAACAAGACCCCCAGGTGTCTCTGAGGCAGGCGCCAGTGTGAGAATCACTGAGCGAATCCACCGTTCCTCAAAGGATTTTGGTTTTGTTTAAATCATAACTCTCAGTGAAATACATTCTACATTTATACATATGCAACACATCCATCAAACAAGCAACAGTCTCATGAAACAGTATTTATCCTTCATCCATGAGAGGCACTGTGATATTTTTCATTCTATTCTATCTTCTTTCCTTACAAAGCACTTTTGATCAAGACCCCTGAGTAGATTTCACAACCCATGCATAAGTCACACTCCCAGTGTGAAAAGCCAGTACCAACCCCGCTGCATTGACTGGCTTGTCCACACACCAGTGGCCCATGGCACTCAATGTTCCAGCCAGGCTGGTACCTGTGCCCTGGTACCCTGCTCAGTGCTCTCTGACCTGCAGCAGATGGCCAGTGCCCTGCCTGCCTGCCCTCTGACCGGCTCCGCCCACACTGCCAGCAGCCCCTGTTACTCCGTGGCCAGGGTTCCCCTCAGGAGCCCCCTTGAACCTCCTGGGAGCCCTCCCCTTCAAAGTGTCCAATTGGAGCCTGAGACGATCACACCTGGTCCCAAGAGCTAAGGCCCCACCCCTTGGAGCCACCCACCCTGCCCTAGGAACATATCTCTGCAGCAGCCTGGCCTTCATCCCTACCACGGCTGGGGACCTCTTTTTACCTTGCATACACTCTGCCCCCTCCACTCTGTCCCATTTCCCTCTTAGCTGCCCTGGTGTCTTCTCTCCCTCTCAAACACCTGTATTTGTGTGTTGCCAAGGCCAGCACTTCCCAGGTGGAAATCCTGGCATCCTCCAGACTATGCCTAGGGAACTTGGGTTTCATTCATTGAAGAGAGACTGGAAATGGGTTTTATGGTTGGCGTATCTGGAGAAGCAGGTGCATCAGAGAGCAGCTGGCTTTCCCTACCAGACACCACCGGTCTGTGACAGTGGGACTGACTTAAAATGGCTTCGGGACCGCTTGCCTCCAAAGCAGTCCCTGGCCAGTGTCCTTTGTGGCTGTAATTGTAGAGTAGACCTCACAACCCTTTCCAAGGTGGGACTTCTTGTGTAACCATGCCTAGCTGGTGGACAGAGGGTGGCGTGGCCCTGCAGCCCGCATGGCTTTGGTGCAGTCCCTTAACCTGCCAAGCCTCTGTCTGCTCACCTCTAAGGCGGAATGAAGCCCAGTAATTGCTCCTCACTTTGGATTAGCTGCCTGGCAGGGTTGTTGTGAGATTAAATGAGATAATGCATGGGCGCTACCGTTGAGTTCCTATCCCTCCTTTCACACACTTTGTTCTGAGAATCACCTTCTGCCAGTGCCACAGAGGAGAAGATTGCCAAGGTCTATCCTCTTGGTGCAACCTCCTCTGTGATAAATAAACAAAATTGTGTTCCCAGAATCCATTGGAAAAAGCTTTGGGATTAAGACCAGCTGTAACTCAGTTCCTGAAATAACATCCAAGCATAAGAGAGCAGTGGGAAAGAGAGGATAAGGGTGGGAATGTGTGTGGCAGGGCAGGAATGAGTCACAGGACAGCCGAGTGAGTCACGGCAAGCGAGCACGCCCATGCCAGAACTCTGGGTCAGCTTGTGGTGGGCGGCCCCGGCCAGCTTGACAGAGCAGGGGCACCAGGCTGTAATCGCTAATGGGGCCTGCCATGGGAGCTGGGGTTTTACCTGGGTTTACCTGGGTCTGAATCCCAACGCCTTCTGAGTTCCAGAGCAGAATGTCAGTGGGCAGCTGGGTTGGCACAGGGCTGGAGTGAGCGGGCACAGTGTGACGGAGGCTGCCTGGCAGCTGGGGGGCTCAGTTGGTTTCCCTGAACTCTAGATTCTTGAGCTGCAGCTCAAGATAGATTCCTGCCCTGGAGTTACCTTCCTGGAACTCGGCAGTTACCAGTGGGGTTCTGGGAGGGACAGAGAGGGCCGTGGAAGCTGTGTGGCACCAGGGGATTTAATAGCAAAGAGTTTAGACTCAAGTCATCCTTGGTTCAAGTCTTGCCTCTGCTACTTAGCATCCCGGTGACTTTGGGCAGCGTTGTTAGTATCATTAAACCTGTTTTCTCAGCTGTAAAGTAGGGATAATGTGAATGTGTCACTGGGCCTATGTAGGATAAGTGAGTTAATACCTACAAACCTTTTGTCATACAGTCAGGCACCTGCAGAACACCGGGTAAATGTCGGCTTTTACTGTCATTGGTGGACCTGGGTCCACCACTTTTCAGCAGACTGTTTGTGTCTCCGAGTCTCAGTTTCCCTCTTTGTAAAATGGGACAAATAATGCCCGCCACATGACAGTCACTCCCTGAAACTGACGTTGCCGCTTTCTTTGCTCGGGAGGGGCTTGCTCTCATGTTTCAGGGGAGTTCGCTAACGAGATTGGGTTAGGACCTGAGCAGGATTCTTGGAGCCTCTGGATCACTGAATGACAAGAATTAGTGTTTTCAAATTCCCAGATAATATTAATTAATTAATTTATTTTGAGATGGTGTCTCGCTGTCACCCAGGCTGGAGTGCAGTGGCGCAATCTCTTCTCAGTGCAACCTCTGCCTCCCGGGTTCAAGCGATTCTCCTGCCTCAGCCTCCCAAGTAGCTGGGATTACAGGCGCACGCTATCACGCCTGGCTAATTTTTGTATTTTTAGTAGAGACAGGGTTTCACCATGTTGGCCAGGCTGATCTCAAACTCCTGACCTCAGGTGATCCGCCTGCCTTGACCTCCCAAAGTGTTGGGATTACAAACGTGAGTCACCACGCCTGGCCCCAGAGAATTTTAAAAACTGCTGTTAGGGTGTTGGAGGGATTGAGACAGAGGTAAGAACCTGGTCCTTATGGGGCATCAGCCCCTCACCAGTGGCATTGCAAAGCCAAGTAGGGGCCCCACCCAGCACCCTGAGCTTTGGAGAGCCGGGGAAGGGGAAGGGAGGGAGAGAGGTCTGGACCCAGCGACCCCAGGACACAGGGCCCTCAGCCTCAGTTGGCAATCCACGTGCTGACCCAGCAGGCGATCTGCCTCGGGCGTTTTTTCAGTGCCAGGTGCCAGTATCCTTTCCTTCCTGCAAGCCTGGTCCCCCAGAGACCAAATTGCATCTCGGCCAATTGCTTTCAGGCCTGGAATCGGGCAAAGGGAGCTGGTGTCCAGATGGACATTCACAGTTACCCGATGGACCACAGGGGCAGCCCTGGCCTGGGGGCCCACACATCTATTTCTCCCCGTCCTCTGCTCTGCCCTGGGTCACAGGAGAGCTGACCCCCTGCGGGCTGCATTGTCCCGGCTCCCCTATACTGGCTTCTGGCAGGACCAGAGGTAAGTAGTCGGCTGGGGGTTTCTCTGACAGCCTCTCCGCCCTGGGTGGTGTCTCCTGCAGCAGATGTATCTCCTTTGGGGCTCTAGTTCCTGCTGCTCAGCGGCCCCCAACATGGGTCTAGGAACATCTAACATTGCCTCCCCGCCTTGTCTCTCTAGCGTAGGGGTTGATCTCTGGGCTTCCTTTTGTCTCCTCGCAGCTTCTCAGCTCCTCCTCCTCATTACACCCTCCTGGTTCATAGCTGGACTCGGAGGGGCTTTACTCTGCTGATTGGACCTTGACTCACACGGGCTTGCTTTCCTCCCAGGGGCAGTTCTATTGGATGCCCCACGGTAGGTGAAGTTCAACTTTATTTTGGAGTCAATATGGTCTAGTGAGAATCTCGGGCTTCAGAATCCAATAGAACAAGGTTTAAATGTCAGCACTACTGCAAGTGCCTCCATGTCCTGGGCCAGTGACTGCAGTCTGCGCATTCTTATCTAGGGTTGTGGAAGGTAACAGCCGCTCCTGTGCCCCACGCACCTATTACTGACCAGGTGCTCCCACACCTGCCCCAGTCAGCCCCGCAGCATTCTAAGAGGTAGATGCCGCTGCTGTGCCTGGGGTCGGGGGTGGGGAGGAGGCTCTGCCCAGGCCGCCAGCTAATGGGCCACAGAGCTCAGCTGAGAGGCAGCCCCGCTACTCCCCTTCTGCTGCTGCTGAGATGGGCTGGGGCTGCCTTTCAGACCGGGATGCCAGGAGGCCCAAACGGGGTGGCTTTTGGACAAGGGCCTCACGTGGTGTGGGCCTGTCCTTATTTCATGAGTGTTAGCACCTTCTCTTCCATGGCTGGCCTTTTTTTTTTCAGTTTGCATCACGTTTTCCAGTATCCCTGAGTCAACCACACTCTTCCTTATGATATTTCAGCTTCTTCAAAGCACTCTGAGCTTTCTTTATGACTCAAATTAAGGTGTCCCATTTTGAGAAGATGGCTAAAGCCTGGAGCTCAGATTCTGGAAGATTCCTGTCCTCTCCCAAAGTGCATCCTTACTGTCCATTCCTGGGGAGGCTGTGTCTCCAGCCATGCCCACAGACCTTATCCACCTCTGGGGGACTGGCTGGTCTTCCAGGCCCATAGCTTTTGACCCAGGTTCTGTGTTCTGAGCATGGGCTCGGTCTCAAGCCTGCCACATCATCTGCCCCAGCTCGGGGGTTTCCATCATGAAAAAAAAATCACTTCTCTTCCGCTGTCATTTGTGATAACCACATGGACGCTGAAACCCAAACCCAAGGCTGTTTCCTTTCTGTCTCCTCCATACACCAGCGCCAGCATGACCCAGAAAGGGTCAGCACTCTCATGGCCAGCCCTCTCACTGACTCAGTGGGGACAGCTCAGAGACACGCCTAGAGCCCTACTCTCCCGCTGCCTGCAGCCACACCCCAGGGATGTCCCCAGACAGGGCTTGGAAACAGAAAATACTTTTTTTTGCTTCTTTTTACCCCTGAGCACATTTCTTTTGCAATACTGTTTGGAAACTGCACAGTTCTTTTTTATTTATTTATTTATTTATTTTTTAATCCTATCTCCATTCAACCAGTCCAGAGACGAAACTTCTCCCGTGCCAGAGAGGCATGCTGGCTCTGCTCACTCCTGCAACCTTTTCTCATTGTCCTTGGCCGTGTGCGTCTGCCATTTCTGCAGTGACCCCAGTCTCAGCCCACCTTTGAGTGCAGAGTGCTTCCCTCCTCCACACACCCTGGCCTGGAGCTGTCTCCTACCCGCCCCTTCCAATGCCTAACCCTTGCCAGCTCTGGTGCCCTCAGCAGGCAGTGCCTCCCAGCCACCTTCCTCAAGCCAGGTGACAACCACTCCTTTGAGGTCCCGTGGCCCCTGTCCTCCTGTCTCAAAACTCATGCTGGCCTCACTGTAGCTGCCTTACTGTGCGTCCATCCCCGCCCTCCACCCCCACTGCACTGGACATGGAGCCTCACCAGGCCAGAGCCACACTTGGTCTGTCTCTACATCCTCAGCACCTGCACTCAGCAGCCACTTAGTGCACTGATTCATTAGTCTATCAGCTGGTAACCCAGTTCCTATGCTCCCCCAACCTTGAGCTGGTGAGACAGCTGCTGTCTGGATGCAGGTTCCCAAGGATGGAAAGCCCTCCACCCAACACCTGTGCGTTTGGTAAAAAGGAACTATTTCCAAGCATGGTGTGTGCTCCAGGTTCTGGGCAATTTTTTTAAATTTTTATTTATTTATTTATTTTAGAGACAGAATCTCTCTCTGTCACCCAGGCTAGGGTGCAGTGGTACCATCATAGCTCAATGCCGCCTGGACCTTCCGGACTCAAGTGATCCTTCCACCTGGCTAATTTTTTTTTTTTTTTTTTTTTTTTTTTTGGTAGAGACGAGGTCTCACTATGCTGCTTGGGCTGGTCCTGAGCTCAAGTGATCCTCCCGTATCAGCCTCCCAAACTGCTGGGATTACAGGCATGAGCCACTGCACCTGGATGGGTTTTTAAATTAATTAAATCTAGGTGTTATCCCCATTTTCCAGATGAGAATATGGACACCCAGAGAGGTTAAGTGACCAGCCAGATGCCACACAGCTAGTGAGTCATGGGGACTTGACCACTGGGACCAATTCTAGGTCCTTCTGGCCTCATGGCTGACTCTTTCCCAGACATGTGCCGGTGGGGTCACTTAGCCAGCTAGCTTTGCTGCCTGCTGGGCTTTCTGCAGTTGCTGGTTGTAGCCTTGGACCACCTGAGATAGGGGATGGCTCACGACAGCCTATAGGCCAAGTGCCCTCGTGGTGTGTTTTTGTCTAGCCAGTGAGCTAAGAAAGGGTCTGACATTTTCAAAGGGTCGTAAAAGCAAGGGAGACTATGCAACAGAGACTGTATGTGGCCCGAGACAGCTAAAAACATTTTCTACCTGACCCTTTACAGGAAGAGTATACCTCTGCCAATAGACAGTGTCCCCCAGACCATTCTTCCTTGCAAGGGGTTCAGGGAGTGACCAGCGCCTGTGCAATGGCTGTGGGAGGCTGGCTTACCTCGTCCTGCCTTACAGGGAGTGGTGACACAGGAAGCAGTGCTCTAGGCTGGCTGAGGAGGGGTCCGACGGGCAGAAAAAGGGAGGACCCAGAGCAGTCTGGTAGTCCCAGGGCAGAAGCTGGTCCCCAGGACCTGGCGTGCAGGGGTCACAGTAACATCGACCCTCTCAACCCACAACCTCAGAGGTCCCTCACAGACTCCCTGTTCAACTGTCCCTGATACCACATTAGGTGGTAAAGAAGCTCCTCTGAGAGCTTCTTTAGAGTAAGATAGTGTCTGCTGTCTGCTTATTGGATGCTACGATCATAGCATCAGGCCTGCCTCTTAAGTCCTGTGTTTCATTGAACTGAAGCAAAATAGGCAGAATTGCAGAGGAGGCTCAGGTCTCCTGAACTCTGCCTGCAGCCTCGCCCAGCCCACAGTTCGGTTGGTCTGAGCATCCCCGCCTGCTCAACCCCACCGGGTCCCTGGGTTTCATCTGCTATACCCTCCAGACACCAACCACTGAGCCTCACAGGTCACGGGCATTGCCAACAAGAAGGGGTGCTCTAAAGCCTCGCTGCCTCTTGATGATTAGAGCCACGCTTCCCCACTGTCCTGTCATCTGAGACTCAGCAGGACTCGTCTCTGTCCCTCCCATTCTTTGCTTAATAAAAATAAAAGCTGAGTTTTTGGAAGCCATTCAAGTCACACACTAGCTGAGAAATTAGAGCCACAACAAATACATTTAAATGCTTGCACATCCAATGCACTTTTCAAGTAAAGCATTCAAAGGCAGGGAGTGGCTACAGGGAACATATTAAGTTGTTACAAAAAAAGTCAAAACAGGTCTGAAAGGAAAGCAACTCACTGGGAGAATCACAGGACGGGTTTCCAGAGCACAGCCCGCTACGTCGCCCACCTCCCCCTGGCCAGCCCACATCCTTTGGCCCAGCACGCGTCTGATGGCCTCTTCCATTTTCTCCTTCTCTCTTGTGGGTTCTCCCCGAAGCTTCTTCTGGCCCCGTGCAGGGCCTGGGGATGGTGCCCAGCTTCCCAGTAGATACTTACTAACTGATGAGTGAAGACAATTTTTATTTTTAATAGTGATGATTTTTACTGTAATGTAATAAAAATTGTAAAGTAAATTCTAAGTGCTTAATAGAGAAAAATAAGGGAAAAAAAAACAAACTTCCAATGGTGGTCCTACCCATCTCAACCAAGTGGCCTTCAAGGTTACTGTGCCTCTCCCCCAATGCCAGGGAGAGAGAGGCCTGAGGTTCCCATGGAATGTGCTTAAAAGCCAGGCCTGGAAGGGGCTAAGGCCACTGCACACAGCCCTGACTTGATCACATAGACCCTTTAATGGCAAGACATCCTGGCCTTTTTCTTGAACTCCTGGGCTCAAGCGATCCTCCTGCCTAAGCCTCCCAAAGTTCTGGAATTATAGGCATGAGCCACCATGCCCGGCCCCAGCCTTTTTCTATGAGTGTAGTTTTTGTTAATGTTTTGTTTTGCTTTTACTAGTTGTTGAGTTGTGACTACCTAATATATAATTTTGTCTCTTTTTTGGTATTGCCATTATATCCTAAAAATTACCATTCACAAATTCATTTTAAGCCTCCTTTTTGCTGGCTGCATAATATTCTAAAGTGCAAGTGTACCATAACTTACTTAAGCAATCCCCTATAATTAGGCATGTGGGTTGTTTCTGGTTTTGTTTTGCCATTTTAAATAATGCCATGTTGAGTTTTTTGATGTGTTAAACTTTATACCCATTCTGGGCTCATTTAACAACATTGGCCTTACTCTGTACAAGGTATTGTGGGAGACTGGAGGATAAACCAGACACAATCCCTTTGAATAAAATGCAAATACAAATAACTTTAGTTCAAAGCAGTCACATGGTTGCTATATGCAGACAACTAGAACTGGAATACAGAAGAGTTTTGCCTGGACTAACTGGGATTTTAAGAAAGTCACAGGAGAAAATCTGAGGCTTTGCAGCCATAGCCCAGGGGAAGTCAAATGGACAGTCCAGCAAAAGGGGTCTCTGGTGGGTGACCTATGCCAGCAGGCAGGTGTTACCTAGGGCCGGCATAGCAAGCGGGTTGCATCTCGAGCATTATGTTCGTTTTCAGTGGTTGCGAGGAGTGCTGCGCAGAGGTCAGAGGGGAGTGGCTCAGTGGGTAACTTTAGCAGGACCTGCCCATGGACCCAGGTTGGTGGAGTGGTGGGGATGGCATGAACCTAACACGACCATCCCCAGCCTGAGAAGTTCATCTCAGGGAGAGCTCAGGGCTGGTGTCAGCTTGGCCCATGCCCAGAACAGTGTTCCTTAGGTTGAGGCCTCTTTGATCCATTCAAATCAAGATCATTATGGGTCCAGACGTTTCGGACTGCAGGTTTTGACGTCCTCTTTTGGAGAGCGTGCAATCTGAATAGACAGACGAGAATTGCCTCCGGGCCTCAAGCTTCGAGAAGAGGAAGCAGGGAACCTGAGAGGCCAAAGACAAAGCAGTTTTGCCAGGCCAGAGCCCTAGGCCAGTTTTCCCAGAGGCCAGACCTGTTTTCATTCCCTGCCTAATTCCATTCCTGACAAACGTGCTCACCTCTGGCCATATTGCCCAACTGGGAGCACCAGGGGAGGGTTGGTGGTGGGAGTGGGCCTGTCCCAGGTGTCCTGCCGGGGGTCTTTTTGCAGCCCCCTACATTCCTGCCTGTTGGCCTTATCTGTGGCCCTTTCTTCAGCCCCTGCAGGTGCCATGACTCAGCAGCCCCAGGACGACTTTGACAGGAGCGTGGAGGATGCCCAGGCATGGATGAAGGCTGTGCAGGACCAGCTGCAGGTCAATGACAACACGCAGGGACCCCGCGCGGCCCTGGAGGCCAGGCTGTGGGAGACCGAGGTATGCAGAGGCGTGGCCTCAGATGGCCCTGTGGTCTTGGCCCCATCCCACCCCGCCCTCAGACCTCAGGTTTCCTATCTGTGAAAGGCAACGGTGGACTAAACCAATGTTTCTCAAACTCTGATGTGCACACAGATCTCCTGGAGATTTTGTTTAAGTGTAGACTCTGATCGGGTCATGGAGGTGAAGTCCGAGACTTTGCTTTTGACAAGTTCCAGGTGATACCATTTTTGCTGGTCCTTGGAACACACTCTGATGACAAGGAACTAGAGCCTGTCCTCTCATCCTCCTGTCCCTGCAGGGGGGACCCGTGCAGCCTGGTGGGTCCCCAGCCCTTGCTGGGGGGCTTCCCACCCCTTCTCTGCTTCTGCCTGGTTGGGGTCCCTGCCAGATCTGGGTTGGCCAAGGTCTTCCTCCAGAGGAGCGGGGAAGGGGCTCTGCCCAGCAAGGAGTGACTTCCTGAGCTTCTCCAGAACCATAGTCTGGCTTTACCCACCCCACCTGGCACAAGACCATGTAGCACTAAGTGCTGGTGCCCAGTGCCTGGCCTGGCATCGTGGTGCCCCTGTCTGAGGGTGGGTCGCCCGTGGCCTGGGGACAAGAGGGAAGAATACTGAGCTAAGAGTCGGAGGCCGGAGTTATAATCTCCTTGCTGATGCTAGATTGCTGTGTGACCTTGGTCAAATCCCTGCCCCACTCTGGGCTTCAGTTTTCCCATCTGCAAATGGAGCAGTTGACTTCCACACCTCTGGGGTCACATCCATTTAGATATCCCATAATTCTAATTTATCACCCAACAATGGTTGCTCTTAGTGTGGGGTGGGGTGCTGCCTTCTCCCGCAGCAAACCAGTCACCCAGCCAGGCTGGAAGCAGTGGTGACCCCACAGCTGGTTCCTTGTGTGTTTCCTTTGTGTGTGCTGTCTTCTCGATTCTGTGCACTGTGCACCATATTGCATATATCTCATGCCCTTTCTGGAAGTGGACCGTGGGAATTAACAATCCTCATCACCTTTCCAAGTCAGTGTTTGATTTCAGTGTCACCGCCTCATCCAGAGGCAGGAGCCATTGTCTGCATTTGCAACTGGGGAAATGGAGTCTCCTCACACCGTTTCCTGTGCCTGCAGAGCCCTGTCACGTTCAAGCTCTCTGCTGTGCTCCCTTCACCTTCTGTCTGGGAAGCTCCCTCACAGATCACCCAAGAGTGGAATACCCCCTGCTTTCTGCCATCCCTATGCCAGGGCTGGGGCTGTGCAGGTGGGTGAGGCCCACCCTGCTCTTGAGGGTTCCCAGCCTCATGGAGACACGTATGCAAACAATCAGGGCAACTGCACAAGCATGTATGAGGCACACCCCTAACGTGGGTCCCATGATGTTATTCTCTTCCTCTAAAACCTTCCGTGGCTCTCACTGTCCACCAAAGGAAAAGCAAACTTCACCTGGCTTCAAAAGTCCCCCACTATCTGCACCACTCTCTTTTCCAGCCTTAGCTCTCCATGCTGTCACACCTCCCAAGATCACACCAGCCTTAGCTCCAGCCACTGTCATACCTCGCAAGCTCATACCAGCCTTAGTTCCAGCCACTGTCACACCTCACAAGCTCACACCAGCCTTAGCTCCAGCCACTGTCACACCTCGCAAGCTCACACCAGCCTTAGTTCCAGCCACTGTCATACCTCCCAAGCTCACACTGGCCTTAGCTCCAGCCACTGTCACACCTCGCAAGCTCACACTGGCCTTAGCTCCAGCCACTGTCACACCTCACAAACTCACACCAGCCTTAGTTCCAGCCACTGTCACACCTCACAAGCTCACACCAGCCTTAGCTCCAGCCACTGTCACACCTCGCAAGCTCACACCAGCCTTAGTTCCAGCCACTGTCATACCTCCCAAGCTCACACTGGCCTGAGCTCCAGCCACTGTCACACCTCGCAAGCTCACAACAGCCTTAGCTCCAGCCACTGTCACACCTCGCAAGCTCACACCAGCCTTAGCTCCAGCCACTGTCACACCTCCCAAGCTTACACCGGCCTTAGCTCCAGCCACTGTCACACCTTGCAAGCTCACGCCCTCCTTTGATTGGCAGAAGACCTCGTAGACCTTCCACCGCCAAGCCTTTGTCCATGTGTTGCCTCTGCTTGGAATGCTTTTTTGTGTGGGTCTGGGTGTGCACAAGAAATGAAACCCTCCTGTCCGTGCATCTCTCCTGACCAGTTTCCGCCTTTCTCAGCCCCAGCTCCTGACCTTACCTGTCTGTGAGCATCACAGCCCTGCCTGTGTGCCCACTGTGTTAGGGTGCTTAGCATTTTAAACTTTCTACCCTTTGCTGGTGGGTCTTTCCCTCCAGGTGGTGGTTCTGGTTTAAGCAAAGTCAAGGGTGGTCCTTAGGAAGACACATTGGCAGGACCAGGGTGGATGGGCCCTGGAAGCCAGAGGCAGCACTTCTGTGAGCCCCGAGGGGGTGGGAGTCCAGGCAGAGGGGAGTCATGGCCTGAGCGTTCTGCCAGTGTCTCCTCCCACGGGGCTCCGGCATGCTTCATTTACTGTGTGTTTTGCCACTTCAAAACCAATTTCACAATAAGAAAGAAAACGTTTTCCTGTTGCCAGCTGGTAAGAGGGGGCAGCTAGTGCCTCTCGACCTACCCATGGGACCTGCCCCCGGGTGCTGGGGTCTCTCTTGTGCTTCCTCCACCAACTCTGTTGGCTTGTCTCCAGTGCCTGTTTGCTGCAGTGACAGGGACGTGGGCTCTGATCCAGTTCTGACTCTTAATAGCCATGCAGCCGGGAGGATGTCCCATGCCTTCCCGGGACCTCATGTTCCCATCTGTAGAGCAGGAATGAACCCCCTCACCCCTTGTGTTCCCGAGGGGTTAAGGGAAACTCCAGAATCCTCGTGGGGTGGGGGCTTTCTGTAAGGTGTGATTGGAGAACCCATCGCTCCTGGGTTGAGAGCTTGGCTACTGGGTCTGCAGGCCCGGGCTCCAAAGTCTGCCATGGCTGTGGCACCTCAGGAGGATTTCCCAGAGCTCTCTGAGCTTCAGCTTGCTTCCGGGGAGAGTGATAGCTGCTGCCTTTCAGGAAGGAGGGAGGATTAAGGAGGATCATTTATAGACATGCTTGTATGCACAGTGCAGGGTATGCTGGCAGAGCTGGCGAAATGGAGGCGATCGTTTCTTGTGGTTTTAGAAGCTGGGATACACAGCATACCAAGTGTCCCTGCCCATCCCCAGAGCCTCCAGCAGTGGGTCTTAGGAGCTTCCAGCCACACTCCCAGGTTCCAGCATATGTATTTATTTGTTTATTGAGAGGGAGTCTTGCTCTGTTGCCCAGGCTGGAGTGCAGTGGCACGATCTCAGGCTCCCTTGTCCTGTATCTGGGTCCTGGCCTGAGCCAGGCAGCTTCCTCACCAGCTTCTGGGCCACCGTCTTGGTCAGGAGCACCCTGGTGTTTCTCAAGGCTTGGATTCCCAATGCATTCATCCTTCAATATATCTTACTTCCCTACCTTTGCTCAAATATCCTTCTCCAGTTGTCTTTAATTAGAGACCTGCAGGCTTCATGCCAATGCCACCTCCTCCACAAAGCCTTCCTGGATTTCTCCCATCCCTCCCTGAGCTCTCATACTACTTTGCGGTCTCTCCTGGCCCTTTTTGCAGTCGTCTGCGCTCTTATCTGCAGCCCTCTTTCCTACCAGCTTGTTCATCCAGGACCCTAGCACTCAGCATAATGCTCAGCTGGGGGTCACCTGGTCTTGGCTGGGTTGAGGGAAAACCCTGATTAACCCCATTCCTCCACTTTCCTGGTCTCCTGATACTTCTCTCCAAGGTGTTTCCTTACATCCGATCCCCACCTTCCCCTTGCCCTCATTGGCTGCGACAAATTGGAATAATTCTGTGGCTGCAGTTCAAGTACTTTCTCCCAGCTGGCCACGCAGACCTTGCCAAGCACTCCTGGACTGTGTCCTTGCTGGTGATGGGCTATAAAAGAATCTCACACCAGCCAAAGAGTGTAATCATCAGCGCAGTGAAAAAGAGTGGAATCTACTTCTCAAAATTCGGCTTTTCCAGCCTAGCCACAGCCTCTGGCCTCCCCTGGCTTCAAGCCTCCAATAAACTTCCTACAGGTTGATCTTTCAGGGCAGACGTTTCTTCTCCAGGTCGGGGAAGGGGGCTTGGTGTCTTGCCTGCCTTTGGACCAGCCAGCTCCTCTGCCTTGGTAAAGAAGCATCAAACTCACTCCCTTGAAAAGGCAGTGGGTCTCGGGTCTTTGTGTCCCCTTCTGTCCAGCCTGTGCCTCTTTCATGAGGATAAGAAGGACGAAGGTCCAGGGGTCTGGGGGGACCACACAGTCAGGACACCAGGCTTTGGAGAAGGGGCCATTGTCCGCATGGGACATTCCAGACCTGGCTGCTCCTTCTGGGTGTGGCCAAGGGAGATGGAATTTCACTTCTTCCCCAGAGTTGTTGGCTCCTGTGATTTTCAGAGCTGGACTCCATCTGAGCTGAAGCTGGGAGCAGGTGTGGAGGAGGCTTCTCTGGCAGCTGTAGAGAATCATTCCTCAAGGCTGGTGGTTTCTGTGGGTCCCCAGCTCCCTTGTTTGTAAATTTGGACTTATTGTGTTGCTAGCTTGGGGAATATGAAGTCTCCTTTCACATTTCTGGGAATCAGAAATATCATCTTACTTTCTTTTTTTTTTTTTCCTGAGACGGCGTGTTGCTCTGTTGCCCAGGCTGGAGTGCAGTGGTGTGATGGCTGGAGTGCAGTGTTGTGATCTCGGCTCACTGCAACATCTGCCTCCCAGGTTCAAGCAAGTCTCCTGCCTCAGCCTCCTGAGTAGCTAGGATCACAGGTGTGCGCCACCATGCCCGGCTAATTTTTGTATTTTCAGTAGAGACGGTGTTTCACCATGTTGGCCAGGATGGCCTCAAACTCCTGACCTCGTGATCTGTCCGCCTCGGCCTCCCAAAGTGTTGGGATTACAGGCGTGAGCCACCACATCCGGCTCTTTTTTTTCTTATTTTTAGTTTTTTAGTGACAGGTTCTTGCCCTGCTGCCCAGGCTTGAGTGCAGTAGTGTGATCATGGCTCACTGCAGCCTCAACCTCCTGGGCTCAAGCAATCTTCCTGCCTCAGCCTCTTGAGTAACTAGGACTACAGGCATATGCCACTGTGCCTGGCTAGTTTTTTTTTTTTTTTAATTAAAAAAAATGCTTTTGGAGAGATGGGGCCTCACTGTCTTGCCCAGAGTGGTTGCATACTCCTGGCCTCAGCGATCCTCCTGCCTTGGTCTCCCAAACTGCTGGGATTACAGGCATGAGTCACCACGCCTGGTCTACTATTATTTTTAATCAAATTAAATCTCTCTCTGAATGGCAACAAATTCATCCTCAGCCATGCTGTGGAACCCTGCCCCTGGGTGGTGTGAAACATCCTGGGTGGATAATCGTATTCAGTCTAGAACATTCCACACTGGCCCTTGGGTCTTCAGGCCACACTGGCCACTATGGTACTTTTGTTTTCCCCATCACTGCTCGCTGCTGAGAGGGACTCGGGGTCCCTGTGTGGGTACTTGCTGTGGCCACCACCCCCTGGGCCCCTGCCACATCCTGCTACTTGGCCAAACAAACCCTCTTTCCCTCTCTTGAGGAATCTCCCCATTCTTCACTCTCCCTGAGCACCTCCCACTCACATGCACACAGAGACAGCCTTTGGAAGGAGCTTGTTTGCCTCACTCTTTGATAACAAAGGTAGGAGGGGAAGTCCTTCTATACTATTATCATCATCGTCATCATCATCGTCATCATCAACGATTATTGTATGGAGTAAAAAAAGGATGGGGACCATTGCCCATTTGCACACATTGGGGAAGGGTCTACATAATTGTTCAACAGTTTACAAAGTACACTAACTTATACCCATGTTTAATTCATAGTGTTTTTATTTTATTTTTATTATTTTTAATATTATTTTTTGAGACATGGTCTCGCTGTGGCACCCAGGCTGGAGCGTAGTGGTTTGATCACGGCTCACTGCAGCCTCGACCTCCCAAGCTCAAGCGATCCTCCCACATCAGCCTCCCAAGTAGCTGGGACTACAGGCATATGCCACTACATCCGGCTAATTTTTAATTTTTTTTTTTTTTTTTTTTTTTGTAGAGACATGGTCTCACTGTGTTGTCCAGGCTGGTCTCAAACTCCTAAGCTCGAGCAATTCTCCTGCCTCAGCCTCCCAGAGTGCTAGGATTATAGGCATGCAGCACTGTACCTGGATAAAAGTGTTTTTAAAATTAATATTATAACCCTGGGAGGTGGACAAGCAGAGACTGTTATCGTTGTCTCAGGATGAAAAAGGGAGACCCAGAGTAGCCTAGTGACCTGCCTGGGGTCACACAGCTGTCAGTGGGGCAGCATTCCACATGGCAGGAGCTCTCCTTCACCCCAGCCATGGGGAAGGGTCAGAGACAAGCAGGCTGCTGGGAAGCCAGTCTAAGGACACTGACCACCAGCCCTCAGGGAGACGGGCTGGGGATCTGAGCTTGAGCTTTAGGCCATGCCTGCTGTTAGTAAAGACAGATCCAAAGATAAGGATAATAATAATAATAGTGAGCAGGTAGTGACTGGGTTGCGGTGTGGGCTGGGCAGCGTGCTCATGGCTCTCCCTACATTACCTAATGCTTATCTTCCCTCATTCTTAGGCCTAGAGAATGTAACTCCTGTGACAAAGGTCACAGCAGCAGTAAGGAGTGGCCCTGGGATTGGAATCCAGTCATATTTGCCTACAGAGACCAAGCCTTAGCTGCCCCTGAACTGCAATAGTAACAGCAATGACAATAGCTAGCATTACTTGGACACTTACTATTTGCTGGACATCATGCATTGGTCTTAGTCCTCCAAGAAGCTGACACCAAGATGAGATGAAATGTGCATGGTATTTATTAGGGGGATCCCGCTGGGAGAATATGGGGAGGAAGGGAGCCAGGAGAGGCTGGTCAGAGGGATGCAGATATGATCCCAAGGCCAGAAGAGCAGGGAGGAAGGAGCAGGGTCAGGAGGGGCCATCTCAGACAGCTGTGGGTTCTAAGGCAGTTTGCAGGAACATGAGCTGTTTGTGAGTTACAGTCACTCACTCAGCATCTCCCAGGAAGGGAGCTGCTTCAGTGTCCCAGCTGCTCTTGGTCTCTGGTGGGAGCAGCCTCAGGAGCAAGGCTCTGGTGCAAACTGCGAAAGACAGAGATGATTCTGGAGGCTCAGCTGGGCCCTGGGTTGGGCCAGCTCCTCGCAGTCCCCCTGAGAGGTAGATGCTCACGCTGCACACTGAAACATGTACCTCACATGCATTTTCTCATCGTTTAATCCTGAAAAAAATCTGAGAGATAGATACGATTAATACTTGCACTTTACAAATGAGAAAACCAAGTCCAAGGAGAGAATGAAACTTGTCTGAGTTCACACTCTAGAAATGGGCCGAGTGGGGAAGGAGAGAGCCATTCATCAGACAGCACCCAGCATGCTAATCGCCTTTGCTCCCGCCTCCTACCCTCAGAGCTAGTAGCAGGTTGCCCAAGACCCCACAAGAAGGGGTGCAGGGGCTGTGATGTGAATCCCAGATCCTCTGGCCTTCGAGTCCTGGCTCTTTGCACCATGCCACTATCTTCCCAAGGTTGTGCCTGTCTGCCTTTTGCCAACCCTGGAAACTGGCTTGTGTGTCCACAACAGAAAATATGCCAGCTGGAGCCCGAGGGGCGTGTGAGGGTGGACCTCGTGCTACGGATGGCTGAAGCCCTCTTGGCATGCTGCCCTGGGGACCAGAAGCCCGGGATCCTGGCCCGGCTGAAGGACATCAAGGCCCAATGGGAGGAGACAGTCACCTACATGACTCACTGTCACAGGTAGGGCATCCAGGGCCTTTGTCCACAGCTGCCATTTACCCTCCTTGCCCACTGTGACACTAGCTTGGGCCCTCTGCCCAAGAGACATTTCTCCAGTCCTGGGATTCTGGGGGACAGGATATTCTCTTGGGATTAGGGCCAGCCCTGCCTGCCTCTTTCTAATTATAATCAGGTTGAATGATGATAATAGACACTGGGAACCCAGCGTGTTTTGTCAACAATTCCTAAGAGACTTACCGTGTGTGCATCCTCCAGAGCATGGCACAATGGCTCTGGAGAAAGAAGGCCTGGGGCCCTGCTAGCACTGTAGCCAGAGTCCCTGCTTGTACCAGGAAGCTGGGTGGTGGTTGGCCGGGACAGGGGGTGGTGGGGAGCAAACACTCGGACAGACCTGGCATTGACTCTTGTCCTGCTGGTTACTTCCTATGTGGTTTGGGAAAGTTACCTGACCTCGCTGAACCTCAAGCACCTCTCTGGACAATGGGAGTAATCAAGTGCTCCTTGAAGGTTGTTAGGAAGTTAGGAGGGGATAGCAAATATCAAGAGCGAGGCACACTGCTTGGTACAAAGTAGGCCCTCAGTAAACAAGAGCTGCCAGGATCATCTCCATTTTTATAAAGCAAGGATGTGCATGGAGATGGGAATGACTTTGCACAGTGCTTCCTGCTTTCTAAATCCTTGCGCTGGAAATTCCTAACACAGTGACTTGATGTTGGCTGGGGAGATAGAGCCACCTCCATGTTAGAGATGGAGAAACTAAGGCATGTGAAGAGGCAGGGTTGCAGAGTGAGTTCACAGCACCCCTGGAACGCACACGCAGGCTCCCAGCCTTCCGTCCCCATTGGGTGCAACGAGCCCACAGATGCAGATGTCACAGATGTCAGTGGGGCAGCATTCCACATGGCAGGAGCTCCTCCTTCACCCCAGCCATGGGGAAGGGTCAGAGACAAGCAGGCTGCTGGGAAGCCAGTCTAAGGACACTGACCACCAGCCCCCAGGGAGACAGGCTGGGGATCTGAGCTTGAGCTTTAGGCCATGCCTGCTGTTAGTAAAGACAGATCCAAAGTGCTCTGCAGGTGACTGGACACATCCCAACCGCAGTCTGCTCCTAAAATTAGTGGGTGTGCGTGTGCCAGCGGCCTGGAGAAACTGTGTTTAGAGCCCCAGTGCCAAAGAGAAATGACTGGGGGTGTCTGTGCATTGACAGTGGGAGTTCAGGGCCAGGATTTAAGGTGCTGGAGGTAAACGGCTCCCCAAGATGCATCCCCAAAACTGGTGGTTCTGGGAGGAAGTTTGGAGTCTGAGCTCCCCTGGCTCCTACCCTCACGCAGGGAGCTTATTTACTGGGCAGAGGGTCTTATCCAGTAGGACTGAGGGAGGGTCTAGAATCTGGAGTGTCAACAAGCTGCCCAGGTGACTCAGAGGCCAGAAAGGGCATCATCATGCCCCCAGACCACAGCCCCCTAGTATTGGGGAGGGGGTGACAGCACAGACCCCCGACCCAGGAGGCAGGTGGCTGGTTCCCTCACAACCTTGAGGTCTCTGTGCCCACAGCCGCATCGAGTGGGTGTGGCTGCACTGGAGCGAGTACCTGCTGGCCCGAGATGAGTTCTACCGCTGGTTCCAGAAGATGATGGTCACACTGGAGCCCCACATCGAGCTCCAGCTGGGCCTGAAGGAGAAGCAGTGGCAGCTGAGCCACGCCCAGGTGCTGCTGCACAACGTGGACAACCAGGCGGTGCTCCTGGACCGGCTGCTGGAGGAGGCAGCCTCCCTGTTCAACAGGATCGGGGACCCCAGCGTGGACGAAGATGCCCAGAAGAGAATGAAGGCTGAGTACGATGCAGTGAAGGCCAAGGCCCAGGTGAGGGTGAGGCTGAGTGGGCTACATCCTCACCCACCCATCCATGTATCCACCCTTATCTACCCATTCCAGCCACTGTTTGCCTACTATCAAGCTATTTACCTACTATCAATCTATCTTTCTACTATCAATCCATCTACTCACCTGTTCACTATCCAACCACCCTCCCATCCATCTGTCTACCTACTCACCCATCTACCTCCCCACTAAATCACCAAATCTCCCCTTCACTATCCACCCACACACCACCCCATTCACCTATCTACCCCACCATTTGTTCATCCATGTATTCTCCCACCCATCTGTTGACTCACTCATCCATCTACTTCCCCACCAGCCTGATCAATCTGCTATTCATCTCTTCAACCACTTAATCGCCCACGCATTCATCTATCTACTCATTCACCTACCCATCAACCCAGCCACCTCTTCCTCACTCACCCATTCACTCATCCATCTCTCCACTGCCTACCCCTTCACCACCTATCTACCCACTATTGACCATCACCCACTCGTTTATCCAGCCATCCACCCACCTAGCTACCCATCCCCCAATCCTCACCTACCAACTCTTCCACCACCCACTCACCATTATCTACCGTCCAGATACCCAGTGTTTCGCAGTGCTTAATATACATATAGGTGTGTTGACCGACTGACTGATGGACTGTGATGTTCACTTTGATCCAAACAGCTTCCCCCTTCTCCTCCTTTCTCTCTCTTCCTCTCTCCCTCCTCCCCTCCCTTCCTCCTCCTGCCCTTTAATCCTTCTCCTTCAGTGTTTCCTCCTTGCTCTCTCTTGCCCTTGCCCCAGTCCCTCTGTCCATTCTCTGTCTGCATTTCCTCACCCCATTCTTGCCTTATTTGGAAACAGTTCATTGAGTTATCAAGTTCAATTACATTTGTTAGAAATTTTATTTGGTTCTGTATTATGTCTCCCTGTTCTTTTTAACAAATTATGTCATTTTCCCCCTGAGATTTTGCATTCCTCCCAGATATAGCTTATATTTGCAATCATTCTAAACATATGTATTTTACAGTCCCCATCAGATTTTTCTAGTGGCTGAGGTTCCAGGTCTAAGGCTGAAGTTCCACGTCAGGCACCTATGTGTCCCCTGACATGGTAGATTGTTTCCTTGGGGGGTGTTGTCCTTTTGAGCTCTAAGCTCAGCCTAAGCAGGATGCATCTGCAGAAGCCTGCAGCTGGGACACCACCTGAGAGTGGCTTTCTGTTGGCTTCAGCTGGGCTCCTCCTGAGGTTTATCTTCACGACTCCTATTTTCATGTCAGTGAATTGGCTTGGGGGTTCCCAGATCAGGCGGATATTCTAAACGTGAACCCCAAGCCAGAATCATACAATAGGCCCCAACTCCATATTCTGAAGGGTGATTGGTTTTTTTTGTTTGTTTGTTTTTAGGCCCAGGCTAAAACATGCACATTTCCTTCTCAGATTGCGTTTGTAACAATATTTTTTTTCTACTTCACCCTTTGGCTAGTGGGGGCGGGCAGCCACTTGAGGCTCTGTCTTTTTGCAGTGGTCTCTGTTGCCTCTGAGCCCAAAGTCTCACTTCTTACTCCAGCCTGAGCATTAAACCCAAGCTTCTAGTAACTAAGACTTCAGGCACCTGTGTGAGCTTAACAGGGTGGTTTCCCGGGCATCTTTACTTCTGGCCCATGGGAATATCCCTTCCCTTGGTGTGACGTGGGTCTGCATTGAAACGGTGTTTGTTATGTTACATTTTATCTGGCATTTCTGGCTCTCTAGTTGGCTATAGCGCTGAAACTGAACATCTCCTGGGTTCTTCATGCTGACAGTTTAAGGGAAATAAGCTCTGTGATAAGCAGAACTAGAAAATCCACCAGGAACAAGGCTCTGGCGCTTGGGAAGGGACTTGGATTCCAGGCCAGGCACTGCTGCTTCCCAGCTGTGTGGCCTCAGGGCAGCTCACCTGACCTGCACCCAGGTTGTGGGGGCTGTATGGTTACATGTGAGCTCTTTGAAAACTGGCAAGCATTTTGCCAATATAAAGAACGACTTCTACTCTCAGTAGCAGTGAGAATAAATAGGAACAACAATGGCTGTTTGCCATGCAGCAGGTGCTCAGAACTATCTGTTGAAATAATGAGAACTCCACCCCTGCAGTTTGAAGGCAAGCAACCCGCAGGGCCCCAGAGAGGAGCCACAGGAGGCTCCAGGAGACTGCGCAAGGCCCAGAATGGATGGGCAAGGCGGGGATTCGACTTGGCTCTTGCAGAGGCAGCCAATTGGCCCTCATCCAGCCCTGCCAAGGCCCGTGTGGCATGGGCAGGCTTCATGGCAATTCTCTCTCCAGGTCTGCCCCTCTGGCCCAGCTGGGACAGGTGCCTGGCTCCACAGCCTCTTTGCTGTGGCTTTACAGGAAACAGGTGCTTGTGCCAATCAGCAGAGAGCGCCTGGTGCAGGGTGTGGAGGAGATGAGATAAAAAGTTGTTGGTGTGTGTGCAGGTTTGCATGTATGTGCATGGGTGTGTGTGCATGTTTGTACGTGAGGGTGGATGCTGGGGTGCTGAGTGAGCATCAATTCTGGCCCAGATGCTGAAAGGATTGCCTCCAAGAGCCTCATTTTCATTCCAGGGAGTTCTCCCCTCACACAATCCAAAACGCTATAGACATCACAGCTCTTATCAGTGAGAGCTGTTTTTTCTAACCTTTTCCTGTCTCTGACCTCATCTGCTCCCCCAGTCTTTTTATGAAGTAGATGGAGAAGTTGTTATTGGACTCTTTTTTTTATTTTGAGACTGAGTTTCACTCTTGTTGCCCAGGCTGGAGTACAATGGCATGATCTCAGCTCACTGCAACCTCTGCCTCCCGGGTTCAAGTGATTCTCCTGCCTCAGCCTCCCGAGTAGCTGGCATTACAGGCATGTGTCACCATGCCCGGCTAATTTTGTATTTTTTAGTAGAGATGGGGTCTCTCCATGTTGGTCAGGCTGGTCTCAAACTCCCGACCTCAGGTGATCCGCCTTGGCCTCCCGAAGTGCTGGGATTACAGAAGTGAGCCACTGTACCTGGCCTTTTGGACTAATTTTTTAGATTAAAAAACATTCTGTGCGTCAGACACCAGCGGCCCAGTAGAAAAAGCCAGAGGTGCTGATGACTTCTAAGGTGGCGCTCCCTGCAGCTGCGACTCAGGTCCTGCGTTAGTGTCTGCACCTGTGACCATCAGGATGAGCTGGGGCCCCGGGTGCTTCTGTGGTCAGGCTGGGACAGTGAAAGGCAGGTTTGAGCTGCTGAAGAGGGAGCCCTTGCATCCAGGGCTCTCAAGAGGCAAAGGCCCGCCTGGCAGTGTCCTGGGGCAGGAGCATGGAAGGCTGTGTCATGTGCGGAGACAGCGGTGATGGGGGAGGTTTGGGGTGCGGTGAGGGGGAGACTCCCTCCATGGTGGAAGCCCTTGGAGTTGCCAGATGGCTGGTCAATGCTGATGCCAATGTGGAAATGGGGCGCTGTTGTTTGTGGGGTGGCTGGACCCTGCATGGAGAAGTGAATTCAGTTTTGGCTTTCTCAGCTGTTGGCTGAAGGCCATGGCCCCTCATGAAGTCTTCCTGCAAGCTTGAGGACTTTGTTCTCACTCACAGGGAGCCCGGTCAGCTCTTAGACAGGAGGGCTGTGGTGTACCCTGGAGGTGTTTCCTGTCTCTCTAGAAGCTGGCCATGGGGAGAACTGAGGGGTAGGTGGGGAGGGGCCACGCGGACCCCTGCAGCCTCTTTGATCTTGTATTCAGAAGGTATGAGTGTGCATTTCTATGGGGCGAGGAGCTATAGCATCCACCAGATTCTATGGATGGAGCTTTCGTGGATCCAGAGGGTGCCATGTTCTTCCGAAGCCTGAGAGGCTCCTGAGCGGGGCAAACTTCTCCATCGCCCTTGGCCAGAGATCCAACCACTCAATCCTAAGCTCCTCATCAGCAAGGTGGGATGCAGCCCCCGGCATTGACCTCCTGGGTGTCCCCAGCCCTCCAGCCCCAGACAAAGGGGGAAGATTCTAGCCTCATCCCAAGGTGGGTGGGCACTCCACATACCCAGCAGCCTGCAGAGATCCTTGGTGGTCCCAGCCTCCCAGTCCCTGCTCTGAAAGCTTGATGAAGACCTCCCCTGCATAAAAGGTCTCTCTTGGGGCAGTCGTCTGACTCCAGCGATGGTTCTGTCCTCGTGCCTTCCTGGGGGTCGAGGCCTGGCCTCGGGGTGGGATTGGTCTCTAGGTTCAGGTTAGTGCCCCTACTTTTACCTATGAGAGCCCATTGCCACTGCTTGCCATGCTAGAACAGGCCACTGCTCCAACGAGGAAAACCCATTTTTGACGTCCATCATGTTAATTAGCACAGCCTCTAGGGTTGATGGGGACGGAACCACAGAAGCACCATGGGGTCCTCCCTGAACTGGAGCCTCTGTGACCACCTGCTAGAGGGAGATTCTTGACTAGGGCCAAGGCTAAGCCCAGAGGGGAGCAATGGCACATTGTCAGCCCGCAGTGTTTGCAAGTGAAATGTAGACAGGGCAGGCTGGCTGCGGGGAGGGGCTTGTTTGTTTGTTTTTAATCCCGATTTAGTCTTCCCAAAGGCAGGCACATGGAAGCATCCTCACCCCCGCTGCTTCCCGTGGCGGCCCTCACAGAAGGCGCGTCTGTCTGGCATCTTGGCCGTGAATCAGAGCTGCTTGTGATGAATCAGAGCTGCTCGTGCAGCCCTTTGCAGAGGCATAAATCCGCACCACCCTTGTTAATTGGTTAGGTTTTGACATTCCTGACAGCTCTGCCCGCCGCAGATGGTGTAATTGCTGGGTCTAACGAGAAGGTTGAGCACCTTCCCGTTTGTCACCCCGTCATTCTCCAGCACGGCTGGATTCTGCCCTGTGACTGTTATGCCTGGCACGGATCTCAGCTGGATCCCTGCCCCTCCTGCCGAGGTCCTCTCTGAGCACCTGCTCCCCATCACACAGACTTTTATTTACCCTGGACTTCTCCGGGTGCCAGCACCTCATCCTTCACACACTAGCAGCCACGGCCGGCACTTCCATGGGAGAGTTCACTCCCGGCTGCATCTATCACCATCAGCGCGGCCAGGGGCCCAGCATCCAGCCTCTGTCTGTTACTCCTGACCCACTTTGTTTCATGAATGAGCCTTTCCTGTTGATGGAGGAGGCTCCAGGAGAGTTTTGACGGATTTAAATAACCCTGCAGGAAGGGGAAGCCAGCAGGGGAGCTTGCCGAAGCCCCGGAGCCATCCTTAGGGCTGCAGGCGGGAAGCATGAAGGGGACTGTCCCCTCGCTTGCTCCACTTTCAGATTCAAGCAGGGCCCATGTTTTGTAAGAATTTTGTCTTTCTTGATTCCAGTTGTAAGCCATTTCAGTTACTATAACTTTAAAATAGGCTTTTGACTGGGCATGGTGGCTCACGCCTGTAATCCCAGCACTTTGAGATGCTGAGGCAGGTGGATCATTTGAGGTCAGGAGTTCGAGACCAACCTAGCCAACATGGTGAAACCCCGTCTCTTCTAAAAATAGCAAAAAAAAAAAAAAAAAAAAAAAACTAGGCATCGTGGTGCACCCCTGTAATGCCAGCTACTTGGGAGGCTGAGGCACGAGAATCGCTTGAACCCAGGAGGCAGAGGTTACAGTGAGCCAAGATCAGGCCATTGTACTCCAGTCTAGGCAACAGAGTGAGACTCTGTTTCAAAAAATAAAAAATAAAACTAGGTTTCTAAATAAGAATGTATGGTGCCTCCAATGTTATTTCTCTTTTTCACAACCCCAGTTGGAGTGCTCAACAATTTTTGTTGTTGTTGTTGCTGTTTTGAGACAGGGTCTTGTTCTGTCAGGTGAGGTAGGCTGGAGTGCAGTGGTGCAGTCACAGCTCACTGCAGCCTCCACCTCCTGGGCTCAAGCGATCCTCCTGCCTCAGCCTCCCAAGTAGCTGGGACTACAAGCGCCCTTCACAAACCCAGCTAATCTTTAAATTTTTTGTAGAGATGCCATCTCACTGTGTTTCTCAGGCTGGTCTCGAACTCCTGGGCTCAAGCAATCCTCCTGCCTCCACCTCCCAAAATGCTAGAATTATAGACACGAGCCACCATGCCCAGCCTTGAGAGAACTTCTCAGATCTCTACTGAAGAGCTTGGTCCTAAGCCTGGGCTTCCCCATTTCTAAAATCGGGATGTTTTCTCCTACTTGCAGTGGTGGTTGCAAGGTTTATATGAATTCATATTTCTAGATTCGGTGAGGAGCTTCCCAAAGAAGAAAAAAGCATATGTGAAAGAGCTAAGGGGTTTTTCAGATGCACTTACCCGTTCACTCTTCCCAGCTGAGAATGTCTGACTTAGATTTGCAGATGGTCAGAACCCTCCTGGACAGGGCCTGGCTCCATGGTGAAGAGCTGAGGTCAGCCAGCTATGGTTCAGACACCACATCCAGCCCATTCCTAGCTTCAGCCTCAGCCTCCCGAGTAGCTGAGACTACAGGTGCACACCACCACACCCTGCTAATGTTTTTATTGATTTTTTGTAAAAATGACGTCTGACCGTGTTGCCTAGGCTCGTCTTGAACTCCTGGGCTCAAGGAATCCTCTTGCCTCAGCCTCCCAAAATGCTGGGATTATAAGCATGAGCTAGAATGGCTTTCACATTTTCAAATGGTTGGGAAAAAATGAAAAGCCAAATATTTCTTGATGTGTGAAAATGATATGAAAAACCTGTCAGTGTTCATAATTAAAGTTTTATTGGAATGCGGCCATTCTTTTCACATTATCTGTGGCTACTCATGGGCTACAACATAAGTTGCATGCTGGCGGTGGAGTAGCTCCATATGGCAGGCCAAGCTAAAAGCATTTCCTGGGTGGCCCTTGACAGAAACAGTCGATGATTTTGGAGTCTGACACTTGCCATTGGAATCTTTTCTGTAAGACCAAAAGAGTTCTGCAATGTCCCAGCTCCAGTCTGGACATTTGCAGAATAGGAGGGTTTTGTGATTGTTTGAGTGTTAAATAAGATAACTCTTTGAAGTTCCATGCACACCTAGCATAGGTGCTTATTAAATGAGTCTCCTTTTTCCCTTTTCTTGGCTCTCTTTGGAAACTTTCCTCTGATGGCAAACACTCCAGATTTGTGCTTCCTGCCATTCAGGAAGCGTTCACAGGGCGTGCCCTGAGCTAGACCCTGGGAGATGAAATAACAGGGGCAGCCTTGTTTCTAGGAACCTCCTGGATCCCCCAGTGGGTGACGATGCCATGGACAACTGCTGTGATGAAGTTGCATCCCAGTGGTTTGGGAACTCAGAAGGAAGGCTGTTAATTCAGCCTGGGGCAGTGGGCATGGCCTCAGAGTGAGAAGGGGGCCTGGGGTTAGTACTGCAGTTGGTTACCCGCTGGAGGTGTGAGAAGAGCTTGGAGAAGGCAGGAGACAATCAGCAATGCCTCAAGGTTGTTAAGCACTTACCAGCTGCCAGGCTCTGTTTTAGGGGTGAGCTCTGGCCCATTTCATCTCACTTTCTCCCAATGAGGCAGGTGTTATTAACCATACCATATGGATGAGGGGACTTGGGCACAGAAGGGTTTAATTAGGTACCCAAGGTGGGGCCAAGGTTCAAGCCACAGGCAGTGGGATCCCAACCCCAGGGTCTTGACTGCTGGACCACAGAGCTACATCATGGACACCTGTCCTTGAAGTGCTAGGCTGTAAGGACTGGACTTGGGCCTGGGGCCAGTGGGGAGCCATGACGGGATATGGGGAGACAGCACTGTGATCAGGGCATGTTTTGAAAAACCTAGTCTCTGGGAGTACAGTGGGGGCTCATAGCAGGACACCACTGTTTTTCCAAATGTCAGCCACCCTCAGGACATCATCTTACCCCTGTGTTGTTAAGACCTTTGGTGGGACTGGCTGAAAATAGAGATGATTCCAACCCATGCAACACACATCACCGTATTCATGGGGAAATGGGGCAGCTTGCCATTGATTTGCATACCCTGTGGACACTGTTGTGTAATGGAGCTAGAAATGCTGGTTTCTAGCATTCAACCCAGCTCGGATTGAATCTTGGCACTTTCCTAGCTGGGTGACCTTGGGCAAGTCACTTTACCTCTCTGTATCTTGGTGTCCTCATCTGTCACACTGGGACTGTAATGGTACCCCCTTATGGAGTGGTCAGGAGACTTCACTGAGCTCATATATGTCAAGCTCTTAGAGCAGTGCCCAGCACCTTGGCGAGTGCTCAGAATGACAGTGTGATGTAGTAGTAGTCGTGCTAATGTTGTTGCTGTTGCCGCACCTCAGTCTTGAATGCCATTCCTAGGATGTGGCAAACAAGAAAGCCAGCTGCATAGTGACAGGGCCCAGTGCCAACATGCTCTGGTCTCCAAAGCCAACTCTCTTGGCATATTGTTTGTAAGGCAGAACAGAGTATCTGAGAGCTCTTTGTGTCTAGAGAAAGGGCTAGAGGTTGGTTGCACCCCCTGCTAACACACACACACACACACACACACACCCAGGCAGGCTACGGGCTTTCTGGCCTTTGGGCTGTCTGGGCTGGGGACCCTCATGGCTGGTGATTCTCCTCCTCCCACAGAAGCGTGTAGATCTGCTGGAGCAGGTGGCCCGGGAGCATGAGGAGTACCAGGCAGGTGTGGACGAGTTCCAACTGTGGCTGAAGGCGGTGGTGGAGAAGGTGAATGGCTGCCTGGGGCGGAACTGCAAGCTGCCCATCACGCAGCGCCTCTCCACACTGCAGGTAATCCCCAGCTGTGTCTCAACCAGAGGGACCCTAGGGACAGTCACAGAGGGTGGGTTCTATGTCATAGTTCCTTTTTTTTTTTTTTTTTTGAGATGGAGTCTTGCTCTGTTGCTCAGGCTGGAGTGCAGTGGCGCGATCTCAGCTCACTGCAAGCTCCACCTCCTGGGTTCACACCATTCTCCTGCCTCAGCCTCCTGAGTAGCTGGGACTACAGGCACCCGCCACCATGCCCAGCTAATTTTTTTGTATTTTTAGTAGAGACAGGGTTTCACCATGTTAGCCAGGATGGTCTCGATCTCCTGACCTTGTGATCTGCCAGCCTCGGGCTCCCAAAGTGCTGCGATTACAGGTGTGAGCCACCACACCCTGACCTATGTCATAGTTTCTTTAATAGGACAGTGCTTGGTGCCACAGAATATATAAGAACCCATGGCCCACAGACCCCCGTGAGGAGAAGTGTGGAATCTAGTCTAAACGCTTGGGTCCTCAGAGGCTTTATGGAAATCCCTGGCCAGCAGAGCATTTGGAAACCCAGGACCACAGAAGCATGGTCTAGGCTGGTGGGTCTCCAATGGGGGGCATTTGGCAGTGTCTAGAGACTCCTCGCCCTGAGGAAAATCTTTGGCAATGTCCTAAGAGGGTAGAGGGGGTGGATGTTGCTACTGCCTCTGGGTGGCGGCCAAGGATGCTGCAAAACCATCCTACAGTGCACAGGACAGCCCCACACAGCACAGAGCGATCCAGCCCACGTGGCAATGGTGCCAAGGGAGAAGAACCGTGGTGCAGGCGCCAGGTCTGCCATCGGGAGACGTGGGCTCCCCACTTTTCACCTGCTGAATGGCTTTCAATGAGCCTCTGACTCCCTCCATAAACTGAGTGGGTAAAATGTCTTTAATAATTCAAGAACCACTTGATACATTTTGCCACAACTGTGCAGTATCTGAACTATTTCTTTAATATTTGTATTTAAATGGACTCATTTTTAAAAAAACTGATGATTATTTATTTAGAAAGAAAACATATCACTGTCATAAATGGAAAAGATGGTGCCAATTCCAAATAGGTAGATAACCACACAAATAAATACAATGAAACCGAACGGAGCCATTTGGTTCTATTTGGCTCCACACTGTTTCCAGCTGAAGGCATGGAAAGGAAGATAAACAAATGTCAGAAAGTGTTCAAGACAGAAGCACCCAACAGAGACTTTCTCCTTGACTTAATCAAATGGCTTGAAAAAGACTTATGGGGAAGGAATAGGGTTCTCAGGTTGTGAGTCCATGCTACTTAAGGCAGACAGTCCAGCCCTTGGGAAGGCCCCTCTCTGGCTCTAACGCAGGACTCCAGGAATCAGTGTTTTGCAGGGCAGTCCCAGGTCTGCTCTGGAAAATGCAGCAACTGTATTCTTTTTCCCTGCCTGTTTTTCCCTCACCCCTCTACCCTCTTCAGGACATTGCCAAAGATTTTCCCAGGGGCGAGGAGTCTCTGGAGACGCTGGAGGAGCAGTCTGCGGGTGTCATTCGGAACACCTCTCCTTTGGGTGCAGAGAAGATCACCGGAGAACTGGAAGAGATGAGGAAAGTTCTGGAGAAGCTGCGCGCCCTCTGGGAGGAGGAGGAGGAGCGGCTGCGGGGCCTGCTCCGGTCCAGGGGAGCCTGGGAGCAGCAGATTAAGCAGCTGGAGGCTGAGCTCAGTGAGTTCAGGATGGTCCTGCAGAGGCTGGCCCAGGAGGGCCTGCAGCCTGCGGCGAAAGCGGGGACCGAGGACGAGCTGGTGGCACACTGGAGACGCTACTCGGTAAGCGTGCTTGGCCGAGTCATGGAGCCCAGGGTGCTGTCTGTGCCCAGGGTCCTGGCACTCAGACCTCCTCTGTGATGGAGAATCGGGCTGAGCCCTGAGCACACTCACTCTGTTTCTCCGGGATTCTTGGTATCTCAGCTCCCTGAGCGGGGAGTAGACAAGTTGGGTGTTTATCCCCATTTTCTAGATGAGGAAGCTGGGGCCTACAGAGACTTTTTTCCCCAACATCCCTAGAGTCACATGGTAGGTCTGTGAATAAATAACAGCAGAGGGGGATTGGGCAGCCAGGTTTGGGCCTCAAAGCTACTCTCCTGCCCAGTGGTGGGATAAGGTGTGGGCTTCCTCTGCGTGGAACAGGGAATATTGGATCAGAAGGGGAAACTCTTAATGTGGAGATCATGGGGAACAAACATGGGCCTTTAGGAGGCCAAGCAGCAGAGGCCCACGGTGGTGGGGGGTGCTTCCCAGACCCCGACATGACATCCCATCAGAGGCTCCCCAGCCCTCCCCCGAGGTATACGAACTGAAGCTTGACTTGTGGATAAAGAGAGTTTTAAAATAAGAAGCAACGGCCCTCCCCACCTCTGTCTTTATTTATTGTTAACTCAGGATCACGACTTCATGAGAGGAGATACCTCCAAGGGAAGCCATCCCAGATCTTACCTGCACTCTGCCACTGTTGTTATATGTTTTCTCTTCCTTCTAATCTCTGCTCATACGCAAAAATATTTTTAGTAGGGAGAAACAAAGGGCTGTCTTCTCATTCGATCTTGTAGCAGAACAGGTTACCCTGCAGTTATCACCTTCCTCCAAAGGGAACTGTCCCCTGCTTTAGGACTGTCTGCCTCAATGCGCCTTGGAGGTGGTGTGGCACAGTGGTGAGGGATGGGGACTTTGGGGCCAGACTAGCTGGGTTTAAGTCCTAGTTTCTCCCCTTGCTAACTGAGTGGCTTTCGGAAAATTACTTTAACCTCTGTTATGTGTGAAATGAAGCACTGAGAGGCTAGGAGACTTGCCTGTGGTTATACATCCAATAGGTGGAGACAGGGATTTTAACTTGAACCCAGGCAATCTGACTCAAGGTCATATGCTTCCAACCACTGGGCCAGCTCAGGCTCCCAGTTCTAGAAAATTAACATAGCAAGAGGAACAGACCAGGAATCCAGACATCAGTGGATCCATCCCCCCTGGGACTGCAACCCTGGGATGCTCCCGAGAGAGCAGAGGGCTGGGTATGACTTGTGTTATCCCTCTGCTGACGGGAACAGGACCCTCATCTGTTTCAGGGAGACTGTTTGCAGCAAAGGTTGAAGTCAGGGTGGATTTGTAGCTTATCCAGCGTCTGGTCAGGAAATGCAACTACCTGGCAGGGTCCACCCTCCTGAGCCTCCCAAGGAATCAGCAAACTAAACCTGACAACATTATAGGTCCCAGCATGGCATGTCAGAGCTGGAAGGGATGTGGTCTTATTTTACAAGGAGGGAACTGAGCCTAGAAAAAGGTCATGCTTAGCCAGGCCACCCAGCCATGGGGCAGCGTCCTTCCCAGGAATGAGGGCCCTGGGTGTTCCAGCACTGCTTCAAGTTGATGATGGGCCTTCCAGTGGCCTGGACAGGCCTCTCTCCAGGGACAGCCCCCAGTCTTGCTCACCCTCTGCACCCTTGCCCTTCCTGCTGAATTCCTGCAGGCCGGCCAGCTTTCCTGACCACTGATGTGCTGGGCTTCTTCATGAATGATTTTCAACCTGCCAGTTCCCACAAACCAACTGTGTCTGGTCTTCCGTGAAAACTTTCATAGACGTCATTATGTTTGCTAACTAATTGAATAGCAATAGGAACATTTTTGAGAATGAACAGGGCTGGCTGGGCAGATTCTGTGTCCTTCTGCCTACATAGTGGCCCCTATTGCCCCAGCTGCTGCCTAAAATCCTTCCCTCTATTTGTGCTTTCTCCCTTGAGCTTAATACTCTAAACCCTGTTCATCCGTGGGTCACCCCAGGCTAAGCCTAATTGGAGCTGCCCCTGGTTCCCTGTGAATGGAGGATCGGTCAGAGGTCGGTATGGTCAAGAAGGACAGAAGCACAAGGCTGCCTCCTGGGATTGAGGGAGCTGGGGATGGGGAGGGACTAATGCATCCCTGCTCTGTACCAAGTGCCTTGTCAATATCACCCGACCCACGTGGTTGGTGAGAGTGGCCCCATTTATCAAAGAGGAAACAGCCCAAAGTGCACAGCTAGGAAAAGACAGAGGTGGGTCTCCAGGCCAGCTCTGTGTTGTGGCAAAGCCCAGCACTTTCTACTACCCCACCCTGCCTCCTACTGAGCAGGGCCAAGCAAGGGGCTGAGAGTCCTGCAGATCAAGGTCAAACGTGGAACTTCCCAGGACAGCAGTGAAAGGCTGTGTCTGGAGTGTTTGCACATGTTGAAGTGAAGCAGCTTAGGAATAGTCCATGCAAATAGCTTCTAGGCCTGCCGAGAATAATAACCGGGTTCACAAAGCACCTTTAGAGGCATGAAGAGGCCCTGCTCTGATGTCCGGTCCACCATCTACAGACTCTGCAACCGTCAGAGAGCTCTTAGCCCAAGTTTCCTTGTAAATAACATTGGGACACGGAGACTAGCCTTTCAGGACTGTTGTGAGGCTTAAACGAATGGGACACCCAGGGCGCTCAGCCTGGCATTGGTGTCCCCTGAGTATTAGTTATTTGTACCATTAGGAGCTAGTGTTTGCCATGGCAATGCTGGGAGGTAGGGGGCAATAAAGAGCAGAACTGTAGCCCAGCACCAGACAGTAAAGGCTGAGTTCCAGGTCATGGAGCTAGAGATGGGAGGGTAGGGGCTGAGCTCAAGAGTGGGGCCCCAGTTCCTGCCCCTGGTGACAGTTTCTTCCTAGCCTAGCCCACCTCCACTGGCCACGCTCACCCTCCTGCACACACACACTTATCCTGTTGAGGAGCCTCACCTCCCGCTGCGGTGTCGTCATGTGCTGCAGGCAACACGGGCGGCGCTGGCCTCGGAGGAGCCCCGGGTGGACCGGCTGCAAGCCCAGCTGAAGGAGCTCATCGTCTTCCCTCACAACCTGAAGCCACTCTCTGATAGTGTCATCGCTACCATCCAGGAGTATCAGAGGTATCTGGGAAGGCCAAGGGTGGTGGGACTCAGGGTGTGCTGGAACCCACATTTCCCCATCTCCAGAAGGCGGGCTTGCTTTCTCCTACAACATAGTAACTTCTAAATCATTCTTTGTACCTCTCAATGACTGGCTTTTAGAGGTTCTCACTTGGCTCAGACACTGTCCCCTTTGACTGTTTTGCATTTGCTCCCAGAAAGAGGCCTGAACTTTGCATTTATCCAGGCTAGTGGCTCAGCCACCCATCCTATCATGACTCTTCATGCAGGTTAGCATTGGGGAGGGGTGATGGCCCAAAGGGAGGGCTTTTCAATAGACAGACTCCATTCCCCTGCCTTCGGATGCTGACTTCAACATCTGAGCCGTCTCCAGACCAGCCTCCACGTGTCCCTCAGCCCCCGGGCTCAGGCACAGCAGGACCTCCAGCTTCCTAGTTTAGCAAATGCAGCAGCCCTGTATCCTCCCTGTGTGGAACCGAGCAAAGTGTTGATTTGAAATCTGTTACCTGTCTTCACTGCATGAGCCTCCGAGGTGTTCTGAACATGGTACAACTGTCCACGCAGCTGTCGTGCATCTCCTACCTCTGCCTGGTACAGGGAGCTCCTTCAGAATGAACAAAGGGAGCTCCTACCTTTGCTGTGTGGCTCTCATCCCACAGCGTGCTCAGGCCTACATCTATAAAACTGGGGCAGTGGCCTGGATCCCCCGTGGGATGCTAAGGTAGGGGTCGGGCTGGGGTTGGGGGGTTGGATTTCCTGTGCACAAAGTAGGCAGGGAGACAGAGTGGCCAAGGGTCTTCCTCTCCCTCTGGTTTCTCTCACTGAGATTTCAGGTATTGGTTTCCTATGACTTGGTGCTGGACATTGTGTTTGAAAAATTATTCGTAGAAATTAAATGGGCCTAGAATGACGGTATCTTACTCAAGAAAGGGTTTTGTTTGCTTCTTCCAGGTGCCTGGGGGCAGGCAGGACTGGTCTAGGGTCTCCATAATTTATCTTCAAGGCTTGTATTCCTTGGTCATGAAGCTGGGCCATCCGTCTGTTGGACTGGCTTGCTTGCAGTGCACTTTTATCCTGAGGGCATGGACCTTTGCGATCCCAGCTTCATGTGAGGTGCTGTTTTCAGAATCTGCCCATTTTTGATAGACCCTTATCCTGAGTGGCTGCCAAAACCCTAACTCAGTTTTGTAGCTATTTCTTCCAGATTGGCAAATGCCCTCAGGGTCAAAGTTGGTTAGACTCACATTTCTATTATTTGTTTTTTAAAACTTTGATCAAGCAATTTTTTCATCTTTTGTTTTTGTACTCAGTGGGAGGGCCAGTCTGAATGAATTATTTTTCCGTTACTGGAAGAATAATGTCTCCATGTGTCATCTCATCTAACACTTAGAATGATTATATGAGAGGAGCACTGTGTTGCCTATTTCATAGGTGAGAAAACTGAGGCTTGTTAATATTGAGCCACTTAAGGTCATATAGCTGGCCTGTCTGGCTCCAAACTCCCAGCTCTTTATACCTACTATAGAATCAGAGAACACTCGTGCCTTTTATTTATTTATGTATTTATTTTGGAGACAGGTGTCGCTCTGTCACCTAGGTTGGAGTGCAGTGGTGCAATCACAGCTCACTGCAACCTCGAACTCCTGGGCTCAAGCAATCCTCCTACCTCAGCCTCCCGAGTAGCTAGGACTACAGGCATGCACTATGATGCCTGGCTAATTTTTAAATTTTTTTGGGGGGGATGGGGTCTTGCTATGTTGCCCAGGCTGGTCTCGTACTCCTGGCCTCAAGTGATCCTCCTGCTTTGGCCTCCCAAAGTGCTGGGACTACAGGTGTGAGCCACCGTATCCTGCCCATGAATGTAAATTATATGAGACTACAGGTCCCAAGGAGCCCCAGTGTCTGTCCTCAGGAAGACCCCAGGCCTGCTGCTGATGCCTTTTCATAGTGATATTAATCAAAGTCCCTTCCAGCTACATCTTCTGTCTACTGCTGCAGACATTCCCAGCAACTGAAACAGGAGAAGGCCCACCCTGGGAGCAGTGCATGCTGGGCCTCTTGAGGGTCTTGGCGGAGGCCTCATCCCTGGACTGAACCCACTCTCTCTCCTCCCTCATTTTCTCCCTCCACGCTCCTTGCAGCCTGAAGGTGAAGAGCGCGAGGCTGCGCAATGCCGCGGCGGTGGAGCTGTGGCAGCATTTCCAGCGGCCTCTGCAGGATCTGCAGCTGTGGAAGGCCCTGGCCCAGCGGCTCTTGGAGGTCACTGCCAGCCTGCCGGACCTGCCTTCCCTTCACACCTTCCTGCCCCAGATCGAGGTAACCGTGGTCCTGCCAACTGGGTGGGGCTGGGGTGGGCCACTGGCGGGGCATGGTGTTTCAGTCTCTCTCCCAGGGGAAGGTCCGTTTCCGGGTCCTCCGGATATCTGGGGAGAGCTCACTGCGCCCGGTCTGCTGAGTCCTGGTGCACAGGGAGCGTCCATGCTTGCTTGTTACACTGACAAAGGTCAGCTCGGCTCCTGGGGGTTAACCCGGGGCTCCGTACGGACGCTCCCCACCCGCAAGCATCTCCCAGGTGGAGGCATTAGCACTCCTGAGAGAGCAGCGTTCTCAGGCCATTGCCTTTACTGCAGCTCCAAGTGGCAAGAAACCTGACCTGACCTGCGGTATCTTAAAACAGCGACATTCAGGCAGTCCAGGGTGCCAGGCCACAGCTCAGTGGTGTCACCAGGACCAAGCCCTTTGTAGTTCTAAGCCAGGTCTCGCCTCATGGCCCCAGCATGGCTGCTCCGGCTCCAAACGTGCATCTCCCATGAACAACAACTGGCTCCGGATGGAGCCGCGGATGCACAGGGCTCTCTCCACCTCTACTTCCGCCTTTCAAATCTTCCCCTGACACCCGCACACTCCCCTCACATCTCATTGGTTGGTCAAGGTCATATGATTGATTATTCCTGGCCCAATCATCGGCAAGGATGATGGGATTACCGTAACTGCTTTGTACCAATTAGACTCAGTGCCTCGGAACTGAGCACTTTGCATCCCAAAATGCTGGTTGTTTGGGAAGAGAGAAGGAGGTATGGCTGTGGGATGAGCAGAAGACAACATCTTTCATGATGCCCGTCACTGTGGTGTCCCCAGTGTGCCTGTACATACTGTCTCTGGCATCATTGAACTCTGAAGTCCATAAAATGATTTTGTGTCTAGAGATTCTTAGACACAAAGAGTGGGAAAAGACTCAAACGTGTGTGAGATGTATAATCATTCTGATTATAAAAGGCACACCTACTTGGAGAGTGTAAAGGTGTGTGAAGAAGAAAACAAAAAGCTCCCATTATCCCACAAGCCACAGGGATGAACATGTTGGGGCAATTTCTCCATCCCCTTTTCTGCCACCTTGGTATGACCGAGGAGAACCAATAACCAGGGTTGGCCCCTGCTCACCCTTGGGTACACTACTTGGCCATGTGCCTGCATTTTGAAACGTCTACCCTTGTGATTTTCCGCTTGGGGCTTACATTGGGACAATAATTTGTTTTCTCTCTTCGTGGCTTTTTGTTTGGAGACGAAGTCTTGCTCTATCACCCAGGCTGGAGTGCAGTGGCGCGATCTCAGCTCACTGCAACCTCCGCCTCCCGGGTTCAAGAGATTCTCCTGCCTCAGCCTCCCAAGTAGCTGGGATTACAGGCATGCACCACCATGCCTGGCTAATTTTTTGTATTTTCAGTAGAGACGGGGTTTCATCATGTTGACCAGGCCGGTCTCGAGCTCCTGACCTCAAGTGAGCTGCCTGCCCCGGCCTCCCAAAGTGCTAGGATTAGACAAGAGCCACTGCACCAGACCTCTCTTAATAGTTTTTAAGCTGCAGGGCATGGCCTTTCTTTCCAAGGGTCCAGTGGGCCCCTTCTCCCAGCCCTATGCTCCAAAGGATGGTGGGCCATCTTTTCTAGGTACTCCTCAGGGCATCCTGGAGTGAATTTCATATGTGTCACAAAACTCAATTTTAGATCAGAAGATCCCAAATCTGTCCTTTATATCTGATTAAATCCATTTAGATATTTCCATGAGATATGGTCACCAAGAGACAGAAGATTTAATTACAATTTTTATGTATTTGGGATCAAGTTCTATAATTGTATATTCTGATATTCTCACTCCACACATTTGAGCTTTTGTTCTCAGCATCATTTAAAATCATTCAAATAAAAGTGATCATTTTCAATGGCTGGATCATATTCTGTTCTGGAGTGTGACATAATTCGGTGTATCCACAATTAAAGGCTTAGGTTGTTTCTGATTTTTTATTGTCATAATTCACATATTTTGAATATCTATGCACAGGTAGTTTTATTTCCATTTCTACTATGATCTTTCTTATTTTGCAGATGAGGGATCAGAGCCAGGGAACCTATTTGACAAAAGAGGAAACTGAGGCTCAGATCTGCCCATAGCTTCCCAACTAGTACATAATCCAGACTCATGATCTCAAGTCCCCAGCCTAAACTCTTAACTCCCATGATATTGTGTCTGAGCTTGGTGAAAAGGGGGTAAAGGTGACTGACTCCCCTACAGTGAGAGGCTTGACCTCTGTGTGACTGAACACAAGCTAGATGCCCTGGTGTGCAGGTCATGCCAGTACAGCTGTATCAGCTGTGGTTACACTGCCTCTTCCAGAAACACCTGCCCTTCAAGGCCTGTCTTCAGTACTGCCTTCTTCAAAGTAGTACTCGATTTCCCCAACCAGGAGTGTCCACCTCTGCCTTGAACTCCCACGGCACTAGCTCCAGCTTTGCTTAAAGAATGACCACTTTCTTGGCTGGGCACGGTGGCTCACGCCTGTAATCCCAGCACTTTGGGAGGCCGAGGTGGGCGGATCACGAGGTCAGGAGATCGAGACCATCCTGGCTAACACAGTGAAACCCCGTCTCTACTAAAAAAATACAAAAAAATTAGCCGGGTGTGGTGGTGGGCGCCTGTAGTCCCAGCTACTCGGGAGGCTGAGGCAGGAGAATGGCGTGAACCCAGGAGGTGAAGCTTGCAGTGAGCTGAGATCGTGCCACTGCACTCCAGCCTGGGCAACAGAGTGAGACTCCAGCTCAAAAAAAAAAAAAAAAGAATGACCACTTTCTGTCTTGTATTGAAGTGACTTACCTGGGTTGGAATCTTTGTTCTTTCTCTCCCAACCCCGTGCCTAGCTCAGTGTTTTAAGTCTGAGAGTGGGTTCTCAGCAACATCATCAGGTATAAAATGAAAGAACTCTGGGCGAAGACAAAACCTGTGGCTTCCAGAACCCCAGACTCTCGATTAGAAATGCAAGAGGTGCTTACCTGAAACAGCTGGAGAGGCAACAGGAGTCGGAGGCTTGGTTCAGGCTCTAAGAGTTGCAGGGCTTTGGGGGCAAGAAGAGTGATTGTAGGCTGGGAATGGGGTCAGGGAAGGCTTCCTGGAGGAGGTAGGGCCTGGGCTGCGCAGAGTTCGGGCTATATGGCAGCCTGCTGCCATTGTAGGAGGCCTCTGAGCCCCCTTAGTTCTCCTCTTTGCCTGGCAAACTCCTGCACATCAGTAGTCTGCTGAGTATCACCTCCTCTGGGAAGCCTTCCTGAATTCTCTCTGAACATGCTCCTACAGGCCTGTAGCTCCCTTCAAAATGTCCAAAACACTGTTGCAGATAGCGCTGGGGGGTGTGTCCACTGTTGTTGGTGACGGGGGATCACTGAGTAGAGGATCAAGCTGGCTGGGTCTAGGTTCTGCAGCAATGTGGTGGGCCAGTGGTGGGGAGCCAACTAACTGGGAGGCAGCAGCCATTCAGGAGCTGTGTGGTCCAGGTGCCCAAGGCTGAGGGTGCACTGCAGTCGGGGCAGAGGCCATGGAGAGGAGACAGACTTTTGAGGCCTGTAGGAGGTGGATATTACTCAGGCTTGAGTATCAAGACAGATGTGGGAGGGGAGAGAGGAATCAAAGTTGACCCCGAAACTCAGGGCCTTGCCAGCGCATTCCTGCCAGCTCATTTTGTTTCTACTTGAGTTTGCTGCTTCCTCAGACACCTGCACAAAGGTGAGCTTCCTAAGCAGTTGCAGCCAGAACAGTTGTGCCCCTGGCTCTGTTTCTGAGCTGTGTCCTGCCCGGTCTGTGGTTCACGGAAGCCTTGTCTCCCACAGGCAGCCCTGATGGAAAGCTCCCGCCTGAAAGAGCTGCTGACGATGCTGCAGCTGAAGAAAGACCTCCTGATTGGCATCTTTGGCCAGGAGAGAGCCACGGCACTCCTGGAGCAGGTGGCAGGTTCCATGAGGGACAGAGACCTGCTGCATAACAGCCTCCTGCAGAGGAAAAGCAAACTGCAGGTGTGCAGCACCAGGCATCTGCTCGGGACTTGGCTTGGCCACGGGGCTGGAGCACCCACTGGGGAGGCAGATGGCCTTATGTTCTAAACTCAGCTCTGCCGCTTGCCACTGTGTGGCCCTGGGTGTATCCCTTTGTCCCTGACCATCTCAGCCTCCTCATGTGTAAACTGGGTAGGATTCTTGCATGGTCCCTCTAACTGGTTTCCTAGCCACCACCTGTCTGCCTCCCAGCCCTGTCCCCAAACCCCCTGCAATCAAATTGAATCCAGTCCAGTCTTCTGCAGAGAGTGACAGGAGGGTCAAATAAGAAAATGGTGATAAAAGTCCTTGTAAAATTTAAACCACCCTGGAGCTGGAAGCTCATATTAGTGACACATTTCAAAATGACTACACTACATCAATGACATGGCATGGCATGTTGTGGACAGCTTATTCTTTTAGGTAACAAATGTTTGCTGAGCATCTAATGATGATGACAATAATAACTATGATCTATGGGGCACTGGCTATGGGCCAGGGCATTGCTAAGAGCTCCAGATCCTTGATCTTATCTAATCCACATAAGAGCACTATGAGGGAGGTACTGTTATTTTTCTCGTTTTACACACGAGGACACTGAAGCAGAATGGTCAAGAAGGTGGCTCATGGTCCATATGGGGTACAGCCAGGACCCAGCCCATGATTTCAGCTCCCGTGCATGTTCCCTCCATCCACAGGGCCTGGTGCAGTTCTAGGAGCTGGGGGGATGAAGAAAGGAAGCCAAGGTCTTCACCCTCAAACACTCACAGCTTTTGCTGGTAGACACAAATAAGTAGGCAATTACTAGAAGACATCAAAGTGCTGTTTTACAGCAAGGGTTGGCAGACTGTTTCTGTGAAGGGCCAGACAGTGAAGGTTTTAGAGTCTGCAGGGCAGGCAGTCGCTGTCGCAGCTCCTCAGCACCACCACTGCAGCTATAAATGTATGGGCATGGCTGGGTTCCTATAAAACTTTATTTACAAAAACAGGCCTCTGGTGGGATTTGGTCGGTGGGTGGAGGGGTGTAGCTTGCCCCAGTTCTGGAGGGATGTGGCCAAAGTGTTCTGTGAGGACGCTGTAGTGACCCTAAGGAGAGGCACCCAACTCCATCAGGGCTCAGGGAAGGCTTCCTGGAGGGGGTGGCGCCTGAATGAGCATGAGCTGGCCGAGACGAAGAGCAGCCTGGCTGAACGGGTCGGGTCTCACAACACGGTGCTCATGAGGAACGCTCTTAATGTGCACACTGTCCTGTGTCTCTGCAGAGCCTGCTCGCTCAGCACAAAGACTTTGGAGCAGCTTTTGAGCCCCTGCAGAGGAAGCTCTTGGACCTCCAGGTCAGGGTCCAAGCCGAGAAGGGGCTTCAGCGGGACCTTCCTGGAAAACAGGCCCAGCTCTCAAGGTTGCAGGTGAGGGGTCTGTGAGGCCTGAATCACTCCTGCCCAGGTGCTCAGCTGCACCTGGAAGCAGCGTCTCCCTCTAGCAGTAACCAGCAAAGCAACAGCTGCCGTGAGCCAGAAATTTAGACCCTTAGTTGAGATCTGACCTTTCACCTCAACAGAACCTCTGCTTATTTATCTGATGGTTCCTGACCTCAAACAACTGAGTCTTGAGCTCAGCAAAATGACAAACTGTCTTTCTGTTTACTCCTCAGTTCCAAAGTCTAACATTGGTATTTGTTTTTAGAATTGCTTTGCTAAGTATTCTTAATGAGTCCAGAGGTGTTCAGTTAAACCAACTTTGGGATTAAGAATAAATGTTCTGAAACGTGGACTGTAAGTAGGCTGACCGTTGATCATTGTTGGCTGGATAAGGAACTTGATGGTTTTTTAAAATGCGCGTGATACAATAGTTCTCTCTTTAAAACCCAAGCACAGCTCATACATAAATTGAGAGTGTTCTCTAGAAGACATTAAAAATAGTGCATTTTAGGCCGGGAGCGGTGGCTCACGCCTGTAATCCCAGCACTTTGGGAGGTGAGCAGATTGCCTGACTTTAGGATTTTGAGATCAGCCTGGGCAACATGGTGAAACCCTGTCTCTACTTAAAATAAAAAATTTTTTTTAAAAAAGCAAAAAATTTAGCCAGGCGTGGTGGCGGGAATCTGTAACCCCAGCTACTTGGGAGGCCGAGGCACCAGAATCACTTGAACCCAGGAGGCAGAGGTTGCAGTGAGCCCACATTGTGCCACTGTGCTCCAGCCTGGGCGACAGAGTGAGACTCTGTCTCCAAAAAAAGAAAAAAAATAGTGCATTTTGGGTTTTAAAACTAAAATTGGGACGTGTTTCCTCATAATGAGAGGTGGTCATCAAGTATGAGTCCCAATGTGAGTTTGTCCCCAGAGATGCCATCTGTCTTGTAGCAGAGTTTATTTTCATGGTGTCCCAGAATATTTTTGTCTGATTTTTAAAATCTCTCCAGCCCTGAGAGTGGGCCCATCAGACCAGCCATGTGGTTGGTACTTCCGCTGGTATGAAAGAGCCCCACCGCCTTGGGGAATTCACCCCTCCCAGGCTCTCCCACTCAGAGGCTCTGCCCTGATCGGCCACCCCAAGGGAGGGAGAGGTGGGAAGATTAGCCTACCTGTTCCCTTCTCTACTGCAGGGGCTGCAGGAAGAGGGGCTGGACTTGGGGGCACAGATGGAGGCTGCAAGGCCTCTGGTCCAGGAGAACCCCAACCACCAGCACAAAATGGACCAGCTTTCCTCCGACTTCCAGGCCCTGCAGAGGTCTCTGGAGGTAAGGGGCTGGCAGAAGGGCCTGTGCTTTGACAGAGAGCCGGCCCCTGTCATCCAACACGCCTGGGGCCTTTCTTCCCCTTTCCTGCCTTCATTCCTTCTAACCTCTCTTTTTTCTTTCTCCCTGTTTTCTTCCCTTCCTCATTCATACAACAGACAATTATTGAGCACCTCCCATATGCCAGGCAGTGTTCTAGGTGGCCCTAAGGATGGAGGTAGCAGAGCATGACAGCCCAGGCCCCTGCTCTCCTGGGAGTTACGCCCCAGTTGGGTAGATGGACAATTAATCATCAAGCAAACAAGCCAATGCACAATTACATATTGAGATTAGGGCCAAGCGGCAAAAGAAGAGAGCAGGCTGCTGAGATCCTTAGGCAGCCCAGAACACAGGCGGCCTCGGGTCCCTTGCAGCCTGCACAAGGCCTGGAGGCCACAGAGCTTCATCGCCAGTGCCCTCTAGTGGCCACCTCAGCTCTTTCTAGGGTTTGTCCAGGATTCAGTCCCCTTCCAGCAGTAGGGATGGAACTCAAAGCTCCTTCAAAACTGGCCTGAGGACAAGTGGAAATGCAGACTCCAGGCCCCACTGTGACACTGATTCAGATGGAGTCCTGGGTCTGCCGTTGTAACAAGCCCTGAGGAGTATAAAGCAGGGTCTCTGGTGCTCACACCTCAAGAAAACCCAGTGAGGCAGTGAGAGCTCTCCCTCCTACCTGACATTGCACGCCCTATTTCATACCAAACATTCCTAACCTCCTCTTTACACTCCTGAAATTCATAGGGAATATACCCACCCAGGAAATAGAAAAGAGAAATCAAAGGAAAGTAATTATAATACAATATTGTCCAATATGTAAGTACTCCCAGATGGCCACACTCAAGACATAAGGAGGTGGTCAGAACGTGCCCTCCCTGTGTGACAGCCGCAAATGCTGTGTCAGGTGGCACAACCATCACGGCCTCTAGTGATGTGGTTTTCTGAAATGGGAACAACGCTTGATAGCACTTTGATCAAACCCAAGAGCAGTCTTCCATCCACTTACACAAAGGGTGCAGCTCTAGAGAAGTCAGTATGTTTGTTAAAACTGCAAAATCTTCCTTGTGTTTGTGTGTTGATTGGAGTGACAGTCTGAGCTCAGGTCATGCCAAGCAGGTTTTTTACTGCTGTAGATATTAGGAGGACATGAGAAAATCGTGTGGGATGTGGGCAAATTCTGCATTTGTGGACTATCCACCCCAGGGTGGAATGCGAGCACCCATCCCTCTCACTCCACCTAGTATCACCCTCACCACCTCTATCGCAGCAACTGCAAACCCTCCCCACCAGTTTCCAGGACATAAGGCATCACCTGTGGAGCCCCATTGGTGTAAGTGACGATTAATGTCTGGTTGAATTCATTTAATTACATTCAATAAACTAGCAGTTAGTAGTTTCAAGGTCGAGGCAGTAGAGAAATAGGACACACTGTCCTCACTCCTCAGGAGCCCATAGAAACCCGTAGAAGCAGCAAAAGTCTCCTAATACCTCCATCCAAATGATGGGCTAGATTAGTCGTTACGAGAAGCAGCGTTAACTGAGCATCACTCGGTGTTGCAAAATGATGATATTCCAATTCTTATTGATTGTTTATATTCTTCTTTAAAGAGAAATTGCCCTTTTATTATTTTGGTACCCAGTGCTTGTTAATCTAATATGTCCTTCCCCACAGCGAGGCAGTCTCTGTGTCCCCCTGGGGGGCAGGTATCTGATGTTGGAGATCACAGCTCTATGTACGGGAAGCCCTTGGAGGCGTCTGGTCTAATGTTGGCACACAGGGACCAGGAGGGGACAGTGGTAGGGACAACTCAGAGAAGTGGAGTTTTAGATAACTTCTCAGGCCCTCATTGATGGCTCACTGAGGACAGAGGCAGCAGTCTCCCCAGCCCCTGGTATGGGCCTGGTATCCAGCGATCTCAGTCAGTGTCTGTGGAATGTAGAAGGCAGGGCCTATGGTAGCCCTGCAGAGAGTCATGATGACCTTATTCAAGGAACACAGCTGGAATGGGAACGGCAGGCCCTGGGGTCTGACTGGTTCATGGCAGGCTATGTAAAGAAAGCTCCAAGGGTCTCAGGCTGGGTGGCCAGAGGCATAGAGAATGGCTGCCCTTCTGGGGACAGTGTCCACCTTTCCTGGTGACAGAGAGCTGAACAATAGATTGGCCCAGGAAACAGTACTCAGGAAAAAGAACAAAGAAAGACTGAACGTGAATATCTGAGTGTGCAGCTCGATTACTTTTTTTAAAAATTAAATGCATCTGTGTTACCAGCACCCAACTAAAACACAGAATATTACCAGCCTCCCAAAGCCTCTGTGCCTGCGGTCATGCCCAGCTCACCATTCCCGACCCTCAAGGGGGGCTCTGACTTCATGCTTCCCGCAACATAGCTTGGGCTTGCCTGATGTTATCCTTCATTTAAATTGAATTGGACAGAATGTTTTCTTTTGTGCCTGGCCTTTAGCTCTCCAGATGATGGTTGTAAATTCATCTGCTGTATTGCATGTGGTTATAGACTGTTCATTCTTGCTGCTGTAAAACATTCCATTGTGTGAATATACCACCGTGTATTTATTCATTCTACTCTTGATGGGCACTTGGATAGTTTCCAACTTGGGGCTGTCACATGTATGACCTTGGGTGAGGATATGTTCCCATTTCTGGGACATACACCGGGAGTGGAATGGCTGGGCCATCAGCTACAGCCACGTTCCATTTGGGTAGATTCTGACCCGTGGTTTCCACAAGTGGTTGAGCCAATTTACACTTGGATCAGTGGTGGACAGGAGATCCAATTTCCCCCACCCTCACCTAGACTTGGTCGTTTTCCTAAAAGTAAGATAGGCTTTAAACCAGATTTGATCTTCCAAGGGTAAATTCCTTGTGCTGTGTGGAGGGAAGGGCCAGCCCAGCCTCTTGTGGTGCTACTTGGTGGGGAGCCCTGGGGTCCCCAGCGGGTGTGAGAGCCCTGCAGGGTGGGGGTGGTGCGGGGGTCTCCCCCTCGGCCAGCACTCAGGATGCCCTGGGCTCCCCGGGCTGTGCTGCAGGACCTTGTGGACAGGTGTCGGCAGAGTGTGCAGGAGCACTGCACCTTCAGCCACCAGCTGCTGGAGCTGCGGCAGTGGATCGTTGTGACCACGCAAAAGCTGGAGGCACACCGGGGAGAGGCGGGCCCGGGGGATGCCGAGTCCCAAGAGGCCGAGTTTGAGGTAAGGCGGTGGTTCCCTCACCCACTTCCCAAAGAAGCAGCCTTGACAGGCCAACGTTCCCACACCAAGGAGCAGAAACCTCCCTCCACCCTCACCGTGTGTGTGTCTGTGTGTCCGTGTGTCCTTTAGAGGCTGGTGGCAGAATTCCCGGAGAAGGAGGCCCAGCTGTCCCTGGTGGAAGCGCAGGGCTGGCTGGTGATGGAGAAGTCTTCTCCGGAGGGTGCTGCCGTGGTGCAGGAGGAGCTCAGGGAGCTGGCAGAGTCGTGGCGGGCCTTGAGGCTGCTGGAAGAAAGTCTGCTGAGGTGAGAGTGCCTCCTAGGCTCTGAGCGTTGTCTGGGACACTGCCCCTTCTCACTCAGGGACACTCAGGTGCTCGTGGAGCAGAGGGCCAGGGTGCTGCCCAGTGTGGAGCCAGGGGCCGTGGGCACCTTCACACTTTGGCCCAGTTGGCTATTCTAGCAGGAGCAGGAGGAGCCAGGAAATGTCCCCGTCTTGGGAGTTAGCCTCCAGTCTATACTGGCTTGAGCCTCAGTTTCCCCATCTGCATCTATGGGCGTACGCACGTTCATGACAGGTTACTCTGAGTTTAAAGTCAGAAACCGGATGTGAGCATGCCTCAGGAACATTCTCACAAACTTCAGTGGGGGGCACTGACTCGTGACCCGTGGTTCCCCAATTCTATTACTTTTCCCATGTCCTGGTGGGTCCCCACCACATCTCTGCATTGACTGGGCTGAGTTTGTCTTCTCAGCCTCATCAGAAACTGGCATCTGCAGAGGATGGAAGTGGATTCGGGGAAGAAAATGGTTTTCACCAACAACATCCCAAAGTCAGGATTTCTCATCAATCCCATGGATCCTATTCCCAGGCATCGTCGACGCGTGAGTCTGTCTAGCAGGGCTGTGGGAGAAGGGGCCAGGCCCCAGGTCAAGAGGTGGGTAGGGGTCTCCAGCACAGGCCCCTCCCTGTCTGGGGCAACATGCTCTGCTCTGAGGACTTGGCCACGTCCTGTCTCATTTGAGCCTGCCCCAGCTGTGGCCAAAGAGCATTTGATCCTACTCCACAGAGGACCTCAGAGATCCCAGAGTCTGCAGAGCCAGGCCACCAGGGCAGTAGGGGTATCCCTTAGCCAGTCAGATACTCACCTCTGTGAGCCACTAGCAGCAGCTCCTGCAGGGAAGAGAGTGTCGGGGCTGAAAGCTTCCTGCTGGCCCCAGATTGGAAACCGAAACCATACAAGATGGGAAAACTTTTCTGCCATGTTTCATCCATCCCTTACTGCCTCTAAACAAACTTGAGCTTTGTGGAAAAGAAAGTTATTCCTTGTTATTCAAATACATCAAATTATTCATTTTCCCATTCATTCTTTCATCCACTCCTCCATTTGCTGAGTGCTACTTTGTTCCAAGAACTGTGCTCAGAGCTAGGATACAGCCGTGAGTAACGCTTCTGACCCTCAGAGAATTTGGAATCCGGCATAGAGCTTTTCAGTGGGCACACAGCCTTGTATTAAAATGCAGGTTCTGGGCTGGGTATGGTGAGCTACACCTACAATCTCAGAACTTTGGGAGGCTGGGAGGCCAAGGCAGGAGGATTGCTTGAGGTCAGGAGTTTGAGACAAGCCTGGGCAAGATAGCAAGACCCCATTTCTATAAAAAATATTTAAAAATTAACTGGACATGGTGGTGTGCTCCTGTAGTTCCAGCTACTCAGGGGCCTGAGGTGGGAGGATCACTTGAGCCCAGGAGTTTGAGGCTGCAGGGAGCTGTGATTGTGCCACTGCACTCCAGCCTGGTGACAAAGCAAGACCCCATTTCAATCAATCAATCAATCAACAAAAAATAATGAAATAAGATAAAATGCAGACTCTGAGTTAGTAGATCTGGCTAGGGCCCACAATTCGATTCTGCATTTCTAACAAGCTCTCGGGATAGGCCCATGCTGCTGGGCCCGGGAGATACTCACCTCTGTGAGCCACTAGCAGTAGCACCTGCAAGGGAGAGAGCATCGGGGCCGAACACTTCCTGCTGGCCCCAGAATGGAAACTAAAATCATACAAGATGGGTCTATTTTTGTGCCATGACTATATTTTATAAAAGAAAAAAAAAAGAACTAACTACATTGTTTTACCCATCACTTTCCCTTACTGCCTTTAAACAAACTGAGCTTTGTTGAAAAGAAAGAAGCAAGGGAGTGGCATCCACAGGCTGTTAAATAAGGATTTACAAAAAACAAAAAACAAACAAACAAAAAAAACATGGTGCACCTTGGCAGACAGGCCAGAGGCTATGGGAGCCTGCAGCAGTTCCTAGGTCCAGGACCGGGAAGCCTCTCCTGGAAGATAAGACATCTCAGCTGAATTTTCACGGCTGAGTGGCAGTGAGGAGAGGAGGGAGAGAGGTGTGTTCCCCACAGAGGAGACAGTATGTGTGAAGAGCAGAGGGAGAAATTCGAGTGCCAGTTTGAGGGGCCAAGACACATCTGCAGGCCCAGGCTCAGAGGACAGGGAAGACAGCATGCGCAGTGGAACCAAGACTCCCGGGTCACACTGGGGAGTAGTGAGAGGCACCAATGTGGATAACCAAGAAGTTAGCTGAATGGGCTTGCATCATAGACAGAGCACTCCGGTCATGGAGCCCCGAGGGGGCAAGCATGGTGGAAGGGTGACTATTTGTATAGCCATCCTGGTAAGAGATGGTGGTGGCTTCCGTCACCTCTCAGGGGACCAGAAAGGGGACAGTGAGGAATGTTCTTGGCCCTTAAATGTGACCATGTTGAGTAGAGATTCATTGTTCATCCCCCAGGCCTCTCCCGTCGCCATTTTGGGCATCTTGTCCTGGTCCCTGCCCCTCTGCCTCAGGTGGAATTCCCAGGACACATGGCCAGGGGGGCTCTTTCACCTCTGACGCTTTGGCCGTGTGTGATCCTACAGGCAAATCTTCTACAGGAAGAAGAAGGGAGCCATGAAGATTTCTCCCAGCTCCTGAGGAACTTTGGGCAGTGGTTGCAGGTGGAAAACTCCAAGCTGGTTAGAATCATCGCAATGAGAACTTCTACAGCTGAGGACTTGAGGACCAGAAAATCGAAGCTGCAGGTCTGTTCCCCAGGAAAGGTCCCTCATCCATAAGGTTTGCACCCACAGAGGCATTTGCCACCAGGGAGTTCTTCAAAAGAAGGAACACACCCACAGTTTGTGAGCTGTTCTCCCTTGTGTATAGATAATCGCTTTTAAACTTTTTTGGTTCAAAGATTTTAGAACTTTTTCTGGCATTCATTCGTGTGTTCAGCATGCTTATGTAGTTCCCTACTTGGAAAATATCACCACTAATCACTTGACTCCTGTCACTTAGCTATTGCTGTGTGACACACCATCCCAACAGTTTGTGGCTGATAACAATAACTATGTATTTAACCCATGGTTCAGAAGCATGGCAGGTTAGGCTGAACTCAACCGGGCAGTGCCTCCAGTCCGTCTGCTGTCAGTTGTAGGTCAGTTGGGTGTCTCTACTTCTAGGGGCTGGTGGGCTATTAGAGATGAGAATGACATGGACTACACATCTCGTATACTCCTGTGGCACAGCTTGGACTTCTCATAGCAGAGGCAGGGCAGAAAAGAGCAATAGCAGCAGGCAAGGACTTTTGAGGTCAAGACTAGGAGCCAGCATAACATTAATTCCCCTGCATTCTGTTTGCCAAAACCAGCCTAGAGTCAAGGAAAGGGAAAGAGACTCCACTACTTGATGGAAGGGATGGCAAAGTCATATTGCAGTGGGTATGGATATGGCTGGGGGGAGGGAGATGGGGAAAGTCACAGCCATTTTTGCAACTGAACTACTACTTCTCTCCTGTCTTCTTCACTCCCACATCTAATCAGTTGCTAAAGCTCCTTGATTCCACCTCCTAGATATTTTGTGTTTCTCTTCCCTCGCACTACCATTGTCTTAATTTAGGCACTTACCATTTTTGGCCTTGACTATGGCTGTAGCCTCCCAGCTGATCCTCCTTTCTTCCTGTTGGGTCCCATCTAGGTCATGGCTCATCCTGCAGCCAGAATAACAAATATGACCCTGTCCTCCCCCTAATGAAAACCTTTCACTATAGAGTTTAACCCCTGAGTTTATTATTCAAGGCCATTCTCAACCAGGCCCTAGCTCACTTCTGTTTCCCTATTTTTATGCAATCTTACCATGATATGTTTAGGTTTGAATTTCTTTTTATTTATCTGGGTTGGGATTCATTTTAACTCCCGAATCTGTGGTCTAGGATCTTTCTGGAAAACTCTCTAACCTTATTTTTTTTTCTCTTAATTCCCAAACTTGTTACTTGTATTTTTTTCTACTAACAATCTTTCTTAAAATATCACCTCTGCCTTGTTCCCTTTCTCCTCTCCTACTGTGATATCATTTAAACATATGTAACTACTTCTCACTGTGTGCTTTATGTCTCTTACTCTCTCCTGTGTATTTTTCATCCTTTTCTCTCTTCGTTTTGCATTCTGGATAGTTTTTCTGATTCATCTTTCAGTTTACTAATTCTCTCTTTAGCTGTGTTTCATCTTCTGTTACACGTGTCTACTGAGTTCTTAACTTTGGTTGTTGCAGTTATCAGTTCTAGAACTTCTATTTGGTGCTTTTAATAATCTACTCTATCATTTTTCTTATCTTTTTTTTTTCTTATTTTATAGCTCCTGTCTTAACTGAAACTCTATCATTTTTCATACCTTCCAGATACTTGCTGAAATTTTTAAACCTATCTTTTAATTATTTGAACATAGTAAACATAGCTTTTTACAGATTGTATCTAATAATTCTAACATCTCAAGGCATTTTATGAATGTTTCTGTTGTATATTATTTCTGCCTGTTCTTACTCTTGGTTTCTTGTGTCTTCATGTGGCTGCTTTGTGTGCTAGACATTGTGTTTGCCAAAATATGTATAAGAGGGATTTAAGATTTAGGATAGGCAGGGCACGGTGGCTCACGCCTGTAATCCCCGCACTTTGGGAGGCTGAGGCGGGTGGATCACCTGAGGTCAGGAGTTCGAGACCAGCCTCAACATGGAGAAACCACGTTTCTACTGAAAATACAAAATTAGCTGGGCATGGTGGTGCATGCCTGTAATCCCAGCTATTCGGGAGGCTAAGGCAGGAGAATTGCTTGAACCTGGGAGGCAGAGGTTGCGGTGAGCCGAGATCGCGCCATTGCACTCCAGCCTGGGCAACAAGAGCGAAACTCTGTCTCAAAAAGAAAAAAAAGATTTAGGATAATCTTTTCCTCCAGAGTTGATTTTATTTGCTACTGCCAGGCGAGTAGGGACCTTTCATTCTGGGACCACTAAATCCAAGTTCAAGGCTTGAGTTTCCCTGGTCTACTAAGATGACTTTGAACTGGGCTGCAAGTCTACACAAGGTCCAGGTTTACTTCTGGTTCATTTTTAATAGGGTGAAGGCTTTAGGAGCTCAGCAAAAGGGTGAATGAACCCTATCAGAATCTCTACCTCTGCAGGCCCCAGACTTTGGCCTTTGTCTCCCCAGCCCAGTGAGGCTGCCAAAAGCAAAGATGTTTTACAGCTATTCCTTCCAAATTGGCAAATGTTCTGTGGGCAAAAGCAGATCTGAACACAGCACTGACTGCCCTGGGTTTTCATTCTTTCCCAAGTTGTGGCCCGGTGTGCCTCACATTCTTTTGTTAATACTTTTATGCCTTTAAAATGCTTTAAATATTTTGTCCTTAGTGGGAGGTTTGGTCCCAATTATCTAGTTGGCCATTACCTGGAAATCTTCCTTGCCTGCCTCTCCTGTCTCATATCTGGCTACTCCTCTCATTCCCCCCACCGCACCACCACCCAACTCCAGCCATATCAGAAATGACTTTCCGTTCCTCAAGTTAAACCCCCTTGCTTTTTGTACAGCATACATTCCTGTGGGCTCTGAGAAGCTAAGCAAGGTGTCCCATATTACATGCTAGTAGAATGGGGCAGAGCCAGGATCCAAAGCCAGGATTTAAAACTGGGCTCCCGGATTTATAGCCCCGCTCCTACTGCCCCATCACACCACCTCTCAGGAGTCCTGAGAATAAAAGTTTCCATCCCAAGGGAACACAGTACTTCTATTTCCTGAGAAAAATCTGCACATTAAAACACCATTCTGCCAGGCTCAAAATGCTAACAGAAAGACATGTTCACAATGACAGCTTTTAGAATGATGCGAACTCTAGTCAAGCCCTCTGGAGGACTTGGTCCTGGAATGTCATATTTGGAAGTGACCACTGGAGGTCTGCAGCCCAGCTGCCCGTTCCATGCAGGAGGCCATCCTGTAGCATTCCTGAGAGCAAGGGCTAGGCCTTGGCTTGAATTGCACAGATGGGAGTCCCACTTTATGGATTCTGTCTGCCTCCTCCCTGCCTACCTGTCTGTCAAGTGAAATTTGATGGACCCATCCTTACCATTCAGGTGGGGCTGTCTGGGCCATTTGGAAGCCGCACCATGACGCTGCTGTTTCCCCCAGGAGCTGGAGGCTCGGGTGCCAGAAGGTCAGCATCTCTTTGAGAACCTCCTTCGTCTCGGGCCAGCAAGGGGGACCTCGGATGAGCTGGAAGATCTGCGCTACCAGTGGATGCTGTACAAGTCCAAGCTGAAGGACTCTGGCCACCTGCTGGTAGGTGCCAAGGATGTGCAGGTCCCAGATTCCAGGGACAGGACTATAGCTGGGCCGTATTTGCCTGGGGATACAGTGCTAAGCCTGCATCCACCCTGCCCTGTGCATTCACACACCAGACAGTGGTGACCACTCAGGCAGAGGACAGGGACACTCATGGGTTCTGGGCACTTAGGTGACGCCATTTGGCCATCCAACCACCTCATGAGGCTGAAGTCCCAGTCAGGACAGCAGTGACCTCATAATTAATGTGTAAGGAGTGCTTCCTATCTCCCAAGCCGAGGGCCCTGTGTGCACCGTCCCATTCAGTCTGTACGGTTCCCCTCTGCTCAAGTCATTGTATCTCCAGACTGCAGAGGGGAGCTGAGACTCCAAGCAGTGAAAAACCTTGCCCGAGGCCGCGTGGGTGGTCAGTGGCAGAGCCAGCCTGCAGACACACCCGTGTGTTGTAGGCGTGACCTGGGGAAGCACTGGAGTGGCATCAGGAGCCCTGGGGTCCAGCCCCATGTCTCTAACTTGCCCTGTGTCTTAGTTGAGCAAGCACCTTCCTTTTCGGGGGCCCCTGTGTCTCCTCACACCAAATAATAATAATAATAATAATAATAATAATAATAATAATAATAATAGCAAAACTAGTAATGATCATAACCTTTGCTCAATGCTATGTCCTTATAACAGCCCTTTAAAGGAGGTGCTGTTATATGCCCTGTGAACCAATGAGGAAACTGAGGCACGGACATTAAGTTTCCTAGGTCCCTAAGTCTGAGGAGGGTGGTGAGCTGGCCCTTAAGGGCCCTTTCAGCCTCAGACCCCAGCCCCAAGCTGGGCGCCCCAGGCTTTCCTGGCCCGGGAGCAGCCGAGACGGCCACTAGGTGTCAGCCCAGCCCAAGCCAGGTTGGCCATGGCCCCCGCCGGCCTTGGCCACGGCCTTTCCAGACAGAATCCCAGCTGGGCCTGAAGTGTGTTAAAAAGCTCATTAAATCGAATCATCTGCTGGCTCAGGCTGTCCAGATGACCAGAAGTTTTAAAGAAACACTCCCCTGACAAAACGAATATTCCATTACAGGCTCTGTTGGGATTTAAGTTTCACTCACTTAACTTATTTTTTTCCCCCCTTTTCCTCTCCTTCCCTAAAATAACAGACACAAAGTTCTCCAGGGGAGCCGACTGGATTCCAAAAGGTACAGTGTCTGCCATCTGCTCCACACGGCTAGCAGGCAGGGTGCCTGGAGGGTTGGTGGGCCCGTGACACTGGGGCAAGACTCGTGGGCTTTCTGGAAGGTTCCAGGAAGACCAAAGAACATTTATGGGGGATCAACTCTGGGCTGCGCTGTGCTGGGCCCCAGGATTCTTGATTTCAAGAAGCCCCAGGCTTGGGGGGAGGCTGGCAGGGTGTGCAGAGTCCTCCGCTGGGACAGGCACATAGCAGAGAGGGGATCTTGGAGTTCACCCTCCTAAATCAGGACACGCTGGGGAGTGGACAAAGATGCTACCAATGATTATGCTGTGACAGCAGGTGTGAACCGGGACTGTCCCAGGAAACCTGGGTTGTTGCGGGCAAACTGGACGGTGTGGCCACCCTGGTGATGGAGAGTCTATGGGGCTCGGTAGGGACAGGAGAGGGAGGGATTGTGCCTTTGAGTTCTACTAGGCAGGTGTTTCCACTTACCCTACTGAGCCGTGCTCAGAGTCACTCCCAGGGTCTTTGCAGGCTGAAGCAATAACAATAACAGCAGTAATAACGACAACAATGAGTAATAGGTATGATTATTACTCGAGATGCTATGTATTGGCCATCCACTGTGTGTGCCAGGAACTGTGCTAAGTTGTGGTTAGGGCCTCTCCTGTAACTCTCCCAGTGACACCTAGGAGGCAGTATAATCTCAACTTTCAGCGCGAGGAAACAGAAGGGGCAAGCCTGAAGTGACTTGTTCAAGGAAGGCCTCAGCCCCTCAGTGGTCTCTGGCCTCTGAATCCAAAACTCATGTTGTTAAACTTCCACGTTGTGACTTGGAGAAGACTTCCCTGGGGCCTGGGGTGTCTCCCCATTTCTGGAAAAGCCAAGTGTAAATCGGTGTCTCCTAGTGCCACTGTTTCCAAGGGAATGAATGCTGTGTTTTCCTGCTAGGCATTGGCCCGTAATGACACGAGCCTCCTCCGGCATGCTCTGATCCAAGGAGCTCTGAGTTCCTTGAGATCTCTCATTCTTTGGAATCTGTGTTTCCTAGAAATCTGTGATTTCTTCTTGGCCTCTGGCTGGTGTCATAAGTAACATCTATAGGAGAGTGGGTAACCAATGGACTGGGCAGGGCAGTCACAAAATCAAGGCTGGGCTCTGGGCCCAATACCAACTGGCTTTGTGGCTTCGAGGGAGTTGTTTGGCCCCTTGGGGTTCACTTTCCCCATCTATAAAATGGAGCTTTTTTTTTTTTTTCCTTTGAGACAGAGTCTCCTGTCACACAGGCTGGAGTGCAATGGCACAATCTCAGCTCACTGCAACCTCTGCCTCCCAGGTTCAAGCAATTTTCCTGCCTCAGCCTCCCAAGTAGCTGGGATTACAGGCATGCGCTACCACACCCGGCTAATTTTTGTATTTTCAGTAGAGACGGGGTTTCACCATGTTGGCCAGGCTAGTCTCAAACTCCTGACCTCAGGTGATCCACCCTCTTCGGCCTCCCAAAGTGCTGGGATTACAGGCATGAGCCACTGCACCCAGCCTAAAATGGAACTATTAATGGCAACCTTATTTACTTCATGAACTTATTTTGAAGATCGTGTGAACTGTTGTATATGAAAGTAGAAATGCTTCTGATCACTTAAGCCCTGCCCCCAACACCCCCCAGTTTAGAATAACAAACACACTTCTCATGAGAAAGGGAAAATCATCAGGAAAGGACAGGTGCTCTACACAGGCCAGCCTGGTGGGTCCTGGTGGGAGACGGGGGACCTAGGACCTTGTGTCCAGACCGACTCTAGCTCCTGCACTTTAAGCCTCTCTCTGGTTGGAAGCCCCCACCTATGCAGCCCCTAGGCCAGGATCCATGTGGGTGTCAAGTCTGGTCCCCCTGGTGTCTAGCCATGGTGCCTAGCACATAGTAAGTGCACACTAAATGTTTTTGAGTAGTGACATTTGCTGGCTAACACCAGCCCTCCAGCACAGCCTCAGGTTCCTACAACCTGTAATTAATGTGTTACTGTGGTATGTTCACAGCCATAGCGTTCATTGCTGTCTCTACCCTCCCTCCCTCCCTCCCTTCTTTCCTTCCTTCCTTCCTTCCTTCCTTCCTTCCTTAGTTCTGACTGTGCCAAGATCAGTGAACAGAAGAGCAGTGACCTGTCCTGTAGACTGTACATCCTGCTTGGGTGGAGAGAGGGGGATGGGACCAGAGCGCACATGTCCAGCTGATGTTGCTCAGTAGCACAGTGGGAATCTCTGGGTCAGAGAGCTCTGAAGGTCACACCACTTGTGATCCATGTAGCCCTGAGGTGTATCTTGTCTATGACCAGAAGACGTTGGGCACAGCTTGGTGGGGTATGCAAAGACGGAAAGCCCTAAATGACTAAAGAATCTGCTTACTTGGGCTATGTTTAAAACAATTGGATGTGTAAAAATCTGACTTTGGTGCTTGCTGCCTTTTGAGCTAACGGATCTCAGCCCACTGTGAAGAAGTAAACAACATGGGGGCCACTACACGGAGACCATCTGTGGCTCATTTATAGGACAGCTTGATAAAACATAGATTGCTGGACCCCACCTCCAGAGTTTTCGATTCATCAGTTTTAGGGTGGCCCATGAACCTGCATTTCTAACACGATCCCAGGTGATGCTGCTGCTGGGGGCCTGGGGACCACACTTTGAGAACCACCACTTTACACTCTGGGTTCAAACCCAGGCTCCACCATTAGCGTGTGTGACCTTCAGTGAGTCATTTAGCCGCAGTCTTCCAAATTTAAATGCGAGTCCACTCAGCTCCTGGTAGCAAAGTTCCTGTTGTAACCATGGCACATAGTAGGTTCTCAAGTGCTGTGTGAATGGGGACCTGGGAGACTTCTGCAGACACCGTCCTGCTTTTCTTTCTGAGAGCGAAGGGAGCAACGACACATCCAAGGGGGAAATCCTCCTTTAGCTTTGGTGTGTGCGTGATTCTTCACGGGTTGGAGTGTGGCGTATGCCTGTGTGGTTATGCGCACGCATGCACGTATGCACATCCACAGGCCTGGCAGGTAGCAAGTAGGTGCTGTCTTCAGAGGCTGTAATCTTGCCAACTTGAAAACATTCCACATATTATTTTTGGTCTAAGGGGAAAGGGGGAAAAATACTTATCCCAAAGCTAATTATTTATGAGCAGTTGGTTCTCCACACTTTTTTTCCTCCCTCCATGCTCCAAGTCATTGAAAGCCCCAGCTACGTCAGTGGCTTCAGCCTGCTTGTTTGTATCAACAGAATAATTAAGATTTATTAAATTTGCAGCTGCCTAGGCACTTGCCAACTCACTGCTGCGGGTGTGTTTGCCTGCAGCATTGAGACACGTGAAATGGCATTGCTTTTTGAGTTGCAGTTGTGCTGTGAGTCAACTATATTGCATTCCTTGCATTGGCCCAGGGAAGCGGCATAGCCCTACCTGAGACAAACTTTTAGTTGGGGATGGATTGGTCAAAGGTTCTGTGAGCCAGGGTGAAATAGGGCAGTGCTAGTTTGCAGAAGCAGAGAGCAGGCATCTCCCATCCATTTCATATGTGGGCTCTTGGAATATAGACCCAGATGTTGTGTGACCTGACAGTAGCATTTTATTTATTTGACTGTGTTTCATAGGTTTTAAGACTCATAATTTTTCACATTTTCACATCTCTGGAATTCGGGTGTCTTATTACAATGTAGTTCTTCCAGTGAAGATTTAGGTTTACTGCCCGTCACCCCCAACCTGAGATTCCTTTAAATTAAAATGTCTGCTTGCGGGTTGTGTTCTATTTGGGTTTCCTTTGGACCACACTGATTGTGTAAACCGAGACCGCCAACCTTGGGGAGCTCCAGCCTGTGTGGTTCAAACTCTTGAGGAAGAGTTTTGATTTCCTATCCTTCACCCACTGCCAACAGAAGACCTGGAATTTCCTTGCCTCCTCTTTCTGTGAGGTGGGTTTATTTCTCATTTCTCCTTACATTGAAGGTGCAGCTCCCTTGGTCCCCCATATTGATGTGGGCTTTCCAATCAGATGCACCATCTTGGTTGCTGTTCTTTTCTTTCTTAGCGGTTTGTAAAATAATGGTGCACTTTATAATCAGCGTCTTAGATTGAATGAGCTACTGTAATACCAAATCTCAGTGAGTATTCCATGTTAGATCATAACTTTCTCTCAAAATTTGTAGGGAACAGCCCCACAGGGTCGGTGAGTTTTTCTCCCCATATGCGGAGACGAGAGATTGTAGAAATAAAGACACAAGACAAAGAGATAAAAGAAAAGACAGCTGGGGCCCTGGGGACCACTACCACCAAGACACAGAGACCGGTAGTGGCCCCGAATGCCAGGCTGTGCTGTTATTTATTGGATACAAGGCAAAAGGGGCAGGGTAAGGAGTGTGAGTCATCTCCAATGATTGACAAGGTCACATGAGTCACATGTCCACTGGACAGGGGGCTCTTCCCTGCCTGGCAGCCAAGGCAGAGAGAGAGAGGGAGAGAGAGGGAGAGAGAGAGGACAGCTTATGCCATTAATTCTGCATATCAGAGACTTTTAGTACTTTCACTAATTTGCTACTGCTATCTAGAAGGCAGAGCCAGGTGTACAGGATGGAACATCAAAGTGGACTAGGAGCGTGACCACTGAAGCACAGCATCACAGGGAGACGGTTAGGCCTCCGGATAACTGCGGGCGGGCCTGACTGATGTCAGGCCCTCCACAAGAGGTGGAGGAGTAGAGTCTTCTCTAAACTCCCCTGGGAAAAGGGAGACTCCGTTTCCCAGTCTGCTAAGTGGCGGGTGTTTCCCCTTGGCACTGAAGCTACCGCTAGACCACGGTCTGCTTGACAATGGGCGTCTTCCCAGACACTGGCGTTACCCCTAGACCAGGGAGCCCTCTGGTGGCCCTGTCCGGGCATAACAGAAGGCTTGCACTCTGTCTTCTGGTCACTTCTCACTATGTCCCCTCAGCTCCTATCTCTGTATGGCCTGGTTTTTCCTAGCTTATGATTATAGAGCGAGGATTATTATAATATTAGAATAAAGAGTAATTGCTACAAACTAATGATTAATGATATTCATATATAATCATATCTAAGATCTATATCTAGTATAACTATTCTTTTTTTTTTTTTTTTTTTGAGATGGAGTCTTGCTTTGTCACCCAGGCTGGAGTGCAGTGGTGCGATCTTGGATCACTGCAAGCTCCGCCTCCTGGGTTCACGCCATTCTCCCGCCTCAGCCTCCCAAGTAGCTGGGACTACAGGCGCCTGCCACCACGCCTGGCTAATTTTTTTTTGTATTTTTAGTAGAGACGTGGTTTCACTGTGTTAGCCAGGATGGTCTCAATCTCCTGATCTCATGATCCACCCACCTCGGTCTCCCAATAGTATAACTATTCTTATTATATATATTTTATTATACTGGAACAGCTCGTGCCCTCGGTCTCTTTCCTCGGCACCTGGGTGGCTTGCCGCCCACAAAAATTATGATTTTTTTTTGCAAAAATCCCTCTTGTGTGTCAGGCACTGTGCTGGGAACACGTGTGCTTGGTCTTTAACACTCACAACTACCTTCTCCTTTTATAGTGGGAGGAAATGGTTTCTGGGCCCCTTGGCCCCTTCTCTCTCACGTGGGATGGGGTCAGATGGGAGTTGGGAGGGGCAACATAGGTTGAGTTTTTACCCCTGTGACTTACTGTGGAACTCCGGGGGCAGGTCAAATCTGCTTCTTCCCTGGTCACAACTAAAGGCCTGGGCTTTGCTAGGGCCATGCAGTCTCTGACCTCTAAAAGGGAGAGCCAGGGACAGGCTTCAAACCATGCTCTGTGTCATCCCACGGCCTCGCCACTCCGTCCGTCTACAGAGCCCAGAAGCAATCAGTCTTTGATGATTTGTGAACAAGTTGGTGCTAAAACTTTGGTCATGAAGTATTTGAAACTAGTCCTTGACTACTGAGATCCAGAGAAGCATTCTCTACACTTGCTCTTTCTATTTCTTCGTCTTTCTGTCACTCACCTTCCACCCCACAACTCCTCTGAAATTCACCCCAGTGAGGTACCCAGTAGCTACTTCTTCACTAAGACCAGTGAACTGCTGTTCTTATCACATTTGGCCCTGGGGCACTGGGGTCGATGACCACGGCCTCCTCTTCCAGCTGCCTCTATCCTGATACTTCTGTCTTTGTTTTATTGTTTGCCAGCTATCTAGGTCAGTGTTGATAACACTCAATGTTGATAAAATACTGTTATTTAATCCACAGTCCATATTTTAAAATTTTAAGCTGTCTCAATAGTCTCTTTTGAATTTATAGACTTTCGTTTTTGAGCAGCTTTCGGTTTATAGAAAAATTGAGCAGAATGTACAAAGTATTCCCATAGACCTCCTCTCATCCCAGCCTCCTCCATCTTCCCCATTAATTAACATCTTACATTAGTGTGCTCCATTTGCTAAGGCTGATGAACCAGTTGATACATTGTTATTAACTCAGTCCACAGCTTGCATGAGCGCCAACTCTTGGTATTGTACAACCTATGGGTGTGGACAAAGGTCTAATGACCAGTAGCCACCACTAAAGTATGTTGCAGAAGAATTTCACTGCCCTGAAAATCCCGTTCTCCACCTACTCATCCCTCCCCACCTCTCCCCAGGCCCTGGCAACCACACATCTTTCTGCTGTCTCCACGGTTTGCCTTTTCTAGGACGTCCTATGGCTGGATTCATACACTATGCAGCCTTTCAGACTGACTTCTTTTACCTGTCAACATGCATTTAAGGTTCCTCAGTGTCTTTGTGGCTTGACAGCTCATTTCTTTTTTCTTTTTCTTTTCTTTTTTTTTTTTGATGGAGTCTCACTCTGTTGCCCAGGCTGGAGTGCAGTGGTGCAATCTCTGCTCACTGCAACCTCCATCTCCCAGGTTCAAGCGATTCTCCTGCCCCAGCCCCCTGAGTAGCTGGAATTACAGGTGCCCACCATCACACCAGGCTAATTTGTTTTTTTGTATTTTTAGTAGAGTTGGGGTTTCACCATGTTGGCCAGGCTGGTCTCAAACTCCTGACCTCAAGTGATCCACCTGCCTTGGCCTTTCAAAGTGCTGGGATTACAGGCATGAGCCACTGTGCCAGGCCAATAGCTCATTTCTTTTGACCACTGAATTATATTCCATTGTCTGGAGATGTACCACTTACAGTCTTACTGGTAGATTTTTTTTCTCAGTCCAGGATCCAATCCAAGATCACACATTGCATTTATTGCCACATCTCTGTTTTCCTCCAGTCTGTCCCAGTTCCTAGGTTTTTCTTAATTCTTCTTGACCTTGACCTTTTTGAGTACAGGCCGGACAGTTTGTGGAATATCCCTTGGTTTGGGTTTCCCTGCTGTTTCCTTGTGATTGGATTTGGTGGCAGGTTCCTGGCAGGAATGTCACAGAGCGGTGCTGTGGTTTACTTGTGCCTCTTATCAGGAGACACATGTCGTCAGCATGTCGCACATGGGCTGTGCTCACTCTGACCATCAGTTAAGAATGGCCGCCCTTAGAGAGGCTTCTCCCTGTGAAGTTGCTACCATTGCTTTTGTAATGGATAAGTGACCTGTAGGGGCTGGGTAGAGGCACTAGAAATACAATGCCTCTTTCTTCATGGGTGGCATCCTCAGGTTCTCCAGGACCTGTCCCTCTCCTGGGTCACTCTCCCTGGCACCTCCTTCCAAGCCTGTGGTTTGCACACTATCTCATGGGTAACTCTCCCTGGCATCTCCTCCCATGCCTGTGGTTCATGCACCATCTGGTGGGTGGCTCTCCCTGGCATCTCCTTCCAGGCCTCTGGTTTATGCACTGTCTCTTGGGTCATTTTCTCCTTGGCATCTCCTCTCACACCTGTGGCTTTCTGCACCGTCTCATAGGTGACTCTCCCTGTCACCTCCTTCCACGCCTGTGGTTATGCACTGTCTTCAGACTGCGTGAGCTCTTGCTTCATCTGTAATGCAGGTCTCTCCTTCTAGCCTCAGTCCTAAAACCTCAACTGCCCATTAGATGTTTCCTTGGGGGTCCCACAGGCACCTCCCACTCATCACATCTAAAGCTGACCTCCCATGCCCATCAAATCCCCATCCCCATCAAATCCCCATCCCCATCAAATCCCCATCCCCATCAAATCCCCATCCCCATCAAATCCTCATCCCCATCAAATCCCCATCCCCATCAAAACCCCATCCCCATCAAATCCCCATCCCCATCAAATCCTCATCCCCATCAAATCCCCATGCCTACCAAATCCTCATCCCCATCAAATCCCCATCCCCATCAAATCCCCATCCCCATCAAAACCCCATCCCCATCAAATCCCCATCCCCATCAAATCCCCATCCCCATCAAATCCCCATCCCCATCAAATCCTCATCCCCATCAAATCCCCATCCCCATCAAATCCCCATCCCCATCAAAACCCCATCCCCATCAAATCCCCATCCCCATCAAATCCCCATCCCCATCAAATCCCCATGCCTACCAAATCCTCATCCCCATCAAATCCCCATGCCCATCAAATCCCCATCCCCATCAAATCCCCATCCCCATCAAATCCCTATGCCCATCAAATCCCCGTGCCCCTATCAGCAAAAAGCATCATGATCACCCAGTTTCCCAAACTAGGTGCCTGTGAGTCAACCTAGACCCTCACTGACCTTGGTCTCCATCCTAGGAGCAGAGCCTGCTCACAGGGGGATGGCAGATAAGGAAAGGTGCAGAAGGGAAGTGGCGGGAGGAGAGGAAGCCTATGGTCATACATCCGCTCCTGGATGAGGCTCCGTCCTTGCTTGAGTAATGACAATATCACTCCATCATTACATCCATGGGCACTTCTCACCTATTAGCTAAACCACAGGCCAGCTCAGATCGTCCCATCCCTCTCCCTCTCCAAAATCAACTGAAAAAATACATCTCTGTGTCCTGACATCCACGCAGAGCCACCCCAGTGAGGAGGCAAGACGAACCCAGCCCCCTGCCCAGCCACTGCCATCGTGTCCACGTGTGGGAAATTCCCAGAGCCTCTGAGTTCTTACGGGGAGCGAACGCAGGGCTGTAATTCAGTGCTTCTGGTGCCCAGAACTTAGCAAAGACAACATCCAAGTCAGAAGTGGCAGGGCCCAGTCCGGGAAACCAGGGCTGCCCTAAGACCTGCTGGCACTGCCAGAGCAAGACAGTGGTCCTGGCCACACCCCCTTCCTGGGAGTCTTGGGGACACCCAGGAGGAGGAAGCCAGCAGGGACTGAGTAGTGCTCAGAGGGGCCTTCAGAGGCCAACACGTGGCTCAGTGAGGGTTTCATGAGAGGCAGTGGGGCGGGCGCACCCTCCATGCCAGAGAGCAGCTGGCTCAGTGGGCCTCCTCCCACCGTCCCACGCTTGGTGCCTGCCTGGAAGCATCTTTGTAGTGGGTACTGAGACCTGGCCAGGTCCCAGTTAAGACCCTTAGCCTCAGTGGTGATGGGATGTGACTTCCTCCCTCCAGGCCCCAGGTCAGAGCACACCCATCCTCCACAGATCCCGGTTGAACAACAGAGGCCCCAGAGACTTTTGTTGTCGTTCTAATTGCTGTTTCTTGTGAGAAATGCCACGTGGGATAGTAGGAAGAGCCTGGGCTCTGGAGTGACACTGGAGAGCTGAGCCTATCTGTGTGACCTTGGACTGGGTACTCTCCCAGACTCAGTTTCTTCCTCTGTAAAATGAGCATAGGAAAGTCGGCCTCACAGAGATGCTCAAGGTGCCTAGGAGGCCCCTGAGTGAGGTGAAGAGTGGAGCTCAGGACCTTTGGTCCTGAGTTAGTGAGTTCACTAACAAGTGGAGCCCAGATATCCTGGTGAACCATGGGCACAGTGAGAACAGCTCGCAGACAGCAGGTGGCCCATGTCTCAGTGGTGGCCTCCGATGTATTGAGGGAGAAGCTGATGGCCAGAGGTGCAGGGAGGGAAGGAGCCTTATATTCATGGTTTCATTCATTCAGCAAATACTTACTGAGCACTGCTGAGGATACGGTAAAGCATAAGACTAATGTGGACCCCGCCTCCGAGGAGTTAAGGGCAGCACAGATCTTAATCAGTGATCCAGAAGAAAGGGTGCCCTGAGGATGTGTAAGGCCAGGGAGGGTCTCCTGGAGGAAGTGACTCAGGGTGAGATTAGAGTGATCAGTCAGCGCTAACCAGGTGGAGTGGAGAAAGAAGGGCAATGAGCATTCCAGACACACGGGACAGCCTGTGCAAAGGCCCTGTGGCGATAGGACGTGAGGGTCTTTAAGGAGCTGAGAGATAGCGTTTAAGGAGGGCAGTGCTTTCTTCCCTGATGGGACTGGAGGTGATGATGGTGCCTAATCCCTGCATCCCTGGCAGAGGGGAAGCTTGTGGGGCTTGCAGGAGCTGCCTCTCTGCCCCACACCCATCAGCCAGAGGAGAAAGGAAGTGAGCCTTTATTGGGTGCCTACTGTGCACTTTATGCATAGCATGCGTGGCCTCATTTATCCTTCCTACATTGGTAGGCAAGTATCACTCTCTCCCAACAGAGAAGAAACTGAGGCTCTGAGAGGCTAAGTGACATGCCCTAGATCACACATCTAGGACGTGGTAGAGTCAGGGTTAGAACCCAAGACTCCAAACCTTATATTTCCCCCACATCCCCTTTCACCAATGGTAGAAGATTAGGTCTCATGGACTGTGATGAACTCTAGCCTGCGATCCCCAGAAATCTGGAGTCTCAGATTCATCATGTAAGACCTTGGAGGACTCTTGGTCAGAGCCTCTGTTGGGTATGTTAACTCCTCTACACAACATATACTCCCTCCCCACCCCCATGGGCTCATCAACCCCTGCTTCCCTACCTTCAGGGATGATGTATTAGTCCGTTTTCATGCTGCTGATAAAGACATACCCGAGACTGGGTAATTTATAAAGAAAAAGAGGTTTAATGAACTCACAGTTCCACGTGGCTGGGGAGGCCTCACAATTATGGCAGAAGAAGAAAGGCACATCTTACATGGCAGCAGACAAGAGAGAATGGGAGCCAAGTGAAAGGGGAAACCCCTTATAAAACCATCAGATCTTGCGAGACTTATTCACTACCATGAGAACAGTATGAGGGAAACTGCCCCCATGATTCAATTATCTCCCACTGGGTCCCTCCCATAACACATGGGAATTATAGGAACTATAATTCAAGATGAGATTTGGGTGGGGACACAACCAAACCATACCAGATAGGGAGCTTATAACTTCCTGAGGAAGCCCCTTCTCTCTTTGGAAGAGCCAAGATTGTCATTTTTCTTGTTGGCTTCTTAGAAGGTTGTGTGTATGTGTGTGTCTGTGTGTGTGTGTATGTGTGTGTGTGTGTGTTTTCCTAAGCATTTGGGAAACATATTGAAAGGTGTCTTATTTTTAAGAGCATTTTGGAATCCAGGGCCCTCTAAGTGAGGACGTGAGGTCTAAGTAAACAGGCACTGGGCAGGCAGCAGGAATCCTTTGAGAAGACCATCCCTTGTCAACACTTGTATGTATAAACACTTTTTGGACCTTCAAAGACATTTTCCCCAGAGGATCATGGCCAAGGCACAGCCCCTCTCTTGAATAAGCAAAGTGTTAACTCTGAGAATGAAGGGGCAAATAAAAAAGGACACTTGTAAGCAGACCCTCCATTTGGGAGAACCTTAATTACAGGTTGTTAGTTGCAGTGGAAACCCAGGCTGGGTGGCCCTCCAGCTCATTGTCTTGCCCCTTTTCTCTCTCCCTGGGTGGGTCTCATGGGTCAGAGATTTGGCCCCACCCAACCCAGCAGCTATGGGAAGAACCACCTTCTCTGTGAACTCACACTCATTCAGCCGCTTAAACAATGTGTCACCCACCCCCACCCTCCACTCCCGAAGTCACTGCTGAAATACATGCAGCCAAGAGTACTTATTCATGGTTATAATCAGCCTGTTTTATAAAATCAGTGTCTAAAGACTTTGGTGAGTGAACACATTTGAGACTGGAGGCACAGGGTTAAGCGTTATCATCTGGAGGGGATACTTGGAGCAGGGGAATACATGAGTTGACTCAGAGAGGAGAGGTAGAGAGACAGAACTGCCCAGGTTAGAACCTCCCAGGAACATTTACATTTAACAGTGCTTCTTCATCACCATCATCACCCTCACCATCACTACCACCACCACCATCACTATCATCATCATCACCATCACCATCACCTCCATCACCATCATCACCATCACCATCATCATCTCTATCACTCACACTTACCATCACCATCACAGTCACCATGATCATCACCATTATCACCATTTCCATGATCATTATCACCATCATCACCACCTTACTCTCACCACCCCACCCCCACCCCACCACCATTAGCGTCATGATCATTATCGCATCACCACCATCATCAAGCATCACTGCCATCATTGCCATCACCTCCATCGCCATGGTCACTATCACTATCATCATCACGGGACTGTGGCTTTTGGTGCCCTGGAGGGTGAACCTTGGTTCTTTAGGGAGCCAGCAGATATATTCTATAATAATAGTACTAGTGCTATGATTACTAATATTAATAGTGATGAATGTCACTAACAGTTACTAATAGTGCTAGCACTATTATTATAAATAAGTATTAATAGTACTAATAGTAAGAACTGGTACATTTATCAATCAAGGTATATATATACCTTTGCTTTGAGCCCTCACCACAGCCCAGCAAATAGGGGTAGGTGTTTGATCCCCATTTTGCAGAGCAGATAACAGAGGATCCAATATTGATTTGCCCAAGGTCACATAGCTGTTGAGTAACAGAGTCTGGGTGGGGACCCAGTCTGCTAGGATCCTAAAAGCTGGGCTCGTCCTGCACTCTGCAGCATCTTGACCATGAGGGCCTCACTCTTCTGAGTGACCAGCTCTTGCCCCTGCACTCCTTGGCAGTCAGACATCCATGAAGCCACAACCTGGCCAGTCCCTCCAGAACTTAGGAAATGTTTTCTTGGCCACTTTCAGGGACATTGTAGCAGAGAAGTCCATTAGGCATTTGGACTTGTGAGACTAACCTTCATGTGATACTGATGGCAATAGTGATGGTGATGAAATTGATGATGAAATAAAAGGAGGAGGAGGAAGAGAGGGAGAAGAGGGAAGGAAAGAGGGAGGAAAAGAAGAGAGGGGCCAGGCGCGGTGGCTCACACCTATAATCCCAGCACTTTGGGAGGCCAAGGAGGGTGGATCACGAGGTCAGGATTCAAGACCAGCATGGCCAACATGGTGAAACCCCATCTCTACTAAAAATACAAAACAATTAGCTGGGCATGGTGGCAGGTGCCTGTAATCCCAGCTACCCGGGAGGCTGAGGGAGATAATTGATTGAACCTGGGAGGTGGAGGGTGCAGTGAGCTGAGATCACACCACTGAACTCCAGCCTGGGCGACAGAGCGAGACTCCATCTCAAAGGAAAAAAAAGAAAGAAAGAAAAGGAAGAGGGGGAGGAAAAAGAGGAAAGGGAAGAAAGACAAGAGGAGGAAGAAAGTGACGATGATAAATTTGATGCTGGTGATGATGGTGATGACGAAGATTTAGATGGTGAAATATTAAGGATGCATACTAATCATGACAGCAGCTGGTACATACTTACTATGTGCCAGGCTCTGCCTCATTGGATCCTCATGACAATTCTGTCATGTAGGTGCCATTATTGCCCCATCTGAAGATGAGAAACTAGAGATTCAGAGAAGTCAAGTGACCTTAGGATTCACAGCCAGCACTCTGCTACACCAGGCAAAGATATATGTCACAATGGCAGAGCCTGCAACTGTGTTTTCTATTCTTCCTTTCATGCCTTGAATGCTTTGGGAAAACTGCAGAAACCCTGTTTCTGTTAAAACTTACATTAGCCCTGTTTCACAGATGAGAACCTGGAGATGTGTACTGTCATACAGTCAGTTCAGTGCTACCACCGCTCCTGGCATCCTCCTCGCCCCCTGAACCTGCCCCCCACCACCAGAGCCCCCCAGCCCACTCACCTGTGCTGTGTTGGTTCCGCAGACTCGGCGGTGGCGAGGACTGGGCTCCCTCTTCCGGAGGGCGTGCTGTGTGGCGCTCCCACTGCAGCTGCTTCTGCTGCTGTTCCTCCTCCTGCTGTTCCTGCTCCCAATCAGGGAAGAGGACCGCAGCTGCACCCTGGCCAACAACTTCGCCCGCTCCTTCACGCTCATGCTGCGCTACAATGGCCCACCACCCACCTAACCCACTGGGGCACACAGGTGACTTTCTCCTCCAACCTCCATCAGTCCCAGGGCCCCTCCTGAGGATGCTCGCCAGGGAAACTGGAAACAGGGGCAGGGCAAAGACTGCAGAGCTGCATCCATATCAGTGCTGTGTCAGCGTTCCCAGAAGACACTTACTTTTTATACAGTGTTGTCTTAGTCTATTTATACTAAATGTGTACTACATGTGACTAGGGAATAATGTCTAGAATTTTTATATGATCTGTATGTAAATGCTCAGTATGTATAATTTCATATACGAGTTCTATTTGGAGTTGGGAAAATTCCTAGCAATGGCTCCCTCCAATGGGATTTTGTGGTATTGTTGACTTGGTCTGCAGTCAACCCTAGAAAGCAAGAACAATAACATGTCACTTTCATGGCAACCTCTTCTCCAAAGCGAATCCCAGAATTCAGATGTAATGAAAGGCCTCTGAGCTGCAACGTGGAAGAGCGCCATAGACCCTCACTTGGTGCCCAGCGACTCTTGCTTTATGCGTAATGAGAACAAGTATGCTTGTCTAGTTTTAACAACCACAAAGAGTAGCTGCCACGTGTCAGAAGTAGAAATGGCAATGACCAGAGGCAGGTTCAATGATAGCAGTGACAAGTGACAGAGTGATATCGAGGGAGAAAAAGAAGAGCTGCAGAGAGCAGATCCCCGAACTAAGAAAGCACAGCTGTGTGGAGGCATTGCATGCCGGAGCCCTAACCCCAGCTCTCAGCGGCTTCTGATCACACAGACCTATGAGGACTGTCCCTGGTGATGACACCGAGCCCCCATGAAACGGTGAGATCCTGCTCTGTGTGTTTCATTCAGGGAGAAAGGGAAGAAGACAAGCTTGATTTTTAAGATTTCCATGCAGAATGGTGAGGCACACTCGGTGGGCAGCACCCACTGGCAGTGCCCAGGAAAGATGTGTTTCCTCTGTTGCTCCTGGACTGAGTTTTCATCGTCGAGAGCTCGAGCTGCAGGTGAGAAGGGAAGCATCTGCCACGCCAGGGGCCAGGGATCGAGGGTCCAGGACAGAGGTGAGAGAATCTGCTTTGGAGTTCAGCCTGTCTCAAGGGCTCTCCTTCCGCTTCCCAGAAAAGACTCTGGAGACAGCAGGTCTATGGGGCCAAGAAGGTCTCATGTGCATCCCCATATGGGACTAGGGCCCAGGCCACCCAAAACCAGGCCCTCTCCAGCCAGGTGTAGGCGAGCTGGGCTCCATGCACCACCTGGGCTGGGGCCGCGGTGACTCCATGTGAGTTCCCGAGGCCAGAAACTCATCCCTTCCTTGCCAGGGAACTCTGGGATGGTTCCTAAGTGCTCTACAACTGGATCATGTTTTTCCTAAATCAACACTAAATTTTCCCCTTTAAAAAAGTACTTAATGCCCACTCTCTACAAATGGATTTTGTCTGTTCAACTACAAATACGAGGGGATTTCCTCGGACCTTCTGTCCGGCTTTGGAATCATAAGGTATTATAGACCCAGAAAGGCCCTTTAAGTAGAGGGGAAACTGAGGACCTAAGAGGGCCTGATACCCAGCACCATTGCTGTCTCACACACACTGACCCTTTGCCTTTCACTGTGAGCTCTGCCCTTGGGGACCCGGGTCCTAGGCAACTAGGACATTTCACCGGCAGGAAACCCGTGCTGCCAAGGAGAGCCCTTGGGGCTGACTCAGAAAGCGTACTTTTTTTTTTCTTTTAACTCGTCTGTATTTGTTACAACTTTAAGCAGAATGTGACTTGGGCACTATATTTCCATCCACAAGCCTGGCTCTGAGTTATTATTATTATTGTTATTATAATTATTTTGAGATGGAGTTTCGCTCTTTTTGCCCAGGCTGGAGTGCAGTGGTGCGATCTCGGCTCACTGCAACCTCCGCCTCCCAGATTCAAGCGATTCTCCTGCTTCAGCCTCCCAAATAGCTGGGATTACAGGCATCTGCCACCATGCCCAGCTAATTTTTGTATTTTTAGTAGAGTTAGGGTTTTACCATGTTGGCCAGGCTGGTCTCGAACTCCTGACCTCAGGTGATCCGCCCACCTCAGCGTCCCAAAGCACTGGGATTACAGGCATGAGCCACCATGCCTGGCCATTTTTTTTTTTTTTTGAATAGCTTTATGATAAGCTGTAGGCTTATAATTATGCTCCTCCAAACAACACTTTTCTTTGGAAAACAAGCCCTGTAGACTCTCCATCCTTCCATCAAGTTCCTTCCCTCAAGCTGCTTCAGTTTAACTTATTTCTACAAGACTAGTACATGCAGAATTGGCAACTACAGGGGATGAAAAGTTCAAAAAGTAGATCCTACAACCCTGTGACTTGGTTTCCAAATATCTAGAGAAATTTGTGATTTCATGGAAGAAGAGAAAGCACACTTTTCTCCAGATATCTGGAAACCAAGCCATAGGGCCGTTCTCTGCAGGCGACCACCTTACTGGAAAATCAGGAGCTGAGTGAGCCCAGGCAGCCAAGCCCAGATGTCCAGTCCTGGAAGTCAGAGCAGTGGCAGGGTGGGTGGGTGGGGGGGCCTTGCCAGGTGTCCACTTTCCTATGTCACAGGTGAGAAAGCTGAGGCCCAGAATGGGGAAGAAACTGATCCATGGCCACACAGTGAGAGGCAGCAAGGCCAGAGCCCAACTGGCCACCATGGCCCTCAGGTGGTACCCTGCTCATTGTGGTATGATCCGCTCATGTCAGCAACTACATGAAAAAAACAGCCACTGGGCATGTATGCAGCCTGTCACATATACCACATGTTGGGGAAGGAGAAGCTGGAACATGCGGGCGGGGGTGGGAATATCTACCTATATTTTTTAAATTTTGATAATGATGCCATCAAGTCTGTTTGTTTGCATAACTGTTTTTTAAAAAAGAATTGATATTTTCAGTATTTTCATATAAATATACTTGTAATATAACGTAACAGCCCAGTTACTGGTGCTTCCAAGCACAAGTGCAATCTCCTTTGCTTAAAGGAGAGCCAGGCAATTATTCTTATGACTTTAGTTTCCAGCCTCTTTAACAGCCATGCAGAGCTTTAAGGTGCTACTTGAGAAAGGTGGCGCTGTGGCGTGTGTGTGTGTGTGTGTGTGTGTGTGTGTGTGTGTGTGTGTGTGTCAGAGAGAGAGAGAGGAGGGAAGGAGAGGAGGGAGAAAGGACCACCAGTGGGTCGGTTGATGAATTAGTTATCCCTGCTTACCTGTCCCTCCCACCCCTTTCTTTCTTAGCCCGTTCTCTGCATGTGGAAAGGCACATGCAGCACCCAGAGGGTGTTTAAAAAGAAAAGCTGGGAGCGGGAGGGATGGGCAGGTACTGACAGCAGACGAGGCGAGGAGACCCTGGGAGGTGCCCAGTGGTGGCGGGACAGAGGGAACACCGACAAGGGAGACAAAGAATGTGCTCGTTTGGTGCTCGTGGGTGCTTGAGCCCCTTGGGCGGCACTTTGCAGCCTTGCTTTATGTAATTCCCACATCGACACCTGCCCCCAGGGTTTGATACTGTTTTACCCCCATGTTTGAGATGGAACCCTGAGGCTTAAAGATATAAAGACCCTTGCTCATGCTGAAGTGGGTCCAAACCCACAACATGGGGCAATGAGGACCCCAAAGCCCAGGCTGGAGGGGGGCTTCAGGCTGGTTCTACCAGGTTGCAGTCTCTGTAGCCTCTGGGAATGGAGTTCCCTGGGCAAGCAGGCAGAACTCTCTGCCCATCAGCTCGCCTGGGACATGGCCAGAGCGGAGCATCCAAATGTTTCCCTGAGGGACTGCCCTCAGCTCTGAGATGAGTCACCACCAGCAGCACATTCCCTTGGGCCATCTATCATTATCTTCACATTGCTCACCTGGAAGATGAGCCCCTCTAATGTCTCATGATGAGGTCCTCGGTCATGAATGACAGAACTCCACACCCCCAATGCCCAGCACAGGATAAGAGCTTCAGCTGTGGTTTGTTGAATTACATTAAAAACCCAAAGGCAAATGTGTTTCCTGACACCCGACTCCCTTCCAGAGGAAATGGGTCAAGGATGACCTGACCCAATTCCATCTCTCAGGCCCCGTTTGCTTCAGGCAGCTGGCTGGAGTTCCCTGCAGGGACCGGGGGTCCAAAGATGCTTGTCTCCGGGCATCTTCAGGGGAAGGAAGCTGGGGACCCTCTGCACCCTGGGGGCCAAGGAGAATGACAGGCAGAGGGCAGGAAAAGGCCTGAAGGCGGGTGGTTTGTGCTGGATGTTCCCTAATGGATTTTACAGCTGGCAAACTGGGACCGGTGGCATCATCCTGCCCTGCCTTGCAGGGGATGGGAGGCTGGGGCTGCCCACAGTTAGGGAGTAAAGAGGGGATCTTATCTCTTCCATTAGACTGGAGCCAGGCCTGACTGGGAAGCTGGGAGGCTTTGCAGAAGCTTTGAGGAACTGCACTTTATGGTGGTCTGGCTGGAGAGGGCGGACGGGGAAGTGGGCCAGAGGGAGTCAAAGGCCAGAGGTGATGTCAGGCTTGATTTACTGAACTGTGTGCTTAAAAGTGGTTAAGATGCTAAATTTTATGTTATGTTTATTTTACCACAATTTGAGGGTGAGAGGAGAGAGTGAGAGCAAAAGAGACAGAGAGAAGAGAGAGAAAAGGAGGAAGGGAGGGAGGGAGGGAGGGATAGAGAGAGAGAAAAAGAGAATGGGAATGGCAGGCTGTGCCTTCATGGTTCCCAACTTTCCTCTGAGGACAAGCGCTAGTGGCAAAGCTTTCACTGACCAAAGGCAAGTGAAACAATACGAGGGAACAACTTGAGTTTTTCTTTCCATAGGATTTATTTTGCCCAAACGCTGGCTCTTCATTCTGGGATTATGTCCCTCCTACTTCAAGGGTGCTCAATGGCCTTTAGGAAATGAGGGATAGGTAAAGGTGGCTCTGTCTTCTTTGATGGTTTCTATTGTGTTTTGGGAGCCCTCATTGGACAAAATAAAAAGTTGCCAACTCTATGTTGGTTTTGCTCCCCATACAGTATTCTTCCTGGAAAAACATGCTGTCTGAAAGTTTGGGAACCCAGGAGATGGTTGGGAGAAGAGAGCAGCTTGAGGATTGCTTAGTGCAGGAGTCCCCGAGGGAGAGAAGGAAAGAGAAATGGGAAGAGGGACATCGTGGAAAGTTGTGGCAACTGGGTTCAGGGGAGGCCAGGAGCCTGCCAGCTGTGGCCTCTAAAAAAATAAAACCCAGGTGCTCACTGGCCCTGCCTTCCCACTGGCCATTCGGATGCTGTCCGGGGTCTGCGGCTTTCTCTCCCCTGGTTGGTGGGCAGAAGTGCCCTGTGCCTCTTTGCATCTTAATCCAATGCAACAAGCATTCTCCAGCCTGTGCCAGGCTTTGTGCTGGGAGATTCGGGGTGAACAAAGCCCAGTCCCTGCCCTCAGGGAGCTTGCAGACGAAGAAAAGGGTTTGTGCCATTGAAGATGCCCAACGGGATTGCAGTCATTGCCCTTGACTTTGCCCATCTGCCTTTCCAGAGGGGGCAGGCCCACTGTCACAGAAACTGGAAGAGCCACACAGGGGAGACAGTGGGAGAGCTCGGAACAGGGCATGAGAGTGTCTTGCTGCCTCTTGGAGGCCACCATTGTGACTATGAACCATACCGGGCAGAGGAAGTGGGTCAAGGAGGCCAGGGCAGCTGGGCCGGGCAGGGAGAGGACCTGGGCATGGCAGAGGAGGGGAAAATAGACTGACCCAGCCTCAGGAGGTCAGAAGTGTGTTGGGCTGTGCTGGGTCACAGAACAACACAGCTTGGGAGGCTCCTGGAGGCTTCAAGGGGAGGCTTAAGGCTAAGGCTGTGGATGTTGATTGTCGTGTCCATTACTAGCCCAATTATTAGTCTGTCTTCCTGGTAAAAATGTGTGGTTGGAAATGCCAAACTGAGAAGCCCACTTTTCCCCACTGGGGATCATCTGGGTTGGCGTGTCCATGCTCAAGGATAATCTCTTGCCCTTTCCTGCCCCCTGCCTAGGATTTCTCCCCAGAGGAGAGGAGCTGAGGGACCCCCCCAGGGAGGCTGTGCCTGTGGCTGTCACCCTATGATGCCAGCGGCTTCCTTTGGATTCTGTAATCAGAGTGTTTTTCACCGGTGTCTGCAGTGATTGCCAGGAAGCCTCTGTGTCCATAGCCCAGCGGGATCCTGCCCTAATTCCCTCTCTCATGGGCACTCAGCTAATTCTCACCCCAATCTCATTGTCACCAGTCTAGGTCAGCATTGGAGGGAGGTGTGGGCAACTACAGCCCTTGCTGCTTCCAAGACAGACATCAAAATAGTTGATCACCAACCTTTCCCACTCCCCACTCTCTGACCCAATGGACCTCACAGTCCTCAAAACTACTCCAAGCTACTGCCAATCAATCATTTTCTTATGTGAGCAAAACCTGTTTGACATCCTTACACCTGTACCAGCCCTCTCAGAAAGCTCTCAATTCTGGTCTCCTTTTCTTTTTTCTTTTTTTTTTTTTGAATTTATGTTAAAATTAGGATGTTCCCAATCAAAAAATCATTTTTCCTTCATCTAGTAATTGGGTGAGACAAACTAGCCCCAGAAAGCAGACAATGGGATGAACTGCCAAGTAGGACTTTTAGGGGAGGCAAAATGGATTAGGAAATGCTAAGTTCTCTGTTGAAGGAGGATACCTGGATTCTTCAGGCTGTCAGAGTTGGAGGGCTTCCATAGACTGTCTTGTTCCAACTTTGTACCCATTTTACAGGTTAGGACTCTGAGACCTCAGCAGTTCTTGTTTGGCCAGTGAGCTCAGGGAGTTAGTTCCAGGAGTGGGGGTCGGTCTCTGCACCCACTGGATGACAGCTTGATACTGCTCAGCACTAGACAGGGTTGAGTTGGAACTCTGCTGCTGATGGGCTGTGTGACATTGGTCCAGTTCCTTACCACCTCCCCCCACCTATTGGTAAGGAGGGAAGTCAGCCCTGGAGCGTTCAGTGCTCCCTGAAATATTAGGTATCCTAGGATTGTGCGCGTGGGCTCGCATCTGGAAGAGAAATCCCTAGATTCAGCCACGAGTAACAGAATCCCTCCTCCCCCGACCAACTTTGGCTTAAACCAGTCAGAGACTTTACTTTTCTCTCCTCCTGAGAAGTCTAGATATAGGCGGTTGCTGGCATCGTCTCCTCAGGTTATGGATGTCAGAGCCAAGGCTTTGCAACTGTCCTTCCTTTATATCACAGTCACTTCATGGCCCAGGATGCTTGCTGTACCTCCAATTTTTCATCTGGGTTCCAGGTAGGAAGAAGGGGAGTGAACTAGACGAATCTGCCCTCCTCATTAGCAGCTTTCCCAGAAGCTCCACCAGCCACTTCCGTTCTCATCTCATTGGCCAGGACTGTGTCACATGTTTTCCCCCACATCTGCAAGGAGTCTGGGAACATGTGCCCCAAAAAGATGGGGGCTCTTCTAGTAAGAATGAAGGGTAGGGTGGCTTGGAGTGGCACTTCGCTGTCTCTGCTACAATTGGAGGAGAAAACCAGAGTTTGTCCTGACCCTCCATGCCTTGGCTGTATGCTCCTTGTGTGGAACTCGAAGGCATCATCCTTGCAGTGTGAGAGTGACCTGCCACCACGGCCTGCCACCTCCTCTCAGGGGACCCTGAGTCCTTCAGGTCTACCCAAAGGCATTGTAGACATTCTTCCTGCAAGGCTTGGGAACCGACAAATAGATCTGCCCAGCTTGCCAGAGTTTTTGTGCAGGAACAGCCCCTCCCGTCTTTGTCCTGGCGGTGAGCACCCAGGGCTAAGCTTTTGAACACTTTCTTTGTGTTTGGATTCAGCCCAGGCAATGCATATTTGCTTTCATTTCTTCTTGAGCTTGAGGAGCTCCTGGGTGCAAATCTTGGAAAATGAGGATCTCTGAGCCTTTCCAGGCCAGCTCTTTGTTTTGTAGCAGACAATTGAGGCTTTGAAAAGGAAAGTGGGTGGGGGCACCCCACAGGTGGCCCTCATCACCCAATTGCCAGTGCCTGCAGGCTGCTTCAGCAGAGGCCCAGAGTCAAAGAGGACTTAAAACCAGCTGTCGTTTCTCCCTTAGCTTCTGTGTATGAGAGAAACGACTTCTGTTTTTCAAAGTAAGAACAAGGAGGAATTTGTTTCTAAAAGAACATTAAAACACAGGCTCGTGGTCTAAAAGCAAATGGTTCAGCAGGATGTTCAGGGCCTTAAAGCACAGTCAGCAGGACTCAGCATCTCCCAGCACCTGCTCTCCGGTTGTCATGGTAACATCATCCCCAACCCAACCACCTTGTCCAGCCGAGAGACAGCAATCATAAGGAGGGACCTCGGTTTCCCCCGAGGATCCTGGGCTTCCTTTCTGAAACGCTTGCTTCTGAGCTCAGCAACCAGGAACACCAGGCCAGCCCATCCCCAGCACCTCTGTGGAGATGAGGGACAAAGTCCTACAGTCCCTCTTCCTGTTCTGATGAGAAAGGGAGGGAAGAAAACATACCCCGAGCGCCTGCAATATGGTCATGACACTTTCAAAAAGCCTGTGCTATGGAGTCATGATCAGAAACCAGAGTGTGGAGAGGGTCAGCAGCCTGCCTCAGAGCAGCCAGCTAGGCGGGGAGTGGTAAATTTGGGACTTGTACCCAGGCATGACTGGCTCCGAGCCCAGTGCTCCACTCTATGGAATGTTCCCTGGGCCTCAGTTGCTTTCCTTTCCTTTGCAGGCCGCGGGCTGCTGCCACTCTGGCAGCTGGTGAGTTAGCTGGAGGGCAACATTCCAAAGCAGGGGCAGCATGCTGCTTTCCTCCTGTGCCCACTCCTGCGGGGAAGTCCGTTGACTCCCACCGCTGAAGGGAGCTGGCAACACCAGGATGAGGTCCCAGGGGACGGGAGCAGGTACCCACTGTCTGTCTACCTTCCCACTGGAAAAGCACGGACAGGCCAGCCCTTGCGGGGGCAGGCAGAGGACAGAGTTGGCTTTGCGCGGTCTCTGCCTGCTGAGCAGTTCCAATTCCTCTCATGGGAGAAACAAGGAGGCAGTCGCTTGTGCATGTTCCAGAAGTTTTACTGGGGAGGAGGAAGCGGACAGAGGAAGCTGTGTGTGCATGTGAAGGGGTGGGCAGGGTGGGAGGGATGCACGCGTATGTGAGCATAGCATGTGTGAGTACTACACACATCTCCATGCAGAAGCACAACTGGGCAGCCCTGGCTTCCAGCTCTGGGCTTCAGCACAACAGACACCAGCCTGTGGTCTCTCAGAAGCCAGGGAGACCACATCGGGCTCAGGACGTTTTACCCAAAGTCCAGAGTTTTTATGCCTCTCCCTGGCATTCTCCATAAAGAAGGGAAGGTCAGATGACCCCTTAGATCTGTGTCATCTGGGAATTTCCTTGGGCTGGTTTAGACACGATGCCCTCTTTTTCTCAGGATAGCAGATAACCTGCTTTGAAAGAGGGCTTAATTCTGTGGGTCCTAAATTTTCTCCTTTCTCTCTCTCTTTCTGTGTGTGTGTGTTGGGAAAATGGCAAGTTTCCAATACCAGCTTTGGAGGAACGATTACGTTTTCCCTCCAATTTCAAGTCCGAAAGACCAGAGCCCTCATTCCAAAGCCCCCCACCCAGATGGATTTTTTCGTTTCATTTGTCATCCGTCCCATGGGAGGGCCCCATGTCTCCTCAGAACCCATCCTGGAGGCAGCAGGTCGGGTAGAGTGAGTTTGGCCTGCTCATGACCTCCACCCCTGAGATTGTGAACAAGGATGTCTGGGGCGATGCTGAGAATGTTTTTGAAGCTGCTCCCAGATGACGCTGATGATCACACCAGATTGAGTGCTGCGATCGCCTTGAGTCCAACCTCTGCATAAACGAGGTTCTCATAAACAAGTTCACTCTACCCTAAGCTAAGTCTATGTGAGCAAACCCACTTCATCCTTTGTACCTGGAGACCTGGTTACACTAACCTGATACTGACCTGTTCATGTAGCTGGAATGGTGTGTTTCATGCAGTGTGGACCAAGCAATGGCATGGGGTGTGTGTGTGTGTGTGTGTGTGTCTGTGTGTGTGTGTTTGTGTATGCGTTCACACTTGTGTGTGTATATGTGCATGTAGATGCTGCATAAATGATTTTTGATGTCAAAGACAAACACATTCCATTGTTTTAAATATTCTATTATGTAAACAATACGCAGAGGGACCATATCTACTCTTGTCATATTATTTGTGATGGTAAAACATGCATTTGCAATAAATTAAGCTTTCTGGGAAGGCAAGCAGTATTGGAGCCAAACGACTGTCTCGGAACATGTGTGTGTTATCTCGGTTCATATCAAGTCCAAAGCTAATGGAGCCTTCCCCGCCATCCAGGGAGGAACACCAGGACCCCGGAGTTTCTTCTTAGTGCTATATTTTAAAGTTGCATTGACGTTTTCCTCCCCTTCCTTTTGTGCAAGTTGGAAGTAGCAGTGTTCTAAAAGATGGTTTGACGTTTTTGCTGTTGTTTTATGTTTTTAAAAATGTATCTGCTTTGTGTTTGGAAATAAAAATCTCTATTTTGGTCTATGAAATACTGTGTGGTTTGGAAATTCGTTTTCTGAAGTAAAGGAGTTTGTCCAAGAGGTTATGAGAAGAAAGATGACATGTGGCTAAGGCTGACATTGTAAAATTCTGACTTCCAGTTCAACCTCTTTCATGCAGAGGTTGAACTCAGGGCGACAGCAACACTCAATCTCATGTGGATATCAGCCTCATCTGGGAGCATCTTCAAACACATTCTCAGCATCTCTCCAGACCTCCTCGTTCACAGTCTCAGGGGTGGGGGTCATGGGCAGGCCAAGTGGATACTGAGAATTCCAAAATGCACTCTGGGTGCATTTGGTAGAGAAACAGCACCCCCAGTAGATCCAGGCACTAGCCCAGATAGAGGTAAAAGGACGCCTTTCCAACCATTTCACTCCCAACCCCAGGGATCAAAGCCCCACCAGGACAGTTTATTTCACAAAGAATTCTTGGGTTTGGCTATCTGGTTTCGTAACTCACAGTGCACTGGAAGCTGCAGAGGAGAAGGGGAGGACACTGCGAGATGCAGGAGAAGCCAGAGACACCATCCTGACTTTTGAGGGCAGGTCTAAGAAACCGGCAAGTAAACCCAGGAGCTGCCACAGGCTAACAAAAGCTCCTAACAAGGACCTTGGTTTGCCAAGAAAAGGAAAATGTATGTCAGAATCTTCTGCTTACCAAGGAACAGAAGTGTACCCTTCAATTCAGAACACTGTCATTAGAAGGATTTAAAATAAAATGGTTTTGCCTCTAGTATAATTTGTTCTCCCAAGTGAGAACTTTTAAAAAATTTGCTATTATTTTAATAATGTGTGTAATACGTTTCCTAAGTTTTTTCCATCTCTGTGATCTTAAACCCTTCTCACCCTTTGGGAGGTGAGGCGGGATAGGGGGTGGGGGGACTTGAGTGAGAAGCATTATATCTGTAGCCCCTCACTCCTTACATGACTGGTAAAGGAAGAGACAAAGTTTTAGTCTCCATATGAATCCAAGTGGAGTCCAGAGCCGTGCATGAGACTTTGAACTGTTGGTGCAAAAGTTGTTACAGGCTGGAAGCGGTGGCTCATGCTTGTAATCCCAGCACTTTGGGAGGTTGAGGTGGGCAAATCATTTGAGGTCAAGAGTTCAAGACTAGCCTGACCAATATGGTGAAACCCTGCCTCTACTAAAAATGCAAAAAAAAAAAAAAATAGTCAGGTGTGGCAGTGCACACCTGTCGTCCCAGCTACTTGAGAAGCTGAGGCAGGAGAATCGCTTGAACCTGGGAGGTGGAGGTTGCAGTGAGCCAAGATCACGCCACTGCACTCCAGCCTGGGCGACAGAGTGAGACTCCATTTCAAAAATAATAATAATAATTATGGTTTTTGCCATCAAAAGTAATAGATTTGGATCTGGTTCAGTGGTGCATGCCCTAGAGTTAAATGTCATTCAAATGAGTCTCTGAGTTTTTGACTTGGTGAAGCAGTTCTGCAGAGAAAGGGCAAAGGGTGGGAAAGTCTGTTCTTTTAGGAAGGAGGAGCGGTCCTTGGTTTTTCCATCTGCCTTGTTTAGGGCAGATGAAGCCAGGTTGCCAGCACTCCTATAGAGGACCCTGCAAATGGAAGAATCACTTTCCACTATCAGGCCGCAGCAAGACCACTGCTGGCTACAAGGAGTTTACAACTGAGGGAGGTGATTTCACCCAGCATATCGGGATCCATTGTCTAAAGTCTTAGAGTGGTGCTAAGTACCCTCACAGAAACACTTGTGAGTCTTGTGGCCCCGAATAACAAGAACCCTTACCTTCTAAGTAGTTGTCCAAAAAATAAAGCAGCATGCTTTTTGAAGAAAGACAGAACTCTGTCCACGGGGATGCTCTGCCTTTTAGGTCTATATGGAATTGATCACGGCATAGCCCTGTTTAGCTGATCTGAAGAAGCCTTAATCCGTATAACATAAAGGTATGCCACGTGTCATTTATGTTAACTAAACGTGGTATACATGTTTATTTCCACAGCAGAAGCATCAAACCTGGGGTCAGGAACTTCAGGGTTAAAACGCTGTTTCAGTGAGAAAACTAGATTTACCCTTCCTTGTTTTAATTTAGCACCTTTTGTGGGAACCCAGCCCACTGTGAGAGTAGCATTAAACACACACGGTTTCTAAATCTTTACTGAGTTCTCTAGTGTTTCTGGCTGGACGACTCATTCATTTTTATGACCGTGTGATTTTTTTCACAACCAGGCGTCCCATGGAAATAATTATCTTACCTCAGTTTTCATCCACGGCTTCCAAGCCCAACCATGACATGGTTAATTGGAGAGATCCATCACCTTCTCGTGGAATCCTCTTGGTGAGAATGTTACTCAGCTACTTGGCCCTGCCAGCCTCCTCTGTCACTGCCTCTGCAGCCCTGGCTCTCCGTCCTGCTACCTTTCATTATGCTGCAAAAGGAGAGACCCCAACTTGCTCAGGGCTTCCGGGCTGGAATTCCGTATTGCAGTTGCATACTGGCGTGCATCCTGGTCCCTGCTCCCCGCTCCAGCTTGGTTTTCACTGTGGCCTGCTGCTGCTAATTTCTAATAGGAGGGCTCCTCTACCAATGGACAGCGAGGGAAATTGCTCTAAATTGTTCTGAGACATGGCCTGTCTCATGCTATCTGTTTCCTCTCTTTGGGCTTGTGCAAATCACTGAGGCCCTTTTCCTTTGGAATGAGGTGATGGGATAACAAAAAGTAAAAAGCAACAAACCACAATGCTGAATGCAATGTGGAATCCTGCATTGCATCCTGGAACAGTGAACAGGCATTAGTGGAAAGGCCAATGATACACAGATCAAGTTAGCAGTTTCATTAACGCTATTGCACTGGTGTTAATTTCTTGGTGTTGACAAATTCCCCATGGACATGTAAGATGTTACCGTTAGAGGAGACTGGGTGTGTTTGTCTATTTTTGTGTAGCTATAAAGAAATACCTGGAGCTGGATATTTATAAAGAAAGGAGGTTTAATTGGTTCACAGTTCTGCAGGCTGAACGGGAAACATGGTGCTGGCATCCACTTCTGGTGAGGTTCTAAGGAAGCCTACAATCATGGCAGAAGGTGACAGGGAGCCAGCATGTCATATGGCCAGAGTAGGATCAAGAGAGAGAGGGAGAAAAGTACCACACTCTGTTAAACAACCCGATCTCTGTGAGCAAGCATTCACTTATCACCAGGGGGATGATGGCGCTAAGCCACTCATGAGCAATCTCCCCCGTGATCCAATACCTCCCACCAGGCCCCACCTCCAGCACTGGGGATTCCATGAAATCTGGAAGGACAAACATCCAGAGTGTATCACTGGGTGAAGGTTATGGGAACTTTGTGCTGTTTTTGCACCTTTTCTAAATGATTCCAAATAAAAATTTTATTTATTTTTTTTTGAGACGGAGTCTCACTCTGTCGCCCAGGCTGGAGTGCAATGGCGCCATCTCAGCTCACTGCAAGCTCCACCTCCCGGGTTCACTCCGTTCTCCTGCCTCAGCCTCCTGAGTAGCTGGGACTACAGGCGCCCGCCACCACACCCAGCTAATTTTTTGTATTTTTAGTAGAGACGGGGTTTTACCATGTTAGCCAGGATGGTCTCGATCTCCTGACCTCGTGATCCACCCGCCTTGGCCTCCCAAAGTGCTGGGATTACAGGCGTAAGCCACTGCGCCTGGCCAAAAATTTTATTTATTGTTTGTTCCATTTTATTTCATTTCTATTTTCATTAGAATGAAATGAATAGAATCTTATCAATAATCTGTTTTGCCAATCTAGTAAATGAAAAGATCTGAATTTTTAAAAGCATTGAACATTTCAAAAACTGATTTTGCAGTTTTTAATGATATCTTTATAATCAAGAAATAGTAAAAAGTTACATGCTAAATAATGGCATGTTCCAAAACAGATTAGTCTTCCCTTCCAAGTGGCAAATTCAGCAGTATTTAGGACAAGCACTGTATGATTTGAACACTAGAAAAATGTCTATTTCCTTCTTTTTTCATCAGCTTACATATTTTCTTTCTTTCCACACTTAAAATTCTTTTCTTTTAATGGACAAATAGTAATGTTATATATTCATGGGGTACACAGTGATGTTTTGATACATATAATGTAAGTGATCAGATCAGGGTAATTAGCATATCCAGCATCTCAAACATTTATCATTTCTTTGTTTTGGGAACATTCAGCATCCTTCTTCTAGCTATTTGAAACTATATACTGTTGTTAACTATAGTCAGCCTACAGTGGTGTAATATTCTAGAACTTATTTATCCTATCTAGCTGTAATTTGTATCATTTAACAAGTCTCTCCCTATGCTTCCTTCCTCCTACTCTCCCTAGCTTCTAGTATCCCATTTTACTTTTTACTTCTATGAGATCAACTTTTTTTAGCTATCACATATGAGTGAGAACATGTGGTGTTTAACTTTCTGTTCCTGGCTTATTTTGCTTAACATAATGTCCTCTAGTTCTATCCGTGTTGCCACGAATGACGAGATTTCTCTTTTTTTAATGGCTGAATGGTATTCCATTGTGTATATATCCCATATTTTTTACATCCATCTGTTGTTGGACACCTACGTTGATCCCATATCGTGGCTATTGTGAACAGTGCTGCAATAAACATGAAGGTGCAGATGTCTCTTCAATATAATGATTTCCTTTCCTTTGGATAAATTCCCAGTAGTAAGATCACTAAAAATTTTATTTTTAAAAATATGATTTTTTATGGCCCTGGAAAAAAAATGTGAAGTTTCTCTTTTGCTCTTAACTTACTCCCTTAAAAGTGACGGTGAAACTGTTCTAGGAACAGGCTTGGAATCATCCTGATCAGTGTTTGGCTCCAAGCAACCAAATCTGCAAGGCATTGGACCTTAACAAAGTTCTCCCATCTTCTGGAATACTTATCTCAAAGGAATGTGGTTGGGCGGATTAAATGGGATAGTATGTGTAAAGGGCTTTCACAGTGCTCAGCCCATAGGACACACTCCATAACTGGAAGCTATTTATACCACCCCATCCCAAATGCCTTCCTGGGTCATGCTAGGCAGGTTCTGAAGAAGTATCTTCTTTTACATTCTCTAGGATGCATACTCTGACCCCAAAGTACTGCCCTGCAACTACTGCCAGGAGTCCGGGATCTCCCTTATGGGCTTACAAGTGTCCTGAAGATGCTTGTTAAGGGGAGAGTCTAGAATCAGTCAGCAGTCAGTTGCAAAAAACAGAATCCACTCTAACTAGCTTAAGGAGAAAGGGATTTATGATGGGGTATAAAATGGCTCACAAAATTGTTGAAGAACAGACTCTAATCTGAGATTTCAGGAGGAGCTCAGCCTCAGGACCATGCTGCCTCTTTCATGGTGGAGAAAGTTGCTGCTGCTGCCCCGCAGGAGGCTGCCAGACAGGGAGAATACTGCAGCTGCGGACTAAAGGCCTCGCCTCCGTTGCACTGCAGCAAAGGGGTGCCCATGTCAAGCTGTCTCCTCATGCACCTCCCTCCCACACTCAGCATCATGAAGGAGAGTTGGAATTGGAAAAACCTGGTTCACATTTAGAACACAGCAGCAAAGGAGGCAGGGATATGCCATGTTATTTATTTTTTTAAAAAAATGATTTTTTTTTTAGAGACAGTCTCCCTATGTTGCCCAGGCTGATCTCGAACTCCTATCTCGGCCTCCCAAAGTGCTAGGATTCCAGATGTGAGCCACCACACTCGGCCAATGCCATTTTAGCTTTACCCTTCTGCATTATGGGAAAACATCTTGCAAGGAGTTTAATGGGCAATTAATAAGCAAATCTACAGTATCCCCCACGGCCCATGCCTCTGGATACTTCATGTCCCGGTGTACCCCAATTTCCATATTTAAACTTCCAAGCAAAAACAGCAGTGGAAACAATAGCTCCCATATTCCACCTAATGCACCTACCCCCGTATGAGCAAGTGAGTGCTTAGCAAAACGTCCCATTTATCAATATATCCATTTCTGTGCTCTGTTAGTTTTCCTCTGGTTCATTCACAATTTTACTTGATGTCCTGAAGTCTGTGAACTAAATTATGAGGTTAGCTGTCGCATCCCTGCCACCAGGCCTGCTTGTTCATGGGCAACTGAACTGACATCCAGTGATGTCTGGACACCTGATTATCAAGAGCCTTCTCTCCACAGATGGACTTTTGATGATCATTCAAACAGTACATACATATCGTTATACCCAAGATCTCGCTGAAAGGGCTACCCATATATATTTTCCTCAAACTTCCATGTTATCAATCCCCATTCTTGTCCTTTTCGAGCCCTTGACCATCCTTAAGGAAAGAATCAAGTAAAGAATATTTAAATAAAAAATATCACTGAGCTCTTTTTTTTTTTTTAATTTTTTTTGAGATGGAGTCTCACTCTGTTGCCCAGGCTGGAGTGCAGTGGCGCGATCTCGGCTCACTGCAACCTCCACCTCCCAGGTTAAAGCGCTTCTTCTGCTTCAGCCTCCCGAGTAGCTGGGAACTACAGGCGGGTGCCACCACACCCAACTAATTTTTGTATTTTTAGTAGAGACACGGTTTCACCATATTGGCCAGGCTGGTCTCGAACTCCTGACCTTGTGATCCACCCCCCACCCCCCCACACCCGGCCTCCCAAAGTGTTGGGATTACAGGTGTGAGCCACCTCACCTGGACTATTAAGCTCTTATTATACATCAAGAATAAATAAAATGGTGAACAAAACAGAAACCCCCAAACCCTGCCTTCCTGGAGCTTACTCTCTGGTGCTGGGTACTGCCCATTCTTCTGTGTAGATCTGTACTCTCAGTCATTTCTCCTTCTAGGCAAAATGAACTACTAAATACACATTTCAAAGACAGTGGGGGACGTTCCTTCCCCATTGTCTTTCATCAGCAGCCTTCACGGGGGCTGTAATCCTATAGCATTATACATCTGACTAGTTGCATTATATCAGGCAAGGTCAACTAGGCTCAAATACTTTTTTTTTTTTTTTTTGGAGACAGAGTCTCACTCTGTCACCCAGGCTGGAGTGCAGTGGTGCGATCTCAGCTCACTGCAACCTCCGCCTCCCAAGTTCAAGCGATTCTCCTGCCTCAGCCTCCAAAGTAGCTGGGACTACGGGCACCTGCCACCACGCCCGGCTAATATTTTGAATTTTTAGTAGAGATGGGGTTTCGCCACGTTGGCCAGGCTGGTCTTGAACTCCTGACCTCAAGTGATCCGCCTGCTTGGCCTCCCAAAGTGCTGGGGTTACAGGTGTGAGTCACCATGCCTGGGCTCAAATTCTTTATTCTGATGCCAAGTGAAGCTGTGAATGCCAAGTGGATGCCAAGTGAAGCTGTGGGGTGGGCTGAGGGTTAGGGGTTTTGCAGCAGAAGTAGTCATCCTGGGGGCTGTGGACCATTGGTAAGGCCTGCATGTTTATTTCCCCCAACTCCCAATTCATACGTTGAAATGCTAACCCGCAAGGTGATGGTATTAGGAGGTGAGGCCTCTGGAGGGTGATTAGGTCATGATGGTGGAGCTGTCATGCATGGGATTATTAAAATGACCCCAGAGGGAGAGCTTGCCCCTTCAACCATGTGAGGACACAGCAAGAAGGCACCATCTATGAACCAGGAAACGTGCCCTCACCAGACACCGAAACTGCTTGTGCCTTGATCTTTGACTTCCCAGCCTCCAGAACATGAGAAATAAATTTCTGTTGTCTATCAGCCACCTAGGCTATGATATTTTGTTATAACAGCCCAAATGGACTAAAACACCCACATACACATGCAGCTCACAAAATGACCAAATAAGACACTGGGCAAAGATTTCAGGCCTGGGCATTCATTCAGCAAGTGGACCATGGCACTGAGGACAGGCAGTGTGAGGTTACCACCCATGAGAAAACTGGACAAGCATCTGCCGAGGTCCCTCCAGCCTACAGGGCTCCTGCTCCCCTGAGCACTGCTCCTGCTATGGAGTTCTTCTCCGTTGCCTCATTTTGGACCATCCTGGAAAATGGACCCTCTCTCTGACCACAGTCTGTGATTGAGCGCCATACACCTGGGATTCCAACCCCCAATCTCTGCAGGCCAGTTTGTGACCTCAGCTCCGCACTTCTCACACAACACCGCCATGGCTCTTTGTTTGCTGCCTGTTCTGTGCTCTCGGCTGCTGGCACTGACCTTCTTGTGTTTGCTCCTGTTTGGGGTTTCGTAAGTTCAGATTTGTCTACTTGTTTGTTTTGATTCTCAGCGCCTCGGACAGGAGTAGACCTGTGGGTCAAATCTAGCTGCCACTAGTTTTCACACAGTTCAAGGAGTAAGAATGGTTTTTAAATTTTTAAGTGGGTTACATTTTACATGGTTATGTAAGTACCAACAAAATAGCTTTAATTTTGCCTCTTGCGCTACAAAGTCCTAAAATATTTACTCTGGTCCTTCACAGAAGCGTTTGTCAACTCATGCTCAAGGACATCGCTCGTGCAGTTTCCCACCTGATTAATCCATGTAGCCAAGCTGTCCATCCCCAAATCCCAGCAAGGTCCTTCCCTATGACCAGCTCCCCAGCAGGCTGGCTGTGACCTCCCTGAAGGGGTCCAGGGAGAAAGCACACTGGCCGGGGAGGCAGGAGAAATCGGTTCCAGCCTCGCACTCATCACCAACTTGCTTTGTGACTTTTGGTAAGTCCCATTCCCTCTCTGTACCTCAGATCCCTCTCTGTCAAACGGGGAGTTTCGATGTGAATCACCTTGGAAATCTCTCACAGCACTGCCAGTCCTCGCCAAACCATTGTTCTCCATAACCATGAGGAACATGGGAGAGAACAAGGCATGGGACTGTCCCAGGGACCCCAGGATCGAGCCCACGATCAATTCTTCATCCTAGGGCATGGGTGACAGGTCACGCGGGCACACAGACACACATGCTATACACTGTAGACACGTGCACGCACCTGAGTGCCTATGCACACACACCCCTTATTCATGCACCACACACACAGAGGCACACATAGACACAGACACACTCCACACACACACACCTACACATACACCACATAACTGTGTGCAAGTACACGCACCACACACAACCATGCACCACACACAGAGGCACACACGGACACGGACACACTCCATACACACACACACACACACGTACACATACACTACACACCTGTGTGCAAGTACATGCACCACAAACAACCATGCACCACACACAACCATGCACCACACAGAGGCACATATAGACCTAGACACACTCCATACATACACACACTTGCACACATACAATCACACACACCATGCATACACACACATGCCACACAGACAAAACACACACCACACACAGATATATGCACACATGCCAAACACACCCACCACACCACATACAGGCATACACACATGGATGCACCACATACAGACACACACATACACATCATAGACACATGCACATGCTTGCACATACCCCCCACCTGCATACATGTGTGTACACACCCCCCCACACACCAAACACACACAGATGCACACATACACTACACATACAGATACACTACATACCACACACAGACACCACAGAGGCACATATGGATACAGATAGAGACAGTCAACATACACAATTGCCAGACATGCAAGCCATATACACAGGTGCGCACCCACACCACACACACAGAGACCTACATAGACACAGGCACATGGTGCTCTGGGCAAAGTGTTGTGACCGTGTCTCACGGCTTGTCAGGTTGGGAGCCGTAGCAGAGCTCTGGGGGTACATCCCTGGGGGATCCCTCCTCGACTCTGGTCTGATTAAGTCAGCTCTGCAGAAACCAGAAAATTAAATTTGGGGCCATGTCTGTCTTCCGGATATGGTGCATAATTTCAGGATTACTCTGGGTAAAGAAAAGAGAAAGGGCTCTTTTCTTTTTTTAGGGTTTGGAAAGGAAAACATGGTTGTGTGGGCTAACGTGTATTGCTGGGCGAGGTCTTCAGGGGTATGGTTCGGAGCCATGAGGGAGGCGTCTGTGCAAGCAGCAAGCCTTCCTTTTTGGGGCCAGGTAGGGGGTCGGTAATGCAGAGGTTATAAAGAAAGAGATTGCATTTGATTAATGAAATATTTTCTTACAATCATGTTTTTGCTGAAATGCATGTTCAACCCTGACCAAAGGCCAGGGAAGCCAAATGCAAAACATACAGTGTGCGGTTGCCAGAATATCTCCCAAGCTACATTTTAATATATGTCAAAATTCAAATTTACCCTGGAGTCAAGGAAGTCAGAGAGGGAGACCTTTGCCTTATGGGTACTGCATACCATGCCTAATAAAATGATAATGCAACCTTCACAGTTTGCTAGGCACTTCCACCCACAGTCTTTCATTTGATTCTTACAATAATGTCAAATGCTTTTTCGTCTCTTCCACTGAAGAGTAAAACAAGGCTGAGAGAGGTAGAAAGGTGACCCCAAGATCATAGCCTGAAAATGGCCTTGCTGCCGTCCAGCCCTGCCCTCCAGTGATCTCTTGTTCCAAACCTGCAACACAGCAACGAAGCAAACCCACTGTTTATGTCTCCTCATTTGCAATCCCAAAACTATCAAGAGCAGATGAGAGCAAGCCCTTAAGGTTAATAGAGCAGAGTTAGGGAACCCTGAGCAAAATCTCTTATCCCTGAGGTACCTGATTGGTTATCTGAATGGCTGCCAACACAGAGCACTGTGTTAAGAGGGATTCTGAGGCTGTGATCAAGGAAAGAACTGCATGATCTCTTGGTGATATCTCCCATGACCGTCGTAGGGAGGGGCTTATTGTCATCTTCACTTTGGCCTCAGTTTCATTATCTATAAAGGGGAAGGAATTGCTCTCAATCTGGGTCTGTGAACTAACATGCCTACAGAACCCAAACAGGAAACATCTGAGCAGACCAGATGTATTAGTTTGTTCTCGCACTGCTATAAAGAACTACCTGAGACTGGGTAATTTATAAAGAAGAGAGGTTTAATTCTCTCACAGGTTCTACAAGCTCTACAGGAAGCGTGGATTGGGAGGCCTCAGGAAACTTACAATCATGGCAGAAGGTGAGGAAGAAGCAGGCACGACTTACGTAGCTGAAGCAGGAGGAAGACAGCGAGCCTCTGCTACACACTTTTAAACAAGCAGCTCTCATGAGAACTCACTATCACAAGAACAGCAAGGGTGAAGTTTGCCCCCATGATCCAGTCACCTCCCACCAGGCCCCTCCTCCAACATTGGGGATTACAATTCGACATGAGATTTGGGCAGGGAAACAAATCCAAACCACATCCCCAGACCAAGTGTAAAAACATCCTGAAAGAGGGAAGGTTGGGATCTTTGTCCAATCATTGCCATGTGGGGATGTGGGCTTTGGATTAGAGTGACAGTTTCTCAATCATTCAAGATTTCACATTATAATGTTAAAAAAATTTTTTAGGTGGCAACTAATTTGAATATTGTTAAAAAATACCTGTGCTAACATGCGTGTGTACGCATGTGCTGTCAGGCTGGGTGTGGCCCACGGACCATTGCTTTTCAAGCTTTGGTTTAAATAGTCCCCAAGATTCCTTTCATTTCAAAAATTCTAAAATTCTGTGTGGGATGCAGGTCCACAGACTAGGTGCATGTGAAATGTTTCTCAATAGATCTAGAGTTCTAAACTCAGTCCCTCACCCACGTGGGCCGAGATTAGTTTGAGCACCTGCTGTGTGCCTATTGGGCTTCTACAGACATTGTCTCACTCAGGCTTCATGACTAGTCCAGCTGGCTCTTCTCCCTTATTTTGCAGCTGAAGACACAGGCTCAGAGAGATGACTAATTTATCCAAGGTTGCCCAGCACATAACCAAACTGAAATTTACTCCTTGGTGATTTCTCAAGATTTTGGTTTCATGATGGAAATCCCATGACATAATCAGCACTCGGTGGAAACTCAATGATAAATGGGTAAAGCTTGGGAGGGCTTCACCCCAATATTGTATCTAGATCCACTGTGGAATTTCCAGCATTCCCAAGGATTGTAACTTGATCGTCTTCAATGAAGAACCCAGCAGGCATTATCAGGCTGGGCCGGTACTGGCAGCCCCTGGGTGAGCAATTTCTGGCAGGCATCCAGCCCATAAAGTGTTCTAAAAGGTCGCTTGGTTTTGGCTGTTGGTAGAAAGTGGGAGAGATGGAGAGGCCCCGAAAGCTGGGGTCTTTCCCATCTGTTCCACATTACAATGCTGTTAAATATGTTATGATGTCCATTGTACCAACAAATACAAGCAGAACTAATCTCTTTGTTTAAGGTTCCTTGACTGACATCATTGGTAATTAGATGACATACTTATTTTCTCATGACAAGAGTGGACTGGTTCAGTGAGAGGTTTGGAAAGAGTACAGGCTCTCACCCACGAAGTTTAGTGGGAAGTATCTTGATGCTGATGGATGTGAAAAACGACAGCTCCAGGGATGGGGATGGAAAAGAGAAATGCTTTGCCATTGTCTCAGCCACAGAGATGAAATCTAGAGGAGACTAAAGACTTTCTGAGTGTCTATTCATTCATTCATCCATCCATCCATCCATCCATCCATCCATCCATCCATCCATCCAATTATCCATCTATCCATCCATCCATCCATCCATCCATCCATCCATCCATCCATCCATCCTTACATATATCCATACATCAAGCCAGCCATCCATTCACCCATCCATCTATCCAACCATCCATCCATCTTTCCATCCATTCATCCATCATCCATCCATATATTCAACCATCTATTCATCCATCCATCCATCCTCTGTTCATCTCTCCAACCATCCATCCATCCATCCATACATACATACATACCTTCAACCCTCCATTCACTCATCCATCCATACATCCACACATCCATACATCCATTCATCCTTCCATTCATCCATCCATCATCCAGCCATCCATTCATCCAACTATCCATCCATCCTTCCATCCATCCATGCATCCATCCATCCTTCCATTTGTCCATCTTTCCATCTACCCTTCCATACATGCATCCATATCCCCATCCATTTTTTTATCCTCATTGCTGGAAGGGAGCCACAAGCTGAGGGATGCACACGGTTTCTCGAGGCTGCATAAGGCAAGGAACAGATTTTCCTCTAGATCGTCCAGAAGGAACATAGGCCTACTGACTTGATTTTTAGTACCATTTTAGGACTTCTGAGCTCTGTAAGTGTAAGAGAATAAATTTGTGCTATTTTCAGACACCAGGTATGTGGTAGTTTGTTACAGCAGCAATAGGAAACTCATACACAAACTCATGGGGTCACCAGAAGCATTAAATTAGCTAATATATAAAAATGCAGTTAGCACCATGCCTGGAGCATAATAAATGCTCAAAAAAGTAGTACTGACTCTTATTTTTGTGGGTGCTCTTATGATATATTTTGGGGATGTGGCCTTGCCCTCTGAGGAGCCCTCAGTCTATTGTGACACAAGAGAAGTAAATTTCTGGGGGTTGGATAAAGGGGAAAGCAAAGAGAAGCCCTCAAAGTGAGGAGGGCTGTGGTTTTGCTGCCTGAAACTCATTCACCATGCGAGCACTGGGGCTCCAGAGGGATAAGGGGTGAGTTAACACCTGATCCTAACGTCAGGGTGATGTCGCAGCAGCATAGCCAGATCCAAAGCAGACTGCAGGCCTGATGGAGAGGGGGCTGTTCACATCTAGCTGGGGGCCTGATTCTTAGCACATCATCCCCCAGGCTTCTGGGCAGCTTGTAATGTTCTTCCTCATGCATTGACATGTTTAAACCTTGTTTACTCCTCATAATAATCCTCTCTTGTTTTCTAAGCACTATTTTTGTTTCAAAGTGATAATAGCTAAATTTGTTTCTGATTGAAAGTGTAATGCACGCTCATCGAAGCAAATTTGGTAGACAAAGACAGTGAACTTTGATATTTTCTACAACAATACTTATGATTAGTCCCAAATCTTCACACTCCCCCTACCAGCTCCCTGTGGCATGTGCTTAATCAGGGGCTACTGCTCCAGGTGGGATGCTCGCCATGTCTTGGCTCTAGGCTCAGCTATGCAATTTGTTTTGACCAATGAGATGGGAGCAAACGTGACAGTAAGCACAGGCCTGAAAGCACTGGCACCTCTGCCACCTCCATGAGAACATGCTGGATTAGCATGTTCTCATGGCACATGGGGCAGAGATCCTCACGCCCATTTTCAGAGACACGTGGCCTATTTGCCCCATCATTTCATTGGACAGCCAGCTGGCATTGAACCTGTTAAGTGAGCCCAGTTACAACCAAAAGAATCACAGCTGAGACCAGCCTGCCTCACTGAACTGCGTATTCCTGGGATAAACAAATGCTTATTGTTTTAAGCCACTGGATTTGGAGAGAGTTTGTCATGTACCACTATTGTTGTAATAATTAGAATAATGATTACAACCGCCACCAATGACATGTACTGAAGACTTACTGTGTGCTGGGTTTGTTACTAAACCCTTTTTAAACATCAGTGTTTCTTACTAACATATCTAGATAAAAGAATCACCTAGAAGTTTGCAGGAAGGCCCCACCTTTACTTAATCAGAAAATCTGAAGAGATGCCTGGGAACCTGCATTCTAACATCTCTCTCTTGACTTTTGGGCACCATACGCCTGGGAACCATTAACACTTGTTATCTTGTTTCAGCTATACAGCATTCCCATGGGGCAGAGATCCTCATGTCTGTTTTACAGACAAGGAAAGTGAGGCTCAGAGGAATTAAGTTTGCTAGCTCGAGGTGGAGCCAGAACTTGAACCCAGGCTTTATGATAGGCAGAGATCAAGCCCTTGGTTCATCATCAAGGCTGCCTGCTGTGGTCAAGGGCTAGCTTGGTATAGCTCCCCTCTTGGCCTGACATTCTAGGGGCTGCCTCTGGTGACCAGCAATAAGTGCTGTTCCGGGCTCAACTGAAGCTGGGGTTGCTCCAGAAAGAGGTGAGAAGTGGCAGGGGATTAAAGTCTGCTTTCTTTGCTAAAATGGAAATTGTTGTTAAATAAGAGCATAAATATTTAATTACCCACAGTGGCTACTCTTTGCATAACAATTTCAAGTCCAGATTCAATATGAAGCAAGCTTAACACAAACACAACACCTGGGTGCGAGTCCCATACCTTCTGGCTAAAGTCAGCTCTTCCTGCTTACTCACTCCAAGGCTAGTTTCCCATGGTCTGCCCTGAAGAGAAGGCTTTTATTTTATGCTCACTTCTGCTCCCAGGTGATGAAAAGTGCCAGCTACCTGTCCACAAGGGCTTCTCACACCACAAATGGCTCCAACATTTAAAATCTCACCTTTTTGCTGCTAAAAGCCCTTAGAGCACAGTTCACTGTCTGAGGTAGAGGTGATGGTGGTGTGGTTTCCCCATGCCATTGGCTGTACCTCATGACTCCCAAAACAGCAAGTTTCAGGGGCTACTTTTCCCTGTTCTCTCCATGACTTATGTCCCTTTGCCTAGATTTTCTCCTCTTCTAAGCTCAAAGCAGAAAAGATGCAGCCATCTTGCATTACGTCTGTCTCTGCGTGCTATACGAAGGCTAATATACAAATCCCTGCCCATGCTGGGATTCTTTCTTCTGACTTAGGCTCCAGCCTGTCCTCTTGCTCTCTGAGCTGTTCTCTTGCCCCTCAGATGGTCTGTGGCAGCAAATCACTTCTCAGGAAAGCCCTGCTGCGTTTAACACTTCATCACCTCCTCTGAGAAATATTTCTGGGATCTGCTACTTCAAAATGGCAGGCTTATTCTCTGTCTAAACACTTTAAAGATAAGAGCAACAGAACCTTGAGACAAATTCCATAGAAATTATTTCAGCTGGGTGAAAATGTGAAATGGCTTAGCATTTGAGAGGCTCACAGATGGCCAAGGATGACTGGAGTGTTGGGGCAAGAGACAGGGTGGTGAGACATGAAGATGGAAAGAAAGACAACAACCAGATCATGAATAGGAAAGTAACAAAACGAAAACAACCACATTAATAGTTATAGTAGCTAATTCTCACACTGTGCTTATCATGTATTGGATACCTATAATAACTCATTTAATCCTCACAATGCCTCTATGAGGCAGGCACTGTTATTACTCCCATTATACAGATGAAGAAATGGAGGCTTCCTTGGTTCCTGCCATTTCTAAGTCAAATCTTCCAGCCTCTTGTTACTAAGGAATGTCCCGGCTACCTCTACCATAGCCTTTCGGTACATCTCCTTTTGGGAATTATCTTAGTTCATTGTTGTGCTGCTATAACAGAATACCTGAGACTGGGTAATTTATAATGAACAGAAATGTATTGGCTTATGGTTCTGGAGGATGGGAAGTCCAAGAACAAGGTGCTGGCATCTGGTGAGCGCCTTCTTGCTGTGGCACCACATGGCAGAAGGCATCACATGGTAAGAGAGAGAGGGAAGTAGGCCAAACTCATTCTTTATAAAGAAACCAGTCCCACAATAATGGTGTTAATTCATTCATGAGGACAGAGCCCTCATGACTTAATCACCTCTTAAAGGTCTCACCTCTCAACACCATTGCATTGAGGACTAAGTTTCTAGCCTGTGAACTTCTGGGGACACATTCAAACCACAGCAGGAATGTTAGCAAAAACTGACATTCGCCGCTTGCCACCCAAGATCCTAACCAATGTGGGGCAAGCCAAGGAGTCACCATTTATTCCACTAACTAGATCTTTGTTTACTCCCTTGCTCCTGAGTCTGCCTCCCAAATCCCAAACGTGTTCATTTTCCAGATCCCTCTCAGCCTCAACAGGAGACAATTTTGCCTCCCTGCTCTATGGACATTTGGTGATGTCTAGAGATATTTTTAGTTGTTACAACTGGGGAGGGGGTGTTACTAGCATCTAGTGTGTGAAGGCCAGGAATGCTGCTAAATGTCCTACAACACATAGGACTGTCTCCGATGACAAAAAACTATCCAGCCCCAAGTGCCAGTTGTACCAAGATTGAGGCATCCTGCTCTAAGCCTGGGGTTTTGCTTTGTTCTTGGAACTGGCCCCTAATATGAGGGTCCTATTTCTAAATTTCCCCCTTTAACTAGAACTACGAGAGCTCATTCCTGCCTCCACTTAATGCCAGCAAACTACCTTTGGGCATCCCATGGCTCTCTGTGGATCCTGACTACTTGCTGGTGTGGTCACCTGTTCCTTGTCAACATTGCCACATGCCACTGGCCATCTGGACATCCTCCACCACCCACAGCAGGTCCACTCCACCAACCTGCCCTCCCACAGTGCCAGCCTTGACACATGGGCACAACTTGCACCCAGCTCTTGACCAAAACCAGCTGCTCTGCCAAGACACAAAAGGGACCCCTGCCGGAGTGAGGTCATCTCGCTCTAGGACACAGTGTCCAGCTCAGACAGAACACCACCCACCAGCTTCCTGCTGAAGCTATTCATTGCCCAGGCTTCCAGAGACCCAATTCCCTGGAGTTCCAGTGCGGGGGCGAACCCGGCAGCAGAAAGAAAAGACTCTGTGACCCGTGCCTAAAAATAAAAATATTATTCAATTTCATGTCTGACAGACTGAATGTCTGACGCAGAAAGCAAACCCATGGCAACCGGAAAACACATTGGAAACCTTTTCACTTGGGTGGATCAGAGTGAAGTAAGGCTGGGCCTTCTGGAGGCAGAGAGTTTCTCAGCTCAACCCTCTGGTTTTTGGGCTGGGATAGGGGGTGTCTGTGGGTATGTGGGAGGGAGAAAGGGAGTGGACCCCACTCGGTGGGTCTCATTTGTTTGGGCTTGCCCTGCCTTCCCAGGATTGCTCCCTCTCTTGAAGGACACGCAGCTTTAGAAGTAAATTTCCGGCCGGGCGCGGTGGCTCACGCCTGTAATCCCAGCACTTTGGGAGGCCGAGGCGGGCGGATCACGAGGTCAGGAGATCGAGACCATCCCGGCTAAAACGGTGAAACCCCGTCTCTACTAAAAATACAAAAAAATTAGCCGGGCGTGGTGGCGGGCGCCTGTAGTCCCAGCTACTTGGGAGGCTGAGGCAGGAGAATGGCGTGAACCCGGGAGGCGGAGCTTGCAGTGAGCCGAGATCCCGCCACTGCACTCCAGCCTGGGCGACAGAGCGAGACTCCGTCTCAAAAAAAAAAAAAAAGAAGTAAATTTCCACTAGAACACAGGGACCTGGAGGGCAAGTCAATACAGATACTTCATTTGGGTCCCCAGTTCAAGTGAGCCTCTTTCCTTTTTCACCCACGTGAAACTGTGGGCTACGGACAAGCCAGACAGAACCACCTTTGTACCCCAAATACTTCCCTGGCTTTACGTCTTGCTTCTACTCTCTGCCTTGTTGGAAACATCCTTCCCTCTCCTCTCTGCCCCACTAAATCTGACTCATCTTCCTGGATCTAGCTAAACTGTCACTTCCTCCACGAAGGATTTCTAAGTTTTTTCTCTCCACCAGCCTTATCCCAACCTTTGCAGGCAGCAGTGGTCTCTGCCCACCCAGGGTTCCCATAGCATTTTGTCAATGTGTATATTGGGCCTTCTAGCTCAGCAAGGCAGGGCCAGGAGCAACTTGGAGGAGAAGTCAGGTGAACCTGCTCAAATCCCAACTCTGCTCCTAAGTGGGGATGTGTTACTTTTAGCATTTCACCTCTGCATGCCCTAATTTCCTCACCTAGAAAATGATGTCCCCAGTGCCTACTTTGTAGGGCTGTTATGAATTTTAAGTAGTAAGTATGTAAGGAATTGCCCATACACCACAGTCCCCTGAAAACACTGGCTGTCATTATCATCAGCTTCAGGCAGAAAGAGCATGGACTCTGGAGTTGGACATGGGTTTGAGGCCTGGCTTCACCGCTTAACGGGTTTTAGGAGTTGAATTGTTTCCTCCAAAAACAACGCAGTGAGCTTTTACTCCCAGTAACTCAGAATATAACCTTATTTGGATATAGGGTCATTGCAGATGTAATCAGTTAAAACGAGGTTGAGCTTTTAATCCGATATGCCTGGTGTTCTCATAAGAAGATGGCCCTGTGACCATGGAGACAGAGGTTGGAGTCAGCAGCTACAGCTGCAAATGCCAGGATCACCAGCAACTACCAGAAGCTCCGAGACAGGCAGGGAGTGGGTTCTCCCTCATGGCCGTCCAAAGAAACCAGCCCTGCTAAGACCTTGATTTTGGACTTCTGGCTTCCTGAACTATACAAGAATAAATGTCTGTTGTTTCAAGCTACCCAGTCTGTGGTCATTTGTTACAGCAGCCTAGGAAACTAAGACAACAGGTGTTCACCTCTTTCAGCCTTGGGCTCCCCAACCATAATCCAGGGCTTAAGGGAGATAATGGATGTGAAAGTACTGGACACCCAGAAGATGCTGAATTAATATTAATAGAATCTGAAACCCAACAACCTTCAGAAAAAGGAATACAAAAGTGGGAAGATACATGCATTCCCAGCCCAGGCTAGAAGGAGGCAGTGTGGACCCCAAACGAGAAATCCAATGAGCAATGCCTGCTTTATGTTTATGCATGTATTTATACTCTGTGACCTTTCACAAAGGCAGACAGTATGCTGGAACACTCGCCAGACAATAAGACAGAAAGGGTACCAGCCGGAGAGAGTGCAGATAGCATAGAAAGATGAGGTGGGGAAGAAATCTCTCTGAACGATCCAGGAGTCCTGCCAACCTACGCCCCCAAACGAAGTGGTGCGGAGGTCATCTGCTGTTTCTATTTGTCCAACATCCCTTCCTACATCTTGAAATAGGATCGTCCTTCCTCCTGCTGACTTATCCTCTGTGCATGTGATTCTAGTACAGCTGCCAATCAGTCCCTGGGCAAAGGAAGGGGCATGTGACCCAGGCCTTGACAGTCAGAACCTCCCACCTTCCTGAACATAGTAATGGCAATAATACAGGAAACACAGGTGACCCAATTGACCAGTCCCAAGCTGGGATTCTACCTATGGAGGTTGGAGAAAGAAGACGTAAGCTTAGCCTGAGACTAAGTTGGGATGACATACACCTGAAGCTCCTGCAGCTGTGGCCCTTTCTCCTACTGCGCGGAGGAACTCATCTACAGTAGGAAAAGCTGGGCCCACATGCAGAGGGGAGCAGAGGGTGTGTGTGTGCAGAGGGGAGCAGAGGGGGTGTGTGTGCAGAGGGGAGCAGAGGGTGTGTGTGTGCAGAGGGGAGCAGAGGGTGTGTGTGTGCAGTGGGGAGCAGGGAGAGAGAGAGAGACAGAGAGAAAGAGAAGAGAGAGAGACAGAGAGAAAGAGAAGAGAGAGAGACAGAGAGAAAGAGAAGAGAGAGAGAGCAAGAAAGAGAAGAGGTCTGATGACATTATTTCCGTCCTAAGCCAGCTCCACTCACGGACTTCTCAGTTACATAAGTCAATAAATTCCCTTTTTCACTTTAACCAGTTTGAGTTAAGATTCTGTCATCCACAGTGAGAAAGTCCTGCTCAGTCCAGGAGGGCTGGTAGACAGGAAGGGGGATCAAAGAGTGAAGCCTCACAGGAGGGAGCAGCCCCAGGGCGCCCAGAACCCTTTGAAGGACGGAGGATTCTGTGCCTAAGAGCAGGCGCAGGGAGGGGCTTGTTTGGGGAGTGTTTGGAGTAGCTCCCAGGGTGGGGGGCTTTTCAGAAATGCTTACCTGGGGCCTAGCATGGTGGCTCAAGCCTGTAATCCCAGTAATCCCAGCACTTCGGGAGGCTAAGACAGGCAGATCACCTGAGGGCAGGAGTTCAAGACCAGCCTGACCAACATGGCAAAACCCTATCTCTACTAAAAAAAAAAGAAAAAAATACAAAAATTAGCCGGACATAGTGACATGTGCCTGTAATCCCAGCTACTTGGGAGGCTGAGGCAGGAGAATCGCTCGAAATCAGGAAGGCAGAGGTTGCAGTGAACCGAGATCGCACCGCTGTGTTCCACCCTGGGTGACAGAGTGAGACTTCATCTCAACAACAACAACAACAAAAGAAATGCTTACCTGGGCATCCTATCTGTGTTCTGGCAAGGAGGCCTCAAATCTGTGTTCTGTGCACCCTGCTCAGAACTGTCACCATCACCTCCCTAGGCCGGCTTTAACCCGCTCATTTTAGTAAGTGTCTAGTGGAAGAGTCCGTTCAGTTGCCTGCCAGGCTCACCTCTGCCTCCTGACTCAGCTGTCCGGGAAGCTTCCATATGGAATCTTCTTCCATAAGCCCTGAAAGGGGCTGAGGGATTCAATACCTATCAGAGCCTTTTGGACTCTTTCTTTCTTGAGAATCTCAGCTAAGTGACATGAAGACAGTGGACAGTAGAGTTGTGTCAGAGCCAGCAGGGAGGGAGGCTGGGACTGTGAGTAGGCTGGGAAAGCCAGTCTGTGGTCAGTTGAGGGGTGCGGGGGGATGGAGCCACCAGGAAGGGGCAGATGAGCATCCAGGTGGCCTCTGGAAAATGCGTCTCGATGTTGTTCTAGTTCCCACAAGGCCGTGCTGTCCTTCCCACGCCTCCTTTCTGGGAGATTCCTTTCCTCCTTCAATAACCTCTCTTGACTTGAGTTAGTTGGATGGGGGTTATATTCCTCGCAGCTGAGACACAATGGCCACGCCTTCTCTGCCTCAGGTAGGCATGCTGGCTGCCAGCAACAGAAACCAACTCTGCCTGACACAAGCAAGAGGGAATTTATTGGAAGCCTGGCAGCTAAACTGTCTGGCTGGGAATAGATAGGTGCTGGCTGTTCTGGAAAGTCTGAGAGCATGAGCTTCTCGACAGTCTCCCTGGGCAGTGGAGGTGGAATAGATGAATTCTAACCCGGTTCCTGTCCCTGGGTCAGAAGAGTGGAGCCAACTGGTCTCCCTGAGACTGTGCATCAACTATTTGCCTGGGCTTGGTGGTGAGGGGAGGATCTGGCCCAAGAAGCTCCTGGGTGCTCTTAGGCTTCTGTAGGGAAAGGGAGGTACATTAACTTACACCCCAGCAATAAAGCCCAGGGTTTGGCAGATGTGAGTTCCCCAAAGGAACTGGGAAGCAAAAACACACACAGATGCAGCTGTCCAGCCTCTATGCGTCGGGGTCATTCTTGCCCCTTCCTCACTCTGGCCCCCAGTTGCCCAGACCTGGGCCAGTGGAGAAGGAAGAGTTCAAGATACACAGCTTATATTCCATACAACTCAGAGACAATGGTGCCATCTTCATCTTCCGGAAGAATGGGCAGGGGTCCATGGAGAGACCTTCCAAGTGGGGAGGAGGGACAGATGAGGAGTGCAGAGGGCAGGATTGGTACCAACTTAGAGGACGGATGCTTTTTTCTGCTGAGACCGGTGGGAGGGGAACAAGTGGCCATGGTTGGACGTGGGCTGCAGGTGTGCGGAGGTCAGGTGTGAGTGACACGCAGGAGCCCTGCAGTTCCTTCTATGAATTGGGTGTCAAGTCTTCTCCTGAGAGTGGAGAGGCTGGAAGAGAAGGAGGTGTTTGTGGTTTAATGGAGGCTTGAACACGCTGATGAAGGATGAAATGCAGAGAATGGCCCAGAATCAGTCCAACACTCACCAAGGCATGGAGGGCCCTGGTGGGTAGAGACCACAAGTTTTTGGTGGCATCAGTTGCCCTTGGCGGCCAGGCAAGAAATAAAGCGGGTAGAGGGCTGGGTGTTTACAGAAATGTAGGAAGAAGGCAAAGGAAAAAGACATTGAGGATGGGGGATAGGAGACTCCAAGGAAGGAGGGTGGGGCTGATGGAAGAAAATGGGGGATCCAGATACTGGCGGTGCAGATGGGCAGGAGGCTGCTCAGGGAGGGGCACTGGTGATCTTCCATATGATGATAGTCTCAGGTGTGCAGGGAGTGGTGGCCAAAGTGGAGTGGTGGGGCCCTGGGAGCCAAGGGCTGGGTCGTGCACATGTCTCCTGAAGTCCTCTGGAGAAAGACAGGCCTGGAGAGGAAGAGAATACCGAACGCCAGGGTGAACTCCTCATTCTTTGGAGTCTCCAGTTATTTATTGGCAAAGTGAGTTGAGAGAGGTGAGACAGGGGAAGGCCCCTCTGAAGCGTTAAGCCTCATGAAGCTCCAGGGTGCTGCCCAGAGGGTGAGTGGCCACACCCAGGTCCGGTGCTGAGAGCCCAGCAGATGTCAGGAAGAACAGAAAACTTGCAGCCTGGGCCCTCTGCCCCAGCTCAGCTGTACCTACACCACCCTGGCTCAGGAATGCCTCCTGTCCCCTTGTCCCAGAGGCCCGCCTGGCTGGCCCTTCTCAGAGAGCACCCAACAATCACATGGCTGGCCGCCCGCCTAGCCTTGTGCATCCCCCACCTTTTGTGTAATTATGCTCTTGAATATGCCTGATGTGAGCGGCAGTACACGCAGTGGTTAAGAGCCGGGAGCCAGACTGCCTGGAATCAGACTGTAGCGCCACAGTCACATGCTGTGTGACCGGTGACAAGTTAATTAACCTTGCTGTGCCTCAGGACCCCATCTACATGATGGGGGTTACATCAAGAGCATCTGCCTCATGGGCTTTTTGTGAGTGAGCATTAAATAAGACAGAATGCAGAAGGCCTTAGCAGAGTTGGAGGACAAGCTGGAGAGGGGGGCTCCTGTAAGCCAAAGTTTTCATGGAGTGACTGTCACAGAGTAAGACAAGGGCCTCGCAGGACAAGGCCTGAGGAGTGGCCACACGATTTGGGGACAAGGAAGCAGCCTGGTACTCCTGGTTGAGTTTTTTTAAAAAACAGGACAGACTTGTGAATGGTCTTAAAAACTTTGAGAAGAAAGGCACCTCCCTCTGCTTTTCTCTGTGTCTGCAGGTGGGCTCCCAGTCTCAGCCTCCCCAGCAGGTCTGCATGGGAGCCTCCAGAGTAACAGACCTCCCAGGCTGGCTCTGCCCGTCACCGGATTCTTTCTTGAGCACTCCTTCTATTGCACACTGGACGGCCTCTGCTTTGCAGGAAACTGAGGAAGGGCCAAGGTGATTCTGATGCAGCCAGACTCACAGTGGAAACAAATCCATGGAGCTGAGGGTGCACCTGCTCCCACCTATGCCCACCCATGAGCTTTCAGAAGCATCCACTGCAAGGATCACTCCCGCAGGAAAAAACTGATAGACCTGGAGATCGTTTGAGCACACTGACCTTGCGCATGGCTCACCCTGGGCCCACCCCATCTTTGAGCCTGGAGGGCTCCCCAAACCAAGGGCTCCTCCAAAGTCACCATCAGGGGCCCTCCTTCTGCAGACCATGCCCTGCCCTTTGCCCTTCACGCCCCACTCCATTCTGTCTCTTGCATAATGACTGGCAATCACATCGCATTTACCCTTCACAAAGCTCTTTCAAGTCCATTATTTCATTGACCTTCTGTCTCCCATCCAAAGACTGTTGGCTTCATGAGGGCTAGCACCAACAAGTAGACAGCTGCTGCAAAGGATGCTGGGCTGTGGCAGAGGTGCTGGGGCCATGCAAGCACCATGCCAGGAGCAGGAGGTCAGCACAGGCTTCTCGGAGGAGGTGACACCTGAGATCCACTGGATGAGTGGCATCTTGACTATAGAAAGTTTTTATGCAATCATGACTTTGCCACATGTTAACGTGCTTCTTTGGGTTATATAATGAATAGAGGAATTGAGACATGTCATAATTACTGGTGGCCTCATTGTTTCTGGACAACTTCACAGAAAATGCCAGAATGTATATAGTAGTGTCAGGAAATACGTGTGTGTGTGTGCGTGCGCATGCATATTTTAATCATATAAAGACTACTGGATTTTTCAGACTCCTCCAAGCCAGAGACAAATTATCTGCTATGAGATTTTCATTTGCCCCCAACATTTTTATGCTGAAACTTAAGAAGAGGCTTGTGCTGCTCCGCGCAACTACCCCCAACCCAGGTTTTTTCTAGGTAGAAGCTATGGATTCAGACAGACCTGGGCCTGACTTCATGTTTGACCTCATGACTTCACGTTTGACCTCCTGACTTCACATTTGACCTCAGTCAACTTCTCTGAACCTCCAGTTCCTCCCTTGTGATTCTTCCTGGGGTTGCGATGAAGCCCTGTGTGTGGAGGCATCTAGCCACATGCCAGGCCCATAGAAAGTGGCCAATAAGTGTTGGTTTTCTCTTTCCCTGCAGCTTGCTTTTAAACGCTGGCACTGTCTCAGCTCGGTAGAATGCAGCATGGTACCTGCACAAAGATGGCGCTGAAAAAATGCTTGGTGAATGAAATAGACTCAGGGGGAGATAAACCACTCAGAGAACACAGGTTGATAAACGAATCCTATTTAGGAGTCTTTTGCTTTACCATTTGATAGAAACCACGATGCTAGGCTTTGAGGACACTCTCATCTTCCCCAGTGGCTGTAAATCCTGCCAACAAGTTATCAGATAGTAAACGTTTTTCTTGTGAAGTTTTAGCATTCTCTTGAACAATAAAGGTGACCCTTTGGCCTCACTTATCACATTTCATGATAAAGTCAGGCCTCAATGATGGGCCAGTTTGGAGATGATAGACACATCTGCTTGAAAGCAGAAGGTAATACCCATTCAAGACAAGGGCTTCAAATGGGAGAGTTCCATGCTATATAAAATCCCAGCTCCGTTTCCACCACAATAAACTGCTTTAGAAACTCAAATCTGATTTGGGCCTCAAAGGAGAAAATTAAAACCAGAAACAGAGATGTGAATGCCATATTCTGTTTGGTTTGTTTTTTTGGGTATGTGTGGCAGCATTTTAAAAGGCAGAAATGCAAACATCCTCCTGTCAGGATTCTACTCCAACAAGGTTAAACTTTTCACTGAGCTATTGTTCTCAACAGCAAATCTGTGACTTCACAGACTTATAAATATTTTGCTGATGTGCGTGAAGTTTCAATTACATGAACAGAGGAATAGGACTGGAATTTCTGTAAGCAGAGACTGCCTTGTCTGCCACTGTATCCTCAGCCCCTTGCACAAGACCTGGCCCATAGCAGATGCTCATCCAATATTTGCCCAACAAATGAATTAAGCCATAGCCTCACACATAATCATAACGCCATAATCAGTTTGGCAAACATTTTAGAGTCACAATGCACTTTCACCCTGTCTCAAGCAGTTCAGCCTACTGTAACACAATACCATCGACGGGGTGGCTTATTAAACAATAGAAATTTATTTCCTACAGTACTGGAGGCTGGGAAGTCCAAAATCAAGGTGCAACAGATTCATGTCTGGTGACTGATTACTTCCTTATAGACAGCTGTTTTTTCACTCTAACCTCATGTGGCAGAAGGGGCAAAGAAGAGGCACCTTCATCAGTGAACCAGTCCTATTCATGAGAGCTCTGTTCCCACAATCTAATCACCTCCCAAAGGCCCCACCTCCTAATACCATCAGTTTAGAAGTAAGGATTCTAACATAGAAATGTGGGGTGACATAAAACATTCAAACCACTGCATACCCCTGTCAACAGAAAACCCAAAACAGTTTAAATCTGATACGTCCAGACTTCAGAACAGACACTCATCCAAAGGCAAATACTTGAACACCTCAATTTCCTATCAGGTCACAAGTCAGACTCTGGCCAGCCCTATATCTAGGCCGAACATGCCTCCCTATGGTGAGTTAGCTGTCTTCTTATCATTTCTCATTTGAGAAGTGTCACATAGAGTGATGCAGTGGCCTTCAATTTATTCTTTGTCAGTCACACGCAGTATCTCACCTGCATAAACAACTCCATGAAACTCTTAAGAAGACCTGAAAGTTAGTGCTCCATCCACCTCCAGCTGTCTAGTGTGGTGTATTAGAAAGAGCGCAGGACTGGGGCCTATACTGAAAAGAAACTGCTGGAAGGAAATAATAAAAGCTGAGTCATAAGGAACAACTGAGACTACAGAACAAGAAAGGCCAGATAAGAGTGGGGAGCTGAACAGAGTCAGGGGACTCAGGCAGCGGCACACTATATTTTAAAATATGACATGAAAACAACAGAAGCAGCAGCTCTGTGAAGTTAGGAGCATTATCTGAACCAAGCTTTCTTGTGCAAGTTCAAGAAAAACTAAATTGGCACAAAAAGGAGCAACAGAAAATAATCATCTTATACCAAATTATTATAAGAAAAAAGAGAATAAGAACCTGAATAATATCCCTACAGACAATGAAAGCACACCAGAGACACTCACAAAATACATCAAACTGAAACCTACTATTAAAAAAAGAAAAGCTAAAAGCCACTGGGGATAAAATACGAGACACAATGGAAAAACATAAATTAGAATTTAAAAAACTAAAAAAAAAATGAGAACTAAGAACTAGAAATAGAAGAAAAATTCATTTTAGAAATGAAGACAAAACCAGAATAACACAATAGCAAACAACACAACTAAACATGCCCTAAGAGAAATCAAAGATAAAAAGCAGTTAAGTTTTTTTAAAAACAACAACAAAAAAATAAAAATGAAAGAAAGAGACAAAGTGTTGAGAGGATGTGACCAGATATTGAAAATAGTCAAAGAAGGTCTAATATATGGATAATGGAAACTGAAAAGTAGAATGAAAGCAAGAGAATGGAAAATACTGAAAACTGTGATTCCAAAACTCTCTTCTAAAAGAAAAACATACAATTTGAAGATATGTATTGAAAGAGCACATTGTATATCTAGGAAAATTTGCCAAGAACAACCAATGCCAAAAGAATCTATTAAAACCACAGACTTTAAGGAATAAGTCCTTTAAAAGCTTAGGAAGAGAAAACGATCAGATTTAATATCAGATTTTTAAAAATAGTAGTTTATGCTAGAAAATGGAATAACTTAATATATGCAAGAGGAAAAAATGCAAAGCAAGGATTTTATACCCAAGGAAACCAGTTTTCAAGAATAGAGGGTGTAAAGATGACACAAACTGTCATCAACATGTAGCAACCAGAAAATTTTGTTAGCTGGGTGTGGTGGCTCACCCCTGTAATCCCAGCACTTTGGGAGGTCGAGGCAGATAGATCACTTGAGCTCAGGAGTTCAAGACCAGCCTGGGCAATGTGGCAAAACCCTGTCTCTCCAAAAAAAAAAAAAAAAAAAAAAGCAAAAATTAGCAGGGCATGGTGGCGTGTGCCTGTAGTTCCAATTACTGAGGAAGCTGAGATGAGAGGATCATCTGAGTCCAGGAGGTCGAGGCTGCAGTGAGCCATGATTGCACCACTGGACTCTAGCCTGGGTGACAGAGCGAAATTTCTCTCAAAAAGAAAAAAGAAAAAAAAAAGAAAAGGAAAAGAAAAGAAAAGAATTGTTCCTGTAGTCCTTCCTAAGGAATCTACCAGAGAATCAGCTGCAGATGACCAAAACGATAGAGAGACATTAACATGAAATATATATACTTACCAGTAGAACTAGGGACAAAAGACAGCTTAAAGAAGCAGGCAGTCCAGGTGCAGTGGCTCATGCCTATAATCCCAGCACTTTGGGAGGCCAAGGCGGGCAGATAACAAGGTCAGGAGATCGAGACCATCCTGGCTAACACGGTGAAACCTTGTCTCTACTAAAAATAAAACAAATTAGCTGGGTGTGGTGGCACGCACCTGTAGTCCCAGCTACTTGGGAGGCTGAGGCAGGAGAATCACTTGAACTCAGGAGACGGAGGGTGCAGTGAGCCAAGATCATGCCACTGCACTCCAGCCTGGGGGAAAAGAGCGAGACTCCATCTGGGGAAAAAAAAAAAAAAAAGGCACGCACTGGCCATATGTCCTGACAGTGGAGACACAGTACAACAACAACAAGTGAGAGGAGAGGGAAGCACATGTACAAAACATTCTTAACAGTTTTCAGTTATCATAATTGGTCATATCAATGTTATGAGACTGTTGTGTGTGAAAGATGAGATAATACAAATGAGTAATTATGGGGTATTTAAATTCCCATCCCTTGTGCCCTTCAAAATCAAGATGCTCAGATATGAAAGAAAGTAGATATAGATGTAATCAAGAGAGGTTAAGTTAAAAAACAAAAACCTATAGTCTTGATTTGAATTAGAAACATCATCATAAACTTATGAGGCATGTTTTGCATAGTCTAGATATCCTAGCTCTGGCCACTGAAAAGACCTAGAAACAATACTGGTCACGACATGCAAACATTAACCCAGAGACTTAAATGTGAGAGCTAAAACTAGGAAACTTCCAGAAGAAAACATAGGCAGCGAAAAATATTTGTGACTTTGGGATAGAGAAAAATGTCTTAGGAAAAAAAGTTTTGATAATCTAAGAAAAAAATGGATCAACTGGACTTCATTAAGTTAAAACTTTCTGCTTTAAAATAACACTGTTAATATCCTCTTAAAATGAGTGAATTTTATAAAATGTAAATTATACTTCAATAAAGCTGTTTAAAATTTAAAAGCAAATAAAAAGATACTAGAAGCAAATAGAGCTTTCTTATTGTTTAAAAAATAACAAAACTCGAAGACACGAAAATGAGCTGTGTGTGGTGGTGCACACCTGTATTCCCAGCTTCTCGGGAGGCTGAGGCAGGAGGATCGCTTGAGTCCAGGAGTTTGAAGCCAGCCTGGGGAACATAGTGAGACCTCCATCTCAAAAAGGAAATAAATAATTTTAAAAAATAAATTTTTTAAATGTACAAAAGAAGGAATTGAAAATGCAAGACAGAGTCTGGGAGTAAATATTCACAACACATGTACCTGATAATGGACTCATATTCAGAACATATAGAGGACTTCTACAACTCAATAATAAAGAAACAAAATGCAATTTTTTTAATTGGCAAAATAACAGATGCTTCACGAAAGAAGGTATGGGAATGGCCGATAGAGATGGATACAACTACACACCCACTAAAACAACTAAAATTTAAAATCCTGAAAATACCTGATATGGTTTGGATTTGTGTCCCCACCAAATCTCATGTCAAACTGTCTCATGTTGAATTCCCAGTGCTGGAGGTGGGGCCTGGTGGAGGTGACTGGATCATGGGGGCAGAGTTCTCATGAATGGTATAGCACCATTCCCTCGGTGTTGTTCCCGTGATAGTGAGTGAGTGAGTGAGTTATCATGGGATCTGGGTGTTTAAAGGTGTGTAGCACCTCCCCACGCTCTCTGGGTTCTGCTCCTGCCATGTGAAGATGCCTGCTTCCGATTCGCCTTCCCCCATAAGTAAAAGCTCCCTGAGGTCCCCCAGAATCTGAAGCCACTATGCTTCCTGTACAGCCTGTGGAACTGTGAACCAATTAAACCTCTTTGCTTTATAAATTACCCAGACCCAGGTATTATTTCTTTTTTTTCTTCTGGTTTTTTTTTTTTTTTGAGTTGGAGTTTCGCCCTATCACCCAGGCTGCAGTGTAGTGGCATGATCTTGGCTCACTGCCACCTCCATGTCCTGGGTTCAAGCGATTCTCCTGCCTCAGACTCCTGAGTAGCTGGGATTACAGGCACATGCCACCATGCCCGGCTGATTTTTATATTTTTAGTAGAGACGGGGTTTCACCATGTTGGTCAGGCTGGTCTCGAACTCCTGACCTCAGGTGATCCACCCGCCTTGGCTTCCCAAAGTGCTGGGATTACGGGAGAGAGCCACCGCAGCTGGCCTTCAGGTATTTCTTTATAGGAATGCGAGAATGAACTGATACAATACCCAAAGCAGACAAGGATGTGGAGCTGGAGTAACTAATTCTCATAGGTTGCTGGTAAGAGTGTATGATGGAACAACTCCTTTGGGAAACAGCTCAGAAATTTCTTTAAAAAAAAAATAAAGTTAAACATGTACCTACCATATATCCCAGCAATTTTACTCCTAGGCATTTACCCAAGAGAAATGAAAACACATAACCTTGCAAAGATTTATACAATGATGAGTATGAGTCAGTAAAGAAAGGAAAGAACTAGAACCCAGAATGAAAGAAGTCAGTCATAGAGGGGATCATTCTATATGTCTGACTCCATGCATAGGAAGTTGTAATATGGATAAATTGATTTCATAGTGATTCAGATCAGATGAGGAGTTGCCTGGTTGGGAAAAAATGTGGATGTTTGACCAGAAAAGGACAGAGAGGACCTGTCTGGGACTTTGGAATGTTCTCTATTTTGATCAAGGTGGTGGTCACTTAGGTATACAATTTGTCACAATTTGTTAACTACACATTTATTGTTTATAAAGTATACCTCAATAAAATTGATTAAAAATAATAGAGTAACAGGCTAGTCAATATACATTTGTATAAATATGGGGGTTTGAGGAAATTCTAAGTCACAGCTCTTCTTTCCTTAAGAAACATTGAGAAGTAGATGCAAGAACCAGGCAGATGGAGATTTTTTAAAACCAGTTTCATTACTGAAGTTGCAAAGGTCACAGTTTTGCCTGGAGACCACAGCTGGGCTCCTTACTTCTTTCCTCTTGCCCCTCAACCCAATGCTGGCAAAGCAGGTGCAGTCAGGCTCATGCCCACACCCGCCAAACCCAGCACTGGGCAGAGACGTGGTCTTAATTTGGGTTCAGATTAAGCACAGCCTGAAGCAAGGACTCAGGTGCCGGCAGTTGATTTGGGAGGTGATTTCAGGAAGCAGGAGTGACAGGCGAGGAGAGCAAGGCAGTGCATGGGGAGGATCCAGCGTAAGAGAGACCCATGGTGGTGGCTGCTGCTGCAGGCAGGGTGGCAATTCCAAGGCACCCTCTGAGAGGCACCCATAAGGACTCACAGAGCTTTTACAAAGGAAGCAAAGCCGTGCCTTCATCCACCACCCCTCTCCCACATGACTAGTGCCTACTGAATTTACCTGGCTTTCGATTCTCAGAAGGCAGGGTGGCTTGGGCTGGGAGGGTCAGTGTTTGCAGAAGGAGCCGACCAAAGCTGGCTGTTGCCATTGATGGTGAACCCCTCAAGGGCAGAAATGCTGAGTTACTCATCTCAGTGGCCCCCAGCACACTGATTGGTACAAAACAGATGGTACACAGTACATACTGCACAGTAAGTAAAGGAGGGAGGGAGGGAGAGAGGAAAGAAGGAAGAGGGGAAGGAGGGAGGGAGGGAGGAAAGAAGGAAGAGGGGAAGGAGGGAGGAAAGGAAGAGGGGAAGGAGAGAGGGAGGAAAGAAGGAAGAGGGGAAGGAGGGAGGGAGAGAGGAAAGAAGGAAGAGGGGAAGGAGGGAGGGAGGAAAGAAGGAAAAGGGAGGAAAGAAGGAAGAGAGGAAGGAGGGAGGGAGGAAAGAAGGAAGAGGGAAAGGAGAAGGGAGAGAGGAAAGAAGGAAGAGGGGAAGGAGGGAGGGAGGGAGAGAGGAAAGAAGGAAGGGGGAAGGAGGGAGGGAGGAAAGAAGGAAGAGGGGAAGGAGAAGGGAGAGAGGAAAGAAGGAAGAGGGGAAGGAGGGAGGGAGGGAGAGAGGAAAGAAGGAAGGGGGAAGGAGGGAGGGAGGAAAGAAGGAAGAGGGGAAGGAGGGAGAGAGAGAGGAAAGAAGGAAGAAAGGAAAGAGGGAGGGAGGGAAAAAAGAGAAGAAAGGAAAGAGGGAGGGAGAGAAGAAGAAAGAAAAGAAGGAGGGAGGGAGGAAAACAGGAAGGAGGGAAAAGGAGAGGGAAAAAGTCTTATCCCTATGAAGGGGCAGGTCCTGGGACAACTTCACAGTATCAAGGAAGATACAGGGGTCACACTGAGCTGGTGAGGGATGGGGATGGGGAGTGTCCAGAAGTGGGAAGGTCTCTAGTGAGAGAGGACTCCTGTTCCAGGGGGAGAGCACAGGATTCAGGCTGGAGAAACAGCATGTCAACAGACCCAAGGGTTAAGTGTGTGCAATGCTGTGATTTAAGAAATACATATTTGGTCCCTGCCCCAGGCCCCTGACACACAGCTCCTGATGCCCTTGGACTCTCTGGAGTGATGAGTGTCTTTTTTATGCTAATGAGATGACTGGTGGCTGGCAGCATAGACCAAGGCAGGATTAGAGGGTTGGGACTTTAAGCCCCACCTCCAAACCTCTGCGGAGGGGACAGGGGCTGAGGGTTGAGTTGATCACCAATGGCCAGTGGTTTAATCCATCATGCCTACCTAATGAAGTCTCCATAAAACCTCAAAGGGACAGAGCTGGGGTGGGTCTCCAGATAGCTGAACACGTGGAGGTTCTTAGAGAGTGGTACAGCTGGACAGGGTGGGAGCTCTGTGCCCCTTTCCCCATGCCTTGCCCTGTGCTGCTCTTCCACCTGGCTGCTTACGGGCATCCTTTGTAATACCCTTTATAATAAATGGATCAATATATGTAAAGTGTTTCTCTGAGTTCTGTGAGCTGCTCTAGCAAATTAATCAAACCTGAAAAGGGGGCTGTGGGAACCCCTATTCATAGCCAATCAGTCAGAAGCTCAGGCCACAGTCTGGGGCTTGTGATTGACATCTGAAGTGAAGTGCAGTTTTGTGGGACTGAGCCCTCAGCCTGTGCGATCCGATGCTACGATCTGATGCTATCTCCAGGCAGACAGGGCCCGAATTGAATTGCAGGACACCCCGCTGGTGTCCGCTGGAGAACTGCGTGGCATGGGGGGAACCTCCCTGCACGTCTGATGTCAGAAGTGCTGTGCTGAGTGCTGTGCTGAGTGCTGTGAGAGATTAGGAAAAATGCCTTGGTTTTTCCCATCCTTGGTTAATGTAGAACCAAGAAAATCAAGCATGACGTTGGTGCAGGAAGGAGCAGAATCAGACCCACTGTGAGGGGCAAGGTGGCTGAGGGCCTCCATCAGCAAGATTAGGGATTGGGTTCTGGCCAGCTCTTGGGTTAGCAAGATTCGTGAGAGAGTGGGCAGAGGCCGTTGGTGCCCCATCCTCAGCTGACCCCAGGGAACACATTCCCACCCCCTCAGGCCATCTCCCGTGTCCTGTGCCTGACGAGCTTCTCCAGCAGCTGGAATGACCTTCACCGGGGCATAGCCTGGGTGGCTGCAAAAACTCCTTGGCTTCCTGCCCTTGGTGGGACGATTCCGAGGGGCACCAGATAGACTCTCAGAGGGTCCCTGGTGCACCGAGCTCCTGAGGCCCACCCACCACAACTGTCTCATGACCCTCCCTGGTTTTGGCTTTCCTCCCATCCCTGTTCCCTCATCTATTTCCTGGAACAACTTCCCAGATAAACTACTGACACCTAAGTCTCAGGACCTGCTTCATGGGCACCTCAAACTGTAAGTGAATAAAGGACAGTGGGCTGAACTGCAGGCTGAGTTGGCTCACATGGAGGTGAAATGAATGGCCCCGAGAGCTGGACGCACTGGTGTCTCTGTGATCACACTCTACTACAAGTGTGCGGCCACCTTCTCCAATCGGCCGAGTATAAAAAACAAAATTAAGACCCGCCCTGATCATTTCCTTCTTGTGGCTACCATATTTGTTTGCTTGGGCCTCGGCAACAAAGTACCACAGACTGGGGGGTGTAAACAACAGAAACTGACTTCCTCACTGTTCTGGAGGCTGGAAGTCTGAGATCAAGGTGTCAGCTGGGCTGGTTTCTGTTGAGGCCTCTCTCCTTGGCTTGCAGACGTCTGTCTTCTCCCTGTGTCCTCACATGGACTTCTCTGCGTGTATCTGTGTCCACATTTCCTCTTTTACGAGGGCATCAGTCCCATTGGATTAGAGCCCACCAGTTTGACCTCATTTTAGTTTAATTATCTTTTTAAAGACCCTATGTCCAGACTGGACACAGCAGCTCATGCCTATAATCCCAGCATTTTGGGAGGCCAAGGCAGGTGGATCACCTGAGGTTAGGTGTTCGAGACCAGCCTGGCCAACATGGCAAAAACCCATCTCTACTAAAAATACAAAAATTAGCTGGGCATGGTGGCGCACACCGTAGTCCCAGCTACTTGGGAGGCTGAGGCAGGAGAATATCTTGAACTTGGGAGGCAGAGGTTGCAGGGAGGTGGGGACAGTCATATTCTGAAGTACCTACATTCACAAGGACTTCATCATATGAATTTGGAGGGGGACATAATTCAGGTCAAACACTAATCCTGAATCTTTTTTTTTTTTTTTTTTTGAGACAGAGTCTTCCTCCATCCCCCAGGCTAAAGCGCAGTGGTGCGATCTTGGCTCACTGCAACTTCTGCCTCCCAGGTTCAAGCAATTCTCCTGCCTCAGCCTCCCGAGTAGCTGGGATTACAGGTGCCCACCACAGTGCCAGGCTAATTTTTGTATTTTCAGTAGAGATGGGGCTTCACCATCTTGGTCAGGCTGGTCTCAAACTCCTGACCTCGTGATCCACCCGCCTCGGCCTCCCAAAGTGCTGGGATTACAGGTGTGAGCCAATGCGCCGGGCCAATCCTGAATCTTTTATTACAAGCCGGCTGGCTAGTCATTTGGTTTGGTGGCCCACATGGGCTGACCTGTGGACAGCAGGGGACCCCCCGGGACAGGCACTCTCTCCCCAGGCATTGCCTTCCCCGCCTCAAACGCCAAGGTCACTCTGGCCATCTGCTGCCCAGAGCTCACTGTGAGCTTAACCCCCACTGGGGTTTTAAAATTTAAATCCCCTCGCAGAATATTATTCCCTGCACCTCTTTCCTATTCCGGGTCCCAAAGAAGGCGGCAGTCATTGAGACCCGGCCATTCAGTCCTCCCACGAGTGAGCTTGGGCTTTCAAGGTGCAGACGATCTGGAGTGGTTTGCACTTGTGTTTTAACGTCCTCCAACTCCAGAGCATTTCCCCGAGCACAGGAGAGGCCTGAGCTCCTTCCCTTCCACCTGCGTCTGCCCCATACAAAGCTCCGTTTGTGTCCCTGCGGCTGAGGAGAAACGGCTACTCCGCGCCACCTCATCCACCGACAGGCCACAAAAGCCCAAGCACGAGGTGAGGCTCAAAACAGGCCAGGCCCAGGCGCTGCCAAGCCAAACACAGAGGAAACGGGTGCGAGCCCAGCAGAGAAACCAGATTCCCCTGGAAATCGCTGCTCCCCGCCGTGTCTGGAAGGCCAGCCCCAATAAAGCGGCTCCGGAAGACCTGAAGGACCCCCATGGCCCTCATCTTGATGGAGATGCCAATAAAAATCTCAGAACATCCAGCCTGCAGGCCCTGTAGGCACTGCCCCGGGGCTGTAAACCCGGATACGAGCAGCTGGGGAGCCGGAGGGAAGAGGCCTGCTCCCAAGAAAGCCCACCAGCCAGCCCGGCCAGGCCCGCAAGTAACCGAGACGCCTTCAGGGAGAGGCAGGCAGGGCAGCCTGGACGGGAGGGAAGCCTGCAGCCGGGGCCCTGCTCCAAACCAGGTCCAAAGCTGTTAAATCCATGGGAACTTCAGGAAAGAGTAATGGCTGCCCAGAACTGCAGGTTCTTAAAGAAACCCGGGAGGAACCCGCCTCAGGAAGCAGCAACAGACCCTGCGGTTGTAAACTCAACTCGGAGGGCACCTTGGGGACACAGCTGTGCTCATGATAGAGGAGGAAGTGTGTGTGTGTGTGTGTGTGTGTGTGTGTGTGTGTCTGAATCCATGGCAAAGGACAGCCAAGTTATGCATACGTGTGCACTATTTGTGTCTCTGTATCGGGGGTGTTGTGGAGGCATATCCACAAATGTGTGTATTTGTGTGTCTGTAGCATTCTCAGATTTATCAAATAAAAATACAGGATGTCCAGTTAAATTTGAATGTAGGCAAAAAGCAAATACTTTTTGAATGTGAGTATTCCCAAATATTGCCTGGGACGTACTTATGCTAAAAAGTGCTCGTTGTTTATCTGAAATTCAAACGTAAGTGGGTGTCTTGTATTTCTCTAGCAACCCTATGTGTGCATGAATGTCTAAATTCAGAGTGACAATGACATTTGAGATCACAGAAGTGGTCTTTAATAAAGAGACAAATATATATACACACTCATATACTTTGCCTCCTTACACACACATATATAAAATGATACTATAATAGTCCTCAAAAGTTCTCCTAACAGGTGATTAGTCATTCTTTGTAAGAAGAAAATTAGGTGCCTTGTATGGTATGGTTGTAACCTAAATGCATTTAACTTGCAAATTCATCTACAGGAGCTTGCACAGACAGAGGCATAACACATGTAAATGGTGTGGTAATAGCTCCTGCTGTTCCACTCAGAGTTGAGGTTGGGAGACTTGCCTCTGCGCTCCCTCCACCATCTCAGCCCCAGACACCGCCCCAAGGGGAGCACTGGCTATCCAGGCTTCTCTAGGGCTTAAAGTCATACATATTTTTCTACCCTGTGACTCTGAAAGGTAAGCCAGTTCCTTCATTTGGGGCATCCCACAGAGACAGAAATCTGTTTGAAGGGGATGGAAAGAACTGGTTTGAACCTTCCGGACGCCAGAGGAACTGAACATTCAACACAAAGACTTTTTTTTTCCCCTTCAAAAATGGTCTGAGCTTGCAAACTCCCAAACACTAAACATCTTTCAAGGATAACTTATTCAATGGTATCACTACATGCCCCACTTGATGTAATAAACATTTCCCAGGCCATTCCTTAGCCTTTTCCTGGGTAAGGATGTGAAGGACAGGAGTTCAGGAGATGGGTAAGGCACAGGTATGGTGGGTAGGAAGAGGGGCTGTCAAACCAGACTGGGCCCTAGAAATCCTCTAGCTGAGGGATCTCAAACTGGCACCCTGCTCGCCAAGTCTGCCTGGTCAGCAGCGCACGGTCATCTTTAAATGTTTGAATTTAGTGCTTACAGGCAGGGCACGCACCCTCCATTTTCACCCCTACCCTTTACCCTCTATGATCTGAGGATCAGCTGTTTATTATACGTGGGCCGCCTGCCTGCTCCTGCGCAAGACAGACTCCATTCGTGAGGACACTGGGTCCCACACAGAGTGGGGCTCATAGCAAGGCAGGGCAGGAACTCAGGTCTCCAACTCCCAAGCCAGGGCAGGACTCTGTTTCCCCTCCATTCTGCAGCCCTCAGGCCATGGAAGAGTGAGTCCTGCTAGTTGAGAACGCAGAAGTGAGACATGATCCCTCAGTCCATGTCACCTTGGGAAGCCTCCTCAGCCGTGGTGACACTACTCTCAAATCTGAATCTGATCAGGCGGAACTCAAAGGGTTACCCTGATCCTGCTCTGTTTACAGACCTCGATCCCAGCTCCTTCATTTAATTTGGTTTTTGTTTTCCTGGTTTGTTTGCTTGTTTGTTTGAAACAGAGTCTCACTCTGTTGCCCAGGCTGGAGTGCAATGGAGCGATCTTGGCTCACTGAAACCTCCACCTCCTGGGTTCAAGCCATTCTCCTGCCTCAGCCTCCCCAGTAGCTGGGATTACAGATGCATGCCACCATGCCCAGCTAATTTTTTTATTTTTAGTAGAGACAGGGTTTTGCCATGTTGGCTAGGCTGGTCTCGAACTCCTGACCTCAGGTGATTTGCCGCCTCAGCCTCCCAAAGTGCTGGGATCACAGACGTGAGCCACCGCACCCAGCCTCAGCTTCTTCATTTAAATCCACTGATTGGAATCCCAAGCATCTGCAGAGAAAAGAGAAAAAGAAGAACCACATTTTTTTCTGTGGGTGTGTTTTTTGATATCCAGGGATCCTGTAAGAACCCATTGTTAAATTTTCAAGATTTTGAAATTGCTAAGCACAATAAATATTAAATTTATATACTTAAATAAATTATATTAAAATGTGGCAATAAATACTTAAAACGTATCCCTTCCTGATTATGTCATGAGATTTTACTGTTACCTATGCTCTCGAGGATATGGATGTTTATTGCATCTGTGTGATGATATTTTTTTTTTTTTTTTTTTTTGAGACAGGATCTTGCTCTGTAGCCCAGGCTGGAGTGCGGTGACACAATCAAGGCTCACTGCACCCTCCACTTCCCAGGCTCAGGTGGTCCTCCTACCTCAGCCTCCCGAGTAGCTGGGACTATAAGCGTGCACCACCACACACGGCTAATTTTTGTATTTTTTGCAGAGACAGGGTTTCGGCATGTTGCCTAGGCCTGTCTCGAACTCCCGGGCTCAAGTCATCCACCTGCCTCGGGTTGGTAATATTATATAATGGCATGCTACTGTGCAGCTCTTTCCAACTCCATGTTCGATAATATCGCACACATTAGTAGCTTGAAATTTGTTGCTGTGGAAGTATATACACCATGGAAATAGGCAAGTGCTACACATGAGACTTGGATTTATTGTTTTATTGATTGTCTAGACTTAAGAAGGTGATGAAGAAAGTGTTAATGATCAAGATTGTGAGAGGAGAGTTTTCACAAAAGGTTAAAATTATGACTCTCAAGCAGGTATAATATGAATACAAGTCAATTATTTTACCTAACCCATTAATTAATGAGGGACCAGTAAGAAGTTACAACTGGGTTAAACGAGGATTTGCCTTGCACAGATTTACATTTTCTACCTGGTAAAATTCATTTGCATAACCTTGGACAGGTATCATTTGCTTAGCCATGGACATAAAAGATTTGCCCACTATCAATTTTTTATAAGTTAACATCTCTGCAAGGTTGTAAAATAAAAAGACAGACAAAGGCACATACCTCTATAGCATGAGATAATCCCTGGAGGCCCCAGAGATTTACTAAAAGAATATCCAGTAATCTTTTATCCACCTCAAAATCTTCCACAATTTTTCCTCAAGAGATTATATTTAAAGTATGTTATACCTGTAGCCATTATATTGTGAAAAGCACTAAAAAAATTAAGAAAATACTCTTAGAATTTGAAAACTATTATCCAACTTAGTAAAGAAGTGACATAATATTGATGAATAAGTGAAGTTCTTTTTTTTTTTTGAGACAGAGTCTCACTCTGTCCTGGAGTGCAGTGGCTTGATCTCAGCTCACCACAACCTCTACCTCCCGGGTTCAAGTGATTTTCCTGCCTCAGCCTCCTGAGTAGCTGGGATTACAGGTGCCCACCTCACAGCTAATTTTTGTATTTTTAGTGGAGACGGGCTTTTCCATGTTGACCAGGCTGGTCTTGAAATCCTAACCTCAGGTGTTCCGCCCACCTTGGCCTCCCAAAGTGCTGGGATTACAGGTGTGAGCACCATGTCCAGCCTGATGAGTGAGTGAAGTTCTGACGTAAATCTTTGTTGTTTTAGTCTTCTCTCACTCATTAGAGTAAATGAAAATACCAACCAACATACATGTTGAAACTATACTCATTCATCAATGATGTGAGTCACTTCTTTGCTGACTTGGACAGTATTCAAACATTTACTTGTAGTTTAATCTTCTCAAATCATGACTGAGATGCAACCATAAGTCAGCTACAGATAAGAATTTAGCAAAAGTTCTCAAAAGCATTCTATGAGAATCAACTGGCTCTGTGGAATTTGCAATAAAGAATATTATATATTTTCTTATTTGTAAGTTGTGTGCTACAATCCTTCATATCAGTAAAATGCACAATAAACATGTACACATATGAATGCCTACTTTTTTTTTCTTAGCCAACTGTTAAAAAATTTAACTACACACCACTGATGGAGATCCTCTGGATTCTTATCTGGATCATAGAATTTCCTTTAAAAATTTCTTTTTAATTTTACTCTATAAGAGTAAGAACATTTTATATCAAGAACCAGCATACACACACAGACACACACACACCTTTAAAACAATCATAAGACAATTATTTTTCCCTTTAACTCTAGACACATTCCAATCTATTCCATTCCAGTCCAGTCCATTTCAGTTAAAATAGTTGCCATTTCAGTATGATCTTACTATAGATCTCAGGAAGATTCCCATCTGCAGTTTGAAAAACTCTTACCTAAACTCAACTTTCAGCCCTCCCTCATCTCCCAATCTTCCTCCTCCTCCTCCTCTTCTTCTTCTTCTCCTCCTTCCTCACCCCTCACCCTCCCAGGCTCAGTCAATCCTCCCACCTCAGCATCCGGAATAGCTGGGACTACAGTTGCGTGCCACCACATCTGGCTAATTTTTGTGTATATATATATACATATATATATATATATATATATGTGTATATATATATATATATGTATATATATATATTTTTTTTTAAATACAGGGTCTCTCTGTGTTGCCCAGGCTGGTCTTGAACTCCTAGGCTCAAGTGATCCTCCTGCCTCAGCCTCCAAAAGTGCTGGGACTACAGGCATGAGCCACTGCACCTGGCCCCCTCCCAATTCTCTCCTTATTCCCACATCACACTTGAATTTGAAGGTCTGTCTCAGATGTCTTCTCCCTGATCAGTGAGTGGGCTAATCTCCAGAATTAGCTCTCTTCCCCAGTATTTTTTCACACTGGTACAATTGTATGTTCCTTTGTGTCTGGCCCTCCTGACTTACTCTACACAAAGGTGGGAACAACTTTGTACGCATCTCTGGAGCTTCAGCACATGACACAGTGCCTGGCACAGACAAGGCTTTTGAAAGTGTGTGGAATGAGTATATGAATGAACAGCTGAATGAATGAAATTCAGAATGCAATGCCTCTTATGAAAAGACAGCCTTCAGTAGAGTGATCACTCATTCAGTCTCATGAAATCTATAGGAATCAGACGAATCATCATGCCCTTTTCACTAGACAGAGAAACTGAGGCATCAAGGAGCAGAGTGACTTGTAGGGAAAAATACACACAGCTTATTCTTTGACCATCCTGTCAGCAGAAAAGGGAGGGGAAAATAGTTATGATGATTCTTGCTCAGAAGAAATCAAAAAAATCTCTCCCACACTGGCTGAAATAGGAAGTAAAGCTGAATGCTGATTTGCAGATGTTGGAAATCAAATTGCATCATGTGTAATGGAATTCTAGAAATTTGTAGGGTCAAAAAACAAACAAAATAACCAAACACACACTTTTCATTTCTTAGGCAATAGTACCAATAAAACGGTGTTAACCCAAATCACATTGCTTTATTTCAGCTTCAGTTACCCTGAAGAAAATTCCAGCCAACAACTTTCCACACTGTTGTTTAAGTAAGCTGACCCGGGTCTGGCTTTTATGTGAATTGTGAATTAGACATGGACACTTGTATTTTATTTATAGCAAAACGCCATTATTTATCGAGGGCTGATGATTGTTATGTCAACTACGTATAGTCTTTGGTAAATCTCCCATCACCCATAGAGGGATGTTACTATTATTATGCCTATTTCGCAGATGAGTAAACTAGATTTAACGCAGCTCTTCAGCCAGCAAGTGGCCAAGCTGGGGTTTGAACCCAGGGCTCCAAAGCCAAGATTTCCTCCAAAACATGTGAAGAGCCTCAGGCAACATGGCGCTGAACTTACCAGGAAGTATCAAAGGAGTCTGCAGGACTGAGCCTGCACTGTGTCTACTCCACCACAGGTGAGTGTACGGAGATAAAGAGGGAGTGCCTGGCAACCTGACCTGTGGCCCCTGGCTGGTGACCTTTGCCTTGACCCTCTGCTGTGTTTTTGCTTAGTGATTACAGATGGTCAGGGTCAAGGGCAGCTTGCCTTTATGGGTGATCTAGTGGAAAAAGTGCAGGTTTTGAAGGCAGACAGAGCTGGGCTTGAATCTGGACTTTATTATTTAACAGTTACGTAGATCTTCGACCTGGGACTGCCTCTCCCCGAACCCCAGGCTCCTCATTAAAAAGTGTGGCTGCATAAGACTTTCTTCACAGGTGTACTCTGAGCATGAAATGAGCTAACATGCATGGAGGCATGCAGTGAGGGTTGAATGACGCTAGCCCCTTTCCTTGCCACTCACAAGTACAGCCCTAACTGCTGAGAGTGCTGGGCCACCCAGAGAGAGAGAGAGAGAGAGAGCAAGGGCCTGCAGAGAAGGTCATCACAAGGACAGCAGCACCTTGCAGGTGTCAGGGGGACAAGGGACCAATGCTTTCACCTGCCCCGTGCTGCTTGATTTTGCTCAAACCCATTTACTCAGGCAGGGAAGAGATTGTCATTCTTTCTATATGAGGAAACTGAGACTCGAGTTGGATGACCAAGTGTGACGCCTCCCCCTCCTCCCCCCACACCCCAGGCATTCTCGAACCCACTTCATGAATTTGCCACTTCCATATACCACCCATAACGCAGTTTACTAAATATGTGTCCTCAAGTCTACTTGGTTGCTTACTTAAATTCATTGTCAAAGGAAACTTGACTTCACCACCATAAATGGGAAGCCAGCAGTGCAACTGTGGCCATAACAAAGAATACGATGGAAGTAAGTCCACTTGATTAAATTCCAGATAAACACACTATTGCCTGTGAACCTGGAGCCTGCCTGCTGTTGATGAAAAGGGAGATAAACAAAAGTCAAAGAAGCGTTCAAGACAAAGTAGCACCAGAGACTCTCTTCTTAACAGAGGCTTGAAAGCAAACTGAAAAGGGAAGAATCATTTCATATGTGGTCTGTGTTACCTAAAGGTACAGTCCCTGCATCATCAAAATCAACTCTGGGCTTCTAAAATCTCTCTAGTCAGGGAAACACTGATAGACCTGGTCCTACTTTTTGGGCTCTGAACTGTTGAGTGGCTTGCCAGCGGCAAGAGGGCTGAGAGGCACTGTCTCAGGCTGGCCTCGACCACTGAGCAGAGCTGTTTCTGCTGCTCCACGGGTCCGGAAATGCTCAGGGAGGGATGTGGGGGCTTTGCTTGCTCGGAACTTCCATTTCCCAGGCTCAGCAGCTATCAACTTTTCTCCCACAGATTGTTCTAGAAATGAGTCTGTCTGGACCCCCCCACACACACGTGGTTTGGCAGCGGCATGTTCACGCCTCTGTGTCTATTGTTGAGACCAGGGTTTGTCAATCTCAGCAGCGTTGGTGTTTGGGGCCAGAAAATCCTTCACTGTGCTGGGGCTGTCCTGGGCACTGCAGGACGTCTGACAGCGTCCCCAGCCTCTGCCCCCTGGGTGATGTTCATCTCCTTCCAGGAGTGACAACCAAAAATGTCTTATGGGGGACAACCCTCCCTCTCCCACCCCACTTGAAAGCACTGCTTTTGATGGAAAAAAACAAATGTGGTTTTTAGTCCCTGGGGAAAAGTCTACTATTAGTGGGATTTAGTTTGTTTGTTTATTTTACCTTCTTAGAGAAAGACTTACCTTTATAGATAAATTTGTAAGTTATAGTTATTATTCTTACCTCCTGACTAAAGACTAATAAAGCAGTTGGAAAAAAAGGGGGCATTTATTGTTTATGTCACTTGAGGCCAACTGAAAGCCAAGATAATGGACCAGAGGGTAGAAGAGGGAGGGAGAGGATAGGAGGAGGGAAGGAGGGAGGAAGGGAATGGCCACTGATTAAGCATCCCCCCGGGGTGCTGGGACCTCAAAACATTGTCTCCTTTCACTCACAGAATCCAACAGGGAAGGTTGGATGAGGACGGGAGACTAGAAAGGTCAAAGGGCAGGCAAGTGACTAGCTGGGTCCTCTCTCTGGCTGGGGAGCCCACACTCCCTTTTCTGGGGAGGAGAGAGGAGGAAAGAGTCAGTTCCAGGATTGGAGGGACTTGGAGCTCAGCTAGTCCTACCTTCCCAAACTCAGAGCTGTGATGTGAATTCCTTGAGGGCATCAGCTAATTGTCACTAGAATCCAAACTGTCACCAAGAAGACAGGGAAGAGGTAGACCTAGTGGATGTTGGTGAAGAGGGGCAAAGCAGGCTTCAACCCACACAGCCTGTCTCTTAGCCCTCTGCACTGCCCACGGCTCAGTCACATAGTCCTTCTCTGCATATGTGCACAGATAGGCTGGCCAAAGGGTGCTAAGAGCAATTAGCAAGGCAGGTAGTCAGCTGTCACGAACGGGGCCCCAGTGGGAGATGCTACAGGCTTGACATGAGGTCTTCTCAGACCCCTGTATCTTTTCTTCTATTTCTCTATCCTTCTAACTTAGCAAACTGCTACCTAACTGCAGCCAAAAGTGGACGTCTCATGGACCAGCCCCTTGCACCTGGAAAACCAGAGATCACACACAGGTCACCCCTCAGGTCAGAAAAGCCCATCGAAGTAATCTTAACCCTGCTTGGGTGATAAAGTCCAGCTCCCAGAGCAAGGGCCACATTCGCTTGTTTCATTAAACAGCATGGAAAGATTCAAGACTCGTCTCAACTGGCCATCCCCAGATCAGAGCAAGCCAATGAGCAGCCCCGTTACTGCCCTCGCCTTCTGCAGAAACGCCAGAGGACTAGAGAGGTTCATCAATTGTGATGGAAATTCTATCTGTGTGGCGTTTGTCTCTCTCCAGGTTTCTCTGCCTGCCGGATACCCAGGCTCACATCTGCTCCATGGCACACTTATTGAATATAATCCGAAAGAAAGTTGCTGGCAATCTGGAGAAAGACGAACCCTTCCCGTTTCTGAGACGGAAGGACTTCTCAGGTGAGAAGCACTTTTACATGCATCGCCCCCTTCCGAGTGCCCCAGTGCCTCCAGGAGGGCAGGTGACTGTCGAGGCTGTGGCTCTGTTTGCGACACAGAGCCGCCATCTACTCTCCTGGGGTCAGAAAGTCCGTTGGCAAGTTTCAGATAATAACTCAGCTAATTTGGGTGGAGCTCTCTCTACTTTTGTTTCCCAAAGGAAAGACGCCAGAGATGGAAAGATGTTAGAGAAACAGAAGAATGAACTCGGCTGAACTAAGAAAGGCAGTCCTTGGCAGGATGTGGGGAGGGTAGTGCCTCCGGCCAACACAATAGGATTCACCTGGGAGAGGGGCCAGCTCCGGAGATTTCTGAGAGGCTCCTCCTCCAGAAGGATCAGCCAGGTCCCGGCAGCTCAACCGGGCCAAGGTGCCGGAGACCCTCGGACTCTGCAGACTGTCCAGTAGGGGGCACTGTTGCCTCCACACTGGCCGACCTCAAACACCTTCTGCTCCTGGTGTGCCCCTCCCCAAGGTCCTCCCCCAGGAGTGGAAGGCCGTCTCCAGCCCTGAAGAGACTCAAGGATCCTACCTGTCTGCAAGCCACCCCAGGCTGGCCTACCTGGCAGAGCCTGGGTGACATCCTGCATCCTCAGGGATGACACAGCAATCACTACAGCTGCTGTTTACTGAGCACCTACTATGTGCCAGATGCTTTCACTGTGTGACCTCATTAAAACTCCACCGGAGCCCTCTGACTGGGGTATTATTAGTCCCACTTTACAAATAAGAAAGGCAGCTTCAGAGGCCACACAGTCCATAAACATCAAAGCATAAGCGTCTCAGGTCTTTCCAGGTGGGAAGTTTGGGCCCCTTCCACTGTCCCCGACAGTGTCAGATCCTGTGGTTCCAGAGGGCTGCCTGTCCCCTGGGATCCAGGGCTGGGCGTGTATTATCTTGTGAGCTAGGTAATATTTTATACAAAAGCACAGAGCGGTCAGACGCCTGCCCAAGATTGCATAGACACCGCAAGTAGAGCCAGGATTTGAGCCTGGACTTCCGGGATCCAAGGCCCATATTCTTTCCATTACCTGGCCCGCCCCCTGTAGAGGGCCCATCAAAAACACCGCGTCCTTGCTTGCCCAAACCAACAGGAGGCCTCTTCCATGATCTCTTTCACTATGGCTTTCATCCCCTATTAATGCATTCTTGTGAATTTGGGGCTTTCTAGGCCTTCTCAGGTTGGCCAGGTCCACACAAGCTCATTGGCCTCTCTGGCCTCAATTTCCCCACCGGAAAATAGAGATTTCAAGGCATGGGCGGGCAGGGCTGCTGGTATGGAATAAGACCCCGATTCTGGTTCTGGTTGGGGGTGGCCGGCAGGCTTTTTCCACCGCCAGGGTCAGGGAGGCTTTGCATACTTGTGTGGGCGGCGGAGCAACTGCCCCCACGTGAGCCCCTGAACAAAGAGGCCTCAGAGCACCTCTCCTCGCACCACTCGCCGCCTCCAGCGCCCGCCGCCAGCCGGCTCAATAGAGCGCTTGTGGCCGCGCTGAGGAGCTGCGGCCCAGGCTCGGCGCATTGTGCATTGTCTGAGTCCCGGCGCCGCGGCCAAGGGTCGCTCCATCAAGGTCGCGCCTGGGAGGACGGGGGCTGGGGGGCGCGCGCGGGAATTGCCGGCCGCTGGGCAGCGACACGGTGCATTTGTCTCAGCGCTAGGGGTCACGGGGACTTTCAAAAGAAAGGCTTCCGGGCGCCCCTCTGCCCCTGATAAAGGCACCCATTGCTGCTCTCAACCCAACCCAGGCAAAACCCCACATTCCTCAACAGAGCCCTGAACTGAAATGACCCAGCAACCCACGGTGGAGTGAACCTCAGCTGAAGCCAAATGTTCGCTTTTCACTGAACTGAAACAACACTTGGGCGTTTTCCAAAATCATTCACTGGGAACATTTGTGCATTTGTTTATTCATTTAATAAACGCTCACTGGTCACTGCCCTGTGGTCCAGGCACAGTTCAAGGCGCCAGGGCTCCTTGTGGGGTAAGCAGTGAGGTCTGCCTGGTGGAGTCACAGATACGGAAACAGGATGGCACAGTCAATAAATGGTTGCCACTCCACATTCTCAGGGCAAGCACAGTGCCTGGCTCAGGTAGGGACTCAGCCTGTTCCCTGGAGGAATGAAGACAGGGAGGGGGCGAGGTGGGGACCCTAATAGAAGCGTGGCTCTGGTCTGTAATACAAGCACTTTAGGAGGCCGGGGCAGGAGGATCATTTGAGCCCAGGAGTTCAAGACCAGCCTAGGCAACATAGCAAGACTCCATCTCTACAAAAAATAAAAAAAACTAATTCGCCAGGTGTCGTGGTGCGTGCCTATAGTCCCAGCTACTCCAGAGGCTGAGGTGAGAGGATCGCTTGAGTCTGGGAGGTCAAGGCTGCAGTGAGCCATGACGGTGCCACTGCACTCCAGCCTGGGCCACAGAGCAAGACTCTCTCTAAAATAAGTAAATAAAAGTGTGGCCAGGTGCTGCGGGATCAGAGAAGTAAGGTCTGCTACTTTTCCGGGCAGTCAACATCTGAAAGAAACCTGAATTTACCCTACCTGAACTACGTGTTTTTAAACTGAAAGAAATCAAGTAATACAAGAATAACGAGAGGTTCAATTGAGTTTTCAAAGGTCCGGAAGGTGTCCTGAGCAAAATGCCAGGTTGGTCGTTAATCATGCATTCATTCATCCATCATTCTTTCATTCAACCAACACTTATGGATGAAGCACCCACTCTAAGCTAGAATCTGTGGGGATTTACCCACACCCAGGTCCTTCTAGTTTCTTTAACAATGAAAAAGCAACTCTTAAAAAGCCCACTCAGGGGCCGGGTGCGGTGGCTTACACCTGTCATCCCAGCACTCTGGGAGACCGAGGTGGGCAGATCACTCGAGGCCAGGAGTTCAAGACCAGTCTGGCCAATATGGCAGAACCCTGTCTCTACTAAAAAAAATTAGCCAGGTATGGTGGCGCATGACTGTAATCCCAGCTACTTGGGAGGCTAAGGCACAAGTATCGCTTGAACCTGGGAGGTGGAGGTTTCAGTGAACCAAGATCATGCTACTGCACTCCAGCATGGGTGACAGAGCGAGACTGTCCCAAAAAAAAAAAAAAAAAAAAAAAAAAAAGGAAAGGAGAAAAAGAAAAAAAGCCCACTCAGGGATTGGGGCCTGCAGAAGATCTGGACTCAAATTTTATAGCAAGTGGCTTAAATAAGAAATGGAATTTGAGCTAATTTCCTCACTTACAAGGCTGCCTGCCTGCCTTACAGGGATTTGGGGAGAGTAATGTATAGAAAGTGCCTTCCTCAATGGAGCCGGCATCACCATAATCTGCTATGTGTGCCCTGGTCTTTACAGTTAACAAATCTCCTTCACTTGCAAAATTTCATTTTGTTTTCACCATAATCCCAGGAGTTCAGCAGGACTGCTATGTTTAATAGTCACCTTTACAGAGCAGGAAATTGAGGGTCAGAGAGATGAAGCAACTTACCAAGTTCACACAGCAACTCAGCGTTAGAACTGAGACGAAAACACAGAGTTTGAATCTAAAGCTTTGAGGGTTGGTCTGATTCTGTTGACAAAGCTTCATGACAATGCCAGAAGACTCTGGGGACTGGTATTTCCAAAGTAATTAGTCACATCTAACATAGGAGAGACTTAGGATCAAGCACCAAAGATCTGCCACCTATTTTGGGCATGTGAGTAGCCCAAGGAATGTTCTAGAAGGAATACCTGGTGAGAGAAATCATGTTTCCCAAAGATGGCCACAACAGTAGCTCCCATCCCACATGCTGTACCTGTAGTAGGACTGTCTCATTCTCTCATTAGGATGTGGGGTCTAATTTGCCTCCCCTGGAATCTGGGCTGGCCTTACAGACTTGCTTGACAAATATAAAGTGGTCATTAGTGGTATTCTGGGACTTCTAGGGCTAGGTCATAAGAAGCCTTGCAGTGTCCACTGGGGTCTCTGGGGTTGATCTTGGAGCACTCTGTGTTGTAAAATTCTTTACACAGAGAGGCCATATATGGATGTTCCCAGGGACAGCCTTAGCCATGCTCCCAGTTGACGACCAGCAGGTCATCATGCTGTGTGAGCCATCTTGGACGTCCTGCAACGTCAAGCCCTCAGATAATTCCAACCCCAGCTGAATCCAACTACAAACAGCATAAGAGAACCTACGCAAGAACTGGCTGAGTCCAGTCAAATCCCAGAACCACAGGAGACAATAATGCATCCATATTTTAAGCCATACAGCTGTGGATGGTATATTATAAAGCAATGAATAACTGGAATACCTGGAGTGGTTTACAGGGCTCTTCATTTAAAGAGAAACTGAGGCTAAGAAATTAATCAAGGCCCTTCCTCTGGGCTCTCAGAACGCTCAGTGTAATTGCTATAAGGGTATCTGAGCCCAAATCATTGGTTTACTTGTCTGTCCTACGAGACTGTGAGCTCTTGGGGGATAGAGAATATATTAGGGCTCTGGAGTTGCTAGTAACGGAAATAAAACTGGCTTACTTAAGCAAAGCAAAATTGATTGGGAGGATTTGGGAGAGCTCAAAGAATTAGAATAAAAACCAGACTGGGTTCAGAGAACAGCAGTGATCCAGGGCAGGGGCACATGGAGAGTCTCTGGGGGTGCCAGGGCTATACATGAAGAGTAATCCTTTGTCCCTGTCATGTTATGCTGCTCAAGATTCCAATTCCAGGGGGAATACTCTTGACTGGCCTGCACTGGGCCACAGAAGGGCAGGCCCCACTTGGATGTGGGCCCCACTCAGGCTCTGTCCATTGGATGGGCTGTCCCCTAAACAAATTCAGGATGTTGATGCCAGAAGAATGGGGAGTGGGTATTGAAGAGGCAAAGTTGGGCCATCACATTTGCCCCAGCAACCCCAGTACCCAGCTCAGTGTCTGGCACATAATAGGTGCTCAAGAAATATTATTTTGATGTGTGAACAAATAAACAATCTAATGAATAAATGTGCATGAATGAATGAAGCAACACATGAACAAGTGCATAGTTAGACAATGCGTGGGCCATGTGCAGGCCTTTGAAGACACCTGCTAGATATTACAGCACTTTAACTCCCCTCCACCAAGCCAGGCATTTTTTTCTCAAGAGAGTTTCTGATACCTGGATTCTAGAATGTATACAATTTTAATCCCCTAATCCTGTCAGTTTAAGAACATTATACACTTTGAACAGGGCCTGTGATAATTCCTGAAAACACCCCAGGAGCGGTGACTCCCTAGCCCTGCTTGATTTTAAATTCAGTTTTCAGGGGAGGGCTGGTGGAGGAGATAGATGTGAGGGAGGCTTGTCTCTGAGGCAAGAGCTGGGAGGTCTGGCATTTCCTTTTATGGGTCCACAGCTGTTCAGCAGAAGGCAGCTGGACGAGGCTTGGTCTGGTGGCCGCCACACTACACCCAAGGCAGGTAGATGCGTCATCTGCACATCTGCCCAAAACCTGCACGTAAAGGACGACAGACCATGTTGTCTCACGCCTTACACAGACTCACTAAGGGTAAAAGGTCAGACTTCACCAACTCCTGAAAACGTCGCCACTTCTATTTTTGGTACACTTTCAAGGCACTCATCCTAGGTGGATAAGCTTTGGGGAGACAGGCCAGAACGAGGTCCCGGGTCAGGAGCCCAGCTGGTTGGGCCCAGTTGCCGGTGTGAGGCCTTCCAATTTGTTCTGAGACCCCCATCCCATGAACCAAATCCAAATAAAGTGACATTCCCAGCCTGCTGGTCCTGTCCTGGTGACTGGGGAGAGAATGGGTTCTCGCTCCGGCCAGGACTATAGAATTTAATGTTAATGATGGCCAATAGTGCCCCCTGGGATGGGCAATGGACTTTATTGGCCCCAGACATAGTCATTCTGGTGGGGGACTCAGGACCAGAGCTGATTCAGCCTAACGGTGGCAGAGGGGGGTGGCCAAGGAACTGGAAAGTAGTGAATAGAATCTTTGATGCCTTTACAATTTGTTAGCACACGCACAAAGAAAACTTAAAAAGCAAATTGGCTCAAATATATATTAATACCTCGACACACCCTGATTTACTCATCTGGAGGTAACTTACCAGTCAACAGATATTCTCCAGGACAGGAGGGAAAGGGTTAAGGAAGGAAAGGTCATTTGTGCTGAGCACCAGGGGGTGCCAGGGGTGATGTTAGGAACTTTCAATATATTATGTCCTTTAGGCCCTACAGCAGTCTGGAGATTCAATGCAACCTCATTTCACAGGTAAGGAAACTGAGTCCACAGAGGTGAGGTACATTGCCCAAGGTCATGATACTCCTAAGTGGCAAACCTAGGATTTGAACCTCGGTCAAGTCAGACTCTGTGGCCCATCTCCATTTCATTACATCATACCATCTCCTGGGAAGTAAACAAAAGAGGTGTTTGAATGGAAACGCACAGACCTCATTCACCAGAGAGTCTGCCAGAGCCACTGATTCTGGCTGTTATACAATTCTCACAAGTATGATTATTCGATCTCCTGGCTCACAGACAATGGGAAACATCAAATAAGTAGGAGAGAAGGCTACAGAAGGAAGCATACAGTGTGACAAGTAGCTATGGAAGCCAGGGTTCCAGGTACAGTAAATGGTGGGGTGGCTTGAATCTGACCAAGCCTCCTGATTGTAACCATTAAAATCTCTGAATAGCAAATTTTTAAAAAACCATTTGAAGGCACTGGAATGCAATTCAGAACTGGTGGGAATACAACTCTTGGGAAAAAAAGAAAGCATATAATTTTATGATTTTCTCAAAGAAAAAGCTTTTGTTTCATTCTCTCCTTTTTAATTTTTTATTTGTATATTTTTGGGGGGTACAAGTGCAGGTTTCTTCCATGCATATATTGCATAGTGGTAAAGTCTGGGCTTTTCCTATACACATCATCTGAAGAGTGAACATTGTATCCAATAGGGAATTTTCTATCCCTCACCCCCATCCCCACCCTCCCATGTTTCATAATCTCCAATGTCTACTATTCCACTCTGCATGCCCCTGTGTACCCATCATTTAGCACCCACTTATAAGTGAGAACATGCAGTATTTGACTTTGTGTTTCTGTCTCCTCTTGGCTTTTCAATGTCACTGATACCTAATTTTACTTTATTATTTCCTTTCTTCTTTTTACTTTGGACTTGATTTGCTCTCTCTTTTCTTGTTTCCTAAGGTAAAAGCCTAGGTCATTGCTTCGTGACCTTTCCTCTTTTTTTTTTTTTTTGAGACGGAGTCTGTCTCTCTCACCCAGGCTGGAGTGCAGTGGTGCCATCTCGGCTCACCGCAAGCTCTGCCTCCCAGGTTCACACCATTCTCCTGCCTCAGTCTCCCAAGTAGCTGGGACTACAGGTGCCCGCCACCACACCTGGCTAATTTTTTTGTATTTTTAGTGGAGACAGGGTTTCACTGTGTTAGCCAGAATGGTCTCAATCTCCTGACCTCGTGATCTGCCCACCTTGGCCTCCCAAATTGCTGGGATTACAGGCATGAGCCACCAAGCCTGGCCCTTTCCTCTTTTTTAATGGCAATTCATGCTATGAATTTTCCTCTGAGCACCACTTTAGCTGCATCTTGCAAGTACTGATAATGTCAGTTTTTATTTTCATTCACTTTGAGTTACTTTTGATTTCTTCTTTTTTTAATTTTTTTTATTATACTTTAAGTTCTAGGGTACATGTGCACAATGTGCAGGTTTGTTACATATGTATATATGTGCCATGTTGGTGTGCTACACCCATTAACTTGTCATTTACATTAGGTATATCTCCTAATGCTATCGCTCCCCTCTCCCCCCACCCCAATTTTTAAATTTTGTGGGTACATAGTAGGTGTATATATTTATGGGGTACATGAGATGTTTTGATATGGGCAACTTTTGATTTTTGCTTTGGCCCATGCATTACTTAGATGTATATTATTTTGTTTCTAATATTATGTCATTTTCCAGATGTCTTTTGGGTATTGATGTCTAATTTGTGAGCACAGAGCAAATTTTGTAAAGTGGGGGTTCATTTACATTTATCAAGACTTGTTCTGTAGCCCAGAATATGGCCTACTTTGGTACATATTCCATGTGCGTTGGAGAGGAGTGTGTATTCTGTTGTCCTTGGGTGAAGTGTTTTATAAATATCAGCTAAGTCACGCTGGTTGATAGCGTGCCATCTGTTGTTTCCTTTTCCTCTTTTTCTGCCGTCTTTTAGGTTGAGCTTTTTTTTTTTTTTTAATGGAGTTTCGCTCTTGTTGCCCGGGCTGGAGTATAGCGGTGTGATCTCAGCTTCGCTGCAACCTCCACCTCCTGGGTCCAAGTGATTCTCCTGCCTCAGCGTCCCAAGTAGCCAGGACTACAGGTGCCTGCCACCACGCCCAGCTAATTTTTGTATTTTTGGTAGAGATGGGGTTTCACCATGTTGGCCAGGCTGGTCTTGAACCCCTAACCTCAGGTGACCCTCTCATCTCAGCCTCCCAAAGTGCTGGGATTACAGGTGTAAGCCACTGTGTCCGGCTGAGAATTCTTTTATGATCCTATTTTATCTCTTGTGGGCTTCTTGGCTACCCCTCTCTGTTTTCTTTTAGTGGTTGCTTTAGGGTTATAGTACACATTTTTCCCTTATTACAATCTACCTTCAAGTGATATTATAACACGACATGTGCTATATGAAAACTTTATAACAGTATACTTCCATTTCTCCTCTCCTGGCCATTGTTCTAATTTGTCATATATTTTTACTTCTATGTATGTTATAAACTCCACCTTACAATATGTTAGTTGATAGTAGTTTTACTTTTAATAATTACCTTTTAAAGGATTTATTTATTTATTTATTTATTTATTTATTTATTTTACAGAGAGGGTCTTGATCTGTCACCCAGGCCATCTTCCCACTTCAGCCTCCCAAATATCTAGAACTAGAGGTGTGCACCACCACACCTGGCTAACTTTTTTTATTTGTGTTTATTTTTGTAGAGACAAGGTCTTGCTATGTTGCCCAGGCTGGTCTCAAACTCCTGGCCTGAAGCAATCCTCCTGCCTCAGCCTCCCAAAGCACTGGGATTACAGGCATGGACAACATTGCCAAGCCGTTAAAGGGATTTTCTAAAAGAAATAATATATTTTATATTTACCAACATACGGTATTTATCACTTCTAAAGCTCTTCACTATTTTAAACAGACAGACCATACCAAGTATTTCTAAGGATGGAGAGCAATGTAGGGTGTCCAGCACTGCTGGTGGGCATGTAAAATGGAACAGCCACGTTGGAAGCACAGTTTGGTGGTTTTTATAAAAGCTAAATACATACCTACATATGATTCAGCCATTCCATCCCTACATATTTACACAAAAGAAATGCAAGCACGGCTGGGCATGGTGGCTCATGCCTGTATTCCCGACACTTTGGGAGGCTGAGGCGGGCAGATCACTTGAGGTCAGGAGTTCAAGACTAGCCTGGCCAACATGGTGAAACCCTGTGTCTACTAAAAATATGAAAACTAGCTGGGCGTGGTGGTGGCACCTGTAGTCCCAGCTACTTGGGAGAGTGAGACAGGAGAGTCGCTTGAACCCAGAAGGCAGAGGTTACACTGAGCCAAAATCCCGCCACTGCCCTCCAGCCTGGGTGAAGGTGAGACTGTGTCTCAAAAAATAAAAAAAGAAGGAAAGAAAGAAAGAAAGAAAGAAATGCCAGCATATTTCCACACAAGGATCATTACATGAATGCTTATAACAGTTTTATTTTTAATAGCTAAAAACGAGAAAAAGCCCAGGGGCCCATCAGCAGATGAGCAGATCAACAAACGGTGGTGCATCTATATAACAATAAAAACAGGCACGTAGTCAAGCAGGGATGCCTGTGGCACCCCGCAACAACATGGATGAAGTGCGTAGCTATCATGCTGGGAGGAAGAGCCAGAAAAAGAAAAGATGCATGAAATTCCAGAAAATGCAAACCAATCAGAAAGCAGAGAGAGAGGAATGGCTTTCAAAGTAGCCCAAGGAAGCTTTTGGGGATGGTGCCCTTTGTATAGTCATAAACCTATGTCAAAACTCCTCCAGGTTTACATTTTAAATATGTGTGATTTATTGTATGGCAATTATACATCAATAAATCTGTAAAATCTATTGAATGGGCTTAAAGCAGATCAGAAGTGGCGGAAGAAATGAGCATGACCTTGAAAAAAACACACGATGTAATGATCTGAACTGAGAAAATAATATTGAAAAAAATAAGGAAGAGCATCTCAGTAATTAGTGGGACAACACCTGACAGGTTAGCATATGTCAACCAGGGTCCCAAAGACGGAGGAAACGAGACAGAAAAAAATATAGGAAGAAATAATGGCCATTTTTTTTTTCAAATTTCCAGCATCTACAGGCTCCCAAAGTTCAACAAACCCAAGAAGGAAAAAATAATAATAATACTAAAATAAAGAAATCCACATCATAATCAAATGCCTGAGAAGCAAAAATAAACAGAAAATCTTAAAGACTCCAGAAGTTAAAAGATATATGAAATCCGGGGATACGATAAGAATGACAGCTGCCTTCTCCATAGAAACAATGGAGGACAGAATGGTGCCATGTTCTTTAAAGTGCTGAAGCAAAATAACCACCAAGCCAGGGTTCTACATTCAGTAAACATTTTCTTCAGAAATACAGGAAAATAAAGATGTTTTGAGAAAAACAAAATCTAAGGAATTCAGTGCCAGCAGAGCCATGCTACAAGAAATGTTTTTAAAAATTCTTTGGGCTAAAGGCAAAGGATATAGTTGGAAATACAGGTCTCAAGGAAGGAAAGAAGATTACTAGGTAATTAAATATATGAACAAATGACCATTTTTTTTCTTAATTTCTTTAAAAGATATGCGTGTATGTTTTATTTTGTTTTTTGAGACGGTGTCTTGCTCTGTTGCCCAGGCTGGAGTTCAGTGGCGCAATCTCGGTTCACTGCAACCTCTGCCTCCTGGGTTCGAGTGATTCTCCTGCCTCAGCCTCCTGAGTAACTGGGACTACAGGTGTGCACCACCATGCCCAGCTAATTTTTGTATTTTTAGTAGAGATGGGGTTTCACCATGTTGGCCAGGCTGGTCTCAAACTCCTGACCTCAAGTGATCCCCCTGCCTTGGCCTCCCAAAGTGCTGGGGTTATAGGCGTGAGCCACCTCACCTGGTCAATATATGCATTTAAAGTGAAAAAATTTAAAACATATTGTAGCATTTATAACTTATATAGAAATAAAAATATGACCATAAAAGCTCAAAGGACAAGAGAATAATAAATGGATTTATGCCATTGTAGTTCTTGTAGTTTACATGAAGCAGTATAGTATTAATTTATGGTAAATCAAAATAAATTAAGGGTGCATATTGTAATACCCAAAGTGTTAGTGGTAAGGTATTACTACTAAAAAAAACCCAACAAACAAACAAACAAACAAAAATAGATACAGCCAAAATGGCAATAACTGAAGAGAGTAAAACTGGAACACAAAACAATACTCAATTTTCCCAAAAGAAAGCCTGAAAGAAAGAATAAAGAATGAAGAAAAGAAGAAAAAGAAAATAAGTAGGAAATGGAGGCTTACATCCAACCACATCAATAATTACTCTAAATATAAAATAAACCCCCCAATTAAAAGACAGCAATTGTCGACTGGATTAAAAAGTTAAAAATCAAAGCAAGACCTAGCTCTATGCTGTTAACAAGAGAGAGCTTTTAATATAAAGAAGAACACAGTTCTGAAATTAAAGTGACAGGAAAAAAATCTAACACGAAAACAGGGAGGATAAGTAAGCGAGTGTGAATATAATAGTGTCAGAGAAAGTAGAGTTCAAGACAAGTGTGTTGCTAGAGACGAGGAAGGTTTTTGATGTTAAAAGGGTAAATTCATTTAAAAAAATCTTTAATGTGTATTTAGGAATAATAGAGCTTCAAACCAGGTAAAGCAAAAATCAACAGAATTAAAGGGAGAAAGAGGCAAGTCTATGATCATAGTTGGAGATTTTAACACATCTCTCTCAGTAACTGATAGAACTTGGGCCAGGTCTAGGGCAAGGCAAGTGAGACACTCGCCTTGGGTGCAAAATTTAAGGGGGCACCAAGAAACTTTGTAGCTAAGTAATATTTTAGAAAATCAACATTACTGCAGAAAAATCCCATATGAACAAAATATCAATGAAATTTTTTTTTTTTTTTTTGAGAAAGGGTCTTACTCTATCACCCAAGTTGGAGTGCAGTGGCACAATTATAGCTCACTGCAGCTTCAAATGCTGGGACTCCAATGATTCTCCCACCTCAGCCTCCCAAGTAGCTGGGACCACAGGTGCACGCCATCACACCGGCTATTTTTTTTAAAGTTTTTGTAGAGATGGGGGTCTCACTATGTTGTGATCCTCCTGCCTCAGCCTCCCAACTCTTGAGATTACTGGCATGAGCCACTATGCCCAGCTCTCAAAATTTTAAATAAAGATAAGTGCTCCATGCCACCATCCATCAGACCTGTCCTGAGTGTAGACAAAGCCACCTTCTCTTTCTTACCTGGCCCCTGGGGAGCAAGAAGCTGCTTTGACAGGACAACTGGCCAGCCACAAGGGTCCCGAGAACACCCCCCTGCTTCTGCTCGGAGTCCACGCCCACGTACAGTGCAGAGTCCATTCACATCCACCAAGCAGCGCCGTAAAATATTGAGGAGAGGGAGCTGTTTGCAGGTTTGGAATACAATATCTGTGTCTTTACCTGTGCATGCATATCACTACTTGTAAAGCCCTATCCTGTATCTCATCAGATCTTCACAGTCACCTTCTGAGACCTCAAAGTAAGAATCACATGCCCATTTTACAGAAACTGTCCATCAAAAGGAAGTAGAGACTTGTCCCAGGGTCCATGGTAATAGGCACAACCGAGACTCAAATCCTGCCCAAATCTTTGTCCTTGACTCCATCAGGCTGTGCAGAATTCACTTATTTCCCTCCAGTTGGAGGGAATTTGCACCCAAGACAAATGTCTCGCTTGTCTTACCCTGGGCCAGGTCTAGGGTGAGGCAAGAGAGATATTCAGTTTGGGTGCATGAAGTACATTCGCTGGGGATGCTGAAGGCTTGGCTGGGGCTTTTTGCCTTATATTGACACTTGTAAATATCTTTGGAGCCAGGTGAGGCCAGTAAAATGTTACACAAATAAGAGCTGTCTCCTAGAATCTACAGGTCATTTCCTGGAGTCAAGACCAAGCGGGCATGGGGGGCTGGGTGCACCTTCTGTTGGAAAGAAGCCCAAAGCACCCTTTGGAGGGCAGTGAGTTTTTAGGGATGGGCCTTTGCTTTCCTCTCCAAACCTGTGTCGCATCTGAAAGGATGTCCAAAGGCTAGATCGGTGTTTCCCAGGGTGGGTGACACAGACAAAGATGGAACTGAAGCGCAACTTGTTCAATGATGACCTGTCTCCCACCCGTGACCAGCGAGGGGTGCTGAGGAGCTGTTCGTGGCCAAGGTTTTCCCATTCTTGTGCTGTCTCCCCTAGCTCCTGCCTCCACGCTCCTTGGGGACTGCTTCTCTGGGCTGTGCAAATGTCAAAGGTGCCCAGTCCTCATTTTCCAGGGCTCATGTTTCTAGATGCCTCATGCCCCCTCCATTTGTTTCTCTGAGGCTGCCTGATGCATGGTTGTTTGGCTTTTTCTCCCCATCTCCATGAAAGTTGCTTCTCTTTGGAAGCAGAAATGTGGGTGTCTTCCTGTAATCCCTTTTTTCCTGAATCCTACTCCAGGGGAAATTTCTGACCTTTCGCTTCTCCTGAATTCCTCCTGGCATCTCCATCCCAAGGGCAGGGTCCAAGTACCCAGACCCACCCCAGGACTGTTGCAGTTGCCTCTAAAGGGGTCTCTCTGCCTTGGGTCTCACCCACTGGGAGCCCCAAAACCAGCTTGGGAGGGTGCCTTAACTACCTCCACCCCTATCTCCATCAGCCTCCTCCCTCCCAAGCCATTCCCATAGACTTCAGTCCAGGAGGAAAATAGCTGGCTTGTTATGGGAATAGCTTCAACACAAATATCGTATCTCCTCCTCCACTTGAAGGGAGATGCATTGTCCTGGCCTATATTGAAATTCTGGAGCTGCCATAAGACCTCTCAATACCTGTGTGCCTCATATTGCTTATCTATATAATAGGAATAATAATAGAATCAACCTTTTAGAATTGCTGGAAGGCCTGTAACTATTGCATCAAATGAGGAGAATTCATAAGGTGCAGGCACTGAACATTCTCCCCTACCCTAACACCCCCATTCCCCTTCCACCCTAGTGCTTGCTCCAGTCTGCTCTTGGGGACTGTTCCCTGCTCCTTGAAGAAATCTTGGGGAATCTTCATGCTCACTCTTTTTTTGTCGTTTTTCTTTTTCTTTTTCTTTTTTTTTTCTGAGACGGAATCTCGCTCTGTCACCCAGGCTGGAGTGCAATGGCATGATCTCAGCTCACTGCCACCTCTGCCTCCCGGGTTCAAACGATTCTCCTGCCTCAGCCTCCCAAGTAGCTGGGATTACAGGCACGCGCCACCACACCCAACTAATTTTTTTGTATTTTTTAGTAGAGACAGCGTTTCACCTTGTTAGCCAGGATGGTCTCGATCTCCTGACCTCGTGATCTTCCCGCCTCAGCCTCCCAGAGTGTTGAGATTACAGGCGTGAGCCACCGCACCCGGCCCATGCTCACTCTTAGATACTGCTATTACTACTAATAATCCTGCTATTACAGTGGTCTCCTGATCTCATTTTAGTAAATATTACATTCATTTGAGATAGTGGCCAACATTCCTAACTTCATTCAGAATTAAAGCTTCTTCAGTCCCTTGGCCAGGGCCTGATGTAGGGACCTAAGGGCCAGACAGCATCTTGGCTCCTGGGGACTCTTCTGCATCATCTGCCCCTTGTCAACAGGAGCACAGCTGTGCTGCCCTGCTCTGTTGCCAAAGCCACTTCATGCAGCCTTGTAAAGGTCTTGGGATTCTTCAAGGGTGAGTCAAACAACAGCCCACTGTGTCTCTGAAGCTGGAGGAAACAGGTATTACACTCTCTGAGGCTTCCTCAAAGCCCCCTAACTAGCTTGGATGAGAGAAAAGCACTACCCATGCATCCCTGATTGGATGTGGGGTTGGAGGTGGGGAGGTGGAGCTGGGAGGGGCCACTCACAGCTCAGCATAGAGACCGCTTCACTTAGGAATCCTCCAATCCCTGGGCCTGTCCTTTGTGTCTGTCCTGCGGTGGATGAGCAGACAAAAGTCACAAAAGCAGTCTTCAGCCACTTCCTTTGCAAGTTCTACCTTCGTGGTCTAGTCTCCACTCCAGAGTTCAGCAGTCCATTCATTTGAGTCATTATCTAAGGGCCTTGATAAAAATGAATAAAATATTCCCAGCTAAACACTACAAGACAGAATATTCTTTCCACTTAAAGGGCCTGACACACAGCAAGCACTCAATAAATGTTATTTTTCATTTGTTTAAAAAAACGTGGTCTCGTTCTGTCACCCATGCTGGAGTACAGTAGCTCGATCTCGGCTCACTGCAGTCTTGGCCTTCCCGGCTCAAGCGATCCTCCCACCTCAGCCTCCCTAGTAGCTGGGACTACAGGCGCATGCCACCATGCCAGGCTAATTTTTCTAGTTTTTTGTAGAGATAAGGTTTCACCATATTACACAGGCTGGTCTTGAACTCCTGAGCTCCAGTGATCTTCCTGCCTTGACCTCCCAAAGTGTTGAGATTACAGGCTTGAGCCACCACGCCTGGCCAATAAATGGTATTATTCAACTAAATAAGTAAGTGTTAGCCAGTGCTATTCTTACTACTAATCATTACTATCCATACCTGTCCAGGCTCAGCCCTTCCAAGTCTTCTCTGCCTTCATGCCCCAAGCTCTCCCAAGGCTTTTGATTTCCTGCCTTTGCCTATATTGTTTTCGCCCTGGATGCCTGCCCATCCCACTCCCAGGCTAGAACACTTAGGCTCTTTCTTCAAGCCCCAGTCAAGCCATGGCCACATTGGCAGGCTGTTCCCACCTCTCCAGATGAAGCTGACCTCTCTCTTATTCTGCGCTCCCTGTAGCGCGTCCTCTGCCCCTATCCTGGGCACTAATCCTACTCACTGCAAGGTCTTCAACCTGCTGCTGTCATACCCCCTCACCCCCCGCCCCACACACACACACACACACACACACACACGACTTCAAACCATGGCTTATGCATTTCCATAGCCCTAGTGTGCCCCTATTCTGCAAGGATAATTGAATGAATGAGTTACTAGTGAATGAATGGATGGATGCATCAAAAAACCGCAAATTAAAAAATAAATCTGTCATCAATATGCTAGGAAAAGAATGAAATCCTCCTCAGTGAATCTTGCGCTAAGTTACCACCTCTGCTGAGCAGTTTTAAGGGGGCCTTGATGGCTAAAATGATGATGGGATTTTCCCTGCATAAAATTTTATCTATATTTTTCTACCCCATTCACCTAGAAATAGAGACTGATGAATAGTAGCAAGAGTGTGGTTCATGTTAGGTCTTTGCAACAAAGTGTCAAGTGCCTTGCAAATCCCAAGGTTCTGAGGCCACTGTGACCATGTTTTGAGTGGCGATGGCTGTTCCTTCACTCTTTGCTGGGCTGCCATTTCTGTGACTCCAGAGGTGCAAAGGACCTATTCTCAGTGGAGCAACAATAACTGTGATTATGAGCCCTCCATCAGACACTGTACATGCCCTGCCTCAGACAGTCTATGAAGGAAATCCATTTACCCAGTCTCACTTGTCTCACTTTTAGTCAATAGTCTTTACACTTTCTTTTTGCGAATTCAGTGGTCGATTCTTACCCTTCATGGTTAATAGTGATTAACCATGTTAAATGCTTCTCGGCGGCATCCATCTTGAAACACTTCCTTCACTTGCTTTCTGGACCACCACATTTCTCTGGCTTTTCTCCTTAGCTGGCTGCTCATTCCAGATGTCTCCTCCTCTCCCCATCATTCTCTTCTCTTCCCCAGTCATTCTCTCCTTTCCTCTCTTGTTCTCTCCTCTCCTCTTCCTACAATCACTCCCTTAGTGACCTTGTCCATTCTTAAGGCATTAAACACCATTTATACACTGGTAACACTAAGGCATTTATCTCCAGCTCTGTCTTCTCTTCTAAGCTTCAGATTGACAATGCCAAATGCCTATTTGACACTTCCCTCCCCTTGGATGTCTTAAATTTTGAACTCATGATTGCTACTGCTTACCTCACCACACTTAGACCTGTACCAGCCCCCTGGCCTCACCCATCTCAGTGATGATGTCACTGATCATCCAGATGGTCAGGCCAAAAACCTTGCATGGTCATTATTGCATTCTTGTTCTCCCTCTCCTACTAGCAATTGCTGTCAATATCTTCAAAATATCTCTGGAATCTGATTACTTCCCTCCTTCCTGTTTCCACCCTGATCCCCATCATGATTACCTTTTTCTTGGATTATTGCAAGAGTCTCCTAACACCTCCTTGCTGCCACAACCTGCCCCATTTGCTCGCCATGCAGCAGCCAGACTGATCTTTAAAAACAACAAGTTATATCATTCCACTCCTTTGCTTAACACTCTCACGTGATGTTCTAGTTCATTGTTGTTTCTCTTTATCCCCTTCAATCTGGAATGGATCCTTATTCTTTTTTTTTTTTTTTTTTTTTTTGAGATGGAGTTTTGCTCTTGTTGCCCAGGCTGGAGTGCAATGGCACAGTCTTGGCTCACTGCAACCTCTGCCTCCTGGGTTCAAGTGATTCTCCTGCCTCAGCCTCCCGAGTAGCTGGGATTACAGGTGCCTGCCACCACACCCAGCCAATTTTTGTATTTTTAGTAAAGACAGGGTCTCGCCATGTTGGCCAGGCTGGTCTTGAACTCCTGACCTCGGGTGATACACCCGCCTCGGCCTCCCAAAGTGCTGGGATTACAGGCATGAGCCACCGCACCCGGCCCTGGATCCTTATTCTTATTCTTTCCCTATCTTTCATGTTCTCAATTATTCTGTAGGATTATCCTCAACCTGGGCCCATCTGATGTGTATACTAATAGGGTCTATGTATGTCCAACTTTAGTAGAAACCACAAGTTTTCCAAAGTGGTTGTATTTAATATGCTGTCCCACCAGCAATTGCTGCACATCCTCATAAACACTTGGTATTTTCTATGTTTTGTTTAATTTTAGTCATTTTGGTGGATGTGAAGTGAAATCTCATATAACTTAAATGTATACTTCTTTGATAACTAATGATGTTGCAGACATTTTTGTGTGCTTATTGGCCATATGAATGTCCCCTTTTGTGAAGATCCTATTCAATAATCTTACTCATTTAAAAAATTGGCTTGTCTTTTTCTTTAAAAATGTTTTATTAATATTATTTTAACTGACAAATATTAATTGTGTATACATATATACACATATATATCCATATATATACACATATATATACTTTTTTTTTTTTTGAGATGGAGTTTTGCTCTTGATGCCGAGGCTGGAGTGCAATGGCATGATTTCAGCTCACCGCAACCTTTGCCTCCTGGGTTCAAGCGATTCTCCTGCCTTAGCCTCCTGAGTAGCTGGGACTACAGGCATGTGCCACCACACCTGGCTAATTTTGTATTTTTAGTAGAGACAGGGTTTCTCCATGTTGGTCAGGCTGGTCTTGAACTCCTGACCTCAGGTGATCTGCCTACCTCGGCCTCCCAAAGTGCTGGGATTATAGGTGTGAGCCACCATGCCTGGCCTAATTGTATATTTTTTTATGGGGTGCAATGTATATGTATACAATGGGGAATACATAAATTAAGTTAATCAGCATATATAACACCTCACTTATTATTTTTTGTGGTGAGACATTGGACATTCACTTTCTAAGTTATTTTAAAATATACATTATTATTGGCTGTAGTCACTGTGCTATACAATAGATCTCAAATCTCATTCTATCTGAAACTTTGTGCCTTTGACCAACAACTCTCCATTCTTTTTCTTTTTGATCTGTATCAGTTCATTAAATATTCTCTATACAAGTCCTTAAATGTTGAAAATAAAACAATAAAGCTTCTAGAGGAAAACATAGGAGATTACATTTGTGATCTTTGTAAAGATAAAGATTCATTTAACTGAATACAAAAGGCATTAGCCATAAAGGAAAAAGTTGAGGAATTGAATTACATTAAAACCAAGAACTTCTGTCCACTAAATGACACTTTTTTTTTTTTTTTTGAGACAGGGTCTCACTCGGGCTACAGTGCAGTGGTGTGATCAGAGCTCAGTGCAGCCTCAAACTCCCAACTTCAAGTGATCCCTCACACCTCAGCTTCCCAAGTAGCTGGGACTATAAGTGCATAGCACCACACCTAGTTAATTTTCAACTTTTTTTGTAGAGACAGGGTCTTGCTATGCTGCCAGGGCTGGTCTCGAACTCCTGGCCTCAAGCAATCCTCCTGCCTCAGCCTCCCAAAGTGCTGGGATTACAGGTGTGAGCCACCACGCCCAGTCTTCACTGAGTGACACTTTTAAGAGTCAAAAGGCAAGCCATACAGTAGGAGAAGACACTTGTTTTATACCTTTATACATCTGTATAACACATAGTAATATATATTGTTATATATTATGTAATATATTAATATACTGTTTTCTATATTAACATATATAATGACATTTATTGGCCATATTTACTAAAGCTGACCATACATATACCCTATTAACAGGTACATACACACTCCTCCGTATATACCAAACAGAAATGTTTATATCTGTGCAGCAGAAAACACAAACAAAATATTCTTAGCAGGATTATTCTTCATAGCCCAAAACTGGCAACTACTCAAATGTCCATCAACAATAGAAAAGATCAATAAATTGAGGTATAGTCATATGATGAATACCATACAGTGATAGGGGAGGATATAACTGCTCCAGGTGAGGACATAGATGAATCTCACAGACATAAAGCTGATCAAAAGAAAACAGGCACAAAGGAATATGTACAGTTTAATTCCATTTATATAAAGCTAAAAAAAGTCAAAACTAACTTTTCACTTTCTAAAAACTTATCATCGAACTGTATATTTAACTAATATTTGTGTGCTTTATAGTATGTGATATATGCCAATTAAAATTAAAGGAAAAAAACCAGCCTCCAGTGGCTTCCCATTACACTTAGAATAAGTCCAACTTCTTATCAAGGACATTTATGAAGTGGCTGCCATCCAGGTCCTGACCTCATCTTTTCCCCTCTCCGCCTCATTCACTCCACATTGGCCATCCCGACCTTGTTGCTGATGCTTCAGCACACAAAGCTAGTTCCCACTTGTGGCAGACAGCACTGATGTTCCCAATTCTTCACCCATCTCCCTGTCCATGCCCTCTGCCATTTGCCATTCCTACTACTAGAGGTACAGTATACTTCTCAGCTCCATGGATGTTAAGCTTGGCGTTGTGCTATGTCTTGGTCAGTAAAATATGAGTAGACTCACGGTGTGTCAGTTCCAAGTGAGGCCCTAAAGTGAATCACTTCTTTCTGTTTGTCCTATCCCTCTGCTGCCACCAACCTGAGAACATGCCCTCCCTAGCCTGCTGATGCAAAGAGGATGAGAGACACAGATATGCAGCTTGAAGTCAAGCCCAGCTGAGCCCATCCTACATCAGCCGCTCACTAGTGGACCTGCAGAAGCATCATCAAGAACAAATAATTATTGTTTTCAGCCACTGAGTCATAGGATGTGTATTATGCAGCATCATTGTAGCAATAGCTGACTAATACACCACCTCAGTGTCTTTACATTTGCTGTTCCTCACATAGGTAACATCCTCATTCAAGTCCTTGTTCAAATGTCACTTCTTCAGAGAGCCCCTTCCTAACCACTCTATCTCAAACAGCACCATCTCTTCCCTTCATTTCTCTCCATCCTCCTGCCCTGCCTTACATGTCTTCATAGCACTTACTGCTACCTGACATTTTATTTGCTTATTCAGCCTCCATAAGAGAATGTAAGCTCCATGAGGGGAGGCACCTGTTCATTTCCACATCCCTGGTGCTAGCACCATGTCTGGCACTTATCAGGAGCTCAATAAATATTTGTTGATTGAACAAACCAATCTCTGCCCTCTCCCTCATCCCCGCTCACAATGTTTCCAGCATATAGAGAAACTGACTCAAAAATCACATCCTGCTGCTGTTTACCAAGGTGGGGCTGGTGAATGACAGGTCACTAGCAAAGTGACCCATCATTAAGTTGGTGGAAGGAAATAAAACCAAAGCAAGGAATCCACAAAATCTACAATCTTTCATACCAGCCCTTGGGAAAACCATTTCATCATGATAATAATTGGGTGTGAGCTAGTGTGGTCCATAAAAGCTCACTTTCTCAGTGTGTCTCTTCCTGGAGTTCTCTCCGGGGCCTTGCTGTGAGAGAACACGCCCCAGGCAGGAAACAGACTGGCCGGATCAGCATGGCATTGTGCCTTTGTCCGGCTCCGCCCACACACCTAATCTTTCGGGAGTCAAGGCACAGCCCACAAAGAGAGTTGGGCACCATCTGTGTGTTGGCCTCTGTGCTGGGACCTTTGTGAGCTTTATGACACCAATCCTCCCAAGATCTTGCCAGGTAAACATCATCAGGGCAGTTTAGGAACATGCCCAAGGACACTGGCAGAGCTGGAATTTGAGTCCCCGTCCTTCTGATGCCAAAGCCCATGTGGTTTCCACCCCCTGCACAGGAGGGGAGGAGGGCGAAGGCTCAGAGCTGATGAGGCTCAGGGCCAGAACTTTGATTCTCCCCACATTTTTCTGCAGCAGGAATTTGACTTTATGGAAGCTTCACATTGAACCTGACCTGCTCTCTGTGAATTATTTTCTAGGTCTTCGATGAATAAACAGGCAATTCTCCGTATCCATATATCTTATGTACCACACAAATATATATACCTACTATGTACCCATAAATATTAAAAAACAAAAAAACTAAAAGACCCAGATAATTCTCACTTTTTGGCTTCAGATCCTGGTCCTCTGTTGAAATGCTTATAAATAAAGGAGAAAGAATAGCACCTACATACACCTATAAATAAAGGAAGACATAGTTATAAAGATATATAGTTATAAAAAAGGAAATGGCCATAGAACTATTTAGAGGGATCTACATAGAAGGAAGAGAGACTAAAAATCAACTTGACTTCTATGAGCAAATAGCAGAGCAGTTTGCAGAGTTATGTATACAGAAGCCTCTGGCAAGAGGACAAGAGAAGTACAAAAAGTTTCTCATTAAATAACTTTTCAAACGGCAGTGCAAAGGTCTCTGGGCGTGTGCCCAGCGCACCTCAACCTGGAAGGCATTGCAGTGGGTGCAAGGCAGGACAAGCCCACGGAGCAAGCACTTCGGGTCGGCACTCACCTGCCCAGGAACTGAGAGGTAGGTCATGGATCAGCCTAGAAAGAAAGATCCACGTGTGACTTCCCCGTGGCTCTGCAAGTCTCCCAGGCTGTAGTGCAGTATAGTGGCTAAGAACATGGCACTTTGGTGACAGACAGACCTGATTCCTGTCTTGGCTCTGCCCTTCACTGGCGGTGGCACTGTGAGCAGGTGGCTTCACCACCCAGCCTGTAAAGTGGTGACAGTAGTACCTACCTTGCAGGACTACATGAAAAAGAAGTGAGATCATCCATGTAGCACGCATGGGACCAGATCCCAGAAAGTGGAGGAGGAGTGAAGCTCAACTCTGCTGGTCTGGACTTTTTGCAGTTGAAACGGGGCCCTTCCTTAGTTCTGGCTAACATTAAAAATGATCTGGCCAGGTGCTGTGGCTCATGCCTATAATCCCAGAACTTTGGGAGGCCAAGGCAGGCAGATCACCTGAGGTCAGGAGTTCGAGACCAGCCTAGCTAACATGGTGAAACCTTTTTCTACTAAAGATACAAAAAATTAGCCGGACGTCCTGGCGTGTGCCTGTAATCCCAGCTACTCAGAAGGCTAAGGCAAGAGAATCGCTTGAACCTGGGAGGCGGAGGTTGCAGTGAGCCAAGATAGCGCCATGGCACTCCAGCTTGGGCAAGAAGAGAAAAACTCCATCTCCAAAAAAAAAAAAAAGAAAAGAAAAGAAAAAAAAAAGATCTGCATCCTTTGAGCTCACACCAATGGATGAGAAAGAAGCAGGTGAAGGAATTTATTGTTATATTATATTAAATAAATAATAATAGTAACAGCCCTTATGCCACTCTCAAGGAGCATTCTCGTGTGCATAGTTGCTTCTGTTGAGCCCGCTGGAATATCTGCTTCTGCAATGAGGATGTTGGGCCCTGGGCAACCTGAGAACCTACCCAGTGCTGGCACACAGGAGCACAGAGAGAGCTGGGACAGACTGTCTGGTGGAATCAGCCCTCGGTGGACACCCTCGCCAGAGTGCAGCGTTACAGGCACTATTATCTGCATGTCTCTAGACAACATAATAGACAGACTCAGGGTTCAAAGCTTAGAACCAATGATGCCTCCTTCTGGAAGCCCTCTCCTTCCAATGGTTGGAATGAGTCCCCTCTGCCCTGTGTTTCCATGACCATGCTATGGCCTTTATCATTCCATTCACCATAGCAGTCCCCTTTCATGAATGACAGGCACTATGTCAGTGGCCTCAGTGAATCTCCCCATGGGAGAGATGAGGGGCCACAAGAGGGCTGGGGCAGAGAAGCATCATCACCTTAGTGGTTAACAGGATGCAGGGGAGCAGGGATGGATGTAGGCAGACAGGTCAGGAAGCCATGGCAGTGATGCCAGTGAGAGCTGATGGTGGCAGTGAAGGCAGGAAGAACTAGTTGGATTATAGATTTTTTTTGAGGTTAAACTGACAAGATGTCCTTGTGGATTGAAGGTAAAATACCTGAGAAATGAAGGAGATGAGAATGACCCCACGGTTTTTAGCCAGAGTAACTGCAAAGTTAGAGAACCCAAATACAAAGATCAGGAAAATTGTGGAAGAGCTGGTTTTGGAGAAAAAATAAGGAGGCCAGTTTGGGACGAGTTGAATTTGAGACACCTGCTAGATATCACACCTGCAGTTGGCTATGGGAAGATGTAAAGGTGGGAGTTATCAGTGTATAGGTGGGGAAATAAAGCTCCGAGCTTAGATGAGATAACCAAGGAGTAAGTGTAACTGATAAAAGAAGAGGACCAAGGAACTGACCCCTGGGCTTGACAAGGGTCGGCTGAGCATTTACACCACACCCAGCTCTGTGCTAGCAGCCCTGGGAGGCGGTGGATCCGAAGGACACCCAGTTTCTGTCCTCAAGGAACTCAAGAGCCTGTAGGGAAGGTGGAGCGTGCGTCTCATTCACAGACCCGGGGAGCTGTGCCACATGGAAAAAGCTCTGAACCTGAGCCCAGCACCCAGGGCTGAACTGCCCCCACCACCCACTGGCCATGCCTGTGACTATCTCTGAGCCTGAGTTTCCTCCTTCGTAAAATGGAGATAATAATATATCCTGGCAAAGGAGTTGCTTAGAGGATCAGAGAAGGCATGTGCCTAGCACAAAGGAGGCGTCTGGCAACCTGTACAGCCTGTGCTTGTTAGTATCTGCCGGCATGCTCTCCACACCCTCAGCTGGGGGGCCCATCTTCACACATAGTAGCAGTGGGGTTTCCAGAAGCACCAACCCCATGAATGGGCCTGGGGACTCCCCTTGTCCACGGCCCAGCCTCCCTCATGGCTGCCACTACCCCATGTGGGCTGGGGACGTTGGTGGCGAGGTCAAGGCCACTCTGTCCCTTGGAGTAATTGAAGATGACAACATTATTTTGTGTCTCACAGAGACTGGTAGAGATCAAAGGCAGCAAGAAGGAGCTGCTGGGACAGGCAGGAATTCCCTGGCAAAGGCCGCCAATTATTGGAAATTGGCTGTAGTTACAGCTATTACCATTAAGGGCTGCCTGGCTGCCCTACGCTGCTGGAGAGGCGCGTTCTGACAGAGGGTGTGAAAGTGGCCACAGCAGGGTTGGGGGCAAAGAGAATTCCATGGGTTTGCACCTACCACGACTCAGACTTCTCTGTGGATTGCTGTCCCAGAGACAGGCAAAGGCGAGTCTTGGAATATTCTCTGGACAAATAGGAAGAGGCGTCCTGGAGAGATATGTGGGGAGAGAAAGGGGGCTGTAGAGCCCAGCAGGGAGAAAAGCCATGGGCTCATGAGGTCCAGGGAAGAAGAGCTCCAGCAGAAGGGAGAAGAGCACAGACCAGCAGGGAGAAGAGCCATGGGCTCATGGGCTCCAGAGACCAGCAGGGAGGAGGGCTGTGGGCTCATGAACTCTAGAGACCAGCAGGGAGAAGAGCCATGGGCTCATGAGCTCCTGGGACCAGAAGGGAGAAGAGCAGAGACCAGCAGGGAGGAGGGCCATGGGCTCATGAGCTCTAGAGACCAGCAGGGCGAAGAGCAGAGACCAGCAGGGAGGAGGACCGTGGGCTCATAGGATCCAGAGACCAGCAGGGAGAAGAGTCATGGGCTCATGGGCTCCAGAGACCAGGAGGGAGGAGGGCTGTGAGCTCATGGGCTCCAGAGACCAGCAGGGAGAAGAACCATAGGCTTATAAGCTCCAGAGTCCAGGGGAGAGAAGAGCCATGGGCTCATGAGCTCTACAGACCAGCAGGGGGAAGAGTCGTGGGCTCATGACCTCTAGAGACCAGAAGGGGCAAGAGCCTTGGGCTCATGGGCTCTGGCTCATGTTAGCTGAAGCTGTGCCATGGTAGGCATGGGCATCAACGCTCTACTCCTCGATCCTGACCAGAGAGGCACAGCTGTAAACAGTGTGCCAAGGTTAGCTCTCACTTTGGGCATGAGAACAAAGCAAGGCACCTTGGCAGGAGGCAAGACCCTGAGCCAAGCTGAAGGGCCTTGCTGGTGTTTGAAGCCCACTTACTGCCCTGTCCTGGCAGCAACCTAGAAGAGTGGGTCCCAAGGAAGAGGGCAGCCAGTGACTCCCAGAGCAACCCAGGGTGCAGATGAGAATTCCAGCAGGTACCAGGGAGGAGGGGAGGGCATGGCAAAGGAGCAAGCTATTCTTTCAATAACTTCAATAACCTCAGGGATCTTATCTCTGTCTCCTTCGCTTACGAGCTGTGTGAACTTAAGCAAGTTACTTAGCCTCTCTGAGCCTCAGATTCCACATCTGAAAAGTGAGGAAATCATACAAACTAGAATCATACAAGATGGCACGGTAAAATAAGTCATGAAATTATGGTTGCCATTAGTGAAAGGTCCAAGGCTAACCACTTGCTCAGTAATCTGAGAGGGGCCCTTTCTTTTCAAAGTGTCAGTAAAAAAAAGTATAGCCATCAATCACTGGGGGTCTAGTGCATCATCCTGAGATGGTGTCACCTCACCCTCATAGAACGTCAATACTGCAGCATTATTAAGCAAAATGAGGGAGGCTGTTTCAGGAAGGCCTCCATTTTTGCTTTAAAAAATACATGATGAACTAAGGGCTTGGGTAGCAAAGAAGCTCACTGACAGGAACAATATAGATGTCTCATTAATTATGTCAGAAGCAGGTGTGTGGCCACACATGGCTTTCAGGCTCCTGTCATCTGCTTCCGTGGATGCCTTCAAAGCTCTCCTCCAGCATGTTGGCCTCCATGCAGGCTCCATGACCATGAGGCCATGCCATGTGTCTTTCCATCACCAGGTCTTTGATGATAATCTGCCCCCTGACCCATCTCAGAAAGCTCTCCCTATGGCAGGACCACCCCAAGGCCAGCCATGTGGCATGATGGAGAGAGCACTGGCTTGAGAGCCTGGTGACGGAGGGCTTCCTCTGACTATGCCACTCATGGGCTGGATGACCTGGAGGAGTCACTTCCTGTGTCAGGCAGAGTTTGAGGGATGCAAGCAACAGAAACCAATCTGGCTGTAACCTACATGGGAAAGGGCAGACCCAAGAGGGTCTCAGAATTTAAAGGAAAGCAAAGGACCAGACTCTGAAGGCAGAATAAGGCTGTCTGGGGGTGGGGTGGGGCTGGGATCCAAGGAGTCCAAGAAGCAGGGTCCCACAAGAGCGTCTCCTCAGGACACGACCCCACCCTCCTCCTGGGGCAAATCAGCTTCAGCCATTTCTAATCTTCTGTCCTTATGCTTGAAACAGAAACTCCAGAGACTGAGAGAGATGGGGAGAGCTAGAGGAGGTGGGCACCTTGACTGATAATCCCACCAGTCAGCCCGTCACAGAGAAGAGGGAGTTCTCCCAAAGAAGTCAGGGCACCATGATCAGAAGGAATGGGAATCAACGTTGGGCAGGGAAAAATTAACTCATCTACACTTTCCTCTTCTGGAGGCTGTTTTCTCATCTGTGGAATGGAGACAGTGACACCTTAAAGGAGTGGTGTAGATTTGGTGCATATCGTGGCATAGATGAACAGCAGTTGTTGCTATTAGTGATAGCACACAGGGCATCGAGCAATATTGAGAGCATTCCTTATGTTGATGACTGTTACGCTAGTTGTATTGTCATGCAGTTAGGACTGAATAAAGACTAGATGTTATTGGCCATTTGTCTGAGTCCCAGAGGTGTCTTCCTTTCATGAAGAAAGGGGTGAGGCATATGGACATTCATCCTCATTTAATACTCAGAGCCAGTCCATTTTCCACATGGAAACTGAGCCTCGGAAAAGTGAAATTGTTGGACAGTTGTGGGCATTGCTGGATCCACCTCAGGTCTGTGCTGCTCTGAAGTCACAGTGGCAGACACAGTTCCGGGTGATGCAAGTTCCAAGTGAGCGTCCCCTAGAGTCCACCTGGGGTGTCACATCCCTCCGCGTGGGCCTCCTGTGGAATTCCTCACTGTGTTTCTTGGTCCCTCAGCCCTGCAGATGGTTCTGCTTTCCCTCTGGAAGAGTATTATGTCGATTCACTTGAAGTCATGTTTGGGGCAAACAAGGCACCAGATGCTGGAATGTGGTCCCCTCCACTTTTCCAGAGAGGTATGAGGATTTAATCTTTGCTTTTCTTAAAAAAAAATAATAATGGTTCTGAGGGCTGGAGGACATGTAAAATCAAAGGGAAATTACAGGCAATGTGCAGAGAATTCTTAGTTTCCAGATGCTTGTCAACCCACCTTGGGAAATGAGCCCCTCTCACAGGTAGGGGCTGCCAGAAGCCCTTTCTGGCTGGAGAACATCACGGAGGAGAACTAGCAAGACCCCTGCCTTCTCCCCTGGGACCTGGCACTGCATTTAGCAGCATTTAAGAAACAATCCCCCCATCACTGCTGATTAGGAGGAACATCAATTTTAATGGAGAGGTGTTACCTAAGTCTGGCCACATGGCCTAGCTGCAAAGGTCACCCTTTCTCAGAAGGTCTGCATTCCCTTCCTCCCCAAATCAGGCACTGGTGTGTGGGAGACAGCCAGCCTTTGCTACTGAGTGGCTGACCTCCATCACTCCACAGGGCCTGGGGTCCTCTCAGCAAAGATATCCCAGGGCAAGCAGAACCTGTCCATTTGTACAGGGCTGTGGCTGTGGGTCAGGTGAAGCGGGGGTTATAGATTTTTCTGGAACTAAAGCCCACCTAAAGCCTCTGGGAAAATGATCATCCCTCCCTTAACCACAAATTCCACTGACATGATATACCCTAATAAGCGATTTCATGACTGTGTGTGATTTCAGCAACCAAGCAAACTTCAGTGCATGCACATTGCAAGTTGTGAAAACAAAGAGAAGCTGGATATTTGTGTGGAGGCCCAACTCTCTCGGCTGCAGAGCTTCTGCCAGTGTTCTTTCCCTAAGATTCACTGATGCTGTCAGGGAGGAAGACATGGACTCATGCCTCTGCATCGGCCGGGCTGGATAATCTAAGATGGCCTCATGTGTGTGCCAGTTAGTATCCTGTTGCTAGGGGCACCTTGGTTCTCCTCCGTGTGACCTCTCAAGTAGGCTAGCTTGGGCTCTTCCCATCAGTGTCTCAGAATTCCAAGTGCCACAAAAGAGGGCAAAAGTCTGAATGCCCAAGCACTTTTTAAGCCTCTGCCTCTGCCATGTTTGCTAATGTCCATTGGCCAGAGCAAGTCATGGCCAAGCTCAGAATCAAGAGGTGAAGAAACAAACTCTACCTTGGCTGGGAAGAGTTACTGAGGCCTTGTCTTTGTAAACAATCTACCACCCTGCCCCACCCACACCCCACACAGAGAACAGTTTCCCTGTTAGATATTCTCACCACTCCCTGAACTTTCTCTCCAGGGCACTTACCCACTGTAGTTGACTATTTGTACACCGAGTTGTTTGTTGTCTTTCTCTCCCATATCCCTGTTCCACCATGCGGGCAGGGGCTGATGTGTGTCCATCCGTGCCCAGCACAGTGGCTGGTACATAGTGGGTGCCAGTAACTACTAGTGAAGGAAGCAGGAAGAAGAGAAGGAAAAAAAGAAAAAGAAGAAAGGGAGGGCGGAGGGAAAAAGAGGCAGGAAGGGAGGAATGAGGGCAGGAGAAAAGGAGGGAAGGAGTCCTGGAACAATGGGGGCACTTCTTAGGCGGAGGACTAACTGGAACCTCTCTGGGCAGCGGGTGCCCTGTGCATCCCCCAAGCCCACTGCGCTGCTTTCAGCCTCCATATCTTGGCTCCTCCTGCCCTCCCACCTGGCTACCCTCCCACCCTCTTTCCTCTGCTGGCTCAGCCCTGGGTTCCTTCCACGTGCATCTCAAGTGTCTCTCCCCACTCCCAGCAGCTTCCCCTCTACCCCTTCCTCCTGAGCATCTGCCCGGCTCAGGCAGCTCCCCACACCCCCACCTATTGCTGCCCACGCTGTCCTGCACATGCACCTCTCAACTGAGCACCACACCGGCCCTTTGAGAAATCTAGGACAGGCATATTGATCTTTCCATCCCATTGATGAGAACTCAGGTTCAGGGAGGGTCGATGTCCACGGTCACCCTCCAGGACCAGAGTCAGTCTGGTTCAATAGTCCCCAGACTGCAACGACTGTGGTGAAGCCTCAAGGCCCTAAGGAAGAGGCTCCATCCTGTCTGTCTTGGTGAGAGTGGATGCCCGTGCCAGAGGACCCAGGATTCTGATCTCTGGACAGTGGCAGACAGAGGGAAACCAATAGGTCAGAGGCGGAGCCTGCCGTCTCCTAGCCCACAAGGGCTTCCTCCAGAATGACTGGGCCCTAGGGCAGGCCTGCAGCCTCCCAGGTGACACTCCCATGGCACCACCTCTCCCATGGAATGTCTTCTTTAGAAAAGAGATGAGCCCATTCTTAAAAGGGGAAGGGGCTTTCAAGGTCACACAGCAAATTAGGGCAGCCCAAACTCCAGACTCAGGCTCCTGCTGTCCCTGAAGTCACATCGTGCCCTCCCTCACTGCCTTCCCAGTCCTGTCTCCTTCCCACCTCCACAGGGCTTGTGACCAACTGAAGGGGATTAGACTAGTTAGCAAGGGGCCAGTTCCCCAACCCAGGCGCAGGTGGGAGGGGAGTGGTAGAGGGAGCAGGCCCATCCAGCAGGTGATGGATCTCACAATAGGTATTTGCCGCGTATTGGTGACTGTCTTCAGAACTGCGCCTCCGCCTACACTGCTTGATGTACATTAGTGTGCTGGTTAACTTTAACCTGCACCCTGGGGATGGGTGCTTGAAGTAACATAATTAGGAAGCAGCTCCACAGGGCAGCGAGCCTCGGATCTGGTCAATCATGGCTTTGCTAAATCGGCACCGGAGGCTGCGGCTAATCTGCATAGGAGATGTTGCCAGTGCCTTTTCATTGGTGAAATGAGCTGTACAAAAAAAAAAAAAATGTGGTTGGCTCCCGAGATTGTGCAGTACCCTCCTCTCTTGGTGAACCAAGCTCAAGAATCCACCCCCGGCTCCATCTGGGCCAGCGGCCGCCCACTGAATGGAAGGCACTGAGTTCACTGGAAAACTCAGGACCTGACTTCACCGGGGATCCTGCCCTCTCCAGGTCCTGCCTTCGCTAGCGATGCTGCCTTCAGTAAACAGTTGCACTTGCCTGGGAGTGACACTGGCCTGTAGGGACTGGTCAGATGCCCCCAAGGATAGCACGTGGTCCCTGCTGCGTGCCTACTCTGTGCCAGAAAAGTTCTCCACATCACGTGTATATTACTTCATTGAAAAATCACTGCTATCTGGGCGTGGTGACTCATGCCTGCAATCCCAGCACTTTGGGAGGCCAAGGCAAGAAGATTGCTTAAGGACAGGAGTTCGAGACCAGCCTAGCCAACATGGCGAAACCCCGTTGCCACTAAAAATACAAACAATTAGCCAGGTGTGGTAGCACATGCCTGTGATCCCAGCTACTCAGGAGGCTGAGTCATGAGAATCACTTGAACTCGGGAGGTGGAGGTTGCAGTGAGCTGAGATCATACCACTGCACTCCAGCCTGAGTGACAGAGTGAAACTCTGTCTAAAAATAAATAAATAAAAAATAAAAGTCACTGCCACCTCCATTTTACAAGAGGTACCGAGTGGATATGTTACTTCCCCAGGGCCTCACAGGGAGGAAGTGGTGGAGCTGGGATTTGAACCCGGGCTGTTGTTTTTGTAAAGGATCGAATAAATGCTGTGAATGTACTGATCTATGATAAGCTAGCTGCATGAGATGGAGACTCAGACACAGATGAAGCCAAAGCTGAGATGCAGAATTTACTGAGAAATCGCATTGTATCTCACAAGAGCAAATTGCTAAGCCCACCACGTATCCAGGCTGTGCCGTCCGATTGAAGAGCCTGTGCTCTGAACTCCATACAGCCTCCTTCCTGCAGCTGAGGAGCTGGAGGCCTACGGGAAAATGGGCTCTAGATGGCTGAGTTTCAACGGGAGCCTACCAGTGTCCCTCCCCAGCCTCGCACCTGCCGTGGCTCCATAACCAAGAACCCACTCTCCCTCTGGATCCGGCCCTCCACCCTTCCCTCCCAGCTCATATGCTTGGCCCAGGCTACACTGAGCTCCTGGACCACACCAGGCAGTTTCACACACAGCAGCTTTGCTCACCGGGCTCCCTTCACTTCCCTTGACCATTGCCCACCAGGAAAACATCCACTTATCTTTCTTGGCTTCATTAGGCCTCATCACCTCTACCAAGAGAACAACACTGGACACCAGATGCCCTTTGGGACACACCAGTGTGAGGCCACCCTCACCCTGCTGTGTGACCTTGGACAAGTGACTCAACTTCTCTCAACATCAGTTTCCCCATCTACAAAGTAGGAAAATGTTGTTTACCTCATGGTTTGTTGTACAAGTTAGAAAAAATGCACATCAAGCCTCTGACATGGCTTCTACTAAAAACATGGTACTTATTTTTAGAACGTTTTCCTGCCATCTGCCCCAGAAGAATTGAACTCTGTATACCTGTATACACCTCAGACTCTCTGGACATACTTGTGTCTTTTTTTGCTAGCACTTCTCACAAGCTGGCATCTTGTGTATTTTCCTCTGTTTATGTTCTGTCTCCTTCATTGCGGGACTTATTAAGGTGCAGCTCCTTGGGGGCAGGAATCTTGTCTGTCATGTTCATCACCGGATTCCAGGGCTCAGAATGCTGCCTGGCACTTGCTAGGTCCTCCATTAAAGTTGGCTGGTGAAATGAATGAACAAATAAAGGAATAAAAAAAGGAACAAATGAACCCATACCCACCTCCTGCATTAATCTTATCCATCAATCTGTCCCCAGCTCCCAGCCCAGTAACTGACATGTGTGTTCAGCGGGGATTATAGAACAAATCTTATCAATTCTGTGTTTATGCATTTATAAAACACAATTTAACGACGCACTAAATCAGATCAGCATGAATGAAGCTTTCCAGATGGGCACTGAACCAGGATTCTCTTTCTTCGTGTCTTGCTTTCTCAAAACTGGTCCACATTATCCTCCCCAGCAGCATAAGAACTGCCCAAATTGCCAGCCTTAGAATCATGAGCTAATTAATGAGACTGCTTTGAGTCACTGTGCTTTGCTTGTAGGTATGATCGCCCCACAGCCAAGACTAACTGATGCAACAGAGGAAGGGCTCCCCGAGGAGGGGAGGGCTGAGCTGGATCTGAATAACCAGAAGAAGACTAAGAGAAAGCAGTAAATTCCCGGTGGAGGAATTTCGAAGGTGTGTGTAGGAAAGTCATTTGGAAGGAGATAGGACAGCACTTTTTTTTTTTTTAACACCTTATTGAACATCCAGCCAGAAAATGTACAATTGGCAAACTACCCCCTAGAGAATAACACGCTTGTACGACCAGACCCATATGAGAAACAAAGCATGACCGGCACCCCAGAGGCACTCCTTACGCTCCTTCCATTTCCCACCTCCCTCCCAGGCTAACCACTATCCTGACTTTTCTCATCACAGATTGTGTTATTTTTGTAGCGTTTTTTCAACTGGACTCTGCATTGTGCATTATTTTGTATCTGGCTGCTTTCACCCCATGTTAGAGTTGTGAGACTCATCCGTGTTGTTCTCTCCTTTTCCTCTTGATAAATCGTATTCCATTATTTACCCATCCTCCTCCTGATGGATCTTTGGGCTGTGTTGGCTATGGAGAATAACACTGCCATGAATACTCCTGAACACATCTTTCAAGGAATATATTTGTACACTTTTTTTTTTCTTTTTTCAAGACGGAGTCACGCTCTGTCACCCAGGCTAGAGTACAGTGGCGTGATCTCGGCTCACTACAACCTCAACCTCCCAGGTTCAAACGATCCTCCTGCCTCAGCCTCCTGCCTCAGGCCTGGGATTACAGGCCTGCATCATGATGCCCAACTAATTTTTGTATTTTTAATAGAAGACAGGTTTTCGCCATGTTGGCCAGGCTGGTCTCAAACTCCTGACCTCAAATGATCCACCCACCTCGGCCTCCCAAAGTGCTGGGGTTAACAGGCATAAGCCACCACGTCCAGCTGATATTTGTACACTTCTGGTGAGTGTAGACCGCCAGTGAAATTCTTGGGTCATAAGGTTTGCACAAAAAGCAGCTCTTTTGAGGAACTGAAAGGAACAGGTGGCTTGAAAGAGGAGCGGGGAGCTAATGAGATGAGGGGTCAAAATTTCTCAAGCCCTGTGAACACGGCAAGGAGGCTGATTTTCAAGAGATGTGCAGGGGGAGGCCAGGGAGTGACATGCTCCAATGACATTTTAAGATCACCCTGGAGAGTGAGGTTGGAGACCACCATGGGGGACAAGGAAACAGGTAGGTGGTGGTGGAGGGCATCTAAGGGAGAGATGACCATGGCCGGGACCAAGATGCTGTGGAGATGGAGAGGAGAGGATCGTGCTCTAGTTAGCTAGTACCGCATGACAGAGCTGAGCAGCTTAAAACTATGCAATGGATTTTCTCCAAGGATTTTGGGGGTTGACTGAGCTCTGCCGGGAAATTCTTGTATGGGATCTCTCATGCTGTTGCAGTCAGGTGATACAGGTGATAGCTGGGGCTGTAGCTCCAGCCAGGCCAAAAGCTCAGCTGGGCTGAAGATGAGCTCTTGTCCGAGGTGGGTTTTTCACTCACCTGCTTGGCTCCTGGGCTGAGATGGCTCAAGCAGTTGGGGGCTGGTGGGACCTATGTCACCCCATATGCAACTGACTGGGCTTCCTCATAGCATGGCACTCTCAGATTGATTAAATGGAAGAAGCCTGTGACCAGAGCAAGTGTTCTAAGAGGCTAGGACAGACGCTGCAAGGCTTCCTATGACCCAGCCTCAGGGGCCCCCAAATATTGCATCCACTACATTCTCTTAGCCAAGCAAGTCATTAAGTCCAGCTGAGGTAGGAAGCAGGACTCAACTCTGAAGGTGGGGCTCAGATACCGGAACAAACTGAGGACTAGCTGAAACAGGTTGGGACAGAAGCACTTCCCCATAAGACACCCCACCAGTTTGCCATGTGAGTTTACCATTGCTGTGGCAACACCTGAAGGTTACCACCCCCTTCCATGGCAATGACCCAGCAATCCAGAGGTTACCATACTTTTCCTAGAAATTTCTGCTCAAACTGTCCCTTAATTTGCAATATAATTAAAAGTGAGTATAAACGCAACTGCAGAACTGCCTCTGAGCCACTATTCTGGGTATGCTGCCCATGGGGTAGCCCTGCTCTGCAAGGAGCAATGCCTTTGTTTCTGCTGTTGTACACTGCTGCTTCAATAAAAGTTTCTGATTAACACCACCAGCTCACCCTTGTATTCTTTCCTAGATGAAGCCAAGAACCCTCCCAAGCTAAGCCCCAATTCTTGGGCTCACCTGTCTTGCATCACAGCCCACTTTCAAGGGAGGAGAAAAGAGATTCTCCTGTTTCATGTGAGGAGCAGCATGCCCCTGTGGGAAGGGAAGAGTTGGTGGGGGTCTTCTTTGGATGACACTGGCTACCAAGGATGGATTTGGACTTATTGCTGGCTTGGATAAAGGCTTTTTGTTTGTTTTTGCTTTGTTTTGGAATCTACATGTTGAAATCAATTTGAACAGCAGGAAACATACATACTTTTCCAGCACAGCCACAGTGTTTGGGATGCTCAGGGGTCAGAGGCAGAAATGTCCCCAGCATTTCACACACACAGAAGAAAGCTTTCTGCAAAGGGCAATGGAGAGACTTTTTGCTCCTGGCCTAATAGGGAAAACTTGCCCCTTGTGATCTTGTTTACCTAAGACCAACAATTGCCTGAAAGTATTTCTTAGTGAATTTCTAACTTGAACTATTCTCCTCAAAGGCTGCTGCTGCAGAGCAGAAAGATCAGACTTGGTTTCCGCAAAACACCTGGACTCCAGTTACTTCTTGGCTAACCTAATGACTTATGTGACCTTGGGGACATTACTGAACTTTTTTGTCCTTTGTTTCCTCATCAATAAAATCAGGATGATAACCGTATCTCCTTGGAAGAGTTGTTGAGAGGATTAAATTAGATAATACATACAAAGCACTTGGCCCAATCCTTGGGAAATAGTGAGTTCTTGGTCAATGTCAGCTGCACAGTAATAGATGCACAACAAATCTGTTGTAATTGAGTTGTCCATGTAAGGATTGTCAGCTCGAAGCACTGGCTCAAGGATTTTATCTGTGCCACACTTTAGTATTTGTTTGTTTGTTTGTTTATTTATTTATTTAGAGACGGAGTCTTGCTCTGTCATCCAGGCTGGAGTGCAGTGGTGCGATCTTGGCTCACTGCAACCTCTGCCTCCTGGGCTCAAGCAATTCTCCTGCCTCAGCCTTCCGAGTAGCTGGGATTACAGGTGCCCACTACCATGCCTGCCTAATTTTTGTATTTTTAGTAGAGATGAGGTTTCACCATGTTGGCCAGGCTGGTCTTGAACTCCTGACTTCAGGTGATCCACCCTCCTTGGCCTCCCAAAGTGCTGGGATTATAGGCGTGAGCTTCCTGGGACTATTAGCCATAAAGTTTGCTTTTGATTCCAAATGTTAAAAAATTATATCTATGTATCTATCTATCTGCAATGCTGTTGCAAATATCTCATACACAGGGCTTTCTCTCCCTCCATAGTACCGTATCTCTCTTCACATCTTTACATTGCCAATATCTCACACTTTGTAGGTGGGAAAGTTTATCATTTGCTTCACTAGGAGATGTACACTCTTTAAATAGTGTTCTAATGTCTGCAAAAAAAAAAAAAATTAGCAGAGCTGTCTCTAGGGAAGCAGCCTTTGTTCAAACCTGGAAGAAATGAAGGGTTTTATTTGTGGAAATTGGGGCATCCGGTGCTGTCTACTTAGGGAAGCAGGATTTTTTTTTAACCACCCACCAACACCTACACACGCCAAAAAAACTAATAAAATCTCAGAGAATATATTAATCTTTTACTTATAGGTAATCTCCCAAGTTCAGGGCAAGTTTTTCTTCTGAATGTTGTTCACTCTGTACGATGGAAATGATCTGACTCTTACCAAAGAGACTCACTGAAAATCTCTTCTCTATATGCACAGCTTTGATCTCACACAATCCTTCCAGGTAGGGACACCGGGCCCCATTTTACAGATGACAGCACAGAGGCCAAAATTAATTAGGAACTTGCCCAAGTTCACACAGCTCATGAGTAGCCACTTCTGTCTGTTGTCTACTGCACCATACCCACCATTCTTTTGCCTGAGCCTGGATTCTTTCTTCTTTTTCCTTTTTTTTGAGACAGAGTCTCGCTCTGTCACCCAGGCTGGAGTGCAGTGGTGTGATCTCGGCTCACTGCAACCTCTGCCTCCCAGGTTCAAGCCATTCTCCTGCCTCAGCCTCCCGAGTAGCTGGGACTACAGGTGTGCACCACCACACCCAGCTAATTTTTGTATTTTTAGTAGAGACAGGGTTTCACCATGTTGGCCAGGATGGTCTCCATCTCTTGACCTCGTGATCTGCCGGCCTCAGCCTCCCAAAGTGCTGGGATTACAGGCATGAGCCACCGCGTCCAGCTGAGCCTGGATTCTTTCTATGTCTCAGCATCTCTCTCTGCTACCAGCCTTTGCGTTATATCCCACAGGATTCCTGGAGGTAGGTAGCAATGGGTAAGAAAAGTTTAGCAGGCAAAACCTCAGCAGACAGGCTGACACCCAGCATTCCCAAGCACAGATGAGACCCTGACTCTCTTGAGGAGCTTGGCACTCAATGAGTATTAGGAGTTACTGCTTGGTGAAGTTTAAATATTTGTTTATTCACGTATGCAACTAACATTTATTGAGCTCCTACTATGTGCTCAGCACGGTGCTGGGCTCTGGCGATGCACAGATGAATTAGACAGCTCTGCTTGCAAGGCATTCTTGAGGAGTTTGCAGTATAGTGGGTGTAACAGACATACAGAAGTCCTAGAAGCAAAAGTGTGTGGACAGGGCGTTGCCAAATTCCTCAGCCAGCTGCCAGGTACTGCTAATTCCACTGCCTGAACAGCTGGAGAATCCATCTCCATGACCACCACTCCGGCGAAGGCCGCCACTGCCTGACACCTGTATCACCGAGGCCAGCAGGGCCGCCTGACAGCCTGCCTCACTCCTCTGATCACTTCTCCACACCACAACTAAAGGGACAATCTGATCCCTGTTTAAGTCCTCCAAAAGCTCCTTGATGTCCTTTCGATAAGGTCTAAAAAGCAGAGGCAGGCTACACTGTAGAGAGTTGGACTCCCTCCTCACAGGTGGATTCTGGGTCTTGTTCACAGTTGGGTGCTAGCACAGGGCCAGACCCTGGGTGACCAATGATTCCAGGGGGTCTTTATGATACAGTGCAGTCTGGTGACATCATAATGCAAGCCCCCTGCCCAGGAGAGGTTTTTGGTCCATTTGAAGGACAATCATTGGTCAATCCAGCTAGGATCCACTATCATCACTTAATCGGACTTAATTTGAAATTTCTAAAGATTTTTATATGAGCACTCTGATTTAAAGGAGTTAAGACTTTTTAAAAAATACAACATAAACATATGACTAATACCAATTACGAAGCGTCAATCTGGCCCATAGCATGAGCCCTTATGCAGTCATATTTGGGAGAGATGTGGGTAGGCGGTAAGAGCTACAGGACAAAGATTGGTTTTGCCTTGCTCTGCGATCTTGGATGGGTTACTTACTAGCTTTAAACCCCGTCTAAAACTGATCCCTGCCTCCTTGGCCTCATGAAGTCACTGCAAAGACCAGATGAACACTGGCTAAGAAAGGGCTGTCCAAACCCTAAAGGGTTGTACACATGTGAGGGCTTGAGGCCGTGACCAGAGAAGGCAGCATCCCCCTTGCCACAGCCCCCAACACACTCCTCTCCCGGAAGTGGCTGGGAGGGTGTGCTGGGCTTATCTTCATTGTCCTATTCTTCCCCAAAGTGGGTCTGGGATGAGGAGATGCAAACCTCTACCTGGGTTTCCTGCCAGAATTCATCAGTTCCCATAAGCAGAGGCAGGAAGACCATTGGGCCATCCATCATGAGACAGGTTGCAGGGAATCTGGACCTGTCTGGACCATGTTTTAGAAGCCCTTACATGGGAAGAGATGTTAGACTTAGCGATCTTTAAGGTTCATTTTGGGGATTCTCTACAATTCTCTGACTCCAAGTCCTTTCCCTCAGCAGAAATCGGTTGTAAACAATGACAAGGATTCTAGCAGAATTGGGCAATTTCTATAAACTCAGTTTCTGGAAACTCCCAGGAAGCCAAGCCTTCAGGCAGAATACTTCTCCTTCCCCCAAAGAAGTGCAAAAGAAAAAGAGTACTGTTGATTCATGCAAGATGCCAAATACCTAATTCCTTCTGAAAGTCACACACCCTTCTCTCCCAGCCAGAACTCCAGATCCAGGAGGCTGCACACACCCAGAGGAAGGGACATATCATAGATTGGTATGTACCTGGTTCCCAAAAGCACGTGCTTTGCCTATCGCACATATGCAAACTTTTTTAAAATCACCTTTCCAGGAGCGTACTGGGGCCTTGGACATGAAGGTCAACTGTTTTTTTCACTTTGGTCCCCTGGTTTCTGGGTTCAGGCCTATAGTGAGAGTCATTCATTCATCCATCCATTTAATTTCGACACCTCTCCCTGTGCCAGACACAGAGCAGCCCTTGTTTTCACGTACTTCACAATTTATTGGGGAAAACTGTCAAGTAAACATAATTGTAGTACGATGCAATCAGGAAACAGAATTGCAGAGTTCATGGAATATTATGTGATTGTACTTAATATTACGGGAATTGTACAAGACAGGCACCCAGCTGAGCCTAGTGGTGTTGGAGAAGTCTCTGAGGTGCACATGATTAAGCAGGAGTAAGCTAGGTAAAGGTGAAGTGCAGGGAGCAGGGGAAGGGCGTTTCAAAGGGGACAAATGAGCAAAGGTCTGGAAGTGACTGGATGTGGCCAGGACCTGAGGCAGCTCAGCACTGCTGGGTCAAAAAGTGTAGAGCCAGGATTGAGGGGCACAGATCAATCACAGATGACTTAGTGTGCCCCACAGAGGAGCCCAGAGACACTCTAGGAAACAGGGGTGATATTGACACATGAGTTCAATGAATATTCAAGTACCTTTTAGAGGCCAGCCTCATGCTCAATACTGGCTTCTATTCCTTTTTGAAAAACACCTAAAATTCTTTCCACCTTACTGAAAAGCAAAGAAGTTCTTTAGGCTGAGAGTCGTCCAACAACTGGTATACAGTTGGTGCTCAATCGATGGTGATCATAGTCCCTCCCTGCCAGGGAGCTGTTGCTGACTGGGTAGTGTTCCCCAAATGATGTGGCTGTCCATTCCCAGGATCAGACATCTTTGCATCATGAAAAATGGCCCAACCCTGTAGCTAACATCCACAGGGCACATTGCTTAAAGACAGATTCCCTGCAACCTCTCTCATGATGGAGAAGAAGGCTGATTCTCTTAGCTCTCTGCTTTGTAAAGAAAATGGTTTTCAGCACAACTTCACCCCACAGCAATTATGGAAAATAAATTGAAGTGTAAGAACAGGGAGATGGCTAGCAGATGGGGCAAAATTAGCCTGGCTGCTACTACCACCCTGGCTCCACAGGACGCAGAAAGAGATCCTGCTCCTTGGAGTGTGAAATGACCACAAGATTAAGAATCAAGGCAGCAGCAAGGAAGCTCCTGCCTCAAGCCCAAGCACCAAGGAGCCCCTAATGGGGCCTCCACTTCTGTCTCCACTGATCCCACCTTTCCCCGCCCAAACTGCTGTCCCTGTGGGGGTTCCTCTCCTCCTTCTGGGCTCAGCTCCAAGGTCAGTCTTTAGAGACCTCTGCTGCCCTCCACCCGCATTCACAGTTCCTTAACCCAAATTGACTTTCTCCTTTCTGGAGTCCACTTTAGAAATCTCCTTTCCTTGTTTAAGGGCCACACGATAGCCCCTGCCCCAATGGATGACTGGAGGGTAGACTCACCCTCCTTCAGGGCCCTGCCTCAAGGGCACAGGTCTGTCCTTCGGGGGACCTCCATAGTTACTGGGTAATTAGTGAGCAGCCGGGTTTCCGGGATTCATTGCTGTGAACAGAGCAGCGATGCACACAGGCCCATGTGTTTAAATGCCCAGTGAGCCCTGTCCATTTTTTTCCCCCTCTTGGAACACTGAATATTTAAAGCCATTTTCTTTGTGGCCTTAGTTGTCACAGAAAGGGCCCAAGCACTGAGCTGGGAGCAGGGGGCTGGGACTTCCTGCTCCTAAGTCATTCCTCAACCTTGGGCAAATTCGGTAACTGTAGGGTCTCACTTTTAAGGAGTGTAAACCACATGGTGGGCACCAAACAGGATAAGATCCTGGAATTCTCTAGAGTTCAACAGTGGAGGTGGGGAGGGAGGGGACCGGAAGGCCTGTCCTGGCATTTTCAGTAGTCTCCACAGGAAGTTCTGTCCTGGCATTTTCACTAATTTCCAGTGACCCCACAGAGGGTCACTTGGAGACTCAGTGGCCAGAGACCCCACAGCGTACCCCAGCTCCTAGGAGTTGGCCTGCTTCTTGTTCCTTCCTAGAAGCTGGAGTCACATTACTGGACCGGAAAAGGCTCCTAGTATCTAAACCAACGAAGAAGGCCCTTCTTTCACAGCCCCCCCGCACTTTGGAGACTCCCACAACTTTACCTCCACACTAGTTTGCCCCCCGACCCAGGCCCTCGACACTCCCCACGCAGGGCTCCCAGGATTCGGGGATGGGCAGGGCTCGGGTCCTGGTCCCTCCAAGTGGGGGCTGCCTCTCCAGAGTGGACAGGGGACCCGCGGAGGGGGTGTCTTATCCCGGACGGGAGGGAGACGCTGCCTCCTGGACCAGGTACTGGGACCCACGGGCCCACCCCCAGTTGCGTCACCCGGCCCACCGCCCCCTGAGACATCACAATCTGGGGGCCGGGACCCGCGCCTCATCACAGCCGGTTTGTAACCAAACAATCCAACCTACAAACACCCCGGAAAGAAAAAAAACACAAGCTGGCCTGACCCAGCCTCCCGCCCCTGCCCCGCCCCGCCCCGCCCCTCGCCCCTCGCCCCTCGCTCCTCAGGGCCCCCGCCCCCGCACGGGGGAGTGAGAGCGAGCCCGCCGCCCCGCACCCGCCGCCCCGCGCTCGCTCGCGCCAGCCCGCGGCGGGGGCGGCCCCGACCGCGCCGCCCGCCCCTCCCCGCCCCGCCCCGCCCCGCCCGCGCCCGCGCCCCGCCCGCGCCCGCCGCGACTCCAGCTCCGCGGCGCCCTCGCCGGGTGCGTGCCGCTCGCGCGCCCGCCAGCCAGGCTCTCCGCGCCCGCCGCCCGCGCCGCGCTGGCCCGGGCTCTCCCGCCCGCGCTTCATGGCTGCACACGAGTGGGACTGGTTCCAACGCGAGGAGCTCATCGGGCAGATTAGCGACATCCGAGTGCAGAACCTGCAAGGTAACGCAGCCCAGGCTCGCCCCGGGATGGCTGGGCGCTCGGGGGGCCCGGGGCGCCGCTCCGACACTTGGCAACTCCCCCGCGCCGCCCCCGCTCGCCGGCCGCTCGTTGTTCCTGTCACTTGCCTCGAGGTGGGAGGCTGGGGTTGGATACCCGCCCCCAAGCCCCAGGGCGGCCAGCCGCGGCCAGGTTTACAGTTGCCCAGGGGGTGGGGCGCCACACGTGTGTGTGTTGTGGGGCGAGGGCTCGCATTTTCATTAGGGGGACGTCACCACCCCCTCCAGTCACCGCTGCGAGTTTGGAGAAGTTTGTACGTGGGCTCTTGGGGGCGGTGGCCCAGGTTAGGGAGGGGAGGAGACAGTGCGACTCTGTGTGTGTGTGTGTGTGTGTGTGTGTGTGTGTGTGTGAGTTCGCGCACTTCCTAAGTACCTTCGAGGCAAGGGGAATTGAATGGTGGGCGGCGCTTCAGGGGGTGAGTTGGGGAAAGCGGGGCCAGGGGTGCGGATCGGATCGGTGGGGTCAGGCAAGCACCCAACTCCAGCGGCCACTTTGCTTAGGGAGCTGCCCCTCCCCTGCAGGATCAGGACTCTAACTGGGGAGAGGGCGAGAGCCCCACCCTTCCCCCACGCTGGCCCCCAACTCCGACCCTGCCTGGGCACAGGACACTGGGACCAAGGCTTCTACCTGGGAGGTAGCTGAGAAGAGGTGAAAGAGAAACTCCAGTGGTGGAGAGCGGCTGGGTATGGCGGTGCCACACATGAAGTGTGTTTCTCTTTCAAAAGAATTTATTCAATGTGGAAACTTAGAAAGCACAAAAATATTTGAAGGAAAAAAGTCACCCATAATTTCCCCTCCACAACCTATCCACCCAACAGACAGGTGTTCTTCATGGAACTGTATCTCCAGCTTCTTTTTTTTCATATATGGGCTTTGCAGAACTAGACAGAACACCACTTCCGGCCCTTCTTCACCCACATTGACCTGTGCAGGTGAAGTTTCTGTAGCTGCTTCCCCTGCTGGCTTGGGTTTCTAGAGGGTTCAAGGTTAGGAGTGGCTAGGAGCGAGCTGGGAGGCCTGGGCAGAGAGGCGATGGGGCTGTGGGTGCCCTCCCCCAGCCAGGGCAGCGACTTTACTGTTATAGGGTAGGGAGCCCCAGCGCTGGGGGATGGCCGAGCAGTCAAGTTTAAACATTACACCTGATTGAATGTTTCCTGGGAGCCCAGGGTCTGCCCCACCCCTAGGTTGGGCAAGGACAGTGCCGGCAGAGGTGACCTCAAAAGGACTGGGGAGCCTCCTGGGGTGGACACTGGAAACTGAGTTTGCTCTGGGCCGCTCTGATCTCTTCTGGCTGTGATTTGTGTTAAAGGAGGAGGCTTGGGCTGGGATGTTGAAAGTGATCTCTTTTGATAATAAGCCAAGTGCCTGGATCCTGTTGCCTGAGAAGAACTGACATCCTGTTTGGGGGTGGGCATTAGTGTCTTCTGCTGGACTGTGAGGGTGTGAGTGTGTGTACCTGTCTGTCTTAGGCAACCATTGAGTGTTTAATAAGCACATACTAACCAATGCTTCGTGCAACAAGTTCCTGCATTCCTCTAGGATTAGCTCCTGGTTTAGAGAAGATTGATTGTTGTGAAGAGATGCCCCGCAATATGAACATTAGGTTACAACCAGAACGGTGGGAGAAGGCTTTACAGAATAGGGACAATTTGAGATGGGTCCTGGAGGTTGGGTAGGAGTTCACTGAGTAGGCTCCTCTCCCTCAGCTCCCAGTGAACTGTCCTCACTTTTAGGCAAACATCAGTTACAATTTAAGCATCAACAGGCTTTGCCATTAAAAAAATAAATTTTTAAATGTATGTATATGTTTAAATGTGCACTTATTAAGTTCAACAAAACTTTATGTATGAGTACATCTATGTAACAACCACCCAGATCAAGATGTAGATTTCCAGTACCCTAGATGGTCGATTCATCTTCTTTCTCAGCCAATAACACTGCCCCCTGACCACCAAGGGAGCAAACTTGATCCATTACTGAAAGTTAGTTTTGCCGCTAGAACCTGATATACAACTGGATCATACAGTATGTACTCTGGCCTTTTTTTTTTTTTTCCCAGCATTGTGCTGGTGTGATTCCTCTGTGCTCTCGCCTGTATCTGGACTTCCTTTCTTGCTGAGTACTATTCCATGGTATGGATGCCCCGCTGTTTGATGATTCATTCACCTGTTGAGGGACCTTTGGGTTGTGTGCAGTTTGGGGCTATTATGAATGAATGAAGCTGTCCGTGTCTTTTGGGGGCATTAGCACTGTAGAGTTACCGTGTCGGGCGTTGTGCTTTGCTTAGCATTGCTGAGAAGAGGCTGGGAGTGGAGATGGGGGCAGGCATCTGTCTTCTCTTGATTTTTCCCTTCTCTTGATTTTTCCTTTGGTCAGTCTCTTGACTGAATGCTTAATAGGCATTTTCTCTCCTTGCTCCTGTGGTACTCAGGAAGTCTCAGCCAAAGGGCCGAGTCCAGAAGGTGCTCCACGCCGAGCTTAGTTAGAGCATCTGCCATAACTGGCTGTCAGATGTCAGATGGCCCGGGATGTGCCTGGATGATCGACTTTGGGGGCCACCAGCAGGGGCCTTGTTCTTCTGAACTCAGTGCAGAGGGTAGTCAAGTTATGGGAGGCAGGAGGAGTCCAGGCAGAGGGGCTGCCATTGAAGCTGTGTGCCTGCTTACAGCACAGATAGCCGCAGTTGTCGTGGCGATGGAAGGAGGGCTACAGTGGGATCTTACAGATCTCTAATCATAGGGATTGAGAGGGATTCCTGGCCTCCATCTGTAGGCAGCAGCTGCTGTCAGGGTCAGGCATTCCTGATTCTTTTCAGAAAGCTTTGACTCTCTTGGGGCCCTGGGATGGGGTGATCCTGGGGTCATTAATGAGGGGTAGCCCTGAGCTTACAACCTCTGGGATATTGCATTTCAGGGAAGAATAGTTTAATAATAGAGCTATATCTTTGTATCTTTCCATATATCCATAAGTTTAAGTTGACTTAGAAGTATCTTGGCCTCTGCTCACTTGCTCATCCAAGGCTTTTATCTCTCACGCTGAACTGTAGGATTCTGAAATCCATGCAATGTGATTGTGATGTCATAGGTCATCCCCCAAAAAACATTGGAATGAAGATTTCTCGACCTGTCTTTGGAGGTCCGGGTGAGCTGGGCAGAGTGATGGCCCCTCCCAAGAGGCCTGCCACTCACCTTCCTGTGTCTGATACTTGAGCAGATGCAGTGTTCATGGATATGTTCACATGCATAGCTCAAAAAGACGTTCGTCAAGGAGGAGCCCTCTGGCAGAGCATGGGCATGTCCCTCTGGGCAGACTGCCTGTGCCACCCTCACAGGGTCCCTTGCAAGGAAACAGGGGTGGTCCAAGCTGTTGACCTTTTTGGAGAAGAGAAGATGGAATTGCAGGATGCTGGCAGCTTCTGCCAGGTGGTCCCTGCTTCCTTGGAGCCATGTGGGAAGGCAGGGACATATTTTCTAGAACTGATGTTAGAGGTGGTGTGTTAATAGGTCTGCGCCTTAGTTCCGTACCTGGCTGGGGGCTCTGGTGTCCTTCGAAAGACAGGCTAGTCTGGCTGCCCCCTCTCCCTCTTTGTCTGAGCCTCAGGGTCCAGCTCAGTGTTCCACCAGTTCTGGGGGTCACTGTACTGTTGGACAAAAAGGGGTGTCAGGCCAGGATTTAAAGAAGGCTCCATTCATGTGGGAAGCCTCCACCACCCAAAAAACCCACAACCCTTCTCTGAGCAGTTTAGCACATGTGTGTCGAGCACGTAGCATCTTGCAGACATTGGAGAATGAAAGCTGGTTCTAGTCTCTGCCTTTCAGGAGCGTGAAACTGTCATGGGCACCCAGCCAGACTGTAGCTTGAATTTTCTGATTCTAGCGGTGCAGAGGTCAGTTCTGCTTTGGGCCATCCCCTGTCATTCTGGTGCTTTTGGCGTTTGATGCTGTAATTCTGGACCTGGACTTTGAAGGCCAAGCAGAAACTTGACTGCGTAGGTTCTGGGTTGCACAGTGCAGAAGGGAGAGAAATGATTGGAATCCCCTCAAGGCAGGCTCAGAGGCAGGGCAGGGCCTGCGTTTTCCGAAGGATCAGCCCCGGCCCATGTGGCCCACTTTCTCCTTTTGTTCCACTGGCTCAGGCCCAGGTGCAGGTGTCCCTCATGCGAACTTGGACTCCGCAGTCACTGACTTCTTTACGGCTTTCCACCCACCACCCAGCCACTCGAGCATGTTGTTGCTAAAGCCACCAGTAGGTTTTGTGACCTACAGCAGAGCTTCCCAACCCATGAGCTAAGGGCAGCAGAGTGGGGGCCTGGGCAGCTCTTTGGCCCATCCCAGGACAAATGGTATCATGGTCCCATGTGACCACGAGAAAAAGGCTGGGTTGCACTGGCTTACAGGATGAAGTCCAAGCCCCTTGACCTGTTGTGCGAGGTCACCTGTGGCCTGGCTCAGGATGCCACACCAACCTTCTCTCCCATAACTCCCCAACAATTCCTGCCCCCACAGCCCACCCCTCCAGTTCCTTATCGCTCCATCTTTACCTCCCTATCTCTAGACCTTCCTTTCACACAGCAGTGGAGCACACAGCAGTGGGATGGGATGCTGCCATGGTCACCGTTATCCAGCAGCCAGAGAAGGGATGGAGCCAAGGAGGGACCGTTCCTGTTCCCACCTCCGCCAGCTCTTAGAGGGCACAGCAAGTGCACTGAAGGTTTCTATATAAAAACCCAAAGAAAACCAAATGCACAGGTTTCATGTCAAGGAACTGCCTGCCAGGGCACTACCCCTGGGGCTGTGTGCCTGGTTCTAAGGGATGAATCATCATGTAGAAAGTTTCTTTCTGACTGTGGCTGGGGTCAGGCCACGGGCTTTGAGTTCACTCCTGATTACAACAGGCAAAAGGCCGTGTTCTAGTGCCAGCTCCATCCCTATCTCATGGTGTGGATTTTTCTTGAGGGGCCTTTCCAGGTGGAGCATTGTGCGGCTGCGGAAGCCACAACCAAGACCCAAAGGCTGAAGGCCTGAGCCAGGGTCCTGGCTTTGTTGCAAACTCGCTGTGAGATTCTGAAAAATCTCTCTCCCTTGTGGTTCCTTAGTTTCCTCATTTGCAAAATGAGAGGGTTGGATTATCTGGGGCTCAAATCCACCCCTGGGAAGGTGGTCAAGGAGTGGTGGGCCTGGGCAGGTGCCCACCTAAAGCCGTCTGCCTTCCAGCCCGGCATGCATGAGTGGATGGCTGGTGTGTGACTCTGGGCTCTACTAAGCACTGCTGGCTGCATCCTAGATTCTTTTCACTGTGGAGTGCTGGAGATTCACTTCCACCAAGTGTCCTGGGTAGAAAATGTTGCATTTCATAAGCTTTGCTATACAAGTACACGTGGTAAATGATGTACATTCTTGGCTTGTCCTTGGCTGTCAAGTTGAAGGTACCTAGGGAGGTATAGTGGCCAGCCCGCCATCAGGGCAAACAAGGGGCTCTGGACTCCACCCAGGCATGTTTGTACCAAGGAACGAGAGTGTTCAGGGGCCAGGTAAAACAGAAGCCCATCTCACAAATGGCTTTGCAGCAGGGAGAGGGAAGCCCTCAGTCCAGTTGGCAGCAGACCTAGGAAGAAGTTTCGCCACAGAATCACGTGTCAGCAGCCACGACTTTGCATCAGAGCAGCCCAGAGCTGCCTGCTGGCCCTATAGCCTCATGAGAGAGGCGGGATGTCTCACCAGATCTGCAGCTCTAGGGAAGCAACCCTTTGCCCAAGAGGCCCAGATTTCATAAACTGCCCTCCCTGACCTGTGGAACACTCTGGCATTTAATTTTTCACTGAAATAGCTGAGGCTCTGGACAAAGTCCCTCTGCCCGACAAGCCATAGATCACATCTGCCCTATGTCTGAGAAGAAGAGAGAAAAATAAAGTAATTGTCTTTTTTGTGATTGAACCATTAAAAGTGAACTCCCTGTTCCCATAGAAACCTTTTTATAAATTTTTTTTCTTTCCCCATGCCTTTTTTTTTTTTTTGTTTAAACAGTGGTAGATTGCGTTAGTCACAGAAGGAATTAGAGGCAGCATCAGAAATCATAAGTGCAGCATCAAAAAATGGACTTTTTCTTCCTTACCAGGTCTTCTTTTCCTACTTTCTTTCTATCGGAGTAGGGATTTGCAAACTACGGCCCACAGGCCAAATCTGGCCTGCTGCCTCTTTTTGTGTATAAAGTTTTATTGGCACATAGACACACCCATTTATTTGCATATTGCCTATAGCTGCTTTTGCAGGACAAGGGCACAGCTGAGTAGTTGAGGCAAAGAAGTACCCACAAAACCAAAAATATGTATCATCCAGCCCAGTGTAGAAAAAGAGGAAGACAGAAATGGAGAAAAGTGTTAGTAAAATGCTCTCAGCAAAAGAAAAGTGGTGTGTGTATGTGTGTTTTTAATTTTTATTTTATTTTTTTGAGACAGAGTTTCATTCTTGTCACCAAGGCTGGAGTGCAATGGTGTGATCTTGACTCACTGCAACCTCTGCCTCCTGGGTTCAAGCAATTCTCCTGCTTTAGCCTCTCGAGTAGCTGGGATTACAGGCATGCGCCACCATGCCCAGCTAATTTTTATATTTTTAGTAGAGACAGGCTTTCACCATGTTGGCCAGGCTGGTCTCGAACTCCTGACCTCAGGTGATCCACCTGCCTTGGCCTCCCAAAGTACTGGGATTACAGGTGTGAGCCACTGCACCTGGCCGTGTATGTGTATTTTTAGTGTGTATCTCTCTGTGTGTGTATGTCTGTCAGTGATGTTTTTGCTAAAGTCAGCTGCTCTGCCTTGGAACAGCAGCCCAGGATGAAAGCCGTCAAGATGCCCCCACATCCCAGAACTAAGGTGTTATCTTGGAACCCCTGCCACGTGCCTCCCACACTTGCCTGGTCATTGTTATCCCACGTCTGATTCTATCCAGAAGAAAGCCCCAACATCTGTGGACAAGGAATCACTCTTCTTTCCAGCAGCAGTATGTGAATATAGGGGCCTGGAAGGCTGGAATCAGGTTCGTGGGGTGAGGCCGGCCAGCCTCCCTACGGAGTAGGAAATGGGTCCTTGTCAGCAAGTATCAGGCTGCTATGCAGAATACAGCAATCTGGAGGACTTCCTGTAGAAAGTTAGGAACTGTATTTTCTGAACCCAGACCCAGGGCACGTGACAAGTAGAAGGTGCTTCTCGTGATGACAGCAGGGAATGCTTGTTGTATGTGTGGCAGCCCAGCCTTCTTCTCCAAAGGGTGCCAGACTGCCTGGGGTACGTTTTAAATCTGCTTTAGAAATGGGCTTACCCACTTGAAGCCTGGTCCTTTGGTCAAATAACAGTTGTCCAGTCCCCCTGAAATTCTGGGAGCTCGGGATGGAGGGGTGGGTGAATGGGACATGCTAGGAGTTCTCAGTACAGAGAGGATAGGGTTATGGTGAGGTTGAGATCAGCGTGTAGGAACTGTGGGTGCTCACCGTGGGTCCTGCAGGAGTGTAGGGTGGGGAGGGAGGCCCAGTCCAGTCTTGAGGGGGACATTTGCACAGCTAGACTGCCCTGTAGGTTTCTCTGTGAGTTTGGTGGAGAACACGGTGGCGGCAACAGGCCTGAGCTGAGAGTGTACAGACCAGGGCTCTGGTCACGGGGCTGGCACCACTTGGCCATAGAAACCCGGGGAGGCTTCCCGACAGAGGGCAGGAGAGTGGGACTCAAGGGGAAGGAAGAGGCCCGCATGAGTCACAGATTGTCTACCCAGGAGGCCAGAGAATGTGGTGATGTCATGTCACAGTGGTCGCCTCTATGTTCTGTATCCCTGGAATGAAGAAGGTGGCAGAGGATGGGGTACAGAGGAAAATCTGTCCCATGAACCCACAGGGTAGGGGAGCATGTGGTGGGGGGCCATGGGGTCAGGGAGAGCCCCAGCAAGCTCCTCAGCAGGACGGAAGCCAGGGTTGGGTCGGGGCATGCAGGATGGTGCGTCCCAGACGGGCCCATGCAGTTGACCTTCACCTTTTATTTCTGTCCCTCTTTTTATTTGGTTCCCTTGTGTTCTAGTGCTTCTTGGAGATTGTGGTCCAGTGTCCCCAAGGCACAGAAAAAGCAAGCAGGATTTGGGGAATTTACAAAGGCCCTGGGGTTGTTAGGATTTGGGGAATTTACAGAAGTCCTGGGGTCATTTTGGTGTTGACCAGAACTACTTTCAGCTCCTGCAGAACTGCAGACCTCCCGGTCTAACTGGAAGGACCCCAGGCTCCGATGGTGGAGGCACGCCCCACCCCTGCTTTCCTCTCCTGGGGGGTTCTCCATGCAGCCAGGAGGCTTTGCGATATTTATAACCCTCTCCTTTTTAAAACTATTTTTAATCCTCTATGGTATGACATACTTAAAAGCAGTGTTCTGAGCCCTTCCAGCTGAGAACTGGGGCGGCGGGTGGGGAGGGGGCTCGGAGGTGACCTGCCAATCTGGTGGTGGAGGAACCTGAACCTTCAGATAGCACTGTTCATGCGCCTCTTCCCTCGCCTCCCGTGTCCCGTCAGTCCTGGCCCTGAATGTCTGTCTCATTTGGGCCTTCCCACGTTTGCCTCCTTTGCACACATTCTCCTTGTTAGTTGCCACAACCACTGTCTATGCTGCCTCCAGTGTGCCCGTCCTGCTCCGGCCCTGCAACCCAAAGACTTTTCTCGCACCCCATCCATCTCTCCACCAGGGCTCTTTGCCCCTGGGAAGAAGTGCTGCTGTGTGCTCTGCCCCCACCTCTCCTGGCCTTCCTTGAAGGAACTGGGCCACAGCTGCACCCAGGTGTCTTCCGGGTTTGCCCACAGGCCACGCCCTTTACCCTTGCTGTGCCTTTGTCCACGAGGTCCCTTCTGCAGAGAATGACTGTGACCATGCCCAGAACAGCCTTTTTGGGCCCTGTGTGTGCCCTCCTGGACAGAACTCACAGCCCTGTGATCTGGACTCCCAGGGGCTTCACAGATGCCCTCTGAGCCCGCCTCTGAGTGGAGCCCTGAGTGAGGTGCACGAATCTTTGTCCTGCCAGCCCCTAACATGGAGCAGGTCTTTAGAAGCGTTGTAGGCTGGACAATGCCTCCCCTGCAAGATGTCCACATCCTAATCCCCCAAACGGGTGAATATGTCCTCTTCCTTGGTAAAAGGGACTTGGCAGATATGATTAAGTGAAGGATCTTGAGATAAGGAGATTATCTTGGATTATCCAAGTGGACCTAACTAATCACAAGCCTCCTTATAAGAAGGAAGCAGGAGGGTCAGAGAGAGAGGGAGACAGGAGATGTGATCATGGAAGCAGAGTTGAGAGCAGTGCTGCTGCAGGATGGGACCAGGAGCCGAGGAATGCAGGGACCTTGTGTTAGGTCGTTTTTGCATTGCTCTAAAGAAATACCTGAGTCTGGGTAATTTATAAAGAAAAGAAGTTTAATTGGCTCATGGTTCTGCAGGCTGTTCAGGAAGTGTGGTGCCAGCATCTGCTTCTGGGGAGGCCTCAGGAAGCTTCCAATCACGGCAGAAGGGAAGGGGAGCCAGCACAGGGCCCACCTCCAGCACTGCGGATCACATTTCAACCTGAGATTTGGAGGGGACACACACCCAAACCATATCAGGCCTCTACAAGCCAGAAAAGGGAAGACCTGGATTCTGGAATCTCGAGAAGGAACCTTGCCTGTAACCTTGGTTTTAGCTGGTAAAACCCATTCAGACTTCTGACCTTCAGAACTAGAAGAGAATTTATTTGTGTTGTTTTCAGCCACTAAGCGTGTGGTAATCTGTCACAGCAGCCACAGGAATCTCATACGCAAGTAAATAACAAATGGCTGTCAAGCCTTCTCTGCTTCCATAGAAGAGACACATTGGGGAGATATTTGCACAGCTGGACTGCCCTGTAGGTTTCTCTGTGAGTTTGGTGGAGACCAGGGTGGGGGCAGCAAGCTTTAGCTGAGAGTGCACAGACCAGGGCTGTGGTCATAGGGCTGCCACCACCTGGCTGGAGAACTCGGGGAGGCTTCCTGACAAAGGGCAGGAGTGGGCTTTAAGAGGAAGGGAGAGTCCGGCTTGAGCCAACAGACTCTTTACCTAGGAGGCCAGAGAAGGTGGTGTCGTTGTGTCATGGTGATCTCATCTATGCCCTGTGGCCCTGGGACAAAGAGGGTGGCATCGTCGTGTCCTCTAGTTGCATACGCTGTTGTGTGGATTTTGGGACTGAACATGTTCTGGCAGCAGTAACATCTCTGTTCTAATCCTTGTGTACTTTTGGAGTGGAGATCCATGAACCCTGGAAATGCCGTTACCCTAGAGCAAGCTGAGTCCTGGTTGTGTTGGGTAAACAATCTTCTACTTGATGTGAAATATCACAGTTTATTTAGAAAACAAGAGAGCATCATTAAAATATGGGTTTATAGACAGTTTCCGACTTTTGGTTTTATTACATCACATATCGAAAGTCCCAGGCTAGACATGCAACTTACAAGGGACTTCAGTTGCCAAAGAATGAAAGAAAAGTCCTAATCCTGCCTCACTGTTTCAGTGCTGTTGAATGATGTCGTCTGTGTTTCCAACCTCCCTAGCCTCCCTCTCCCTCCTTGACTGAACGCGGGATTAGCCCCACAATCTTCATGGCCCCCGTTCCATTGTTGTCTCGTGGTAGGTTTACGAAACCAGTAATGATCATGGATAACCACACTTCCCATTTTTTTTCTTCTGTTTCTACTTATTTTTATAAAACAAGGATGAAATGCAATCAGACATTCCAGTAATATTCCAAATATATGGCCATGCAGCTGAAAAAGGTCCCCCATGCGTGCGCACGGCTTCTTCCTTGTCAGGCTACACTGGGGGAGTTGCAACCTGAGTTACAGAAGACAATCTGCGGTATTGTTGCTGTTACAATATGTATAATATACAGTACATGCTATATAAAAATCAAGTCAGGGACTGCCTTTATTGGTTATAGGGCACTGATGCGATCATGGGGAGTGTGTGCGGGGAGGGGGTTGGTAGGCTGGGGAGAGGTGACCACAGTGCAGGACCCTGTGCCATGTCTTTGGAAGAACCCTGATGGTGGGCATTATTATCAGCCCTGAGAACTAAGGCTGAGTGAGATTGTCACAGGTTCCAAGCCATTGAGCTAATGAGTGGTAGAACCAGGAATCAGAGGTAAGCCTGGGAAGATGAAGTCAGTCAGGGGCTGGGTAGTAAGATGAGATTTGAATGTGGGGACATGGGGAGAGACTTGACCAGCACTAGATCAAGGACCAGGTGGTGCTAGAGAGGACAATTGACTTACTTGGAACCCAGAAAGAAAACTGGATCCCAGCTAAAGGATGTTGGGCAAGATGTCAGCCAGCTTTGCTGCTGAGCCTTATCACAGTCTGTTCAGTGGCCCAGCTGGTTCTGTTTAGAGTCATTTACACACCAGGTTTTCCTTGAACTAACAAAGTAAAGGCTGACTTCTTGACTGAAGATTTCTGCCTGGTGATTCCCCGGGGTGGATCTCAAAAGAGTGGGGATCTGAAGAAATTGAGGAGATGAAATTCTCATAACCTTGAATGATGGCAGAAGTGAGCAGAGGCAGCCATGGGAACCACCCTCTTGTCCCTGTGTTGTGTTATGGTGATGGCAGATGATAAAGCGGAGCCATCCCCATTATGTCATTTAAGGCTGACGTAAACCTCTGGGGCCCCTACTTCACAGATGCAGACTCCGAGGTCAGAGGGGCTCCGTGGCTTTGCCCTGTTCTCAGCGAGTGAGCAGCAGATGTGAGGTTTCACAGCACACTGTGATATCTCCAGGAATTTGCTGCAGCCCCCTAGACTCACCAGGCCTTTCTGGAGGCCGGTCTACAAAGGCTGCTTCCTCTTCTTTCATGTACACAAGCGTGGAGCTCTCTCTTGGAGAGCTGGCTCTCTCCAAGAGAGAGCTGGCCTGGCCTGTGAGTTTAACTCTGATCTAAAACAAACCAAACGTGTTACCTCCCGATTCAAAGCCAAGGGCCTTGGGTGCCGAAAGCAGGAGGTTGCCCCGGGCAATGGCCTGTATTGAGTTCCCAGGAGTACCTTGGGCAAGGGCCATGAAGTGGCACGTGATTGCTGACCCGTAGGGGACAGAGACATCGCAATGCCATGAGGTCAGTGAGGGATTGTGGAGTGGGTGAGGAAAGGAAGAGGAACAGCAGGAATCAGATAAGTGCTGCAGTCCTAGGTTGAGGCTGTGTAGGGTAGGCACTGCTACACTTGGATTTGTTGTTAATGATGGCTTGTTTACTGTGGGTTTGCCCAGGTAGACCAGAAGTCCTACTGGGTCAGGTGCTGGAGTCTGCCCTGGCCACCCCTGTGACCCAGGCTTAGAGAGTGCTCAGTTTATATTGTTGAATGCATGAATGTGGAATCAAAGGGAGAGTGTGGATGCTGGGTTTGGCAGAGTTGGATTTGAGCCTGTTTTTAGTATTGACTGGCTGTGGGTAGCTGTGAGCCCGACCATGTCTTTTTGGTGGAAAGGGATGATAACCCCAACTTCTCCTGGTTGCTAGAACATTCAGTGAGGTCATATGTCTTCATCAATGCCTGTTTCCCCATTCCCTTGCCTTTTCTTTAAGGTTTGTATGGAAAACAGTGAGACCCCAGCCCCTTTCCCTGGAGGATATGGCTTGCATTGTTTTTTAAGCTGATGATTTTAGTATTTTCTTCCATGTCTCTAAATAACATGCATGTATTGTTTCATCTTGATTTTTTGGTTCTAAGCTCTGGTTTCTTACTGTAGAAGGTGAGGATGTAGGACCCCTCTTTACCTCCTTTAACCTCAAATCTGCCTCCTCTCAACTTCCCCATATGTTTTCATCATAATTTTGATAAGATCCGTAACTGGGGTTTACAGTGTCACTAGTAGGTCAGTGCTCTTCAGAGCTTAGCTGTGTAGTAAATGATGGTCACTTTTCCTTACCTGATCTGCTTTTTGTTTTCTTTGGAATTAAATATCGTCTGCTGTTGCTGTTGGTCGTGGGGTATGCGCTTATTAATTCATCTGAAACTCTCTTACTATTCTAGATACCTCCTTAAGTTGTTTGGGTGCATCAGGTAAAGTGTCTCTCTTATCTCTTCTTTTTTTTTTGTTTGAGATGGAGTCTAGCTCTGTCACCCAGGTGTGGTCACTGTCTCTGTGCAGTGGTATGATCTCGGCTCACTGCAACCTCTGCCTTTTGGGTTCAAGCAATTCTCCTGCCTCAGCCGCCGCTTCCCGAGTAGCTGGGATTACAGACGTGCACCACCATGCCCAGCTAATTTTTTTGTGTTTTCAGAGAGATGGGGTTTCACCGTGTAGGCCAGGCTGGTCTCGAACTCCTGACTTTAAGTAATCTGCCCACCTCAGCTTCCCAAAGTGCTGAGATTACAGGCATGAGCCACCATGCCTGGCTAGTTCTCTCTTCTTGAGCAAGTCTGGGGCCTCTGACTTTCTTCAGTCTGAACTTGTGCTGTCCTCCACACCTGGGGCCCAGCTGTCACCTGGACTGCCTGTCACTGTCACCTGTGGTCCCCCTCGCTTCTCTCCTGGGTCAGATCTCCTGCTTCCTGCCTTCCTCTGATGGCTTCACTCGTTGCATACAGGAGCACATCCTTCCTGAGAGAGAGTGCCTGGGTGGTAGATTTACTGAGAATTTGCACATGGGAAAATGAACTTATACTCTAATTCTTGATTGCTACATTACCTGGGCATCAAATTCCAGGTTGGAAATGATTTTCCTTCAGCGTATTGAAGTGTTCCTTGCTCCACTGTCTGCCTGCTTCTAGGGTAGCTACAGAGAAGGGTGAAGTCATCTCTAATCCTCTGTTTGCATCCTGCTTCATGCTGTCTGGATGCTCACAGGAGCCTTGGTTTGTCCCCAGCAGCCTGAGACTTCAAGGTGACCTGCGTTGGTGCTGGTCTCTTTTCATCCATTATGCTGTGCCCTTAATGAGACCTTTCTGGAAACTATACTTCAGTTCTGGGAAATTTTCTAGGACAATCCATTATGATTTCTGTTCCTTGGTTTTCTGACCTTCTAGAACTCCTTTTACTTGGATATCATTCCTCATGGGCTGATCCTCCAATTCTCTTACCTTTTCTATTTTTTGATCCCTTTTGCTCTTTGTTCTGCTTTCTTTGAGATTCCATCAATTTTACATTCCATATTTTAACCTATCACATTTTTAATTTGCGAGAACTCTCTCTTATTCTTCAAAGAAGCCTCTTGTTCACGACTGCATCATCTTCTCATACGTGCTGAGGATGGTCATGATGGACAGGGTTGGGGCGGAGCTTTGAGTGGTGGCTCACACAGTGCTCAATGGCGTGGAGCCAAATGGCTAGTTGGGAATCCTGGCTCTGCCGCTTACTAGCTTTATGATTTTGGACAAGTTATTTAACCTCTCTCTTTTTCAAAGGCCTCATCGGTACAATGGGAAGAATAATACTGATGTCTGCTTTGGGAGCTGCACTAATTGCATGAGTTACTGGAGGTGAAGGGCTTAGAGAGGGCCTGGCGCACACTGGGTGTGATGGACCTGTGCACCCTTTCTCTTGGCTTCGCTTGATCTGAAGCTTTCGTGTTAGAGGCCTTCTTTCTTAGCTGCCTTATAGTCCTTGGTTGCTTTCCCCTCTTTAAAAGTTGGGGACTAATAAGCATTCTGCAGGTTCCGAGTACATGGGTGTCCTTCCTGACTGGAAGCTTCTCCCATAGGTCCCTACTGGACTGTTTCATGGGGACCCCCATGCCAGTATCTTTAGGTCTTTCCTCCCAGGCTGCTTGGGCTCCCCATGGAAGGGTCTTACAGTCTCCTGTCTGGAGGGTCAGACCAGGCTGCTGGGGGTGAGGAGTGGGGGGTTTCGGAGCTGCAGAAGGAAGTGGGCTTGGGAGGCATTGGTCCTCTGCATGTAGTATGTATAAAATCACTTAATCTGGCTGTTGTACAGATTGTACAACAATCTGTACAATCAGTACAATTGTACTATATAGATTGTACAGTACAATTTGCATTGAGATCTTCTCAGTATTTTTAACCTCTTCAGAGAATAAACTTCCAGTTCTGTGCCTGATGGGGGAGGGACAGTCACCCAGCTGGGAGATGTGGGGGAGGGGATGCACGGATCCGGCTGGTTCTTTCCTCTCATCCTCTTAGTGCATCCCTGCACTTTAACCCCATTTCCAGAGATACCTGCCACCACTAATTCCCGACCCTTTGGGACTTCTGGGTTGTAAATTGGCTTGGTTTTCATCCTTCCTTGCTGTCACTGAGGATGCAGATTCCTTTTTTTTTTTTCTTTTAAGACAGAATTTCTCTCTGTCGCCCAGGCTGCAGGCTGGAATGCAGTGGCACCATCATGGCAAACTGCAGCCTTGAACTCCTAGGCTCAATCAAACCTCCTGCCTCAGTCTCCCAAGTAGCTGGGACCACAGGCATGCACCACCATGCCTAATTTTGTTTATTTTTTTGTAGAGACAAAGTCTCACTATGTTGCCCAGGTTGGCATCAAACTCCTGGGCTCAAGTGATCTTCTCACCTTGGACCCCCAATGTGCTGGGATTACAGGTGTGAGCCACCACGTCTGGCTGAAGATGTAGATTTCTTTGAGTTTGCCAAATCCGTGACCACTGGTCCTTCTTGCTACCACCTAGAATTGTATTGCTGTCTCCCCTTCTTCTGTTCTTGCCATCGTTGAGGGTTTATTATCTAAATATGTAATGCATACATAAAACAAAATCCCTTTCCTCTAGGTTTCAATAAAGTTGGGAGATGGACTAAAATTAGAAGCCCAGTTGGGTCCGTCCTCATCTCTGAGAAATCTCTCCCTTCCTTTCCAGGCATCTCAGAACAGCCAGATGGGAGGCTGGCAAACAGCCAGATGGGAGGCTGGTAAATGGGTGCTGCCATCATCCTAGCTTTGGAGATTCCAAGTCTGCAGATGCCTGCTGGCTATGTTCATTCCATTTTGACCATTTCCCAGGCTGCTGCTGAATACTGGTTACCAGGAGAAATCGGGGGCATTGCAGAGGAGGCATTGGTCACACCTAATGGCTATTTTCTCAGCCGCACACTTTGGTTCATCCGTGGTTGAGGTCCCAAGGCGTGAGGGTTGGGGGCCCATATGGGGTGCAGCTGCAGAGGCAGAGGACGTTCTCTAATGAACTCCCCGCCAAGGTCCTCCCCGGCCCCTAATTGCCCATCAGTGGACTGAAAGCTCTTCTGAGCTTGGCGTGGCAGGGGTGGGCGTGGGGTTAATTTGACACCCCGCTCACCATCGTGCACTTGTTGTGATTACTGCTGTTTTAAAGCTGCAGCCTCTGCTGCACATAGGGTGCTTTGGCCCCTTGGGAGAGAAAAGCCACACCGCTGAGGGAATGAGTTATTTGGTAGAACATGCATTGTTTGGTGTTGGAGTCCTGCTTGCTTTTATAAAACCTCCTCAAGCCCAAAGCCACAGGCTCCCTGAGGGGAGAACTGGCTGGTGCCAAGTTTTTAAAGTTAAGCTTTTCTTCATGGCAGGATTAAAAGTTATCCTGCTTGAGCCTCTATCAGATACTGACTTTACTTGATCTTCTACATTTTTGCATGGTTTGGATTACCTGGAACTAGGAGCACTGTGGAAACACTCTTTGGAGACTCCAGTAAAGAACAAATCACTACCTGACCCTCCAGCACCGCTGAAATGATGCCTGCTTATCCTGCAGCCCTTATCTAGTAAACATAGTTGATCAATAAGAACAAAGCCAGAGAAAGGACAGGCTGCCTGGCCTGTGGTGAAAAGAGGAGGTGTTTGAAGCCAGGCCCAGATTTGAATTTTAGCTTCTTCACTTTGCAGCTGCAGCGCTTTAGCCAAATTATGGGTCCTTGTGGTGTGTTGGTCTCTTCTATCTGTAATGTCACTTGAACAAATAGTCAAGCCCTCCCAGGGTTGTTTGGGAGACTCAGTGAAGTCATGAGTGTTAAAAATGCCCAATACTAGTAAAGGGTTTTTATGAATCAACTTTTGTTTTTTTCCTTTATTTAAAGTAAAAGAGGAATGTGTTTGCTTTGGTGGTCAATCTCATTAATACCATTAATCGTTTTAAAATATTACCTAAATGTTGAAATGATAATACTTTGGATATAGTAGATTAAAAATATATATATTGTTAAAATCAATTTCCCCTGTTTCTTTTGACTTTATATATAACAGGGCTACTGGAAAATGTAACATTTTGTGTGTGGCTCATGTTATATTTCAGTTCATCAGGACTAGGTCTAGGCTAACCTTTTCCTTCCTCCCTCCTTCCCTCCTTCCTTCTTTCCTTCCTTCCTCTTTTTTTGTTTTAATTTTTTTAATTTTTGAGACAAAGTCTCACTCTGTTGCCCAGGCTGGAGTGTAGTGGCGCGATCTTGGCTCACTGCAACCTCTGCCTCCCGGGTTCAAGCGATTCTCCTGCCTCAGCCTCCTGAGTAGCTGGGATTACAGGTGCACACCACCATGCCCCACTAATTTTTTTGTATTTTTAGTAGAAATGGGGTTTCACTGTGTTGGCCAGGCTGGTCTCAAACTCCTAACTCAAGTGATCCACCTGCTTCCTTTCTTTTTTCGAGATGGGGTCTTGCCCTGTTGTCCAGGCTGGAGTTCATGGCACGACCATAGCTCAGTGTTGTGGTGGCCCAACTGAATGAGGTGAATGAATCGGTCACTTAGTCAGTCTGTTGGGGTGATGCTGGGGCATGTCAGACTTGGTGTCTGCACTCAGGGACCATGTTGTGGAGAGTACACAGCAGTAGTTGACACGTACTAAGTGAATTGTCTGGTTGGAGGTCTGGAATTTTTTGGAGATGGGAGAGATTATTGGGGTTGAGTGATCCAGGAAAGTTTCCTATAGAAGGACTTTGCGTTGGGTGGAGGCTCAAGTAGGTGGGGCTTGGTGGGGATGGCCTCCAGGTGACCTAGTAGGTTGGTATGAGCCAGCATGCAAGGGCAGGAATGTGCTGGTTGTTCAGGAAGGTGACCGGTCCATCCTGGGTGGGCAGCAGACCTGGGGATGAGGGAGTAGGGGGTCCTCATTAATAATGAAGTGACCTTTTGGATTCATTTTCCCTTGCAGCCATTTCACCCTGTGGACATGGCCTAGGCTGGCTGGAGGCCAGCATCCCTCAATGTGTGAGTGTGGGGTGGCCACTCCTGGCTTTTGGAGCAGGATGGTCCTCTATGAGTGGGATGTTCCACACACGGCAGGAGGTTTTAACATCCTTGAGTGAGTCCACAAAATGCCAGTCATGTGGCAGTCAAAAATTCCCCCCGCATTTCCACCTGGGAGTGGTACTGCCCATTTGAGAGCTGGTAGGGTAATAGGCAAATGAAGGGGGAGCTGTGTTTCTCCAAAGAGCTGTCCCCACTCTCGGACACACAAGAATTATGGGAACTACATGTGCCTTCACTCAAAAGACTCTTTGATGTGCAGCTTCAGCTTTGGGGCCCTTGGAAAATCAATAGTTGATGTAATAGCTGTTCTGTGAATTGTGTCCATTATAACCCGATACTCTCCAGTTGTGGGAAGAATCCAACAAAGTGACACAATAGTGCATGACCCTTTTGGAAAGTTACTTCATGGAAAATTACTTAGTGCATCAGGTGCAGAATCTGCAACTTTTATTTCTATTTTCTAAAATATTGCCTATTTTCAAGTCAAACCAACCAGAGCCCTTCTGATTCCTGAGTTAACTTCATGCAACAGCAGCTTCCTACAAATATTTATTGAGCGTCTGCTCGGTTCCAGGCTCTTTCCCAGGCACTGGGGATACAGAAGTGAGGAGAACAGACCTAGTCTCTGCTCCATGGCAGGGAGTCAGTCCCCCCGGTCTCATCGGGATATAATGATGGCTGTGATGGCAGACTACAGGGAGAGTATCTAACAAGGGGACCCTGCATTATGTTTTATGGAAGGCTGTTCAGAGAAGGTAGTGTTTTTAAGTGGAAATGAGAAGAATAAATGGGAGTTAGCCAGATGGGAGGGGGAGGAACGTTCCTTGCAGAGGGAACAACTCACCCAGAAGCCGATGTAGGCAGCAGCGTGGCTCATGGACATGCTCTATTGCCCTGAGCTAACAAAGTTTCCATTAGAGGTCTCCTTTGATCTGGAGTACCGAATACACAGAGCCCTGTGCCCTGCCAGGTGAAGATGGTCACATCTTTGCTGTTGGAGGCAGGTTCTGGATTTCTTCCATTCAGTGAAGCAATGGACTGGGGCGTTATCAGAGAGTCCAAAAGGTCTGTGATTTGCTTCTTTTAAAACAGGCTCAGCTCCAAAGAGGCTCCACAGGTTGGCTCTGACACCAGCCCACAGAGTTGGGGTGACTTTTGTTTTACTCATCTATGTGCTTTGGGGTGCCACTTCATTGTCACACTGTGGTGACTCCCGCACTGGGTGTGAGCCCTTTGGGGGCAGGATGTGGTCTCAGCCACCTCTGGGAGCCTGGCCCAGAGCTAACCCAGTGGTGCCCATGGAGTGGCCACACCGTGCCCCACTGAGCATCTGGGCCACCTCCATAGTGGGAGACGGGAGGCTGCTTTCCAATCAGAGCTTCCTGATTGAGCGTCTCGCTCTGTAGAGGCGTCTCTATGTTGGGGTGAAATTTCCGCAGGATAGGTTCCTAGAAAAACAATGATGAGGTCAAACATTTTATTGCCCTTGGTCAACATTTATGCTTGACTGCCATTCTGTTTCTTTCAGGGTATAGGTTTCTGGGTCCCCCCAAACTCCTGTCACTTGGCACTTAACACAGAAAAATGAAAGAACTATTGAGCTAGTTCTAATGGAAGGCGAGAATGAAAATGAGGAGGAAAGGTAACCAAAGGTTGGGCAGGGAAGGGAGAGGGCCAGCACAGGTCAGGTCTGCGACACTGGATTTAAATGCAGAAAAAATCCAAGTGGGAGGTGGTGGCATAGGGTGATGATCACACAGCTTAGAGCCCACAGCCTGGACTCGAATCTTGGCTCTGCCTCTTTGTAGCAGGGTCTCTTCCAACCTCAGAAGCCCTGTTTGCATCCCATCATTTACCTTCTACTTCCTAGTGGGCGTGGACAGGTTGCTGTCTCCCCACTGCATTGTGAGTCCTTGTGGACAGCAGCCCTGCTCTCATCCTCCTGTGTCTCCAGCACCTGGTGCTGCACCTGGTGCAGCATAGGCACTTAGCAAACAGTGGCATGAATGAATGAATGCCGGAAGCCCTGGTGCGTGTCCCGTGGGGCTGGAGGAGAGACCTGGCTCTTGGACAGTGTTCTTGCTCCTTCACAGTGTCTCCCATTCAGTCATGGACCCAGTGGGGCCTGGGCACTGAAGAGCCCAGAATGGTCCTCTGGATCCTGGGTTTTTGCATCTGCTCTCTCCTGACTTGGATGAGCCTTTTTGTTAGGGAAAGGGCCTGCGGCAGTGGTGGTGGGGTTGGGGGGAGCACAGCAAGGACCCTGGGCAGCCCGAGTCCCTTTTCTCTACCCGCTGGCTCTCATTCCCATTAGACCATGTGCTAACAGGGCAGGATTTTTGTCTGGTTCAATCACTGAGGCTTCCCTAATGTCAGACACATAGAGGGCACTCAATAAATGTGTAAATGAATAAACATATGAATGAATAAACATATAAATAAATGAATGAGTGCTGGAAGTACTGGAAGTGGCTTTCTGTGGGGTACCAAAGTAACTGGAACCTGGTGGTAACACAGACGCTTGTAAAATATTGCTTGCAAAGATGCCTTAGAGTCGGGAGAACCTGGATCGGACAACCTGGCCTGTGACCTGAGCAGGTTATGGCGCATCTCTAAACTCCCTTTCTTCCTCTGTAATATAGGAATGGTAGATGGTACCCTGGATGTTAGGTTAAATATGCTTATTTATGTGCACCTGTCTCCATTTCACGGTCACTTCTGTCTCTCCTGCTGTCTTCCTTTGCAGGTATAGATGTACCTCTTTTTGCAAAGACATGAATGTACTCCTGTTACAGGTCTCCTGGTTTATACTTGGGCCAACGTTCTGACCCAAGATTAACTTAGCCTGGTGGAAAGCATCTTTCTTCATTACAAAAATTGTGTGTTTGGTGGGGCAGTTGCTGGCAAGTGAGGGGTCACATTCCTGCGACTGAGGTTACTATCTCTTTGTATGACTGACCCTCTCCACTTTGGGGTGCTGGATTAGTGGCCGTGTGGCGCCTTGAACAGTTTCTGGTTCCTTGCACCAGTTTGGTCTCCAGGGTGCAGGCAAGACAAGAGAGAAGCTTCTGGCTAAAGAGGATGCCCTTCTGATGCAGCGGCAGGCTACCCTGGAGAAGCTGAGCAGAACCCACCACTCACCTTCTGGCAGATCTGAGTCAGGACAAGGGAGAGAACAGGCTCTTCTTTGTGTTTTGTGATTCACTGGGGTATAAAATCTATTGGGGGGGAAGGGGAAGGGAAGGGAGAGGACTGCAGGCAGGAGCCCAGCTAGAATTGGGTGCCATGGTGGCAGCCGGGTGGGGTGGGGTTGATCGATGACGCCATGGGAGCTGGGAGAGTCGAGAATTCTGTGACTTTAGAGCAGGCCCATCCCAGTGCGGGCAAGGCCCTGGAGCATCTGGAGCTCTCGTGTGCTGCTGGGGGAAATGCAAAGTGGTACAGCTGCTCCGGAAAGTGTGGCTAGCAGTTTCTTGTCAAGTGAGACATACTCTACCATACAGCCTCAGATTTCCTCTAAGGTATTTGCCAAGGGAAATGGAAGCATATCCACACACAAAACTATATGCGTGGGTGAGCATACATATGCATGCACTCTGTGTGTGTGTGTGTGTGTGTGTGTGTGTGTGTGTGTGTGCCTGCCATATTCATAATAGCCAAAAACTGGGCACAGTCCAAACGTCCCTGTACTGGCAAAGGGATCAACAGATTGTGGCACATCCATGCAGTGGAATACTGCTCAGGAGGAAGAAGGGAAGAACTGCTAATGCACACAGCACAGACGAATCTCAAAACCCTTCTACTACGTGGAAGAAGCTAGATTCTAAATGCTCTACAGACTGCATGATTCCATGTATATGACAGCTTGGAGAAGGCAAAATTATCAGGACAAAAAATGGATGTGTGGTTGTCAGGGGCTGGGAGTCGGGGAAGAGGATTGAGTACAATAGGACACAAAGGAATTTTGGGAGTGATGGAATATTCTATCTCTTCCGTATGGTGGTGGTTATATGGCTTTATTTGTTTGCCAGAACTCACAGAACTGTACACAGGAAAGGCTGAAATGTATGTAAATTAGACTTCAATAAATCTGATTTTAAAGAGAGACCACTAGCGAGCTGGGAATCTCCTTATCACAGTTTTTTAATGACACTGGTATGTCTGTTTAAGCAGGACTGCACAAAAGTGGCCATTTTGGTTCTGTGACCAGTGATGTGCATAAGCGCCTTCTAAGTGATTTTTGAAATCCCTTCCTCCTAAAAACCACAGGAACTCCACTGAGCCCCAGGCATAGGCTTACTTTGTAAATGAGACTTTACAGGCTTCTTTCAAGCCTAGTAAAGTGATATCTGCAGGGAAAGCCACAGATAGGAGTCCAATGGCTGCCCTTTCGCTCCCACCCCTGGCAAGCACCGAGCCCAGAACCCTTCCTGGGAACACACTAGCTGGCATTCGTTTGCTTCCTCCACCTCCAACAGAAGGTGTTCTCTTATCCCGTCTGATGGGAAGATGAAATTCAAGTGCACAGCCCTGGAGTCAGACAAACCTAGGGGTGACTTTGGATCAGTCTCGATTAGGTTTGGCTATGAATTACAGGAAACCTGAAACAACATTGTTGTAAAGCAAAACACATTCCTGTTCAAGCTGGTGTGGCCCGCTGTGCATCAGATTATCTGCAGGTTCTCAGGTTCCTCTTAGCTCATTGCACTGCCATCCCACCATGTAGCTCTTGACCTGAAGACCCAAGATGGCTGCTAGAGCTCCAGCCGTTACATTAACATTTCAGGCAGCGTGACAGAAGGAAGGATGATGAAGAAGGATCAAAGGGCGGATGCTAGCTCTCTGTTAATGGAAGTTTCAAGAAACTGCCTGATAGCATTTCTGCTGACATCTTATTGGTCAGCACTTAGTCACTGGGTTGTGATTAATTGCACAGGAAACTGGGAAATAAAGCCCATGGTGCCCACCTAAGAACAAGAGGTTCTGATTCTGTGGAGGAAAGAGAGAATGGTTATTTGGGGTGGGGAAGGCAACCAACAGTCTGTACTACAACTTCCAGTTTTGTTGTGTTTTTACAGCAGGGCTTTTGATCAGTCTTTATAATTATGTTGTAAGGGCTCTGCCCTGGTGAATGGATTAGTGTCATTATTGAGGGAGTGGGTTAGTTATCACAGGAGGTGGTCTCTGATAAAATGATAAGTCCAGCCCCCTTCCTCTCTGTCTTGTGTGGTCTCTTGCCCTTTTGCCTTCCACTATGGGATGATGCACCAGCAGATTCCAGTGCTGTGTTCTTGGACTGCCCAGCCTCTAGAAATGTGAGCCAAAATTCTGTCCAGCATAAATTACCCAGTCTGTGGCATTCTGTTATAACAGCATAAAACAGACTAAGACAACGCATTTTCCCCCTGGAACCTCCAGAGGGAATAGTGCCTTGATTTTCGCCCAGTGAGACTCTTTTGGGCTCTGACCTCCCAACCTATAAGATAAGTTTGGGTTGTTTTCAGCAACCACATTTGTGGCAATTTGTTACAACAAGGGAAACCAAGGAAGCTACTTGTGATCGGGGGAGCCTCTCTGAGGAGATGAACAATGAAGAGTAGATGACGCCATGCAAACAGTTGGGTGCACATTACTTTGGACAGAGAAAACAGCAAGTGCAAAGGTCCTGAGGTAGGACCGAACTTGACTTGTTTGTGGGTCATTCATCTGTCATTGGCCACCTGTCACTTTAAGTGGCCTGGTCCTTTGGTCAACATGAGAACACTGACCTTTGTCCCAACGGGCCTCTCCCACCCCTTTGTTTTTGTGTATGTTTTCCCTTTTGCTCTAAGTGCTCTTTTAGCCCAGAAAACTGTGCATTCAAAGAGGGCTAGTCCAGTGTCCCTTCTTCTGAGTCCTCTCCTGACACCACCCCCGGGCAGACTGACAGAGTTTCTTCTTGCCATTCTCAGCTCTTACCGTACGTATCCCCTGTGCAGCAGCCACCTGTTCATACAGTATATCTACTGCCTCTGCTGGGCTATCCCCCCAGGGAGAGCCTGCGTCTTACTCACCTCTCTGTTCTTACCAGCTGGCACAATGCCTGGCATGCAGGAAGCACAGTGCTTGTTGAGTGAAGGATAGCTCTGCCTTCACAACCAATGGCTCTGAAGTCTCCTGCTTACCCTTTCCAGTGGCTACCCTCTTCGATTAGACTGAACTAACCAGCTTGTGTGCATTGCAGCCTGAACACATTTTCCCCAGGAGCAGTGGCCTCCACCCTGTAATCATGACTAAAATTGCATCGAGCTTATTATAGGGTCGTATGAGGCAGGAGCCCAGTAGGAAACTCCAAGGAGTGAGTCCAGAGGGTTTGATGCAGAGGCTGTTTACAGAGATGGGGCAGGAAAAGGCCACCAGCAAGGGCTGGTGCAGCACCCAGTGGCTCCCAGCAGCAGGGAGCTGTTACCATTGCCAGGCCTGATGGGCAAGAAGAGGGGGCTGAATTATAGGAGCCCCACAAAGCTATCGCCTGGTGAGGGGCACTCTGGCTGGAGCTGGGGGCCCAGGTGGAAGAATGCAGCCCTGGCCAAAACCACAGCTAAGGAGCGGGAGCAAGAGTAGGAGGCAGCAGAGGAATAAGTGATGTGGCCCCTCCACCCCACGTTGTCCTGCCAGCGCCTCCCATTGGCCAAACCCAGTGAGTAGCCAGAAGACCAGGTGCCCAGTGACACAACCTGTGGAGGACCTGCCCCCAGGACACAGGGCAGGGAGAGAAAGGAAGATGAAGTAGGAGGAGGGGTGTGCAAAGGAGACTAGCACAGGGATTTATCCTAATCCTCACCATCACACCTGAAAATAAGTGCCCTTTTCTACAAGGTAGAGACCAGGAGGTAACTTCCCAAGATCATGTGACTCGGAAGGGACAGGTGAGGGAGGGGGAGCCGGAATGTGGATGCAGGTCTGTCTCCAGGGCCTTTCTGTTGGACAGGATCCTTCCCCGCGGATGCCTCTTGGCCCAGACTGGGTGCAAGGCCTGCCCCGTGCATGCCAGACAAGCACACGTTCTGCCCCCAGCCCTTCTCCTTCCAGAGGTGCCCTAAGAGATTGTGTCCTGAAACCCAGCTTTTTCCTGCTTCATTGCAGCGATCTTAACTGTAATTCTGCTGTTCTGTTTTCTTGGTTAAATTTTGTCTTCCCCGTGCAAGCAGGGGCCATGCCTTTTCCTCATCTTTGTAGTCTGTCCAGTCCCTGGCACATAGTAGGTGCTTAGCAAATATTTCTGGAAATATAAGTGAATCCAGCCCACTCCCCCACCCATTCTTTGGCAGGCAGGCTGACTGCACGCACTCTCCTGGCTGTTTAGGGTGAGGTAGGTAGGAAGAGGTTCGCCTGGGGAGTGGGGAAGCCCTCCAGCCAGACTTCTGGCCTCCTCCTCCTCCTCCTCCTCTTTGGTGTCACCCTCCAGCCAGGCAGTGGGGCTGGCACCTTCCCTGCTGGCGTTTGGTAAGTTTTAGCTAAAACGCTAAGTGAGAGACTGAGGAGGGAGTGGGAGGGAGTTTTTCCTTGTTTTCTACTTCATGTTGCCTCATTCCGTACCACGTAGAACAACACCAGACTTGGTTTCTAGAGACTGCAGGTTTGTGTGATGGTCCCGAGACCCTTGGGAAAGGAAGGAGCCTGGACCCCATTCTCAGCCTCACAGGACAGCTCAGCCAGGGGATGTGTTGTTGCCTCAGATTTATTTTTCCATTTCACAAGCCAGAGAGGGCTGCGGGGCGGGGGTGGGTGGGAGACAGGGGGCGCAGTACACCCACATGTCTCTGCCCTTCTTATCCAGTGCTGGGGTCTGTGCAGCTCGTTCCTGCCTGCTGGGAGCAGGTGCACAGAGCCCATTCTCCTGGTCTTGAATCCATAGAGAATGACAGTGAAGATCAGAGGCTGACAGACTGCCTAGGGAGGCCTCAAGATATGTATGGTTATTTGATTTGATTTAAAAACAAGTCAGAGAAAACTTGAAAATAGGGAGGAAGGGAGGAAGGAGGTATTGAGAGAAGGAAGGAAGGAAGGAGGGAGGGAAGGAAGGAGGGAGGGAAGGAAGGAGGGAGGGAGGAAAAGAAGGAGGGAGGGAGGGAAGGAAGGAAGGAGGGAGGGAGGGAAGGAGGGAGGGAAGGAAGGAGGGAGGGAGGAAAAGAAGGAGGGAGGGAGGGAAGGAGGGAGGGAAGGAAGGAGGGAGGGAGGAAAAGAAGGAAGGAGGGAGGGAAGGAAGGGGGGGAAAGAAGGAGGGAGGGAGGGAAGGAAGGAGAGAGGGAAGGAGGGAAGAAGGGAGGGAAGGAGGGAGGGAAGGAGGGAAGGGAGGGGAGGGCAGGGATTTTCCATCTCATTTACCCTGACATAGTTATTGTCATTTTAATTTTTTTATTTCTAACCATCTCCCAAATACATTCCTAGTGGTTCTCATGGCCATGGACGGCTATGTGCAAAATTGCATTCTGCTCTGTGTCACTTACCCACTTCTTTCTCCTGCTCCGTGGTTACCCCTGGATGATCATGTTTGTGGCCGGTTGGATGTGCTGGGGTGCAATTAGCCATGTCCCTGGAGGAGCAGACCCACACCGGGCACCCGTGCTCTCACAGGCCTGCGCTTTTGGAGCTTCATCTCGCCCTCCCTGAGCTGGTTCATGTTAATTTAATCAGGCTATGCTGATTTCTCTCCAGCTCCCAGCAAATCCTAGCTCGTGGGAAAGCTGGTGTTTTTAGTGGGGGCACAAGCATAATGGTCCCCACCCTCCCCTACCACCAGCCTGGGAATCTGCAGAGCAGGTGAAGTCAGAGGGTACCGTCGGTCCCCGTGAGTGTGCAGGGCAGAGCTTGCTTAGGCTTTTGACCTGAAGTTATTTAAATTCAAGGACATTTCTTAGAGGAAGGACAAAAATCAATAAGGGAGACAGTAAGGCTTTTACTTACACCTCCTGGAGGGCCATGGAGCCTGTGACCCAAGATGCAGGGGGTGGAGGTGGGGGTGGGGGTGGGGGTGGGGGACCCTTGGGGGGCAGATCTCATTACTGGTGTTTGTTTGTGTTGTTATTTTAAACCATCCTAGGGGAGCTTATGAAATCTCTGGAGACTTTTAAAAATAGCATAGTTTCTGGTTTTAAAAGTAGTACATGTCCACTGTATAAAATATGGAAAAATACAAAATGTTCCAAATGATGCCACCCAGAAATGACTACCATTTACCTTTTGATGCATTTTCTTTTTGGGCTTTTTCCCTGTGAATGTGTCGAGTTTTAACATAAATGGTGTAGAGGGTGTTAAGGACGTGTAGTTGTGTGGAGTGAGCCGCTGAATTCTCTCCATGCCTCAGTCCCCCTATCTGTGAAATAGGCCCAAAAGTCAGACCTTCCTCTCGGGCTTGCAGTGAGGCCAGATGAGGACGTGGGAACACGTCAACCCTTGGCACAGTGCCAGGAACACAGTCAGTTCTCAATAAATGCTTGTCATTGCCATTAGCAATTTCAGTCCACCATGTATATAATTTTGGATCCTATTTTTTTTCACTTTGTGTTCTGACCTCAGAATTTTCCCATGTTTTAAATGTTGGGTAACCAGCATTTTTGGGGCTGCATGCGCATTCTTTCTGTGGCTGACTTAACTGCTGTTGGCCATCCACGGCTTCTCCAGCTTTGCATGCTTTTTGGTACCTCCTGCTGAACCTCCTTGCACGTTCATTCTTGTCCCCATTTCTGGTGATCTTAGAGGACAGATACCTAGATGTGGAAATATTGGGTCACAGGCTATGGGAATTTATCTATGGGGCTCTGAATAACGTACGCTCAGCTCACTTTTAAGGAGGAGGACAGGGCTCCCCATTCCCCAGCGAGGTTTGCTGGGGCCAGTCTGACTCCGTCTCTCCTGGAGCTTTCACCTGGGCTTGGTGTTTATTTGCAGAAGTGATAATCCCCAGCCGCACCTGCAACCTGGAGCTCTGGGGATGAGAAACAGCTCCTGTGGCCAATGATATTTCCAGGAGGATGTGTGTCTGGGTTTTTTTGGCACAGGCAGCATGCGGTCCCAGGTATTAGCCAGCCCCGAGACGCAGGAGCTGCAGGGATGCGGCTCCATGTGGGCGGGATAAATCTGTTTACAGGCCATCGCCATGGCTAGGCTGCCTGGCTCCCATTTCACAGGCGCCTGCAACAGGTGGTTTCCTGGATGGCGAGCCAAGCCCCAGGCAGACAGGAAGGCTCACGCCCAGGCTCAGCTGGGTGGGTGAATGTTGTCATCAGTAACCAGGGACGCTGTCACAGCCCGGGTTCCACTCTGGCCAGCTAAAGCTTTTTCCAAGGTGGTTTCTTTTTAAATTGTTCTTGCCCTTTGGGAGAGGAAGAAATTAAGAATTTGACAGAAGAGCGTGGTCAGCTCGGAGCCCAGCAGGTGCCTAGAAGGATATTAATAATCATAGCAGCATCAGCAGCTGCGTTCCTGGCAAGCACGTGTTTGTGTCATCTCTGCTGCAAGCACAGGAGCTCCATGTCCTTGGTATTATTAGTTATTCTGCGTCGGTATCCCTAGGCTACCACCCTTCATAGAACCAGCATTCATTGAGCACCTACTGCATACCACAGCACTAGGGTGGGGATAGGAATACTGAGAAGCTGTTCTGACGCTCGGGAGCTGAAAGCACCATAAGGAGGTCCGTGGGTTTCCTAGGGCTGCTGTAACAAACTTACACAAAGTGAGCACTTACAAGCAATGCAGATGTGGCATCTCACAGTTCTGGAGGTCAGAAACCTGAGGCAGTCTCACTGGGCTAAATTCAAGGCACTGGTAATACTGCGTTCCTTCTGAAGGCCCCAGGAGAGAATCTGTTGCCTTGCCTGTTTTAGTTTCTAGAGGGCCCTCATATTTGTTGGCTTGTGGCCTGTTCCTCCATCTTCAAAGCCAGCAGCGTCTCAACTCTCTCTGACTCTGTTTCCATCAACTGTCTCTTCTCTTCTGTCTTCTGGATCACATCTCCCTCTGTCTTCCTCTTATAAAGACCCTTGTGATTACATTTAAGGCCCTCCCTGAGACTACGGGAAAACTTCTCCATCTCAAGATCCTTAACACATCTGCAAAGTCTGTTTTTGCCACATAAAGGCAACACACAGACTCCAGGGATTGGGATCTGGACATCTTTGGGGGAGCGTCAAAGTGTGACAGAGTCACAAAGCACCACCACCCAAGAAAGAAGAGTGGGCGGGGCGGACCCAGGGCATCATGGTAAGGGTTTAGCACTAGGACCCATTGCACCTGAGTGGCTTTGCACACTGTGAAGGGCTCTGCAGGTGTCAACGAGAAACAGCCTTGGATTGGAGGCAATTTGTCTTTCATGTGAGGATTAAGGAGCTTTTCTTTTTTAAAGGTTATATTATTTTGAAGATAGAATTCCCAAAAGACATCCCCCAAAGAATGGACACTTTGCCTTGAAATGTTATAGGCTTCAGCTATTGTGTTTGATTCTTGCATGTCTTTAAACCTGTCTTAGGTGGCGATTACACACAAGGAGGCCAACCCCCTGGTGGGGGAGGTGACAAGCTGGCCCCTGAGCAAAAGGACCATGGGAGACCTGGCACAGTAGGCTAAGGCAGCCAGTGGGGATTTTGGCCTGATGGGGTCATAATATGAATGGCCAGCTCCTAAGAGGATGGGGATTGGGCATAAAAGGGAACAGAGAGGACAACAGCCGAGAGGACTAGGCTGTGGAGAAAGTGGGCAGCCCAGGAATGGGGCTGGGGGATTGGGGTGGGAGGAGCCTGATTGCTTCTTTTCCCTGGTTTGAAGCCTTCAATGCCCACGCCCTCCAACACCCAGGTCTTTGTTATCAACCCTTTTCTCCTTTTAGCATTTAAAAAAATTGAAGTATAGTATACATATGATAAGGATGTAGAACAACGGTTTTTTTGTTTGTTTGTTTGTTTATTTATTTATTTATTTATTTATTTATTTATTTATTTATTTTTTGAGACAGAGTCTTGCTCTGTCAACCAGGTTGCAACCTCTGCCTCCCAGGTTCAAGCAATTCCCATGCCTCAGCCTCCCACGTAGCTGGGACTACAGGCACGCCCCACCACACCTGGCTAATTTTTTGTATTTTTTAGCAGAGATGGAGTTTCACCATGTTGCCCAGGCTGGTCTTGCACTCCTGAACTCAGGCAATCTGCCTGTATTGGCCTCTCAAAGTGCTGGGATTACAGGTATGAACCACCATGCCCAGCCTGACCAATGGGATTTATATGAAGTGTCATATAACAGTAAAGTGTACAGAGTGCCCTAACCTTAGGTGTATGTGATGTGTGCACACACCCATGGCACCGCCACTCAGATGCAGGCAGAGGCCACATCTGGAACACAAGCAGCTCTCTCTGTGCCCCTCCCAGTGATACCTACCTCCAGCGGTAACCCCTATTGTGATTCCCAGCACCATGCTGAATGTTGATTGTTTGGGAACTTTTGCATAAATGGATCCTGCAGTGGATTCTTTGTGTGTTGGCTTCTTTTGCTTGATAGTTGGCGAGATCCAGAGATCCATGCAAGTTGTGAGTTAATTCTTTTTCATTGCTGTGTAGTATTCCTTTGTGCGACTGTACCATGTCTGTTCTCCTGTTGATGGACAAGTGGATTGATCCCAGTTTTTGGCTATTATGAATGTGCTGTGAAGAACACTCTTGGGCATGTCTTTTGGTGGACACAAGCGCTTGTTTCTTCTGGCTTATACACAGGGGTGGAATTGTGGAATCAAAGGGTCAGCATGTTTTATTTTTTGTGGATGCTGCCAAACAGTTTTTGAAAGTGGCACCAATTTACAGCCTGCCAGCCAGCAATGCATTGATGTGAGCTGAAACTTCTTGATGTGTTTTGTGAGGTGTTTAAGCATAGGATCTGCCAATCTCTTCAGCCTTGTGCTTCATCACCTAGCAGAACCCTGTGCTCCAGCTGCTGTAGTTTCCATTGTTCAGATGTGCCTGATCTGTCTTACCTCTCGGCCTTTGCATCTGCTATTCCCTCTGCCTAGCGCACTGTTCCTTCCCCAGCCCTGCCTTCTCACTGGCTCACTCCTCTTTAAGGCTTCTCTTAGGCTTATCTCTTTCAAAAGCCTACTGTGATCCCAAAACCTCATTAGGTGCCCTCCCAGGGCACCTTAGTCCTCTGGATCAGCCACATCATGGCTGTTGCAACTCTGGTTTGCAGCTGTTCACGTAAGTCCTCTAAGAGTAGGACTTTGTGATAAGGCCCCTGCCTTAGGATACAGGTCTTCTGTGGGGGATACCACTGTGGCAGTATAGAAATTGTACGTGGGTTTAGAAGTAGAAAGCCCATGTGCTCTTCCAGGCCCCACTATGCTGTGGTTGTGAGATCTTAGACAGGTTACTTGACTGTTATGATTCTGTTTTCTCTGCTGCAAAATGGGCATAAAACCTGTCCAAGTCACAGACTAATGAACTAATGAACCATGAACTAATGAACAGGAAATCTTTGTACTCTGGTAGGTGATGCCTTGGTGTGCACTGAGAATCTTGATAGCCAGTAATTACGGTGGGTTGGTTGAGAGCACAGGGAGGGAAATGCAGATAGCTGGCTAGGAGCCTCTCTGCCCTCCAGAAACAGGGCTGTATGGAGAGAGGCTGATGACCTTGGACTGGAGGCTGCAGGATCCCAAGAAAGACCCAGAATCCCAGGGCATCTCCTCCCTGCAAGCCAGTGTTGTCTGAGCTTTATGGACATCTTCCAATGCTAAACCATTGAAGCTGTCATTCTCAAAGTGAGGTTCCTGGCCAGCAGCATCAGCATCACCCAGGACCTTGTTGCAACTGCAGATTCTCAGGCTCCACCTCAGCCTACTGCATCAGGAACTCTGGATGTGGGGCCTGGTGCTTCTGATGGGTGCTCAAGTTTAACAACCATGGCACTGCAGGAAGGGTGCTGCTCTCAGACCCTCCTCTCTCCCTCTCCAAGTAAGTGACAAACAGGGATCCAGCTGCTGCCTGCTACAGCATCCAGCATCCCAGAGATGCCTGAACATCGCGCCATGCTGAGAAGGGCGGGCAGGTTGAGGCAGGCCCAGCATACTTGGCTCTGTAGTTTGCATGTTGCATGTGGCCTCCATGGAGCCTGGCCACGGAGCTGGGCTAGAAAGTGACGGGGACAGTTCCCATCAGACAGAGGGTTTGTGCACAGAGAGGGCTGGCAGAAGCGGGGAGGTTTTTATTTATTTGTATAGATGTAAGCTTTGTTGCTCAAATCACAGGATTTCCCTGGTTTGCAAAGTCAGACCATTAGAATTGCCCCTCCTCTGTGCAAATTCACAGGAGGGAAGATAGGAGGCAAGGCACAAGGGGCCCTTCAGGCAAGGCTGGGATTCTAGTGAAGGTGACAGAAGCAAAATGTGGTAGCCTTGCGGGGATGACAAGACCTGGGAGGCAGCTCACGTGTGGCATCTGGCCTTTTTGTGTTAGTTGTTGGTTCTCCCTCCCAAATCATAGATGCCACCTTTCACAGCCTGGGTCTGCCTGTCTGCAAAGTTGCATGCAAACTTTCTGTGGGGTCACGTGGTGAGCAGAGGCTGGCACACACAGGTGTTGAGTGAGACCCTGATGATCCCTGACTGATCTACCGTGAGACACGTGCTCTCTCTTCAGGGCCTTTGAACTCACTGTTCTCTCTGCCTCATGGAAGGGCAGTCCCCTCCCTGCAGACTCTTGGTCTTTATGTCTTCAACTCCCATTAATTTTATAATTTTTTGGGGGTAAAATGACATTTTTATTTTGGGTGAAAACATTTTGTAACTGAGCCGAAAATCACACAACATAAAATTAACCATTTTAAAATGTGTAATTCAGTAAGATTTAGTACATTCAGAGTGTACAACCATTACCACTATCTTATTCCAAAAGTTTCATCACCCCCAAAGAAGACCCAACACATTAAGGAGTCACTCCCCATTTACCATCCCTCTATCTCCTGGAAACCACTAAACTGCTTTCTGTCTCTATGGATTTACTTATTCTAGATACTTCATTTAAATGGAAGCAGATAATATGTAACCTGTGCCTGGCTTCTTAGCATAATGTTTTTGAGGTTCATCCATGTTGTAGCATGCATCAATGCTTTATTCCTCTTTATGGCTAAATAATATTCCATTGTATGGCTATTACCTCTTGCCTCTCCATCTTCCCACCTCATTGTCTAGGACTTACTAGTGAAGTAAATTTCAGATGTTGTTCCATTTCATTCATAAATACTTTAGTATTTTTCTTTAAAAGATAAGGACTTTTTAAAAAGCATAACCACATTACCATGATCACACCTGAAATAATTAATAATATCCTTAATATCAAATAGCCAGAGGAAGAAGTTTTTCAGCCTGACATTTGATGCCCAAGCTTGCTTCGTCTCCACTCTTCTCCCCTTCCTCCTCCTCCTCCACTTCCCATAGGTCAGAGATGATCTTGCATGCACTTTACCATGTGGTCCTATATGAATCAATTGTTGGTGGCTACCTGGAGTGCTGAGTGCAGAAGGATTTTGAAGTGAAGTCTGGGATGGGTGGGAAAGAGTGCCGTGGTTGATTAACAATGCCTGCTGTGGACATGAGTGGAGGGTGTGGCCGTACCATGGAGCTTATACCTTATCCACATATCCCAGTGATCTCGCCTGTTACATACCCAGCTCAAAAGTCCACCTCATCCTGGAGCATATATCTTAGCCACATATCCCAGTGATCTCACCTGTAATATACCCAGTGCAAATGTCCACTCTTCTAAAAGATTTTCTCAGATCCTCCAGTTATGATTAGTCTTTTCCTTTATGGGACTCTGTGGGGCCTGTCATACGTGTCTAGGGGAGGAAGGCATGTTCTACAATTTACCCAGTGTTTCCCTAGCTTGTGTGTCAACAGCACAGAAGACAGCACTGCTTCTCCAGAGGCCCAGACAGCGTTCACATGCAGGCCCTACCTTGCTGGGCCCAGATTCTCTCTCCCACACACATTTAAATTTCATACTCTCCTTTCCTGGAAGAGAATTTGATGACTTAAAAGATTGATTCTAATGGATATATTTCCAGGTACTAGTTGGGGATGGGTGGTTTCAGGTTTAATTTTTCTTCCTGTTCAAAATCAAGCCTGGAAAGCCACATGTATTAGTCCGTTTTTCACACTGCTGATAAAGGCATACCCACGACTGGGAAGAAAAAGAAGTTTAATTGGACTTACAGTTCCACATGGCTAAGGAGGCCTCAGAATCATGGTGAGAGGCGAAAGGCACTTCTTATATGGTGGTGGCGAGAGAAAATGAGAAAGAAACAAAAGTGTAAACCTTTGATAAACCCATCAAATCTCATGAGACTTAATCATTACCATGAGAATAGCATGAGAAAGACTGGCCCCCATGATTCAATTACCTCCCCCTGGGTCCCTCCCACAACACGTGGAAATTCTCGGAGATACAATTCAAGTAGAGATTTGGGTGGGGACACAGCCAAACCATATCATTCCACCCATGGCCCCTCCCAGATCTCATATTCTCACACTTCAAAACCTGTCATGCCTTCCCAACAGTCCCCCAAAGCCTTAACTAATTTCAGCATTAACCCACAAATCCACAGTCCAAAGTCTTATCTGAGACAAGGCAAATCCCTTCTGCCTATGAGTCTGCAAAATCAAAAGCAAGCTAGTTGCTTCCTAGATACAGTGGGGTACAGGTATTGGGTAAATACAGCCATTCAAAATGGGAGAAATTGGCCAAAAAAAGGGGTTACAGGGCCTGTGCAAGTCTGAAATTTGGGGGTGGGGGGCACCAAAATTTAAAGCTCCAAAATGATCTTTGACTCCAGATCATGCTGATGCAAGAGGTGGGTTCCCATGGTCTTGGGCAGCTCCCCACCTGTGGCTTTGCAGGGTACAGCCTCCCTCCTGGCTGTTTTCACATGCTGGTGTTGAGTGTCTGTGTTTTTTCCAGGCACATGGTGTAAGCTGTCAGTGGATCTACCATTCTGGGTTCTGGAAGATGGTGGCCCTCTTTTTATAGCTCCACTAGGCAGTGCCCCAGTAGGGACTCTGTATGGGGGCTCTGACCCCACATTTCCCTTCTGCACTGCCCTAGTGGAGGTTTTCCATGAGGGCCCTGCCCCTGCAGCAAACTTTTGCCTGCGCATCCAGGCATTTCCATATATATATCTGAAATCTAGGCGGAGGTTCCCAAACCTCAATTCTTGACTTCTGTGCACCTGCAGACTCAACACCACATGGAAGCTCCCAAGGCTTGGGGCTTTCACCCTCTGAAGCCACAGCCTGAGCTGTACATTGGCCCCTTTCCACCACAACTGGAGCGGCTGGGACACAGGGCACCAAGTCCCTAGGCTGCACACAGCACAGGCACCCTGGGTCTGGCCCACAAAACCATTTTTTCCACCTGGGCCTCTGGGGCTGTGATGGGAGGGGCTGCCATGAAGGTCTCTGACGTGGCCTGGAGACACTTTCTCTATGGCCTTGGGGATTAACATTAGGTTCCTTGCTACTTATGCAAATTTCAGCAGCCAGCTTGAATTTCTTCCCCCAAAATGGGTTTTTCTTTTCTATCGCATAGTCAGACTGCAAATTTTCCAAACTTTTATGCTCTGCTTCCCTTATAAAACTGAATGCCTTTAACAGTGCCCAAGTCACCTCTTGAATGCTTTGCTGCTTAGAAATTTCTTCCACCAGATACCTAAATCATCTTTCTCAAGTTCAAAGTTCCACACATCTCTAGGGCAGGGGAAAAATGCCCCCAGTATCTTTGCTAAAACATAACAAGAGTCACCTTTGCTGTGGTTCCCAACAAGTTCCTCACCTTATTGTCCATGTTGCTATCAGCATTTTGGGCAAAACCATTCAACAAGTCTCTAGGAAGTTCCAAACTTTCCTACATTGTCTTGTCTTCTTTGGAGCCCTCCAAACTGTTCCAACCTCTGCCTGTTACCCAGTTCCAAAGTCGCTTCCACGTTTTTGGGTATCTTTTCAGCAATGCTGCACTCTACTGGTACCAATTTACTGTATTAGTTCATTTTTCACACTGCTGATAAAGACATACCCGAGACTGGGAAGAAAAAGAGGTTTAATTGGACTTACAGTTCCACATGGCTGGGGAGGCCTCAGCATCGTGGCGGAAGGTGAAAGGCATTTCTTACATGGCAGCAGCAAGAGAAAATGAGAAAGAAGCAAAAGCAAAAACCCCTGATAAACCCATCAGATCGCATGAGACTTATTCACTATTACAAGAATAGCATGGGAAATACAGGCCCCTGTGACTCAATTACCTCCCACTGGGTCCCTCTCACAACATGTGGGAATTCTGGGAGATAAAATTCAAGTTGAGATTTGGATGGGGACACAAACCATATCACCACAGCATCATGCCATGGAGCACAGGGCTGGGGCTGAAGCCCTGAGATCTGCTCCAGCCCGACTGCCCTGTGACCTTAGGTGAGTCCCTCCCCCTCCCCAGTCCTCTGTGTCCTTCTGTGTATAAAAAGAGTGTGGGCTTCTTGATTGTGGTCATTTTTCCTGCTCCTGCATCTGACAGGCTCCAGTTCTGCTCCTGCAAAGAATGTGCTGGTCCTGCTGACTTGAGGCTGTAAGCCAGTGGGAGCAGGGAGGCTTTAGAACTCTCCACTGCTTTCCCCTTCCGGCCCTGATTCTGACCTTCTCTCTGAGTGGCTGCTCCTTGTCCAGGGGTAATATAAAGGCTTCCTGGGCTGAGGTGGCAAGTGCCTTGGAGATCTGTCCTTGACTCTTTGTCCTTGTGGTTTTTGCCTGCCCTCTGCATAGGTGGGGTCCCCAGGGGCCATATCAGTGCTTGTTTGGCCTCTGCATACTGGATTCAGCTGCCCCTTTCTGGCCACTCAGTTCTCATTTGGGCCTGAACCAGCTCAGCCTGCATTGCCTCATGGTCTGTCTGAACAAATTGGCAGGTCCTTTCTCTCCTGATATTGCTCTGATCTGACCCTTCCTATGTCGCCCCCCAGCTCCTACTCCTGTCCAAGCCTCCATCACACATGCCTAGACTACAAAAGCTTCCTAACTGGCTTCTTGGCCTATACTTGCTTCTCTTTCCAATATCCTTTCCATATGCTGCCAGAGAGATGTTCTTAAAAATGAAGTCTGGTTTGGCCACTCTCCATGGTTCCCTAGAAGTGCAAATCTTAGTGCAAGAAGAATTGTTCAAGATCTGGCATTTGCCTTCTGCCCCATCCTCTGCTCCTGCAAAATCAAACTGCTCATTCTTTTTGTACATGGTGTTCCCTGGACATTCTCTTCTCCAGCAACTGTGACTGATGAATTCCTACTCATCCTTCAGAACCCAATTGACATGTTCTCACTTACTTGTTAAGCTGATGCTCTGAGGAAAGTTACCATCCATAACCAGAGACACACAGCCAAATCCAACAAGTGTGGCCCACAGTAGAGGAAAATAGGGCAGCTCTTTCGTGAATTGAAGGGTGGTGGAGCCCGCCCCTAGCCTCTACTCTCTTTCTGCCTTCATCTGCCTGCATGGTACAGCCCTTCTTGGTACCAGAAAACAGAAAGAACTGTGACTTCTGACAATAGGTGACACTATCTGGAAGATTTAATAAGTGTTTAAGAAAACGTTGAGTAAGCTTATCTTGCATTTCTACACGAGGAGTACAACAGCAATATATTCCACAACAGTAAAGCAAAATAAGTAATATTACCCCAAGTGACTAAACAAGAAGGCTTTCCTTGAACTGGGCTATTGTTGGAACCAAGCTGATATGGAGTTGTTAGCCTATTCCAATATGTGCCCAGAATTAGAAAATCAATCTAGATTTTTTACATTACCTATCCCTGTTTCTCCTGAGCAGTAGCCAGTGATCACTGGTTGGCTCACAGGAATAAGCAGGGTCAGTCTAAATTGCAGAAAAAACTCAAAAACAATGAATGTGACTAGAATCTAATAACAGGTGTACCATAGTTTTTGAAACATAATTTTTCTTTCTCTAGTTCCCATTTTTATTAAAAAGAAGTAACAGTAGGACTGATTTGTTTGCAAAATGACTTTTAGTTTTATTATACTTGGCCTGATGATCTGTATAATGTGCAGCAAGAATAATTATTTGCCATATAGCCTTCTTTTTAAAAATTGGCTTTGCTGGAACCATAAGCGGTGACAGCTTAGACTTTTTAAAGCCTTGAACCCAGCCATGGATTTATTTAACTGTGTCCGTAAATACTTGTATGAGTTGGATAAATGTTTCTCATCTCAAGGTCTCAAGATAATTTGGGGCTCCTGGGCCTGTCAGAACTTTTATTAGTTCTGTCTATGCAGTTAATTCCTGTTTTGCCTGGTATTTATGAATATATTAGTTATCCAAAAGAGACTTGGAAGTTTATTTTTCCTCTCTGCATTTAAAAGTGCTTGTCAGAGTTCCGTAGCTGATTATAAACGACCTTTTAAAGAGGATTGAAACAAGATAACAATTGTCTGTGGATGACAAAAAGTCTTAGGGCAGCCACAGTCAAAGACAAAATTTACAAGGAAATTTGGTTACTTTCGTGGCATGTAACAATTTTAGATAACCATTGTAATTATTACTGATAACATACCACTAAGTCATATCAAAATTATAGGAGTTTCCCCTAATTTTGGAACACATACCAATAACATATTTATAAAAATATAGCCCAACAAAAGCCAAACACCATTTCATACTTGACAATGCTTCCTATATGATTTTAATATACCAAATAAGCCAAATACTTTTGGACTTTAGGGAATCTAATATCTAAAAGGATTAATCAGGTCAGAAAAAGACTTAATTTAGAATTAGATTTTGGAAAGTTTGTCAAATATCAAAGTTTTAAAACACTGTAAGAGAAAATCCCAGGTCACCGTAAGTCATTTATTTAGCCAAATAACTCAAAGATTTTAAACAAGCAAAAACCTCTATTCATTAGCAGAGGGAAGACTTAGCTTTCTAAACAGTCTCTTTTATTTCCCTTCTTTTTCCTGTATTTAAAAGGCAAATAAAAATCTTTTATTATCTTTTAATGTTACATGAAAATCTTGCTCAAGAGAGAATCTAGCCAAATTTTACCTTTGCATTAGTGTCCTATTAATATCAAACCCAATTCTTAATGAAACCCTGTAGACAAATTTATCCAACTTTAATCAGTTTGACCATAAGGTAATATTTTCAAAACTGTTTATAACCCTTTAGAATTTTTTTGTTAAAGCACAGACCAATGGTCTAAGAAAATCCTGTTGTGCTTTATTCCAATGTTCAATTTATGGAAAAACCAAATAATACCTCTTTAACTTCAGCCAATATGTTCACACACAATTTCTTTTACAAGATTAATCTTTCACAAACCTTCCACAACTTGCTCAAATCTTCAGCTTTAGCCTATCTAACTTAATATAATCCTTTAACCCTTTATACTAGGCAAAAAAAAAAAACAACAACATATTCTGATGCCTTATAATCTTTTACCAAAAATACATTCTACATTTCTTATACACCTTGCATGTAAAACTGTTTCTTTAGTCGTCTCAATATACATGTTACAGTGTTAACTCTTAGCAACTTTTATTTTTGGTGAAAAAGCCAGTAAGTAAGTGATTTTTGTTTTGTTTTGTTTTGTTTTTTGAGACGGAGTCTCGCTCTGTCGCCCAGGCTGGAGTGCAGTGGCATGATCTTGGCTCACTGCAAGCTCCGCCTCCTGGGTTCACGCCATTCTCCTGCCTCATCCTCCCGAGGAGCTGGGACCACAGGTGCCCGCCACCACGTCTGGCTAATTTTTTGTATTTTTAGTAGAGACAGGGTTTCACCGTGTTAGCCAGGATGGTCTCGATCTCCTGACCTCATGATCCGCCCACCTGGGCCTCCCAAAGTGCTGGGATTACAGGCGTGAGCCACCGCCCTGGCCAGTAAGTGATTTTAATTATGTACCAGGTGTGGAGCCTAGGACACCAGACAGAAGTGCAGATAAGGTTTAACTCTTTCCAGCATAGCCAGGGGCATGGCTAACTCCATATGTCCCAGGCCTTATCTAGAATCTAATGTCTCCAAAGTAGGTAAGCTGAGCAATTATCAAGTCATAGAAGCAGTTTAGAGCTTAAAGCATTTAACAAACCTAATATCTGACCTGCATAATTTAGACCAAATATCTACATTTTGAAGATATTTTTATTTTACCAATAACCTTTAAAACTATCTTTAGTTCCCAAAGATTACTCAAGTGACACGAACTAAAAGGTATTAAAGTTTTTATTTTTCTGACAAAATATTTGATTTAAGCACTTAATTTTCTTTAAGCCAATTAAGTAGAGCTCTTTTATATAAACATCACACACAGAACACATATAAATACATGCAGACAGAAGAAGATCCAGTAGTCGTAAGATTTTTCATTTGCCAGTTTTTAAGTTTAATTAAAATTTAATTAGATTACTGGCTTCAGGGTGCAGTCCTTCAAGGAACAGGGCCAGGAAAGCATGCAGTTTTTAGGGCCTAATAAGCGGGCACAGCTGGAAGACAAAAACAGAACAGATCCCCATTTTTATACTGGATCCTGGATCTCAAAAGGGAATCAGCACATCCCCCATAGGAGTCCTGTTTGTTAGTGGGGGTGGGGATGTTTCCATAACTTCTAGGCAGCCAAGAACATGCTTCTCTGATCCAAATATGCAAAGAGAGTATCTTCCCATTACTGCCATTAGCCATCCCTAAAAGTTTATTTCCCACCTATATCAAGGCTATATCTCTCATAATGCATACTAATTTCTGATACCCTAAAAAATTAAAAAAGGTCAGGTAACACAGTGTAAAACAGAACAAAGCCTTAGAATTTGAGAGGGATTGATCTACTTTCAATTTCTGGGGTTCCATGAGGAAAACAGAGTTTTCCCAAAACGGGATCGGTGGCACCTTCTCCCTTTTTTGCCAGGAGTCTCGGGCTGTTAGAAATTATCTTATGTCCTCTCATGTGGGCATCAAGAGTGGCAAGAAGATAAGATGGAGAAAAACGACTCAGTTCACCAAGAAGAAAAAACTTTTTCAGAAAAATAAGATCCAAGAAGAGAAAAAACTTAAAGGTCTTTTAAATATATGTATAGCTTGGATATCCGTTTTTAATTAAGCTGAGTTTTAATGAAATCTCTTATTCCCAAACTCTAGCCAGGACAAGCACCCGATATTGCTGGCTTTTGAACTTTTGCAAAGGTAACCTCCCAGGTGAAACCAATATTCCTTAACTAAGGTTATGACTTAACTATGGGTGTATGAGGTACTTTCAAAAAGGTGTAAGCACTTTTTTTTAAAATGAGATTTAGAATCTCCAAAGGTAGCTCAGAGAAAGGAACTTCAAGATGGCAAGTCAGAAGTTGTTCACGGAGAGGGAAAGAATCAGTAAATGGCAAAGGTCACGCAAATATCAAACCAGAAAATTCTTATTCCCTAGGCTGAGAATGAACCCAGGCTGCCATCATGAATAGACAAAGCCTGGCCTGGCACAGTGGCTCACGCCTGTAATCCCAACACTTTGGGAGGCCAAGGCAGGTGGATGACCTGAAGTTAGGAGTTCGAGACCAGCCTGACCAATATGGTGAAACTCCATCTCTACTAAAAATCAAAAATTAGCCAGGTGTGGTGGTGGGCACCTGTAGTCCCAGCTACTCTGGAGGCTGAGACAGGAGAATTGCTTGAACCTGGGAGGCAGAGGTTGCAGTGAGCCAAGATCGTGCCACTGCACTCTGGCCTGGGTGACAGAGGGAGACTCTATCTCCAAAAAAAGAGAAAGAAAGAAAAAGAAAAGAAAAGACAAAGGCTTAGCTACTAAGCTACAGCATTGGGCAGTCTCCATTGACCTCCCCAGAAGGAGCCTAGAGCAATCAACTTTGAGCTTGCAAAGCCTTTTAACTGCTCAAGATAATTTTTAGAGCTAACTATGACATGAATTCACAAAATTCCCACCTTCCAAATGGCGGAGACCAAGAGACAGAACTGCCACGTGGTTAGAAAGTCAAGCTCCCAAGGACATAAAACAAGATGAGAGGGAAACCTCATCCAGTTTTTGTTTCAGGGACCTGCAGCAGCAAAGTTTATAGTTGATCAGTGCTGGGTCAGCTCAAATAGCAGACTTACAGGGGTCCTAGGCCTGCATTATATCTATGACACACCTTTTATGACAGAGTGACACACAAAGACAAGTTTGTAGCACAAAGTTCACCAAATTCGCTACAGCCTAAGACTAGCCTCACCAGTCCTTTTTCCCATTAATCAAAACTTTGCGAAGAGACAATGATTTTTACCATTCATTCAACCAGTTTGCACAGAGAGAGGCTGAAGCCTGACTTGTAAGAAACTCTTGTCCTTTTGCCAGTGTGCCAGGTTTCTGGGTTCCCCTTCTCTGAATGGCTTTGATGACCCTGCTTGCTGTGCCATAGCTATGGGGGGGCCAAGCCATGTTACCCAAAAAAAAAAATCATCTTTTTCACTTTTATGGAACCATAGGCAAAAACCTCTCAATTTTGCAAGATGCCACACCAGGGGTTGCGTGGAGGAACTGAATTAACATTTTCCATTTTGGCCAGAGAAAAATATGCGTGACAAAACACAGACATTATCCACCCAGCTCAGTGTCCAGTATCCACCTGGCAAGGCTCAAATTCACCTCCATTGTCCCCTGTTGTCTTTAATCCATTCAAAGTGGGGTGCAGTGACCTCCAACCAGGAGTTTCAACATGTGGTCTCTGGGAAAGATGGAGAAGTGGACAGTTGCCCTGAGTGACAGAAAAAGATGGGAAAGGGAAAGGAAAGAAAGAAAGAGAAAAGTATTGCCTGCGGTGGGGTGAGGAAGGCAAGGAACTCAGGGAGGCCAGAGAAAGACCCACCCATCATATCAACAGTTCAGCCAGCCACTCGTCAGTCCCTAAAGGATCTTTTCCAGCAATCCCATCAGCTCCCAAGTTCCCCCTTTGGGGAGAAAAAAGCTCCTCATATCCCATGATCCTATGCATACCTAATCCTATCACCCACAGATGACAGCAAAGAGCGCAAAGGCAGATTAATCCAAAGAGAATAGCGGCTAACATCCTGTGGCACGAAATCCACTTTTCCTTACTGAGGGACTTCACCAAGAGGACCTCTCATCCCCTATGGTCTTAGGAGTCCCAGCCCAATTCCATCCTTTCCTCAGGATAAAATACCTCTAACTCAATTCCGCCCTTTCCCCAGGGTAAAATACCCAAACACTTACCCAAAGTTGGCTAATTGGGACTGCAGTTGATTTCCTTTGAGTCAGGGGTCTCCTCAATATCACCCCTTCGTGGTTTGCCAGGAAGGTGTTACTGGAAAGGGGTCCCAGTTCAGACCCCAAGAGAGAGTTCTTGGATCTCACGCAAGAAAGACTTCAGGGTGAGTTCACTGAGTAAAGCGAAGCAAGTTTATTAAGAAAGTAAAGGAAAAAGGCCAGGCATGGTGGCTCATGCCTGTAATCCCAGCACTTTGGGAGGCTGAGGTGGGCGGATCACTTGAGCTCAGGTGCTCGAGACCAACCTAGGCAACATGGCAAATCCCCATCTCTACAAAAAATACAAAAATTAGCCAGGCATGGTGGCATGCGCCTGTAATCCCAGCTACTCAGGAGGCTGAGGCAGGAGAATCACTTGAGCATGGGAGGCAGAGGTTCCAGTGAGCCGACGTCACGCCATTGCACTGCAGTCTAGGTGATGAAAGTGAAACTGTTTCAGAAAGAAAGTAAAGGAATAAACAAATGGCTACTCCAATAGGCAGTGTGGTCCAGAGGACTGTGGGTTGGCGATTTTTATGGTTATTTCTTGATTATATGCTAAAGAAGGCGTGGATTATTTATGAGTTTTCAGGAAAGGGTGGGCAGTTTCTGGAACTGAGTTTTCCTCCCCTTTTTAGACCATATGGGGTAACTTCCAGACGTTGTCATGGCATTTGTAAACTGTCATGGTGCTGGTGGGAGTGTCTTGTAGCATACTAATGCATTATAATTAGCATCTAATGAGCAGTCAGGATGGCCAAAGGTCACTTTCATTGTCATTTTAGTTTGGGGAGGTTTTGGCCAACCTCCTTACAGCATCCTGTTTTATCAGTGGGGTCTTTGTGACAGGTGTCTTGCACCGGCCTCCTGTCTTATCCGGTGGCTAAGAATGCCTAACCTCAGGGCAATGCAGCCCTGTAGGTCTCAGCCTAATTTTACCCAGCCCCTATTCAAGATGGAGTTACTCTGGTTTGAATGCCTCTGACATCTGTCTTCATACGAGACCGCAAGTGCCCTGAGTCTGGGATTTTTAATCTGCGTCATCTGTGAGATGCCTTTCTTGGGTATATGTACCTCCAGGGCTAGACCACTATCTGGCCTACAGTAAGGGTCAGTAAATATTTGTTGAAGGAATGAGTGACTTTTTTTTTTTTTTTTTTTGAGACAGAGTGTTGCCCTGTCGTCAGGCTGGAGTGCAGTGGTGCTATCTCATCTCACTGCAACCTCTGCCCCCCTGGGTTCAAGCGATTCTCCTGCTTCAGTCTCCTGAGTAGCTAGGACTACAGGCGCCTGCCACCAAGCCCAGCTAATTTTTGTATTTTTAGTAGAGACAGGGTTTCACCTTGTTGGCCAAGATGGTCTTGATCTCTTGACCTGGTGATCCGCCCGCTTTGGCCTCCCAAAGTGCTGGGATTACAGGCGTGAGCCACCGCGCCCGGCTGTGACTATCATATAATAATACTGCAAGACACACACAAGAATGAGAAGGCAGTCAGGGTCTTCCCTTCAAGGAGCCACACAGGGTTTAGAGATGTTCTTACGAGGCAGCGTGCTGGGTGTGAGCTTTGGGGACGCTTCCCTTCTATCCAGCGACCAGGGCCAGGTGCCAGGAACCTGATGGGGAGTGATACCTGCAGCTGTGCTGGGCAGAGGGACCACAGCTCTCCAGGGCTGTTTGCTACTTGACCACAATTAACATGATGACAGCTGACACACGACACAGCCTGTGGCTGCTGTGCATGGGCAGGGGTGGTAATAAGAATACCTCCTGACTTCGTGTGCTAGGTGCCACGTAGCCCTGGGAAGTTCATAAGGTGTGGTTAGACCATATGTGGTCTGATGGGGAAAGAGAAAAGACAGGCATTTCCAAGCAGAACGATGGAAACCAAAACCAGAGGAGACGGGGGAATCTGGGTGCGCAGAGAGCTCACGGCTAAACACGTTCAGGAGAAACCAAGCGGGAGCAAAGAAAGTAACAGGGGAAGGTCTGGATGGCAAATTAGGGAAAGTAAAATGGTAATAGCTGAGAAATATAGAAATCACAATAAAACATGGGAAACCTATTGATAAGCCAGAACCCGGGTAATGACACTGAGAACTACATCGGTAAAGGACCCGTTCTTTGTTTAATAACCGAAGGGGATGCCAGGTTCAGAATCAGACAGCTGAGTTGAGCGTGACCCAGCGTTGTGAGTTTCCAAGTGCAGGCTGGACTGGCTGGGAGGAGCGTGTCGTAGGTCTGAATGAGGTTCATGAGGTTCATGTACGATCGGTTTATCTATAGGATTGGCTTTGGGAAGCAGGGAGGCCTTAAGAGTGTGTGGCTTTTATTGTTGACCTAAAGTGTGTCAACAAAGTGGAGACACTCAGGCACGGAAGGGCAGAGGGCAGGCTTTGCAGAGCTATATGTCAAAAACACACTCACGTTCACCCACCTTCTTTCTTCACCTCCCCTAATGGCGGGGGTAAGATACCCAAGGTTATTAAATTCCCTGGACATTGCTGCAGGGGCCGGGTGCAGAATAAGTCTGTGGTTATTACGGCACCATCACAAGCACTGATGAGCCTTTCAGGGCCTTTCCTGAGCATGGCTTACTGCACTGGGAGTAGTGTTTATTTAGGGGTGAACCAGCCACAGATTGGAGTGTTAGGCCCTATCAGATGACGGAAGTTGGCTGTGCAGCATCATAAGTGAACTATAGCCTCATAAACTCCTTCTCCTTCTTCTCCCTGTGAGGAATCCTCCAGGGTAGGAGTGAATAGGGAGGAGCCCTTCTTGACGTGTGGCCTCTGGAGTGGGGCGGGTAGTGGATCCATTGACTCACCCCAGGCCTGGCCTCTGTGGAGCAGGAATCTCCCCAGAGCGGTCCTGGGCCAGACAGCCCAACTCTCCACACTGTCGCCTCTAAGCCTTCTGAACATCCTCTGGGGCTTCTCACCTGCTGGTGTCTCTTTCTGGAATGTCCTTTCCATCACAATTTGCAGGGCTGCTTTCCATCATAATTTGCAGGGCTGACTCATCCTCACTGTCCGTGGATCAGCCCTTTAGAGCATGCTAAATAGTGTGTAGGGGAGGGTGTAGGCATGCATATGCATTTTCTTCATAGAAGTGTAAAATATTTCATTAAGGACTCACACAACCACTACTGCATTGTTTGCTTTGGGGAAGGGAAAGCGGCTGGCTGCAGAGAGGGATGGAAGGGAGACATCACTGCATTCCCTTTTATTACATTTTTGGAATTTTGAACCATGCAAGTGTTTGTCTATTCAAAAATAATAAATGAACAAGGGAGGTTTTCAATATCTTGGCCCCAACGTTTTCCCTTGGGAGCGCATAGAAACAACTTACAATTATTTTATTAATCAGCTTGAGTTTGGTCTTTCTTCTGTCCCACTACACCATGAACTCCGTGCAGGCAGGAGCCAGGGCCACCTTGCTTCTTAGCATCTAGTCAAGAGCTTGGCACACAGCTGGACTCAACTGTTGGTTAAATTAAGGAAGAATGAAGCACTCACAACATATGGCTGGTGTATTGTCGTACTAAATGTGAATCTATATCCAAACTTCAAACTTTGAATGTTACTCCAGATGTCACAATTGTCCAGTGAGTTCACTGCCTGAATGCTTGAGATTCCGGGCCCCTGGCATAGGGCCTTGTGCATAGTAGGTGTGCAGGAGAAGCCTGTTGAGCATGTGGATGAATGGCTGACTTCATCTCTGGGTGTTCTGGAACTTCTCTCCCACCCCATTCTGTTCCTGGGTCCCAGTGAGGTTTGGGGCTTATGTGTTACAGCAGCCAGGATCCCTCTAATACCCTCCTCCTCCTCTTCCTGGAGTGCCCTCCTCCCCTCTCCCCTTCCAGCTCCTCAGCCCACACCCTCCTGGCAGGCTCCTCCTCCGGCTCAGTGTCTGCCTTTCTCCAGAGCCTGCTCCAGCCTTCTACTTGTCCTTCCTCGGTTTTGCCACCAGTAGGCTGAGGGCCTCGCCCTACCCACAAACGAAACGTCTTGTACACTTTGGCATTTTTCTTTTCACACTTTTCTCCATTCAAATGTTTATATTTTCTCTGGGACAAGATGCATGCCCATCAACAGAGAAGGGATAGATTAATTGCATAATAGTCACACTGTGGAATAATTCATAGCAGTAAAAGGACCAGCCTGTTAATACAGTAACACAGATGAGTCTCAAAATTGTTAATGGAACAAAACCGACAGGCACAAACTGTGTGATTCCATGTAGATGAAGTTCAGGAACAGGTACATTTAATCTATGATGATAGAAGTCAAGATAGTGCATACCTTTGGTAGGCACGGAGTGGAGACAGACTGGAAAGAGGCAAAGAGAACATTCTGGGGTGATGCAAATGTTCTGTATTCTTGATCTGAGTGGTAGTTATGCAGATAGATATACAGGCTAAAATTCATTGAGCAAGACACTTAACTTTCACACATTTTACAGCACTGAATCGTGCCTCAACTCAGGGAAATGAAAAAGACAGGCCTTATACCCTACATACTACTCTGTTCTCTTGTCCTTTTACTTTATTTAAACCTGCTGCCAGTTGGTAGATCTGCATGATAATTTTAGTGACTGCATAGTATTTCATTCTGTGATCATCATTTGTATCTTCAGACCAACTTTGTTCCCTGGTAGAAAACCCTTCTGAAATGAGGTAAAAGGAGAGGGGACCCCAGGGCCTTTGGTGCTGTCTTCGTGGCTCTCAGGAATGTGGCCTCTCTAGACAGGTCGGGAGAACACGGCTGCTGTTCTGGGACTGAATCGTTCAGAATAATTTGGCTTATCAGGAATAGTTGAATCAGGTTTCATCAAAATTAAAAACTCTTGTGCTTTAAAGGATACCATCACGAAAGTAAAATGATAACCCACAGACTGAGAGAAAATATTTGCAAATTGTATATCTGATAAGGGACTGTATCCACAATGAATAAAGAACTCTTGCATCTCCGTAATAGATAAACAACCCAGTTTAAAAATGGGCAAAGGATTTGAGTAGATATTTCTTCATAGAAGATACACGAATTACCAATAAGCACATGAAAAATGTTGAACATCATTAGTCATCGTGGAAATGAAGTACCACTTAATAATGATATGCCACTTCACATCCACAAACAATGGCTAAAATAAAAGAGACCATTACAAGTGTTCTCAAGGATGTGGAAAAATTAGAACCCCAATGCACTGCTAGAGGAAATATAAAACAGTTGCTTTTAGAAAACAGTCTGTCCGTTTCTCAAAATGTCACACATACCATTACCATAGAATCCAGAAATTCTACTCCTAGGTGTATACCCAGGAGAAATGAAAACAGACCTCCATGTAAAAAAAATGAATGCAAATGTTTATAGCAGCATGGCAGAATTATTCATGGTAGGCAGAATGTGGATGCAACCCAACATCTATCAACTGGTGAATGAAGAAAGAAAATGTGGTATAGTCATACTTGGAATATTAATCTGCAATAAAAAGAAAGGAAGTACTGATGCATGCTGTTCCATGGATAAACCTTGAAAACGTCCTATAATATGGATGAACCTTGAAAACATTATGCTAAAAGAAGCCAGTCCAAAAGGCCACATATTATATGATTCCATTTATATGAAATGTTCCAGATCAATGGAGCTAGAAGGTCTATTAGTGTTTGCCTGAAGCTGCTGAGGGGAAGGTGGAGAATGGAGAATGACAGCTAATGGGTAATCGAATGTATTTTTGGTGAGTGTGTTCTAAAATTAGATTGTGGTATGGTTATACAACTCTGTGCATAGACTAGATACCACTGAGCTATGGGCTTTAAATAGGTGTATTATATTGCATGTGAATTATATCTTAAAAAAAAATGAGTGAGGCACTTGGCTTGGGAAATAAGTTATTTTTAATAGAATTTCCTTTAAAAATTGAATGAGGTGATGGATGGGGAGATGGTCAACAAAGACAGCATGAACTGGACCATAGCTTGGCAGGCAGACATGGCACATCGTGGGAGGAGATTCCCTGCTAAGTGCCCGAGTCCTGGCCCTGGCTCTTCCCCTCCCTGGCTGTCTGACCCTGGCCAAGCCATTTTACCTTCTTAGGTTCTGTTTTCTTATTCCTAAAATGGAAGTGTGTTGTTAAGGGAACGCTAGCTGAGTCTCCGAATCGCGGTGGTTTAACATAGTAGAAGTTAATTTTCTCTCTCATGAAGTCCACTGCAGGGGCATGCAGGGACAGGCACCAACCTCCAGCCTGTGGATTGGGGTGGGGGAGGAGCTCATGTGAGGTGCAGGGGCCAGGCCGGAGAGGACACACACCCCTTACCTCCCATTCCAGTGTCCAGAATTCATCATGTGACCCACCTAGAGTCAGGACCCTGGAGATATGGTTACCTCCCAGCAGTATCTCCATGCTGTGGGGGCCAGTGGGAGCCTTTGGTGCCAGGCAGCTGGGGTCAGCCAGGCTGATGCTGGGGCTTGGGCATCCAGGAAGGAGCCTGGTGGGGTTCAGGTTGGCAGAGCCTATGGGCCGCAACCAAGGTGTCAATTACTGTCAAGCAGGAGTCCATTGAGACTCAAAAGGCCAAATATGAACATAAAGCACAATGACCTTGTCACAGCTCATGAGCTGGGGAAAGCCCTTTTAGCTGTGACTTGGGTCTGGCCATCTGACCACCTTTCCGTAGATGTACCACTCAGAGGTGAAGCATATTATTTTCCCATTTGAAGAACAATGATATTATACTCATATTGAATATCATATAAAAATAAATGAGGTAAAGATAGAAATGTGAAAATACATAAAGATATTTTACATGTAATTGTTTAATACATTCATATATAACACAGTAGAAATCATAAGATTTTTTATTGTAATGCTCATAAAACATTAAGAATACAAAAAGGATGTTATGTCTGACAATAATTAAAACTAAATATAAGCACAGGCATATATTTGATTAACGTCTTGGTGGATGAAGAGTTTTTATTATTTTTAACCTTTCATTTTGAGATTATTGTTGATTTACATATGGTTGTAAGACATAGCCAAGTGCGGTGGCTCACGCCTGTAATCCCAGCACTTTGGGAGGCTGAGGCGGCGGATCACGAGATCAGGAGTTCAAGACCAGCCTGGCTAATATGGTGAAACCCTGTCTCTGCTAAAAATACAAAAATTAGCTCGGTATGGTGGCACGTGCCTGTAGTCCCAGCTACTCGGGAGGCTGAGGCAGGAAAATCACTTGAACCTGGGAGGTGGAGGTTGCAGTGAGCCAAGATTGTGCCACTGCACTCCAGCCTGGGCGACAGAGTGAGACTCTGTCTAAAAAAAAAAAAAAAAAAAAAAAAAAAAGAGAGAGAGAGAGAGAGGTCCCAGTATACCCTCACTAGTTTCTGCAGTGGTAACCTCTTTCATAGCTACAGTGCAGTATCACAGCCAGGAGGAAGAACTGGACACAATCCCTCCAGCTGGTTCAGATGTCACCAGCTGCTTATGGACTCATCTATGTGCTTGTGTGTTTAGTTCTAGGAAATCTTAGCACCTATGTAGATTTGTGTGACCACCATGGCAGTCAAGATGAAGAAAGTTCCATCAAAAGGATTAGTTGTGGTTCCCTTTTATAGTCATGCCCCCACCCTTCCTTCTCAGTCACTACCCCCAGCAACTTCAAATCCAGTTTCCAACTCTAGAATTCTGTCATTTCAAGAATGTTGTATCAGTAAGAATCATGGTGGTGTAATCATTTGAGATTGGCTTTTTTTTTTTTTTTTACATAGCATAATTCCCTTCAGATACATCCAAGGTATTGCACATACAGATAGTTCATTTATTATTTTTACAAAATTGTTACATAAACGATACACATATTTTCAGGGTATGTGCAATATTTTGATATATTCATATAATGTATAATGATCAAACCGGGGCAATTGGGGTATCCATCACCTCAAACATTTATCTTCTCTTTGTGCTTCAAATTTTTCTCTTCTAGCTATTTTGAAATATATAAGAGATTATTATCAACCATAGTCACTGTACTGAACTATTGAACACTAGGTCTTATTCCTTTTATCCAACGGAATTTTTATACCCATTAATCAACTTCTCTTCATCCCCTCTCCCCTCTCTCCTTCCTGGCCTCTGATAACCATAAATTCATTTTCTATTTTCATGAGATCCTTTCTTAGCTCCCACACATGAGTGAGAACATGTGATATTTGTCTTTTTATGCCTGGTTGTTTAACTTAACATAATGATCTCCAGTTTCATCCATATTGCTGCAACCGACAGGATTTCTTTTTTATGGCCGAATAATATTCCATTGTGTGTATATATAGCACATTTTCTTTATTCATTTATCTGTGGATGGGCACGTAGGTTGATTCCATATTTTGGCTATTGTGAATAGTGCTGAAATAAATATGAGAGTGTAGATATTTCTTTGATGTATTGACTTCCTTTGTTTTGGATATTTACCCAGTTGTGGGATTGCTGGATCATAAGGTACTTCTATTTTTAGTTTTTTGACGAATCTTCATAGTGGCTGTGTTAATTTACATTCTAGCAACAGTGTATGAGGGCTCCCCTTTCTCCACATTCTCACCAGCATCCGTTATTTCCTGTCTTTTGGTTAAGAGCCATTTTAACTGGGGTGAGATGATATCTCACTGTGGTTTCAATTTGCGTTTCCCTGATGATTAGTGATGTTGAGCACTTTATTCATATGCCTGTTGGCCGTTTGTATGTATTCTCTTAAGAAATGTCTACTTGTGTCCTTTGCCCATTTTATAATTGGATTACTTGGGGGTTTCTTTTTCTGTTGGGGTGTTTGAGTTCTTTGCATATTCTTGTTATTAATCCCTTATCAGATGGATGGTTTGCAAATATTTTCTCCCATTCTGTATGTTGTCTCTTCACTTTGTTGATTGTTTCCTTTGCTGTGAAGAAGCTTTTTAGCTTGATGTGATCCCAATTGTCTATTTTTTCTTTTGTTCCCTGTTCTTTTAAGGTCTTTTTCAAAAAATCTTTGCCCAAACCAATGTCCTGGAGCATTTCCTCAATGTTTTCTTTTAGTGGGTTCATAGTTTTAGGTCTTAAAGTCTTTAGTTCATTTTGATTTGATTTTTGTATGCTCAGAAATAGGAGTCTAGCTTTATTCTTTGGCATATGGTTATGCAATTTTCCCAGCACCACTTATTAAAGAGACTGCCCTTTCCCCATTTTGGCCCCTTTGTCAAAAATAAGTTGGCTGTAAATTCATGATTTATTTCTGGGTTCTCTATTCTGTTTCATTGGTCTTTGTGTCTTTTTTTATGCCAGTTACCATGCTGTTTTGGTTACTTGGCTTTGTACTGTATTTTGAAGTCAGATAGTGTGATGCCTCCAACTGTGTTCTTTTTGCTTAAGAGTGCGTTGGCTATTCAGGGTCTTTTGTGAATTTTTAGAAATTTTAGAATTTTTTTATATTTCCATGAAGAAAGTCATTGGTATTTTGATAGGGATTGCACTGAGTCTGTAAATCACTTTGGGTGATCTTGACATTTTAATATATTAATTCTTCCAATCCATGAACATGGAATATCTTTCCATTGTTTTGTCTTCTTCAGTTTCTTTCATCAGTGTTTTATAGTTTTCCTTGTAGCCATCTTTCACTTGGCAAAATCTATACCTAGGTATTTTATATTTTTATAGCTATTGTAAATGGGATTGCTTTCTTGATTTCTTTTTCAGATTGTTTGCTTTCGTCATATAAATGCTACTGATTTTTGTATGTTGGTTTTGTATTCTACAACTTTACTGAATTTATCAGTTCTAACATTTTTTGGTGGAGTCTTTAGGTTTTTCTAAATGCAAGATTATGTTGTTTTATATTTAAAGACAAGGATAACTTGACTTCGTTTTCCATTTGGATGCCCTTCGTTTCTTTCTTTTGCCTAATTGCTCTAGCTAGGACTTCCAGTACTATGCTGAATAAAAGTAATGACAGTGGACATCCTTGTCTCGTTCCAGATCTTAGAGGAAAGACTTTCAATTCAGGGGAAGCATACTTTTAGATACGCATTTGTAAATTCCCAAATCAAAGGACTGTGGCACTACCTGCTTACTCCCACTCAAATCTAAAGCTGATGACCAGGTGGGGTGGTCCCATCCTCTGGCATCTTGTGCCTCGACGGTGGCTTCTCCAGTGGCCCGTGTGTGAGATGTCTGGTTTCATCAGGAGATGGCTGGTTGTTGCAGCTGCCAAGAGGATTGTGTTGTGGAGCTGTTGCTATAGAGAAAATCTGATTACATTCAAACTCAAGCTCATTAAATCAGAATTTTCTTCTTCCTCAAGGCTGGAGAATGTCACTAGGAGGCCCTTCCTCTTTCTGCCTTCTTCAGGAAGGTAAACGTTCAACAGGGCTCTGTCTGAGCATGAAAAGAATGCCTTGTTTCTTCTGATCCTAGCCAGCTGCTCGGAATATGACTCACCAGGAAGTGAAAGTGAGAAATTGATATGGTTGGGCAATTGCAAATACTCACAGATGGTCTGATTCACAGGTAGTGCCTTCTCCTCTTTGTAGCACGCACTGTGCCAGGAGTCATACCTATGCATATTAGTCAGGGGTCTCCAGAGAAACAGCCAAGAGGATGAGTCTACATACAGAGAAAGACACTTATTTTAGGGAATTGGTTTATGCAATTGTGGAGTTTGGCGAGATCAAAGTCAGTAAGGTAGGTCAGCAGGCTGGAGACGCAAGGAAAAGTTGCAGTTTAAGTCTGAAGGCACCTGCTGGCAGAATTCCTTCTTGCTCAGAGGAGGTCACGCTTTGTGTTAAGGCTTTAACTGATTAGATGGAGCCCACCCACATTTGATGGAGGGCCGTCTGCTTTTCTCAAAGTCAGCTGGGGATTTTTTTTTTTTTGATTCAGAGTCTCACTCTTTCACCCAGGCTGCAGTGCTGTGGCACAGTCTCGGCTCACTGCAACCTCTGCCTCCCAGGCTGAGACCCTCTCAGCCTCACCCTCCCAGAGCAGCTGGGACTACAGGCATGCACCACCATGCCTGGCTAATTTTTGTATTTTTTTTGTAGAGACAGGGTTTTGGCATGTGGTGGTCTCAAACTCATGGGCTCAAACAGTCCTCCTGCCTTGGCCTCTCAAAGTGCTAGGATTATAGACATGAGCCACTGCAACCACACCTGGCTAATTTTTTTTTTTTTTTTTGGTAGAGATGGAGAGTTATCATGAGATCTGACGGTGTTTTGGTAGATCCATGTTGCCCAGGCTGGTCTCAAACTCCTGGATTCAAGTGATCCTCCTGCCTTGCCCTCCCAAAGAGCTGGGATTATAGGTGTGAGCCACTGCGCCCAGCCTTCAAAGTGTGATTTAGATGTTAATCTTACCTAAAAAACGACTTCACAGAAACATCTAGAATAATGTTTGACCACATCTCTGGGTGCCATTGCCTGGTCACGTTGACACATAAAAGTAACCATCACACTGTGTTTATTCTAAACATGCTCATAGAAGTGGGGGCTTTCCTGTGAAGGGCATGGACCCTGGGAGGCCTGGATGTGAGTCTTTCCTCCTTCATTTTCTAGTAGTGTAACCTTAGCTTCTGCGCGCCTCTGTGGTCTTGTAAACACACTAGCCATTTATTGAGCCCTCTGTACTGAGCATGGTGGATTTGTGATTCTCCCTGAGCTTAAAGACTGAATGTTTTACGGGACTAACCCAGGGTTGTACAGCTGCTAAGTGGGGCCTCGAATCCAGTTCTGGCACTCCGAGGTCACAAGGCTGGCTGAGGATTTATTAAAATAAGATGCAGGGGTCCGGCACAGTGGCTCATGCCTATAATCTCAGCACTTTGGGAGGCCAAGGCAGGCAGATTGCTTGAGCCCAGGAGTTCCAGCCTGGGCAACATAGTGAAATCCTAGCTGTACAAAAATTACAAAAATTAGCCAGGCATATTGATGCATGCCTGTAGTTCCAGCTACTCAGGAGGCTAAGGTGGGAGGATCGCTGGAACCCAGGAGGTCAGGGCTGCAGTGTGAGCTGAGATGGTGCCACTGCAGTCCAGCCTGGGTGACAGAGTGAGACCCTGTCTCAAATAAATAAATAAATAAATAAATAAATAAATAAATAAATAAATAAAGTAATAAGGTGCAAAGTAATAAGGTAGGTGTGTTGAATACCAAGTTGGGAATGGTGGTCATGAATCCGGACTCAGAGGGTCTGAGGTCATGATGATACTAGTGACAATGACCATAACCGACACTCACTGGGCATTTGCTGTGCCAGTCACTTGTGTGAGTTCTTCACAGGCACTAACTCATTTAATCCTCACAACAACCCCCCAAGGTGGGCACTGCCATTATCCCCATTTTCCAGAAAATTGAGGCACAACTTACAAAATGTATCCGAGGTTTCCTTTCTTCTCCCAGCCACCCCCACCTCATCTCTTTGGCTGCTCTAGGCTCTGCAAAGCCTGTCTCATGCCCTTCCAGCTGGAACATCCAGTTATGCTACCTGTGAATTCATATTCCAAGTAACGTTTAGGGCTCCATTGCCAAACTCCTGCATTGAGGTGAAGTGGGCAGATGCCTCCCGCTCCTTTTCCTGGGTCACACCGGAACCCTTTTGCTAGGTGGATGTGGCTACTTCATTCCCTCATCAGTGTCTGGATCTTTCAGGCTTGTAGGTGCCAGACCCCAGTGGGTAATAGGGTTTGGCTGTGTCCCCACCCAGATCTCATCTTGAATTGTAGTTCCCATAATCCCCACGTGCCATGGGACCAACCTGGCGGGAGGTAATTGAATCATGGGAGCAGTTACCCCCATGCTGTTCTCCTGATAGTGAGAGAGTTATCATGAGATCTGATGGTTTTATAAGGGGTCTTTTCCCCTTTGTTTGGCACTTCTCCTTGCTGCTGCCACGTGAAGAGGACGTATTTGCTTCTCCTTCACCTTCCACCATGATTGTAAGTTTCCTGAGGCCTCCTCCGCCATACTGAACTGTGAGTCAATTAAACTTATTTCCTTTATAAATTAGCCAGTCTCGGGTATGTCTTTATTAGCAGCATGAGAACAGACTAATACAGGGAGCCACATATGCGCTGGGCAGTTGGTTTGGGTGGCACAGGCTGAGCCTGGGAGCCACTGTCACTGCAGGGTGGTTAAGAGCTGTGCTCTGAGACCATGGCCTAGTTTTGCTCCTACCTCCCAGAAGAACAAGCTGCGTGGCCTTGGACACATGACTTGACTCTCTGAGGCCAACTTTCTCATCCAGAAAATGGGGAGGCTGGGCACAGTAGCTCATGCCTGAAACCCCAGTACTTTGGAGGTCAAGGCAGGAGGATTGCTTGAATCCAGGAGTTTGAGACCAGACTGGGCAACATAGGGAGACCCTGTTTCTAGAAAAAATACAAAAATTAGCCGGGCATGGTGGCACATACCTGTAGTCCCAGCTACTCGGAAGGCTGAGGTGGAAGGATCACTTGAGCCTGGAGAGGATGAGGCTGCAGTGAGCCATGATCACACCACTATACTCCAGCCTGGACAATAGAGTAAGATCCTGTCTCAAAAATAAATAAATAAATGAAATGGGAAAAAGAGTAGGCCCTACCTTGAACTTACCAAGATTGGATACGATACTGTCTCTAAAGCCCTAAGCACAGTGCCTGCCTGACACATAACAAGTGCTGCAGAAGTGGTAGCTATTTTTATTAGGCATTTCATAAATGTCACGTGGATATCTTTTGGTTGACTCTTTGCTTGTTCTAGATTATTTTTCAGGTCGCTGCTTGCTGAGTTGTCCTCTGGTCACTGGGAATGTATTTATTTTGTTGTTCTTCTGTTGAACAGAACAGCTGGCAGAGTGGTTTTCAGTAGCCAGGCCAAAAACTCAGTGAACCCCAGCGCAGGTACAGGGCTCTGAGAAAACATCAGCTCAGTGAGAGTCCCCTGGAGCCCAGCTCTGAGAATAGCTTTAATGCTTTTGAACAGGTGATGACATCGGGTTGCTGGCTGTCCAAACGATGTGGGGAGACACGTGGAGAGTTCAGATTGATTTGCCAGGATGTTTGGGAGCATTTGGGAATACAGGCGTGGACGCTGGCCCAGCCCCAGCGCCTGTCAGCCAGGCACAGCCAGGCCTTTGATGCGGGCCCTCCTGAGCCCAGAGCCAAGCTGCCGCTTGGAGGAAAAATTTCCAGGACAGGCATCTGGGGGACAAAGCTGCTCGCAGGTTGTCAGGACTCATTCCCTCTGAGTGAGGCTGATGGATACTCATAGAGGCCAGGGACGCAGAAGCCAGTGATGACTTCCAGGTTCTTGCTGCAGGGGGGCATGGGCTGTGGGGATCCCCATGTCATCTGGGGCATAACTGCCCAATGGGCAGATGAGAGGAGCGGGTGGACCTGTGGGCATCTTGGGAAGGCCAGGCTTGGAAGAGCCATCCTTCCCGACAGCAGTTGTGTGGTCTCCAGGTCGCAATGCAGAGGCACAGGTCCTCTAAAACTGGTGACTCTCACTGCTGAGAGTGACTGCTCATTCCATTCCATTCCCTGATAAGTGTATTTTCTCTGCAGGGAATATTGCAGCCTTTCTGCACTTCAGCACTATACCTGAGGGCCGTTTTAGATAGCAAGATGCCCAGGAGAAACTACAAAAATGCAAAAACCATGGCAGTAACATGACATTTGTAGCTACAAATCCATTTTAGAGAGTAGACCAGTTTACAAAGACAGAATCCGGGAATTCACCCACTCTCTGAAATGTATTTGTGTCTCCACAATCAGTGCTCGTCTTTCACGGAGGTGCGCAAAGCGGCATAAAGTCTGAGCAGCCAGACGCGCACGTTCCCAGCGGAGGTGAAACGAGGCAATGGGCCTCGGCCTTCTGCTTCAGCTCTCAAACTATAAATAAGTGTCCTTTCCACAGCTTACTTAGTGCCACTTTTTTTTTTTTTTTTGCATTTGTGTGCTTTCTCTCGGTGATCTTGCCGTTTAAAACAGCCCCCAGTCAGAGTCCGGAAGTGCAGAAAGGCTCTGACGTTCCTTGCGGAGAAAATACATGTGTTCAGTAAGCTTCGTTCAGGGATGAGTTACAGCGCTGTTGGCCATGAGTTCAGTGTTAGTGAGTCATCAATGCATATTCAATAAAGTCTCCTTAGACAGAAACACACATGAAACAAGAGTCAAGGGTATGTATTGGTTGGTTGGAAAAAATTTGTAACCAGAGGTTTGCAGGAACCTAATACTGTATTTCCACAAAAACAATGATTCAGTATTCACAAGTCAGGGTTGACCACAACTTCATAGAATATCATACTGTGAATGATGAGAATCAACTGTATTTCATTTGGACAATGGAGATAAACTGGGTTGTGTAGTCACTCAATACCTGAGTCAAAGACACTTCCACCAGGAAGCCTCCCATGGTCACACCAGCCTCCAAGGATCGTTTCCCACCCACACCAACTCACCCCACAATATGTATTGTGTTTACCATTGATTTCACATTTGACATGGACTGTAAGATATTAGTCACACTTCCCACAAGCCTTCTGTTATTGTGTGTCAAAATCACAAGCTCCCTGAAGACTAAGGATGTGTCTAAGATAACGTCTCCACTCATAGCAGGCAATATTGTAAGTGCTTGATTCTTTCAACAAACATTTTATTCAGTAATTTGTTTGTTGGATCCATTCTTTTTTTTTTTTTTAGACAGAGTCTGGCTCTGTTGCCCAGGCTGGAGTGCAGTGGCGCCATCTCGGCTCACTGAAAGCTCCGCTTTCTGGGTTCACACCATTCTCCTGCCTCAGCCTCCCGAGTAGCTGCGACTACAGGCGCCCGCCACCTCGCCCAGCTAATTTTTTTGTATTTTTAGTAGAGATGGGGTTTCACCGTGTTAGCCAGGATGGTCTCGATCTCCTGACCTCGTGATCTGCCTGCCTCGGCCTCCCAAAGTGCTGGGATTACAGGCGTGAGCCACTGCGCCTGGCTTTTTGATCCATTCTTCTAGTGAACCAATATGCAGGACAGAATGAATGAATGAATGATATGCTTACTGAACACCTGCCATGTGCCAGATGCCCACAGGAGGATGCAGAGTCGTGGGTGCTGCAATAGCAGGGAGTGGAAAGGAAGTGCCACCCCTATCTTAGGGAGGGCAGCCAGAGGAATTTGACGAGCAGGTGGAGAAGTGCAGGGAGAGAGTGCCAGACAGCAGGAACAGCGTGTGCAAAGGCCTGGAGCCCCAGGCAAGCAGGCATATTCAGGAGCCACCAAGCGCAAGGGAATAGCCGTCCAGGTGGGTGTGGGGAGAGGAAACGCAGGTGCAGCTGGCCATGCATTTTAATGCTGAAGAGTCCTGAGTGAAGAAGAACCTTTGAGGGGTTATGCATGCCATGGTTTTGAGTTTGCATGTCATTACTTTTGTGCTCAGTGAACTCAACAGCAGATGCCCATAGTTCAGAACAGGTATCTGCCCTGTGCTGGTCCCACCTGGGGGTGGGGGTGGGCCCTGTGCAAGTGATCTCCTCTCCTAGCCCCCAACCAGGCACAAAAACAGGATTCCCAAACAGATCAAGATCTCGTTTCCCTGGCCTGCTCCCAGCAGCTCTGTGGGAACTACAGCCTGTCTCGTTTCCTCCCAGATGTTTCTTGAAACTCCAGGAGGGGCCCAGGAAGAGGTGGGTGGGGGTTTCCTCCGTGTCCTCATAAAGTGCACATTCTGGTAACCCGGAGGTTTGTCCACGCACATTTCCTTCTCCGTTCTGGTGCCCAAGGTCAGGCCTGGTGAGTGGGGAGCCAGTGGACGGCCAGGGTCCAGCCTGCTGTCAGCTCTGTCGCATCTCCCAACCAAACATATGTGTTTACCCCTCCATTCCCACTGACATTGGGGAAGAGCAGTGGTTGTCTATACCTCTGACACTAGGAGGCCGGCCCACTGCTTTCCTAGCCCTGCTGGCCGGCACAGCTCTCCGCTCCAGCCTGCCATGCAGCACCAACTCCCTGAGTGCACACCCCACTTCACACACACAGATGCACATAGCACACCACAGCACACATAAACACACAACACATATCACACATACATACAAACACATTCTCCACACACCACACCACACAAACACACACAACACATATCACACATACATACAAACACACTCTCCACGCACACACACCACACACCATACACACAAACACATACTCCATTCACTCACAAACCACACATATACACATATCCTCCACATACACACACACCCTCCACACACACACCACAGATACATACACATACCACACACACACCACAGATACATACACATACCACACACAAACACACCTTCCACATACAACCACACCACACATACACACCCTCCACACACACACCACAGATACATACACATACCACACACACACCACAGATACATACACATACCACACACAAACACACCCTCCACACACAACCACACACCACACATATACACATATCTCCACATACACACACCCTCCACACACACACCACACACCACACATACACACCTTCCGCACATATACCACAGATACATACACACCACATACACATACCCTTCACACACAACCACACCACACATACAAACACATCCTCCGCACACATCACACACCACACATACACACCCTCAACACACACACCACAGATGCATATACCACACACAAACACACCCTCCACACACAACCACACCACACATACAAACACATCCTCTACACACACCACACAGATCACACACACACCACACATACACATATACACACCCCCACACAAACATACCATACACCACACACCACACATACACATACACACACCCCACACACACACATACACCACACACACACCACACACACGCCCCCACATGTCACAGATACATACATATACATCATACATATGTACACACCATGCACACCACACACACCACATCATATGCACTATGCATACATATACACACACCCCACATATACACAACACTACACGCATATCATATCCCCACACAAACACACATAAACACTGCACATGTGCTGAATACACATTCCCCACACCCCACACAAGCACACACACCTCACGCATACCACCTATTCTGCACACTCGCACCACACTCATGCCCACAGCCCCCACATGTACACACACCACACACTTCACACACACCATAGCTGACTCTTGTACTTTTGCCTCTGCCCCTCTCTACAGTCTGTCCAGTTCTCTCTTATTGTCTGGACCGACTTTCTCTACCAAGCGGGAAATGAGGCCTCCTTTAACCCCCAAGTTCTGGTCTCATGGCTTCAGTCCTGAGTCCAAATCTCTCAGGGAAGAGGCTCAGCATAGGTCCTGCGTCCTCTAAGTCAGTCCAACTGGGACTGGGAGGACCAGGGTGCTGAGATGCGGCAGAGACAAGGCCTAGGACTTGGAAGTCTTACTAGAACATGGTAGCTCCGCACCCCGCATAGCCACGTGGCTGGGGTGTGAGAGCAAAGAGGCAGGCTGCAAGACAAGGGAGTTTGAACACGTTGTCGTTGAAAGAATTAAACCAGGTGTGTGCCTGAGCACCTTTAGCCCACTGCCTGGCTTCAGAAATGCAAGCTTGCGTGCCGTCCCACCCAGGCCCTTAAATAATACAAGTTAATTGAAAGAGTTTAATTTGAATTAATGAGATTCTGTTAAAATATTGTTAACAGTTAAGTAGATAATTATTCTATGAACAAAACAAATGGCTCCTGCAGGGTCTATGTCAATGAATAGACACCTTCATTTACAGTTGGGATCCTTCAACTCCAACAGAATGATGTAAATCTGTTATTTGCAGAGGATTAATTAAGAGGGAAATGAATAAAAACAGTAACAAACAGGTCCCCGTCTAGATGCAGCGGGCGGTTGACAGCAGGCTCTCGACCGTTGTTTCGATGCAAAGTGTAAATAATGCATTTTGCCCTTACCTTTGCCTTCTCCGACTTAACTCGTGCAAACGTCAACCCAGGATGAAAGATCACGCATTCTAATTTAACGAAGCTTTATGGATAATGGGCCTCGTCGTATTAAATATTTTTGGTCTGAAGAAACCCCTGGGTGGCATTTAAGGCTGTCTCATCAAAGCGCCTCTCCCTCCTCTGTGTCCCCCTCCTGTCTGTCAAGGAGCGTGGGCTTAACCAGTCTCAGAACACATCATTCATCATTAGATGCCACCCAGCCTTTGCCCTTGCTGTTCCCAACATGGAGAATGCCCTCTCCTTTTCCCTATCTGCTAACACCGCATGGGGCCTTCAAGCTCCTGCTCCAATTCTGCCCCTGACCCAGGAGGCTTAGTGGCCCTGTCCACTGACAGCTCTTCTCCTGCCATCCCCAGTTTCCCCATGTCTGTTTTCCCGGTGCAATGTGGACCAGGGCCCTACATTTGGCAATTTCTCTCCCATCCCAGCCTAGACACACGCCATGTTCAGTTTCGTTTTGAAATGAACAAATGAAGGACTCTAGCCAGGAGTCACCTGGTCTTCTTTCTGGTCATGTAAGTGTCTTGCACAGTTCCACGTGGGATGGGTATTGACGAGGCGGTTGTGCAGAGCCACACTCAGCAAGCTGGTGGCAGTTACCCTGCCGTGGGCCCAGCAGCAGGTGGGAGGTACTCCAGGAGGCCAGCTCCTTCACAGGGAGCAAACTGTGTCAAAACGTGTTCACAAAGAAGGAGTTAGAGTGCTTCTCAGTGTCAAGCACTGCAATTATCTGTTGAGTCACAGTGTCGTTGGTAGCAATTTCCTCAGCCAAGATTCATTGTTGCTGACAAAACAAGGAGGGTTCCATCCCATTAAACATTCATGAAGCCTGATCAGTCTGTGCTCTTTTGTGAATAGAACTGGGTTTTAAAGGAGGCAGGGAGTGCTGTGAAGTCCTTCCCAACTGGGTGCCGAGGAGTGGGTGGCGGGCCTCGGTTGGGTGTGCCCGTGGCGAGGACAGTGTGGGGGCATTGTACCCCATATGCCCACCCATGTAACTACCCTGTAGCCCAGTGGTTCAGAACTTGGGCTCAAATTACCATTCTGCCCACTTCTAGCTGTATGACTGCAGGCAAGTTCGTTAAGCTTTCTGTGCCTCAGTTTCCTCATTTGTAAAATGGGGATAAGGATAGTAGCTGCCTCATAGGGTTAAAAGAATACGGATTAAAGGAATTAATTTAGGCAAAGAGCTTATACTAGTACTGTCAGTTCTGCTATAACATGGTACATGTGCTCCTAAACATCGCCACACTCATGCACAAAAATAAGGGAAAATAACACTGGAGTGCAGCACTCAAAAACTTCATGAGGGATGCATTAAAAAAACATGGGAACCTAGTAAAAACAATAGAACTGTTGAGTGGTTAAGAAATGCGTCAGTGCTACACTAAATACGGCACTGACTTGAGGAAGGCCTGAAGCTTGCTCCTGAAGTGGGCGTGGGAGGGGTGTGGCTTGTGAATTGTGAAAGGGTGGAAGGAAGGTGACCCGATGGAAATCAGACAGAAAGCTGTGTATTCATTTGCTAAGGCTGCTGGAACAAGTACCCTACTGCCTCCTTCTCTGCAGGGGATGCGTTCCAAGAGCCCCCAGGGATGCTTGAAACTGCAGATAGTGCCGAACCCTATATGTACTATGCTTTTTCCTGCACATACATATGTATGATAAAGTTCAATTTATAAATTAGGCACAGTGAGAGATTAACAACAATGACTAATAAAATCAATGATAACAAGACCCTGTAATGAAAGTCAGGTGAATGTTCTCACCCTCTCTCTCAGAACATCTTCTTGCACCATACTCACCTATTTTCAGACCCCAGATGACTGCTAGCAACTGAAGTCACAGAAACTGAAACTGCAGATGGGGGGAACTACTGTACCCCAGGTTGGGTGGCTTAACCAACAGAAATGTATTTTCCTATAGTGCTGGAGGCTGGAAGTCCAGGATCAAGGTGCCGGCAGGGGGCTTCCTCTGAAGCGCTCTCCTTGGCTTGCAGATGGCCGTCCCCTGCCCCTCCTCTCATGGTCATCCCTCTCTGTGCATGCACCCCTGGTGTTTCCTGGAGTGTTCAATTGTCCTCTTCTTATAAGAACACTGTCAGGTTGGATTAGAGCAAATGCGAAAGGCCTCGTTTTAACTTAATCACCTCTTTAAAGATCCTAGCTCCAGGCCAGGTGGGGTGGCTCAATCCCAGCAAGGTGGGAGGATCACTTGAACCCAGGAGTTCAAAACCAGCCTAGTCAACATAGCGAGACCCTGTCTCTACAAAAGAAACTATTTTAAATTAGCCAGGCATAGTGGCACACACCTGGCTACTGGGGAGGCTGAGTCCAGCGGATCACTTAAGCCCTGGGAAGTTGAGGCTGCAGTGAGCCGTAATTGCACCACTGCACTCCAGCCTGGGTGACAGAGCAAGACTCCATCTCAAAAAAATTTTAAAAAGATCCTATCTTGAATAGTATTGTCACATTCTGGCTCCTTGGGTTAGGACTTGAACATCTGGATTGTGGGAGGGTGGGGGAGAACACCGTTCAGCCCATAACACGTCACAGGATTTGATATGGATGGGGTGCCTCATAACGCACGCAGGGAGCCAAGGGGGCTGGTGGACGTCCAAGTGTGTGTGCACGAGGCTTCGGTATGTTGGGAGCAGGGTATATTCTACACAGCTCCACTCTGCTCGTCAGCTGGGTGCAGAGCTTTATGAATTCTATGCCCATCTAGTGTTTCTCAGGAATGAAATTGTACATCAGCAAATGCCAAGTTTATGTCATGCTTAAATTTTTCCCTACTATGTCAAATGCTTTGGAACCAATTTGCATTTTCTAACCGCCGTCCTAGCAGAACTGGCTGCACCCGCTGTCTAGTGAGTGCTATACACTGCTGACCTTGGGGGGTGGCCTTGGCTCCTGGGTCATGGGTGGGGCTGGGTCTGCCCCAAGCACATCATCCTCACAACTGCACGATGGGTGAGAAAGGACAGCTGGGATCATCACCCCCGTTACATAGATGGGGACAAAGGTCCAGACCTGAGACTCTGAGACTCACACAACAGTGGTGCTGCTAGGAGGGGACCCCAGGCCCTTTCCATCTTGACAGGGGTTCTCGGATCTGCCCATGGGTAGAATTGGCCCACAGTGAGCTATTAAACATACAGATTCCCAGGCTTCTCCAGTTGGCATTTGGATCTTTTCAGTCAGGTCCTGGGCCTAAAAAACTGTGTTAATGGGCCTTGTGCAGTGGCTCACGCCTGTAATCCCAGCACTTTGAGAGGCCGAGGCGGGCGGATCAGGAGGTCAGGAGATCGAGACCATCCTGGCTAACATGGTGAAACCCCGTTTCTACTAAAAATACAAAAAAAATTAGCCAGGAGTGGTGGCGGGCACCTGTAGTCCCAGCTACTGGGGAGGCTGAGGCAGGAGAATGGCGTGAACCCGGGAGGCGGAGCTTGCAGTGAGCCGAGATCGCGCCACTGCACTCCAGCCTGGGCAACAGAGAGAGACTCTGTCTCAAAAAAAAAAAAACAAAAAAACAAAAAAACACTGTGTTAATGAGCCTCCCAGGTCATTCTTATGACATGACTGGGCCATATTAGGTGACACTGTCCTCCATCTCCCTGCATTCCCTGCATGCGAGACTTGATCCATATTTGTAATTGTGATGCTAAAGATGTCATTTCCTGTGTGAATGAGCCGTCCTTCCTGAGGGGAACTGTCTCACCACCAAGCTGGCCTTAACCCTTAGGAGGTTATGTGGACTGGGCACAGTACTCAGGCCATGGAGCGGAACCCTGTGCTCTTGCTCCCTGACTGTGAGATCTTGGGCAAGTTACAACCTGGAGGGGTAAGCGCTGTGAGTCCCATTTTACAGATGTATAAACCGAGGCATCCATGAGCTAATTTATAGAAAGAACTCCACTTCGTGCAGGCAGAAGCTTCCTTCCTCAGTTCCTTTGTCCTTTCCAATGTGGGTGGTCAGGGGCCACAGTGGGCATGGAGCTCAGGAGGGTTTTTGGAGGGGAAGATGCCTGGAGTTTGCCAAATTGCCAAGGTCCACACAAGACCACTCTTGTTTCTGGCACCAACTGCAAGTTCAGGGGGGTTCCTAAAATCACCCTCAGTTTCTATCATTCCATCAGAAGTACTCAGTGAACTCACTGAACACTGTTATACTTCACAGTTACGGCTTATTCCAGGGCATGGCTTCAGATTAAAATCAATGCAAGCAAGAGATGCGTAGGGCAAGACTGGAAGGGTTCCCGATGCAAAGCTCCCCATGTGTCCTCCCCATGGGGGCAGGATGCTTTACCCTCCCGGCATCACACGTGACAGCACTCACTGAATATTGCCAACTGGGGAGACTCACTTGGGTTTCCACTGGGGCTTCATTACAGAGGCATGGCTGATGATTGATTGATTGCTTGGGTGGTTGAACTCAGTCTCCAGGACTCCTGAGACTGTGTGACCTTAAAACCTCCACTCTAAATCACAGGGCAGGTCTTTCTGGATTGGCGGCCAGTCCCCACCCTAAGCCTGTTGGGTGTAGCCATTCCCACACTAAGGTCCTTCGTAGTCAGAACTCTTCTCAAATGTGACATAAATTACCCACCAGAAGCCAAGGGCGCAGACCAGATGTCTCTCAGCTACTCGTAAGCAATGAGTCTTGCTTGGACTGATGGGTGAACATTCAAGGTGCTCATTCAGATGCAGGGCTGGCACTGTCCAATCTTTGTTCACTGCCACGTGTCAGATTCCAAGCACTTTGTAAATACCAGCTCTCATTTTATCTTCAAGGCAACCCTGCAATGCTGTGGGCTCTCATTATCCCCACTTTCCGTATGGGGACAGTGAGGGGGAGCAGCTTTCCCACCCTCTCAGAGCTGGTAAATGGTCGAGGCCAGGCAGCCTGGTTCTGAGGGCCTGCACTTGACCCCTGGTTGCTTTGGTTTTTAAATTTTTAAAACATTAATTAGTTGCTGCCCGACTTCAGCTGGCACACTCAGCACCCCCTGTTGCTCCTTTGGTAATTTCCGGCCCCTTGGAGAAGGAAGGACCACCCCGAGTCCACGGTCTTGGGCCCAGACCCAGCAGGACTGGAAGGAAGAGGCGCAGAGCCATAAAGTGGTCTGCAGGGAAGTTATTTTTCAATCAAGTTGGGCTTTGCCTCGCTAATCCTTCTCCTCCATGGGGGCTGAGTGCAGAAAACTCATCTCTGCATAAAGAGACCCCAGGCCTGGCTCGGGTCCTTGGACCCAAGTTTAGAACCTGTGCCTGGAGCTATGAGAATAAGTAAAAGGAAGGGAATGTGTCTCAGAAAACCACTAGGCTCTGAGGAGCTCCAGCACTCCAACAAAAGAGACAGTTGAACAATGGGAAGAGGTGCTGTTCACCAGCAAAGGCCCCACAATTCTCCCTGTGACACTGCATGTTCCCAGAATTACAGCCAATCTTTCTAAGACATTGAGAATATCATTTTTATGTGTGTGACCCTGAGCATAAAATTCCTTTACCTTTCTGAGCCTCAGTTTCCTCCTCTACAAAACAGAGATAATAATACCTATCTCTCAAGTGCCCAGAGCCATGCACAGAACTTAATAAATACAGGTTCCTAGTTTTCACACTCAAGGGTATACAATGACCTTTTTGATTCAGATGCTAGGTCGTCCTCGTTCTGTAACAAAAGAATTGTATTTATACAATCGAAGACATTCAGAATCGGACAAGTAGGGAACAAATGTGTTTTAAAGAGTGCAAAGACCACTTGACTAGGAGACGAGTCCCTTTTACTACATCTCTGATTTTATAGGGTTGGCCGGTGAGAATATGGGATTCGATTCACAGCCAGAATGATTGGATCCCATCCACAAAATGAATATCACATGCAGAGGCACAAAGCTTTCTTAGAATGCAGGATGGTGGGTGGTGGTTTTATCATCATTGTCTAAGAACCAAGAAGATGGACGTTGCCTTTGGCCCTGCGACACCCACCCCCCATTACACACACACATGAGATCATTGAGTGCAGACGCCAAATGCGTATTCCATACCACATGGGAAATAAAAAGTGCACTCAGGAAATCCAGAGGTTAGAGGAGGTGATGTTTGGCTCCAGGTGGTCCCTGGAGCAGATTTCCTGTACTGTCGTTAAGAACCAGCCCTCTCCTAATACCTTTGCAAGATCTCCTAGTCCTTGCCACCTTTTCTAGTGCTTGTCCTTTCCATTCTCCTCCCCTCCCAGCTCCCACATGCAAACATGTAGCTCATCATCTTGAGGCTTTGGGCCAGTCCCCCTATGTTTTTCAGAGGCCCCAAGCAATATACAGTATTCATGAGCCCTTGTTTATGCCTTAGTCCCCTGCATTCGTTCATTCTTTGTACCTGAAGTAAGAGACAGGCTTCCTGACTTAACGGGGTGACCTCCAATAGAGTTAATCTGCAGGGTTTTAGAACCTGGATGACATGCTCTGTAGCTCTTCAGGATGTGTAATTGTTTTGCATTTCTTGCTTTTGGCTCAGCCGCCAATATTTATGAACACTGCATGGCTTTTTGTGAAGAAGTTACATGTGGGGCAACATAACAGAGGGAAGAACACATCCCAGAGAGCCTGTTGCCTGTTATTTGTCTGCCGAGCCATCTTATCTTGAATTATTTTTCTCTGGCTTCATGAGAGAATGGAGTTGGAAGAGTTTTGCAGATTGTAAAGTGCTATAGAATTGCAAGTACCCACAGGCATTTATGCATAAAATGCTTATTACTGAAGTATGTATAGCAGCAGGAAAAAAACATTGGAACTAGCTGAAATATCCAACAATTGGGATATGGTTGAGTAAGCATTCTGTTTACCGTCACACATGATGGGTTTGTAATAACACAAGGATGTCTATTTTATCGTTCACCTGCAAGTAACAAAAACTTGACTTACAATGGCTTCATCAAAGAGGATTTCTTGATCATATACAAATAAGCCCAGAGAGAGACAGCCTGGCCCAGTTCTGGGGCCCAGTAGGGCCATTCAGGAACCAGCTACCTCTGTTCACTGCTCAGTCATTCTTAGCAGTGGCGGTTGTGTAATCCAGCTTCGCACCTTTGTTTTGGGAAGGCAGATTAAAGGAATGGGAACGGGGGCACACACCAGCATTGTCTGCCCCCTTTTAAAAAGCATTCCTGGAACCCCTACTCCCTGAGTTCCACTCCCAGCTCCTTGGCCAAACTTTGTTACATGGCTACCTCTGAGTGCAAGAAGGCTGGGAAATGGTTGTTTTTAAACCAGGAAGATTGCTAACTTGAAATTGGGTTCTGAGTGGGCAGATCATGAAGTCAGGAGATCAAGACCACCCTGGCTAACACAGTGAAACCCCGTCTGTACTGAAAATACAAAAAAAATTAGCTGGGTGTGATGGTGCACGCCTGTAGTCCCAGCTACTTGGGAGGCTGAGGCAGGAGAATTGCTTGAATCCGGAAGGCGGAGGTTGCAGTGAGCTGAGATCGCACCACTGCACTCCAGCCTGGGCGACAGAGGGAGACTCCATCTCAAAAAAAAAAGAAAAAGAAAAGGAAAGAAATTGGGATTCTGTTTGTTAGAAAGAAGGGGAAAATGGATATTGGGGAGGCAACCAGCAGCATCTGTCTCGGTCCACCCCATTAGCTTCCCAAGATATTTGTACATACCCTTTTCCAATACACAGACATGACTCACCTTCTTCCCAAGGGAGAGGGCTACAAAGTTTCATTATGTTATTGCAGCTAGGGTGCAAAGTCCAGGATCGGGCAGGACTGTGCCAGTTTCCCACCAGGTTTGAATGTGTCTGGTTCCTTGTGCTAATCAACTAAAAGACAAGTTATCTGCTCAACATGCAGTGATGAAGAGGAAGCAAGATAAATAGCAGTGACAACGGCTACCATTCAGGAAAGGCGAGAAAAGATATTGGGCAGGCAGCCAGCTGTGTCCACTATGCAGCATACCTTACTGGTGCACACACAATGTGGTCAAAATAGTGTTAAGCCATCAAAAATGCAACAAACGTAGAAGGAAGAATGAAAGGAAATCATTTGTCATAGAATAATTTAATCCATGTGCCTTTTTTTCTGTTGTAATTTTCAATTTTGTTCTACTGTAGATACCCACTCATTTTGTACAAAGAAAATTTTCTTGTCAAATATAACATTTGTAAATATTTCCCCCGATTGGTGTTGAAGACAGAAGATCAGAAATGCTGCACTATGTACAGGGTACATAGTAATTTTTTGTAAATAAAACATAAAACTTTTATCAAATATATACTTATGGTAGAAAAAATATACAGGCAAGCTTATGATAAAAACGTTGTTTCCTATTCCAGTTCCCCCCACTGCAGGCTTGTTTATGCAGGGAAGCCCTTTTATGGCATTTAGACTTTGAAGACAGGATTCTTCCCTTGCAGAAGGGAAGAACTGACTAAAATATTTGAAATTGCAAATAACCACCAAAAGCACGCATCCATCTGCAGAGGGACCCTCCAAGGTGGCAGGCAGCATTGCAGGGGGTGGTGACCTAATTTGGAAGGACTTGGAATACTTCTGCTAATGATTTCCTTGTGGTTTACTGGGACATGCTATGAGTGACATCTGGTGTCCTGGTCAGGGACGAGGTCAACGGACAGTACTGTGTAATGGTTAGGGATGTGAGCTTTAGGGCCAGGCCTGGGGTTCAAACCTCGCTCTCATTTCTTCGATGGGTAACCTAACGTCTCTGTGCCTTGGTTAGCACAGCTGCAAGATGGGGATCAGAAATATTTGAGTCAAGGTCTCTATGTTGCTGTTTTTAACATTCATTGGTTTATTTAAAATTTCCCAATTCTTCTTGCCCTAATTTTGGCATTTTATATTTTCTTAAGAATTTTAGTTATGTTTTCAAACTTTCAGAATACAATGATTTTTTAAAATATTTTAAAAAATTGTCTGAATCAAAGCCCATACATTGCAACGAGCTGGTGTGTCTCTTAAGCCTCTCTTGACAAGTTTCTTTTCCCCTCTTTCCTCTTTTTTTTTTTTCATTTGCAGTTTGCTTATTGAAGAAATTAGTTGAGCTGCTTTTAATTGTAACCAACAGAAACCCATGAGAGCACCATTAAAAAGTTGGATTTACTTTAAGAGTAGCAGAGTTGCATAAACCCAAGGGTTAGGGTGTAGTGGGGCCTCAGGAACTGGCCAGAACAGGTCTCTCTTTTGCATGCTTTCTCTCTCTCTCCTTCTCTCTCTTTTTCTCTCTCTCCTCTTCTCTCATCTCTATGTCTCTCTCTTTCTTCCTTCCTCACTAGTCTTTGCTCTCCAGTCCACGTAGCAGCTAATGGCCTGCACACCATCCCTTTGATTCGAAGGACCAGTCAGTTGGAGTCCAGAATCATAGTCCCATTCTGAATTTCCAAGGAATGGATTCAGGTGCAACCCTGATCCATTGACCACATTGTTGGCTGCCAGGGTCCCAGTGCTCTTACCACGTGGATCAGTGGTAAGGGAGGAGACATCCTTATACAAAAGTGGGTCTGCAGACCCTTCTGGTGTGCACACCATAATGATAGTGCCTGTCTCCTGGGTTGGCTGGGTCAGAGTAAAGGATGAAGTGTGCACAGTGCAGAGCAAAGAGGAAGCCCAAAAGACATGGAGCTGTGCAGCAGAGATCCGACAACCAGCAGCCTCTCGACTCAGGGAGGTTCCTTCATGCCTGATGGCACCATGCGGCACAGCACCTCTTTTCTTCCCAGGGGCCAATCAGATGCAGCACCTTAATTGACCATTTAAATGCCAAGATGGCTGAGCCTTGGCCAAGCATGTGTACATCTGCTGCTCATTATGTAGCCAGGGAAGTTCCCTGGATACCTGAACCTAGGCATAGAAAATGCTGGCCTGGGTGAAATCCCTTCACAGTGGCTCAGTGCCAGAAAAGCACCATGTAGGGACTTCATTCCAGGTCAGAATTCCACCAATATAGCCATAGTGACCCATCCAATCAGGGATGGATGTTCAGAAGGCCCCTTGGGCTGGCACACTGCTGGGTCCCACACTGATTCCTGAGTACCTTCACCCAGGCTGTCATGGTTCTGGCCTGTGAATTCTGTCTGGTGATGTCACTGACATTAACAGCCTGATCAGTACTGTGAACAGCAACTCTGGGAGTCCAGGGGGCAGGTGCAAAGAGGGAGAAGACCTAGATTTTGTTCCTAGAATTGATGAGGTTAGATTCACAGAGTAGCAGTTAAGGTTGCAGCTGGGAAATGAGTGATCTAAACTCTATAAGAATTTGGGGGCAGGGATATTTTAAAATGTGGGTTTTATTATAATTCAGCTATGGTGAGGCCCACAGATCAGGAGACAACTTCCATTTTAAAAAACAGTTTGTGGCCAGGTGCCGTGGCTCACGCCTGTAGTTCCTGCACTTTGGGTGGCTGAGGCAGGAGGATCACGAGGTCAGGAGATTGAAACCATCCTGGCTAACACAGTGAAACCCCACCTCTACCAAAAATACAAAAAATTAGCTGGCGTGGTGGTGGGCGCCTCTACTCCCAGCTACTTGGGAGGCTGAGGCAAGAGAATGGCATGAACCCGGGAGGTGGAGCTTGCAGTGAGCCAAGATGGCGCCACTGCACTCCAGCCTGGGCGACAGAGCGAGACTCCATCTCAAAAAAATAGTTTGTTACTCACAGTTCCCAAGAGGAGGGGGGTGCCACACCATGCAGGGCCCCATGGGAAGCCCCACGGCCCATTAAGTGGCAAAAGGAGAGAGAAGAAAGATGGACAAGAACCTTTCTTGTGGTTTTCACAGGAAGGAATGGGAGAGGCAGGTTCAGCAGGTTTAGGATTGGTAGTTTGAGTGATTTCAGCAGGCTCTGAGCATAGGGGCTGTCCCTAGTTTCCTGGCCTGGCCCTGAGGTAATTAGGGCAGGAAACATTGTCTCAAAGTATAATAGCCTGATAGAGGAAGGGAAAGGTGTGGGCTCTGGATTGTTCGGTTTTCATATGAAAAGCATGTTTCTTGTGAGTTGTGTGCTATTGCTAGGAATCAGTCAGCTCTGGGAGCAGCAGCTTATTTAGTATTAGCAGAGTCCCAGATGTCACAACATCAGAATATGCAAAAAATAAAAAGTCATGATTAATACGAGGGAATATCATAATGGGCATGGTGCGTTTGGAGGCCAAATGCAAAGAGTAGAAAAGGGAGTGGGCTTTCCATCCATCCATCCATCCATCCATCCATCCATCCATTCATCCGTGTGTCCATCCATCCATCCATCCATCCATGCATCCATCCATCCAGCAATCCACCCACCCACCCACCTATCCATCCATCCGTCCATCCATCCATCCATCCAATAATCCAACCACCCACCCACCTATCCATTCATTCATTCATCCATCCATCCACCCATCCATTTATCCATCCACCTATCCATCCATCCATCCATCCATCCATCCACCCACCCACCCACCCATCCATCTATCCATCTACCTATCCATTCATCCATCCATCCATCCACCCACTCACCCATCCACCTATCCATTCATTCATCCATCCATCCACCCACCCATCCATTCATCCATCCATCTCTCCATCCACCTATCCATTCATCCATCTACCTATCCATCCATCCATCTACCCACCCATCCACCTATCCATCCATCCATCCATCCATCCGTCCATCCATCACGCATCTGTACTTACACACCAGGCACTGGGAGGGGGCAAGATACAAAGATTTATAAGACATTCTGCCTACTTATGCATTCACTCATTCATGTGTTCACTTGTTCATTATTATACTCTACATTCTTGGACATTTGAGGTAGCTTACCTGACCCATAAAATAAAATAAAACAAAACAAAACTATATATATATAATATATATATATATATTATATATATATATATAATATATATATATAATATATATATATATATAATATATATATATATTATATATATATATATATATAATATAACCAGTTACAGTTCCTTTTTCACTTTGCGGTCAGGAAATTCATCCTTGAACTTGAAGTCCACCTTTAGCAAATGAGTGAGAATGTGGCCCAAATATTTAGATATTAACCTTCCTTGAACCTAAATTTTCATGAAAATATTCATTGATTTAGATCCTTATGTGTGTGTGTGTGTGTGTGTGTATACACATATATGTGTATATATGCTAAAGGTGGACTTCAAGTTCAAGGATGAATTTCCTGACAGCAAAGTGAAAAAGGAACTGTAGGTGGTTATGAGATTCCTGTTGCCCCAAAGGGGAAATCCTGAATATTTGCAGCAGCCCCCATTGGAAGGGGATCTGTTAGTGATCCCCATTGGAAGGGGATCTGTTAGTGATATGATATGTCCTTCTTTTAGCGCACTAGTGTGTTCTCATCTCCTGCATAGATGCACGGGTTCATCTTCACGTAAAAATTGACCCCTAACAAACCTGTGTCAAAGAACAGTTTTCATAGCATATATAGAGGGAAGAATTATAGTAGTCTTTCAACAAAAGTAACAAAACCTTCCATTGTACTGGATTTTTTAGCAGCCTGAAAAACATTTCTCAAGACTTCCCTGTCAGAATCATCTGATGTAGAGTGTTTCTGTGCGTTCTTAGTTTTTCTATGCGATGTTAAGTTTTGGAGGAACTAGAAATGTTTGACCAGAGGCACCCACAATCAGGTTTCCAGTATCTCAAAGCTTGTCTTGTGGATAAGGAGAAAACTCAACGGGCACAACTAGGACCAATAATTGGGAGTGTGAGGGTGACAGGTTTCAGTTCAGTATCTGAAAATTAGGCTACTAGAGCTGCCCAACTGTGGAACAGGCTACCTGAATAGGTACTGAGCACCTCATCCCGGGAGGCATTCAAGTAGACTCTGGCTGACTGCCTTGATGACAGTGTTGGATGAGAAGCTGTATTAGTCTGTTCTCGCACTACTGTAAAGAAATACCTGAGATTGGGTAATTTATAAAGAAAAGAGGTTTAATTGGCTCATGGTTCTGCAGGCTGTATAGGAAGCATGGCTGGGGAGGCCACAGGAATCTTACAATCATGGTAGAAGGCGAAGGGGAAGCAAGTACCTCTTACATGGCTGGTGCAAGAGGAAAAGAGAGAGGGGGAAGGTGCTACACGCCTTTAAACAACCAGATCTCGTGAGAACTCTATTGAGAGAACAGCACCAAAGGAATGGTGCTAAACTATTCAAAAGAAATCACCCCTGTGGTGCAATCACCTCCCACCAGGCCCCACCTCCAACATTAGGGATCACAATTTGACATGAGATTTGGGTGGGGACACAAATCCAAACCATATCAGAAGCTGCTTTTACTGAAAGGCCTCTCCAGTCAGAAAACTGGATTGTCGAGTGCTCCAATAAGCAGAGTAATTCTGGGTTCTTTGGTGCTAAAAAAAAAAAAAAAAATAGAGGAGATTACTCTCCTTGAACAAAATTTGATCTATTGAAAAATTTTACCTTGGATTTTTTTTCACCTATTTCTATTTAAACTTTACCGAAAAAAAAATCAAGGAATCATTTTTCTTCTCCATGCTCCCCTGGATTCTTCAAACAAAGGAAAAATTTTAGTAGGGGTTAGGTGAGGGAGGAGTGAGTGCTAGGACTGGATTTGAAAAGGTCAGTTGTTGAAGAAGGAAAACAGAGGCAATAATTATTTAAAAGCATGGTTGCCCAAATGTGATTTTCAGTACTGGTTTTGGTGATGGCGGGAGAAAATTCAAGTAGGGCTCCCTGACTTGCAAGTAACAAACACTTCTGCCTTTTCTAGTTCCCACAGACCTACCCCCAACACACACACCTATCACCCCATCAATCCACCACTGCTCTTTGATTTTCTCATAACAGTAAAGAGAATGCAAACAAATCTTTCCTTCTGAAGCCCAAAACTGGATCTTAAAATCTTAAAAGTTGGGCCATGAGCGGTAAGGACACCAGAAGAATCTAAAATGCCTGCTTAAATCAGGCAGTGAATCTTATGGAGTCTACAGCAGGGTTTGGCAAAGTAGGCCCACCACTTGATCATACAAAGAAAGTTTTGTTATAACACAGCCATACCCATTTATGCAGTGTTTTGGCAGCTTTCACACCATGATGATGACTTGACTCTATATGACAAAGACCATAGGGCCTTCAAAGTCTGCAACATTTACTATGTGGCCCTTAACAGAAAAAAAATTGCCAACCTCTAGCTTAGGGCAGTGGTTCTCAGCCCTGGCTCAGTGTCAGAATCACCTGGGGTACATTAAAAATAGAGATGCCAGGCTGGGCGTGGTGGCTCATGCCTGTAATCCCAGCACTTTGGGAGGCCAAGGTGGGCGGATCACGAGGTCTGGAGTTCGAGACCATCTTGGCCTATATAGTGAAACCCTGTCTCTACTAAAAATACAAAAAATGAGCCGGACATGGTGGCATGCGCCTGTAGTCCCAGCTACTTGGGAGGCTGAGGCAGGAGAATCACTTGAACTGTGGAGGTGGATGTTGTTGCAGTGAGCCGAGATCATGTCACTGCACTCCAGCCTGGCGACAGAGCGAGACTCCGTCTCAAAAAAAAAGAAAAAGAGATGCCAGGCTGGGCATGGTGGCTCATGCCTGTAATCCCAGCACTTTGGGAGGCCAAGGCAGGTGGATCACTTGAGGTCAGGAGCTCGAGACCAGCCTGGCCAACATGGTGAAACCCCATCTCTACTAGAAATACAAAAAATTAGCCAGGCATGGCGGTGCATGCCTGTAATCCCAGATGCTCGGGAGGCTGAGGCAGGAGAATCGCTTGAACCTGGAAGGTGGAGGTTGCAGTGAGCTGAGACTGCGCCACTGCACTCCAGCCTGGGCAACAGAGCCTGACTCCATCTCAAAAAAAAAAAAAAAAAAAAAAAAAAGAAAAAGAAAAAAGAAAAGAAATGCCTGAGTCCCCACCCCTAGGATTCAAATTCACTTAGTCTAGAATGGGACCCAGGCACCTCAATTTTTTTTTTTCAAATTTCCCCAGATGACCATCATGTGCACCCAGGACTGAGAATCACAGGTGTAATCCAAGTGGGTTTTTTAAGATTGCAGAACTGGCGTTTGTAACCTACAGGGTTTCTGCCCAGGAACAATGATCCAACTTCGACCTCAATGTCACAGTCTGGTTCTTGAGGTCTGAGCTATTGGGTCTGTGGCATTAGGGAGACCTTGTAATAACAAAAATCCCTTCGGGTACTCTGGTGACCAGACTTCCTTGAAAAGGTTGAAGGTGGTTGACATTACGGCGAGAGTGTGCGTGCGTGTGTGTTCCATATACACACACGCACACACACAGGCGTGCATGAGTGTATACATTTAGACAGTTTGTATATATAGATAACTTTTGTTTGTTTTCAAATGAATGCATTTCAGAAGGATCAGTTGGTGTCTGCAGCATTGGTATTGTCACATTGTCATAGCTCAGTCTCCTGGCTCCAGCTTACGCAGCCTCTGGTCTCTCTTGTGCTAATTAACACAAAATGTTGGTGACACTTCCAGCTCCAGGAGAACTTGACACCTCTTGCCTTTCTTCATCATAGTTTCCAGTCTTTACCTCTCCTGCTCAGGGTAGAAACTTCAGTTCATGCTGTTGTCACTTTTTGTTGGCAGGTAGAAGTTGCAAATGGGAATTTCTGGGTTTGTTTTGCCCCTTGCATTGAAAGCAAATATTAACCGCCTTGCCTTTCTCTTTGTTTTTCATGTGAATCCAGTTCTGCCTGTCCCAGCTGCTTTCCCCCTGGGGCATGCTCTCCTGGACATAGTAGCTGACTCCTAGCCAGAGTGGCCCACTTGTCCTGGTTTACCTAGGACTTTCCCAGTTTGAGCCCCAAATGTCCCATGCCCCAGGAGGCCCTTCAGTCCCAGGCAAATCCGGACAGTTGGTCACCATAATACTAGATCATCTCCCAGCTGATTGGCCTTTCCATGCACTTAAAAACACGGATGTTTACAGGGTGAGTGTGGGGTTTTATTAAAGACAGATGGGCTTAAAAATGCAAATCAGGGTCATTTGTATGAGGTTGTGTGTTTTTCACTTTTTTTTTTTAAATAACTGAACACAAGAGGTCAAGCTAATTCTTCTTGCTAGGCCTGTCAAGCTCTGTTCCTAAGGGACAACACAACAGATCACACCTTTCTTCCGCACTTGAGCCAATCCAGGCATGAAACAGATACTTCACAAAGGGCCTTCTCCAAGATGTTTGCTTTGAAGGGGTTCAAGCAGCCCGGCAAGGTGCCATGGAGGGGCTTGGCTCACAGTGACTAGAATAGACTCCTCTCCTGGCTGTACCACCAGCTACTGAGGCCAATCACTTCCCCTCTCTGAGACTCAGTTTCCTCATCTACATAGGAAACATGGCCACTCACCTGTTGAAGTGGTTGGGAGAATTACGAGGCTTTATAAAGGTTGATTTCCTCCCTTCCTTCCTTGCGCTTTGCCTAGTTCTTAGTCAAGGCGGGCTTTAGCCAGGGTGGGCAGCTGCTGTAATTACCACCCCACGTGACTGTGGCTTAACTCAGTGAATATTTATTTCTCACTCAACAGTCCAGCAAGGGTATTCCTCCTTGGATGGCTTTACTGGGTGATCCTTGTCCATGGGGAGACATGGGACCCCAGACTCCTTTCCTTTTATGGTTCTGTCTCCCCTCCAGGTCCATGGAGTCCTTCCATGCAGTGGTCACGAGGCATGGAGGGTTGTGTGGGATTTTGTTTGGGGCCATGTCTGGAAGTGGTATACCTGGAACCCACCCATGTTCTACTAGCTGGAACTTGGTCATGCCACACCATTCCCTGCATAGGAGGCTGGGAGATGTAGCACCGCTGTGTGCCAGAAAGGAGAAGGAAGTAGGGTTTGGTAAGCACATGGCTGGCTGTGAGCACCAGTGGGTCATCTTCCCCTGATTTATGAACATTTCTCTGTGCAGTCCTACATCGCTTCACAACAGGAATACATCCTGAGAATTGCACTGTTAGGCGATTTTGTTGTACAAACATTGTCGAGTGTGCTTACACAAAACTGGATGGTACAGCCTACTACACACCTCAGATCTATGGTGCAGCCTATTGCTCCTAGACTCCTGTATAGCTTGTTACTGTACTGAATACTGCAGGTAATTGTAACACAACAGTGTTTTCACATCTAAACAATATCTAAACATAGAAGAGGCACAGTAAAAAATAGATATAAAAGATAATGAATGGTATACCTGTATAAGACAGCTCCATTATAATCCCATGGGAACACCATTGTGTATGTGGTCCATCGTTGAAATGTCATTATATGGCACATGACTATTTCCAAAGCAGGATTCTGTAAGAACGTTGCGATTCATTTTACACAGAAATGGGGTCTGGGTTCAAATGCACTTAGTTTAAACAAAGTTAAACCAATTTCTTCATTGCAGGGCTTATCAGAGCCTCTCATTTACTGATCATAAATGATGCAAGGGGGCAGACTGTGTAATATGTTCCAAACTTAGCAAGCTCTTCCTTTTTGGAGGGGCATTTTAGAACTCATACTCTGTAGAATATGGCTTGGAAAACACTGCTTTAGATGTTGCTCGAGTTTATATTCAGAAACCGGAACACTTTCACAAAAACATTGGGATTAAAAGAAACCGCCAAAATCTGTGGTTCTCAACAGAGAGTTTAGTCCTCCAGGGATCATGGTCAGGGGCCCAGAAGCTGAATCCTTATAGAATGTAAAAAGCGAATACTTTTCTATCTCCATTCCATCTTTCCTTCCTTCCCTCCCTCTCTTCCTTCCTTCTTCATTTTCTTACCCATCTCCTTCCTTCCCTGCGTTCATTCCTTCTTCTCAAACCTGCCAAAGGAAGCCCATGAGGTCTATGTCTTAGTATTTATGCCTGAGTATAGTCATCAATGTCTGCTAACTGGGTGTGTGAGTGATGTGTTCAGTACTATTTCAATCCTTGTCTCAATTTCAGCCGGGCGCTTCAGGGCAGTCTGCCTGGATTGGTCCTGTCACCCTGGCCTGCCCATCTGGGTGAATGTTAAAATCCCTTTCTAAGCTTGTGTTTTTAATGGCTGGCTGGCGTCACCTGTCATAAATCAAGGTGGGCTGAGGTTTAGCACTGAGGTTAGACAGAATAACTCACAGCAAAACTAGAGCGGTTTTATTTTTCTATTTTAGTTATAGGCACCAGCCCTATATATATATAGCTTAAACTTAATTTGGTGTGTAATTGGGACTAGCTCTTTGGAGCCCTGGGTTATGTGTTTTGGAGCAGCTGAGAAGCGGGGCATGGTGGGGCAGGACATGGTATGTTAATTGGTGGCCTCTGGGACCTGTGAGAGAATTGGATTTAAGTCCCTAGTTAGAGTGAGCTTGGCAGTTTTATTTGAGTCTCTGCGGGCATGTATTGGGGAGACCACCGGTTTGTGCCGGCTGGAGCAGGTTACTCACTCTGTGCCCTGATGCCCGTCTGTGCCTCCCTGGTCAGCATGGTGGCAGGGGGTGGTGGAGGAGCCCAAGAATTTGGGTGGGGGAGGGCCTCTACAAGACTTGGCCTGCCACTTACCTGTAGTAGTTGCATGCTGCTTGGCGCATGGTCCCAAAGAGGGTTTTGCATTTTATTACCAAAGTCTTGATAAAAGGGACTTGGGTCAGAGCAAACATGAGGGGAGGAAAAACAAAGGAAATTAAATGCAAAATCACTGCTGGTGAAAAACCACATGGAGGCCTTGACTTTAATACCGCCAGAGCCGATGGGGGAAGTGGCCCCAAAGAGTCGGAACCGAAGGACGTTGGCCTGGTATTCCTGAAGCCTGGCCCCTCTCCTGTTTAAAAAGAAATTGCCATTTAATTTGTTTCTGAGTTTTATTTCTCAAGTGAACCAGCATGAGGCCATGTAATGAGGTTGTGTTTCTGGGAGGTGTTGAAAGATGGGGAAAGGAGCGAAACCACCAAGCGGGGCTGGGCCACGCCAGGAGTAAGGAGTGGCAGTGGGCCGTGGGAGTCGGCAGCGTTGGGGCTGGAGGGGCAGGCAGGGGCCGTCTGAGGGCTGGCTCCTCTACACACCGTCAGTGGGGCAGGGCTTGCCATTGTGTGGTCGGAGGGTGGGCCAGTTGGCTGGGCCGCCTCACTTGGCTCAAGAGAGGAAAGATGTTTTTTCATCTGGTTTAAAGATCCACAGGGGCTCGCTCAAGCTGATGGAGTGAGATTGCGTGGCTGATGTGAGCCAAGGACGCTTGCAGTTAGAAAGAATCTGAGCCATGGAGAAAAGGAATCCTTGGGCAAGGAGGAGAAGGGGTTTCCCAGAGAGCAGAGGTCAGCTCAGACCAAGAATGAGCAAGTGCATGTAAAGCATCTCGGGAGGTCACTTATATAAAAGGTTGGGCAAGAGATTTCTAGACCAGGGAGCATCAGAGAAGCCTCCAGAGCCTGCCACCCATGGGGCTGCGGCTGTCCTCTGGTGCCGAGACGGCTGTGAGACGCTGGGCTTCTTGGGAAATGACACCTGGGGCATGGGAGCAGATGGGTGCCAAGGTCTTCTTCCCTCTGCACAAAACTGGAGCAAAGTTGCAAAGTGTGAGGCCTCCTGCCACCCTCCCTCTCCTGGCCTCCCGGACAGTGGATGGGGACCTTTGCTCTCAAATGATCCTCCCAGTGGTAACAGAGAGAACCCAGGGTAGCCAGTCCCTCTCTGCCACGTGACCATGCTGTCCCAGCGCTTAGTGTGTGACCCCATGGCACACACACACATAACCCCTGGGGTTCAGGTGGGATCCACCTTCTCTGCTGCCCCAAGCTCTGACTCCGGCTGCCTCCTCCCAGCCTCTGCAGGTGCCGGGTCTACTTGTCTAAAGGCGCTTGGCTTTGTGAGGATTGCGAAAGGCACTCCGCCCATCTGCAGGGCCTCTGTGCATGGCCGTGATGTGCTGTAAATTGGAAGAACAGATTAGTCTGTTTACTACACAACTTTTTTGCACCTGGCGTGCACAGGCTTCATTGTCTCTTCAACAGCCCCAGGAGGGAGTTATTATCTCCATTTTACAGGGTAGTCCAGTAACTTGTCCAAAATGAGCAATCATAGCCACGGCTGCATCTATTGAGCACTTACGATGTGCCAAGGTCTTTGGCCCGTGCCAAGGTGTTTGGATGCTTTATCCCATAGAGGCCTCGTCATAGCTGTTCTTCCTTCTTGCTGTCACCTGCTTGCATGCTCTCCCTGGCTGCCTAGTGCCTGACGAATAACTACAGCAGCCCCTCCCCACACCATTCCCACAACCCCACATGGTATGGCAAGGACAGCGCTAATAAACTTGGTCCTCACAACCTCATGAAGTGGGTACCATGATCCCTGTTGTACAGATAGGCAAACTGAGGCCCCAAGTACAGAACTGACATTGTCCAAGGTCACTCAGAGGGGCTTGTTGGCAGAGCCCTCCTGTTGCTGAAACTCTTCTCTGTCTTCTGTGGGAGAAAGGTCAAGATAGGATCAGTGTGGGGTAGTCACACAGGCCCCCCAATGGCCTCTGCCCCTGGCAGTGTTGCCACTCTGAGCCGGGTCATTGTGTGATCTGGGGCTGTCCCGTGCATGGCAGGATGTGGAGCAGTGCCCCTGGCCTCTGCCCGCTGGGTGCCAGCAGCCCCTCCCCCTCAGTCGTGGCAATCAAAAACATCTCCAGGCATTGCGGGATGTCCCCTGGGAGCCATCACCCCGGGCTGAGAACCACTGGTTGAGAGCCAGGCCTTGAGGGATTCCAAGCTGCGCGAGATGTTCTGGGTGGGGGCATGGGGTGAGGAAAGCTGGGAGGCCAGAGTAGTTCCTGGAGGGGGGTTTGGAGCATTGAGACCCCCCGCCTGGCTGAAGAGCACATGCCCCCAGGACGCTGCAGAACAGTGGGAGGTGCACCACACAGCACCTCAGCCGTCACGTGTTCAAATCCTGGCGTTTCACTGAGCGGCCATGTTCCTAAGCTCTCTGTGCCTCAGACTCCTTACCTGTAAAACGGGGACCACATGAGAGCAGCTGCGCAGGAATGTTTGAGGCTTACAGAAGAGACAAGTTATTGCATGGGAAGTGGCGGCTGCTGTCAAGCAGCTCCCTTGAGGACCTTCACTGCCCCGGTTGGCAGGGCAGGCTCACCCATTCAAATGTCTCCTTCTCTACAGCAGCTTGGTGGCAGAGGGAAGGTGGGCTTTTTGCCCCCCATGCTGTGCTGCAGCTCACCCATCCTGGTGGCAGGTTCAGGGAGCCTGGTACCCCTCCGCCTCCTGCATGCCCGAACGTCTGGGCGAGCGCGTGTAGAGATGAAGCCACGTCTCACCCCCTTTGTCTCCCTCCCCTCTCCCAAGCAGCGTCTCGGAAGCTGGAAACACTGGCCCCGGTGGACCTGTCTGGATGGACGTCAAAGAATACGGCTCCCATGCGGAAATTCTGATCTGCTGTCCACCTAGGCAAAACACCTCTCATGAGAATCAGATTCTGTCCAACTGTATGAATTCAGTGACTAAAGCCATTTGCCGATGGCCATTGTCAGGAAGAGCCCTTTAGACAAAGAAGGACAGAAAATGACCATTTTTTGGCCCAGTGCCCACGAGTCATTCCCTTTGCAATATCTCACTTAATTGTTTCAAGTGACTGTTAAGCCTGGGGTCTGTGGTGGAGCCTGTGTGTCTGGCTCTAGACTGCCTGGTCTTTGTCCTATGCCAGGCTGAGGTGCTCATTGTCATTCTCTACCCCACCCAAAGATGACCAAAAAATGATGCTAATCATCTCCTCTGGCTAAGATTTAAGTTTCCAAACTGTGCATCCTCATCAACTGGAGAGCTGGCTAAATGCAGATTCCCAGGCCCCGGCCCCAGTGTGAGGCAGTAGGTCTGGAGTCCAGGAATTGGCATCTTAATTGTCATCCCAGAGGCTCATGACGTTAGTGACCCATGTGGGCCACACGTTGAGAAACTCTGAGCCATTTACTGATCACGTTTAAATTGTATACATGAGTACATGTGCTTGCTCTGTGTGTGTGTGTGTGTGAGAGAGAGAGAAAGAGAGAGAGTTTTCTCTGGGCATAATGAAATGTCAAGCAATTTTAGATATTTTTCTCTATGCTTTTCTGTATTTTAATTTTTTACAATGAGCTTATAATTTTTTATGAGCAGATAAAGCCATGAAGACTTTCTCCTGGGCAACAAAGAGCAGAAATATTATCAATATGTAGAAAGTAGATTTGGGGCAAATGTGGACATAGAGACAAAAAGCCACAACTGTAAATAAACATTTTAACTCCTAATGCGTGCATCCCTTTCTCTGTGACTCTGAACTCCTGAGCCAGCCACGGACAGCCTGGAGAAGAGAGGAATGTCCCACCTCCCATTTTCAAGTGATCTGTTCTTGGCAAAGCAGAGCTAAAGACACACCTAGGAATTTGGGCTGGTGCGGCTGAGCCAGGGCCAGGCCTCCCTCCCTTCTGTCTCGGCCCCTGGAGTCCAGGCCTGGCCAGTTTCTGCTCCTCCACCCGGCCCGGCACTTGGGCATCCTGGCCAGCCAGGCAGAGCCAGGGATGGCGATTTTACAGCACTTTTATGACTCTATCCTTGCCCATTAAACCCACACCGGGCCCCACAAACACTCTGTGAGAAGGCCAGGCCCTTCCAGAGAAATGGTTTCCTACACCTTTACAATGTGATAGGAAAAAAGGGGCCGTTGGATTTATGGAAACTGTATAAAGTTTATGGAGTCTTGGCAGGCCAGAAGTAGCAAGAGTCTGCAGGATGGGGGGTGGGCGTCTCAAAGCGGAGAAGGCCATGAAAGAGCCGCAGACCTTCGTGTCGAGACACCAGTCAAAACGCCGGTGACCAGAGCAATGCTGGGGGACCCTGGGGACGGAGGAAACTGGCCTTGCTTGCGGCAGCAGCTGTGGGGGTGCTTTCTGGGCTGATATCATTTAATCTCCGTAGCATTCCTGTGAGGGAGGCATGGCCAACCTCATTCTGTGGAGGGGAGACCAAGGCAAAGGTGTTTTGAAAATTGCAAGTGTGCCCAAGGTCGCCCAGCCAGTGGTGCGTGGCGCTGAAGTGGATGTTCTGGGGCGGGCTTGAGTTCTCGCAGTCTCTCCTGTGTATTGAGCAATGCGTCCCAGTTTTAGGTCCAGATAACATGGTGTCCACACTCTGCTTCAGTTTGGGACTTGTCTGCTATTTGTGGTTTTCTCAGGGTCCCCTGGGGTCCTTCTGTCAGCCCCATCTGCCTCTGTGGGTCAGCTTTGCTGTTGAAGCTGATTTGTGCTCAGGCCAGCCTGCTGGCCTTGGCTAGAGCAGAAGTGAAACCACCCAGAGGGGTTGGCTCTGAATCAGGACAGGGTTAGAACAGAGTCTTTGCCTGTGGCCACCCCCCGCCTTGTTCCAATTCTGCCAGCAGAGCCTCTTAGGGCCCTGCAGGAGTACCTCACGGGGTCTGAAGTCACCTTTTCCAGTTCCTGTCAGCCTTCAGCATTCTAATCCATTTCTCCTTGCATATACACCTTGTGGCAGCCATGTTTTCTCTCTTTTACTTATTTGGCTGTGAATTCTTGGAGTGCAGATTCCATGAATGCTTAATTCTTCATCTCTGGTTTTGCCCAGAGAGCCTATCATAATTTCCAGAATATGGTAATTACTGCATAAATATCTGCTGGGAGGATGAACAGATGATTGGATGGATGGATGGATGGATGGACAGATGGATGAATGGATGGATGGACAGATGGATGAATGGATGGATAAATGGATGGTTGGATAGATGGATGGCTGGATGGATGGATGGGTAGGTGGATGGATGGATGGGTGGATGGAGGGATGATGGATGGATGGATAGATGAGTTATGTGTAGACTGTCAGATACCCACCTCCTCATTTACACCCTTGAGTGTAGTTAAACTAGCAGCCTAACCCAGGTTCTCTGAGGCTTTTACTAAATGCACTTCTGTTTCAGGGGATATACTTTGCTCTCTCTGAAGCCATATGGAGAAACCAGCCTGAGTGTTTGAATGTGTGTGTAAATACTTTACAGTCCCCATAAACTTGTTTAAAGACAGGTGGGGGTAAAAGCATAAACCGGGACAGCCTTGTGGGAGGGCAATTTGGAAGTAGCTATTAAAATTTTTAATGTGCCTACCACTAAGACCCAGCAGTTCCACTTTTAGTTGTCACGGGTAAGAAATATATTCATATGTTTGTGCACAAAGAACCAGGATGCTCATACAATGCTTGTTTCTGCATTGCTCGAAACAGTGAAAAATGGGCAGCAGTCTTGATGTCCATCCACAGGGGGAACAACCAGACTATGGAAAACACTGTAGCCATCAGAGAGAATAAAGTGGATCCATATTGCAAAGTGGAAGGATCTCCGATAGAGCTTGGGACAGACACTCTCTGAGCTTCCGGGAGTCTCCAAGACTCTGGTACTCACTGGTCTCAGCACATGTCTCCTCCCAACCTCATTTCTATTAACTTCTTTTCCTTCTCCCTTCCCTCTCACCCGTGAAACACAGTTTACTGGAATTCGTTCTTTAATTCTTATGCCTATTAGCCAGTGACCCTCCCTTACAGAAAAGGAGGAAACTGAGAGAAAAGCAGTGATGTACGTAATTACTGTCTGCTGGTTCTTCAGTTAAAAATATTGTAAGGCATAATATTGAAACGTGATTTATGGGTGCCACATTCTGCCAAATAATGAGGCCAAGAGGAAAAAAGTCCCGTTGTTACAGAAATCCATAAGCTTTGCTCTCCTGCAGGAGATCAATTGGCTCTCATTTTCTTATTGCTAAAGAAATTTGGAATCGTTTTAGGCATATGTGATATGGTCTTTCAATATGTTGAAATCCAGTAGCTGAGGAGCCGTCTGGCTCAGATATTGAAGGAAGTTTCCTGGAGGCGTGGCAGCTCACAGCCGAGGAGGCTGCAGCCTCAGGCCACCACGCACCCTCACCCAGACACTGGCACTGGGGCCCATCTCAGAAACACCCTCCGGGTGCTCGAGGGCCCAAGACAGCTAAGGCCACAGAACTCAGGAGAGAGCAGAAAAAGCACAGAATGGAGTTCCACCTGGGCTGTTTTATTAACTATTTGCCCCTCCGTTTCTTCATCTGTAAAACAGAAATGATAACCTTACTATTAATTGTGTGACCTTGGACAAGTTACAACATCTCCCTGGGCGCGATTGTCCCATCTGAAGGTCATAATAGCACCTGCCACAGAGGATGGTAGTAAGGATTAAATTAGTTAATCCATGTAAATTACCTAGGTAAGTGCCTGCCATATAGCAAGTGCTTGGTACTTTTTTTTAAAAATCACTGTTATGACTATTGCAGACACCTTTGCCATGATTGGAATAGCTGGAATCCAAACTCAAGCCTTCCATTTCCAGGGTTCTGGCTGGTGTGGGGCTGACAGACCTGGATGGGGATTCCCAGCTCTGCCTCTCTTCAGCTGAGCAAGTCACTGGAACCTCTCTGAGCTGCATTCTGTTCAGCTGTAAAATAATAGTTTGTACTTTGCAGGGGTGTTGTAAGGCAGTGGTCTCCAGCCTTTTTGGCACCAGGGACCAGTTTTGTGGAAGAAAATTTTTCCATGGACAGGGTGCTGAGGGGGATGTTTTCAAGCTCCTATGAGGATTTAATGCGGCTGGGCGCGGTGGCTCACGCCTGTAATCCCAGTACTTTGGGAGGCCGAGGTGGGCGGATCCCGAGGTCAGGAGATCGAGACCATCCTGGCTAACATGGTGAAACTCTGTCTCTACTAAAAATACAACAAAAATTAGCCAGGCATGGTGGTGCGCGCCTGTAGTCCCAGCTACTCTGGAGGCTGAGGCAGGAGAATGGCATGAACCCGGGAGGCGGAGCTTGTAGTGAGCCGAGATTGCGTCACTGCACTCCAGCCTGGGTGACAGAGCTAGACTCTGTATCAAAAAAAAAAAAAAAAAAAAAGTTAGAGGATTTAATGCCTCTGTTGATCTGACAGGAGGCGGAGCTCAGGCCGTGATGCTCGCTTCTCACCACCTGCTGTGCAGGCCAGTTCCTAACAGGCGCGGACCAGTACTGGTCCATGGCCTGGGGGTTGGGGACCCCTGTTGTAAGGTTTAAAGATGAATGGAAACAAAGTGTCCGGGACGCAGTGAGTGCTTGGCGGATGGCAGTCGCCCTTGGCAGTGAAAGATCTTTGCTAAGAAGCCTCTTTGGGTAATGCTCTCCCCTGGGAGAAGGGGTCCATTCCTGGTTTATGTCCTTCGGTTCACATTGGCTCAGCAGCAAGCGCCTGCAGAACTCTTTATTCCTGGAGGGTGCAAAGTCTGCCCTGGCTCTAGAAATAATAGCTACAAAGAAAAACCACTGGCAGCCCCTGTGCCAGGGACTGTGTGGAGTTGGCTCTGCAGGAGCCTGGGTATCCTTAGAGCAGCTTGGAGAGTGAGCTCCTCATCCTCCATGTGCAGATCAGACATGCGGGTGGGGGTCTGGCCCGGGCACACAAAGCTGGGAGATGACAGGGCTCAGAGTCTGATCTTGGGCTGTCCAATCCCTTTCACCACACTGTGGCACATTCCAGAGCCCCTATCCAATTCCTAATTATCGGCTCCACTCCACCCCGACCCTGACTGCCCTCTCCCATCTCCTCATGCCCATCACTGCCACTGGGTGACCATGCAGTCCCATTACAGCCTCTTGTGGGGTTGATTTGTAGTTTTGTCTCCAGTGCTTCTTAGCCTGAACTGTCAGATGTCTAAATGTTTGAATTGGGTTGTAGAGAACATTTTGTTCCATGTGTCTGAATCTGTGGGTTTACATAGATGCTCAGGGGTTGGGCTGGGGAGCATGGGTTGTGGGTGCCAGGTAAGGCGTTGCCAACCCCTTCCAGAAAGGCCTCTGTTCTTACATGGGACACCCTGGGGTTCTGTCTGCCCTCCACCTAGAATCTCCCCTTGGGAAGGGGAAGGTGTGATTTTGCACATACTTCTTATTCTCCCAGCTGATGGTATGTCTTTGTTTTCAGTTGAGAGGGAAAATGTGCAGAAGAGGACCTTTACACGATGGATAAATCTACATCTAGAAAAGGTAATGGCGCACTTGGGTGTTTGCTAAGTGATAGATTCATCTGTAACTGAATTTACAGTTCCAGAGAGTGGAGGGGGAGCTGGTGACCTGTGCTCTTTCTGTTGTTCATTCATTTAAACATTTATAAGTGCCTCCCCCTGCCGGTTACCAAGCTCAGGATTGGGAAGAGATGACTGAGACACGGCTCTGCCCTCCTGGGGTCATCATTCTTATCAGGGGAAGGAAAGAGAGGGTCTGTCTTTAAGTAGGAATCTGAGCAGATGGTGGAAGACGTTCATTATTGAACACACCAACACCTGAAACTCAGGTGCGCATCTTGATTGCCAGACCCGGGATCTGTGAAGAGCCAAGAGCCATTTGTAGGTATTGGGCAAAGCTAGATTTCCTTCTAAAGTCACATAATGTTGCTATTTAATAATAATAATAGTAATAATATTATTACCTGCCCCTTCACTCTGCATCAGGCATCCTGCATAGTGCCACACACACATGCCATGTCTCCTGTCATCCTCATGACGACTTGAATTACCCCCCTCCTATCAGAAGGAGGAAACAGAGGCACGGAGACATAATGTGGCTTTCCTGAACTTTCCATGGCTTCTCCTCTGTATTCAACTTAGTGGCCCTTCTATTCCTCTGTTTCTTTCTCTTCTTGCATTCTTTGGCCCGGCTGTTTTGAGTTGCATTTTGTTTGCAAGCATCTCATGCACACACCATAAAACAAAAGCAGCTGAATCAGCTCCCCACTTGAAACAGACTAAAGGAAGAGCCACAGAGGAGAGGCAGTGATGGGAAGGGATGAACAGCTCTGGGTGAGAAGGGGGATGGGAGCAGGCAGAAATCTCAGCCCTCCTGGTGCATGAGGTTGGATGGACCTCAAGACTGTGGGCCTGGGGCTGGGAGAGGAGAGATTATTTTTCTCTTTTTTAGAAAGTTGATTTTTTATCTACTCACTTCACCTCTTTCTCCTTAAGCACCACTATCTGGTTCTCCATCTATATCCAGCAAGTAGTCTCAATTCTGTTTGAAGCTAGTAGCACCCCACTTTCATGTTTGTAGGTAATCGTCTCTCTTCTCCTCTTAAAAGGTTCAAGAGAGGCCGGGCACAGTGGCTTATGCCTGTAACCCCAGTGCTTTGGGAGGCTGAGGCAGGTAGATCACTTGAGGTCAGGAGTTTGAGACCAGCCTGGCCAGCATGGTGAAACCTTGTCTCTACTAAAAATACAAAAATTAGCTGGGCGTGGTGGCTCATGCCCGTAGTCCCAGCTACTGGGGAGGCTGAGACTGGAGAATCGCTTGAACCCAGGAGGTGGAGTTTGCAGTGAGCTGAGATCGCACCACTGCACTCCAGCCTGGGCGGCAGAGCGAGACCCTGTCTCAAAAAACAAAACAAAAGGTTCAAGAGTAACTATTGACTGCCTTTATGGTTAACACAAAAGAAAGGTTCTTAGAAGAAATCACTGAAATGATTAGAAAGCAGAGAAAATAAATGTGGCTTTTAGGAAGTGGAGCTCTTGACCTCAATTCTAATTCACATAGTTTATCTTTAGGTCTAGGATATTGCCCGAGCAGGCATTCGGCCACCCACACCTCCACTCCTGACGTGTAGAACATGTGACGCAGTGCCACCACTTCACCCAGGAGCATCCTGAACTCTACGGGTGAAAGATTGTATCGCAGATGAAGCTTATAAATCATCAACCAGTTGTTTTGATTATTGGCACATTTTCGGCAATGCTCCTAAAGTGAAGTGTTATTTTGGGGAAAAAAGCAAAAGGAAAACTTGTCCCCAAACCTGAGATCACTGAACTCTTAAATTAATGCCTGATGTGTGTCAGGGTAGCTGGAAATTCCTGCTGGGGGACACACTAGAGCCATGGAGTATTTCTTTCTTTCTTTTTTAAAAAATTAAAATAAATAAATACAGAAAAGTACAGAGGGTCACGTGGTGAATATACCCGCACCCACTCACCACCCCAAATGAACCTCTGTTCGCATTTATCATATCAAGGATTTTCTCCCTGGTCAAATTCCTGCCCCTTTCTCAGGGCAGGTGGGTAGCGCCGACTCTGAAAATAAATCAGATAGCACCTGAAACTGATGTCTAATAAACAGGGCAAAATTAACAGCCACGTTTCCAACCTTGAGACTTTCAAGAACAACCTTGCATGTAAAGGAAACCCAGGAACTCCTTGGTGAATTGGGCTTAACTGCAATTTGAAGGCTGTCAGAAATATTTACTGAGTCTCTGGCTTCTGGAAAAATTCCTTAATTTACCGAAGGAGTTAGATCATGAAGAAAGCCCTGGGGGTGCTGTTTATTCGGCCATACCAATCTCATGAAGCCCACAGAGCGTTTGGGGCCCAAGGAGTGTTTTCCCTGGCGCAGGTTCAATTTCTCCCCCTGCCATCTCGCAGGATGGACTCCGGCCAAGGCCCTGTTTGCTGCTGCTGCTGAGGCTCTTATAGGAACTGTCAATGGAAATTATTCTTCAGGTTTAACTCAGAAGTAAGGCTTGGCCACGGCCGGGGCTGGTAACTGGAAATGTTGTTAGTCCATTTATCAGGGGGTATTCCGTTCGGGTCTCGCGTTTTCTGCCTCGCATTAACAGGAATAACATTTCCGTAAGAGCCTCAGTAACCTGATCCCGTCATGCTCAGGGTGGAAGGTGCCCAAGGAGCTGCGGCAGTTTGCAAAGAAAATAATTTGCCTTTTGGTTCAAAGTCGCTGTTGCCCTTGAAGCGAAGCCCTTTTCTGTGCACCTGCGGGTGGAATTGCCCTGTATTTTGACTAACTGGGGGTAAAGGGACTCGTATAAAGGGTAAGGAAATGCCACCTTCCTCCATAAAAAATGAAACACAGGCCCTCCACGGCTGCCACGGGAAGGAGGCTTTCCCACAGGGAAAGGGTGGCTGGGCCACAGTTCCACTGTTTCCTGCCCCTGGGTCTCTGGCTGGTTATGGCTGCCACCCTCCCGTTGGCCTCAGGAGCTCCATGCCCCATTAATCCTGTCTCCCATCAGGAGCTCCATGCCCCATTAATCCTATCTCCCATGTGAATGCCCAGCCTTCCCCTGTACCCAGGAGCAGAGACAGCACCCAGACCAGCTGCTCTAACCTTGCCAAAGCCCCCAGTACAAAAAGGTAAACAGGAAATTCATGCCGGGGTGGAAGCTTATTAAGAATCGGGTTTCGGCCGGTCATGGTGGCTCACGCCTGTAATCCCAGCCCTTTGGGAGGCCAAGGCAGGAGGATATCGCATGAGCCCAGGAATTTGAGACCAGCCTGGGCAACACAGAGAGACTCCATCTCTACAAAAAGTTTAAAAAATTAACCAGACGTGATGGCACGTGCCTGTAGTTCCAACTATTTAAGAGGCTGGGATGGGAGGATCACTTGAGCTAAGGGTTTGAGACTGCAGTGAACCGTGGTCATGCCACTGCACTCCAGCCTGGGCCACAGAGCAAGATCTCATCTCAAAAAAAAAAGAAGAAGAAGAAAAATGCAAGTTTCTGGACCCTGCTCCCAGAGATTCTGTTGCGATTAAAAGGAGTTATTATCAAGCTTGTTTAGACAGTAGAAACCTTTCTTCAAGCAAAGCATTACCTAGAACCGTAAATGTAGTCATCCCTCCTTCTCTGTGGGTTCCACATCTGTGGCTTCAACCAACAGCAGATAAAAAATATTCAGAAAAAAAAAACTGCATCTGTACTAAACAAGTACAGAGTTGCTTCTTGTCATTACTCCCTGAACGATAGAGTATAACAACTATTTACTTTGCATTTACACTGAATTAGGTATTATAAGTAATCTAGAGGTGATTTTAAGTATATGGGAGGATGTGCATAGATTATATACAAATACTGTGCCATTATATATCAGGGACTTGAGCATCTGCAGATGTTGGTACCTGAGGGAAGTCCTGGAACCGATCCCATATAGATACTGAGGGGTGACTGTACAGGCCAGTAAGAGCTGAGCCTCTCTGATTAAAGCGGGTGCAGTGGGATCAGCTGCCTCCACCATCCCCCTCTCCCCTATAGGGTGTCCTAAAGCTGCTCTGCTGAAGCCTAAGGTTCCGGGGAACAGAGTTTGCAAATCCTCACACTGGAGCATCTAACCCACAAGTTCCAGCCAGTTCTTCAGACTCCCGGCCACGTCCAGCCAAGCTCCTAGCAGATACCGTGTGGAACCAAACAGTGTCAGTTCACTTGGACAGCAGACCCCTCCCAGGTCTAGGCCCAGAGAGGAAAGCCCAGGGGGCTTCTGGCTCTTTTCCTTCCCAGGCCCCCCTCCACACTCTAGATCCTGTTTAGGGAATTGCGTTTCCCCTCAGGGAGAAGGAAGTAGTCTACGGGAACTGAGGCTGGGGCTTCTGTTACTGACCCAGGGAACCCAGAAAGTGAGTGAGTGGGGCAGAGAGAAGGTGTTTCAAGAGCCGTTCACTACAAAGGGGCCGCCAGCTGAGGACATCTCCCTTCCACTGATGGCCACAAGGCATACACCCTCTGAATGAAATGTCTTCCTGAGGAGGGCATCCCAAGGCTCTGCAGGCAGGATGCCACTTAGCAGTCAGCAGGTGGGAATGGGCCGGGTAGGTGGGGGCTGTGCCAGGCTCCCTACCTGCATGATCTCATTGCATTCCAGCCCAGTCCTCTGACGAGGGTCAGATTCCTCACCTGACATTGCAGACAAGTACACTATCTTTGTGCAAGTGTGCAAGGTCAGGTTAGGCCCAGGGAGGTTAAAGAACATTCCCAAGGCCAAGTTGCTATCAAGGTAGAGCCTGGCTTTGAACTCAGGTGTGTCTAACGGCCTTGCTTCTCGTTGGCTCATGTGAGGTGCAATGTTGATTTATCTCAGGAAGCTGGATTTTGTGGAGGAATAGAGGAGTAACATGCAGCTTTTTTTTTTTTTTGGTACAACTTTAATGAGTTAGATTTGTAATAATGAGCTTGTATTGCTTTTGTACCTAAACATATAAATACACATACACATATACATGGACATGTAAATCGACCTCTGAACCTTTGAGTTCCTAGTAAGTCTACACACGTGGGGTGAGGAAAGCCTTCTTCCCTTCACCCAACCATTGAGCCATTCAGCAGGCCAGCTGTGTCCTGCCAGCCACCTGCTCTCCTAGCCAAGTCTCACACACCAGCCCCCTTTCCTGGCTTCCTCTGCTAAGGGTCCCACCACCTCCAGACTTGGTCTAAATATTGGTGAAGCAATGACGGGCACCTCAGGAGGGCACACTTGAAGACTAAAGCAGTCTTGGAGATGGGGGAGCCCTACTGATGCCGTATTGAATCCTGGAGAGTAACTGGCCCAGGGTCTTGTCATTGCTGTGTGGATCTAGGGTACACTTGCGTTCAGCCCTTGTGGCCGGATACAGGAAACAGGACAATACCAAACAGCTAGCTTGACCAAATGCTGCGACTATCACTCATCCTCTTTGAGCCTCAGTTTCCCCAATCTAAAGTGAAGGGTGGCCGGGCGCAGTGGCTCATGCCTGTAATTCCAGCACTTTGGGAGGCCGAGGCGGGCGGATCACCTGAGGTCAGGAGTTCGAGACCAGACTGGCCAACATGGTGAAACCCCATCTCTACTAAAACCACAAAAATTAGCCGGTCATGCTGGCAGCTGCCTGTAATCCCAGCTCCTCGAGAGGCGGAGGCAGGAGAATCACTTGAACCCGGGAGGCGGAGGTTGCAGTGAGCCAAAATTGTGCCACTGCACTCCTAAGCCTGGGCGACAGAGCGTGACTCTTGTCTCAAAATAAATAAATAAATAAATAAATAAATAAAATGAAGGGCTTGCACTAGGTAATTTCACATTAAGCCCTGATAGAATTGTTTTATTCTACAGAAGGATGTAGTCAAGATATGCCATTTCTTTCTGCCCTTAAGCATGTGGATGTGATCTAAACGTGGGGTCTGAGATCTTCGGTTTGAAGGGCCCCCAAGGGCCACTTGTCGATCAGCCCCCTCTTGGTGAATCTTCTCTGCAGCCTTCCTGCCAAGTTGTGGCTGTGCACCGCTGCCTGGGTATCACTTCCAGGGGGATGGGCCTGCTACCTCCTTGGATGGGCTTTTCTACCTGTAAACAGAGCTGGATGTTTGGAAGTTTTCTCTTGAGCAGAAAGCTGCATCTCTGACATAGCTTTGTGGATCACACAGGTTGCTAATTGGCTACTTTCTTCCCTTCTCTTTCAAAGTGCAACCCACCTCTAGAAGTTAAAGATTTATTCGTCGATATACAAGATGGCAAAATCCTAATGGCTTTGTTAGAAGTCCTGTCTGGGCGGAATCTGGTACGTATGTTACAGAAGGGTCAGAAAGAAAGAAAATGCAAAGGAAAACGCTGCTGAGGTTTTCTTTTCAACACAAATACCTGGACATATCCTATAATAAGAAACTCTGAAGCGGTGACTTTTTTTATTAGTGCCTACAAGCCATATAGTCATGTGGAATGAACTAGTACTTTTTTTTTTAAGCCAATGTATTTTAGAAAATAAATGAATAAATGCCCAGTGTTTTCTTTGAGTCTGTTAAGGCTTAAGATTAGAACTAAACAGTTAAAATTTAGCCAGCCAGCCATTATATAAACTAGAATCATCGCTGAGAAGTGGAAAAATTGGAAGAGAAAGGCCTTTTATCAACCACCCTAAGGCTAAGCACCCTAGAACTGCTGGCTTCTAGAACATTCTTTTAAGTATGACTGAAGTTGAGCCAGCTGGTCTTGACGTTCATTCCACTTTGGACATTAGCCAGACTTCTCCATGTTGCATCCCTCTGCTGTGTGCAGATTGGCCCTTGTTCTCTTCACAGACAGCAGAGTTTCTCAGCCTTGGCACTGTTGACATTTGGGTCACATAGTTTCTTGCTATGGGAAGATGTCCTGTGCATTGCAGGACATTTAGTATCTAACTGCTAAACAACAGTATCACCTCCAGGTGTGACAGCTAACAATCTCCCAGACATGATGAAATGTTCCATGAGGGGGCAAACTGATCCAGCCCAGAATGGTAGAAGTGTCAAGATTGAGAAAGCCTGTTCCAGAGTCCACTGTTTGATTTGGCCTTGGCAACCCATTGTGCCTAACTAAAACAGAGGTGCAGCAACGGGGTCACAACTCTACCAAACCATAGCTCAGCCAGCACAGAGCGTCCTGGGTCTGTCCTTAACTGTAGGTCTAAAGTCAAGAGTCCCTGCTTCTCTTCTCAGATATAATGTAGCTGGTATCTTATCAGACCTCTTAACCATCCCACCTTTGCTTTCCCAATGGCAAAACACAAGATACCTATTAGCGGCACCCGCAGAGGGCTACGCAGTATTCAGTGATGAACTCTCAACAGTATTTGGTTTCTTAGAGGCCTCGCCATGAGCACGGTCCCCAAAAGACTTCCTGAAAAAGTACCTTCTAGTCCCTTGTTTATGCTCCCAGCACAGAGGCTCCCCACTTTATTGCCAGAGCCCTGGTCACCAGCTGCTGTGTCCTTGGTGGGCCTCCACGGGGAGTCTTTGATTCTGGAGCCCAGCCAAGAACAGGCCTCCACTTCCCCATGAGCGTGGCCTGGCACTTCACACCTGGTGGAGCTGACCCACTGGTTTGCCTTGTAATGCCATCTTCCCCCAACCTGGAGGAGCGTCAGTGTGCTTCAGTTCAGGGTGAGTTGGCTGTGATGGTATTCCTGGTATGTAGAGCTAACCTTGTCAGAGTTTTAGCTTCTGCAGACGTCTCTTTCTTTCTCTTTCTCTCTCTTTCTCTCTTTCGACCTGGGATAACTGTCCACAAAACTCTTGGCTAGAAAACAGAAACATCTGCCGCCACTGGGGAGGACCTCGGCTGGATGATTTAGCAGCTGAGCCGTGATGCTGACAGCTAGTGCTCCCTGTCCTAACAAAAGCAGCCGCTTAGCGAAGGGAACACGTAATGGAGGGTCTCAGGAGAAGGGAGGAATCTAACAAGCCAGGAGCTGGGTCCCAGAGAAAAAAATTGACAAATTTGTCCCTTGCTGACCCACTTCAGTTCCCCCCAACTCACCAACTTCAGCGAGTTAAATCCCAAGTACTGTAAATAAGGCCGACCTTTGAGAGCCCTCTGATGTCACATTTGTATGTCCTGAGAGGCACCTGTGTGGGTTTGGATGCATTCCAGGTGGGTTTTAGCTGTGAGCCCCTAACTTTTTCTTGAAATTCATGTGAAAAAAGTAAAGCACACCCAGCAGCACCGCTGGGTGTTGGGAAGTGCCTGTGCGGGTTTAATGTGCTTGTTTTGTTCTGTTCTGTTTTATAGCTGCACGAATACAAATCCTCGTCGCATCGTATTTTTCGGTTGAACAACATAGCGAAAGCACTTAAGTTTTTGGAAGATAGCAATGTAAGTGTTTGAAGCTCATCCTGCTAACACAAGCTTGTCCTGTTAGGAAAAGGACGTCATTTGAAGTTCAGTGCTGGTCGCAAGAGAAGCGTGAGACGGGGACTGAGCTAAAATGGTCAAATTAAACTAAGCTTAAATTTCACAGAAATCACTCAGATGACCCCTCCGTTGGGAACATAGTCCCTGACTCCGTGCCCACCCACTTTGCAGCCATCAGGATTAAAACTCTGATGTACGTTCAGTCGTAGAAAGGCAGAGCAGCTAACTGGCTCTCAGATATTTAGAATTCAGTTCACGTTTTCTCCTTCATTCCCTTGAATAAGAGTATGGCGAGCATGTCCGAGTGTAGAACTTTCTCTTGGAACTTAGAATATGGGAGAAGAAGGGGAAGAGGGGGGCCAAATGAGCCAGGGGAAAAAAGTTACAAAATTCTCCCATTCTTGATGTAACTTTCTAGACTCCGATGATCTTTTTCTGTGCCTGGAACCCTGCTCCACATTCTTCACAGAGGGGAGGGGGTGGCTCAGCAGGGAGGACGTTTCATCACGCCTCTCATTAGGTTTCACCAATCAATCCGGGTTAAAACAAAACCCAGCTTGCCTGACACATTGGCACATACAGTGAGATTTTATCATAAAGTAGGATTCATCTGGGGTTCTTCATAGTAACAGAAGCTGAACTCAGCTGATTTAAGCAGTAAAGGAATTTGTTGAAATATGCCGAGTAGCCACAGAATGACTTGAAAGACCAGCGAATCAGGGACAGAACCCATGCCAGGCACCAGGACTACCGCAGAGCCCCCTGAAGAGACGGCAGGACATGCCCTCACCGCCCTGCCCCTGCAACCTCTGGGCAGCCCCACCACAGCCTGCAGAAGGAGCTCTCTCTGCTTTGTGGTCGTCTCAGCATCACAGGTCCAGATTCAAAGGCCCGGACAGGATGTGTGGCTGCACAGCCTGGGCCTCAGCCCACATTCCAGGGGCAAAGGAGGATGGGAAAGCACTTTCACTGTCTGAACAGGGGTAGGCTCTGCTTCCCAATAGTCCCCTCCCAGTAGTTCTAGGAGAAAGTCCCAGGCACAGAGGGGAGGTTCAGATGGTGGCGGCCAGCAAGCGCATTACAGTTCATGGCAGCACAATTCACAACAGCCAAAAGGTGGGAACAACCCGCCTGTCCACCCACGGACAAGTGGATTCTCAAAATGTGACTTAGATGGCTGGGCGCGGTGGCTCACGCCTGTAATCCCAGCACTTTGGGAGGCCGAGGCGGGTGGATCACCTGAGGTCAGGAGTTCAAGACTAGCCTGGCCAACATGATGAAACGCCATCTCTACTAAAAATGCAAAAATTAGCTGGGCACGGTCGTGGGGAGCTATAATCCTAGCTACGAGGGAGGCTGAGGCAGGAGAATTGCTTGAGCCCTGGAGGCGGACGTTTCAGTGAGCTAAGATCTCGCCACTGCACTCCAGCCTGAGCAACAGAGCGAGACTTTGTCTCAAAAAAAAAAAAAAAAAAAAAAAAAGGGACCTATCCATACAGTGGAATATTATTCAGCCTTAAAAAAAATGAAGCACTGATAATGGATGAACCTTGACAACATGCTAAGTGAGAGAAGCCAGACGCAAAGGACCACTTATTATATGATTCTATTCATATGAAATGTCCAGGACAGGGAAGTTTTTGGAAATGGAAAGTAGACTAGTTGTTGTTTTGGGCTGTGGGAAGACAGGGGGATGAGGGGTGGTAGCTCGAGGGTACAGGGTTTCTTTTAGAGAGGATGAAAATGTTCTAAAATTGATTGTAGTGATTCTTGCATACATCTTTCAATACACTACAAAACATCGAATTTTATACTTTGAGTGCGTGAATAGGATGGGATGTGAGTTATAGCTCATTAAAACTTTTTATAAAGAAAGCCTACCCCCTGTTCATTAAAAGCCTCCCTTTCTGTTGAGTCAATGACACTGCTGGCCTCTGGCCAAACGTGGGCCAGCACAGGTCCTGGAGTACGGAGGACTGTTTCCAGTTCTGGCTTCCCCACTCCCAGGAACTGTAGGCAAATGGCATCTTCCCTGAGCCTCCGTTTCTACATCTGTGAAATGGAGGAGAGAAAAACAAAACCTACCTGGGAGAGTTTTTGGGGCTAAATGACTTGTCCAGGTACAGGTTAGCCATGCACCAGCCAGACCGAAAGCTGCGTGGGCTCCAGCTCTCACTGCGTCACCCCCCTTGATTGATTACGTCTGATGCCCACCTGCTCCCTGGAGCAGGCATTGCGTATGGCTGTTCTTAGCAGTGTCTACTCCTGAATTGCAAAGGGCATGGTTTTTGTGATAATGTGGGGCCTTCAAACAGCCTCCTCAGATTCGTGCTGCTCTTCCTTCCACCGTATTGACCTCTAAATACTCTCCTGCTCTGTCAGCTGCCCACGTTTATGAGTCTGCTGTAATGCAGGCAAAACCCTCCTGCTGCATTTATCAGAATTACCTAGTAGGTCCTAGGTTTGCTTCCAGCAGCCATTTGGGTCACATTTACCAAGTGTCTTTTGTGGGCCTGAGAGACTTCTCAGCATTGGAGACAGACAGCTACATTAGAGACTCATCTGTGCCTTCAAGATGCTTAGGATCAGCTGGAAGAGACCTCACATGGACAGCGTGCTGTATGTCACCCCAGGGGCATGAAGATGGGGGATGATCCTGCAGAGGCAAAAACAAACAGCTGAGTCGGGGAAGGACTAGCCTAGGAACAGGTGTGGCAATGAGGGAGTGCAGTGCAGAGGCTTGGGAAGGCCTGGCCTTCTGTCATCCATCTGTGTAGTATTTTCCAAACTGCCTGCAGTAGCTGCCTTAAAGTCAAGGAACATTAAAGCCTCCATCCCCTCTATTTTTTCAAACAACTGTAAATATTCCAAATGCGAGCATACTATGTCAGCTTGGTGCCCCACTGGGCCCCATTTACCAGGCAGGTAGGACAAGTGAATGGCCCGGTGGGAAGGCAAGCCCAGGGGAGTGAGCCAGGTGGAAACGAGCGTTTCAGATGCAGACTCTGTCCCATTCCCAGAATCCACAAAATACTCAGTGGGCCCTCGCTGGTCACTTCTTGTCCCATTATTTCAGCCCACTGTCCCCAACAGGCTATAACAGCTCTGCTGAGCTAAAGCGGTGCCCAGAACTGGGTGGTGGATGCCAGGCAGCAGCCAGGTCCTCTTTGCTCAGGGATTCAGATGCCGTTAGGTGCTGTGGCTGGCCCCTGTCCTCTCCTCTCTCCCCTGCAACCACACGTCACAGAGCACAGTGTTTATGCCCGTGTCAGAGATGGGCTGCCCCACAGGACCAGCTCTATGACTTGCAAGTTATTCAACTTCTCTGAGCCTGAACTTCCTCATCTCTAAAATGGGTATATTGTAAACACTAAAGGAACTGACCTGTGAAAAGCACTCTCCATTCTCGGGATGGCTGTCATCACTTACCAGGCCCCTGAGTTATCACCCTACATGTGATAACTAGGTGTGATACCACCTTCTCCCAGCCGCAGAGGGAGACGGAATATTTCCACAAACCAATTGGTCCACTTGTTTTCAATCTGGCAAAACTAGCTGAGTTAGGAGGAACAAGAGGAGGAAAGCATTGTCCCTGAAGCTCTGAACTGAAGTCTGGCTGTTAACCTTTTTGTTCACCACCAAAAACAAAATGGTAGCTGGGCACACAAGCCACAGTTTTTGGAAATATCTGCCCCTTGGGGCCTCGGACCACCTGCAGTCACCACCTTCCCTCATCCCAGTTCTCTGAGGGAACTGGGCACCTCAGGAGGGTGCTTTATTCCCTGCTCAGCCCTGCCCTTCCCCTCTTGGGATGGTGCACCATGGTGTTTACGGCACCCCTACAAGGCAGCTCTGTCTTCTCACTTTGAAACCTCAGCTTACAGGGCCACAGCTGTCACTTGCCATTTGGGCTTCCCCCAGGTGAAAGGGAAGGCCAGGGTGATCAAGTTGACTAGCGGCTTTGATTCCCCTGGACTGGAATGTGCTCAGTAAGCCACAGAAACAGGAGCTGTCAGAGCAGAGGCTTAGGAGACGAGCAGGCGAGTTCTCGTGGGTGATCCATCATGCAGGACTTGCGCTCGTGATGAATGCGGAGATAGTACTGAACCTGAATCCGATCAACTGTGTTATTCACAGTATTGACAACTTCCTTCCTGGCCTCTGACCTGCCAGTGATGAGCCTGTGTTGTCTGACTTATATTCTTGGCATCTGTCCTCAAAACAGACTGCAGCTTGGGAACCCAGAACTCTCCCTCGATTAGGCAAGCCCAGGCCTAAATGATTGGTGTTGTCGGAAACCCATGATGAACTGATAGGATCAGAGACCCATGTCAGACAGTTTAAAAAGCCATGAAGGGAAGAGAGAGAGGAAAGAAATAGAGGAAAAAGAAAAAGGTTTTGTATGAGATGCTCTCTTCAGGTTCTCTTTCCCCAGTCTACCAGGCAGAATTTTGCAGTGTGGACCTGATAGTGTATCTTGACTTTCTCTTTCTCCTGAAGAATGACTTAGACTTTTGCTTTATTAAGCGTTGTTAAGAAAGAAGAAAAATGTGTGGCAGACACCAGTGTGGCCTGCAAAGCCTTAAATATTTACTCTCTGGCCCTTTTCAGAGAGGTCTGCAGAGACCCGATCTGTGTCCAGTGCTTAGATTTTGTTTGTGGAATGAACTGATGACTTAGGGCAGTGATCCTCAAACCCGAGCATGCACTGGAATCACCTGGCGCACTTACTAAAATACAGATTTCTGGGCCCACCCACAGAGTTCTTGATTCTGTAGACATAGGGGAGAATGAGCATTTCTAACATGGGGGTCCCACGTGATACAGATGCTGCTGGTCCAGATGTCAGGTTGGCCTTAGGGATTTACCAGGAGCATCATTCTGTGGTCAGAACATAGTTAAATACATAGATAAGACCCTGAGGGTTTCTACAAGAGGCACATTTTAACTAATCAGTGGGATCTTTTCTAATGGTGCAGAAACCCTGGGTATAAACCTTATCCCAGTACACTATTTCTAATTAGCAGTCAACTCACCCACCACAGTCCGTGACTGCTCATGTCGGTGCTCTGTGTTTGTCCCAAGGACATGCTAAATCCAGGCGTGGTGGTGTTTATGTAGCAGACAGATGTACTGGGCATTTTCCATCTCTCTTGGAAAAGAATGACTGAAGCCTTACCAGCTATGTGACACTGGGCATGTTGTATTTAACCTCTCTGAAATTCCCTTACTTGAACTGGAGGGACAATAGAAGTACCTACTGATATGGTTTGGCTGTGTCCCCACCCAAATCTCACCTTGAATTGTAGCTCCCATAATTCCCACGTGTCGTGGGAGGGACCTGGTGGGAGGTCATTGAATCGGGGGAGCAGGTCTTTCATGTGCTGTTCTCATGATAGTGAATAAGTCTCCTGAGAGCTGATGGTTTTATAAAAGGGAATTCCCCTGCACACGTTCTCTTGCCTGTCGCCATGTGAGACGTGTCTTGCTTCCCCTTCGCCCTCCACCATGATTGTGAGGCCTCTCCAACCATGTGGAACTGTGTGTCCATTAATCCCCTTTCCTTTTATAAATTACTCAGTCTCAGGTAGTATCTTTGCAGCAACATGAGAACGGACTAATACACCTACATCATAGGTTTATTGTGAGAATAAACTGAGTTAATATTTGTAAGAAGTTTAGAATAGAGGCTGCATATGGTAAGTGCTGTGTATGTGTTAATTAAATACACTTTTGCATGCTGAGTGTCCCTGAGAATGGCAGGGTAAGTAAGAAAAACAGGCTCATGCAAACACACACACACACACACACACACACACACACACACACACACACAGAGAGAGAGAGAGAACCAGAAAATAACATATGTTATCCTCCCTGGACACCTCGCTTTAAGTTCATAAATTGCTTCCCTCCAGGTAAAACTGGTTAGCATTGATGCAGCAGAAATAGCAGATGGCAACCCTTCTTTGGTTCTTGGGCTGATATGGAACATAATCCTCTTCTTCCAGGTAAGATCATTTCTTTTCCAAAACACACAATCATGATCTTGTGTCTGCTGAGCAGCCACAGAAGAGAGTGGGGCCAGATTAAGGGAGGCAGTGAGGCTTAGTTTATGGCAGATTTTATCTTTTCTACTCACTGAAAAAGCACTAGAAGAATCTGGTTGCTAAAGTGTTTGAGTCTCTGTGATTTTAAAAGCGGTGCAAGTTCTCTAGAAGAGAATATCTATCCTCTTGGGTCTGGAAGAGTTAAATATTTACTTCAAAAAATAACTTTGTTCTAAAGTGTCACAAGAACCGGGGAATACTCCTGACCAAAACTGGAACTTGGTAGAGTTACTTTCCTGAAATCACTCAGTGTTCCTTAGAGGTGATTAAAGAGCTTGCACTAAAGATGCCTGAGGAAGAAGAATAACAGGCGAGACCTTATTGTTCTGTTCTTTGCAACTTCAGCCTCTAACTGGAAATGCAGATTTGATAGAGGGAGAACTGGATCTGTGATTGGAATAAGAAGATGACATTTTATTTTTATTTTATTTTTTATTGTTATACTTTAAGTTCTGGGGCACATGTGCAGAATGTGCAGGTTTGTTACATAGGTATACACGTGCCATGGTGGTTTGCCGCACCCATCAACCCATCAGAAGATGACATTTTAAATTGTGCTCAAGTTCATTTCCCTGTCAGAAGGAGAGAGCTGGTATCTCATTTTCTAGAGCCCACCCGCTTTTGGAATAGAAACTTGTGGTTCACTGTTCGATTACCCTCCCAAGAGTGAAAGTGATCCACACGGGCATGATTTGCTTGGATTTTGGCGCAATGCCTGCATTTCAGAGAAGCATGAGCACAAACAAGGTCTGGAGACAATAGTTCCTGTTCTGAGTGAACCATGAACTTAAAAAAAAAAAAATACTGTCTCTCTCAGAGCCTCAGTTTCCATGTCTGTGAAATGGGAGCAGTGGTCATAATAGGTGGTGAGCATCAAAAGAAGCCATGTGGGCTGGGCACAGTGGCTCACGCATATAATCCCAGAACTTTGGGAGGCCATGGCGGCAGGGTCGCTTGAGCCCAGGAGTTCCAACATCAGCCCTGGAAACAGAGCAAGACCCCATCTCTACAAAAAACAAACAAAATTAGCCAGGCATGGTGGTGTGTGCCTGTAATCCCAGCAACTTGGAAGGCTGAGTTTGGAGGATTACTTGAACCTGAGAGTTCAAGGCTATAGTGAGACATGATCATGCCACTGCACTCCAGCCTGGGCAACAGAATGAGATCCTGTCTCAAAAAAAAAAAAAAAAAAAAAAAGCAGCAGCAGCCACCATGTGTTATACATATGCTTCAATTACTGCTACCTGTTATTAAACTTCCTCAGAGATTCTGGAAACATCCCGAAGATGTGGTAAAAGTCAAGACCTTAAATCCACCACCGTAGGGCTTCATTTATTTATTTAACAAATGTCTATTGAGTTTCTCCAAGATGCCAGGTGCTGAAAGTAAAAGGCCCTGCCCTCATGACCCTTTAGGATCACAGACAAGTCAATCCTATATGGTAGAAGGTGATGCAAGAGCTCCAAGCAGGGGCAGCTAGCTCAGATGGGGGAGTGCAGTAAGGAAAACTTCCTGGAAGAAGTGACACCAGAGCTGGGTTTTGAAGGATGAGTAGGAGTGCGCTAGACCTCCTACTCATCTTTCAAACTAAGTTAGACGTAACCTACTGTGTGTGTGAATTGCCTGAGGGTGGTATTGAAACAGATTCTGATTCCAGTAGCTCTGGGGTAGAGCCTAGGGTTCTGCATATCTTACAGAAGTCCTCATGAGAGGAGTTCACTGATGGAGGGAAGGGACATCGAGGCAGCAAGGGCAGGATGAGCAGAAGCAATGGGGCTTGAAAGAGCTCAGTGAAGTCTGGGAGTGATGGGCGGTGAGAGGAAAGGGGCGGCAGAGTTGGGTCAGGAAGACCTGGTGTGAAGTGCTGGCTGGAGCTGGAGAGACTCCAGGAAAAGACGGTCCTCCCTATAGAGTGTAATTACGTGTACCACAAGCCACAAGAAACGGACAGGCCATCACAAGTACTGCCTGTCCCCTGCCACAGCCATCAGAAAGGGTTTCTCTGCATTCAGAGAAGCAATCCTGCCTGAGCCGGTCCCTCCAGCCATGGTCCATATGGCCACCCGCCAGACAAGGGGCTTGCTGAGAGGGTGGGTCTGTTGCTGGGGTCTGAAATGCCATTTTCCTTCCAGATTAAGGAGCTCACAGGCAACCTCAGCAGAAACTCTCCATCTTCCAGCTTGTCCCCTGGCTCAGGGGGCACAGACTCAGACTCATCCTTCCCACCCACACCCACTGCAGAGAGGAGCGTGGCAATATCGGTGAAAGACCAGAGGAAGGCTATCAAGGCCCTGTTGGCGTGGGTGCAGAGGAAAACGAGAAAGTAAGCCGCAGCCCCTCTCCCCACACTACTTCATTTAACTAGCTGCTTTCAGGCAGAGGAAAGGAGAATTAGTATTTATTAAGGTGCCAGTTATGTATGTGCCCATTGCTTCATATAGAATATCAGAACAGGGGGCAGGCGCGGTGGCTCATGCCTGTAATCCCAGCACTTTGGGAGGCCGAGGCGAGTGGATCACCAGGTCAGGGATCAAGACCATCCTGGCTAACACGGTGAAACCCTGTCTCTACTAAACAATACAAACAAAATTAGCCGGGCGTGGTGGCGGGCACCTGTAGTCCCAGCTACTCGGGAGGCTGAGGCAGGAGAATGGCGTGAACCTGGGAGGCGGAGCTTGCAGTGAGCCGAGTTCACTCCACTGCATTCCAGCCTGGGCAACAGAGCGAGACAACATCTCAAAAAAAAAAAAAAAAAGAATGTCAGAACAGGAAACCCTGCATTTTTCTGGTTTTGCAGTACACACAAAATGCAGTTTGCAGAATGTTTGGTTTGCACAAAGCTGATAAGATTTGAATACAGATCAGAGGAGCCTTCATCATGTTGCCTCTCAACATGGGCATGTCTCTTGGATTCTAATGACTTGTGTGCATTTAAGCTTCAGGGTATCTTCCAGAGTCTGTACCTACTTTAAAAATAGTAATAATAAAGGCTGTAACATACTCAAAGTTAGGTCGGACCTTCCAAAATCGAGACGGGAACTGGAGCCAAGTTCCGGCCCTGTTTCACCCCACACCGGCAGCAGAGTGATTTTAGCAGTTTTGTATCAGGCCTTTTTACCAGCAGCAGGCCCACAGCCCCTGGACCATGGGCACAAATGCCAGACCAGTGTGGTGGAAACCAAACCAACTCGGGGCCGCCCCAGCTCCTCAGCGTACAGACTGGTTGAGATCCTGGTGAATCATTTACCTTTCCAAGCCCCAACTGCAAATAGTATCCTATCACACACTGCCTTCCAGGACAATTAGGTGAAATTAAATAAAATCCATGAAAGAGCACCTTGCACAGTGCCAGCCCATATTAAGCACTTCACAAATATTGATTCCTTTATCCCCTGTGTGTGGAAATAAAAGAGGGAAGAGAGGTTGGATCTTCAGAGTTTTGATTGAGAGATCAAGCGTGGTAGATTGAAATTGACAAATGTGAACCACCATTAAATGTTGTTTACATAAATATCAACCAAAAAAAAGTTCATTGTCAGGGGTTAGGGTAGAAGGGGGGTGTGATGTATGGGAGAGGAAGTGTCTTGGGGTGATAGGACAGTTCTGTTTCTCTATTGTGGTGGTTACATTAATCTGTACACCACCGCCATGAAAAGTAACACCTGTGAAAATGTGAAATTCAAATGCAGTCTATAGCTTGATTAATAATTGTCTTGGACCAGTATTGGTGTTCTGGTTTGGATAACGCACCCTGGTAGCATAAGATGCTGTCACTGGAGGAAGCTGGGGAAAGAGTAGAGACTCTCTGTACTGTGTTTCAACTTCTTTTGGGTCTTAAATGATTTCCAAATAAAAAGGTACTTGGTTGTTTTTGGTTTTTTTTTTTTTTTTTAAGAGCGTTTATTGACCACGGTTGAGAGATTGGTGGAGTCTCAGGATAGATTCTACAGGAAATTAGTGCCTGGCAAGATTCTCTCCTCTTTTGTCCTTCACTTTTACTTTTAAAAAGTTGAGGTAGCCTCCATTCTACAAAATAGAGTGAAAGCTCTCTGCCCCTCACTTTTACAATGGTGCTTTTATTTCTATTACTGATAATAGTAGCTGTCATTAGTGAGTGGCTTTCTTGGGCTCCCAACGTTGTATATTAGGTTGACCCTATGACTTGGCCGTTCTTCTGGGGCCAGGCTCGACTTTCCCCACAAAAGCCCCAGCAAGTTCACTGTGTGGAGTTTGAGGCTCAGAGAGGTAGGTGACTTGCCCAAGGCCATGGCACTAGAAGCATAGAGGGGACAGCTGAGGTACAAACTTGTGTCTTTCTGGTTCCATTTTTATGGCACAGCACATTCCATGTTATGTTTTCAATGTCACTGATACAAGGAATGGTCTATACAGTTGGTCCTTTATGTGTCTGGGAATTGGGGAACCCAGGGTCCTATTTTGCCTCTTTGTTCAGTGTATACCCTCCTATTCCATTTGGCTGGAAATGGAAATGTGAGTGGTTCAGGGCAGCTCTCCCATGCTCAGGGATGAAGGCGTCTTCACCTGGCGAGGTCGGCAGCTCTGCCCCACTCAAAAACTCACGCGGCTGCTGCATGCTGACCTTGCACCTTTGAGTCTGTTTACTAACCAGCATCCTGGCCGCCGCTGCTGTTTTTCCTTCAGGTATGGCGTGGCGGTGCAGGACTTTGCGGGCAGTTGGAGGAGTGGGCTGGCTTTCCTGGCGGTGATCAAGGCCATTGACCCCAGCCTGGTGGACATGAAACAGGCCCTGGAAAATTCCACACGAGAAAATCTAGAGAAGGCTTTCAGCATCGCACAGGATGCCCTGCACATCCCCAGGCTCCTGGAGCCAGAAGGTAGCAGTGGTTCTCTCTTTCTTTCTAATAATTTTTTTTTACAAATGTACCACTTGCTGTCCCATGTGGAAAATCTGGAAAATACAGAAAAATCTAATGAAGAAGATTTTTTCTCCTATATTTCTACCACTCAGATCATATGGATATTTTTCCGATATTTTATATGCCTCTAATTATATTTTTACATAATTGTTATCATTTACTGTATATATATAATTTTGTACTTTTTATTTAACATTATATCATAAGTATTTTACATACTTCTATAATGTATTATATATTTTTATTGGCTGCATAATAATTCATCTAGTGGGCATACTAAAATGTACTTAGTGGCTGGGCGTGGTGGCTCACGCCTATAATCCCAGCACTTTGGGAGGCCGAGGCAGGTGGATCACCTGAGGTCAGGAGTTCGAGACCAGCCTGGCCAACATGGTGAAACCCCATCTCCACTAATAATACAAAAATTAGCTGGGCGTGGTGGCGCAGTCTGTAATCCCAGCTACTCGGGAGACTGAGGCAGGAGAATCACTTGAGTCCGGGAGGTGGAAGTTGCAGTGAGCTGAGATCGTGCCACTGCACTCCAGCCTGGGCGACAGAGCCAGACTCTGTCTCCAAAAAAAAAAAATGTACTTAGCTCTTCCACTACTGGTAGACATTGAGGTTGTTTCTGAAATATTTCCTTTTAGATATAACAACACCGCAGTGAACATCTTAGTAAATAAAGCTCAACGTGCATCCCAGATTATTTCCTTAAGGACCAGGTTTCATTAGCAGAATGACAGAGGGGGAGAGCCCATACCTGTTTAAAGGGTTTGGCTATCTCTGTGAAGTTGCCTTCCACGTGGGTTAGGCTAACGTAGGACTCCGTATACCATATGTAGGCTGCCTGGTTCACCGTCCTTGCCCATGGAGCCAGCAGCGAGCTGGCTGCTTACTGTGGAAGGGACTAAAACAGCAAGGAAGAAGGGACAGAATTTTGGGAATAAGAAGCCCTAAATTCTATATCCTTGCTTCTCTGTTCATCAGCCAGCTGTGAGATTTCAGTTAAATGATTCACCACCTTTGAGCCTAAAGTTCCTCAAGTGGAAAATAAAGAGAAAAAACCTTCAATAATCTGTGGGATTCTTCACCATCAGGCATCCGGGAATACTATTGAAAGCGTGTGTGTTTGTATCTCCTGCTAATTCCTGTGTCTCTCTCGACAGACATCATGGTTGACACACCAGACGAGCAGTCTATCATGACTTACGTGGCACAGTTTCTAGAACGTTTTCCGGAGTTGGAAGCCGTATGTTTGCTTTTCTTACCTTTAATTCCGACACCATACATTTCCATCCGCTGGCCATCAGACGAAGCAGGGACGTGGGCAGCGTTGCTCTGTGTAACTAGCAGTCAAAATCGCCAGTTGCTCCCAAGTCCCTTGAGCACGGCCTTACCATGTTTTAATTTCAGAATGATAGTTGTCCCCCTCATATGCGGGGGATACAGTTCAAGACCCCCAGTCGATGCTTGAAACTTCGGATAGTACCGAACCCTATATATACCACTTTTTTCCTATACATATGTATCTATGATAAAGTTTAATTAATAAATTAGGCACAGAAAGAGATTAACAACAACTAATAGTTACATAGAACAATTATAACCATGGGCCGACATCATTACTTTTGCAGTTTGGGGCCATTCTTAAGTAAAATAAGGGCTATGTGAACACAAGCACTTTGATATCGTGGTGGCTGATCTCTGATCATCCAGACAGCTACTGAGTGAGTGACAGATGGGTGGCAGAGATGGCATGGATGTGCTAGACAAAGGAACGAGTCACGTCCCAGGCAGGACAGAGCAGGATGGTGAGAGATTTCATCCCACTACTCAGAACAGCACTCCATTTGAAACTTAGGAATTGTTTATTTCTGGAATTTTCCATTTAATCTTTTCAGACCACAGTTGACCATGGGTGACTGAAACCTCAGAAAGAAAAACCGCAAATAAGGGGGGAACTATTTACATGTAACGTGCATTAAGTTTCAAAGCAGGATGGAAACTGACGCCTGTCACAGACCTCTTCCCATGACAAACTTTATTAAGATTATGAAAGACGCTTTCTTATAAAACGGATCTGCTTCTTGATTTTTTACATGTCAGATGGAATATGTTAGCATCTACCAGATTTTTATCAATGTTACAAATCATAAAAGACAATGATCATTGAAAAGTTTGCCTTTTTATTTTCAGAATTCCAGATTATACTTGGTGAGAGTTTTTTTGGGCACAGAATCAGACCTTTTAGAAGTTGTCCTGGCCCCGTTGAACTCCCACCCAACCCATGCACAACCCCGAGCTGATAATAATGACAGCAATGACAGCCTTTTCTTGAATCCGTTAGTAATTGACTGAACCCTTGCCCCTGGCTTAGGGGACTCAGAAATAAACTAGATGGCTGAGGTCCCTGGCCTTGTGGAGCGTTGTTCTAGTAACGGAAACAGTTATAAGTGAGCAAAAACGTAACTTGGGGTAGTTATAAGTACCAGACAGAAAAAAAGGAAAGCATAAAGAGTTAAAGGATGCTTGCAGGAGAGGGGAGCTGCTTTTCTAGCTGGCTGCCTTGCCCCTGTGTCTCTGGGCTGCCTGCCATTCCTGCAATCCAGCATGGCTCAGTATCATAATCCTCTTTTATAAACGAAAATAAGGATCTCAAAGAGGCTTAAAGACCTCTCCATAGTCACTCAGCTATGAAGCACAGAGCTGGGGTTTGGACCCTCTGTGTTTCCAAAGTTCAGGCTCTTGTTTCCCTTACAACATGCAGCTGAAACTGGGGCTCTGTTTTGTACAGAAGAACTTCCCAGGATCCTCCATGCCGTGACTTTCATCCTGGCCCCCACCTGTGTGTGTGTTTCCTGCCTGTCCCTGCACCACATACGGACCCCTTACAGGGCGCTGTGGAAGCAGGAATTCCTGGGCTGGAATGCCAGTTCTCCACTTGGAGCTGTGTGACCTCAGGCTGGTGACTTGACCTCTCTGATACACATCTATATTGAATGTGTATCTATTGAATGTGTGTCACCTGTAAAATGGAAATCTGACCCACATTTCAGGGCTATGTGAAGGATAAACAGTTATGTGAAGTACCTAGTACTGTGCCTGGAACAACAGTGGATGTTTAGTGAATAATGGTGACTTGGTCAATGGGTATAAAGTTACAGTTACATAGGAGGAATCAGTTCTGGTATTGTATTGCAGAGCAAGATGGCTATAGTTAATAATAATGTAACCAGTGGCTCACATTTATAATCCCAACACTTTGGGAGGCTGAAGCAGGAGGATTGCTTGAGCCCAGGAGTTAAAGACCAGCCTGGGCAACAAAGCGAGACCCCATTTTCTTTTCTACAAAAAAGAAAGAAAGAATAATATACTGTGTATTTCAAAATGTCTAAAAGAGAAGATTTTAACTGTTTTCATTACAAAGAAATGATAAATATTTGAGGTGACGAATATATTGATTTCTCAGATTTGATCATTTTACAATGTATACACGTTTTAAGATATCACATTATACTCCATAAATATATACAATTATTATTTGTCAATTAAAAATTTAAACAGAATCAAAAGAAAGGGATCCAGCCCTGCCAATATCTTGATTTTAGTCCATTGAGGCCTGTTTTGGATTTCTGATGTCCAGAAGTGTAACATAACAAATTTTTGTTGTTTTAAGCAAAAAAAAAAAAGTAGTGATTATTATTTTGCAATTCAATTTTCCTGGCCTGTTACTGTATTTTGAAATACTAGGCATTGGGGCTTTCATTAGCCCTGAGCTCTTAATCTGTAGGCAGAGTTTGAAATCAACTAAAACATACGGTATTTGTGTGAGTCAAAGCCACAGCTAAAATTGAGCAAATCTGACACAGATCTCCCCAATGCTGAGGTCAGAAACTGCAGATGGGAAAAGATTGAGCCAGAAATAATACCTGGAGAAAGTCATTCTGGTTCACAGAACATGCTGCATCACTGCAGAACAGTCTATTTACATCTACAAGGGAATACAGATGAGAATTTACAGCTTATCCAGACACGCAGTGAACTGTTCTTAACAATTCTGCTGAGTTATTTCATTTCAGTAAACATTTGTTGGGCCCTGACCATGTACCACACATTGTTGCTAGCTTTGTGGCCCAGCACATGGTTTCTTTTGGTAAATGTGCCATATGCATTTGAAAAGAACGGGTCTTATACAGTTAAAGAATACTGGTATTCTTTAATATGCTGTTAATATGTTAATATGCTATTCTAGTATTCTATATTTATACTGATTTTTCCTGCTTTCCTGATCCATTAATGCAGGAGAGAAATGTTGAAAAAAAAATCTCCAACTGTGATTGTGAATTTATTTCTCCTCTTAGTTCTGCCAGTTTTTGTTTAATATATGTTGATGCTATGCTGTTAAGTGCACAGACACAATTTATTATATTTTCCTGATGACTTGATTGCTTTATTTTTATAAAATTTCCCCCATCTTGAAGTGTGCTTTGTCTGATATGAACATAGCCATAGCAGCTTTCTTATGATTAGTGCTTGTGTCATAACTTTTTCCATTTTTTTCCTTTCAGTGTATGTACACTTATATTTAAAGTATGTCTCTTGTAAACAGTATACAGTTGGGTCTTGTATTTATTCTGACAAACTCTGTCATTTAATCAGTACATTTTTCATACGTTTATACGGGTTTCATCTACCATCTTGGTTATTGTTTTCCATTGGTCTGATATGTTCTATGCTCCATTGTCCTTCCTTCTTAACTTTTTGGGGATTATTCAAGGATTTCTTTTGTGTGCATTTATCCCCTTTATTGGTTTTTTAACCACATCACCTTGTTTTATCTTTTTAGTAGCTGTTCTAGTGATTATAATACTCATCTTTAACATACATCAGCTTACCTTAAATTAATATACTACTTCAAGTACAATGCATATTTTACATATTTGTATATATTTTATATATATCACATATATAATTTTACTTCATCTCCATTACTTTTGCTACTATATTGTCATTTACTTTACTTCTGCATATGTTTTAATCCTCAATACCTTGTTATTTTTGCTTTAAATAGCTAGTAGGCTTTTTAAGAAAACTTTGAAGTAGTCTTTTCTATTGACCATATATTTACCATTTCCAGTACTGTTCATTCCCTCCTTTAGGCTTTATATCTGAGATTGTGTTCTTTGAGCCTGAAGAACTATTTCTTTTGTATTGCTTGTAGCACAGATTAGTTATTCTAGAGCCTTTGCTTGTGAATTCTAACTCCGGGTCCTATATGGGTCTATATCTAGTGATTATTTCTTCTCTTGATTGTGGATTTCGTTTTCCTGCCTCTTCATGTCTTGTAATTATTTTATGTCAAACTTGGTATATAAAAGAACAATAGAGGTTGAAGCAGATGTCATTTTTTTCCCTCAGGAAATACAGCCCTTTCCCAAACAAGTGTGTAAGATGAGGAGCTGTCGTTTTGATCATATCAGCGTCAATAGGAGCTATGTTGCAGTTTTATTTAATTTCTTCTCTCTGGTTTTAAATGATTTGAGGCTGAAGTCAATTCACACTATCGGTGCATTGGGAGTCAAGCACTGCAGTACCACAGAGTCATTTTCTGCTTTTCAGCCCTGCCCCCAGCTGGCTCTTACACAGCAAAATTCCCTGTGTGGGCTAATTAGTATATGAAGAAAATTGCTTTTGTGTTTGGAGGGCTTCCAGATTCACTCTCTCATACCAGCCCACACAATCAATAAAGATTTGGCTGATCTTTCCTTATCTCAGGTGGATTAGCTCTTCTCCAAGTCCATACCCAGACTAGGCAACATGGTCCTCAAGCATGAAGGGGCTGACAATCTCTGCTCACTTTAGAAGGGATTGTCCTTCTTTAGAGCTTGGTTTCATTGAGATTCGTTAATCCATAGCTTTTTAAAAAACATGGTATTTTATATTTTTATTTATCTGATGTTTTCATATTTCAGCAGGAACAAGAGTCTTCTCTAACCATTTACATCTTAGAACACTTTGCATTGGTTTGAAGTGGCTTTTTCCATTTTTGTTTGTTTGTGTTTTGGGAAAGGTGGATATGGGTTGTACTTAAATATTCTTCTTACTCATGTTGCTCTGTGCTTTTTTTTGTTGTTGTTCTTTTGTTTTTTTTTGTTTGTTTGTTTTTGTTTTTTTTTGCAGGAAGATATTTTCGATTCAGATAAAGAAGTTCCTATCGAATCCACTTTTGTTCGCATCAAAGAAACTCCTTCTGAACAGGAGAGCAAAGTCTTCGTTCTGACTGAAAATGGGGAGCGTACCTACACTGTTAACCATGAAACCAGCCACCCACCACCCTCCAAAGTCTTTGTCTGTGACAAGCCCGAGAGCATGAAGGAATTCCGCCTGGATGGTGTTTCCAGCCATGCGCTGTCAGACAGCTCCACCGAGTTCATGCACCAGATTATTGACCAGGTCCTGCAAGGGGGCCCAGGTAAGACCAGCGACATCAGTGAGCCATCTCCAGAATCCTCCATTTTATCATCCAGAAAGGAGAACGGGAGGTCCAACTCTTTGCCGATCAAGAAAACAGTTCACTTTGAGGCTGACACCTACAAGGATCCTTTCTGCAGTAAGAACCTGTCCCTTTGCTTTGAAGGGAGCCCAAGAGTGGCAAAGGAATCATTGAGGCAGGATGGACATGTCTTGGCAGTTGAGGTTGCTGAGGAAAAGGAACAGAAACAGGAATCCTCGAAGATTCCAGAATCCTCCTCTGACAAGGTCGCTGGTGACATTTTTTTGGTGGAGGGCACAAACAATAATTCTCAGTCTTCTTCCTGTAATGGTGCTTTAGAGAGTACAGCCCGCCACGATGAAGAAAGTCACTCTCTTTCACCCCCAGGAGAAAATACTGTGATGGCCGATTCCTTCCAGATCAAGGTTAACCTGATGACTGTAGAAGCTTTAGAGGAGGGAGACTATTTTGAAGCCATCCCATTAAAAGCCTCAAAATTTAACAGCGACCTAATAGATTTTGCTTCTACCAGCCAGGCTTTCAACAAAGTTCCTTCACCTCATGAGACAAAACCTGACGAGGATGCTGAGGCTTTTGAGAATCATGCTGAAAAACTAGGTAAAAGGAGTATTAAATCTGCTCACAAAAAGAAGGATTCGCCAGAGCCTCAAGTTAAGATGGACAAACATGAACCTCATCAGGACTCCGGAGAAGAAGCTGAAGGCTGTCCTTCAGCCCCAGAAGAGACACCAGTGGATAAAAAGCCAGAGGTGCATGAAAAGGCCAAGAGAAAGTCCACCCGTCCTCATTATGAGGAAGAGGGAGAAGACGATGACCTCCAGGGTGTGGGCGAGGAATTATCTTCCAGCCCCCCAAGCAGCTGTGTCAGCTTGGAGACCCTTGGGAGTCACAGCGAAGAAGGCCTGGATTTCAAGCCCTCCCCACCCCTCTCAAAGGTTTCCGTCATTCCCCACGACCTCTTCTATTTCCCACACTATGAGGTTCCCCTGGCTGCAGTTTTGGAGGCTTATGTAGAAGACCCGGAGGATCTAAAAAATGAAGAAATGGATCTCGAAGAGCCAGAGGGCTATATGCCAGACCTGGACTCCAGGGAGGAGGAGGCCGATGGCTCTCAGAGCAGCTCCAGTTCCTCGGTGCCAGGAGAGAGCCTCCCCAGTGCCAGCGACCAGGTGCTGTATCTCAGCAGGGGTGGTGTGGGTACCACACCAGCCTCAGAACCCGCTCCACTGGCCCCCCATGAGGACCACCAGCAAAGGGAGACCAAAGAGAATGACCCCATGGACAGCCATCAGGTACTCAACCGTGGGATTTGGGAACCCTGGGTCCTGCCTGGGAAACTTGATAGTTCTTTGTCTGAAGCTCAGCTTCTTGCTCCATAAAATAGCGATGAGGGGGCTTCCCTTGGGACTACTATGGTGCAAAATTCAAAGAGGCACCTACTGTGAGGCTCGGGCAAATGCAGGGTTGGCACCTGAGAGTGAGCACCTCCTGAAATCCTGCACACGGGCACCTCACTGGCTTTCCCCCAGTCCTGGCCCTACTCACAGGTATGCTCTGAGGATCAAGTGAGGTCACCTTTGAGGGTCCAGCAGAGGAGGGGCAGAAATGATTTCAAAAGCAGTCATTGTCACAGGGCAAGGGTTGAAAAACTAACCGTTGCATACTATTCTCAGTACCTGGGCAGTGGGATCAGGAAAGCACATCTCCCTTATCCTGTTACACACACATTTCTAACACAGAAACCAAATATTAGTGCCCAACAGGAATAAGTCCTTTAAAAATCAAAAAAGCTCACCATCACTGATCATTAGAGAAATGCAAATCAAAACCACAATGAGATTCCATCTCACACCAGTAAGAATGGCGATTATGTCAGGAAACAATAGATGCTGGCGAGGCTGTGGAGAAGTAGGAATGCTTTTACACCATTGGTGGGATTGTAAATTAGTCCAACCATTGTGGAAGACAGTGTGGTGATTCCTCCATCTGATTTCAGAACCAGAAATACCATTTGACCCACCAATCCCATTACGAGGTATATGCCCAAAGGAATATAAATCATTCTGCTATAAAGACATACATGCACACATATGTTTATTGCAACACTATTTACAATAGCAAAGACATGGAACCAACCCAAATGCCCCCCAGTGATAGACTGGATAAAGAAAATGTGGTACATATATACCATGGAATACTATGCAGCCATAAAAAAGAATGAGTTCATGCCCTTTGCAGGGACATGGATGAAGCTGGAAGCCATCATTCTCAGCAAACTAAAAGAGGAACAGAAAACCAAACACCGCTTGTCCTCACTTATAAATGGGAGTTGAACAATGAGAACACATGGACACAGGGAGGGGAACAACACACATTGTTGGGGGGTGGGAGGCGAGGGGAGGGAGATCATTAGGACAAATATCTAATGCATGCGGGCCTTAAAACCTAGATGATGGGTTGATAGGTGCAGCAAACTACCATGACACTTGTATTTCTATGTAACAAACCTGCACACTCTGTACGTGTATCCCAGAACTTAAAGTAAAATAAAAAAAAAAAAAAAGGAAAAAAAAGCCAATAAAGGAAGAAACAAACAAACTAATAAAAAGTCCTTTAAAACTCAAGGCTGGAGTCAGCCTTCATGACCCCATCACCCAGGTACTGAGAATAGTGTACTAACCGTTGGGTATTGCAGCCAGGGGAACCTCATAGTGTGGGAAATAGAAGGGGTCGTGGGGAATGATGGAAGGCCTTTGAGAGGGGTGGGGAGGGCTGGAAATCCAGGCCTTCTTCGCTGTGACTCCCAAGGGTCTCCAAGCTGACACGGCTGCTTGGGGGGTTGGAAGATAATTACCCCAAGCTTCAGCATCATGCAATATACCTACATAACAAACTTGCACATGAACCCCCCAAATCTAAAATAAAAGTTGAAAAACAAAAAATATATATATATATATTTTTAAATTTTTTTATTATACTTTAAGTTCTGGGGTACATGTGCAGAACGTGCAGGTTTGTTACATAGGTATACATGTGCCATGGTGGTTTGCTGCACCCATCAACCCATCATCTACATTAGGTATTTTTCCTAATGCTATCCCTCCCCTAGCCCCCGACCCCCACAGGCCCCGGTATGTGATGTTCTCTCATAACTTACCACTAACATAGGCATTAGAAAGTTAAAGAAAAAAACAGTCATCGTAGCTAACATCTAGCATGCACTTAGTGAACACTAGCCTGTTCTGCAGTAACTTAGGAGAAACAGAAGAAGCCCTCATGTTTGACTCCAGTTTTGATTTTTTTAAAGGACTTTTGCCTGTTGGGCACTAATCTTTGGTTTCTGTGGTTTGAAATTGGTGTGTAAATAGCATAAGGGGACATGCGCTCTTCTGAGCTTGAGCAGCTGGTCACATTCTTATCTGCCACTTGTGTTCCCACTTCATCTGGCCCAGTAGCTCACAAAGGGCCACTGGAGTGATCAGTGAAGGGGGGTGCCTGGGCGGCTGGCCTGATGGGGAGGCTCCTCCTGCAGATGCCACGTTAATAAGTGCTGCGTCCTGCTACGGCACTGGGGATCCAGGAGGTGAGTCCGAAACCACATTGGCCATGCCCTGCTGGATATAGTGCACACAGGGCATCCAGGGCAAGACAGCCAGGGAGGAGAAGGGCCTGGGCTCGGCCTCTCCAGCCCCTCCATGAGCTCACCTGCTTACTCATCCAACCCCATGGAAAGCGATGCATCTGGCACTGCCAGGAAGATAAAAAAAGAAGGAAAATCCTGCCTTCGGTGTCTAATGCGGGAGACAGAGTCCCCAGTAACTGTACTGTGAGAGAATGTGGCCTCAGCCATTAGAGATGGGCCCAGCGAAGGGATTCAGGAGTTCAACAGAAGGAGGCTCCCACCCAGATCCAGAAAGGCTGCATGGGGGTTTTGGGGAGCCTAGAACTGGGGAGGAAGTTCTGGGTAGAGGGACTAAGGGTAGAGGTCCCCTAAGTGCAGGAGCCAGGTGGGAAAGTGACCAGCTATTTCAGATTGCATTGGCTCTGCCTCTATCTCAGACCCTTCCCCAGTCTGTCACTGTCCCTCCTCCCCAGCTCAGCTTGCAGAGGGATGACCCTAAAGCACAAGTCTCACCTTATCACTTCCTGACTGCTGCATCCAGGACAAAGTCTAAATGTCTTAGCATGAACTCCAAGACTCTTCCCGCTCTAACCTGGCCACCCACCCCTCTTTGTCTCCCTCCCCTCTAGCCAAGCCAGCATCCTCCCACACCCCCAGACATCCAGGCTCTCCTCTGCCTCCAGGTGTGACTGGGCTGGTCCCACCATCTGGGCAAGCAGTTATTCAACCTTCAAAGTCAATGCAAATGGCACCTCCTCCCAGAAGCCCTCCGACCTCCTCCCCAGGCAGAGCCATTGCTCCCTCCCTATAGCTGATCACATTTTTGACAATCTCTCCTTGAGTGCTTACCTGATTTCCATGGGCTTTGTTTTTCTCTCCCGAGAGAGTGTGGACATTTGTGTATTGATCTTTGGATGCTAGAGACCAGCACGGTGCCTGACAGGGCCTGCCAGTGTAGGGGACAAAGGTTTATTACACGATGGTTTCGGGGGCATACAGCAAATGGAAGGTAAATGAAACACTGAGATACATGACAAAGCCCTGGCTCATCAGAGCCCAGTGAGGGGCCCAAAGGACTGGAGCTGATTGGAGGATTGAGAGAGGCTTGCACCCTGCGGGAGCTACAGAAAAAGTCTGGTTCGAGTAGTCTTTTTTAAGTTTAAGTTTATTGACAGTTGAGTAGTTGGTGTGAATGAGTGGGGTAGAAGACCTAGAAGATTAGTTGAGCCAATAAAGAGAATAAGGGAAATTAATATAAGGGATCAGGTTCGTCCTAAAAGACACTGCAGATTTTAGCTAGGCCAGAAGTGGGGGGCTGGTTTTATTCAGTTTGCCAAATCTGAGCAATGAGGAGTGGCTACCTAAGCCCTAGGAGGAGCAGCATCCTCAGGCCGAGGGCCACATGGGCAGGGCTGCACACTCCGTGTTTGCCAACCGTGGAATGGATGGGAAGAGGGCTGGATGGCTCTGCAGGTGCCAGGGACCACGGCTGCCATCTTCCCCCTCTTCCCCCAGGGAGAGGAACCCAGTCCTCCACTTGCTTCCATGGCCTGCTGTGTGCTGACTTCTCTGAAGTCTCAAAATAAATAAATAAATAAATAATAAATAAAATAAAATGATGAATTAGTGGTTTGCATCCTCCCTCCTGGCCTATTGGATGTGGCCTGTGAAAATACAAATGTGGCAGTTTGTTCTCGAATGCTTTCCTTCCAGCAATTGCCAAAAGCAGAGAGTGCATGTGTCCAGCACTTGGACAGGTGATTTGCGGTGTGGCTGAAAGAGCCCTGGGTTGCAGTGGTAGAATCGGGAGATCTAGATTTGAACTCCATCTTACATGGATCTCACTCTTGGTGAGAGCGTGGGCAGATGAGCTCCCTTGGGTGCAGTGTGGGAATGAAATCAACACCGTCTGCCTCACTTGGCTCCGGTCCGCTGCCTCACCTGCCCAGCAAGCACTGCCCACTGATCCCCAGCCCACCTTGCAATTTGCTCCCAAGTGCAGCCCTTGCCTCAATCCGTGTGGGTGAGCGTAGGGGGAGGGTACAGCCCGTTTGATGAGGAGCCCAAGGTGAGGTCTGGGAGTCTTGGGTCCTGGCAGACAAGGAGATGGGATGAGGCATTTCTCTGATACCTTGCCTTCCTTTAAAAAAAAAAAAGAGGCCAGGAGCAGTGGCTCACGCCTGTAATCCCTGCCCTTTGGGAGGCTGAAGTGGGTGGACCACCTGAGGTCAAGAGTTCGAGACCAGCCTGGCCAACATGGAGAAACCCTGTCTCTACTAAAAATACAAAAATTAGCCAGGCGTGGTGGCAGGTGCCTGTAATCCCAGCTACTCCGGAGGCTGAGGCAGAAAAATCACTTAAACCTGGGAGGTAGAGGTTGCAGTGAGCCAAGATCAAGCCACTGCACTCCAGCCTAGGAGACAAAAGCAAGACTCCATCTCAAAAAAAAAAAAAAAAAAAAAAAAGAAAGAAAAAAAGATATTTTCCCAGCCAAAGGGACTAGAAAATGGCAAGTTTTTCTTCTGATCTTGAAAAAATAAATAAGCCCTCTGCTTGTTTCATCTTTCAAAAACAGTAGCATTTGACCATTGATGAGGGCAGCCTGTGAGACTATCATTTCAGATTGCTGAGCGCAGCTTTTCATTCCTGCATGGAGCTTTGTTCTCCCGGGGCACAATGGCCTGGCCGCTCTAATGCTCTTATTCTGACACCTGTTGAACAGGTTCTTCCAGCCCCTAAAAGAATTCTTGAGACGTGGCTCCAACAATGACCGTGCTCCTGCATTTCACTCGGGAGCCTTGCTGACGGGTTTCAGAGTGCCTGGTGCAGACAGAGGTCAAAGAATCTTCATTACCAATGCATGCTAGACATGTTGCACTACCATCCACCTTTGGCCAAAGGCACAGTGAAGATGGCATCCTGAAAACTCTACACCTGCCTGTGCGTGTGCCTCTCCAAACCTATAGGCCACCTTTGCACCCTTTGGCCCACCTAGCTTCCAGGATTTATTCTTTTGTTTAATTGGATGATGGTTGTGAAGGATTCAACCACTGCTCACTGTAAGAGCCCTTCTCTTCCTCCTCTTTCTTTCTTTCTTTCTTTTTTTCTTTTTTCTTTCTCTCTCTATCTTCCTTCCTTCCTTCTCTCCTTCTTTTTTCTTCTTTACTTTTCTTCTTTCTTCTTCTTGTCCTTTCTTCTTTCTTCTTCTTCCTCCTCCTTCTCCTTCTTCCTCCTCCTCTTTTCTTCTTCTTCCTTCTTCTTCACAGGGTCTCACTGTGTCATCCAGGTTGGAGTGCAGTGGCATGATCTTGGCTCACTGCAACCTCTGCCTCCCAGGCCCAAGCAATCCTCCCACCTCCACCTCCCGAGTAGTTGGGACCACAGGCACTACCACACACAGCTAATTAGAGACATTATTTATAGGAAATCCTGTGGAATAGTGGGATGTGGTTAATAATTATTGTACCCATTTCACCAACAAATAAACTGAGGCTCAAAAAGATAACATCAGTCACTCAAGGTCACAGAGCTGACTCAGCCAGGATTTGAAATCAGATCTTGCCAACTCTAGAACCTATATTGTTTTAACTCCATCAATTTGTAGCATTTGAAGTCTGTACCAGGGGCCGGAGTTGGGGTGGACTTGTCTCTCATGCAGGCTGTGCTGCAGGGGATTCATGAAGAGGATCAGGGAACAGGCAGAATTGGAAGGGACGCCCTGGCTGGGCCTGGGCAGAGCACTGCTGGGTGATGTCACCTACTTTACACTGCAGCGTGACATACTGACTTGGATTTGGTTGTTCTGTCTTTCAGTCCCAGGAATCCCCAAACCTGGAAAACATAGCAAACCCCCTAGAAGAAAATGTAACGAAAGAATCAATCAGTAGTAAAAAAAAGGAAAAAAGGAAACATGTGGACCACGTAGAAAGTTCACTATTTGTAGCACCAGGAAGTGTTCAATCCTCAGATGACCTAGAAGAAGACAGTAGCGACTACAGCATTCCTTCCAGGTATTTTATTCATCTCTTTTCACCCGTAAGGTGGAGCCAGAGAGTTAGAGAGTTATTTGCAGTTTCTGATTTGATGGGGTGGGAGGTGCAGGCATGGGATTGGACAGCAAGGGAAATACAGCTTCATACACAATCCTCATTCTCTACACCTGGGTTCCCCGACCCACCCTCATCATTACCAGACCTCATAAGGAGCAAAAAGGGAAGGATGGGAAGCTTGCCTTCTCTCCTCAGTCTTCAAACCTTTGGGTGGAAGCTGGCAGTGAGCAGCAGATGGCTGAACCATAGGTAGGCGTGGGGGTGAACGCGGTAGACTTGGAGCCTCTGCTGGCTGCCTTCTGGCCCCCAGACAACTACAGGTTGACCAGACTTCACTTTATAAGCATCTTAATGACTTCAAGCATATCCACCTTTCCACCAAGGAGACCATTAATGTCTGGCACGTGGAAGCTGGACATCTCATTAATATTATGGCTTCTTCCACAATTCCCATTCCAAGGAAGTAGGGATGCTTGATTTAGCTTGGGAGAAGGAGGGAGCAGGGAGGATAATGAGATTTAACTGATCTACAGGAATCTCATAGCACACCTCTGCTCTGTCACTCCAAGGCCACCAGATGAGCCAGATTTGTCCCAGGGAAAATGTGTAACTGCTGAAAATCAGAAGACCCTGGTCTCTCCCCTCTCTCATCGTCACAATAGTCAGTCAGTGTTGATCAAGCCCTTACTGTGCCCAGGAACTTCACATTCATTTTCTCATTCATTCTCACGTCACCTATAGACACATTGGTGGGACTGTGCCTCATATGGCAGACAAAGAAGGTCAGGGGGCCAGGTAACTTCCCCAGCTTAGGGAGTCTTGGACTCAGATGTGTCCCACTCCACATTCCACATTCTTTTTGTGCCCCCTTGTTGCCTGTGATGATGTAATACAAGCTGCAACAGAAAACTATTGAGGTATGCATTTGGGGAGGGGTAGGGAGAAGCCCATACAGACAGAGCCAGAGGAGTTGCTGGCAGGTGCCTGGCTTTCCACCTCCCTCTGCCTTGCTTCTGTGCCTGGACTTTGGGGAAACAGAGGCAGGGGGAGGAGGGCCAAGGCACAACAGAAGGCTGCTGCCCACTTGGCCTTTGACTCCCAGCGTGCCTGTCCCTGCCCCTGGGTGTGACTGTCTAGCAGTCATCTATGATCTTCTCATGTCGCTGGGCTCTGCTGTCAGTGCAGGTGAGCACTTTGGACAAACAGTGCAGGGGATTTGCCCAACTGCTCAGCTTCTCCCTAAGCAGATTAATTCTCAAAGAGTCCTTGAGCAGCCACTATGCAATGGAGTCTGCTAGGCCTGGGGACTTCAGGAGAGGGAGAAAGAGGTCAGCCACAGGGGTGATTCAGGCGGGGCTCCATCCTTCAAGGAAATAGGACGTTACCCTCCATTCCGCTAGGACTGGGTGGAATGTGAAAAGTGCGAGGCAAGCATTCCCACTTGTACATTTTGGACCTCAGACGCAGGTAGAGAGAGTCAGGGCAGCCTGGTCTAGGCCCAGGTCTGACTAATTGCAGAGAACCTCTGGTGAGTCCCAGCACATCAGGATGCTTGGGTTACTTCCTGCTCCAAATGCTTTGATTTTTAAGAATATGTGCCTTGCTTTCTATTTAAAATCCTGACTTTGATTTTTCTTGTAGATGAGGGCCCAATGTGTGTATCACTAATATCCATCCTATTTGTAAGCACTGTCCAACCAAAGTAGGCATGTTAGATATAAAATCTGTCATTTCTGTCCCTGGCTGTGAAGTTGTCGCTTGCCTAAACCCATACGTGGAAACCCCAGGATGGGGGTGACCGTACAACTGAGCCATGAAGAGCTCCAGGTGGTACCAATTCAAAACATGTGTTTGTTTTTCAGGACTAGTCACAGTGACTCCAGCATTTACCTTCGACGACATACTCATAGGTCTTCGGAATCGGTTAGTATGTGAATTTCTTCTCTTTCCGCACGGCCCCTGCTAATCAATTCCTTTCCATCCTTCCTCCTCCCCAGCCCAGAGCTTTGAAATTACTGGCATGCAACAGCTATACTTTTGGATAGAAGACAAGCAGATTGGAACCTTATCATTAAGCACAGTCCGATCGGATATCCGGTTTGGGCAATAAGAGATGTAAATAAAGTGAGGATTTTAAAGCCCAAAGGCCTCCTTGCTATAAAAACGCACCCAAAACGCCTCACCTGGACCCCGCGCGCACCCAGAAGGATCACGTTCAGAGACAGAGGTGCAACATGAGTCAAGGTCCGATGGACAGTGGCACGTGCTCAGTAGCAGATGTGTTAGAACCCGGAGCAGCACACCCCAATCCGGGTTCCGGGTGGTGGGGTCTCTCGCACTCACAAGGGAGGGGCTTAGGGGAGGAGGTAGAGGAATGTATATTGTTTAGCACTTTGATTTTGGATCTAGACGCTGGCGGTATTGAGAAATGCCCGGCATGCTCGGCTTTGTGTGTTTAAAATCGTTTTATCTTCTGTTTCAGAGATTTCATCTTTACTAATTGGGTTGCGGGGGCTTTTGTTTATAAATTTCACTGTAGGATCATTTTAGCTATGTTCAGTTGAGGAACGCAGCAGATCTGGATGACAGAAGAAACCGAATATTAACCAGGTTGGTGGCTTTACTTCAGGTTTTGTGGGGGTAGTAATAAAATGTTTTTACATTCTGCAGCCTGCCTTACAGGGGTGGTTATTCTCCCACTGCTTTGTTGATAACAGTATTAATAATTTGGGATAATGCAAGAAAATAACTATTCCAGAGAAAATGATGTAAATTGAATATGAGTAGAAAGGAAAAGTAGATATTAATTAACACTGATGGTTAGGGCCCGGTTCCGAAAATGAGTCAGTTTAAAGACGGGTCTGGGTTCTGAGCCTGCAGCTGTGTTTAAATGAGTGGTATAGAGTATAGGGTGGTTTAGTGGTATAGGGTAGTTAGCAAAGGGACGGCCAGGCAGGAGAAGAGGTGGTGGTCTTGTGAGGCTGTGTGGCCCCTGTGAATGCTGTAGCCCCTGACGCCTGTCCATTCTCTGTTGCCACTGCAGGTACAGTACTCAGAAGCTTACTGAGCTGATTTTACAGTTTTATGGCATCAGAGCAGACATGAAGAGGGAAAGCAAACATGCCAGGATGTCTATGAAAGTATTTCTTGCTGTCGGAGAACTGTTGGCCTGGCCTAATGTTGCTGAATTGCTGGAAACCTGCCCATTTAAAACATAGGAAACCAGAAAAACGTCTCAAATTCTTACAATTCTGAGACGTCCCCATTCCTGTTGAAGTCATAGAGTTGCTTTATTATGTTTTTATTTTTAAAAAATTTTATTTACTCGCCACAGATTTGAATTGGCTTGGAAGGATTTAGATTACTGGAATCGGAAGCCTCTGTCTGAATATTACCCAACACCCAAGAGTGTGGTCATTAGAACCCCATCCCTCTGGCTGCTAAAAAAGAAGCAAGACAGCTCCTTTCCCCTGCCATGAAATGGAAATACTAATTCAAGTTTTCCACCAGGCTGGATATGCTCATAGGAAAATAATCCTTTTTGCTCTTATGAGATAGAGGCGTTGAAAATAGAACCTGTAAAGTTGAGAAATGCAGTCGTGTTTTCAGTTGTCTACATTGAGCATTTATTACCTTTATAATAAAAAATATGGTTTAGGCTGCGCATGGTGGCTCACGCCTGTAATCCCAGCACTTTGGGAGGCCAAGGAGGGAGGACTGCTTGAGGCCAGGAGTTTGAGACTAGCCTGGGCAACACAGAGAGACCGTGTCTCTATAAAAAGTATATAGTTTAACTTGTTTCTGTGGACAGCTTTTTAAAGAAGACCATCATGTGGGTATTTATCATTCAGTATGTAGACTGTGGCAGATGTTTAATCCCACCCTGCCCCTCGCTCCTGCTATCAGGAGATAGTTCTGGGACAAGTGGTTTTAGCCTCTCGTAATCTCCATTACACCGCACGAAACCACCCTAAGAGGCTTACACTGCAGGCTTCTCTACATGCAGCTCCAAGCAGAGGCCCCAGCCCCAGGCAAAACCTTCTGGGCTTCCCTATGATCCGCCAGGCAAAACTGAAATGACATTTTAACACTACCACCTATAAAATAAAAGCAGGAAGGTAAATCTGACTGAAATCAAATCTAGTAATTATTTTAAAGGTAATATTCCAAAGCCAAAACAAAACTGTGGGGAATGGGAGAGGTCTTTGTTTCTTTCTGATAGATGATTTAAAATGATCTGCTATTAGGGACACTTCATCCCTTAGATGACCTATGGGGTCCCCTGCGTTACTAACAAACAGCAGCAAGCGATCAGTATCTAACTCCGTGTCACTCTCTGAGAGCACTGTGGCATCAAGAAAGGTGTCCCAGGAGACCTGGCCTAGGCGCCCTCTCTGTCGCCAAGTTAATTGCATGGCCTTGGGCAAGTCACTCCACCCCGAAAGCCTCAGTGTGTCCATCTGCAGAATGGGGCTGCCACCTCCTCTCACCTGATGTTATGGAGATGAACGGAGTACGTGCAAAAGCTCGAGGGGCTGCCTGGATGGCCCGACGCACTGCCTTGGGCCAGTACACACAGTGTGGGGCCTACCTGGACATGGTGCTGGGGAGCCTTCGGGTCTTCAGGCGGGGAGTGGGGGCCGGGGAGAGACGGGTAGCACTGGGTGGGGTCCACTTTCCTGGGAACCTGCTTGGTAACTGCGTTTCCTCTGTGTTTCTTCTGTAGGAAGGCCAACAGCTCAGGAGAAGCCATGTCACTGGGGAGCCACAGCCCGCAGAGTGACTCCCTGACACAGCTTGTCCAGCAGCCGGATATGATGTATTTTATTCTCTTCCTGTGGCTCCTGGTGTACTGCTTGCTGCTCTTCCCACAACTGGATGTTAGCAGGCTCTGATACGTGTGTCTGGATAATAAAAAAGACAGGACCCTGACCAGGGGCGGGGTTACTTCATTTTATTTTGGGTTCTGGGTGGGGCACTTCTACAGACAGTTGAGGACCTCCGAGGAAACTTAGACCCCCTTTCTCGCTATTGTGGTTTTTTTTTTTTTTTCAGGTTTCCTTTTTTTTCTGGACAACCTGAGCATGCTTTTTTCTTTGGCTGTGTACTCAAAACTCAGGCATGCAGCTGGATCCGTAGGTGGGGTTTTGTCCTTGTGTGCCTTGCTGGGTTGGATAGGGAGCATTGTTAGTGATCATTAGCCCGCCTGGATCTTAGCACACCCCACATTGCAGGTTCACACGCTGGATGAACTTGAGTTTCTTACCTCTCAGATGAAGGGCTGCTTAATGAGAAAGAGGGTGGGCACCCCAGGCCAAGCCCCAGCTGGGGAGAGAGCTGCCACGTTTTCCTCCAAGCGTGGGTGTTTGAGAGAAGGTGCTGGGGTCCATGCACCTGTCGCAGTCCGGTAACTGGTTGCATTCACTAGGGGAAATCCGAGCAGCCAGCTCTGTGTAAGCACATCCAGGAATGGCAGAATCCAGGGAGGAAGGTGAAAGCTGTGTTGAGAGCCACTGTGTGCTCTTTTTCACCCTGTTTTTTTTGTTGTTTTTTTGTTTTGTTTTTTGTTTGAGGGGAGATAACACTTGAAATTCAGTTTTCCATTGATTGGATTGAGATAGAACCATGATTTTCAAACCAGATCGCCAGGGCCCAGCAGGGCCATATAAAAGCCATGAGGAGTGGCTGGGCTGGAATCAGCTCCCAGCAGTGCTGGAGCTGGGTGGTGGGGTAGCTTCCTGCCCACTAAAGCTTTGGTGCACACCTCCCTCAGAATGCATGTCTTGGAACGGGCATTCTTTGTGGTCACTTGTAATGGGTTTCTTGAAGAGGCTTTCTGGACAGCACTCCGGGAGCAGGCCAGCACAGGAGGTTTGTGAAAGAAGAGAGGCATCTCTAGCACCCCTGCCCCCAGTCTTCCTCAGCCCCAGGCTCCCTCTGCTCTCTCCTCCCTGCCAAGACTCAGGTCCGTGGTGAGTCTCTGCATTGGTTCCTCCTCCCCTTGCTCTCCCCTTCAGAAAGCATGTACCAGGCAACCCTTATAAAATCACAAATGAGTCAGGAGGGGACTCAGTGAGCATCTTGTCTAGCTGGACCCAGAGAGACAGAGCAGCTTGACCAAGATCATATAGCCGACCAGGGGCAGACTTGCAGTGAGCACACAGGCACCTGATGCCCTGTCCAGAGCTGTCACCCCTTGTAGGAAACTTCCACTGGGCACACCAATGTCCTGAGAAAAAGATAAAATGACTAGATTAAAATGTCCACATTCAAGCAAAACCAAAAAGTTTAGACCAACTATCGACATTTGTTTTGTTCTTGTATTTTTCCCATGAGGAATTCTTACTCACCTTCAAGCTCATCCCCAATTCCTTCTGAAATACCCTTGACAGCTGCAACAGCTTGTCATTTGACATACCAGCGTCGCTCTTACTCCAGGAATCACGTTTCTTTCTTTGCTAGCCAAGGACTTGCTCATTTCAAGCAGTGGGTTTCAAGTTTACAGAATTCCAGCATGGCCAGAAGAATTTACATAGCACATCTGAGTCGATGACAGCCAAAATCTGGCCTCTAAACCAGTCTGATTATAGTCTGTCTCCCCTCCTGAAAGAATTTCAGCCTTCCAACCAGAAAGCTGCTGGGAGCTTGGAGTGATTCCATCTGGAAGGCCAAGAGCCCCATGGAAAATGAGCTAATTAATGAGCTCCCTGGCATCAATGAAAGCTCAAAGGTACAGATAATAAAGATTATGTGATAGTTTATAACTCTGGGCACCATGCAGTCCTTGCCTAAATTAGATGCTCGAAGAGCCTGGGAAGAGCCAACCCAAATGTGAATCATTTCATTTTATGGGTCTAGACCTTGTTCAGAAAAACCTCTGCAAGATACTTCTCTCACCTATTACAACTTGTAATATTGTTTAAAACATCTACTGGCAAGATGCCTGAAAGTCATTTGGTTCAGGTTGGCAGTCAACTGATATTTTGCAAAGGAAAAAAAAATCTCATTTGAGTATAGGCTTCTATGGAAGAAGCTGGATATAGAAAATGGATGTGGAAGTCTGCAGGACAAACCACCCCATTGCTTGTAAATTTTTTTTAAATTAAAAGAAATACAATAAGGCTTTTAACAAGAACTAGCAGTCCCCTAAGTCTCGCTGCTTAGAAGTAACCACTTTCAACTCTCTTATGTTTGCATTTCTACATAACGTGCTTACACTTTATTTTTTAATTTAGAAACATCTACTGGCTTGCTGTCACAGTAGAGGAGGATTTCACTCTTACCATACCGTGCTTTGGTTTTCCAGTATAGCTAGATCACATCATTTAGTACATTTCTATTAGGTGTTGACATTACCTGGAGCACTTAAGGATTGTTGACTCCCAAGCCCAGCAGTGTGTTATGGTTACATGTCCTTTCTCCTCCAAATGTCCCCATTAATTTGCTATTCTCTCTCTTTACTTTTTTTTTTTTTTTGGTGTGGCACATTCTTTAATAACTTCCTGAGGAAGAGAACATGGGAAGTAAATATGGTTGTAAATATTTTGAGATTTTTGCATGACTTAAGATGTCTGTATTCTGCCCTTAACAGAAATGTGGCTGAGCATAGAATGACAGGTGGAAAATAATACCCTCCCCTAGCCCCTCCCAAGCGTGCTGGTTGAGATTTCTGATGCCATTCTGATTCCCGTACCTTTATATGTGACTTAGGTTTTTTTATCCACCCTTCCTGGAAACATTTAAGATCTCTTTATTCTTGGTGTTCTGAACTGTCATGATGGTGTTGTATCCCGGGTGTTAAACCTTGTGCTGGGCCTTCATGGGAAATTTCTTAAATTTTCTTGTGATTATTTACATTCTTTCTTTCTGGACCACCTATTATTTCAATGTTGGACCCTCCCCTACACCCAGGCTGATGCTCTAATATTTTTTATCTTTTCTATTTTTCGTCTATGTTTCTGATCTGCTTTCAGGAAGAATTATTCATTTTTATCTTCCCAATCTGAATGTTTTATTGAATTTTTATTTTCCAAGTTAATAAAACCTTTGGTTATTATCCTGTCTTTGTTTTACAGTGTCCTGCTCTTGATGCGTGGATGCAGATTTTGTCTCTCTGTGGACGTTAATGATTGTGGTCTGAGGGGAAGTCTTTTCTGCTCCCTGTGTTGCCCTCATTTTCTCTGAGTTCTCTTTATTTTGGTGGTCTCAGTCTCTATCTTTCACGTTGTGAATTTTTCTCAAATATATGGTGATCCTATGGATCTGTTCATGTTTTAAGAGTGAGGCATCCAAAAGCTGATTGGAAGTTGTGTGTGCCAACTGGTGAGCTTTTCCACTAGGGTCACCAGGTGGGCACCTGGACTCATCATTGGAGAACACTGCCTGTCAGTATTTGCACGTGTTTTCTCTGGGGCTCATTCTGTTTCTTGAGAGATATTCCCACTACTCTCCTTCCTGGGAAACGGGCATACACAGGGCTTTTAGCCTATGCTGAGTACTCATGTGGTTTCAAAAATGGTGTCCCATCTGGGCAGAAGTCCCCATGAGCACTTGGCTTGACTGGCAAAGGACACCTTTTGCCCCTTCCTCCAGACATACCCAGCTCTGAGCTTGGACAATGCTCGAGGAACAATGAAAAGGCTAGATTTTAACTCCTAATTGCCCTCTTTAGCCAAGTGCCTCTGTGCAATGCACAACTGTAGGACCATATCCAGAGACCCTGGTCTATACTCAGTGTGCCCGAGTCCTGACCGCTGAGCAGGCAGCCTCATCACCCGTGAGTATTTAGACTTTCATTAAGTTGCTTCAACCTTTGCTGTGCCTGGTGTCCCTGAGTTGGAGCTGCTCTGATTTCTCCATGGAGTAGGAGCACAGTGGTCATCTGGCTGCATGGGAAGGACAGGGGACCTCAGAGCCAATAAATGCCCTGGTCTTCAGCCCCATGTCTCACCCCATCCCTCCTATTCCAATCCCCAAGCCTCTCCTGGAGGCCACAGGGCATCTCTGCTGACCACTCTGTGGCCTCCCCTCTGCAGGCATGTGGTTTTAGGATCCCCCTCCCTGCTCACTTTTCCATCAGTTCCATTCCTGCATAAATAGGTTGCTAGCTCTTGCTTACTGTTCTCTTCTGTATTCTGTGTTCATGGTTGTATTAATATAACTTTCATTCCTCTGCTCCTATTTTCATGGGGTTTCATGAGGGAAGAAACAGGCTCATGTGTTCAGTATACCATCTTGATCCATAAACCCCATTTGAGTTATCTCACAGGTTGCTTAGGGGGCTTGCTGCTCTGACTGGTTTGTGAACGTGCCCTGAGTCCAGCTGGGACTGCAGCAACATCCATCCTGTTGAGCTGTGGTCTGCTAAGTGATTTTGTGTAATGCTGTGCCAAGTGCAGGAGAGGGATACATAGCATGGCTAAGCTCTGCTTGAATGCCATGATTAGTTATTACCTTCCTTCCTTCCCCCTGGTTTTGCTGCCTATTGTCAGTAAATGATCTTAGATCTCCTGCCTCCCCAAAGATATAGTCTATGTGGTGGTCTGGGTTCTAGGTTTTCTTTACCACCCTTGCTTCACTTAAGAAACAGAAAACTGGCTAGGCACAGTAGTGGCTCACACCTATAATCCCAGCCCTTTGGGAGGCCAAGGCAGGAGGATCGCTTGAGGCCAGGAATTCAAGACCAGCCTGCACAACATAGCAAGACTCCATCTCTACAAAAAGTTAAATTTAAATTAGTGGTGGCATACACTTATAGTCCCAGCTACTCAGGAGGATGAGGCAGGAGAATTGTTTGAGCCCATGACTTTGAGGTTACTGTGAGCTATGATCCTGCTATTTTACTCCACCTGAGTGACAGAGCGAGACGCTGTCTCAAAAATAAAGAAACAAGTAGTCCACACAGGTGTTTGCCAGCAAACAAACAGCGCGGATTCTCTGTTGAACGTGGCCAACATTGCCTCGTCGAAGTTTGTATCTTGCCATAGTTGATGATCAGGTGGTCGGGGCTTCCTGGTCAGACCTGACCTTTGTGGGGAGATGTTCTCCCACCAAGGCTCAGAAGCAGGACACTCTTGCTGCCCCTCGGGCAGCCACCCAGAACATGGGCGTCTCCATTTCTGAGGTTCAGCATAGTTCCCCCCACCCTCTTCCCATGCAGTGCATGCCTGCTCTTTATCAGGATGGAACAGAGGGAAGGCAGAGGCACTGGGGGCAGCCTGTGTTGTTGATCTCTGTAAGTCACAGACTGTTCGAAAACCTCAGGAATTATGTAAGCGTTCAGTGCCTCATTTAAGAGATGAAAAACTGAAGATTAGAAAGAGGAAACGACTAGTCGCCCTGCTAGTTGATGACCTCCAGATAGCCATCTTCATTCCCAGTTAAGTTTACTACAAAACCACAGCCTCAGCTGCTGAAGCTAACCTCCCTACCCACCATCGCTAGGGACTCAGAACACCATGGAGCTCATCTCTCCAACAAAAGTCAGAATTAGCAAGTACAGATGTGTCTTACGAAAATGTCAGAATCCATCATGGCTGCTTTGGTGAGGAGCTGTTCTCCTTCCGTGGTCATGCCATTGGAAGGCAGTTGTATGACAAGAATGCTTTCACATGAGCTCCGATTTTCTTAACTCTCCAGAAGGACTTCAGAAGCCTCTGGAGTTTTGAGACACGGCCTCTCTCTCCCTTCTGCTTGGAGACACCTTCCTGGGGGTCTCCACTGCATTCCCCGCCGGTATTCCTCTGTGGAGCCTTGCGCCCTCAGGTCCCAGAAATGGGCTGTGTGGGAGCTTCCAGTCAGCCTGGTATCTCGGGACCTTCTCAGCCAGGAAATGAGACTGCACAAAGCCCTGTGAGGCCCAGCTGTGTTATTTCTCCTTCCCCGACATTGCATAATCACTGCTGACACAGCATTTGGGGAAGATTTAACGTCTTGGGCCAGCAGCTGCCATCTGGAACCATCACCACATAGCAGGTTGTTCTGTCCCATCCAACTGATGAGGGGGCTGCCCTAATGACAAGGTCCAGGACCTGGGTTGGGTGGTGGAAGGCTGGGAGCTGGAGTGGGCATTATTGTGCTTCTGTGCTGAAAATTGCTATGGCTCTTTTCCCCTAACAGCCAGCGTGGGAGAACCAAACATGAGACACAAGCATCCCCTTGAGCTCCACAGATCTTGCGCCTTGCTCTCATCAGGCATTTCCTTGGAAAACAGCAGTCAGCAGCTCATGGAAGTGAGCCCGGTGCACAGACTTTGCATGGACTTTGCACAGGTTCCATTTCCATCGTGTGCAGACACCTGTATCTTTGGGCTCCACGTGAGCACCTGCCCTCTTCACTCTGATTTTTTTTTTAAGAGACAGCATCTTACTCTGTCACCGAGGCTGGAGTACAGTGGTGTGATCACAGCTCACTGCAGCCTGAAACTCCTGGGCTCAGGCAATCCTCCTGCCTCAGCCTCCCAAGTAGCTGGTAGTACAGGTGCATGCCACCACGCCCACCTAATTTTTTTATCTTTTATAGATACAGGTCTCACTGTTGCTCAGGCTGGTCTCGAACTCCTGGCCTCAAGTGATCCTCCTGCCTTGGCCTACCAAAATGCTGGGATTATAGGCATGAACCACTGTGCCTGGCCTTCACTCTGATTTTTCTTAAGAGTCCTACAGGACCTTCAGGTCTTGTCACTTCTCTACCATTGTGTGTGAGACAGGGCATGGGGTGAGCTTGGTCAGGTGTGGGTCAAAAGCCTGGAGACTCAGAGCTGCTGGTTCCCCAAGAGCCCACAAAAGTTATCAGAGTTTCTGAGCTGAGTGTTCTGCAGTTGCCAGACCCCACAATGCTGGGAATACTGGCTTCTTTGTGTTTAGAACTTGTTCTGAGAACCTTGATGAGAACACATCAAGCAAGCAGTTCCTCCCAGCCAGGGCTGGAGCAACATGCCAAAAAACATTCTTGTCTATGGGAAAAAGACAACCAGTATTTTGTACTGTTTGACCAAGTTGTTTTTAAATATACACATGCCTCAACAATCCACGGCCTCAATCGCACTGCTAATTTGTTTAAATCCCTGACACTCAGATGTCAAGAATAGCTTCATCTAGCAGTGTTCTCTTTAAAGGAACCCTTTTTTTTGTTTTCATTTTAATCACTGCCTTCTTCTCTGGGAGGTATTGTGGGCTAGAGAAAGAAGTCAGGTTTGGGAGTCAGCCAGATTTAGATTGGAGTCCCAGCTCTGTCACCAGATCTCTGGGTGATCTTGGCAAACTAACTTCTGAGCTTCTGTGCATTATAGGCATTCAGCACATATTTGTTGGATGAAAAATACTTTTCTTGAAAGTTTATGAAGTTGTAGGATGCCCAGCAGCCCCCTTTTCTCTATTTCCTTCCTCTTGAAGCAAGCGTTGACTATACCTCTTTCCCTAACCCTTAGTGTACCATAGCTTCTTCCAACCTCTCTCCAATCCATTACTTTTTTCTGAGCTACCCTGTCTCAAATCTAACTCAGGCCTTTTTGCAAGAGGAAGTTTAAGCCATTGTTTACTCATTAACTCACTTGACCCTTAGAACAATCGTGGGAGGTGTTTATTTCGGAAAGGAAGCTAAAGCACAGGACAGAAAAATAAGGTCATAGCGTGAACTAGTAAGTAGCAGAACTGGGAACATAGGACTGTTATTTTCAAACACTCTAAACTTCACTGCAGTTGCAAATTTGCAACCAAAATGGCCGCCTTGAAAGGGTCTTTTGCAGTAAAATCTCAGTGTCCAACATCAAAGACAGTTCTTCAGGGCCTCCAATTAACTATACATCCTGCCCCCAGCTGCTCATCTCTGCACCTCTAACACGTACTTCACAGAGTAGGAAATTGGGCTTTCTCCTTCAAAAAGAAAAGTAGAGAAGGCCTGAGGGCAGTGTAATTAAAATGGAGAAGTAGAGACCACGAATTACTTGGATGAATTCATAACTGGTTGGTCTCTGAGGCAGGGATTATTATTTTTCCTGTATTTTAAGCTTAAAAGTAGTGATTTTTGCATTGTTACAAAAAACAAAATAGCAAAATATCATTTGATACTTGTATTCTGTTTGCAATAGCTACCACTTCCTTTAGCCCCAGCAAAAATCAATAGGTGTGTATTCTCTACAAGCCCATGCTGTGCCAGAATGCCAGTATTGCTAAATGTCATGCAAGGATTTAGACACTTTTTTAAAGGAAACTCTGGGAGTGCCTGTTGTCTGGAGAGTTGACATTGTCCAAAGCAGGCCAACACTGGTATGGGTATGGAGAACCCACGTCCTAGCTGTGGCTCACCTGCAGATGCCTTGAATTTACCTCTCTGGGTTGGAAGTGGGAAGACTTCTTTTAAAAGTCCTTTCTAAGTTTAAAAATCCAAAGGTTACGAAGGTAGTTTTTATTTATCTCAATAAGTGGCCTATTTGCTTAAAGCAAGTGTACCTCTGTATATCAGCCCAAAGCTTAGGGCAGTGCTTCTTGGCTTTAGTATCTGAGAAAGGTGCCTTTGGGAAGAGTTTGGTCAGACAGAAGGTAGTCTGAATCTTAAAGGTTTCAGATGAATGTTTGAAGTAGAACCTGGGAAATCTGCTTCCTAGGGCTGTTAGAAGGAAATTGGTCTCCTTAAATTACGTCAGCATCTGAGGCAGTTTCCTAAGGGAATTTCTTTTAAATTCAAAAGTTCAACTGCAGGAATAAATAGCTGTACAGGACTAGATCTTCCCATCCCTCATCTTTTCCCCTTCCCCGAGTAACGACTCAAAAAGGCTTCTGAAATTCTACTCAGAATCGGAGCCGTTTGCATTCCAACAAGGATCCCTTAAGCCAAATGCTGGTGTGTTTGTGTAGAATGTCCCTGGGGTAGGGGCGGTAGCTGTGGGGAGGGAATGTGGTGCAGGGGACACCTGCCCTCTGCCCTTGAAATTGCACCATAAGATGCTGCCTATGTCACTCACAGTGGTGCTGATACTATCCGCCAAAGACAAATTGTGAACACGGAAAAATGGTCGTTCCCTACTGTACATCCTCAGGACAGACTTAACTAAACTTGGAGACAGGAGATTGTTCAGACCATATTGTAGTGGGTGGTGATCATTGTTTTATTTTGGGGGAGTCTGGTCTATTGAGCAGATTGAATGTTTCCTTATTGTGCAGGGCTTAATTGACTATGTCTGAAAGTTTTTACTGAGAGCTCTAAGAAAACTATTGAGGAAAATGAAATGTTATTTTGTAGTACAAGGATTATTTTTGTCTATTTAGGATATACATAGCTGTAGCTTTGTAAAAAAAAAGATCTTTATAAACAATATATGAATGTGCCGTCTTATTTATTGATTACTGTAAATTAAGATATAAATGGCTATTTGAATAATTTATACCTGTGGGAATTAACTGGAGTATTTGTTATTTGACTGTTTTCTATTAAGGAATATTAGGCTTGGTGCTATGATGAATGATCTTGTAAAATCATGTGTATTCTTAAGAAAATTTTTGAATATAAATTTCTTGAACTGACGATTTCGTTGATGATACTTATTTTCATGTGTGTTTGTGGTTTTGACAACCAGAAATTACACTATCTTTCCAACAAATAGTCCCAACAAATAATACTTTTGCCAGGGCCGAAGCGAAGCCAATTGGCTTTAGAGTGGTAGAGATTGTAGAGAATATGCCCTTTTTTAAACTGCATTAACTTGCCTAGAGCCTTTGTAATGCTCCAAGTAGTAGTAATAATAGTAGTAGTAGCTATGCAGCTCTGGAGTGGGACTGCCTAGGTCTGAATCCTAGATCTGTCTTTTACTAGCTGTGTGACCTCCAGGAAGTTACTGTAGTTGCCAGGGGTCCTCAGAAGACAGAGCCTGAGCCAAAGCTGACGTGATGATTGCATCATTTGAGGGCAGAGGGGATGCAACCAAGGGCAGCAGGAGTAAGATGGGGACAGAGGGAGAGCAAATAAAAGGTGGTGCAACAAATATTTATTACACACCTACTTGGCATCAGCACTGTTCTGGTTGCTGCGAATATAATAGGAAACCAAAACAAGGTTTTTATCCTCCCAGAGCTGACCGTCTAGTGAGAAGAGGCAGACAGAAACAAAATAATGGTAAGATGCACAGTATGTCGTCAGTGCTATAAGAAAACGCAGGGAAGGAAGGTAGATTGGGGGTGGACAGCGAGGTGCCACCAGGTTCATACAGCAGCCAGGAAAGACCTCTTTGAGCAAGAGACATTTGACTAAAGACCTAAAAGAGCCGCAGGGACAGATCCTTTGAATGCCTGGGGAAAGAGTTTTCTAAGCAAAGGGAGCAGCCAGTGCAAAGGCACTGAGGCAGGATCATGGCTGGGGTTTTTACGGAACAGCAAAGAGCCTGGTTTGGTGAATGCATGGTGAGTGAGAGGAGAGAGGCCAGGTAGGGCCTTGTAGGATGTGTTAAGGGCTTTGGCCTTTACCCAGAGTGAACTGGGATCCACTGGAGAATTTTGAGCACACGTCAGCTTACATTTTAGCAGGCTAAACCCAGCTGCCATAATGAGAATAAACTCCAGGGAACGAGGGCAGAATGCAGAGGCCAGCCAGAAGTCTATTTCAACAGTCCGGGAGAGATGACAATGGCACAGGTGGGTGCAGCGGAAGTGGGCCACAGTGGTTTTATTCTGGATGTATTTTGAAAGTAGACCCTCTGGATTTGCAAATGGATTGGGTGTACAGTGTAAGAGAAAAAGGATTGAAAAATGCTCCAAGGTTTTGGCCTGAGGATCTGGAAGAATAAAGATGCCATTGGCTGATGGGGAAATGGGGCTGAAGCAGATGGTGGGGAAGACCCGGAGTTCCTGAATCTGAGCATGTTAAGTTTGAGACGCCCGTTGCTCATCTCCTTTTCCTCTCCCTGTCCAAGGGTACTCGGGCTGTGGCACTGAAGTGCCCTGAGGTGACTGTGCCTCTGTCTGCACTGGTAGGGCGCAGCCCCCATGGCCCCTTAGCTGCTCTGCTGCTGTGCCGTGATTGACTGGGCTTGGGCATCTCTGACCAGTTTTGGAATCTCAGGTCCCCAGTGTACCATGAGGCCATTCCCATGGCATCTGCGGAGCCCCCAGACTGATCTCTCCCCCACCAATCCCATTCTGACACGCCACCCCGAAGTGGGTCTTCCGACCACTCTCCCTGCTGTATTTGAATTTTAAATCTTTTGAATACAGATACCAGGAGGCCCTTCACAAACCTTCCTGGATGCACAGAGCCTTCTCCCTGCTTGAATGGAGACAAAGAGAAAACACATCAAACGATCTGGCCACATTAAAAGGGGAATGGCAGGCTGTATGACAGGAAGATAAACCCTGTACTGAAATTTCCAAAGCCTGTAAACAGCTGAGCATAATCATGTTTCAACTTGGTGGTATATTACTTTGGACAGAGTGGTTATGCCATAAAAAGCTCAAAGCGTGAAGATGGGGTTCTATTTTTTCCATTAATTGCTGCAGCGTTTCAGATTAATTCCAGTGACGTGACAGCCCAAAAAAGCAATGGTTTAAACACCAATAAATTTTATTTTTCTCTTAAGAGAGACAGTCCTGCTTGGCACAGCAGCTCCCCTGTCCTTCTCGCCACTCTCAGTGCTCTGGCTGTGTCATCCTTAGACAATCGTCCTTGTCTTTATGGTCCAAAATGGTGTCTGTACATCCAGACCACACATCCATATTCCATGCTGCAGAATGGAAGAGAGGCAGTGAAGGGCGGGGGCGGCTCCTGCCTTCTCAGAGTTCCCAGAAGAACCCTCACAACACATGGGCTCTCATCTCCTTGTCCGAGCTAAGCCACTGACCACAGCTGCTATGGAGTAAGGAAATGTGTCCTTGGTCCAAACACAGAAGATCTTGCTTCTCTCCCATCTTCACCTTCTCCCGAGCACGTCCTTCCTCCATCCGCAGCCTGGGCACTCCTTCAGCTCCAACCTGTGCTAAATGAATTACAAGTTAGAAGGGCTGTTGGTTGGCAGCAGGCATCTAGCAGCCTTGGTGACATTTGTCTAAGTCCTGGTTGTCAGGGGTGATGTGGGCAGCTTGTTCCTTATACATACCTGTATGGAAGGCCTGCAGGGTGTCTGGGGCTTAGAGATGGTAATGAAATCAAATCCATCCTCTGAAGGAGTTCACCCAGAGCAACTACCATTTCTTTCTTTTTTTTTTTTTTTTTTTTTTTTGAGACAGTGTCTCACCCTGTTGCTCACGCTGGAGTGTAATGGCACGATCATAGCTCACTGCAGCTTTGAACTCCTTAGCTCAAGGGAGCCTCCTGCCTCAGCCTCCTGAGTAGCTGGGACTACAGGTGTGCACTACCTGCCAGGCTCACAGCTACCCATTCTTGAGCACTCTCCCAGGCGCTAGGCTATGAACATACTATACTATCACAAGACTCTCACAGTGAGTTTTGTGGTGGGTGGTTGCGTCCTTCCCATGAGAAGGTTGAGGCTGGAAGGAATGATTGAATGAAGATAGTGCAGGCAGAGTTGGAATAGGAACCCGGGGCCACTGGAATGTTTCTGGCACATCAGTCTTCCTTGTGTGTCCCCAGAAGTGGCCCCCAAGAGAATGTGACCTGGGCCATGGGATCTGCAGCTGCTTCTGGTGGGCAGGGCTCAGAGAGACCCACAGGGCAAAAATGACTGCCAGGGTTCCAGTCTGAGGCCTACGTCCTGCCATGTGGAAGAAAGCTGGACAGGGAGCTTCGTGTGCCATTGACTCAGGGGTCCATTCTTTTAGGACCTCTGAAAAGTCTCAACATTCCCAGCCCTCAGTTCCCTCAACTGTGAATGCAAATCATAACAGTCCCCATAGGAAAAAGAACTCAATAGACATTTCTGAAAAAAAAAAAAAAAAAATAGCAAACAGGCATATGAAAAGGGGCTCAACATCAGTGATCATCAGAGAAATGCAAATTAAAACCACAATGAGATATCATCTCACTCCAGTTAAAATGGCTTCTATCCAAAAGACAGGCAATAAGGAATGGGGGCGAGGATGTGGAGAAAAGGGAACCCTTGTATGCTGTTGTTGGGAATGTAAATTAGTACAACCACTATGGAGAATGGTTTGGAGGTTCCTCAAAAAACTAACAATAGGACCGGGCATGGTGGCTCACGCCTGTAATCCCAGCACTTTGGGAAGCTGAGGCGGGTGGATCACTTGAGATCAGGAGTTTGAGACCAGCCTGGCCAACATGGTGAAACCCTGTACTAAAAATACGAAAGTTAGCCAAGTGTGGTGGCACACACCTGTAATCCCAGGCACTCAGGAGGCTGAGGTAGGAGAATCACTTGAACCTGGGAGGCAGAGGTTACAGTGAGCCAAGATTGCGCCATTGCACTCCAGCCTAGGCAACAGAGTGAGACTGTCTCAAAAAAATGTTTTTTTAAATAAAAAATAAACCTAACAATAGAGCTACCATATGATCCAGCAATCCTACTACCAAGTATATACCTAAAAGAATGGAAATCAGTATATTGAAGACATCTCTGCACTCCCATGTTTATTACAGCACTGTTCACAACAGCCAAGATTTGGAGGCAACCTAAGTGTCCATCAACAAATGAATGGATAAAGGAAATGTGGTACATATACACAATGAAAAACCATTCTGCCATAAAAAAGAATGAGATCCTATCATTTGCAACAACATGGATGGAACTGAAGGATATTATGTGAAATAATCCAGGCACAGAAAAACTTCTCATGTTCTCACTTATTTGTGGGGGCTAAAAATCAAAACAATTGAACTCATGGAGACAGAGAGTAGAAGGATGGCTACCCAAGGCTGGGAAGGGTAGTAGTGGAGGGGTGGGGGATGGTTAATGGGTACAAACATATAGTTAGATAGAATGAATAGGATCTAGTATTTGATAGCACAACAGGATGACTACAATAATTTATTGTATATTTAAAAATAACTGAAAGTATAATTGGAAAGTTCATAACATAAAAAAAAAATGCTTGAGGGGATGAATACCCCATTTACCCTGATGTGATTATTATACATTGTATGCCTATATCAAAATATCTCATGTACCCCATAAATATATACACCTACTAGTAACCATAAAAATTTTAAAAATTTAAGTAACCAAATTAAACCTCTAGAGATTAAAGCTTAAAAGAAATAGTCCCCCTGCGAGAACTGAAATGAGCTACCGTCTGTAAAAATACCCAATAAATAAAGCAAGCACTAATGTTCATGGAATTGCAGCAGCATCATCCTTTCTTTCTACAAACCACTGCTCAGGAAAATAAAAGAGGACACAAACAAATGGAAGAACATTCCATGCCCATGGATAGGCAGAATCAATATCATGAAAATGGCCATACTGCCCAAGGTAATTTATAGATTCAATGCCATCCCCATTAAGCTACCAATGACTTTCTTCACAGAATTGGAAAAAACTCCTTTAAAGTTCATATGGAACCAAAAAAGAGCCCGCATTGCCAAGACAATCCTGAGCCAAAAGAACAAAGCTGGAGGCATCATGCTACCTGACTTCAAACTATACTACAAGGCTGCAGTAACCAAAACAGCATTGTACTGGTACCAAAACAGAGATATAGACCAATGGAACAGAACAGAGCCCTCAGAAATAATAGCACACATCTACAACCATATGATCTTTGACAAACCTGACAAAAACAAGAAATGGGGAAAGGATTCCCTATTTAATAAATGGTGCTGGGAAAACTGGCTAGCCATATGTAGAAAGCTGAAACTGGATCCCTTCCTTACACCTTATACAAAAATCAATTCAAGATGGATTAAAGACTTAAATCTTAGACCTACAACCATAAAAACCCTACTAGAAGAAAACCTAGGCAATACCTTTCAGGACATAGGCATGGGCAAGGACTTCATGTCTAAAACACCAAAAGCAATGGCAACAAAAGCCAAAATTGACAAATGGGATCTAATTAAACTAAAGAGCTTCTGCACAGCAAGAGAAACTACCATCAGAGTGAATAGGCAACCTACAGAATGGGAGAAAATTTTTGCAATCTACTCATCTGACAAAGGGCTAATATCCAGAATCTACAAAGAACTCAAACAAATTTACAAGAAAAAAACAAACAACCCCATCAAAAAGTGGGCAAAGGATATGAACAGACAACTTCTCAAAAGAAGACATTTATGCAGCCAACAGACACATGAAAAAATGCTCATCATCACTGGCCATCAGAGATATGCAAATCAAACCACAATGTGATACCATATCACACCATTTAGAATGGCAATCACTAAAAAGTCAGGAAACAACAGGTGCTGGAGAGGATGTGGAGAAATAGGAACACTTTTACACTGTTGGTGGGACTGTAAACTAGTTCAACCATTGTGGAAGACAGTGTGGCGATTCCTCAAGGATCTGGAACTAGAAATACCATTTGACCCAGCCATCCCATTACTGGGTATATACCCAAAGGATTATAAATCATACAGCTATAAAGACACATGCACACGTATGTTTATTGCAGCACTATTCACAATAGCAAAGACTTGGAACCAACCCAAATGTCCATCAATGATAGACTGGATTAAGAAAATGTGGCACATATACACCATGGAATACTATGCAGCCATAAAAAAGGATGCGTTCATGTCCTTTGTAGGGACATGGATGAAACTAGAAATCATCATTCTCAGCAAACTATCGCAAGGACAGAAAACCAAACACCACATGTTTTCACTCATAGGTGGGAATTGAACAATGAGAACACTTGGACACAGGGTGGGGAACATCACACACTGGGGCCTGTTGTGGGGTTGGGGGAGTGGGGAGGGATAGCATTAGGAGAAATACCTAATGTAAATGACGAGTTAATGGGTGCATCACACCAACATGGCACATGTATACACATGTAACAAACCCGCACGTTGTGCACATGTACCCTAAAACTTAAAGTATAATAAAAAAAAATTTCACTAGTAATCACTTAACATATATATACAATTTTAATTTTTCCATTTAATTCAATCCTTGTTTTATCTATGTATAATTTTTAGAAAGCCTAACAGAGAATACATACAAGATTATATTCTGAGTTTGGTCCAGCCCCCCCTCACTCATGAGCATTTTTCCCTACCTCTAAATTGATTGCATACATATTCTAATGGCTACAGGATGACAAATAATTCTAATATCATATTTTACTTAGTCACTTAATATTTTATTATTTCGGTTGTTTGAATATTTTACGATAAAAAATGCTGTAACAAATGACCTCATGAATTTGACTTTTTCCTTTTAGATTATTTCTTAACAAAAGCACAGCAGTTCAAAAGAAGGATTATTTTTATTTTTCCTACCAAGTTGATTTCCAAAAGACTAGCAATTATCATTACTACGAATGTAACAGTTTCAACAGAACTTTATCAGATTTGGGCACTTACACTTTTGGTCAACTTAGAAAACATATCTTAGAAATATATTTGTAAAAGAATAATTTTCTTGCCTTTTTAAAGATGACAAGTGGGAGGGTTGAACTCTCCATGTATAAGTTGGCTGCCCTTACAGGAAATGTAAATGTCCTTTGCACATTTCATCTATTGAAGTCTTGAAGATTTCATTGTATCTCTGGCTTCTAATGTCTTCAATTACTTATATCAATTGCTTTTAATAACAATACAATATTTAGGGAAACTAATATTTTCTAGCAACTTATAGCTTACAAGAATAAACAGGGCAAGTCTCATGGTTTTTAATATGCTTCTTCAAAAAGTATGAACTGATTAATTGCCAGAATGTTAATAATTTCACATGATACATGAAATACAGAGTGGACCACAGTGAAATAGATAGCTCCATCTACTGTAAATACTTTGAATTGGATATCTCCAGCTTTTGTCTTTACGGACTTACTTTCATAATGAATTTAGGAGTTTTGTAAGTGATGTCATGCTCAGAGCCTTTTGCTAGACTCTGAGGGATATAAATATAATTAACATGAGGATGCTGCCCTCAAGGAGCTCCTAGGTGAGCAGTATGAGGGCAGCCCCTAGTCCAGGCTGACATTTGGTGATCTGCTGACTTTATGCTGACTCAGAAAAGCCAAGGTTTTAGAGTGTAAAAGAGTTACTCTGCTTTACCTAAAATCATAATCACTGGAGTGGGATAAAATTAAGTGATGAGTTGGGGAAGGACGTTTGGAAAGTGTTAAGAGAGATGGGCAGGAAAAAGGAAATGCAGGGGAAAGGGTAAGGAGAGGCCAGTGGTGCTCCCATTTATCCCAGGCTGACCACCATCGGAGGGCAAGGAAAGGGTCTTCCCTTTCCTTGAAGGACCAGGTCATTTGTTTACAGCAGTTGTGCCTAGCACAGGCCAGATTTCATTTTCTGAACTAAGAGAACTTTCAAGGAACTATTGTCTGGTAGATGAAATGGATACTCAAGAAAAACCATACCCTGTGATAAGTGTTAGAATAAAAGTATATGTAGTGTGCCTTGGAAGTAGAGAGAAGGAAGAAATTCTTTCTGCTGCAGGGAGTAGGGTCTGGAGCAAGTACGGTATCAGGTCACAGAATGGGACAACCTCCCAAAGGAGGAGACCAGTTGAGATAAGCACTGAAGAATGGCAGGATTTCTAGGGCACAGAAAGAGGAAGGGCATTGTGGGCAAGAGGAAAAGCATGAACAATTGCATGGAGGTGCAAAGTTTCATCATGTGTGTAGGAAACAGTGCAGCCTGATGTGGCTAAAGCTTAGTAAGGTGTTAGAAGACTAACTTCTTAGCAATGCAAGAAGTTACATAAGCAGGAACCAGCATCTGAAGACTTTGAACTCTAGATTAAAAAGTCTGCAGACACTGGGGAGACATTGAGAGTTTTGATGCAGGGCAGGGACAGGACAGCAGGCAATAGGCTTTGCTTGCAACAAAGGAGAGTGTGGATGGTAGCAGATTAGGACTGCAGGTTAGAGAGACAGAAAATAGAGAAATAGAGAACCAGAACCAGGCAATAACAGTACAAAGAGGAGGAAACAGAATTTTCTCTGTCACAAGAGAGAGTTCAAATTTACCAGTGGGATGCACCGTACTGGGCCACGAACTGGACTTGGGCAGCACTTTTAACCAAGATAAGATTCGGGAGAAGAAATGATCAGGTGATTACGATCCATCTGTTGATACAAGATATGGCACATAAAAAGTGCTCTGTCTGCTGGGTGTGGTGGCATGTGCCTATAGTCCCAGCTACTCAGGAGGCTGAAGCAGGAGGATTGTTTGAGCCCAGGAGTTCGAGGCTGTAGTACACGATCATCATGCCTGTAAATAAGCACTGCACTCTATCCTGGGCCACACAGGGAGACCCCATCTCTAAGGGAAAAAATGCTCTATCCATGTTATTTATCATTACTGTATCACTACTATTATTATTTATCTCAAAAACTAAGTCATCTTTTGCTGACTTTTTAAACAGATAACCTTTAGGAAAGTTATATAATTAGATTTCTTTATATTAAGCAAACTACCAGAGATCACTAAAAAAACTGGTTTACTGATTTTAAGATCATTAACCCTTAGAAAAGCGCCTTTGTAACTTGTGCCTATGACTCTCTGAGAGACTGGAGTCACAATGGAGAATAAGTCTGTGTGACTCTGGGAAGCTCATAGTCCAGTGGGAGGGCAGGGGACAGAGGTAAACTAGGGGTCGTAACATCCTACCCTCCCACTGGACACACTAGGGCTTACGCTCCATTATGTCCCCAGTCCCCAGGGCAGTCTTAGAGCATGACCAGTGCTCCAAAGATGTTTGTTGAAGAATGAAGGAATGAATGAATGGAACAAGAAGAATAATTAAATATTTGAAAAGAATCTTTCTTTTGAATTAAACATAATGTGTCTCAGACTCAGAAAGTGGCCAAATGATCCAGCCATGGGATGACAGAACGACTTTGACAGACACTTAGATACTAGAATCTACAATGAACAAGGGTGAGTCTGCATCCTATCCAGAGGCAGCTGAAGTGAAGCCACCGCACTTTCCCTCTCCTGAGCAGTTTTCTCAACTCTAGACTCATCAAAGAGATTTTGGCTGAAGGACAGCTTGGCTGAGTAGATGCTATAGGAAGTGTCAAAATTGAAGTTGACCTTAAAATGGTAAACATAGGTTCAAATGTTCATTCTGAAAGGTGAGCGGGAAAAGATTATATAGGGACTGTGGGTTGAGTTTCATATTTTGCAAACCAAGAAGGTAGGTAGCCTTTCAGAAAGGGTATGGGACAATGCAAAGTCCAGGTTAGCCCTTGACCAGGTAAGGTGGAAGCTTGGTAATTACCTGCTTGTCTTGGCCAATCTTGAAAGATTAATGATAATTTACAAAGATAAAATATATCTTATAATGAACTCTTTTTCCTTATGGTTAATAGAAATAACAGGGTATCTCCTAATGTTTTGGGTCATTTTGTACCTGTAGATAATCAAAGAGCAACCAAACTGATGATAAAATGTGTCCTTTACTGCATACATACAAGTTTCAAACTTTTGTGAACAACCCTCTAGTAAAAGATGTGTAAGGCAGAGATGGGCAGGAAAGTTAAGTTGCAGGTAAGGTAGCACAAAAAACAAGCACCCTCTAAGCTCATGAAAGAACAACAAACTATTTAAGCTTTGCAAGGCTTTAATTACATGCCAGGCACCATGGCCAGAACCTCAGAAAACAAAGTTGACTATGAAAGATCTGATTCTGGTCTTCAAGGAGCAAACAGTAGGGGGAGAAAAGGGTGAGCACAGATCTGGGAGGGCCAGGATTGTGAGCAGTACTTGCCACAGTGGCCCCAGTACCTAGTAAACACAGTGCTCACAAATAGTAGGGATTCAGGGTGTCTGCTTGGATGAAATATGGCCCAAGGCAGCAATGGCTGTGGGACCCCAGATGTGGTTCACAGTGATGCTTGTCCATCCTGAGTCCTTGGGGGTTCAGAAGTGCTCTAGGAGCAGGACAGAGAGGGGCTTCCACTACTGGGGTCCATGGGAGGCCACCTGAATCAGCGTTACCTGCAGAGTCCCAGGCCTCACCCCAGACCTATTTGGTAAGACTCTCTGGGACTTGTCCTAAGAATCTGGCTTTTTAACATATTCTGGAATCAAAACATCTTTTTTTGAAACTCAGTTTTCCTACACTTACTGATTGTGTAAACTTGAGCAAATTAAAAATCTTCCTAGATTTCAAATAGCTCATCTGTAAAATGCAGATAGTAAAATAGTTCTTATCACCCAGGGTTCGTGTTGACACAGTGGAAAAAGGCAACGAAAGCATAAAGCATAAGAAAGCACTCAGCAGCTTAGACAATGATGAGGCAGGTGAGGAGACACAACCATCCATGTGCATTTGCTATTATGGCAATCATCAAACTTTATCGATACTATATGTCATTTTTCTCCATTTTATTTCTAACTGAAAATGCTATTTGAATAGCTTAAGGTTTATGTTTTGCTGTTTTAATTATTTTATTAAAAACAAAACTAAATAACAACAACAAAAGAAGTTTACCCCTTTGGCAAAGACTGTTAATCTTTTTTTTTTTTTTGGAGACAGAGTCGTACTCTGTCACCCAGGCTGTCACCAAGTGCAATCTTGGCTCACTGCAACCTCTGCCTCCCGGGCTCAAGGGGTTCTCCTGCCTCAGCCTCCCAAGTAGCTGGGATTACAGATGTCTGCCACCACACCTGGCTAATTTTTGTATTTTTAGTAGAGACAGGGTTTCACCATGTTGGCCAGGCTGGTCTCGAACTCCTGACCTCAAGTGATCTGCCCACTTCAGCCTCCCAAAGTGCTGGGATTGCAGGCATGAGCCACAGCACCTGGGCAAGACTGTTTATCTTAATTATGATGAAGAAGGCCCTTGGTCAGATTTCCAAGCTCTTAATGCCTGGCAATGTTGTACCCTAATTGCATCTTCTACTTTCTAGAAGATAAAGAGTCTTGGGGGCCTTGAAACCACAACTATGAAAAAGGAGAGTAGGTTGGGCGCGGTGGCTCACGCCTGTAATCCCACCACTTTGGGAGGCCGAGGCGGGTGGATCACGAGGTAAGGAGATCGAGACCATCCTGGCTAACATTGTGAAACCCCATCTCTACTAAAAATACAAAAAATTAGCCAGGCATGGTGGCGGGCACCTGTAGTCCCAGCTACTCGGGAGGCTGAGGAAGGAGAATGGCGTGAACCCGGGAGGTGGAGCTTGCAGTGAGCTGAGATTGCGCCACTGCACTCCAGCCTGGGCGACAGAGTGAGACTCCATCTCGGAAAAAAAAAAAAAAAAAAAAAAAGGAGAGTAAACCATTCACACGTTTACTGCTCAAATGTCTCTGATTCAGATATTTCTCTCTCCCATTAAGACTATCCTCAAAGCCGCTACTACATCTTTTGCACCAGGAGTCCCCATCTAGGCCATTGACTGGTACCAGTCCATGGCCTGTTCAAAACTGAGTACAGCAGGAGATGAGTGGCAGATGAGCAAGCATTACTACCTGTATTAATCAGGGTTCTCTAGAGGGACAGAAGTAATAGGATATACATATATATATATATATATGAGTTTAAGAAGTATTAACACACGATCACAAGGTCCCACAATAGGCTGTCTGCAAGCTGAGAAGCAAGGAAGCCAGTCTGAGTCCCAAAGCTCAAGAACTTGGAGTCCGATGTTTGGGGGCAGGAAGCATCCATCATGGGAGAAAGATATAAGCTGGGAGGCTAAGCCAGTCTAGCCTTTTCATGTTTTTCTGCCTGCTTTTATATTCTGGCCATGCTGGCAGCTGAATAGATGGTGCCTACCCAGATTAAGGGTGGGTCTGCCTTTCCCGGCCCACTGACTCAAATGTTAATCTCATTTGGCAACACCCTCACAGACACACCCAGGATCAATACTTTGCATCCTTCGACACAATCAAGTTGACATTCAGCATTAACCATCACACTACCTGAGCTCCACCTCCTGTCAGATCAGCAGGGGCATTAGATTCTCATAGGAGCGTGAACCCTATTGTGAACTGCGCATGCGAGGGATCTGGGTTGCACGCCCCTTATGAGACTCTAATACTTGATGATCTGAGGTGGAACAGTTTCGTCTAGAAACCATACTCCCCTTCCCTGTGAAAAAACTGTCTTCCACAAAACTGGTCCCTGGTGCCAAAAAGGTTGGGGATTGCTGTTTTACACTATTGCAAACACACACTTCAATTTTGTTCTCCTCTATTTTCTACAGTGGCTGGAATTAACTTGTAAAAATGTAAATCTGATCATATCACCTTTTGCTTGAACACCTTTCACTGAAACACCTTTCAATGGCTTTTCTCTTTTAGATGAAACAACAAAACCTTAACATGATACATGAGTTCCTTTGTGTTTTGGTGCCGTTTTCCTGTCTCTTATCTCTTGCACTACATTGGGTAAATACTGGACTTCTTTGAATAAGTCAGACCTCCTTGCTTTTGGACTTTGGGCATGCTGTTCCTTCTACCTGGAACACTCTGTGCCCTTTACCTGGCTACTAGTACTTCAGGTCTCAGTGTTACAGGTAGATTCTTTACTTAGGAAGACCTTCTTTGACCCCATGGACTATGTTAGAGTCCCCTAATTATGTGGCCCCATATCCATCCATGTGCATTTGCTATCATAGCAATCATCAAACTTTACTGATATTATTTGTTATTTTGCTCCTGCTGTACTGTAAATTCTATGAACATAGGGAACACATCTTATTTTTTCAACTTTGTAGCTCTAGCCCCTGAGATAATTTCTCACACAAAGGAAGTGCTCAATGAATACTTACTGAACAAACGAGAAAAAATATTTTAACAGGTGGCACTCAGAATTCCCCCAGGAAAGGAACTCTCTTGGGGGAAATATCCCCTTAAATCTGATCAGGGTGGGTGTGTCCTTGCTAGTTTGGGATGTTAGCAGGCACTGAGAACTGTCCAAGGAAGAGGGCACCCCTTAGTATTTGAATAAAAAGGCTGAATTTATTGTTTGCTTAAGAAGATCTGTACTTATAAGGCACAGTATGTTAGCCCATTTTGCACCATTATAAAGAAATACCCGAGGCCGGGCAATTTATAAAGAAAAGAGGTTTAACTGGCTCACAGATCTGGAGGCTATACAAGCATGGCATCAGCATCTGCTTGGCTCTGGTGAGGCCTCAGGGAGCTTTCAGTCATGGTGGAAGATGAAGACGGAGTCAGTGTATCACATGGTGAGAGCAGAATAAACAGAGGGAGAAGGGGGCCTTAAACTCTTTTACACAACCAGGTCTCATGTGAACTAAGGACTCAGTCACCACAAAAGGGATGGTGCTAAACCATCTGTGAAGGATCTACCTCCATGATCCAATCACCTCCTACCAGGCCCCACCTCCAACATGCGGACTACATTTCAGCATGAGATTTGGAGAGGACACACATCCAAACTATATCATTCCACCCCTGGACCCGAGTCTTACGTCTTTCTTACATTTAAAAATATCATGCATTTGCAATAACTCCCCAAAGTCTTACTTTGCCAGCGTTAACTCAAAAATCCCTAGGCCCAAGTCTCATCTGGAGAGCCATTCTTTCCACCTGAGTCTGTGAAATAAAAACCAAGTTATTTACTTCCAAGATACAGTGGTGGTACCCAGATGCTGGGTAAATACTCCCATTCCAAAAAAGAGAAATCAGCTAACATAAAGGGGCTACAGGCCCCCTGCAAGTCTAAAACCCAGCAGGGAAGTCATTATATCTTAAAGCTCCAAAATAATCTTTGACTCTGTGTCCCACATTCAGGGCACACTGGTGCAAGGAGTGGGCTCCCAAGGCTTTGGGCCGTTCTACCCTGTGGCTTTGCAGGGTGCAGCACCCATGGCTGCTCTCATGGCTTTGAGTTGAGTACCTACAGCTTTTCCACACTGAGTTTGCAAGCTGCTGGTGGCTCTACCATTCTGGGGTCTGGAGGGCAACAGCCTCTTTCCCACAGTTTCACTAGGCAGTGCCCCGGGAGGGACTCTATGTTTGGGCTCCAATCCCATATTTCCCTTTGGTGTTTCCTTATTAGAGGCTCTCCATGAGGACTCTGGCCCTGCAGCAGGCTTCTGCCTGGGCACACCCAGGCTTTCTCATACATCCTCTGGCATCTAGGTGGAAGTTGCAAAGCCTCCTTCACTCTTGCATTCTGTCCACCTGCTGGCTTAACACCACATCGAAGCCATCAAGGCTTATGGTGGCTTCCACTCTCCAAAGCAATAGCCCAAGCTGTACCTGGAGTCCCTTGAGCTACAGCTGTAGCTGGAGTGGCCAGGATGCCAGGACTAGCGTCCTGAGGCTGTGCTGGGCAGAAGTGTCTTGGGCCTGGCCCCTGAAACCATTCCTTCCTCCTAGGCCTCTGGGCATTTGAAAGGGCTGCCTCGAAGATTTTTGAAAGGCCTCTGAGGCCTTTTCCCCATTGCCTTGGATATTAGCACTTGGCTCCCTTTTATTCATGCAAATCTCTCTAGCAAGTGGTCAGATTCATCTGCTGAAAAACACTTTTTCCTTCTTTACCACATGGCCAGGCTGCACATTTTCCAAACTTTTACACTCTGGTTTCCTTTTAAATATGAGTTCCAACTTAAGTCATTTCTTTGCTCCCATATCTGATAGTAGGTTAGAAGCAGTCATACCACTTCTTGAATGCTTTGCTGCTTAGAAATTTCTTCTGCCAAATAACCTAAGTCATCACTCTTAATTTCAACCTTCCACAGATTCCTAGGACACAATGCAGCCAAGCTCTTTGCTAGGATGTAACACAGGTCACCTTCGCTCCAGTTCCCAGTAATTTCCTCATTTCTATCTGAGACCTCCTCAGCCTGGCCTTCACTGTCCATATCTCTATCAGCATTTTGGTCATAACCACTTTACAAGTCTCTACGAAGTTCCAAACTTTCCCTCATCTTTCTCTCTTCTTCTCAGCCTTCCAACCTCTTCCAACCTCTGCCTGTTACCCAGCTCCAAAGGTACTTCTATATTTTCAACTGTCTTTACAGTAATGCCCCACTCCTTATACTGATCTTCTGTATTAGTCCATTTTTGCATTGCTATAAAAAATGCTTGAGGTTGGGTAATTTATAAAGAAAAAGGTTTAACTGGATCACAGTTCTGCAGGCTGCACAAGCATGATGCCAGCATCTACTGGGCTTCTGGTGAGGCCTCAGGTAGCTTTCAATCAGTGTGGAAGGTGAAGGGAAGCCAGTGTGTCACATGGTGAGAATGGGAACAAGAGAGGGAGAAGGGGAAGGTCCCAAACTCTTTTAAACAACCAGATCTCACATGAACCAAGTGAGAACTCACTCATCACCCAGGGAATGGGTAAACCATTCATGAAGAACCACCCCCGCCCCATGATCCAATCACCTCCCACCAGGCCCCACCTCCAACACTGGGAATCACATTTCAACATGAGATTTGGAGGGGACAAACATCCAAACTATATCATACAGTCTTTCTAATTAAAGCACATTGCATATCCTAAATACGTATTTAGGAATTTTAGAGTTCAGGGATTGCTGGATTTTCAGAAACAGGAATATCTATGGATTGACTGATCATTAGCTATGGAAGCATGGTTATTGGGCTGAGACTTGTTAACTGGCTGTCTCAGAAAGTTGGCGTTGTCAATGACTGGCCAGTTTTCAAAAACCTGTGTAATAGTTAGAGTTGATCAATCCGGCTGTTTCTGGGGGGTTTTTTGTTACAGCAGCAGAACAAAACAAATACTCATTGTTCTGGGAGGGCAGAGGTACAAACTTTTATTCTCAGCCTCCAGGAGATGAAAAAACAATAAATGAATAAACAAGTAATTACCAAAGAGGAGAGCGGAAGAAAGAGAAGAAAGGTGAAGTCACAGAGGAACTCTACCATGATGGGGTCCAGAAGACACTTTGAGAACAATACCTTCTATTTTACTTAAGTTGTGTTCATTGATACAAGGCAAACTCTCCTTCTTCCTATCCCACCTTCCTGCTAATATCCTCTTGCATTTTTAGTAAGTGTTACCTTAGAGAGCATGAATGAGCATATTGGACAATGGAGGGAAGATGGGTTTCATGTCCAAGTCAATGAGATGTGAGGCAAAGGTGGTTGGTGCCTTACTTGCCCAGAGCCTAGGGTGACCCTGAAAATATAAGTGAGCTACACTGGAGAGTCATAGATTTTGGTTTGAAATCAGGATTAGTGAAGTCTAATTTGAATTATATAAAATGTAGTGTATAGTTCAATGAGTTTTGACAAATGTTTGCAGTGTGTAACAACCAGGCACGATCAGGATATAGGACATTTTTATCACCCCAAAAAGATTCTCCCCATTATAACCCCTAAAGCTACACATCTGATTTCTTTCCCTATAGCTCTGCTTTTTTTCAGAAAGTCACAGAAATGGAATCCTACATTATATAACCCTTTGTGTCTGGTTTCTTTCACTTTGCTTATAAGATTCAACAGTGTTGTTCCATATACCAGTATTTCATCCCTTTTTTATTGCTGCATAGTGTCCCATTATATGGATGTGCCACAAGTTGTTTTCCATTTGCCAACTGATAGATACTGGAGTTGTTTCTAGATTTTGGCTTCATTTCTTTTAGGTAAATGTCTAGGAGTAGGAATGCTAGGTGTGATGGTTAATATTAGTCGTCAACTTGACTGGATTGGGAATGCCTAGGTCACTGGTGACACACTGTTGCTGGGTGTGTCCACAACTCATGGTGTGTCCATGAGTTGTTTCCAGAGGAGACTGGCATGTGAGTCAGTGGACTGAAAAAGAAAGACCAGCCCTCAATGTGGGTGGGCACCATCCAATCACATTGGGATGTGGCTAGAATAAAGCAGGTGGAAGAAAAGGGACATTCAGCTTGCTTGGCTTTCCTTTTTTGCTCTCTCACACTTCTGGAGCAAGAAGACTTTTCTGCCTCTCACCCTTGGACATCAGACTCCAGGTTCTTCAACCTCTGGGCTCTGGGACTTACACTAGCAGCCTCCCAGGGACTCTCAGACCTTCAGCCTCAGAATGGGGGCTGTAGTGTTGGCTTCCCTGGTTTTGAGGCTTTCACACTTGGACTGAGTTACACTATTGGCTTCTTTCATTTTCCAGCTTGCCTAATTGTGGGACTTCACCTTTGTGAACATGGGAACCAATTCTCCCTAACAAATTAACTTCCATACACATACACACAAACACACATATATCTACATACACATATACATACATATACATGTATATACACATAATTGTATATCTATGTAGACATGTATATATGTATATCCACACACATGTGCGTGTATATACACACATACACATGTGTATATATGTATATCCACACACGTGTCTATGTGTACATCCACACATGTGTATATGTGTATATCTACATATACATATATGTATATATATGTGTATTAGGGTTCTCTAGAGAGACAATATACTAGGTTTTATGGAAAATATATCTTAACTTGATAAGAAACTGCCAAACTGTTTTCCACAGTGGTTACAGCATCTGCATTCCCATCAGCAATGTATGCGAGTTCCAGTTGTACTATACCCTTGTCAGCACTTGATAAGGTTGTAACCATAATTGGTCCAGTGCCCAATGCATTCAGCAAGTCAACATGTGGAGACACCAGGCTGCAGCAGAGAGGTTTAGTCGTAGTGTCACAGAACAGGGAGACAGGAGGGAACCTCAAATCCATCTCCTTAAGGAGTTTGGGGTAGGGTTTTTTAGGGTTTTGGAGTGGGCCGAAGGGCAGAGATCATTCATTGGTTGAACAGTGCAGGTTGAAGTCATAGGGCAGGAGATGAGGAAGCTGTCTTCTCATGCTGATTCTGCGCTTCAAAATGCTTATGGAATTCAGGGTCTGTAAACATCTTAACTGATCCTTAAGCAAAAACCTTATGGTTTTAATGTCAGAGATTCTATCTATAGGAACAATAGAGATGAAAATCAACTGTTAAATAGTCATGATCCTAAAGTTGGAAATTCTATTGATAGGAACAACTGCGGATGCAACTGGTCAGTATCTAGAGTGCTGTGTGACTTTCAGCAACTGATAAATGGGTCAAAGTGCAGCCTGATTAATGCTGATTTTTTTTTTTGTCATGAGTAAGACGATATCTACTAGATTCCTCTTTTGTAAAGTTCCTGTTTTTTTAAATAAGAATTTCATGGGGAGATGCTTTGAACCTATGTAAGTAACTCATTCCTTATTCAACTTTTCCCCACTAGATTTAGCAAACATTGATATTTCTTGTCTGATGATTGCCAAATGGTGATTTTCTAATTCTGTTTACTGAGTACCCCCATTTTTCTAAGAGAAAGATAACTGTGTTTTAAAACATTTTTTTTTTCTTTTCTCCTTTTCTCCTTTCTCCCACTTCCCACTTAGTTCCTTAGAAATGCAATTATAATCTTTACCTTCCCTTCACCAGACACTCCTTACAGGGCAAGCTTATTTAACCATGTGCTTTTAGAAGGTTCTAAGCCAGAAATCTCTCCCACCAGGAGACTGCCTGGAGAGACAACAGTCAATTTACAATCTAAACTATGCCTGCTAGGAAACTCTGTCCCACTTGGAGAGCATCTCAGACAATGGCCACTTTACAATCTAGTCCTGCCTGCCATGGTGCCAGCTCAAACACCCGGTAGATAAAAGCGCTAAGGAGAGTCATGTAGATCCTCACCTGCTTGCTCCCTCCCCTGCATGCCATTCATGCCAAGTCCCACTTTAAAAGCCCCTGCTTTCTGCCCCAAAAGCAAATCAGTACCTTAAGGCAGGAACCTGCACTTTTCCCCCTACGTTAAGCTTTGGAATAAAAAGTCACTTTCTTTACGGCAGACCTCACTCTTGTTAATTGTGCTCTGTAAGCAGTGGGCTGCTGAACCTATGACTGGGTTACAATTCCATTCTTTTTTCTAAATATATTATTGAATTCTATTCTAAAGAGCTCTTTATTGCCATTTATTTTTTTTTTTTGAAAGTGTGGACTCATAGATTCCATTTTAACCCATGGGATATAATCTCCTGCTACTGTGATTTATTTTGATGTTCAAATTGTCCCAGATTTGGCCAACAGGAGCCCTTTCAAGCTGATTGCTTTGTCCTTTTGAACTGTCTCCACCATTTCTTGAGCATTTCCACACTTTCTAGCACAAGATGTTCCAGTCTCATACTATACTTTCTCTGGCCCAACCCTAAAATCAGCCATTTCTCTAAAGCGCCCTGGTTCCTTTTCATGGAGAAAGGTGTTTAGAGCTAGGTGTTAGGTGTTCTCTTGGCTAATGTGGTGTTGCTGCACCAAGACCTTCTCACTGGTTAGGCCTAGGAAATATATGTAAATACATTTATAGACATGTGTGTGTATATAACTGACTGTGGAAAAATTACACACCCTATTCCCTCACCCTCAACAATTAACAAAGAAGACTTCAGTGACCAAATGTCGGGGGGCGTTTCCCCACACACCAAGCAAGCAATCGATTCTGCAGCAGACACCAACTGGGTGTCCTCCAATTCCCTTCTAACCTGGAGATAGCATCAGATCCCACAGGTTGAGGCTCACTCCCCAACACATCCCAACAACTGCCCCACTCTGTCCCTGGCCACTGACCAGTCCCAAGTCTGGGCCTCCAGAACTTCCGACAGGCTTCAAGTTGTGGTTGCCATGACCCCCTCTTGGGTTAGATTAATTTGCTAGAGCAGCTCACTGAACTCAAGCAAACACTTATGTTTACAAAAGATATTACAAACAATACAGATGAAAAGATAAATAGGATGAGGTGTGGGAGAAGGGGCTCAGACCTTTCATGCCTTCCCTGGGTGCACCACCCTCCCAGGAACCTCCTGGTGTTCAGCTATCTAGAAGCTCTCCAACCCTGTCCTCATGGGTTTTTATGCAGGCTTCATTACATAAGGGATGACTGATTAAACTATTGGCCACTGGTGATAACCTGACCTTCAACCCTTCTCTTCTCCAAGAAGTTGGTGATAGGCTGAAGGTCCAACCCTCTGATCCTGCCTTGGTCTTTCTGATGACCAACCCCATCCTAAAGCTACCTAGGGGCTCCCAGCCACGAGCCAACTCATTAGCATACAAAAGACATCACTTCGGTGTTTGTAAGAAATTTAGGAGTTGTACACCAGAAAATGAGGTCAAAGACCAAATATATATTTCAGAATCTCACAAAATATATAGATACACACTTTTACATTTATATTTATTTTTATATCTACATGTATTAAGAACCATGACTTTACATGAATATCTCCAATTCCAATCCAATCACACAAACTTCTTGCTTTTCTTATTTCTGTACTTGTAACTCCCTTCTCCAACAGGGAAAAATCTGGCTCCCATTAGCCTCAATATAGTTTTTCTTTGTGTAGTTCTCCTGTATGTAATCAGCTGTCTGGCCTTGCAGGGCTGCTGCCCCACCTTCCTTCTTTGGGCTCAGACTCCTCACTGAACTGACAGCCCAGTCCAATATGGGAGTGACTATATTCTCCCATGTAGATGGAAAAGCAGAGAGAACAAGTTAGCAGAGATACATAGAAAACAATCACAAGGGGCACAGAGAGTACCTTTTGGGTTCCTGGAAGCTTTTCAATGACTGGTTCTAGTTTTTGCTAAGATGTGGCTGTATTCCTGTTCTGGGCTTTTGTGAGAAGCACCTATATCATTATGGTAAATTCTCCCTTTTTGGTTGCGCTAGTTCAGCTTGGTTTCTGTTACTTGCAAACAGAGAGTCTTAAAGGTATATTTAAATCCTGGCTTGTTCTACAAAAAATAAACCAAATTGTGGAAATAATAGGGGCTAAGGGAAAATAAAAATTAGCCCATAGAAAATGCATGCCACATGGTACTATACCGTTGCTTAACACGGGCTGAAATATAGGCTTTAAGATTTCTAGTGATCCAAACAAAGTGTGAAACAATATCCCTTACAAGATTTTATGTCTCTGGATTTAAAACAAACCAGCAAGTGGAGCATGAATAGATAGACCATTAGAACGGATACAGAGTCCAGAAGTGAACTGCTCAATAAATGACTGTGTAGCCACCTGGACAAAAAAATTAATTTGGATCTATACCTCACCCTATATATTAAATCGATTCCAAATGGATCAACTTTTAATTCCAAAAGACTTAAAGTCTAAATGTCCATCAATAGAGAATTGGTAAATTATGGTATGGATATACCTGCAATAATATGTTAAGGGGGTTGAAAAAACAGCAAGGAGCTCTCTATGTGTTACTATAAACATGCCCCCCGGATACATTAAGTAAAAAACACAAGGTGGAGTAAATATGTATGGCATGCCGGCATTTTTCTAAACAAGGAACACAAAGGGCATATCTTGGCTCATATATACATAAACATTTTGAAGAATGAGCAGGAAACAGTGGTCACCTATTTGTGACACTAGGACAGGTGTGAGGGACATCTTTTTCCACTGTGTATCTTTTATAGGCTTTCTGATAAATGAATAATATGGATATACTATTTATTTTAAAAATAAAAACTGAAATTGATAAAAATCAGACAAACCGGCCAGGCGCAGTGGCTCATGCCTGTAATCCCACCACTTTGGGAAGCCGAGGCAGGTCAGGAGTTCGAGACCAGCCTGGCCAACATGGTGAAACCCCGTCTCTACTGAAAATACAAAAATTAGCCGGGCGTGGTGGCACATGCCTGTAACCCAGCTACTTGGGAGGCTGAGGCAGAAGAATCGCTTGAACCTAGGAGGCAGAGGTTGCAGTGAGACGAGATTGCGCCATTGCACTCCAGCCTGGGCGACAAGAGTGAAACTCTGCCTCAAAAAAGAAAAAAACAAATACATAAAATTAAAAAAATAAAAAAATCAGGTATACCTGCTGATGGAACAAGCAGCCTGGCTAGTCTTGACAGATTGCAAGAGGGCAACCAGAGGGGCTGAAGTTGTACCAGCCCACAAATTTCCACTGCCAATAGAGTCCAGTGCCTACCCCCATACTGAGATGCTGTCCTTCTCATAAAGGCTTATCAGGGAGTCCACCGAAGAGATATCTACATTTGGGGATAAGTTAAGACGATGTTCTTTAAGCCAGACACTTATTTAACGCCCACCGATATTTTAATTCCTAGCTACAAAGAAAACCTTATATGTATGACTGGGGTCTTAAAGGTATGACATGCTCACCGTGCTTGACATATAAGAAACTACTTTTTTAAATACATGGGTCTGCCAGGAGCATCCTACTTCCTAATTTTGCCCATAAATATGCTACTTTCAAGTGAAACCTTAAGCCAATTCATAGTAAATATATTATCAAAATTTTAGCACAGTAATGACTGAGCACACCAGCCTCAAAGCCAGACTACGTGGGTTCAAATCTCAGTTGTTCACTTACTGGCTACTTACTTGTTGGAAGTTATTCCATTTCTTCGTCTGTTAAAACAGGAAGCAGGCTGGGTACGGTGGCTCACGCCCGTAATCCCAGCACTTTGGGAGGCCAAGGCGGACGGATGACAAGGTCAGAAATCGAGACCATCATGGCCAACATGGTGAAACCCCGTCTCTTCTAAAAATACAAAAATTAGCTGGGTGTGGTGGCGTGCCCCTGTAATCCCAGCTACTCGGGAGGCTGAGGCAGGAGAATCACTTGAACCTGGGAGGCGGAGATTGCAGTAAGCCCAGGTCGCACCACTGCACTCCAGCCTGGAGACAGAGTGAGACTCCGTCTCAAAAGAAAAAAAAAAAAAAAACAGGAAGCAGTTTCAGCACCTACCTCACAATGTGCACACAGTTAAAGCACCTACCTCACAGGGTGCACACAGTTAAAGCACCTACCTCACAGGGTGCACCTAAGGATCACAGGCATGCAAGCCCTAGATCAGCCTGCCCAATGGCAATATAATGCAGGCCACAGGTGACATTTAAAATTCTGTAGAACCCACACTAAAAAATAAACAAATAAAACTTTTATCCCAATATATGGAAAAAGTTTATCACTTCAACATGTAACAATTTTTTGAACATTATTTGGTAAAGAATGCATATATCTCGATTCCGACTAGCCATACTTTAAGTGCTCAGGAGCCATGTGGGGCTGGTGGCCCCAAACTGAACAGCACAGCCCAGGCAGCAGGGGCGCATAGTAGGTTCTGCTCACGCCCATGGTCTGAAAGAAACACGGTTGCAGTTGCTGTGAGCACACCTCACCTGGAGCAAACCGGCCTATCAGGGGGTCCACTGAAGAGATGTCTACATTTGGGGATAAATTAAGAAGATGTTCTTTAAGCCAGCCACTTATTTAATTCCCACCGATATTTTAATTCCTAGCTTCAAGCTGTGGTGCGCGGTTCCGACCTATGCAAATGAACAGCTTACAAACAGAGGGCCACCATCTATTTCTCATTATCTGGGGATCCCGGTTGGGGTGGGGGGCGGAAGTGGGTGTTTGTTATTTCCCCAAATGCGGAGGCCCCTGCACCACTAACGCGAGGAAACGCAGGCGAGTGGGAAGGTACTTTAAAAAGGGGAGGGAGGTGCTCAGAGGGAAGCTAAGCTCTCCGGGAAACAATTACGGCCACGTTACGGTCTGTGGGTGCCAGAAGGAGCAACAATGGAGGCAGTCGAATTCCGAGAGCTCAGAGAGTCTGCCAAACTTAGCCGGCCTCGGCGCGCGGGTTCCCGGGGGCCCCAAAAACTCCGGGCAACTGCGGCCCAACGCCAAGGTCCAGTCCAGGCGCTGGGCCGCAAACGCCTCTCCGGCCTCCGCGCGCGCGCCCGCTGTCTCCCTGCTCCTGAGTGGCTGGGGGGCCGGGATTAACCTTTCACCGCCAGGCCCTGTCCAATCACAGGCTCGCTCTCATGCCGCCACGGGGCGAGCGGAGCGTGGGGGCGCGGAGGGGCGGTGCGGGAGCCAGTGGGATTCTCCAAGCGGCTGTGCGCCGTTGCCGCGGGCCGTGCGCTGGCTGCCGGCCAGCCGGGCGCTGCGCAGTCTCCGCAGGCGCCGGCGGGAGGGGTCGAGGCGGAGGCGCGGCGCAGGCTGCTGCAGGCCCAGGTGAATGGAGTAACCTGACAGCGGGGACGAGGCGACGGCGAGCGCGAGGAAATGGCGGCGGGGGCGGCGGCGCCGGGCGGCTCCGGGAGGCCTGGGCTGTGACGCGCGCGCCGGAGCGGGGTCCGATGGTTCTCGAAGGCCCGCGGCGCCCCGTGCTGCAGGTGAGGCGGGCTCCCGCGGAGCAGCTTTGTGTCCGGGGCGGGGAGCGGGTCGCCTGGCCGCGCTCCCGCCTCCGCGCGGAGGCCCGCGTGCCGGCCATGGCCCCGAGCCGCGCGTCCGGGCCTGGCGGGCGCTGACGAAGGGCGCGGCCTCGCCTGCCTCGTCGTCCCGCACAGCGCGGCCTGTGGACCCGGCGTCTGCCCGCCTCGGCTCTGCTCCTGGGCCCGGACCCCGGCGCCTCCCCGCGAGGCAGCCCTGGGAGACTTTCCGGGCCGCCGTGGCGTGGTGGGGGATGCCGGCGCCTGTCCACTCCCCGGCCTGGCGAGGCCTGGGGCTCTTGACAGGTCCCGTCACGCGCGCTAAGGTGGCGCGGGAGCAGCGGAGGTGGAGACGCGCGCCTGACCTGCCGGAGCACCCTGGGGCCCTCCTCTGATGGGGCCGCTGTGCCGCGCCCGGAGGGGACGAAGCTGGGCTCTCGGTCCCTCCCGGGAGGGTCCTGTGTGATTACTGTCAGGGGACCAGATTGGGGCCCTGGGGGGCGGGCAGGGGCCGAGGCCATTCTTTTGCCTCTCCCCTCAGATGTTTTTGTGCCAAAATGCCTAGACCCTGCGGAGGACCCTTTCTTCAGGGTTTTTGATTTTGGGGAAATCAGTGTATGTTTTAAGTTAGCACATCAGATTTCTGTAGATTGTCCAGAAAAGCTGAGTTGCCCTGATGGCTCTGCCTGGAGGTCAGAGCCAGCAAACCACTGAGTGTGTCCTTAGGAACCTGAAGATCCGCGGAAACGTGGAGATGAGTTGGAGGGTCCTATTTGTGTAGTGTTAACTCCGTGCTTTTGTGGAGAGAGTTGTGGTTAAAGGGACACGTTACTGGTCTACACGATAAGTAAGTGTTCTTAGGACTTTCAGGTTTTAAAAACATTCATCTGATGAAAGAGGATCACTTGGACGCCTATGCTTCTGTCTTCGAATATTCTGAATCTTTACAATCCTGATTGTCAGGTGTCTTCGTGGTGCTTGTTTTCAAACAGTGGAAAAGGACTCAGGTTAGGATTTAAGCAACTCGGAAAATATTGTTAAAAATGTGCTGTTAAAACAGGTTAGCTATATTGAATATGTATTGGTGTAAACGTTAAGTTTTCTAAATAAAAATATACATCCTCACCAAAAAACTCAGTTTATTAAAAGATGGGTTCGGGATAAGCCAGGTCCTAGAGAATAGTAATTTTCAATATTATTGATATCTTTGGAAATTAGGTTCTGGAATAGCCAGTTTATTTTGCAAAGTCTACTTTAAAGCTACCTGTGGCACGTGTGTATTATATGTAATATGTGCTGTGTACATGCACATACATACACAATTATTTCAAAACTTCATTTTAGGGCATATTCCATAAAACTCAATAGATAAAAAAACAAAAAACTAAAGATTGCTTTTAACATGGTCACTATAAACATTGATCATGGTAACATAGGTTTATAGATTTACTCACGGCACCAAAATGCTGTTTTAAGAAGAGAACAGTTAGTCCATTTTAATTTGGGGAGAAAAGACATTTTCCTACAATCCTTTTTAGTAAGGGCCTGCTTTACTTTTTATGCTTCCATCTCATGTTTGAAGGGTAAGCCCTGACTGCTCTGCTGTATTTTGCCCGTGGCTCAATGTGTGAGTTGGGTAGCTAGGTTGTTTTGCTATTATTGAGCTTTATTGTCTTGGTTTTAGAAGACATTGTCTTTTGATGTGGCTCATGATTCTTATTTGACAGTGATTTTGTCATATAGTGGGTTGTACAGTACTTGTAGTGCTATCTTCTAGAGAGGGTGACTTTTATGGCGTTGGGATGTTTTATTCTCTACCACTATCTGACATGTGAGGTGCTTGTTTCATTTGAGAAAGTAGATATTTCGTAGACAGTCTCTCACTTGCGACCCTACCATGTCATGGTCACGTTTCCACTTGCTCATGGCAAAGGAGATAAGGGAAACGTGTTATTGAGTGCCTCCTTGTTATGCGCCAAGATGTTTCAGGTTCTACGTACATTCTCTTCTAATCCTCACTGTGACCCTGCGATCAACTCGATATTGTCCTTGTTTTATAGGCAAGGAAACTAAGAGTCAGTGATTATTACCCCAAGTTAGGAATCTCGAAGTGGCAGAGCCGAGATCGAATTGTGGTTTGGTTTCAGAATCTTTGGAGGCATGCTTTTTGTATTGCATTACTGTTCCAAATGGATTTCAGGGCTGCATCACGTGTAGTGACTCCTCAGTTAAGACTTGTGGAATGAATGAAGCTGTGTCTAACCTTAAATGTTCAGGTGAATGAATGGTTATTTGAATATTTCAGATAGTTGTTTTTTTTTTTTTTTGGCATGGTAAAATATACATAACACAACGTTGAACCATTTTAAGTGTACAACTAGCTGGCATACAGTACATTTACATTGTTTTTAGTCATTACCAGCATCCATCTCCATACTTTTTCATCTTTCCCAACTCAAACTGTCCTCATTAACACTAACTCCTGATTCCATCCTACCTTCAATGCCAGAGAACCACCATTCTACTTCCTGTCACTGACTACTGGAGAAACCTCAAAATAAGTAGAGTCATACAGTATTTGTTCTTTTGTGTCTGGCTTATTTTACCCAGCATAGTGTCTCCACGGCTCATCTGTGATGATTTAGATGTCAGAATTCCCTTCCTTGGAAAAGCTGAATGGTATTTCATTGTATGAATATACTGCATTTTGTTTATCCATTCATCTGTCCATGGCCACTTGGGTAGCTTCTATCTTTTGGCTACTGTGAATAATGGTGCTGTGAACGTAGGTATACAAATAATTCATTGGAGTCCATGCTTTCCCTTCTTTTAGACATATACCTCAAAGTGGTCACATTGTTTCTTGATCTTCAAAACACTAGACTAGACTCAGAATTTATTGCAGTATGAGTTTTCTCAGGGTTCCTCCAAGCAGTGATAATTTCCTACAAACAACTCCTCTGTCAGTAAAATCTGTAATCTCTCTGAAGCCCAGGGTCGACTCCTTTTTACGATCTTGGTTCCAATCATAGTGTCTGGCAGGTATTCAAAAAACTGATCAAACATGGAGTGATGTGCTTTATTGAATGCCAGAGGAAGATATTGGTGAGGTCTTTAATTTGTATAAAGAGAAAGTTGGAGCCAAGTGACTTATTTTGTTTACCTTTTGCTGTGCTTTTTGGACATTCAAGAGCTTAGTTCATCCTGAAAGCCCAGTGTATGTATTATACTCGCTCTTATTCACAGGTTTCTTTGCAATTTACGACTTGCCAAATGACTAGTCTTCTGAGGCAGCATTATTTTCTTGGTATTCCACCTCCTTAGCCTGTGGGGCTTGGACCTTTTGATTTTTTGATGGCTAGTTTTCACTTCTTCCAAATTTCTGCTAAGACTCTAGTATTAGTACATTTATTTAATAGTTTATGATGTCTATTTTGAGAAAGGATTTGAAATGGTCTTATAATAGGAAAGTATTAGAGTACTATGAAAATGGTAAAGGTTGGTAGTATAGAATGTGGAGGCAGAGAATTAGATGAATGATTGGGGCAAGGAAAGGTGAGTGCTGCATGTAACTCACGTTGATTAATGAAAGGAAGCATACCAATTTGAAGCAGATTTTTCTCTTGTATGAAGAATAATCAATCTTTTGGATTATTACATTAAATAACATTAGCAATATATGGAGAAAATGTTTTACATTTTACAAACGATAGAGAAACATTTTTTCACATGCCATTTTAGAGAAACTGGATAAAAGCCTCAGGCATAATAGAAAAGCTTTAGTAATACAGGTGTTCACTGTTCCAGTGGTTTGATTCATTAATTTCTTTTGGGTGGTGTCCCTCGAATATCAGTTGTCTCATTCAGGCTGTTGACAGATGCTAAATAACAATCCATTCAGGAATAAGCTCTGTGGACAACATGGGCAGTGAGGATTTTCCAAATAGGAATTCTCACCCAGTCTTTTTTTTTTTTTTGAGACGGAGTCTCACTACGTTGCCCAGGCTGGAGTGCAGTGGTGCGATCTCAGCTCACGGCAAGCTCCGCCTCCTGGGCTCATGCCATTCTCCTGCCTCAGCCTCCCGAGTAGCTGGGACTACAGGTGCCCGCCACCACACCCTGCTAATTTTTTGTATTTTTAGTAGAGATGAGGTTTCACCGTGTTTAGCCAGGATGGTCTTGATCTCCTGACCTCGTGATCCTCCCGTCTCGGCCTCCCAAAGTGCTGGGATTACAGGTGTGAGCCACCGTGCCCAGCCCTCTCACCCAGTCTTTAGGAACGTGTGTTGGTCTAAAAAGTAAGACTGGTTGTATCGTGGTGTATACTTGATGAATTAATACAGAAAGAAAAAGATTATTTTTGAGATGTAGCTGGTGAAATTGACATTTTCAGTTATGTAATAAAGCCTTTGTTAAAATAATTCTGAGTGCAAAATGGCTTCCTCATCTAAAATTGTCAATGAATTGTTGGTACTCCTTTAACATGCAGTTACCTCAATATGCATTTTAAATAAGTGACTAAGAAGATGCTACAAAACATTCTCTGAGGATGTCAGTAAGACTGTTACTAGAAGTAAGACATGACAGGCTTAAGTTTGGCCTTAGAGTTTTTTCTTTTTGTTTTTTAGGCTTATAACAGCATTACATGTTCTTGGTTGTGTTAAGGTTTATGGAATAGTAAGGATTAGATTCTTCATGCATGTTCATTACCAGACATGGTGCTTGACATATAGGAGACACTCCGATTTGTTGAGTGAGTAAGTTAATTTATAATACTTTTTGAAGTATTTAGAAGCTAACACAGTTTTGTGGGGAAGAATATTGCTTGCATATTAAGGCTTTTAAAAAGATTATTACTATTCTGCTTTTGGACAAATCATGCTACTTGGTCCTTTTTGCTTTGTGAGGTACGTATGATTATGTGCACAGAAACATTGCAGACTGAGGGAAGTGTTAAGAATCGTGGGAGAAAATCGCCGTCAAAATTGGAGTTTAACTGTATTGCAGACTTTCTCCTTGTTGGCACAGACTAACTCTGTTGTGCTTGTTCGTTCTTTGACAGCTCAATGTATGCCATAAAGCAGGGGTTTTAACAACACATTTGAACAATTCTTGAGGATTAGAAAATGAGGTCTGTTAACCAGTTCAGAATTTTAAGAAAACAAACCGGTTGTACTTAGAGAACTTGAATAATGAGAGAAGACTCTTAGTTTAAAAACTGATCTTTGACATGATGTAGGAAGGTTCTTTGATTAAGAAGTTAAATGACCCTGTTTGAAGGGAAAAAGAAAGGTAGTAGTCGTATTTAGTCGTATTTAGTCCTCTGAGATGTTTCGAGATTGCAGGATTTCTGTCTTTCCTCTTTTGGTAACATCCTGGGAGGTGAGATTAACATGATGAACTCACAGCCTGTCCGCCTCTTATGCATCCTGCTGCCCAGCCATCACTGTCAGTTGCTCTGATTCATGGTATTTTAAGTTCTTTCCACTTTGCAGAGTTAAATATTAATGTTTTATCATAGCTTTGTAGGGATGCTTAAGAGCAAGTGTTTGGCGTCAGAGAGACCAGGGTTCAAATCCTGATTCTTCGACTTTATAGCCGATGAGCACTGGGCATATGGCAACGTCTCTTGAGTCTCAGCTTCCTTGTCTATAAACTGTCGTAGTGGTGTTTGCCTCTTGAGGTTTTGAGAAAAAAAAGGAGTTTCTTAAACTCTCATGGTACATAACTAGCATTTGATAAAATTAATGTAATATTTTTCTTTTAAATACGTGTATTAGAGAAAATTTTAACATGCAATAGTCTTAATGTGATTAGATTATATTGTGAGCCCCCAAATTATCAATATTGAAATGTATGGTCTAGTAATATAATGGAGGATGAAGGAAAAGAGGGCTTGAGAACAATATTTTACAGACAAGTTTTCGAGGAGGATTATCTATACTGGTTCAGCTATCTTAGTTGGTCTCTGTAGTAGTGATACCAAATGTAACAGTGCCTTAAACGTCTCTTAACTTTCCCTAAATAACACATTCTTCATCTGCTATGCATGAATTAACACATCATCCTTGAAATCATACTTCAATTCAGTGTATAAAGCCAAGTGTTTTGTAAAATAAACCTCAAGTTAGGTTTTATGTTTCCTTATGATTAGATTCAGGTTTCAGCTGGGCACAGTGGCTCACTCCTGTAATCTCAGCACTTTAGGAGGCCAAGGCAGGAGGATCTCTAGAACCTAAGAGTTTGAGGTAGCAGTGAGCTATAATTGTGCCACTGCACTCCAGTCTGGGCAACAGAGCGAGACTCTGTTCCCCTCTTTCCCCCGGCAAAAATAGATTCAAGTTTTGTACTTTCAGTAGGAAAACTACATTAGGTATGTGTTGTCAGTTTGTCCTAATACTGGTGATCTTAGCTTTGTCACTTGGATTAAAGGGGTATCTATCTGGTTTTTCCACTGAATAAAAATACTAGTTTTCATTTGTAATTAGTAGGTAATCTGCAGAAAAGCTTTCAGGCTATGTAAATATTCTTTAGTAACCTTCACCCAATGGTTTTAGCATCCATTAATGATCCTTGCTTCAATCACTAATGTGATGGTTAAAAATGGTGACTTTTCTGTCATTCCTTCTACATTTATTAGTTGACATTCAGTAGAGTTTCGCCTGAATTTTAAACCTAACAAAATACGATTTCTTTTTTGTTGTTGTTAATGCTGAGTCTTGCTCTGTCTCTCAGGCTGGGGTGCAGTGGCGTGATCTTAGCTTACTGCAACCTCTGGCTCCTGGGTTCAAGCGATTCTCCTGTGTCAGCCTCCTGAGTAGCTGGGACTACAGGTGCAAGCCACTATATTGAGCTAATTTTTGTATTTTTTAAGTGGAGACGGGGTTTCACCATGTTAGCCAAGCTGGTCTCGAACTCCTGACCTCAAGTGATTCACCTGTCTCTGCCTCCCAAAGTGCTGGGATTGCAGGCATGAGCCACCGTGCCCGGCCTACAAAATACAGTTTGTAAAATGAGAAACTAAGTTGAGAAATAAGACTGTCTTGAGTTGGGTTTTCCCAGTTGCACCTGTAACTTTAAGAACTTTAAAATTGTTTCTGAAACATCTTCAAGGTTGGAGTCAGATTAGTTTGCATTAATATGGAAGAGAATTTTGTAGTGGTTGGAAGTTAACTGAGAAAACTAGGATGGGTATAGTCAGATGATACCAAAATTATCATTGCACTAACTGATACCTCTCTAGCTTTGACAGTTTCTAGTTAGCCTCGAATTATTCTTTTGGACTTGGGTGCCAAGATCGAGGATGTTAAGCTTGTTGAAATAATTTGGGTTGTTTAAAGTCTTTTAATTTAAAAGTGTCTAATTTGAGTTTTATATTTGACCTATAAAAAGCTGCTTTAATTCAATAGTTAAGATCAATAAAGCTTATTCTCAACATCGAATTAATTAATAAAAAATTATTCATGGATATTTACTTTCCTACATTCCAAACTACCTAGTCATTACAAATTTACAGTAACGTGAAAATCAAACAAATCATGAACTATGTAATATGAATGTGAGTATAGTATGAGATTATCTTTCAAAGATCTTAATACTCTTGAGGGAGATGGCAATAACAGCTAATATATGGGGCAGTAATATAATGAAGCCCGTGATGATTTGGGTGTTGTAGCTAGCCCATGTGTGCTAAATGAGAGGGGAGGGGACTAAAGTGATAGAGGTTTTTAGGGAAAGTTGTGGGGTGGGGTTCGTGAGAGGTGGCGAACTCTGTTGGTACACACTTGTTTTGGTGTTACGGGAAAGGCAGATAACATGAGATGTTGCGCAGAAGCTATGATGATGTAGTGCGTCACACTCTTGCCTGGACCTTTTAATATATTTGCTTTCCTGTCTCAATAAACATCCATCTTAACTCAGTAGTCTCTTATGTTCATTTTGTCTCTGGATTGACCTCCCTTTAGTATTTAAGTATTCATGTTATATATCTTAAAACAGCTTGACAAAGAGAAAATTGTGGCTCCTTTTTCCCAATGGATGCTCTTTCTTGGTGTAAAGGTAGAGGGTAGTCGTGAATTGAATAAAATTCTAGCACTCGTTGCACAGTGTTAAGAGTAAAGTATGTGCCTGTAGTCTCAGCTGCTCAGGAGGCTGAGATGGCAGGATCACTTGAGCCCAGGAGTTCAAGGCTGTAATGTGCTCTGATGGTGCCTGTAAATAGACAGAGTGAGACCCTGTCTCCAAATAAAAAATAAAAAAAAAGAGTAAAGTACAGAAACTTGGAATCAAATATGAACCTTAAAACTCACCTTGAAAGCTAGTGATGTGTTAAGTATTTATGTCTCTTGAAACAAAACTGTAGGACAAATGTCATTATAGGTAACTTGAAGGGGAGGGGTGGGTATCTGTGCTGTTTTGATGTGTTGAAATGTCATCTTTCTGAGAAGTACTCCAAGAAGTAAGCGGACCTTTGGCTTGCAGCCTGGAGACACTTCTTATATGGAGATCTTTGATGGGTGGAATTTGTTAAGATGGTATTTGACCTGTGTTCCACTTCAATTTTGGACCAATCTAATTTTAGGCATGATTATATTGAAATCTAAACATAACATATTTATGTTAGAGATTTAGAGAAACCCAGAAATTTATTTGGTTCAGATACAGTAATGCATGAAAAGAAGGCTAATGAATTTGTGGTTTAAATTGTAGGTACTATGATACTGTAAAATATATATTTGGTCTGTCCTCTACCCTATTCTTAGGCATACAAGGCTTGAAATCCTTAGAATCTCCAAAGTGATGTGTTTTTGTATGCTAATGATCGACTGGTGGCCGGTAGCTCCTGGTAGCTTCAAAATGGGGGCTGGTTACTGGGAAGACTAAGGCATGATTAGAGGTTTGGACTCAGACCCACCCTCCAACCTCTGGGGAGGGAAGAGGGGCTGAAGGTTAATCATGCCCAGGTAATGAGTCTTCATAAAAACCCTGAAGGACAGAGTTTGGAAAGCTTCTGGATAGTTGAACACATGGAGGTTCCTGGAGGGCAGTTTGCTCTGGGAGGGCTTGGAAGCTCTATACCCCTTCTCCATACCTAACCCTGTGCATGTCTTCATCTGGATCTTTGTAATATCCTTTACCTAATTAATTTACTTATTTTTATTGAGATGGACTCTCGCTGTGTTGACCAGGCCGGTCTCGAACTGCTGGCCTCAAGCGATCCTCCCATCTTGGCCTTCCAAAGTGCTAGGATTACAGGCGTGTGCCACTGCACCCAGCCTGTAATATCCTTTATAATAAACTGGTAAACATAAGTAAGTTTTTCCCCAAGGACTGTGAGCTGGTCTAGCAAGTTAAATCCCAGGAGGGCGTTGTGGGAACCCCAGTTAACTGATTGGTCGGGAGCACGGGCAAAAAATAACCTGAGGTTTGCAATTGACACGGAAGGGTGGGGGAGGTCTTGAGGACTGGAGCCCTCAACCTGTGGGATCTGATGCTATCTCCAGGTAGATAATGTTGGAATTCAGTCATTAATAGAAGACACCCAGCTGGTGTCCGCTGCAGAATTGATGGCTTGCTTGTTGTTGGGGAGAAACCCCACACATTTGGTCACAGAAATTTTATGTGGTGTGTGAGAACAAAGGAAAAACAGTTTGTGTGTGTTTTTTCCCACTCAGATATTCAGGTAAATGTTACCACATTTTGTGCCTTAACGGGGGAGGTTTTTACTCATTAATTCATTCATTCTAGAGACAGGGTCTTACTCTGGAGTGCAGTGGTGTGATCATGGCTCACTGCAGCCCCCCAGGCTCAGGTGATTCTTCCGCCTCAGCCTCCTGAGGAGTTGGGACTACAGGCACATGCCACCACACCTGGCTAATTTTTATATTTTTAGTAGAGATGGGGTTTTGCCATGTTTCCCAGGTTGGTCTCAGAATTCCTGGGCTCACGTGATCTGCCCACCTTGGCCTCCCAAATTGCTGGGATTATGGGTGTGAACCACTGCACACGGCTGGGAGGATGTTTTCAATACCTAAAACAGAATTGTATGTCTCTAGCTTATCGTCACACAAATCATCCACAGTTTGAAAGTTTGTTTTCCAATTCCCAATTCTGTGTGTTCAAGTTGTAGGAAATTTAAAATGCTGAAAAGTTTAAAGGAAAAATACTCATCCAAGTAATTCATCATTAATTTTTGGGTAAACTAATTTTCTCTCACCTCCTTCCTCTCTTCCTTTTCCTTCTTATCCTTTCTCACTTCCTTTTCCTTCTTAGCCTTCCTCACTCCCTCCCTTTTTCCTTTCCTTTAGTTTTTAACTAAGACATAATTATAGTCTCACTGTAAATAAAAGTGTTCTACTTTTTCATTTAAAGCCATTTACACAGGATTTTTCTCAGTCACTTTACCAGCTGGGGACCTTTGGCTGGTGACCCCCGTGTCCGGGCCTTGCTTGGCTATGCTACCCTCCCACTTGGCCTGCCTGTGCCACACCTGGCTTGTGCTCTGGCTCAGCTAGTGGCTGGGCCAGTCATGCCCCAGCCTACCTGTGTTACGGCTCATACCCACGTTTGGCGGTTCCTGAGTTCTTGTTCTGCATCCAAGAAGAATGAGGATATGCTGACAACTGAAGGGTGAGGAAGGCAGACGTAAATTTTATTGAGCAATGAAACAGTTCTCAGCAGAAAGGGGATGCGGGGGTGGTTCCCCACCCGAAGTTGTGTGGTTTTTCCCCCAGTGTGGCTGGGTCCTGGGCTTTTACAGGCTCAGAATAGGGGAGTGTGTGCTGATTGGTTTGTGAGTATGCAAAAAAAAGTTAAAAGCACCACTCAAAGGTGGGCTTGACAGTGTAAGAAACCAATTAGGGAAGTGTAGGTATATGTAAGATAGGTGAAGGGTGAGGATCAATCAGAGGAAAGTGTGCCAAATGGCAAGACAGGTTCTCAATCCGGTCCCTGGATTTATCTGGGACTTGTAGTTCTCTTGAAAAACAAACAAAAAATACTGTGTATCTCGACCTTCAGGCTTTAAACTGTCTTTGATTTGAAGGTGGGGTTTCACTGGGGACCTACCCCTGTCTGCCTAGGCATTTGTCTGCCTGCTGCTGCTCTCAACATAAGCATTTTTGTTCATTATAAACTTACCATTTTAAATGGCTGAATTGAACTTCACCATGTAAAATGAACCAGGGTTTACCAAACCATTTCCTCAATCATTGTTAGACATGTAAATTGGTGGCGGGGAGTGTTTCTTTGCTCTTATAAATGGTAATGATGAAGGGAGCGTTTCTATATGAAGTTTTTTTTGTGTGTGTGGTAATGACTAGGTTAATGTGCAGCGAATTTTAATTAAGAATGACAGAAATGTAAAGTTCATACCCATAGTGTTAGGGTAAACTAAAAAAAAAACTTTTTAAAAAGACAAATGACAATTAAAAGTAAAAATATAAATAGTTCTTGTGTTTTGTATTTAAATATGCAAAGATACCAGTGTTTAAATTCTTGAAATTATTGTTTTTTTTTTCTCTTTAGTCTCTTAATCCTTGGTTTGACCTTAATCTTTTCATAGTCTATATTCACTAAATAATAGTTGATAAATCCTTGAAATACTTGTTTTATATACTGTGGATATGTTGGATATTTTCTTTTGATTTCTTTTTTATATTTTTGAAATATCCATGATTATTACTATTTCTTGTTTCTCTGTGAAACATTTTATTGCCTAAGAAACAGTTCAGTGAAATAATGTTTTCAGTGATGTCTGTCCAGCCAGTAAGTAGTACACAGTATTTTTTGTTTGTTTTTCAAGAGAACTAGTGAATACAAAACTGTTTAAATTTACTTTACGTTAGGTACCATATTTTGTGATTTAATTGCATTGATTTTCATCTTAATGTAAATGCATAATGGCTAGCTTGTTTGGAATGTAGGGGAGGAAAACTTTTCCTCCACCCACTTAGGCTCTATTGCTGGGATCTGTGAATTAAACTAACAAAAGACATTAACAGGGGAAGAGGTCTACAGCTTGTATTGATGTTAATATTTTTGCACGCACAGGGGCATCAAAGAAAAAGATGTAAAATCCCAAAGAAACACTTAGATTTAGAGGCTCATATACCATCTTAACAAAGAGTGATAAATTGTGGAAGGACAAAGGAGGGGATGTTTGGATTTCTAGGGTTGATAAACTGTGGGAAGGTGATTAGACGGTGTATGGAGGAAACCATTGGTAGAAAAGGTTTATTTATTAAGGTTTGTTTATGCAGATTCATCTTGGTGCCATCTCTCTGTGCTGTGATAAGGATTGTTCTTTTCTTCCTGGTGTAGAAGAAGGGGGAGTTTATGCCTTACTCTTAAGTAGAAAAAGGGAAGGCATAGAACTTTTCCTGAATCTGTTGATTCTTAATTGCTTTCAGCTCAAAATAATATACCAAAGTGGCATAGTTGGGGGTGGCATCTCCTGATCCCCATTCAGGAGTTTGTGGTTTTTCAGGTTAATCTGGCTATAAATTCTGTATAAAATCTTCTATGCATTATATGAGAATGCATTTTCTATGCCGAATCTTACGGTTAATGAAACATTTTAGGTTTTCTTTAAGGGTTTCATAAAATTTTAAGAGTTTAAGAATTATGCTAAAAAAAATGGTTCTAGGTAGAGATATTTTGTATGATATGGATTTTGTATGTTCCAAGCATTTTATTTTCTCTCTACTAAGTTTAAGATCTTGTGTAATCCTCGTAATAGTCAGGTGTTTCTGTTTTACAGGCAAGTAAACAATGTTAGCGAGGTAGTGGAGTCTGGATTTAAACCTTGGTATTCTGACACTGAACTGCTTGCTGGCATTAAGATAATTTTTAAAAGAAAGATAGGTACAAAGGAAAAAAAAAAGAGGCTGCTTCCTATATCCCCAGTTGCCTTACTCAGTGCCTCCTGCATAGGCGGGTATACATGAGAAGGGAGTGACAGTGTATAGATGTCACTGAAAACTCAGAATCAGTGTTTTGAGGCAAATACGTCCATTAAATACATGTTTATATGTATATATAAGTATATGTATAAATATAAATGTGTATATTAAGAGGCAAGAGCATCAATTTGCTTATTAAGTTAGCTAAAAACATCTGAGACTTTTTCTGCTCTACAACTTAGAAAAGGGAAGTAGGTAGGAGTTGTTTTCAAACAACTTGGATTCTATGTGTGGATTCATTTTCAGTGTGGCTGTTTGCCCACTTTCATTTTCATTTTTAAAAATTCCTCCATGTAGTTGGCCAGCATATTTTAGGGCTTCTCCAGTATTTAAGTTCTAAGAAATGGAATTTTATTATTTGGTATGAATACTGTTTGAGATTTGGGCTATATTTAAAAAATAAAAAAGCTAATGTTAGGGAAATACAATTAAAACCAAAATCTCCCAACCCAGAAAATTGCTCCACAAAGGTAGAAAAGAAAGAAAACAATGTTATTATTGAATGAACATTAAATCAGACTGCTGTGCCCATCACAGGCAGTCACTAAAGGGATGGCAAAGACAGAAAGAAATCTTACTGTTTTATGTAACTAAATGGTTACAATCCATTACATCCATATTTTCAAGATAAAATTGCTAATTTTTTTTCACATTTTTATGACTAGAGGTAGGTTTTACATTTTGGAGTCAGGTGACAGATTAGGCCCATCTCCTCCTAGGAAACCAGGCGATTGAGTGTTATTTCCCATTTCAGAGATGGCTTTCAGGTCCTTAGGAAACATAGCCAAGTTATAAGACTAGAGACTTAAATTTATATACATTGAAAGGGAGGGAGAAATAAAATCTGGAAAAGAAAAGGGGAAAGGGACCTCTTCCCTTTTATTTTCAGCAGGGAGAACTATGCCTCTTATTTTTAATTTGTATTTGTCCTTACGTCAACAGTCAGTATTTTGTATCTATACCATGGCTGTCCTAAGTGATGTAGGCGTGATTGCAGTTAAAATAATGCCTTGTATCTCACATAGCACTTTTGTTACTAGGAACTTAAAGTGCTTCATACATTTTTTTAGTTTTCTCTGTTAGCTTACCATGAGTATTGCTTATACTGTTTTAATGTCACTATATTGTGGTTTTTTTCCATTTGTTTATCCTGGAACTTTATAGAAGTCATGCATTTTGGGCTTTGTGAGAGTAGGAATGAAATCTGGATGGTAATATTTGCAAAGTTAATAATGTCAGAATCTGTGATGCATAATAACATGGATGAGTTGAAATTATTTTGTCACCAATTTTGAAAATTCACAGCAGAAAGTTCTAGGTGCCTTTAGGCTTCAGATCTGAATGGTTAGCTCTTTCTTGCTACTAGCCTGTGAAAGGATACAGCCTCGTTACTGCATTTAGTTGCTAATGTGGATTAAGTTTGCTAGTTTGTACTAAAACTTGACTGTCTGATATGTGGCGTGCCTGTTTCAGAGTTATCTTAAAGGGGCCTATGAAACAGGATTTTGCAGGTTTGTACTTTACTTCACAGTGATCAATTAAAATGAGAAAATGACCTATTAGCTTTGAATTACCAGTATAAAATAAGTTGCTATTATACTTGACATATTACCTTTCTAATGTATGTATGGAATTATCAATGGAAATAATGTGGATAACTTAGCAATAATTTTGTAATAGTTGGGTGACATTGAATTTTAAAGGATTATCAACTTAGTAATTTGATTATGGCATTTCTAGGAATGAGGTGAGTCTGAATTGGAAATCATCTCTAGAGGGTGACACAGCAGGACATGTTGGTGTGCGTGGTCTTTGCATCCTACTAGGTGGCGGTATAGAATGAAATTAAAAATTAAATGAAGTCTGAGGTAGCCTTAGAAAACACAAATTTGGCTGGTTGCAGTGGCTCACACCTGTAATCTGCAGTATTCAATACAGCATGTTACTGTACTGAGTACTGTAGGCAGTTGTAATGCAGTGGTATTTGGGTAATCTTTTGGGACTACAGCACTTTGGGAGGCCACGGTGGGAGGATCACTTGAGCCCAGGAGTTCGAGACCAGCCTGGGAAACATGGGGTGGCCCCAGCTCTACAAAATAGAAAAAAAAAATAAAAAACAAAAAGAAAAATGAAAACATAAGCACTGACATATTGGGAGATAGGAAGATATGCTCATATACAGCATGGTACTGATTTATCATAGTGTTTAAGTATTTTTAAAGCCAAGTTTTACTGAGGGAAAAGGTAATTTAATGCCAAGAGTTATCCCTTCTATCTAATTGGATTGTACTAACAAGTTGTTTTTCCTGGCTGTATTAGAACATAATATCCCAATTTTAAAGGGCAGTTCTTTTAGACATGCATTGTCTTGTTGCCCAACAGATAAAGAATTTTATGAGGGATCTTAAAAAGTAGAACATCTCTTAAAGTTCGTTTTAAAAAATGAGTTGTCTCTTCTAAAATTTCTCTCTGATTGCTTTTAGGTTACCTAGGGTATGAATTAATACAGACTTGGAAACTCTGAAAGAACTTAGAATCAGCATTTTGAGGTAAATATGTATATGCCAAAGTAGTGATAAGGTTGCCCCAGTCTGCTTTGTTGACTTCTTAGCAAAACAAATTTGTGTATGAAATGAGAACTTTAACCTCCATGAGAATGTCTTTTAAAGGACTGGAAGTAGTAAAAAGAGGCCACTGCCAATTTGTTTTTCCTGAGCTTATGGTAGTGGAGGCATTGCAGAAGGCTCAGACCTGAGCGCAAACCAAGTCTGATGTCAGATCTAACAAAATCAGTATTTGTTGATCAAATTAAACTTTTTATATCTACATTTTATGCTTTCTTAGTTTTTGATTTATAATCTCTTTTAGAGAGCCACCCCAAATTTAAATTTATGCCCGACATTAACATTAACAGTGTTCTTGAATTATTTTATTTATAAACTAATTCTATAAAAATGTATAGTGTAGATGTAACTGTCCTTTTGTGTTTTTAATTTCATTTTGGGAAATTGGAATTGCTGATGGATTTCATACCTGTGTTAAAGAGTTACTACTGGGTTATTTGGATTTCTCAGCCAAGTACGTCTTCTGGTGACCTTCTTTATTTCTTTCGTTTATGTGAATTTAGGAAATAATAGCTATTTTTTTCATTTTTCTATAAAATACCATCTTTAGACTTTATTTACTTTGATTTCCTTATATTAGCTTTGAAATCTTTTTTTGAACTTTGCTCTAGCTCTTTATTTCTCCCAGATCTCTGGGAATTAGGCATGCTATTGTAGCTTATTCTCTTGTTCTTTGTTTTAGGGTAAGCCTTGGTATCCTAAAATAATCTAAATGCCTTTTGTTTAAAATTTAATTCAAAATAATGGCCTTTTATTCAACTCTTCATATCAGTAGGGCTCTCTTGTAGATGTGTTTCTGTTCAGTTTACAGGAATCTTAAACTTGGCTATTTTTGCATTTATTTTTAGAGCAGAAGCTTGGGCATGCTGTGATTTTCCAATAAACTGCTATCACAATGTCAAAATGCAGTTCAGACAAGAGCAACACAGAGATCTCAAACATTAAAACGGTAAATCTGTGATTCATCATGTGGAAAGAGGAAGAGAGTTTATTCTTGTCTTTCTTGTCTTTTGCTAAATTACAGTCATGCATTGCTTAATGACTGGATATCTTCTGAGAAATGCATTGTTAGGCGATTTTGTCATTGTGTGAACATCATAGAGTGTACTTAATTAACATAAACCTACATGGTATAGCCTATTATACACCTAGGCTATATGGTATGACCTTTTGTTCCTAGGCTACTAACCTGTACACCATGTTACTATATTGAATACTGTAGGCCGTTGTGACACAGTGGTATTTGTATATCTAAATATACCTAAGCATAGAAAAGGTACAGTAAAAATACAGTATCATAATCTTACGAGACCATAGTCTTATACGGGGTCAGTCTCTAAAACATTGTTATTGGGTGCATGACTGTATTTCTAAGTGCATAATATGTGGAAACTATGAAACAACCTCACTAGTTTCATGAGGGTAAGTTGTTTGACCAGAAATTTAAAATCTATAGTTGAAAAACAGTCATGTGGAGTTATTTTGGCTCTGCAAAAGCAGTTAATGGTAGCCAGTTTATCTGTGAAACTAGAACCTTTACCTGCCAGCAGAGATTCAGATCTTTTCATTAAGGCCAAGTTTAAAAAATCTGTTTAAACATGCCAAGAAAGTAAAAATTGGCAAAATTATAGGTTTTCCTGTTTTTATATTACAGATTACCTGTTGGAATTTTAAGTCTTGGATTTGTTTTCCCTAAATAGAAAGTGCATTACTGGGGCCAGTTATTGTCCACTAAATGAATGAAAATTAATTTAAACATTGTAACCTTATGGAAAATATAATTGGAAGGGTTAAATTGTTGTTCTTTATGTCCTTGTACATCCTCTCTCCTGCACTCATCTCTCAGGGCTGGTAGGAGTGGGATAGATGTGTGTTTCCAAACCGAATAGAAATATATCTTGATCCATCCATGATTCTGTTCTGTATATTATTGTGTGGACATTCATGAGTCTCTAATTCAGTTTGTCAAATATTTACTTAAATGTATATACAGAACATTGTAGCAGGAAATTTAAGAGGTGCAAAGAATGAGACTCATGTCTTGTTCTTATGGAGCTGTGCTCCAGTAAAAGAATAACATGTATGTTGTGTATGTGTGTCTATGAATAGCTCTAAAAATCTGTGATAGAAATTATGAAAGGCAAATAGAAGCTGTTTGAGGTTTTAATGTCACTCAGGTGGACATTGTTTTCATTCTAACAACCTGCAGTTTTTGTTTACCATGTCCTGGATGTGGTTCTGTACAGTGGGTAATACAGGTAAGGGTAAGATATGCAGCTCCTATATCCAAGGAAATTCTAGTCTAATTGGTCATATTTTAGTGAGAACAGAGTTTTAAGAGAAATTTTCTAAATAAGAATTCATATAAAATTACAGAAGTACATTTTATGGATTAAGACTATACCCCAAGCCTCTGTAGTATAACTGCTAGGATCACTTGGATTGAGCACATAGGATTGAAATACAGGATTAAACACTTTCAGTTGGTCAGTCAGGGAGGATGCATAATATGCTATAGGCTTTCAGCCAACAGGGATTACTCTTCTGTTGTGGAAATTGCTGGTGAATGGTGATGAGGCAGCAATAGGATAGCATTCTTTTTTTTTTTTTTTTATTTTTTTATTTATTTTTATTTTTTTTATTATACTCTAAGTTTTAGGGTACATGTGCACATTGTGCAGGTTAGTTACATATGTATACATGTGCCATGCTGGTGCGCTGCACCCACTAATGTGTCATCTAGCATTAGGTATATCTCCCAATGCTATCCCTCCCCCCTCCCCCGACCCCACCACAGTCCCCAGAGTGTGATATTCCCCTTCCTGTGTCCATGTGATCTCATTGTTCAATTCCCACCTATGAGTGAGAATATGCGGTGTTTGGTTTTTTGTTCTTGCGATAGTTTACTGAGAAGCTGGGTGAATAATCTGAACGTAAGGTTACAGGTCGGCAGAAGTCAGGCAGTCATGAGTGGGGGCAGTACTTTTCAGAGTACATTTGGGACTAGATATCACAGAGTGTAGTGCTTTGCTTAATTTCCTTTTTAAATATCAACTTTTTAATGAATTCCATTCCAGTAGTTTGTATTATTTTCTTACACATGGTTTTTTGTGAGAGCTGATAGAAACCTTAATCTTTTCAGGTATTTTTGGTTAGAGATGTTATTTCTGTATTTCTTTATTGTTTGATATTTATTTTTACTATATAATGTATCTATTTTCTCTTTATTTAGAGCCTAAATGTTGATAAATGTAACCTTTCATTTCTCTGTTTTTTTTTTCCACTTTTTTTCTCAGATTGATTCTTAGAAACCAGCTACCTATCATTTTTTTCTAAACCCTGTGAAAGTTTTAGGGTGGGGTAGGGCATTTATGAGAAATGTTGTGTTTGCTAAGAAAAAAAAAAAATCTCTGTCCTTTGAAATGCCAGGAACAGAACCTGGACACTGAGTGAATTTGCAACTCCTCCTTTTCCAAGCTCTTTACCTGCTGGTTTGTAGGAATAGGATCCACATACTTGAGTGAGGTTGGTGTCTTGAGGTGAAACCGGGCCTGAGAAACATTGGAGGTCTAGGGCTTATTTTCCAGATAGAATTGAGTCTTTGTTGGTCTTGGGCCAGCTTCCCTGCCCTGCCTGTTTTCTCCTTTGTGATTTTATGAGAACAAAGGAGGAAATAGGCAGGCCAGGGAAACGATCTCTCTCCCTCTCTTGTGCCGAGGAAGAACTGTCCAGATTTTTCCTCAATTTGTTTCCGAAACAAGCGGCTTTGCAGTTTCAAAAAGAATTTACTGATAGCAGAAAGTGAAAAAAAGTATTCCTAAGGACAAATAAGGAGAACATTTTCAAAGTCTTAGAAGCTTCTTGGTAGAGCTCATCCCTGGTTTTTTGGAGTCTAAGACCCTTGACTTTTCCCTTACAAACAAAGCTTTTCACCTTGCTTGGGGTCTGGCTGCAGTACTTGTTCATTATCTCAATATTTGTGGCCTGATGGCTTTCTGCTTTGATCCCTGACTTTTTTCCTTTCCCCTTCCCCTTTCCCTTCCCCTTCTCCATTCCCTTCCCCTTTTTCTTTCCCTTTCCCCTTTCCCTTTTCCTTCCCCTTCCCCTTTCCCTTCCCCTTCCCTATCCCCATTCCTGTCCCCTTTTTCTTTCCCTTTCCTCTTCCCCTTTTCCTTCCTCTTATTCCCTTCCCCTTTTTCTTTCCCTTTCCCCTTTACCTTTTCCTTCCCCTTCCCCCTTCCCTTTTCCTTCCTCTTTCCCTTCCCCTTCCCCTTTCCCTTTCCTCTTCCCCTTTCCCTTTTCCTTTTTCTTTTGCCTTTCCCTTCCCCTTCCCCTTTCCATTTTCCTTTTTATTTCCCCTTTCTCTTCCTCTTCCCCTTTCCTTTCCCCTTCCCTTTTTCCTTTCCCCTTCCCCTTTTCCTTCTCCTTCCCCTTTTCCTTCCCCTTCCTCTTCCTTTCCCTTTTCTTTCCTTTTCCCCTTTCCCTTGCTTTCCCTTTTTCCTCCTTTCCTTCTTTCCCTTCTTTCCTTTTTTTCCTTTCCTTTCTGTTCATATCTGTTCTTTGCTTTCCTCTTTTCTACTTATACCTTTTACAGGAAGTGATAATAGTGATTTAGAGAGTGTCATTTGGTTTGCTTTTATCCCAGAATATTCAACTCAAGCTAGCTTGGATAGTTAAGGAATTTGTTGGCTCAGTTAATTGGAAAGTCCATTGTTAGGCTGGGCTTTGAGTTTGGTTGATCCAGCAGTTTATTGATGTCATCAATGACCCAGGTTCTTTATTTTTGCCATCTGCGGTGCTGGTTTCATCCTAAGGCTGGATCTTTTCATGGGTCTGTGTAGTGTAATTGCAGCAGCAAATGGGACTAATAATTTCATGAGTCATCTTTAGAGGGAAAGAAAGACAACTGCTTCTCTTCAACCATCAAATGAAAGTCCTAAATTTTTTGCTGTTGGATGAGCATGAACCAATTCCTCTGGCCAGGGGTAAGTTGTATGCCCATCAGCTTAGGTTTGGGTGACTGGCAGATGGCAGAAAATAAGAAACTAGAGCCTAGGCAGCATAGTGAGACCCTGTCTCTACAAAAAATTAAAAAATTAGCCAGTCGTGGTGATGCACACCTGTGGTCCCAGCTACTTGTGAGGTTGAGGCTGCAGTGAGCCATCATTGCACCACTGCACTCAGCCTGAGTGATCGAGTGATTCTCAGTCTTGGTGAAAAAAAAGAAAAAAAGAAACTGGATCCTTGATCAGTGAGCCACTGTTTGACTGAGACCACGCTGAGTTGAGCATGGCTATTACCTGTGGAGGAAATGGAGTATTTGAGAGCTAGCCAGAATCACCTGTCCTTGTGCTTTTGAATACATAAAGGAATGAGGTATTTATTTATATTTGAGCAGAAAATGAAGAAAAAGATTTATGTTGCAAGAATAATAGGACAAAAATATGTGCTGTACCCATTTTGCCCCACTTGCTTTATCAGCTGTGTGTGTGTGTGTGTGTGTGTGTGTGTGTGTGTGTGTATCTACATGTAGATTCTTTTTCTGTACCATTTGAGAATAAGTTACATGTATCATAGCTCTTTACCCCTAAATACTTCAGTGTATATTTTCTAACAATAAGAGTATTGTCTTACATAGCCACAGTCAGTTATATCAACTTCAGGGAATTTTAACATTGCTGTTATCTCGTTTTAAAAATGAATTCAATAATGTCCTTTATGAATGAGATCACTATTTATGTTCTTTGCAACATTATTCATAATAGCCAAAATATTGAAACAATCTAAGTGTCCATCAACAGATGAATGGGTAAAGAAATTGTGATACACAAACACACATGGAGGAATATTATTCAGCGCTAAAAAGAAGGAAATCCTGCCATTTGCAAAAACGCAGATGAACCTGGAGGACGTAATACTAAGGATAATAAGCCTGTCTGTTATTTCCATCTTTATGTCCATTTGTATCCATATAGTCTTTGTTAATCTGGAACATTTTCATAGTTTTTCTTTGTATTTTATGGCATTGACATTTTTGAAGAATACCCTCCCCAGCTTTAAAAAATAAAACATTCCTAATTTATTTTTAGACTATTTTTCTAAAGTTATTTATTGTTATTACTAATGTTATCTATATGAGAAGAAATGGTGACAGTTGTAGGGAGGAGGGGGTGCTGCTGGTTCCTGGACATACCTGGTTTCTGGAAGTAGGAGAAGATGTGTTGGGTATTTACATCACGGCCCTCTTTTCTCCTTTGTTTTATATTTTCATCCATCATCAGAACTTAGACTTGTTTCTTGGTACCTTCTACCATGTCTTCAATAAGTCTAGGATTAGCATTTGGGTTGGGTGAAAGTGAAGGGTCAGGCTTAAGGGTGAATAGTGCTAGACAGTATGCAGTCTGTAGTCATGAAGGAGAATTGTGGAGGTATCACGAGAGTGGATTCCAGGTGAGAAGGTCAGTGATGGGACCCGCAGATCTTAGCCTTGGGCCTTCAGAGTGGCCTCCTGATCTCAGACATTTTGGTAAAATAGACTTCCACATAGGGTTCTTGGCAGTTGTATTAAGAAAAAAGTTTAACTGATGAGCCTGCAAGTCCTGAGGGCTTGCTGAATTTGGGAAAGTGGGTACTAGGCTTGGGTACTAGGGTAAAAGGAATGGCTGTTGGGGCTTTGATTCAGAGAGAATTAGCACATTATTTTTCGTGAAGAACATAGTTCTCTTTGATCCAGGGAAATTATGGGTTAATATTATCTCATAAAGTACTCTGTGGTACTTCGCTTGTTCCCTTCTGGAAAGATGATGAGCGTGATTGTGCTGTCAGGCCCGCAGACGTGCTGTCTTACCGGGCTCTCAGCTCCGGCAGTGGGGTGCCCCTGCACTGCTTACTTGAGATAGTACTTTATGGTAGCTGAATGTTGAATTCTTGTCAACAGAATTAATTTCTCAAATCAGAATTCAGTATTGTGTTGTATAAGAGACCCTACACTTGAGACTTCTTGTTGAAATAGTTGCAACAACTTAAGTCATGTGTTGTACTTAACATGTCAGGAGATTCAAAAGTTTTGGTTGTTAAGTAACAGAGTTGAATTATCTCTTCCAGTTTCATAGAGTAATAGCAATGAACACTCCAAAGCAGTGCAAGAGAGGAAATTCCCTTCTGTGGGGCGAGGAAATCCTGCTGACAGTAAAGCCAGTGGTAGGCTTTCACACAGATATTTGAATCCCTGACCCTCTGTTTGAAGGGTAGGAATTTTAAAGTTTCAGTTTTTATCATTTTACATAATCAAATTTATCTGTGGGAAAAACTATATGAAATATAGAAAGTGCTTAGATACCATGAAAAAATTTTTATTTCACAGAGTGGTGTCATTTGTTTTAATTTATCTAGGATATGTATAATTTTAAAGATACATATTTAAATAGTTGTGCATTTATAATAGGTTGTCAATTGAGAAAAAGGCCTGTGTTCGTGAGCTGTTGATAAAGTGACAATTTTAGCAGGTGTCTAAATCTTTCGTGGTGCAGGCACAGTGCTAAGTGCCTTCCATACATTATCATTTTATCAGTAACGTCATAGAATATACAAAGAATGTTCAAAATTTATTTATGTGTATATTTACATATTTTATATATGTACATATATTTAACAAGGCATCATGCTGTACATATTTTCTTTTAAAGGTTTATTATGGACATTGTTCTGTGTCAGGAACTACAGATATGTGCTATAATCTTAATGGATTCAAAGTATTCCATTATATAGTCATAGCATAATTTATGTAGCTTATTTTTTACCAGTAGATTTTAAAGTTATTTCTTATTTTTAAGTAATAATGCAACAACAAATATTCATGTACATCTCTTTGTGAAGTTGCTTGATTCATTCTTTAAGACAAATTTCTAGGCATAGAATCACTGGGTAAGGTACAGAATGCTTGACTCCTAAAATGATCCTCTTAGATCAAGAAAAAGCTAAAACAATTATAGGAAGAGTTTGAATGGCTCATAGGAATGATATTCTGATGTTTCTCTTGTTTCTGTGCTTTCTTTGTTTTTAACCCTGCATGATTGTGTAATGGTATTCTTTTTCCCTTTTGTAGTAAGCTGTGCTAGAACAAAAATGCAATGAAAGAAACACTGGATGAATGAAAAGCCCTGCTTTGCAACCCCTCAGCATGGCAGGCCTGCAGCTCATGACCCCTGCTTCCTCACCAATGGGTCCTTTCTTTGGACTGCCATGGCAACAAGAAGCAATTCATGATAACATTTATACGCCAAGAAAATATCAGGTACTAATGCGAACACTAATACTGGAGCATTCTACACTAAAATGGAATACATTAGCATATAGTTGACACAACTTATATAAAACTCATTTACCCTTTCAGGCCTCCCACTTCTGATTAATTTTCTCATTTAAAATACTTTTATTCTTAATAGTCCTTTTCTTTTCTAACATCTGCTGGGTAATTGGATTTGATAGTTGTATTTGTGAAGTTTCTTTTTTCCCCCTCTGAAAACCTCACTGTTCCTTAATATTCACTTGGATGTGTCTGTCCTAGTGAGCTGGGTAGGAACCTAGATTAGTTTGAAAATGTTCAGCCATGAACTGGCAGAACCACGATTACTCTAAGTTTAGTCATTCATGTTATTCTAAAGAAGTATTCTGTGTATACAAAAATAATGCTTAAAGAAAGGGTAAATGCCATTTCAACACGTATTTACACAATACAGCTGTATATAGCAGGCATTTTATTCCTCTGAGTTATTCTCGTATAAAGACGTAGACTGTGGGGTTTTTTTTGTAAATTTATTGGAGGACGATTTTAGAGAATAGTGAAATTTCCTGATTTAAAATAAAATCCAATTTTATAAATTTTGTACTTAGGTAAGAAGTGCATAACTTTTTTTTCACCATGTTTCTAGGTTGAACTGCTTGAAGCAGCTCTGGATCATAATACCATCGTCTGTTTAAACACTGGCTCAGGGAAGACATTTATTGCAGTACTACTCACTAAAGAGCTGTCCTATCAGATCAGGGGAGACTTCAGCAGAAATGGAAAAAGGACGGTGTTCTTGGTCAACTCTGGTAATAAAAAATTATTTTATCAAGTTGTGCAGGGGAAATTGGATGGGATTTTATGTTTAAACAGATTTTCTGTGTTTCTTAAGTTAAATTATTGAAGAAAGTTTGACAGATAATGTACTCATTTAATCTCTTCTGGCAGAAATTGTTTTGTCCTATTTCTTTTTGCTGTTTCTCTTAAATGTTCTGCTTCTGTATTTCTTTTGAATGGATTGCTTTTGGAACATAAGTATTGGAACATATGTACATTAGAACATAATCTAAGTTGTTACATTTATTTTTTTCTTGATGTTTTAGCTTCACCAAGTATGTCAAAAGGTGCTTAATTATGGATAATTAACGTTTGTACTTATGATTTTGCTAATCAGTTGTATTAATAAAGTTACATGCTGCTTAGAAATTAGATATTCAGTTAAGAGTTTAAAATACTGATTTTTATATGCTTGGATTATATATAAAAATAAAAAATATAAAATGTGAACCTAAGCTGGTAGGGCACTAATATATTCATGTCACTGCTCTTTTTTTAGGTTGTCTCAGTATAACTATCTGCTTTAAATACATGTTAGACTGTCTTGTTTCCATCTGATTTTATTGAAGAAAACAGGAGGGTGGCTTAGAGGAAATCAGCTATGAAGAAGAAAGGTGGTGTAGGGTTCTCTGAAGCGAGTGACAAAAAGTGAGGTGGCAAGTCTAGTAGGTGCCATTTTTTTGGAGGATAACCTTGGAACTGTGGTTTTAAAGAGGCTATCAAAAACATTGTTGGTTAGGTCTAATATAATAATAAGGATTTCTGTAGACTGTTAATCATTAGTAGTCCAGAGAGCCAACTAGGCAAGATTTCTCATATTTACATGGAGTATTATATTTGTAATTAGCAAACCAGGTTGCTCAACAAGTGTCAGCTGTCAGAACTCATTCAGATCTCAAGGTTGGGGAATACTCAAACCTAGAAGTAAATGCATCTTGGACAAAAGAGAGATGGAACCAAGAGTTTACTAAGCACCAGGTAAGACTTGTAGAGAAATTTCACTTTATAAATCCCTACAAGTTCTTGACTTGGTTTGTAAGATGATCTGTAGCCTTGGTTGTCTGATTTAGGTTTGAAAACTAATTTCCTATACTTAATCAGCCTAGAAGCTAGTCCTGATGTACTATATCTTACTGTAAGTCTTACCTTAAAACCAAATAAAGGCCGGATGCAGTGGCTGACGTCTGTAATCCCAGCACTTTGGGAGGCTGAGGTGGGTGGATCACCTGAGGTCAGGAGTTCAAGACCAGCCTGACCAATATGGTGAAACCCTGTCTCTACTAACAATAAAAAAATTAGCCGGGCGTGGTGGCGTAGTAGTCCTAGGTACTCGGGAGGCTGAGACAGGAGAATTGCTTGAATCCAGAAGGTGGAGTTTGCAGTGAGCTGAGATCGCGCCACTGCACTCCAGCCCGGGTGACAGCGAGACTCCATCTCAGAAAAAAACCCAAAAAACAAATAAATTACTAATTTTTATTGCTCTTAACTTTGTAGAAAAGAAATAGGTTTCAGTATGATCTGCTTGCTTGAAAAACACAAATTCCTATGACCTATTTCCAACTTGCTGATAATGCGCTTTCAAAAAATTTAGTCTTGAGTTAAATGTCTTGAAACTGGAAAAATTTCTTGCTTGAGCTGTTTAGGTCTTTGACGGAGACTTCCTCTAACTGAATGTTTCCATGCAGCCAGCATGTGCTGGAGGCTCCTCTAACTTACATGTTTCCATGTAGCCAGCATGTACTGGGGCTTTTGGTGTGTTGGTCATTGGGGGATACACAGTGATTAAGAGGCGCTTCCTCACTGAACTGAAACAGCCCAGCCTACTAGTGTGCTTCACATACTGGGATAAGTCCTCATTAATAAAGCACTTAAATATCCACATAATGATAGGCTACAAAAATAACATTTAGTCTGAGTTTTCTTCCAGAAAACCATGTCAGTTCAACAGAAAAAAATAAAAAGTGTGAATTGTTTTGTGATTTGCCTAAATTGACAGATCTCATCAGTCATAATATGGCTGTGGGGATCTAAGAACCTGAAGTAAATTTAGATTTGTCGTCAAGACATGCTTTCCATTATCAAGATATTTTTTCTCTACTCTTTTCCCATGCTTTCCTGATTTCCTTCTTAGTTCTGATGTATAAAATTATATGTATTTAGTATTTTAGTTTTAATTTTGACTAATGAATTCCTTAATCCTCACTTATGATACAATGGCTCTATGATCTGATTTTATGTAAGTATATCCAGGCAGTGAATGCTATGTTTGTTTACTGATGTTGATTTTATTTTAGGTTCTCATTATGACTTGCTATGTCGCCTTGAATGTTTTGAAAAATGGTTACTTATCACTGTCAGACATTAACCTTTTGGTGTTTGATGAGTGTCATCTTGCAATCCTAGACCACCCCTATCGAGAAATTATGAAGGTAAGTTTTAGACCTAAGTCTTAGTAATTCTTGGTAAACTATTGAGTAAATGCAGATTTTTGTTTTTAGATTTCAAAAGCAATAATATTAGTTATCAATATTGGGAGTTTGGCTGCAGTGTATGAATGAATGAATATTAAATTAATGTTCATTTAAATCTATAATAAACTTTTAAACATCATAATAAATTCTATATAATTTTCATAGTGTATCTAATTGAGCCTTTTTGAAAAACAGATCTTTTAAACAAACTACAGTAATTCTATGAGTAATTTTATGTTGTCCTTGGTATAGTGGCATTTCCACCAAACAAATTCTTTTTTACTATTTGTTAGTGATTTTGATATGTTTTAATATGGCGATGTCTCTCTTGTTATAGCCTTGCAAAATGAAGTCTTTACTGTCAGTATCTTTTATTATGTTAGCTCTGTGAAAATTGTCCATCATGTCCTCGCATTTTGGGACTAACTGCTTCCATTTTAAATGGGAAATGTGATCCAGAGGAATTGGAAGAAAAGATTCAGAAACTAGAGAAAATTCTTAAGAGTAATGCTGAAACTGCAACTGACCTGGTGGTCTTAGACAGGTATGCACTTCTGATTGACTCAGCTTTAATGAGATTAGTTGAAAACAATATTAAGTCTTTGGTGTTTTTGTAGTACCTTGCAGAGAGTACCTATTTAAGTGAACAAATGGCAGTAAAAAGGAATGGGCAAGAGTAAGAATTCTCTATAAGTACCATTACCTGTGAGTTCAAGAATCTAACGTTGTTTCCACAGAGAGTAGCAGACAGGCATTTCTGCCTTAAGAGATTATGTGTCAGCTCTTCCTATTTGCTGTTGTTGCCAAGGACTGGGAACTTTGACAGTAAATTTGTATTTTTTTTCTGTCAATATGTGTGCTTTGTTGTTCTGACCTGAATGTCTTACATGATGCTTTCAAAGAACATTAAGTTATTTAGAGAATTCAGCAGTATACTTTAAAATGTTTGGAAATACCCCTTTGTTTTGAAAATGGGTTGTGGATTTCAGAGAAAGTTGCTGTTTGTGATTTCTAGGTTTGACTCTTTTTGAGAGGGTTACTATTTTGAGTTTCATTGAAAAGCGCACACACACACAAAACCTTCATAACTTAGGTTGGTGGAAGGGAGCCTTTACAAATTAGGAAAATGGCTTTTCAAATGCAATGAATTCGATTTATGTCAAAATAGCCTTCCATTCTTACTAGATGTAGTCTTAAATAAGGCTAAAGATTACCTAGTGGTGGTTCTTAGGACAGTTACAATAAGTAGCGGAGACTGATTTCTCAAGTTGTGGAGTTAAGTCAGACATGGGTTTGAATACTAGCTCCACTAATTGTAAGCTGTGTGACCTTGAGTGAGTCACTTATTTCCTTGAACTTGTAAAATGGCATTGACAGTGGTTTCATGGGATTCTTTGATGATCAATTACATTGACACATAGAAAAATCTGCAGTGTGCCTGGCATTTAGTAAGAATTTGAGGAAAATTTTCTTTGGAGAGTGAGAAGGAAAGGTAATATTTGGGATCTATCAAACTTAGGTATCCAAATGCCATGTGAAATATAAATCTTACGACCTCTAGAACGTGCTGTGTCTGACTTCTTGAGCCAACACTGTGGTGGTGAAGTAGAAGGCCGTGCTTGTGCTTTTGTCTGACCTGAGTTAGAGTGCTTCACTTGTATTGCCCAAAGGTTTTCTGAGAAGTAGAAGTAGTAGAGCGTTTAAGTAAAACTGATAAGCAATCTGTTGAATAAGCATTACCTAATTCTGCAAATAAGGACTCTTTGGTTGAGTATAAATTCTGTTTTGGGTTAAGAAAAAAAGAACTATAGTATATATGTTTTTGCTAGATTTCTTTTATTAAAATTATCATATGTACTTTTAGGATATTATGTGCCATTCTGGTGGTCATTTTTTATGAAAGGCATAAAAGACCCAAGGAATGATATTAGAAATGAATGAAAGTTGGGGGAGTTTTCCTTATGAGGATTTAAAAATACATTAAAAATAAAAGTGATATTTGCAAATATTAAAAATTCACACAGATATGGAAATGGATAAATTGAATGATAAAACTCCCAGTGATCAGTCTTCCCATTCTTCTTTCCGCTTCTGCGAAGTGATTGAGTTTCATGAGTATTTTGAACACCCTTGTTCCTCATTCTGACAAATGCCTAAGGGGGCAAAAGATGGAAGTCTAAACCTAAAAAACAAAAGAAAACAAACTAATAATAATGAAATCTATTGGCAAAATTATTTGAATATCAGCCCCTGTGGTCATTTCTTGAGACCTAACAGGCAAGCGTAGTACAGATTGAGCAACCCTAATCTGAAAACGCGAAATTCAAAATGCTCCAAAATCTGAAACCTTTTGAGTGCTGGTGTGCTGCCACAAGTGGAACATTTCATATCTGACCTTGTGATGAACTGAAGCCAAAATGCGACCAAAACCTGTTTCATTCACAACATTATTTAAAAATATTGTGTAAAATTACCTTCAAGCTGTAAGGTGTATATGAAACATAAATGAATTTCATGTTTAGACTTGGGTCCCATCCTCAAGATACTTCATTTTTTATATGCAAATATTCCAAAATCTGAAAAATATTGGAAATCCAAAACAGTTCAGGTCCCAAGCCTTTCAGATAAGGGCACTCAACCTGTGCAGATAAACATGAGTACCACTTTAGGAAGGCATGTTGTAAGCCTGCCTTTTATATTGATTAGATATACAAACTGAAACTAGGAAGCTTCTTTTTGGAGTTAGACCTATAAATGGATCATAATGCTGTAGTGAGTTTTTTAGAAATGAAACAAAAGGTGTTCAGGGAGGCAGTAGGGTTTGGCTGAAAGAGCCCTCAGAGGAAGGCAGTCCTGAGTTTTGTTTAGACAGAGTCATGTAATGTCTTTGAACCTTCATTTCCTTCGTCATCCTCCCTGTGTGTGGATTCAGTTAGAAGGTATGTAAATTCCCAGCATCATGCTTGGGGATGCAGTGGATGCTCATTTGTATTCTTTTCTTTCCCCTCTTCTCCCCTTGCCTTTTGAAAACATCTTTTAAACAACACTTTACTGGTTTATAAAATACATTATTTACTGTTGAGAAATATGGTAATATAGAAAAATAATAATTAAACACCTAAAATCTCACCCCACTGCTAACATTCTGGCATTTTTTTTTTTTTTTAGTATCTATTCCCTTTTTTTTTTTTTTGCTTTTTGAAAAACTTTTTTTAAATTGCATTCTCACTACTGCAGTATTGATACCTTTTGTTTCTTATGTTAAAGGTATACTTCTCAGCCATGTGAGATTGTGGTGGATTGTGGACCATTTACTGACAGAAGTGGGCTTTATGAAAGACTGCTGATGGAATTAGAAGAAGCACTTAATTTTATCAATGATTGTAATATATCTGTACATTCAAAAGAAAGAGATTCTACTTTAATTTCGAAACAGGTAAGCATATACCAAGTAGGTATAGTGATTATATTTTGAAAGCTTTGTTAATTTTTAATATTGAAATGAAAATATGCTTAATGCGGCTCTTTTCTTTGCATTTTAGTTTAAGGTCTTAATCTTTTTAGACATTTTTCATTGAACATACCATATTAGGTTGAGTTCATTGTTATCCAGTGCACATTTATATTAAGTGTAGACTTCCCCTATTTAAGGAGCTGAGCTAGGATTCATGTCATGGTTATTTAAGTATAAGGAGTGAGTCCAATTTTTGTTTCTTTTTGGTCAGAAGAGTTAGTTCCTGTTCAAACCCTTGAATTAAACAAATTCTTCCGCAGTTTCCTAGTGTGTGTAACTGGATATGAGCCTATTGTCTCTCAGTGGTACTGCTTTGAGAAGAGATCCCTTAGGACAGTGATCCTTCCATTGTGGGCCCCACATCATCATCAGCAGCATCTGGGTGGGGTCCTCAGGACTGAATTTTACTGTTTGCAGTCTTCAGTTTTGAATTTCGATAAGCCCTCCAGTAATCTGATTCATTAAAGCTCGAGAACCACTGCCCTAGAACTTTGCAACCATTTGTGAATGTTAACACTGTATTAAATGTGGGTCTTAGTTTCTCTCCTGATGATTTTTTTCTTCTCGAGCAGCAGTGCCCACATTTTTCTCAATCTTTGCATTCTTTCTTCCTTTCCTTTTCCCTTCCCTTTCCTTTCCTCTTTCCTTTTCTTTCTTTTCTTTCCTGTCTTTTTTTCCTCTCTCTCTCTCTTTCTCTCCTCTCCTCTTTCTGTACCTCCCCTCCCTCCCCCTCCCCTCCCCCTCCTCCCCTCCCTGTCTTCCTCCCCTCCCCCTCTTCCTCCCCTCCTCCTCCCTCTCCCCTCCCTCCTCCCCCTCCCTGTCCCCTCCCTCCTCCCCCCATCTCTGCCTCCTCTCCTCCTCCCCCTCCTCCCCCTCCTCCTCTCCCCTTCTCCCTCTCTTCCTCTCCCCTCCTCCTCCCCTTCCCCCACCTTTCCCCTCTCCCTCCCCCGACCTTCTCCCTCTCCCTCTCTCCCTCTCTGCCTCTCTGCCTCTCTCCCTCTCCCTCAATTCCTCAGTTACACCCTGGCCATGGATTGACTTTCGGCTCTCAATTAGAGTTGTAAGATGCAGCACTCTGGGAGGGTCCAGGATCAGAGTCTGAATTTAGCTGAGATGTTAATGTTGAGGAGCCCTGACCTTGTGGTGGTGTTTTCATTGAAATCGGATAACAGGGGCTTTTGGAGAACTGTGACAGAGTGTGTGGAGGCTGCCCCAGTGCAGCTGTCCTAGCTCCTTTTCCACTTCCAACCAATAAAGGCCTTTCCTACTGTTTAGAAAGAAAGAAAGAAAAAAGAAATGATGATAGAGACAGCTGTGCAGTGTTTTTACAACAGTCTCACCGTGGCATCCAGAGGTGCTGACTGTAGATCGACCAAAATTCATCCACAGTTTCTAGTCAGTATAGTGGAAAACATATAATGCTGGAGAATATTGTACATAAAGTTCAAGGAAAACTGTATTGCTCTTCCTTGATGCCTAAAGTTAAATTACTGTGCTACATAAATTTTATGTAATTTGGCAGGAAGTAAATGACTCAGGTATAGTTTTAACTAATTACAGATCTAAAAATAAGCTTCATTAACCTCATACAATTGCATCTTTTAATTTCTGTTTGATTATTTTATTGAAAAAAGGAGATGGTTCTAGGCATATACATACGAAATGAGCTTGAAAAGGCTAATGGCCTCTCCCCCCACCTTCAGGGACTTAACCTAAGGCTGGGTTACATTTAAGGAGCCATTTGAGAACAACTGAAATCCCAGTTAAACCCCACATGAAAATGCTACATTATTATTATTTGGCATTAGGTTTTTTCTTTTCTTTTTTTTGTAGATACTATCAGACTGTCGTGCCGTATTGGTAGTTCTGGGACCCTGGTGTGCAGATAAAGTAGCTGGAATGATGGTAAGAGAACTACAGAAATACATCAAACATGAGCAAGAGGAGCTGCACAGGAAATTTTTATTGTTTACAGACACTTTCCTAAGGAAAATACATGCACTATGTGAAGAGCACTTCTCACCTGCCTCACTTGACCTGAAATTTGTAACTCCTAAAGTAATCAAACTGCTCGAAATCTTACGCAAATATAAACCATATGAGCGACAGCAGTTTGAAAGCGTTGAGTGGTATAATAATAGAAATCAGGATAATTATGTGTCATGGAGTGATTCTGAGGATGATGATGAGGATGAAGAAATTGAAGAAAAAGAGAAGCCAGAGACAAATTTTCCTTCTCCTTTTACCAACATTTTGTGCGGAATTATTTTTGTGGAAAGAAGATACACAGCAGTTGTCTTAAACAGGTAAATCTGTAAGTTGACTCCTTTCACATGAGAACAGGGAGGCGTCCTGTGTTGTGATGTGATGCGCTGCAGCAGCTGTAAGAGCTAGCATGAGGGTTATGTAAGTGTCCTTGACTTGGCGCCATCATTGCTGATACGTCATGCTGTCCTGGGATTGACAGAGAGGATGTTTTCCAGAAGGCTGCTTTTCATATGGCTGATATTTTTTTCTTAAAGGATGCTAATCTATTCTAATCTACCTAAAATGGAGGACAAGTATGGTTTTTAAAAAAATCAGTATACATTTAAGTAAAGCATTGTTTTATATTCAATTTTAGATTCAATTCAGATATTTATTAATCCTTAACTATGTGTTAGACATTGTGTTAAGCATTTCACACCAAGTGTTCCCCTCAGGTAGTCTTAGGAGAAATTTTATCTGGGTATTGTGACTAATTTTTTAATGTTGATTTTTTTCTCTTAAAAATATGGATTCAACTTTTCAAGGCTAGGTTGGGCATGATGGGTTGTGCCTGTAATTCCAGCACTTTGGGAGCCAGAGGCAGGTAGATTGTTTGAGTTCACAAGGGGCAACACAACGAAACCCTGTCTCTAGAAAAAATACAAAAATTAGCCGGTGGTGGTGTATGCCTGTAGTCCCAGCTACTTGGGAGGCTGTGGTGGGAAGATGAGTTGAGCCTGGGAGGCAGAGGTTGCAGTGAGCTGAGATGGCACCACTGCACTCCAGCCTGGGCAGTAGAGCCAGACTTTGTCTCCAAAAATAAAGTTTTCAAGGCCACAGTGCAAAAAGTTTAGAACAATTGAATTTATTTTGGGTTGGTTCATAGACTGCATATTAAAATTTTGTGAATCAGAAGAGAATAAGAATGTTGGGGAAAGTTCTAAGACTATTAGCAAAGGTGATATTGAATCCAAATTTTAGGCCGTGGATTCCTACTCTTTCTCCCTTCAATGAAAGATTTTTTTTCTAATTTAGAACCAGCCAGGGAGCTATACTTCAGATTTCTGTCAGATGGTCACTTAATGTATGGTCCTTTTGGTTTGTAGATAGATACTCTTATTTTTTTCTGCCAAAAAAGGTCCTTATTTTGTACTTAAATCAATTTACTTTTCTATGAGATCCATTAATTGGCCACAGTTGATCCCTAACTTTTCTGCAAGTAGTGATCTCTTAGGAAAAACTAAGCTTTGCTTCCTAAGGTAATTTGGGATTTTTTTTTTTCTTTTTCTTTCTTTGTGTGTGTGTGCGCGCGCGCGCGCGTACACGCACGCGCACACGCGCTTAACTGCTTCTGAATGTTTAGGGGTTTTAAAAACTTTTTTGAGTAACGAGAAATTGGACTCGAGGGTCATCATCTGGCAGTTTTTAGTCTGGTAATTTTCATAGTCATTGAGCCTGATCCTTCTGATGAATACAAAGGAAAATAACTTTAGGGACCAAATTACATTTAAATTAGAAGTTGAAGATTGGAAGGGGACCTCACTGACTATCTAATCCAACCCACTTATTTTTGTAAAAATGAGAAAGAGCCTCAGGAGAGAGAGTGATTTGCTGTAAGTTAAATTGCTAGTCAATGGCAGAGACAATTCTAGAATCCTAATATCCTGACTCCTAGTTTCCAGTTCTTTCTATCATAGTAATGCCCCTGGGCATCACAGAACACTAAAAACCAGTGCTTTACAGCAGGAAGATTGCCAGGAGACGGACCTGGGAGAGCGTGACTAAGGAGGGATTATTTCTTAGGGCAGGGAAAAAGCATTTTGGGAGTCAAAAAAGTTTAATGCTGGCGCAGTTGTAAGCCTAGTTATGGACATACTCCCCGTCTCCATTTAGGATTATATAAGGATTAAATAAATTTTCTGGGGCTTGGAGAGAAGAAATGGGGGTGTATTTTCCGCCTTCCTCCTGTTTTCTGCATGTATTTTTAGGTAAAGATGTGCCAGTTTTTATTGCAGGAATATTAGCCTGAAAAGGTTTATCCAGAATCAGTCGGTTACTTCCTATTGACTTTAAGGATCAGATGAATTGTGATCAACTTTCATAAAATGTGACTGGAATTTAGTGCTGTATGATGAATCAAGAGTGCTCTGAGGGTTGACTTTATGAGCAGCTAATTAAATATACAATAGAGGTCTTGTTCCAGTAAGCTTTTTAATAAGCTTAGAAAAACTTCCTGAAATTCAGATTCTTTCCTTCCATCAGTTTAATGGGAGGAAAAACCCTTCTATAGTGAATAGTTTCATGGGCATATAAGCTATTGTAATATACATGCAGTTTTCTACTCTCCTAATTAAAAAAAATAAATCACAGCCACTTCTATATGTAGTGTAGGTATGTGCACAGTCTTATGTTTATGGGTTTCTTTGTACCTTATATTTACATAGGGGTTTCTAAGTTATATATATTTAAGACATATTCACAACACTCCATAGGGGAGGAAAGTAGATGTTCTTTCCATATTACAGAGGAAGAAAACAAGCATCAGTGTGTGACCTTCCCCCAAATTACACACATATCAAGTGGCAGAAAATGGCTTCCAGTCTCAAGTCCAGTGTTCTTTTCACCGTGTAATATACTAGTATTGTGTGATACTGGCATTGGACAAACCTGGGTTCACATCCTGTCTCTACCCCTCCCCCTTTTTTTCCTAATAACTTTTTATTTTGGAATAATTTGAGATTTACAGAAAAGTTGGAAAAATGGTACGGAGTTCTCATATGCCCCTCACTTAGTTTCCCCCATTGATATTATCTCATGTCAGTGTTTGTCACAACTAAGAAAACTAACATTGGCCCATTACTATTAACTCCAGACTTTATTTGGATTTTGACAGCTTTTCTACTAATGTCCTCTTTTTCAAAAAATTTATTTTTATTTTTTTCTAACCACTAGACAGTAAGGGATAATGTCTTTAATCCAAGGTGTCATATCACATTTAGTTGTCAGTATCTACCCAGTTTCCTCTGGTCTGTCACAGTTTTTCAGTTTCCGTCTTGTTTTTGATGACCTTGACAGTCTTCAGGAGTACAGGTCAGGTATTTGGTGAATGCCCCTCCATTTGGGTTTTTCTTATGTTCTTGGGGTTGTACTGGGGTGATCGGATATGGAAGAATACCATGGAGGTGACCTGCTCTTCTAGTCACATTATATCAGGGGGCTCTCATGGTATCAACCACAAAACGTCACTCGTCATGTTCATCTTCATCAATGGATTGTGATAGTGTTTGTCTGCTTTCTCTACTGTAAAGTTACACTGTTTCCCTTTTCTTACTCTATTTGGAAGGAAGTCTCCAAGTCTAGCCCACCCTGGTAGGGAGGGATTAATCTCCACTTGCTGGAGAGGGATATATCTATATGTATTTGGAATTCTTCTGTAAGGAAAACTTGTCTGGTTTATCCTTTTTATGTAACTGTCTACTTATATTTATTAATTGAATCATGTATTTCAGTTGGTGGTTTCATGTTTATTTTATACTTTGGGCCATAATCCAATACTGTGTTATTTATTTGTTGCTCAAATTGTTGCAGCGGTGGCCACTGGGAGCTCTTCGAGTTTAGCACCCGTGTCCCTTTGACATACCCTCATCCTTTTGTTTTTGAGCACTTTCTTTGTGATACCACAGGGTGCTCTGGGCTCTTGTATTTCTCCCTGCCTGGCCCTAGAATCAGCCATTTTGCCGAGGAGACTTGGTTTCTTTTCTGCCCACTTTGTGGATGTATATTTTGTGAAAGTTATTTAACTTTTAAAAGTTTCAGTATGTTCATTCGTAAAATGGAAATAATACCTCCCTCTCTTACTGGCTTGTTGGTAAGAGACTTTGTATTAAAAATGGCAGTTTTATCAACCAGCACACAGTAGATGCTAATTCTTCAGCCGCTTATGCACCCATCTAGGGAGTGCAACATCCGTATGCTATTATGTAACTGTCAGTGATCTTTTTTTAGTGAAATCATAGAGGAATTATATCTGGTTTTCTCCACATTGACAAGAAAATGTAAGGAGTAAGGGATACTGTTAAAGGAGTTGTTGATAATGTATTTCAATAACCTGGCAGGAATTTCAAATAATGTGTTTATATCTTTGAATTTCTTTTCCTCTTATGGTTGTCTGCATTAGTTAGCATGTTTATTCAGATCACAATTTTTTGTAATACATCTATTAGTTTTCTGAACCTACCATACATATTTCCTATTTTTGGTTATGTTATTTTCATTCTAATTGGGGAGAATTAGATGTACATATACACACAAAGTATAGGCTATGAATTGGTGCCAGAATTTACCTATGTCATGAGTTAAGTACAAAGATTGAGAAGAAGCATTTAGAAACTCTTAGAGCAGTTTGACAGTAATTTTATATCTGCTGAATACAATAAAATTGATGCTTGAATTTTAATACTTTTTAAATTTCATTTTCTTAGTCATTCACTTTTATGAAATTCTACAAAACTGCCTCTGATGGATTGGAAATTTAAAAAGAAAAGCTGGTTCTTCACTGCAGATCGTTTCAGAAACACTGTGCATTAGGGAACAGTATACTTTGCTGGTGAACAGCTTGCTGGTGAACAGCTTGTATAAACTGAGTGTAAAAACCAAAAGAAACAAATAATACATTGTCTTATTTTTTCTGTGGTGTTACAAACTCTTTAAGCAGTTTGCACTGTCCATTATCCTCTGGGAGTTCACATGATGTGACTGCCTGGCTTTGTTTTCCCTGAAGCCTGTAGCTTTGTCCTGGGTACTGGTTAGGCATGGCCAAGATTCACCAAGTAGATAAATACATTTTTCTCTCTAAGCATTATTAGCATAGGTATATCCCATGTAATTATTGCTTACAAGAGATTTTATTTATTGTGCCTGTTGTCTCTTCTGTTCTCTGTGGTTTTGATGTGGGTTTCATTAAGGAAAAATGAATTGACTGTTGTTGCCTCTATTTCTTAGCTAATTGAAGTCTGCCAGATGGATAATTTATAATTTTAGCAAAGTAAAATACATTCTTTGCCTAATTAACAGTAAGTTAAAACACATTCTAAATCTCTATTATATTCAAATTGATGCTTATTTATATAAAATTTGGAAGTATGTATTATTTCTAAGGTGATTTATTTTGTATTTTAGACTTTTGGACATGTTATTTGTTTGCATGTAACACTGCTTTCTGTTACATCTTAAATTTATTAAAATAATTAAACACATCTTGGAACATAATAAGGGAGCTCTGATTCTGAATATTTAAGTACGTGAACTGTAGAGCTTGAACTACAAGCTGTAGTTTGTAGACTCCCAAACTAACCTAGACACGCAAGTGTTGTGCCGGTTGGGATCAAGAGAGATTCTAGATGGCCACTTCCAGCTCTTTATTATTAGTCTGTTTCATGTATTTTTTTTTTTTTTAAAAGAATGATTCAACTTAAAAATGCAATTTTCTATTTGGAATTTATACTATGTAATATGACTTCAGAGAAACCATGTGGAATCGCTTATATCAGGTGTGGAACCATTTATCCCGTGTGCTGAGTTTTTGAATGTGGATATTTCCAAAATAGCTGTAATGGCAGCACTAACTGTTAACCTTCTGCACCCGTGTAATGTGATCCCGTCCCGTAGCTCTTTGCCATTTCTTAGCTAGAAGGCCAGCTTTCAGTTACAGGCACTGTGGGTTAATACAGAGGAGCAGGCAGGAAGAGAGACAGAGCTCAGGAATCTCCTCTTTCATGACAGGGAAGGGTGGGGTTGCCTTGCCATTTCTGTGCCCTGTACTATGCTGTGCAGAATTTTGGTCAGTGGCCTGGGGACAAGAAAGCATCAGGGATTGAGAGGATACAACATTTCTTTCCCATGGGCTCTGCTTCTAATGATATCAGGTGATAGGATAAGAGGAAAAGAAATCGCAGCTGGAACTCTTGTTACATTTGTTGGGGGTGAAGGTTTCCTTTGGTGTTGGGCTCACTGGTCCTTTCTGTATAAGCACAGTAGGGCCTGCAGCTCAAGCTGTGCATGGTCTAGAGAAGGGTGTTGAGTTGAGAGATGAGCTAGTAGAACTGGTAGAGGGATGAGTCGAGCTTTTTTCATTGGACGTCCTGTCCCGAGGCCAAGATCTATGAGGATCCGTGTTTCTCTCTGACTAGCTCAGTCTCATCCTGGGCCACATTTCTATTAAATCACCGTCGCCAAATCAGCTGTTGGAGGTAACGTGACCATTTCATTTGTCAGTACAAACCAATCTTGTATTTGGCGTTATAAGTACTTGGTCCACAGATCTATGTGGTGAAGAGTGACAGTGATTTCTGTTTAAGCAAGTTGGGAAAAAAGGACCAAGACCGTTTTGTTAGGTATGTTTGCAAAAAATGCATGTACTTCCATTTTAAAGGAGGCTTTAAAAACAAAAGTTTATTTTCTTTCAGCAACGTTTAACTTCCAAATGTGTATAATTTTCTTAGATTGATAAAGGAAGCTGGCAAACAAGATCCAGAGCTGGCTTATATCAGTAGCAATTTCATAACTGGACATGGCATTGGGAAGAATCAGCCTCGCAACAAACAGATGGAAGCAGAATTCAGAAAACAGGAAGAGGTAACTTAAATCAAAATAAGTGTACAATAACAGTTTTCGGGACATATACAGACAAAGTGCCCATAGGGTCTCCCTTTTTTCATAGTTTCCCAGAATTACTATTATTTTTTGTATTATAGAATACTTCTTCATATATTAGACCAGCTGTCCCCATGAGGTAGCTGTAGAGTGATTTGTATGCTCAGAATTAGAATAGCTATCTGGCAAACCAATTTTGTGTCTTAATTGCCATCAACCAACTTATTTTCTGTGATTGGATTGATGTTACACAACTGCATTTCATGGAAAGACAAAGCATGTATGACCTTAACTCTTGTACATTCCATATGACTATGAATTAACAAACTGAAATCTTTTCCTAGAAAGTGTTTTCTTTTTTTCATTTAAAGGCCTATTTTGTTTCAATTCTTAAAAAAAAAAACAGCACTATATTTTATAGATTTTAGCTTAAATATTTTTGTGCCTTGTAAGGTCTTAATACAGGAAACAGCATTGTAAAGATGCTAAAAACTAATACCATGGTCTGGCTTGTACACAAAAACCTATTTAAAGTTTATTATTTAACTTAAAATTAGCAGAATAATTCCTGTTGAAGGCCTTTTCTACATTGTAGCTTTTTGATAATTTCCAAATTTGGAGAGTCCAGGAGCCAGTCTGATAGATATAACTGTCTGAACACTAGCTTATGTTACCATTTAATTTATCCTGAATTGGAGAGTCTCATTAAATCAGTTTCTTTGTCCATGTTTCCATGCATGCTGAGTTTTCTGTGATACTGTCATCTTCTTTAGCCTGGCCTTAAGGATTTAGAATGCCCAAGAGCATGTGTGTCAGAAATGACAGTTGTCATTTACTTTTACTAATTTTTTTTGTTCATTTTAGAAATTTTCTTAGAAGTGCTTTTCTTGGTGGATTTTTTTTTTCAGGTACTTAGGAAATTTCGAGCACATGAGACCAACCTGCTTATTGCAACAAGTATTGTAGAAGAGGGTGTTGATATACCAAAATGCAACTTGGTGGTTCGTTTTGATTTGCCCACAGAATATCGATCCTATGTTCAATCTAAAGGAAGAGCAAGGGCACCCATCTCTAATTATATAATGTTAGCGGATACAGACAAAATAAAAAGTTTTGAAGAAGACCTTAAAACCTACAAAGCTATTGAAAAGGTAAGATCAACATATTAACATGTGCCGGCAGATTGGGAAAAAAAATTAATGTGGCTTCTTTGTTATTCTTTGTATCCATAGGAACAGATAATGAGTTTTATCTACAGGCAATAATCTCAAAAGAGGTGTACTCTGTGTACATTGTAAGGAAGTTGAGAATGATCACAAAGACCCGGCAGTGTTATACAAAGTGTTTGAAAGGGCACAATAAGATAACAGTGAAAATGATCATCACATATGTTATTTGGGATGAACGTCTGGGAAATTGCATTGCAAATATGGACAGTAACTGTTGACTGCTTAAGTTATTGAGTGATTGGAAAATGATGACATGGTAGTTACATTCAGAAAGACTAACAGTCGTGTGTGTGTGTGTGTGTGTGTGTGTGTGTGTCTGTGTAGGCACGGTACAGTATAGACTTTGTACCATATGGTAAGGGTCTCCATACGATTGGAACTGGGAGGGATTCATTGGAAGAAGGTGTCTGCAGCAGGTTACTTTGGAGTACTGAAGTATGTTTAGGAGAGAGAGAGATATTTTCAGGAGAGTTTTTTCTGTAGGTACAGAGGCAGACAGCATACAGCAGAGAGGATGTGTTTTCATCATAAGTTCTGTTTTTTAAATGTTCAGATCTTGAGAAACAAGTGTTCCAAGTCGGTTGATACTGGTGAGACTGACATTGATCCTGTCATGGATGATGATGACGTTTTCCCACCATATGTGTTGAGGCCTGACGATGGTGGTCCACGAGTCACAATCAACACGGCCATTGGACACATCAATAGGTATGGCATCATATCATTTGTGTGGAAAACCTGGGAATGTTGCACAGTTTAAGTCTAAACCTGTACATTTTGTATTGTTGACATTTTGCGGTTACCAGTCTTTACTTAGACTTGCCATATTTTCGATAAAGAAAAGTTACTTCTTTTTTCATTTTTTTTTAAATCAAAAGGCAAAAACAGTATCGTGCAGCAATAAAAGTTCAGTATTCCTTGGCAAGGCTAACATAATGAAGGCATTTTAAATTAGGTTTAATTTAATTTTATAATTCTCACCAATTTTTTTCTAAATCCTGAAATTTTTTGTTTTGTGCCATAACCATTGGGTAATGTTGAATTTTCCCCTAGCAATAAAGTAAGATTGTGATAAACTAATTTATGTTTTTGGGTACATTGTAATTTACTTTGTCCAGAGCTGATAATAAAATTTCTAAGAGCTAAGAACAGCAAATGCATTCCTGGATTATATACCAGGATAATTTCTATTCAGAGACAAAAGAGCAAGTATAAGATTTTCTTTGTAACCTTTTATTTTGAAACAATTTCAAACTTTAAAGTGTTGTAAGAATACTAGAATTCCGCATATGCCTTTCACCCAGACACCAAGAGAGACTCATTCAGTTTCATGAGAATGTTCTTTGTAGCCAAAGTATCTACCTTAGAGTCAGGAGTTGTCCTCAACTCCTGTTGTCACATCTTCCTAGTCTCCTTCAATCTGGAACCATTCTTTAGTCTCTCCTTGACTTTAATGACCTTGAAACTTTGGAAGATAGATAGGCTGTCATTTTGTAGTCTTACTGTCAGTCTGGGTTTGTCTGCTATTTTCTTATGATGAGACCCAGGTTACAAATTTTTGGGCAGCACATCACTGAGACGATGGTGTCCTCTCCTCATCCTAGCTTACCAAGTCGCACACCATGTTGATTTGTGCCCTTACCGGTGGTAACTTAGATCACTTGAGTGAAGTCTGCCAGTTTTCTCTACTGTAAAGTTCCCTTTCACCCCTTTTATAATTAGTAGATATTTCATGGGGAGATACTTTGAGACGGTATAAAATTTGTTCCTTTTCCCAGTTTGACTCATTAGTGTAAGCATTCTTTGATATTTCTGGCCCAAATTGATTATTACTATGATGGCTACTAAATGATTTTCTAACTCCATTATTTCTGTATTTATTAGTTGGCATTCTACCATCCATTTCTTCTCTCCGTTTATTCATTCTTATATTATCATTTTTTAATGTCAGTGTGAACTTATGGACTCCTGTTTTATTTAATGGGTTATAATCTATCATTATCATTTACTGTTTGTTTTGATGTTAAAATTGTTTCATATTTGGCCAGTGGGAACCCCTTAAAGCTGGTTTCTTTGTCTTTTTAACATCTCACTATTATTCCTTGAATACTTCCTTGTTTTATGGCGCAAGACATTCTAGACTGCCCCAGCCTTGATGTTGGCAATTTCCTCGAATTTAGTGGAGAAAAAGTTGTAGTTAGAAACCAAGAACTGGATACTAGGTTTATTCATTGCTACCGGTGTGTTGCTGCTGCCAGGCGTTTTAGTGGACAGAGCTAGAATGTTTGTTTGTTCATGTTTACATCTGTATTTGTTTCAGTGTCTATCTGTTGATATCTCTATTTTCAGTGTGACACTAGAGGTTTCATTCTAGATTTCCTCCTTTCTGTCTTTGTACCTCCTTTCTCTAATAATCAGAAATTTGGCTCCCATTGTCCTCAAAATAATTAGTGTTCAGTCTTCCTGTATGTAGCCAGTCTCCCTGCTCTGTAGGGCTGCAACTGTGGTCAGGTGCCCTTGCTGCACAGGTCGCAACCTCACAGGGCTGCTGCCCATTCCAGCACCCTCCTGATGTGGGTCCTGTCCCAGCATCCCTTTCTGGGCTAGCTTTCTGCCCTGTTCCAACCTTCCCTGGTGCTGTTGCTCAGTGAGTTGCTAGTTCTACTGTCCTTTTTGTGTCAGCACTGGGCTGTCCCGCCCTCTGCTGATGCCTTCCTTATATGTGTGCTGGTAGTTGGTGGGAAATGTAAGATGATTAAGGAAAAAACATTGGCAGTATGTTTTCTTACTGGATTCTGAACAATACTTTGTGCTCTATTATGGTAACACTCGACACATGTTACTATTTAAATTCAAAATTCAATTTAAAATAAAATAAAAAATGGAGTTTCGTAGTTGTACTTCTCACATTTCAAGTGCTCACCAGCCACTGCCCTGTTGGGCATCGAAGATATAGAACATCTTTGCAGAAGTTCTGTTAGACAACACTATTCTGTCTTATTCGAAGTTTGAAGCAGTAAAGTTTAAATGCCACATATAAATACAAATTCAGTAGAGGGGAAGAGGCACATGACAAATCAAACTCGAGGTTATAAATATCAATATTTTCTCAGTTGTAGATTCAGCCTCAGAATTTCTTTTTCTTCACAGATACTGTGCTAGATTACCAAGTGATCCGTTTACTCATCTAGCTCCTAAATGCAGAACCCGAGAGTTGCCTGATGGTACATTTTATTCAACTCTTTATCTGCCAATTAACTCACCTCTTCGAGCCTCCATTGTTGTAAGTTTAGAAGAAGAAATGATTGTTATCTTTTAAAATGTGTCATTAGTGGATTTTTTCAGCTTTTCTAAGACTTGCAAGTTATAGGTAAATTTGATTTTAAAATCTACTTTCATGAGCAGGAGCCTTGTGTTGACAGACCAAAAATAAAAATAAAAACCAAATTTACTTTCAAAAGTAGATTTATAGATTGCTTTTGTAGTCATCTACATGTTCATATTTGTAATAGACTGTCTAATTTACAGATACTTAGAACTGGACTAGGTGATCTCTGAAGTTTCTTCTAAGGTGTTACTAACATGCACATTTTTGACAGAATCATTCAACTGTGGCTTAGACACTTAGAGTAATATAAAACTTATTATAGATCGTTGCGTTGTCCTAGTTATTTTGTTGGTGACTCAAAAATCTGCTTTTTGTAAATACTGTTCTTGGTCTCAGTACTGATTTCCAAGTGTTCCAAGGTGACTAATTTCTATTGCACATAAAAAGCTGCTCAATACTGTTAATGTTATAGCTATGTTTTGATAAATCTTTCTTTTTGTTACATATTTATTGATTAGTAAAAATAAGATACTTTAAAATCTTACTGAAATTTAAATTCATCAAAATTGTAAAATCTTAATTATGACTTAGTTTTTACTAGGCAGGACTTTTAAAGATGAATATTTCAAATATGGAGATTAGAATTTTTAAAAACTTGCTGGAATTTTTCAAAATAAAGAATTTTGTTTTGGTAAATTGAACTTTAAAAATGTTGGGGCAGTGGTTTCATAGGTGTTTCATGTGCTAGAGGTAATACAGCGATGTGCATATATAATGGAAAGGTTTTTGTTATTTTCAGGGTCCACCAATGAGCTGTGTACGATTGGCTGAAAGAGTTGTAGCTCTCATTTGCTGTGAGAAACTGCACAAAATTGGTAAGGATGTTTGAAAAGCATATACGAATGAAAATAAATTGCAACCATTGTAAAAAAAAAGCATATAGAGGACTTTATAGATCTGTAAGGATTTTGTAGAGCTATTCACTTGCTGATCTTAATGTGCTTTGGTGAATATAAACATAAGTGTTAGTAACTTGAAGATCCTACATTGTTGTGGGAGCTCTTTGTTTTCCATAGCTTGACTGCAAACAACTGTCATTTATTTGCTCTCTTTAATGACTCCTTTTAAGTACATAAAGGTCTTTTCGTAATTGTTGAATCATGCACCATGAACACTTGTGTTTTAATATGTCAGTCTCTCAAATTAGTCTATACTAGTATAGAAATTAATCCTTTTTTAAAAAATGAACTCAGTTTCTTTTTTTTTTTTTTCTCAATCCTGCTCCTGTATAAGTGGACCCATTTTCTATGGCCATTTTATTTAGCATTGATATGTGGTGATGTCATGTTTAGATGTTTTTGTTTCTGAACCTTAGAACAGAATTTGCAGTCCAGCTCATATTGGAATATATGGATGCCAAAATAGACTTTGCCTGAAGTGTGAATCTGATTACTTTTAAATTGTAAAAGGCAAAGGTGCTTTAGTTTCCATTACTTTTCCAGGTCCTTCTAACATAGTTCTGTTCTAAATTCTTTACTAATTAATCAGGCAAAATCTGGATTGTGTTAATTCTCTCTTTAAATTTGTTAGGCGAACTGGATGACCATTTGATGCCAGTTGGGAAAGAGACTGTTAAATATGAAGAGGAGCTTGATTTGCATGATGAAGAAGAGACCAGTGTTCCAGGAAGACCAGGTTCCACGAAACGAAGGCAGTGCTACCCAAAAGCAGTTAGTATTGGTTAGAACAGAGTAAAAACCTAGCATTTCTGACTTTGTTTTCCGCTACATCAAATCTCAGTTCCTCTGCTTGGCTGGCTTCCCACACCCTTACAGTTTGGCCCACTCTGGATCTCAGCTCCTTTCTCCGATTCACAGCTTCTCTCAGATCAGCCTCTTTCCTTCCTAATGTAGAATGTGTGCTCTTCCACTTCAGAGGTTGCTTTTGTTTTTCTTCTCAAAAGGATTCTTGGACCCATCTGTCATATTCTATCCAGAATGAGATTATTTCATTTAAATAGACATTCTTTGTTTCATTCAGTTTAGTGGTGTGATTCTTGTTTTACTTATGATTTGGGGCTAAGACAGAAGAGGATTTGTGTGATAAAATAAGCAAGTGAAAAGATGCCCTCTCAAGATGACAGGTACACTGGAAGGTAGAAGCACAAATATCTGTCAGGAGTTATGTCAGATTCCCAGTGTGGGCCATTGGGAATCGAAATAAGTTATTTCCATGGAGTGTTTCCAGCTCAATCTGTGGGCATCCTAGCAGAGTTCACACATGAAAGCATCTCTAAATCTAACTTCTAGTAATAGACAAACTTGGCTGAAGTATTTATTTTTAAAATATTTGTTAATATTTTTACCTCATAAGAACCCCAAGCAAAAGCAGAATTTTGCTGTGTGTAGTAGTCCCGCTTACCCTTGGAGGGTATGTTCCAAGACCCACAGTGGAAACTGCAGATAGTACCGATCCTCCAGCAGCTCAACGTTGTTTCATTAGAACGTTGACAAGGAAAAAAAAAATCGTTCCCAGCCAGGGCCACTGTCTCTATGTGGGGTTGGCACATTCTCCTCATGTCTGCTTACTCCGGTTTCCTACTACATCCCAAAACTGTGCACATCAGGTGAACTGGCGTGTCTGCACTGCCCCACTGTGAGTGAGCATGGGGATGCATGTGCGTGTGCCCTGCCACAGAGTGGTGTCCTGTCCGGGATGGGTTCCTGCATGGGGCCCTGAGCTGCCAGGATAGACTCTGGCACCCTTGGCCCTGAACTGGAATAAGTGGGTGAATAATCATCTTCCTTGTTTTTATTCATCTTTCTTAAGTGTATCTATAGCTCACATTTATTTTAATGCTTAATATTAAAAGTGTTTTTTTTTAATTTAGAAATTTGGTGATGTTTTTGTGATCAGAAATGTGCTGGAGGAATTTAACTGATTTATGTCAATTAGCCTGTGGGAAAATTGGTTTCTTTCTACCAATTGGTTGTTTCCCTTAGCCAGTTTCTAAGAACCTGCCGAAGACATTAAGTGAGGACTTACAGCATATATTATGCTTTTTAAAATACGTTTGTACATATTTATGATAGTTTAAGATATAAATTAGGCACAGTAATAACAAAATAGAACAATTGTAACCATATACTGTAATAAAAGTTATGTGAATGTGGTCTCTCTCAAAATACTGTACTGTACACACCTGTTATTGGACCGTGACTGACCTCAGGTTACTGAAACCATGGAGGCTGCAGATAAGCGGGGACTGCTGTGCCTGTATGTTAGCCTAAATATGTGTTTCTTTGGTTTTGCTTATGCAGTTTTACCAAGTTTTTACTTTATAAAATTTTGCACCCAGCTTAGCATTTTCAAGATTCAGAATCATGTTTTTAAAAAATCATGAATGTTACCCATTTTCCCAAAATGCATGTTTTCCTCATACCAAATTTTCACGTGAGACTAGTTTCATGTGATAAAGTCGTTAATGATAAGTGTTTCTAAAAGCATAGTATTGGCTGGGTGTGGTGGTTCACACCTGTGATCCCAGCATTTTAGGAGGCTGAGGCAGGAGGATCACTTGAGGCCAGGAATCCGAGACCAGCCTGGTCAACATAGTGAGACCTTGTCTCTACAAAAAAAGAAAAGCATAGTACTGCCTGGCATCCTGTTTAATTAATAGATACATTCTTTATTTTCTGATTCTCTATTAAATATAACTGTCTCTTTTACCAGCATTTTTGTACCTTTTAACTACAGATGCAGTTCTTTTTCATTGAACCTCAGGAACTGCAAGACCATAATCTGAAGGATTGTGTTAATATTGAAAGCCTAGCAGCAATGTCCATTTAATTATGGTTCACTCACATAATGAGGTAGCCATTACAAATGATGATATTGGCTCATATTGACTCGGACAGATATTCTCTTTACAGTAACGGGATAAAAATCAGGCTATCTCACAAACACAGATACACACATACCCTAATATACACCAGTGTTGTGTGATTTTATTTGTATTGAAAAATATAAATGTATATATGTTTCTATGTATTTATGCATAGAAAAAGAGTCTAGGAATTATACAGTGTATCAAAATGTTAATAAAGGCTGTCTTTGAGTGATAGGATTATATGTGATTTTTTAAAAATTTGCCTAACTTCATTTTCTGATACTCTACAGTTAATACATAAAAAGCCCAAGGAAGAGATGAGTTTTCTTGTCAGAAGAAATAGATCAAATGAATAGTATTTTTAAAAAGGCCCTACAGTGTTGGATTGTTTTATGTATAATTTTGGTATTAGCTATGTAGTCAGCACTGCATTATAATGTATGTGAACTTGGGCCACCGTCAGCAGCCCTGTCCTGAGATCCGCTGACTTACCCAGCAGGGTTAAGTAATTAAGAAGTGTCATGCCTCGGGTATTTTCTTAGCTTATTCTCATCAGCTTTTAGTAAAGCCAGAATTAATTTGTTTTCTTGCTGACATCTGGAAAAGAGGCTAATATGCTTGAGCATGACGCTTAATTTTCCTTTCCAACTCTAGATTCCAGAGTGTTTGAGGGATAGTTATCCCAGACCTGATCAGCCCTGTTACCTGTATGTGATAGGAATGGTTTTAACTACACCTTTACCTGATGAACTCAACTTTAGAAGGCGGAAGCTCTATCCTCCTGAAGATACCACAAGATGCTTTGGAATACTGACGGCCAAACCCATACCTCAGGTAGGTATTTCATAATGAGTACTTATGTCAAAAACGTCTTGCTTAGGAAAAGGAAAAAAAAAAAAACTAGTAGTAAGTACCTTTTGTTACCTCAGTATGTTTAATATTTAAAGATCGAGGTGCCTCTTCTATTTCTCCACTAGAAAGCATCATTTCTGTTCTGAAGTTAACTGTAATGGAATAAAATACCTGTTAATTTTGAGGGGTGCTTTACATTTCCTTTTGCTAAGATTCCACACTTTCCTGTGTACACACGCTCTGGAGAGGTTACCATATCCATTGAGTTGAAGAAGTCTGGTTTCATGTTGTCTCTACAAATGCTTGAGTTGATTACAAGACTTCACCAGTATATATTCTCACATATTCTTCGGCTTGAAAAACCTGCACTAGAATTTAAACCTACAGACGCTGATTCAGCATACTGTGTTCTACCTCTTAATGTTGGTAAGAAAAAAATCTCTTACTTTGATAACTCTAGACACATATACAAACATACAGCTTTGGTATGAAACTTATCTGTATCATGTTTTAACAAGCTAAAGAGTCGTTTTTCTCTTCTAAGTTAATGACTCCAGCACTTTGGATATTGACTTTAAATTCATGGAAGATATTGAGAAGTCTGAAGCTCGCATAGGCATTCCCAGTACAAAGTATACAAAAGAAACACCCTTTGTTTTTAAATTAGAAGATTACCAAGATGCCGTTATCATTCCAAGGTAGGTATTTAAATGGAAAGGAAAATGGTGGTGATACTTTGTTTTAAAAGATGCACTAGGTCGGGCACGGTGGCTCACGCCTGCAGTCCCAGCACTTTGGGAGGCCAAGGCGGGCAGATCATGAGGTCAGGAGATTGAGACCATCCTGGCCAGCATGGTGAAACCTCGTCTCTACTAAAAATACAAAAAATTAGCCAGGCGTGGTGGTGCACGCCTGTAGTCCCAGTTACTCGGGAGGCTGAGGCAGGGCAATCACTTCAAGCTAGGAGGCGGAGATTGCAGTGAGCTGAGATCGCTCCACTGCACTCCAGCCTGGAGACACACCAAGACTCTGTCTCAAAAAAAAAAAAAAAATTCACTTATTCACATGGGAATATAAGTGGGCTGTGATTTTAGCATTGTAATTACTAATAGGAAATATATTAGTCAGTCAGGCATGGTGATGCGTGCTGTAATCACAGCTACTCAGGGCTGAGGTGGGAAGATTGCTTCAGCCCAGGATTTCTAGGCTGTGCAGTAAGCTGTGATCACACCACTACACTCCAGCCTGGGCAACAGATCGGGGAAAAGAAAGAAACTCTTAAGGTCGACCCGTTCTCTCCAGTATACTTGCTTAAAAAATAATACCTAAAACGTTATAGATAAGGAATTTTCCTTTGTAAAGGGTCAGATAATCTAATGTTGATAGGCTTTCTTCTTAAAATCTCCATCCTTTTAGTCTCCAGAGTCTTATAGAATTTGATTATAAATAATGATTTCATTTCTTAAAATTTTTATAAGGAATATTAAGCTCTGTGAAAATAGTAAATCCAGAATGATTTTTTTCCTTATTTTATAAAAATTTAGGGAATGGAGTTTTGGGGCAATACAATACAGGCAGTTTTCAAATAATTATAATACTAGTTGTAATTCAATCTTTGATTTTTTTTTTCTTTTTGCACCTCAAAACCATATTTTAAATGTTAGTTATCAGGACCATCACTATCATAGATGATGCAGTAATACGTTTTATATGACAAGTGTCTTTAATGTTTAGCATTAGTAATATACAAAGTATTTACTCTTTGGATAGTGTAAATTTTTTATACTATTTATATAGATGAAATAGATATGTAAAGGTGCCATTTAGCTTCATGTGTTATCAAAATGTAGATATTTAGAACAAGAATAATAATAAAATGGGACAATAATGTGTCCATTTTTACTTGATAAAAATACAGTTCTTACATACTTGAAATATATTTGGAATACAGATGTTTATTGTTACTTATTTTTAATCTTTTGAATTCTTAATCATCATTTCCATACTACAAACAGTTGTATTTTGAGAATAGTTGATTTAAATCAAAAAGCAACTGATTGTTTTTTTGTTTTTCTTTTTTAGATATCGCAATTTTGATCAGCCTCATCGATTTTATGTAGCTGATGTGTACACTGATCTTACCCCACTCAGTAAATTTCCTTCCCCTGAGTATGAAACTTTTGCAGAATATTATAAAACAAAGTACAACCTTGACCTAACCAATCTCAACCAGCCACTGCTGGATGTGGACCACACATCTTCAAGGTAAGGGGCTTCAGAGATGACACTTGGATTGCACTTGAGGGATTCTTACCAGACATCACTAGACATGCAGAGGTTCACTGTCCCCCTGCCCACCCGTGGACTATCTGAAATCAGGAGATGCTTTGCACACAAACTTGCCCAAGGGGTAGCCCAAGAGGCTGTAGTTGAAATGAGCTCTTCAGGTGGTTTTTGGAGAACCACTGTGAATATGTACTCATTTTTGTGTGTTTGATAAAATTGTTTTGGAATTCTTACAGACTTAATCTTTTGACACCTCGACATTTGAATCAGAAGGGGAAAGCGCTTCCTTTAAGCAGTGCTGAGAAGAGGAAAGCCAAATGGGAAAGTCTGCAGAATAAACAGGTAATGAGTTAATTGTACTAGCATAACTTAGTATTTGTTTGAGTATTAAAGATTATTAAAGATAAGTTTGAATTTTATCTTACCAAGTTAAATGCATGATTCGTTAATTTTTTAGAAGTTACCTAATCCTCAAATTTTGTTTTGTTTTGTTTTAATTAGTATTATGTGTTGAATGTTATTTGAATGTTCTTTTTGGTAAGTATTGAGAGTTTTGTTTTTATACTTGGCCCATTAATATATCACAAAATCATTCTCATAAATCCTTTGATAAATCCCATTTGGCCTTAGAGGATTATTTTTACAAATATTTTTTAAAATTAAGTTTTACTAGCATTTATGATTTTCTTTATCCATTAGTGAAATTGGTCTTTTTTTTTTTCTTTTGTGTGTGCGCTTTGTATTTATCTGTCCATTTTTCCCCTTACTTGAAGATACTGGTTCCAGAACTCTGTGCTATACATCCAATTCCAGCATCACTGTGGAGAAAAGCTGTTTGTCTCCCCAGCATACTTTATCGCCTTCACTGCCTTTTGACTGCAGAGGAGCTAAGAGCCCAGACTGCCAGCGATGCTGGCGTGGGAGTCAGATCACTTCCTGCGGATTTTAGGTATGCCTGTGCAGTCAGCCAGAAAGAACACAGATCATGAGATCCTGTTTGCAAAAGAACAGAATTAAGTTAAAATTGTATATAAAATAATTCTTAAAAGAGTAAAAAGAAAATAATGGATATCTTATGTCTTGTCAAGTCTCAGAGGGAGATGAGAATCTGAGGTCAGAAATAACCATTACTGCTTAAGCCATAACAGTTGGAGTGAGAATGAAATTGTTCTTTGTTACTGCATCAGCATTTTCAGTCTGTTTTTTCTTTTAAAAATCCAAATATATGTTAAAAAGCAATAGCCTTAGCATGTTCTTTGTCTTCATTATTTTCTTCCCATTAGTAAAATCTCTGCATTCTAAAGAAACTGTTGGCTTAAACACTCACATTAGTTCTGGTTATCCAATTGGCAATATCAAGACTGTTCTAGGGATTGAAGGAATTTTAAAATATAATAGGAATAACCACAATATTTATTGGTTAGTTGCTATAGTGCCAAACACTAGCTTAAATGCTGTACCCTGTGTTAGTTAGCTCATTTAATCATTAAGACAGTGCTATGAGATAGGAATTGTTAGCCCTTTTCTCAGGTGCAGAAGCTGAGGCACAGAGAGTTTATGTAAGTTGCCCAGAGTTACTCAGCGGGTTAACCAGAGTGCCTGGGATTCCAACCCGTGAAGCTAGGCCCCAGGTCCTGCAGGATGCCTGCAAGCTTCGTGACCTTCTTAACTACCACACCTAGAGTCTAGGGCCAGGGATTAAAGCAGTAGATAAAACCATGTCCCACTTTATAATTTACACTGTAAATTAAAAATTTGGAAACTTGCTTCTATTCTAAAGTTTAGGAGTACATTTTTGGGATCTTTGTTTTTGTTTTTAAATTCAAATTGCTGTTGCTCTCAGCCTAGCTGTTTTGAAGAATCTGATGTAAAGTTATAAAAATGTCTTTGCAGATACCCTAACTTAGACTTCGGGTGGAAAAAATCTATTGACAGCAAATCTTTCATCTCAATTTCTAACTCCTCTTCAGCTGAAAATGATAATTACTGTAAGCACAGCACAATTGTCCCTGAAAATGCTGCACATCAAGGTGCTAATAGAACCTCCTCTCTAGAAAATCATGACCAAATGTCTGTGAACTGCAGAACGTTGCTCAGCGAGTCCCCTGGTAAGCTCCACGTTGAAGTTTCAGCAGATCTTACAGCAATTAATGGTCTTTCTTACAATCAAAATCTCGCCAATGGCAGTTATGATTTAGCTAACAGAGACTTTTGCCAAGGAAATCAGCTAAATTACTACAAGCAGGAAATACCCGTGCAACCAACTACCTCATATTCCATTCAGAATTTATACAGTTACGAGAACCAGCCCCAGCCCAGCGATGAATGTACTCTCCTGAGTAATAAATACCTTGATGGAAATGCTAACAAATCTACCTCAGATGGAAGTCCTGTGATGGCCGTAATGCCTGGTACGACAGACACTATTCAAGTGCTCAAGGGCAGGATGGATTCTGAGCAGAGCCCTTCTATTGGGTACTCCTCAAGGACTCTTGGCCCCAATCCTGGACTTATTCTTCAGGCTTTGACTCTGTCAAACGCTAGTGATGGATTTAACCTGGAGCGGCTTGAAATGCTTGGCGACTCCTTTTTAAAGCATGCCATCACCACATATCTATTTTGCACTTACCCTGATGCGCATGAGGGCCGCCTTTCATATATGAGAAGCAAAAAGGTAAGAGATGATTTTTTTATTTTGAGCAGTTAATTATTCAGTGTGCCTGAAAGTGGTTTGCAGTGTTGGATAATCTCAGAGGATGAGAACGTATCATGCTCAGAAATTGCTACACCGGCCAAGCACAGCTGCTCCCTTGTTCTACCAGGGCCAGCGAAAGCCTGTGGCAGAACTACCTGGCAGTTGATGAGTATTGCTTTACACCAATCCCACACTCAGGTTTTGGGGCTTAGCTGATCTCCACGTGCCTTACTTTTTGATTGAAAGTCAGTTCAAAGGAAGCTATGCAAGTGTGTACACCCCTTGATCCTGAGGGGGATATGAAGAAATGTGCATTGTAGTCAGTCAAGGAGCTTCTGCTTTGTTGAGTTAAACATTTATTTGAGAGGGTACGTCTTGGCTTACAAGGCATACAGACATGAGTAAGACACAAGTCTTGTGGAGGAGCTCATCTCCAAAGTTTTGGAGAGTGGAGCGGAGAAGAGTAACAAGCTTCACAGAGCTTGGCTGCTCTCCAGTGTGAAGAGGGTGACACCAGAGTTCTGAGTAATTAACGCTCGATAGCTCAGAGAAAGGGCGGGCTCTTAAACTCAGCATGGACTAAGACTTAAGAAAAGGAATGAAGGTAAGATATTCAAGTTATGGGGGAAAAATGGAAAAAAGTCTCACAAGGCAACATGAGCCTCCTGGACAAATACCTTAGAAAGCTGCTGATCACTTGCAGCACTCAGAAGGAAGGAGCATCACTGTTGAATCAAGGATGGCATTAATGGAGGAGGCAAGTTGACAGTGCATAAGCAAAGTGAACAGATGGCAGAGCATGTCAGCGTCAGGGAAGCAGCCGTGGCAGCAGTCAGAAGTGTGGAAATACCTGAGAAAAGGCTTGAAAAGGCAGCTGGGGTGAAGCTGTATCGTGGAAGGCCTTGAATGCTGGGCTAAGGAGTTTGCACGTGTTTTGAATGTTGTAGGCACTGTTGAAGGAATTTAGAGCAAGGAACTATTAATGTTAATAAAGTGGTAGTTTAAAATGATTAATCTGGTAGCAGAATGTAGTGTGAGTTGAAAAGCATATCCAAACCAACAGCAGAAGCAGAGAATGGGATAGAACTAGAGTTCTGGTAGAGAGGAAGGGGCTGAGGTGAGTGAGAATTTCAGAAGAAATAATTTTAGCTAACAATTTAAAAGTGCTTACTCTGCACTACTCTAAAAGATAACCGTATACGCACACACACGTACACACACCCACATATATACACATATATGCATATAAACCTAATTTAATTTTTATAATTCTGAGAGGTAGAAACTTTTATTTTCCCCATTTTATAGGTGAGAATAGGCTGGAGAAGTTAGCTTGCCCAAGGTCACTTGGCAAGTAAGTGGCAGAGCTTGGGTCGAATCCAGACAGCCTGGCTTTGGAGACCTTCCCCTTCCCCATCACACTAACTGCTCCGGATAGAACCATCACACCAGGCAGCACACCAAGCATTTCCCAAGTGCTCACTCATTCACTCTTCTCTAAGCCTCTGGGAAAGAGACAACACATCCCTGTTTTGCAGATGAGGGGACTCACACTTAGAGAGTCGAATGGGCTCCTGTCAGGTCACCTAACTGTTCATCTGGGAGAGTCAGGAGTGTGTCCAAGGCCTCCCAGGATGATCTTGAGGTGGACTGGAGGCGCAGTCATAACAACCACGTAAACTGGCAACTTGGGGGCAGTGGCAGTAGCAGGGAGGTAGGGAGAAATGTGGGAAGTCCATGTTAGAGTTGAGATTTTAGACCTCATGGAATATGAAGTGGAAATGTTCAGATAATTGAGGCTGTAGGATTCAGATACGGTTTTGTAGAGTAGTCGCCATACGGAAGCTCTGAGAATGGATGAGATTTCCAAGAGGTGGTTGCAGGAAGAAAGTATCAGAGGCTTGGACAAGTGTGGCATAGGCAATAGGATAGGATACTCTGTTAGACAAGACAGAGGTGACTTTCTATTACAAAACTCGTCCATTTGTCTGCTCAGAAACCTTCTACTCCTTATTTCTGCAGAAAGAATGATCACTCCCTCAGCCTGCTGTTCAGGCCCTTTCAGCCCTGATGCGTTTTGGATCCTAAGCAGGTGGAAGCCCCTTGCAGCTCATTGGACAGACTCCACGCTCAGACCCCCAGCCTTGGGGCCCTTGCTCTGTCCTTCCTTCTGCAGAGGGCTTGCCTCCATCTCTACCTGTCCAGAATTTTGCCCCATATTTGAGACCTTACGTAGCTCTTTCTTCATCCTGCCCACCATTTCTGTCAACTTGGAATGTGATTTCCCTCCCATGAGTCCACGTTGTACTTTATCCTCTTCTTGGCGCTTGTGATGCTTTGTTCTCTTAGCTTGGAAAGGGAAGCTAGCATTTATTTCAGCCTGCTACGTTTCAGGCAGAGAGGGAGAGTACTTTTGGCTATAGTGGTCACACGTACCCTCCTTTTCCCTGCTAGCCTGTGTGTCACGAGGACTGCCCCTCTGTCCTGCTGCCATCGTTCCCTCAGGGTTGCCCAATCGAGTGCCTCTCATATGGGGGGTGTCTATTAAACAATAGTTGAGTTACATGGGAAGAGGGCTAATGAAGTACTTAATAATAAGGAACCGAGCTTTATGAAAATGAAAATGGGATTGACAATTCTAGACCCTAGTTTCCAAGTACTAACTTGACAGAAATGCAATGATGTGAGAAATTAAGAAGGAGATAGAGGCATTAGGAAAAACAGACCGGAGTAGAGGGTAAGATAGTAAAGCTGTTCCATTAATGTGAATAAACAGAAACCTTTTGGTTCATTTTTTTTAAGTTGAATAAAAGTGTCTTGAAATGGCTGTAAAACAAAGGAATAATATTTGAGAGAGCATTACAGTTGAAATCCCGTTTGTGGCTTCGATTCTAGGAATATAACATTGTTTCAGTTTTGTTCGGTGCCAGTTTTCACTTTGCAGCTAGAGCTGATGGCATCCTCCCCCCATTTCATTGAAAATATTGTGACATCTTGACTTTTTCTATGGGTTCTTTTCTACTTTGGTAATTCCAGTTAGCAGTTTGCATTTTATATCATCAGGTTGTATTTTCAAGGCTTTGATATTGTCTGAAGTGTTTCTTCTCAGTCATTCATAAGGAGTATGCATAGTTATATACATTATTTTTTCTGCTCTGCATCTTATATTCAGAAATATTTACACCAAAAAAGCATAGAATATGTGGGAATTTAATATTCTTTTTATAACATGAATGGGTAGAAAAACTGTAGAGCCCTTATAATTAATTGATGACATATAATTAATTGATTAATTTTAAGAACATTTAACTGAGGATATGTTAATATGCCTTGAATGAATTCCAGCAGTGATCATTTATGGATAAGTATCCTAATATTTTCTGCTAAAGGTCAGCAACTGTAATCTGTATCGCCTTGGAAAAAAGAAGGGACTACCCAGCCGCATGGTGGTGTCAATATTTGATCCCCCTGTGAATTGGCTTCCTCCTGGTTATGTAGTAAATCAAGACAAAAGCAACACAGATAAATGGGAAAAAGATGAAATGGTAAGTTTGTGTGTGTGTGTGTGTGTGTGTGTGTGTGTGTGTGTGTGTAACTGGAGGGATTTACTTTTCGGTGAGCCAAATAATTTGTTTTATTAATTTTTTGTTTCATTTTCTTGGTATGTTTATAATAGAGTAGATATTTGATATATTTAATTAATTCCTTTAATTACACTGTCTTTTCACTGAATTCAGAAATAGTATTATAATTTTGATGGAGGCAAATTTCTATTTTTATTATTTCTTTTCCAAAGGCATAAGAGTATGTGATGTTTTGACTTTGAGTTTTGCTCTTCTTTAAAAAAATTTCACTTTGCTGTTATTACAATTTATCCTAGATCCTTAGCTCTGTTCAGTGAAATGACTTTTCAGTGACCTGTGATCTCCAGTCTGTCTGTGAAATAATTAATTTCAGTAAAATCTTGCTTTTGTAGCTCAGGGTTTTCCCAGTCAGGACTCCTGTGAACTTAAAAAAAAAAAATCATCCATAAAGATTGTTATTTTCTGGAAATAATTTAAATCTTGCCAGTGACTTAAGAAGACTCCAAATATCAGCAACAGCCACTTCATTTTGTCTTGTCTTGAAGGCCACCAGAGGGCACTTGGGAGGGCCTCCAAACTGCAGGAACCAGCGCAGTGGTGGTTGACTGGGAGAGTTCTAGTGCCTCTTCCGAAGTTAAAGGCAATGCTTCAGACAGTTTCATTTCTTGGAGATTTATTTTGCATTAAAAATAAATTGGCTCATTGTTACTTCATTTTTACCTCAGGCCAACAATGATAATACCGTTTTTTTCTTTCAAAGGTTATATTTTTAAATATCCATTTTCTCCATGTCTTCTTTGTGATGCATGTATCCTATATATCTGCCTTTAAGTATTTCCAGGTAGCATGTTCAGTGACACTATTTGGATTTTTACCTATTTATTGAGGATGTTTTTAACTCATGTAGTATTTGTCTTATTACAGAATTAGAACTTATTTGGAAAAGCATTAAGGGAATATTTTAATGCAAGTTAGGTCCGAACAATTATTTGTTATTAATTTAGAAATATGTAGAACCTTAGAGGAAAATGTATAGATTTTCAACTTTAGAAATGGTATGGTATTTCTATGAATAACATTCCAGTAACAGTCATCCTCCTTTGTTAATACCGTTTCATAATGTTTTTGGCTCTTTTTAAAAACTTGTAGCATGAAGGTGACATTGGCATGTCATTGATTTTTTTTTTAAGATACAACACAAAGTTCAATTTATTTTTCTTAATGTTTCTGATGGCACTTTGGTTATTGGAATTCATTAGAAATACTGTTCAGATTTTTATTTAGTAAGTTACTTTTATTGAAATATAGGCCCTTGCATTATATTGAAAAGATACACTGTGGTTTTGGCTGGTTGCATTGCCATTCTCCCTACCTTGCTCTGGCCCTTCAGCAAATGGGCTTAAGTGGAAACCTTTGCATGCTAAAACGCCTCTTAATAGACGAGAGTATCAAAGTTGACTTGAATGATATAGAAAAGGATTTCATGTGGCTGTTTTTTCTTAAAAGGCTTGAAGTGCTCTTGAAAAACATTTTATGAGACAGAACCCCACTCTTTTGTAGATGAAGCATCTGAAACCCAGAGGCACTAAAAGGCTTTGCCCAGGATCACACAGTTTGTGATAAAAGTCAGCCCTTTGTGATTTTTGTGCTCTGCCACTTTTGGCTTATGGTGGCACCTTTCTAAAGATACAGAAGGTTTTTTTCAATAAAAAAAAAATATTGTCTGATTTTTTAAAAATCGCAGTTTGGCCCTCTTTTTCTTAAGGACCAATCAAAAACATCTTCATGTTGCCTTGGAAAGTCTAAGATTGTTAGCAGGAAATGTTCCTTGAGGTCTGCCGCTACAGTTGCTTTTGGTGTTCCTTATTCTTGAAAAGGTGTTTCTTTCTTAATTAAAAAAATGAAAAGATAAATAGTTAGAGATATGGCTTGGCTTACTGCTATTTCTTTTCAGACAAATGTAGTGTTTATATCTTGAGTCTAGTTTAAAATATTTGTAGTATTTAAAAAATGCTTGAAGGTTGCAACTTTTTTTTGTCAGAACACTGGAAAGTTGTTACAATCAACATTGATGCACACCCTTCGTCTTCCCCCTTCACAAGTTTTTTGGTTTTTTAAAAACTTGCATAACAGAAATTTGGCATCTTTCTAGGATTGCAAAGAAGTTACATCATTACTGAAATCTAGCCCATTATTAAGGTTGTCACTCACAAATAAGCTTTTGCCAAAGAAATTGGAATTAGCAAAGATCTTTTGACAGAAATTGGATTGTTGTGTTTCATGTTAGTCTAAATTTTCTTCCATTTTTGTCAGTTATGCTATAATCTGTTCCCCTGATTACCGTAGTTCAGAGTGGAGGGAAAAAACGTAACTTCTCAAATTCATAGCTTAGTGCAGTGATCACTTTTATTTTTTAAGGAAAGCAGTGTAGTTTTTTTGTGGCAAGTATACTTTGAAGTGGAAATAGGGACAAAAAGCTTTATTATAAAATCCTATTGTACATTTTAAAAAATGATTTTATCTGTTTTTATATTATATTCTTAATTGCAAAGGTAATGCTTTTCTACATCTGGAATTTCGTTTTATTAGTTTGAAAATCTTTTTGAAAATCAAATTACCACATTTTCAAATTTTGTCAGCAAAATTGAAGATCTGTGTGATCAGCATATGAGTGCTTTCATTGTGTGTCCTACCAGAGTTAGACGACTTAGTTGAAGTTTTGCATTGTGGACATTAATTTTAACTTTATATCCATGTTCAAAGTCCTTAACTTAAAGCTTCATACTGGATAAAGGTCATTTTATAACTTAGAAAACGAACATTCAAAGAACATGTTTTACTTTGTTTATATGATTAAATAACTTATTTTATGTTAATTGAAAACAAATGGCCATGATTTTAAAGTTGCCTTTTAGTATTTGTGGTTGTCATTTGAAATTATCCATAACCCTTGCTTTTATTGAGTTTCAAACCCTTTTAAAAACAGCAGCTATGTTTCCCCTCCTTCCCCATTCCCCCTCGTTTCAGACAAAAGACTGCATGCTGGCGAATGGCAAACTGGATGAGGATTACGAGGAGGAGGATGAGGAGGAGGAGAGCCTGATGTGGAGGGCTCCGAAGGAAGAGGCTGACTATGAAGATGATTTCCTGGAGTATGATCAGGAACATATCAGATTTATAGATAATATGTTAATGGGGTCAGGAGCTTTTGTAAAGAAAATCTCTCTTTCTCCTTTTTCAACCACTGATTCTGCATATGAATGGAAAATGCCCAAAAAATCCTCCTTAGGTAGTATGCCATTTTCATCAGATTTTGAGGATTTTGACTACAGCTCTTGGGATGCAATGTGCTATCTGGATCCTAGCAAAGCTGTTGAAGAAGATGACTTTGTGGTGGGGTTCTGGAATCCATCAGAAGAAAACTGTGGTGTTGACACGGGAAAGCAGTCCATTTCTTACGACTTGCACACTGAGCAGTGTATTGCTGACAAAAGCATAGCGGACTGTGTGGAAGCCCTGCTGGGCTGCTATTTAACCAGCTGTGGGGAGAGGGCTGCTCAGCTTTTCCTCTGTTCACTGGGGCTGAAGGTGCTCCCGGTAATTAAAAGGACTGATCGGGAAAAGGCCCTGTGCCCTACTCGGGAGAATTTCAACAGCCAACAAAAGAACCTTTCAGTGAGCTGTGCTGCTGCTTCTGTGGCCAGTTCACGCTCTTCTGTATTGAAAGACTCGGAATATGGTTGTTTGAAGATTCCACCAAGATGTATGTTTGATCATCCAGATGCAGATAAAACACTGAATCACCTTATATCGGGGTTTGAAAATTTTGAAAAGAAAATCAACTACAGATTCAAGAATAAGGCTTACCTTCTCCAGGCTTTTACACATGCCTCCTACCACTACAATACTATCACTGGTAAGGAGCCCACGACCAGACTTCATTTCTGGGAAAATGAGACTTTGTGTTGATCTCATCGTGTTGGCCTTGTAAAAGTGATCTATGCATGTACAGTGTTCATGCTTAATATTCAAGGGATGGGGCGGGGAACAAAAGGAATAGAAAGAATTCTTTTCCTTGTTATTTGGGGAGCACGTATTGCTTTATAACTTTGGTTGTTGGGAGTATGGCTATCATATACCCTCATCAGTGTCATTTTATATCTGCCTAATTAGAGAAATTTTAACCTTAGTATTTTGATGTGTTTTCCCCATTTTATCCTCCGCAAATATCTTTCTCTTGCCCATTCAGTGCTGCTTTTGGTTTTTGATTTAGTTGTATATTCTGGATGTATTTCCACAGCCTTTTATTGTTCTTCCTGGACAAAAAGACCCCTCCTTTAGGGTCTTTTTAAAGATGGATAGATTAAAAGATTAAAAGCAATGATTTCACAAGAAGGTTGCGTGGCCCTTGCTGTGACTCTGCTGTCATCTTCTACTTCTCACTGTGCTCTGTATTTGCCCCTCTTTTAATAGACTGTCAACCCATTAGATTAGAAGGGAGAACAAGCCCCTCACACCCAAATCAGCTTCAGGCTGTGAAACACAGCTGAAGTTTACATTTCAATTTCTGTATCAGAAAAATAAGTGCCTGAATTCAGAACACCAAAGCAAAGTATAAAGTTTGTAGTTTATATAATAAAAGCAGCGTAGGTTAAGGTGATCAGCAAAATGTAAAAACCAAAAAGTGAAAAACTATCTGACTCTGGACTGGAAAGACTGATGAAACTAAAGCCTAATTTTCGTTATGGAGGAAAAATGATACGTGGCTTTCGACTACATTCTGCTGGAAGTTCCGAGACCTGGGTTCTCGCCTAGCAGTCCCTGCTTCTTAATTCCTTGCTTATTCTGGGACAAGTCACCATCGGTCCCTGCCTCAGTTTCCTCAGCTGGATATATTATTTTAATCACTGTGAGAAAATAGAGGTGTTGATTTAACATTGATCATTTTCACATTTTGACAACCAGTTTACCTGCCTTTGCTCCCTTTCACAACTCTTCTTTCTCAATCTCTTGGTTTGTGGTAAATTCATTTCTATAATAGCTCAAGTTAAGAAGAGGGTCTTCTTTTCCTGTCATCCTGTGTAACAAAAATAGCCCAGGAATAGTGAGGAATGGTATCACTTATGCACAGATTCCAGAGTGTGAATGAGACTTTAGCGATGGCAGCACAGTGTAGCCACATGGAGAGGTGTGTGCGGCCCTGGTTTCACTTAAGTGATGATGTGTGAGGGAGACTCGAGAGGAAGGCCCCAGCACCTGCCCAGACAGCACAGTGCCAGAGAAAAGCATTCAGTGATCATGATAGCACCTGTGAGGTTTTGTTTTTCCTTCTTAACAAGCGTTAGTCTTTTGACCACTTGAAGATTTTATGACCCCAGTTTATATAAGAAATGTACTTAATTTGTCATTAAAATTTAGTTTCCAGAGGCTTTTTAGTATGATATGTCAGATATCCTTTTTGAAGAATATATGTATGAAAATGATTGTAAATACAAATCTTCTTCGGATTTGGGGATCAGTTGCTATGTGGGGATAGTGTAAATGCTTCTGCACAAGCTTACGGTTCCACTTCGGATCCCCTCAGATTGTTACCAGCGCTTAGAATTCCTGGGAGATGCGATTTTGGACTACCTCATAACCAAGCACCTTTATGAAGACCCGCGGCAGCACTCCCCGGGGGTCCTGACAGACCTGCGGTCTGCCCTGGTCAACAACACCATCTTTGCATCGCTGGCTGTAAAGTACGACTACCACAAGTACTTCAAAGCTGTCTCTCCTGAGCTCTTCCATGTCATTGATGACTTTGTGCAGTTTCAGCTTGAGAAGAATGAAATGCAAGGAATGGATTCTGAGGTTAGTGCTGTTCAAAACGATGTTGAAAAAAGTGGTCTAACTAGGAGTCTCTGTAGTTTCAGAGTTCTGACGGCATAGTGGTCTAAAGGGACAGCAGGAGGTCAGGGGTGTGGGACCCAGTGTGCTGTGTTCTGTGGGAGCACGAGTGAACTGCAGTTTGCAGGTAGGCCTCTTGAACTTGTCTGCCCCCACTGTGGGCTGTGTGGTCATTCAGGTGAAGAGAAGGAACCAGGCCTTTCAGTTAGGTACCCTTCCCACGCCTTCATGAGGGCTTCCAGCATTGAGGCATGCCAAAGAAGTGGCCTCCACTGCCGGACCCCAAGGCAGGTTTAGCTTTAGTAAAAGCCCAGTGTAGCTTATCCTTCCTTTTTTAAATGGATCAGAAATATTTGCTAATATCTCAGGGAAGCATCATAAATATACATTCTGCTTCTACTTGAAGTGGGAAAATCTAATTTAAAAAACAAACTTCTAAATTTTTGACCATTGGAATTTGGGAGGCTTCTATTGTAAGTTCAGCCAAAGGCTGTCTGGTGACAGAGCTAATTCTAATGTGTTTGTGAGCTATTTCGAATTTTTGTAGGAAAGGATATTGCTTAGATCTTTCCAGTCTCTTAACATTCATCTGCATACCTGTGTCCCCCAGAGAGACTCTCATTTCCTCCTCTTCCCATTTCATTTCCTTTGATTTTCTTATTTTTGTAGATTTTCTTATAAGGAGTCAGGAAATACAACCTTAATACTAGTAGCTGTTTTAGTTGTCATTGCTTTAATTTGTACCTTCCCCTTTTTAATTGCACCAAACCTTTGTTGGGGAGTAGTGACTTTCTATGACAAAAATTAAGAGTAGGTTTGAAGTCTAGCCGCAGAGCCGAGTTCACGCCCTGCCAGCTGCCCAGATGTGCACTGGAGGAGTCAGTAGGCCCTGCTCTTACTTTAACGCGCCTCTGTGCTCTTGTCCAAGATGAACAGCCTGAGCTGGAGCGTGGCAGGCTGTGAGGCGAGAAGGCGGGACCAGCTCGTAGACTTCCAAGTGTTACCTAGTCTCATTCTTTAGAAATAGCTAAGCTTGAAATTTGAGGAATTAGTTAAAATTAGATTTAAGCTCTCTTTGGATGCCAGTGGGGCATATTGGTTTTGTTAGTTTTTGTTCATTCTTTTCCTTCCCTTTGTTTATATAAACATATGTATAGAAGTTACAAGAACTGATTGGAAATGTCATGGTCTGGCATTTCTAACTTACTATTTGATCTTAAGAAAGTCTCTTTACCTCTCTGGGCCTCCGTTTCCTCAGCTGTAAAAAGAGAGAATTAAACTTGGTAAGTTTTAAAATTCCTTTCTATCTCAAAACCATAAATATGAACAATAAGTCTGTTTTTTTAAGTAATCAGCAGTATAAATGTATTATATGTAACTTTGTATGGCTAAACAACCTATTAGAAATTAGTATTTTCCCACTTTCTCTTTATTTTTTTCACAAATGATTTGTGTTGATTTTAGAAAAGTTAGTACAAGTAAATAAGAAGAAAATTAGTTAAATTTGCCTGATTATGCTACCTCGGAAATAACCAATATTAACATTTTGGGAGGAATTGTGGATGTGTATAGATATAAACATATCTAAAATGTAAAATGGAATTCTGTTATGTATAGGATACTGTCACCTGTTCTTTTCACGTATAATATATTGTGGCTGACTTTCCGTGTATTGATGGGTATCGTGATGCTCAGGGGCCACACGCTAGTCAACACGTGGCTGATTGATTTAAACGCTTCTTTATGGCCGAGTAATTAAGTAGTTTTTGGTTAGGATGTTTAATAACCATGGAGGTGATAAATACGCTTATGTATCTAGTTACCTCCTTAAAATAAGTTCTTAGAGATGCAATTGCTGCATCAAAGAATTGTGAACTTTTCAAAGGCTTTTGATGCATGATTTTCTTTTATTAATTTGCATACATGCTATGTCAGATACTCGGTTATAGTGAACACATATCTAGTGGCTTAATGAAGAGGGAACTTGGAGGAAAAAATCTTTCAAATATAATTTCCCTATTTCCCTACAACAGCGATTTCTGCTCCCCAAAGCAGCATACACCCGTGCCAGCACCAGACCAATTAGTACTATTGAATGCTTGCCAAGCAGCTAGGGAGTAGAACTGTTTTAAAGTATAGTTCTTTGATTACGAGTGAATTTGAATTTTTTTCATACTTTTATTGACTATTTCTAATTCTTTGTTAAGGTTGTTTAAAGTTAGAAGTAATCTTTTTTCTTTGCTGGGTATATAGAATAATAAATGGGGTGGGGATATTTTTTCTTTTTTTCTTGAGAAGTTTGAAAAACTTTTTTAAAAATATAACATTTGTTTTACTATTACAATATAGTAGGCATACCATAAATGGTATTTCCCCCCTTACTAAAGAAGTAACAAAAGTCATATATCCAAGAAAAGAAACTACATCTGTGGACTGCCTGTAAAAGTGGCCTTTTTGCTTACAAGTCACTTTTCCCTCTGTAATAGCTTAGGAGATCTGAGGAGGATGAAGAGAAAGAAGAGGATATTGAAGTTCCAAAGGCCATGGGGGATATTTTTGAGTCGCTTGCTGGTGCCATTTACATGGATAGTGGGATGTCACTGGAGACAGTCTGGCAGGTGTACTATCCCATGATGCGGCCACTAATAGGTATTGTTGGCTCCCTTTAGAAAGAAAAAAACCCACAAAATTAAAAACAACTTCAGAGATATTATTCATATTATTCTTTCATTTTGATTGCAGAAAAGTTTTCTGCAAATGTACCCCGTTCCCCTGTGCGAGAATTGCTTGAAATGGAACCAGAAACTGCCAAATTTAGGTAAGCAAAAAATGTACATGGAAAAAACATTAACTTAAAAACATCAAAGGGGAAAAGTTCACAAAGATATTGTAAACTAATGATTCTGAAAAATATTTACACTGTGGTGTGCTGTTGTCAGATTTCTGTTTGTAATCTGATTGACTTCTCTTTTTTCCTTCTGTTTTTATGAAATAATGCTGTAATAAAGACTAGACGGCAGCCCTGTCTGTCGGGGGTATGCAATTGCAGTAAGTCGTAACGCGTGTTTCCTTTGTGTGGTGTCAGCTTATACATGGGACTCCTGGCCTGAGAGTGCACACTAAATGCTGATTGACAATGATAATAAATACTTCTGACTTCTAATTCAAGCTGTTTGGATTTTTTACAGCCCGGCTGAGAGAACTTACGACGGGAAGGTCAGAGTCACTGTGGAAGTAGTAGGAAAGGGGAAATTTAAAGGTGTTGGTCGAAGTTACAGGATTGCCAAATCTGCAGCAGCAAGAAGAGCCCTCCGAAGCCTCAAAGCTAATCAACCTCAGGTTCCCAATAGCTGAAACCGCTTTTTAAAATTCAAAACAAGAAACAAAACAAAAAAAATTAAGGGGAAAATTATTTAAATCGGAAAGGAAGACTTAAAGTTGTTAGTGAGTGGAATGAATTGAAGGCAGAATTTAAAGTTTGGTTGATAACAGGATAGATAACAGAATAAAACATTTAACATATGTATAAAATTTTGGAACTAATTGTAGTTTTAGTTTTTTGCGCAAACACAATCTTATCTTCTTTCCTCACTTCTGCTTTGTTTAAATCACAAGAGTGCTTTAATGATGACATTTAGCAAGTGCTCAAAATAATTGACAGGTTTTGTTTTTTTTTTTTTGAGTTTATGTCAGCTTTGCTTAGTGTTAGAAGGCCATGGAGCTTAAACCTCCAGCAGTCCCTAGGATGATGTAGATTCTTCTCCATCTCTCCGTGTGTGCAGTAGTGCCAGTCCTGCAGTAGTTGATAAGCTGAATAGAAAGATAAGGTTTTCGAGAGGAGAAGTGCGCCAATGTTGTCTTTTCTTTCCACGTTATACTGTGTAAGGTGATGTTCCCGGTCGCTGTTGCACCTGATAGTAAGGGACAGATTTTTAATGAACATTGGCTGGCATGTTGGTGAATCACATTTTAGTTTTCTGATGCCACATAGTCTTGCATAAAAAAGGGTTCTTGCCTTAAAAGTGAAACCTTCATGGATAGTCTTTAATCTCTGATCTTTTTGGAACAAACTGTTTTACATTCCTTTCATTTTATTATGCATTAGACGTTGAGACAGCGTGATACTTACAACTCACTAGTATAGTTGTAACTTATTACAGGATCATACTAAAATTTCTGTCATATGTATACTGAAGACATTTTAAAAACCAGAATATGTAGTCTACGGATATTTTTTATCATAAAAATGATCTTTGGCTAAACACCCCATTTTACTAAAGTCCTCCTGCCAGGTAGTTCCCACTGATGGAAATGTTTATGGCAAATAATTTTGCCTTCTAGGCTGTTGCTCTAACAAAATAAACCTTAGACATATCACACCTAAAATATGCTGCAGATTTTATAATTGATTGGTTACTTATTTAAGAAGCAAAACACAGCACCTTTACCCTTAGTCTCCTCACATAAATTTCTTACTATACTTTTCATAATGTTGCATGCATATTTCACCTACCAAAGCTGTGCTGTTAATGCCGTGAAAGTTTAACGTTTGCGATAAACTGCCGTAATTTTGATACATCTGTGATTTAGGTCATTAATTTAGATAAACTAGCTCATTATTTCCATCTTTGGAAAAGGAAAAAAAAAAAAACTTCTTTAGGCATTTGCCTAAGTTTCTTTAATTAGACTTGTAGGCACTCTTCACTTAAATACCTCAGTTCTTCTTTTCTTTTGCATGCATTTTTCCCCTGTTTGGTGCTATGTTTATGTATTATGCTTGAAATTTTAATTTTTTTTTTTTTGCACTGTAACTATAATACCTCTTAATTTACCTTTTTAAAAGCTGTGGGTCAGTCTTGCACTCCCATCAACATACCAGTAGAGGTTTGCTGCAATTTGCCCCGTTAATTATGCTTGAAGTTTAAGAAAGCTGAGCAGAGGTGTCTCATATTTCCCAGCACATGATTCTGAACTTGATGCTTCGTGGAATGCTGCATTTATATGTAAGTGACATTTGAATACTGTCCTTCCTGCTTTATCTGCATCATCCACCCACAGAGAAATGCCTCTGTGCGAGTGCACCGACAGAAAACTGTCAGCTCTGCTTTCTAAGGAACCCTGAGTGAGGGGGGTATTAAGCTTCTCCAGTGTTTTTTGTTGTCTCCAATCTTAAACTTAAATTGAGATCTAAATTATTAAACGAGTTTTTGAGCAAATTAGGTGACTTGTTTTAAAAATATTTAATTCCGATTTGGAACCTTAGATGTCTATTTGATTTTTTAAAAAACCTTAATGTAAGATATGACCAGTTAAAACAAAGCAATTCTTGAATTATATAACTGTAAAAGTGTGCAGTTAACAAGGCTGGATGTGAATTTTATTCTGAGGGTGATTTGTGATCAAGTTTAATCACAAATCTCTTAATATTTATAAACTACCTGATGCCAGGAGCTTAGGGCTTTGCATTGTGTCTAATACATTGATCCCAGTGTTACGGGATTCTCTTGATTCCTGGCACCAAAATCAGATTGTTTTCACAGTTATGATTCCCAGTGGGAGAAAAATGCCTCAATATATTTGTAACCTTAAGAAGAGTATTTTTTTGTTAATACTAAGATGTTCAAACTTAGACATGATTAGGTCATACATTCTCAGGGGTTCAAATTTCCTTCTACCATTCAAATGTTTTATCAACAGCAAACTTCAGCCGTTTCACTTTTTGTTGGAGAAAAATAGTAGATTTTAATTTGACTCACAGTTTGAAGCATTCTGTGATCCCCTGGTTACTGAGTTAAAAAATAAAAAAGTACGAGTTAGACATATGAAATGGTTATGAACGCTTTTGTGCTGCTGATTTTTAATGCTGTAAAGTTTTCCTGTGTTTAGCTTGTTGAAATGTTTTGCATCTGTCAATTAAGGAAAAAAAAAATCACTCTATGTTGCCCCACTTTAGAGCCCTGTGTGCCACCCTGTGTTCCTGTGATTGCAATGTGAGACCGAATGTAATATGGAAAACCTACCAGTGGGGTGTGGTTGTGCCCTGAGCACGTGTGTAAAGGACTGGGGAGGCGTGTCTTGAAAAAGCAACTGCAGAAATTCCTTATGATGATTGTGTGCAAGTTAGTTAACATGAACCTTCATTTGTAAATTTTTTAAAATTTCTTTTATAATATGCTTTCCGCAGTCCTAACTATGCTGCGTTTTATAATAGCTTTTTCCCTTCTGTTCTGTTCATGTAGCACAGATAAGCATTGCACTTGGTACCATGCTTTACCTCATTTCAAGAAAATATGCTTAACAGAGAGGAAAAAAATGTGGTTTGGCCTTGCTGCTGTTTTGATTTATGGAATTTGAAAAAGATAATTATAATGCCTGCAATGTGTCATATACTCGCACAACTTAAATAGGTCATTTTTGTCTGTGGCATTTTTACTGTTTGTGAAAGTATGAAACAGATTTGTTAACTGAACTCTTAATTATGTTTTTAAAATGTTTGTTATATTTCTTTTCTTTTTTCTTTTATATTACGTGAAGTGATGAAATTTAGAATGACCTCTAACACTCCTGTAATTGTCTTTTAAAATACTGATATTTTTATTTGTTAATAATACTTTGCCCTCAGAAAGATTCTGATACCCTGCCTTGACAACATGAAACTTGAGGCTGCTTTGGTTCATGAATCCAGGTGTTCCCCCGGCAGTCGGCTTCTTCAGTCGCTCCCTGGAGGCAGGTGGGCACTGCAGAGGATCACTGGAATCCAGATCGAGCGCAGTTCATGCACAAGGCCCCGTTGATTTAAAATATTGGATCTTGCTCTGTTAGGGTGTCTAATCCCTTTACACAAGATTGAAGCCACCAAACTGAGACCTTGATACCTTTTTTTAACTGCATCTGAAATTATGTTAAGAGTCTTTAACCCATTTGCATTATCTGCAGAAGAGAAACTCATGTCATGTTTATTACCTATATGGTTGTTTTAATTACATTTGAATAATTATATTTTTCCAACCACTGATTACTTTTCAGGAATTTAATTATTTCCAGATAAATTTCTTTATTTTATATTGTACATGAAAAGTTTTAAAGATATGTTTAAGACCAAGACTATTAAAATGATTTTTAAAGTTGTTGGAGACGCCAATAGCAATATCTAGGAAATTTGCATTGAGACCATTGTATTTTCCACTAGCAGTGAAAATGATTTTTCACAACTAACTTGTAAATATATTTTAATCATTACTTCTTTTTTTCTAGTCCATTTTTATTTGGACATCAACCACAGACAATTTAAATTTTATAGATGCACTAAGAATTCACTGCAGCAGCAGGTTACATAGCAAAAATGCAAAGGTGAACAGGAAGTAAATTTCTGGCTTTTCTGCTGTAAATAGTGAAGGAAAATTACTAAAATCAAGTAAAACTAATGCATATTATTTGATTGACAATAAAATATTTACCATCACATGCTGCAGCTGTTTTTTAAGGAACATGATGTCATTCATTCATACAGTAATCATGCTGCAGAAATTTGCAGTCTGCACCTTATGGATCACAATTACCTTTAGTTGTTTTTTTTGTAATAATTGTAGCCAAGTAAATCTCCAATAAAGTTATCGTCTGTTCACTTTGTGTCCTTTCATCTTTTTTCAATTCAAGTGGGTAATAACGTTTAAATAGTGGTAGCAGAAATGATCTTTATAATGTTTCAATTCCATGGTGAATCATATGAAAATGCATATTTTAATATAAAATTTTGTTTACCAAGTTCTGCTTCATGTCCACCTGTAGAATTATATAGTAACAACTGTCTTTTTTGAAGACTTAATTCCAATCTGCTTTTTGGAAATTCTGTCACATTGATTGATGCATTCTAGGTCTTGGATTATTTAGATGATGTGTTTGACACATTCTTGAGGTGAACTTGGCTTTTCTAAAAGCAGGTGGACAGAATGTTCAGCTTCCAGGTTTTTAGGACACATTTCCAATATTGTTGATTAAGAAATAATTCTATCATTTTAGCCTTTTGACCCAACTTTTTTTGTAACTCAGTAAACCAAGCACTAATATGAATCATTTGGTTGTAGAAACAAGATGGTAAGAAGTTTTTTAGAATGAGAAAAAAGTTTAGTTTTCCTTTGTAGGTTTAAATTAGTCCCTTCCTTTCCTCTCTCTCTGACTGCCCTAAACTAGATGAGAAAAAAGTATATTTTAATCCTAAGGAATTTGGGTAAGTGCTGCATGCTTGTGTGTGTTGATGTTACTGCCCTGAATTCTCTAGATAGTTCAGGCCAAGCCTCAGGGCCACAGGTCCTTCCTGCCACCATTGACCCTACCCTCCAAGACAAGCAACTGCTCACGTCTGCAGCTGTCACGGCTAGCAAGAAAGAACACAGCCAGGCTGAATGTATCATTTTGCAGATTGCGATGTGCGTGAAAAGAATCCAGATGGGATTGAATTTTTGTGTGTGTGCAGATCCGTGAGCACAATGTATGTTTTAGATGGAATGGTAAATGCTGGGTCCCAGCCAGCTCAGGTCTGTGCCCCTTGGAAAGATGCAAGGAGCAGAGAGATGTGCAGGCCAGGAGAAGTGCTTTATAACTGGTCTGCAAGGCAGTTTATGAACAACCCTTAGAAGGTTTTTTGGTGTGTATGTGGTAAAATACACATAAAGTTTACCATCTTAACCATTTTTAAGTGTACAGTTTAATGGCATAAAGTACCTTCACAGTGTTTTGCAATTCTCACCACCCTTCATCTCCAGAAGTTTTTCTTTTTCTTTTTTTGAGACAGAGTTTCGCTCTGTCACCCAGGCTGGAATGTAGTGGCGCAATCTCAGCTCACTGCAACCTCTGCCTCCCGGGTTCAAGGGATTCACCAGCCTCAGCCTCCCGAGTAGCTGGGACTACAGGCGCCCGCCACCACGCCAGGCTAATTTTTTGTATTTTTAGTAGAGAAGGGGTTTCACCATGTTACCCAGGATGGTCTTGATCTCCTGACCTCGTGATCTTCCTGCCTGCCTCAGCCTCCCAAAGTGCTGGAATTATAGGCGTGAGCCACCGCGCCTGGCCCATCTCCAGAACATTTTCTTTATCCCAAATTAAAACTCTACCCATTAAACACTAATATTCCTTTCCCTCCAAATCCCTGGCAACCTCATTCTACTTTGTGTCTCTGAATTTAATTTTTCTAAGTACCTCATATAAGGGGAATCTGACAATGTTTGCCCTTTTGTGTCTGACTTCACTTAGCATAACGTCTTCATGGTTCATCCATACCATGGCACATGTCAGAATTTGCTTTTTAAGGTGAATAATATCCCATTATATGCATAGACCACATTTTGTTTATTCATCTGCCAATGGACATTGGGGTTGCTTCCACCTTTTGGCTGTTGTGAACAGTGCTGCTGTAAACATTAGTGTAGACATACCTGTTTGGGTCACTGCTTTCAGTTCTTTAGAGTATATACCCAGAAGTAGAATTGCTGGATTGTATGGTAATTCTGCTTAATTTTTTGGGAAGTCACCATATTGTTTTCTATAGTGACTACACTATTTTACTTTCCCACCAGTAATGCACCAAGTTCCAGTTTCTTCACATCCTCACCAATACTTGTTTTATGTGTTTTTGCTAAGAGCCATCCTAACGGATGTAAAGTGGTATCTTATTGTGGTTTTGATTTACATTTTCCTAATGATTAGAGATGTTGAGCATCTTTTAATGGCTTATTGACCATTTGTCTCTTTGGAAAATTATCTATTCAAGTCCCTTTTACCCATTCTTGAATTGGGTTTTTTTGTTGTTGAGTTTTAGAAGTTCTGTATATATTCTGGATGAGAGTTTTATAGTTTTAGCTCTTACACTGGGTCTTTGGTCCATTATGAGTTAGCTTTCGTACAGAAGCTTCTCTAGTCATGATGGAGTTATGTCCCAGTAAACCCATCGTAAGTTGAAAATATCTTAAGTCAAAAATGCATTTGCCCCAGCGCAGTGGCTCACACCTATAATCTCAGCACTTTGGGAGGCCAAGGTGGGCAGATTGCTGGAGCTCCAGAGTTCGGACCAGTCTGGGCAGCATGTCAAAAGCTCATCTCTATAAAAATACAATTCGCTGGGTGTGGTGGCACATGCCTTTAGTCCCAGCTACTCAGGAAGCTGAGGTCGAAGATCATCTGAGCCTGGGGAGGTCAAGGCTGGGCTGAGCCATGATCATGCCACTGTACTCTAACCTGGGCAGCAGAGTGAGACCTTGTTTCAAAAAAAAATTATTCAATCCACCCAACCTACTGAACATCATAGTTTTGCCTAGCCTAATGTAAATGTGCTCAGAACACACATTAGCCTACACTTGGGCAAAATTATCTAACACAAAGCCTGTTTTATTATTTTTATTTTTTTGAGATGGAGTCTTGCCCTGTTGTCAGGCTGGAGTGCAGTGGTGCAATCTTGGCTCACTGCAACCTCCGCCTCCTGGGTTAGAGCGATTCTCCTGCCTCAGCCTCCCAAGTAGCTGGGACTACAGACGTGTGCCACCACGCCCAGCTAAGTTTTGTATTTTTGGTAGAGATGGGGTTTCACCATGTTGGCCAGGATGAGCATTGATCTCTTGACCTCGTGATCCCCCTGCCTCGACCTCCCAAAGTGTTGGTATTACAGGCGTGAGCCGCTGTGGGCTGTGTGGGGGGAACCGGCTAGGTCCTCAAAGTATGGTTTCTACTGGATGCATATCAGTTTTGCACCATCAGAAAGTCAAAAAGTCATTAAGTTGAGCCATCATACGTTGGGGACTCTCTGTGGTATAAGGTAATGGTCCAGCCTCATTCTTTTGCATGTGAATATCCAGTTTCTCCAGCACCATTTGTTGAACCCTCACATTTTTCTAGTGCTCTTCTGTTGAAATGGTGCTCTGCAAACAGTCCCTCCACCCATCTCAGCTGCCCAAACGAAAAGCTTACCAAGGGTCATCCTTGGTTCCTGTCCTTCCCTCGTAGTCTTGCATCCTGTCAGTCGTCCGTCAGCAAATTCTGTTGATTTGGCCTCCTAGATAAAGTGTAATCCCCTTTCCACTGCCAGCACCCTGATCGAACAACCATTGCTTTTACCTGGACTGTGTCACAGCCTCCTAACGGGTCTTCCTGCTTCCACCCTTTTCCCCTCTCTGATCTGTTTTCCACATTGTAGCCAGAATAGTTAAAATAGAAATCAAAATAGAACTAAACTCCTCCCATGGCCTACAAAGCCTGTGTGATCCGGCCCCTCCACGGCTGAGTCGTCTCAGTGTGCTTTAGTCACGAGGGTCTTGCTGGTTTCACTGAGCACTAAGCTCATCCTAGTACAGAGTTCAGGGGAGGCTCTGGGGTCGGACTTCGTGTGTGTGAAGCCTTCTCTGTCACTTGACTGTGTGACCTTGGACAAAATGCTTTGTTTCTGTGCACTCTACAAGTGATGATAGTAATAACTGGAACCCAGAGGGTGGTCATGAGGATTAAGTGAAAGGATACAGGGAAGGTGTTTGGTGCAGAGCTGGCATCCAGAAAACACGCATCTTTAATGGAAATGTGTTGGCATGGTTGGCTCCTATCATTCAGGGTCCCATTCAACTACTGCTCAGAGGACATCCCGTATTAATATAAGGTAGCCCCCCATAACTATCATGGATTTAACATTGCACTCTATCACCTTGTCTCTAGCTGTCCCCCACATGATACTAGAAGGGATGCTCCATGAGGGTAGGACCTCGTCCTGCTTCCTGCTGTAGATCAGTACCCAGCACACAGCCTAAATTTGACAAAATGAATATATGGTCAGTTATCTAACCCATGTGGCTAAACCAAACTTAAAGAACATTGTATCACCACAGGACCAAAAATGATTTGTTTTTATATTTTGCCTCTCTGACCCTAAAGCCAACCATTTTCAGAAGTTAGCATTGGAGGTCGGCAATCATCTTCAGGGTGCTGAGTGGAGAGGAGCCAGGAGCAACATACACACACGTGTGTGCACATTATCCCTTTACACATTTACTCAAAACCTATGCTGAGCTCTGTGCCCCTGCCTGATTCATACCTCCCTGACCTTGCTCGTAGGGCCCCACAGTTTGGATTGGGCGTTCACACTTACTCATCCCGATCTTTGGGCCTGAGATCTCAAAGCTCCAGTTTATCTGCACATTCTCCCCTAACTTTGGAAATTATCACAACCCTAGTGCCACTGTAGTCAGTCACCTTGCCCTTCCCTGGATCAGGGAGAGAGGGTTTGGAGAACTTGATAGCTGAATCTCAATAGTATAGGTAGTAAGCTTTTCATTGTTTTTTAATTTTAATTATTTTTTAAGGCAGGGTCTCACTTTGTCACCCAGGCTGGAGTGCAGTGGTGCGAACACGGCTCACTGCAACCTCAACGTCCTGGCTCAAGTGATCTAGCTCAGCCCTCCAAGTAGCTGGGACTACAGGCGTGCACCACCACACACAGCTAATTTTTGTTTTATTTGTAGAGATGGGGTTTTACTATGTTGTCCAGGCTGGTCTCGAACTCCTGGAGTCAAGCCATCCGCCCACCTCGGCCTCCCAAAGTGCTAGGACTTCAGGAGTAAGCTTTTTTTTAAGAATATTTTTCCTATAGGAACTACAACCACATGGTTAAAATAAAAACACCTAAAAATGTACAAAAAGCTCTACCATGAAAAGTATTTCTCTTTGTGTAGTACTTTTCCTCAAAGGCAACCAATGTTACCTAGTTTCTTTGAGTATTTTTTTCAGAAGTTTTACACAAATAAGTGACTGGCTATGTCCTTACTGCTTTTACATGGTAGCACACTCAGCACACTTCTACCTATTGCTTTTTTAGCTAACTTATTTGAGAATATTCCATATGAAATTTTCGGATTTTTTCTTTATAATTGAAGTTAAAACATACAGTAATATGCATAAAGTGCACTAATCTTAATACATGTAGCTCAGTGACTTTTTACGTATGTATATGTGTCTGTGGACACACACTTGTAAAGCCAACTGTTTTCTCTGTAACATTCACATACTATTTCATTGTATGGAGGTTCCCTCACTGGTTTAGCTTATTCTCTGTTAGATATTTGTAACGTTCTCACATTAATTTGTCAGGAGCAAAGGTGTAGCTAGTACCCTCACACATACTTCCTTGTGCATATGGAGGAAGACCATGTATCTTGGGCACTAATACAGGCTCATAATTCTGAAGTCCAAAACACACTGAAAATCAGGTTTCCAGAACTTACTTAGCAGCAACACCTGACCTCTACTGAGTTGAGCCTATATATAGTCTCTATCCCATTTAGCGTGGCTAATCCTAGGTTTGGCAACAGCAATATTAACATGCCTCATTACTGGTCCTGCTGCAGATGCTGCTGGGGCCATCACCTAATAGATGGCTTACACACTGAATTTTCTAAAATTCAGAAAACTCTGAATTGCCAAACACATTGGTCTCAAGGCAAGGATTTTATATAGGGACTTGCGGCCCACCTAGCTAAGATTTGTCAAACATGTAATAAGTGCCATGTCTGTGCTCAACGTTTTATCTGTTTTATGCCATTCACTTCTCAAGGCAATTATGAAAATGGTGGTTTTTGGAGGAACGTGGCTCGTAGAGATTCTGATTGAGGACTAGAGTCAGGACGCCTGGTTTCCAGCACTGTGGAATTTGGGCAAGTTACTTAACCTATTTTAGTCTCATAACCTTGCCTTTACTATGAGGAGCCAAGAATCATTCAGATTAAATGAGAGTTCACGTAAAACGCTGGGTGCAGTGCCCTGACAGTTGTCCATAACAAGTGCTAATTGTCGCTACAATCCTCACTTTAGAGATGGGCAAAACGAGGTATGGAGAAGTGAAGTAATTTGCCTGAGATCCCAGTAAGAGGGTTGAACCCATGTCCATCCAAAACAAAAGCATTTGAACCGTCATCCAAGAATTTCCCGGTTTATGTGGGTCTTTTGAAAGAAAGGTGGTAGAATTAAAATACGTGTGCACGTAGATCTTTCATGTTGAGAAGAAAACCAGATGGTGACTCCTCTAGCCAACATAGGCAGCAGTTGCAGGCCTCTTTGTTTTATATGTGACCCTAGTATCATTTCTGTGTTTCAGAGGAGGAAAAGATCCATCACACTCTTCCTCATTGGAGGAGAACTGAAGGTGGGACCTACGCTTACTCTGTTCCCTACATCCCCTTAGCCTGAACAGTTAGCGACTCACCCAATGGCCATTTCAGGGCTGTGTGCCCCAGTCCTGGTAAGATAAGCCATGGGCATGTCACTTTAAATAATGCTCTGCCAAACCCCACTTGCCAAAGCAAGTGTTGGCTTTAACCTCTTTGCTTTTTTCCGTCCTGTTTTTGCAGTCACTTTTTTTGAAGAAAAAGAAGCACTCCTTTACCTCGGTAAAACCACTCCTGTTATGCTATAGGGCATCATGGTAGCAGGATGGAAAAAGCAGGGAGGTTTATCCAGTCGTGCCGTCAGGGGACAAAGTGACTTTAGGAAGGTAGTGGTCTCTTCCACTGAGTAAGAGAGTGATGCTGAGGCTTCACATCCAAAGTGTGTGTTCTGTACTAGTTTTGTGTGTCCAGGTGTTGACCCCTGACAGTTGCAGAGAAGAATGTAATTCACAAAGTTCTCCTCTGGAGAGGAGTTACACCCCACCCTCTCAGGGTAATGGGCATTGTCTTCCTAATGACCCCACATCTGCACCTCTCTATGTGCTGTGGACTCCGCCTGAGACACTCCCTTCCCTCCCCCTCCCACCACCTTTCCTCATCCAGTCCTGCCTATCCTCCCACACCCAGCCCCACCCTCAGCCTGAGCCTGTCCTCTGGTCCCTGCTACAGTCCCTGGCCCTTCTCACAACACATCTCGCCCTGTTGACGCCATCTCTTCACATGTCTGGGAGCCACTGGAATACAAGGGTCATGCCAGTCACCAGTGCACCCAAACACTGCTCCACTGCAGAAGAACCTCAGTCAGTGTGGATCTCCAAGCGCTGGCTTGTGCATTATCTGTGGTCCACTGACATGATGGGGGGCAGAGGGCAACCAGCAGAGTAGAGAGGATGGGGAAATTTTCTGTTTTTTTTTTTTGTTTTTTGGTTTCTTTTAATAATGTTTGAACCAAGGGGTGTGGGACCTGGGGCCCTTCTGAATGTTGGTGTGTGGCAGTCCCTGGTGCCGGGCAGTGTGGCAGCGGGGTGGGGGGGATCTCCTGGTTAGTCTGACACAGTAAACTGGGACATGTAAAATCAAGAGGGTCTGGTGGAGAAATGTCCAGAAAAGCCTGTGCTTCTCCTAAAGATTTGGTTTGAATGGACACTATGAATCCCGTAGCTGACCTTTTCTTTTTATGCTTTGACTACTAGGTAACTCAGTTCACCTATTCACTTAAATATTTATTAACCACCTTCTACGTGCAGACATTCTTCTGGAACAATGAGTAATGTGGCGTTCCTGCCCTTGTTATAGACATTTACATCCTACTGGGGAAGATGGGCCACAGCCAAGTCCACCCATAATTATCAATATGATTTGGCTCTGTGTCCCCACCCAAATCTCATCTGGAATTGTAATCCCCATAATCCCCACATGTCGAGGGAGGGGCCAGGTAGGAGGTGATTGGATCATGAGGGTGTTTTCCCCCATGCTGTTCTCATGATGGTGAATGAGTTCTTACGAGATCTGATGGTTTTGTAAGGCAGTTTTGCCTGCTCTTGCTCACACTTCTCTCTCCTGCTGTCATGTGAAGAAGGTCCTTGCTTCCCCTTCGACTTCTGCCATGATGGTAAATTTCCTGAGGTCTCCCCAGCCATGTGGAACTGTGAGTCAATTAAACCTCTTTCCTTTATATGCAGTCTTGGGTATTTCTTTATAGTAGTGTGAAAACAGACTAATACAGTTATCCTATGGGAATACAATCCAGTGTTTTTATTAGTGGTACTCTCTCATTTTCCCCTTGCCCCATTCCCCTAACTGTCCGTGCTCTCCTGTTATGGCATCAGTGATGTTATGGTGGTTGTGTTGTTGCCATCCCATTCTTCTTGGGAATGAGGTGTGCTATGACCAAACACACTGATATTCATTGGTTCAGTTTATTTATGAGGCAGTGACTAAGTATTGGGCATGAAGTGGACCTAGGGGAGCCAGGTAGTTCGTAAGGAGGCAGAAAGCACTCTATGATCACAGCTTTGAACTCTGCACCTCCCTGTGCTGCCAGATCCCAGTGGGCCGACCTGTTAGAGGGGAACAGCCCCAGTTTACACACTGTTCTGTGAAGACAAGCAAGATGACAGCCCGCCAGCTCTCACGCAACAGGCAGCATTGCGCTCTTAGATTTTTCCCATTGAGAGCCCAGGCTCAAGTGTGGGCAGACGGTGGGACGTAAGTGGCTTTTATGGGAAAGTGTGTTTGAGCTTTAAGTTTTTTTAAGAGCTGGAAGGCCCACTTTGGGTTTTGTTTGGTGGTTGGTTTTTTTTTAAACTTCTGTTTACCTTTTTGGAATAAAGGGCTGAATCAGTCCTCCCAACAAGCCAGAATTCCAACTTGAGGTTATGTTTATAAATAGAAAATCTAGGTTTTCCAGAACTGAAGCTTGCTAAAGCCAATTTTGTTGACAAAAGGGAGGCACTGGCAACTCATGGTCTGAGCATTTCTAGGCATCTGGAACTCCTGCATCCCAGGACACTCTGACTTAACCCTCCTGTACCAAGGACACTGAAAGGAGCATCAGCTGGTGCCTGGGACCCTGCACCTGGGGTAGCCCTGGAACTGCCACTCCCCAGCCAAGTCATTCGCCTCTTGTGGCCTCCATCTCCTTCCTCATCTATAAAATGGAGTTGGCCCCTAAGATCCACTAACAGAGTGTAATACTCAAAGCCACAAAAATTCAATTTGTGAGTGCAGAAGTATGGGAGATTTGGGCCAGGCATGGTGGCTCACACTTGTCATCCCAGCACTTTGGGAGGCTGAGGTGGGAGGATCGCTTGAGCTCAGGAGTTTGAGACCATCCTGGCCAATATGGTGAAACCCTGTCTCTACAAAAATTAGCCGAGCGTGATGGTGAGCGCCTATAGTCCCAGCTATTCAGGAAGCCGAGGTGGGAGGATCGCTTGAGACCAGGAGGCAGAGGTTTCCGTGAGCCGAGATCGCGCCACTGCACTCCAGCCTGGGTGACAGAGACAGACACTGTCTCAAGAAAAAAACAAGTAAGGGAGATTTGAATAATGTCTGGTCAAGACTATGTTCCTATAAGCTGGGGTTATGATCTTGCTGTTTTGCTGAACATATTTCTTTGTTCATTCACAAATAGCAACTCAGCATCCTCGACGGTCAGACACTGCAGAGTCAATGGGATTTAGTGCAATAGACATGTCTGTCACATGCATAGAAGCTTACATCCTGGGGATGGGGTCAGGGAGTGAAGTGGGAAGACAGATCTTGAGGAAACCTGCTAGTTTTGGAGAATATTTGCCTTAAAGACAATAAGATAGGATGATATGATTGAGTGACAGGCACAGCCAGTGTAAATAATAATGATAAATAACAATGATTGAGTGCTCAGTGTTCTAAATACTTTTCTCTGTTTTGTGTAAGAGTAGGTACTGCTATTATTCCCATTCTTCAGATGAGTAAAGACATATAAGGATGTTAAAGATATCGCTGAAAATGAATCATGGACCTCATCATATTCAGGGCTCAAATTATGATGGGGATCATTGTGTATAACCATATAATTTTAATCCAGTGTCCCTTCTAATAATGACTGATCAGGGTACACAGAAGAAGGCCAGAAGGTGAAGGGAACATTCACCGCTGGGGTGATACTTGAGCTGGGTTTTGAGGGATGGGTAGGAGTTCTCCTTATGGTGTCTCACCATAGTGGTTGTTGGTTCATGCTGCCATGGAAATTTGTGGTCTCTTCAATAGACCAAATTATTCTTTAAATGATGGGTGCAGAGACCCTCCTAAGATGTTGATCATGTAATTTGCCTATATCATAAAGACCTGAATACTTTTGAGGAATTATTTAAGGTATGTGATCACTACAAATCTTCAAAACTTACAGATTTCAACCCAAAGTTACAATCTCAACATGCATAATGACATCCTGCGAACATTCTGAGGACTGGCTCGATGATTCAGGCTCTATGTTCCTGGGTTGTAGTTTTAAACCTGTACTCCCTTTAGCAAATCTTTTTTCTCTCTTGGAATCTCAGGCTCCTCAAACATCACATGGGGCTCAACCAGACTGGTGAATGCCAAAGAAATCAGAGGCTCTGGGGTGAAACCTGGGCATCTACCTTTTAAAAAATATGTAGTCAAAGTGGGGAACCACTAAGTAGAAACAGGGTCTCCAACAATGGGCTGCAGAATGCCAAGGGGGCCAGAAGGGAGGTACTGTGGGGACTGGGTCTTCCTCTCTTCTCCCTAACTCAGCCAGAGCTGTTTCTTCCAATTGTATCTGTTCCATTGGTTGAGACTTGTTGTAACATTGTATGGGGAGAACGCGTTCTGCCACCAAAAACTAATGTTTGAAACCACTGGGACCAGAAGCCTGTCAGGATGGCCCAACTCCACCCCCGTGGTTCTGTGTGGTTTTTGCTCCCTGTGATCTAGATCTTGGTACCATTTCTGCACTCAGTAAAGCAGCGGCTGCCTTCTGTCCCAGCCCTGCCTACCCTTCCTTGATAGGTGAGTTAATCCTCTCATGTGGCGGTGGCTGCCTTACAGTGAAGTATTTGATTACCTCGTTATGAATTATGGTGAAGTGCCCTGGTGAAGGGTCGAAGGTATTTGAGATCCTTTGGGATCGAATGTGAGATATTACTAAAACGAGACTCCATTTTATAGGTGATAAATCTTGATATTGTAAGTTTAATACAGTTTGATGGTTGTAAATCCAGTGACTCTACTGCAGGAATTTGCTGTGTGTTGCACTGATGAAATATTTAGTCAGGTGTTTCTAAAGGTATGGCTTTTCTCATAAGGTACTAACGTTTATGGGCTTAACAAGAAAGTCTCATACTGGTGTCAAGTATGCTGCTGTTCAAGGCCCTTGGAAAAGAAAAACTATCATAGTTTCTTTTTCTGTATGTTATAAGAAAGCTCTTTGATAACACTGAGAGTCATAGCCAAATCAAGAAGTAGATTTTTGTATTTATGAGAATATATTTTAGGATAAGAAAATAGTAGGATAGAAGCAAATTTAAAGTGAGCTTTATTGCATGTGTAGACTGTAAATACCAGAAAGGAGTTCACAAAGGGGGTCGGAATGGCCACAGCGTGGATGTTAAGGCAAGTCTACTTGATTGGTGATCACACGTGTATTTGCTTTCTCTTGCTATGTAACAAATTACCGCAAATTTAAAGGCTCAAAACACATTCATTATGTCACACTGTCTGTGGGGCATGAGTCTGGGCACAGCTGAGCTGGAGTCTTCTGCTCAGGATCTCACAAGGTTGCAACCGAGGTATTGCTGGGGCTGAGGTCTCCTCTGGGCTCGAGATCCTTCCAAGCTCATGTGGTTCTTGGTAGAAATCATTTCCTTGTAGATGCAGAACTCCTGGAATCTTGCTTCTTCAAGACCAGCAGGAGAGCTGCTCTCTCACTTTAAATTTCCCTTTTCAAGGAAGGCCTAGATTCTCTTTTAAAAGACTCACCTGATTAGGCCAGGCCCACTTAGGGGAATCTCCATTTTGATTAACTCAAACTCAACTGATTAGGGATCTTAATTACATCTGCAAAATTCTACCACCTTTGCCTTATAAGGTAACCTTACAATAGCGGGAACATCTCATCATATTCCCAAGTCCCGCCTGCCCTCAAAGGGTGGACATGCAATGCATGCTTATTAGGGAGCAGGAATCTAGGGCCAGTTTAGATTCTGCCTGCCATGCCATGAATGTGATCTCAAACTCTTTGAGCTTTATTTTTGATGGCTGTCCAATGGGCATGGTAATTCTTACCTGTCTTGGAGGGATGTCATCAGCTGCAATGAGATGACATATTAGAAATCTGGGAGTAAGCTGAGAAGCCCCTGGTGCAGGCAGGAAGTACCTGGATAAAAGAATAAGATGTAGGATTGTTGCTAAGACTACACTTCTGCTTCGGCCCGAAGATACAACTGCATACACTGGGTGGATATAAAAAGGAAGGCACCACAGACAAATATTCAATTATCTTTCCTGTGAGCAAAGAGTGGAATGAGCGGGCACTGAACCTGCTTCTAGTTCACTCTTCATGAGAGTTGACTTTCCAAATTCCCATATTCTCAACGGACATCTTTTTTTGGATTAGAAATGGAAGCACTGCTCCATCATTGACTCCTTAGTTTCGTTCCCAAGCATTTCTCAAGATCAGAAAGATGATAAAACTTTGATAATACTCAGAGTCATAGCCAAATGAAGAAGTAGATTTTTGTATATGTAAGAATATATTTTAGGATAAGAAACTAGTAGGATAGAGGCAAATTTAAAGTGAGCTCATGTTGGATGTGTAGACTGTAAATATCAGAAAGGAGCTTGCATAAGGAGTCAACAATCCCATGCCTTGCCACGTGAGTGCCCTTCAGTAGACCCATGTTTTCCCCTGCTTCCTACCTACCCTGTGCTTCCCTGTACCTGCCTCCTCCAAATATTCCCCCACGGATCACTTTCCATTTCACAATTAATGTAGAACCCAATTGGAGGCAGGTAAGCAAAGACAATTTTTTAAACAGATGCTGTGGGTCGCTGGGAAGTTATTGGTCAAATAGTATTTGGAGGACAGATAACTGCTTTTGCCATTGTAACCTAAGGTGCACGCAGCACAGCCATAATTACAAATGCAGGGAAATGGAGGGAAAATCCATCTTATTTAAAAGTGTCTTAGTGTCAGCAAACACGTTGAGATGCCATTAAGAAAGTTTTTGTTAAGGACGTGTTCGACTTGAGGTTTTTAATTTGAAGTATTTTGCTAAAACAGAATTATATTGGAGTTTACATAAAAGTAGAGAATGACATGAAAAGTTTTAACTTAAGCAGCAAAATATAAAGGCTAATCTTATTTAAAAGTAATATGTATGTCTTGATTGAGTGCCCAGATACGTTCAACTGGGACTTTTTAGTGGAATCGGGTCTAAGCTGTTACACTGAGTTATACCGGGAAGGTTTTCCTGAGCTTATATAGCCAGACCTGAAATACTCTTGTGGCTGCATTTAATAAAGAAACGAAAGTCTTGAGTAAGGGGATATGATTTTTTATGACAGAAGGAATGCAAATAACTTTTAGTCTCATTGCCTTGACCGGGTTTGGTTTGATTTGATGGAGTTTAATAATGACTTATAACCTGTGCTGACAATATGCAGGCCCGCACAACGTCATTTAACTCATTTATTCTGCTTGCTGTAAAAACAAAGAGATGGCAAATAAATATATGGAACGTTCATTGTTTGTCAGAGGGCCCAAGCCAAGAGTTTTCAGTGACCTTTTAAAATATGGTCCCAGGCTAGTACTAAAATGTCTGTCACTCAGCACACACACTTGCATGCTCTGGCCTTTTAACCCATGCATCTTGTGTTTTTCTCTTTCAAATGGGTGTATGAATTTCCAATCAGCTGCAGCGATTTAGGCTTTTGCATCGGAGGATTACTGTAAATTGCAGCCTGACAATTACAATACGCAGGGCACTGGCGAGTTATTAATGGGTTCGCCTACTGATGGCTTTTCAGCGCAACCTCAGACCCGCTGAGCCGCGGTCTAATTGGATCCAGGGGTGGAGGCCCCTGCGGATGAGGATGGGGAGCGGGGCTCCCCGGGGCCCCGCCTCCAGCAGAGGAAGATATCAATTGATTATGGATGGCTCCTGTCCCCCATGTCGGATCTCTAATTCACCTCCTCCTTAATGACTTGTATTGGCTTAAGGGGCTCCGCATTATTTGACAGCGTCAAGCTCTGCTGACAAAGACCAGCAGGTGACTTTAATTGAGGACTTCTATTGCTAGAGATTTTATGCAAGACAGAGCAACAGTTCAACAGACACAAAAGAGGCCTGTTAAAAAAAAAAATTCCGCAGCAGTGCTGGGAGCAGACCTGGAGCGAGCTACTTTACTTTCGTTTAGTTCATAATATATATTTTTTTTACCCCTTCAGTGATGGCATCAGGAGGGAGACCCCCTCTCCAACTCCCCTACCCCTGGAAATTCTGCAGCCGTCTCTCCTCTCTTGGGTTTCAATATTTATCTTTAGGGATGAATTATGTCCAGGCATAAATTATGTTTGACACATCTTGATGCTGGGGGAAGAAATTAAATTTTTCACTGCTCTGAAAAACATTCCGCAGAACATATCACGCTCAGAGTGCATCCTGAAAAAACCAAGCGTGCTGTTTAGTTTTACAAAATTAAACGGACGGCCTGTCTGAAGCATCGGAAGGGTTGGAGGATAATGATCAGTGAGTGAATGAAAGGAAAAAAAAAATGAAGGCTGATAGAATCACAGACTTGGAGCCCCCACATGAAGGAGGACTGAGCTGGGCCCGGCGAGAAAGACCCCCTCTGTGAGGGGAGGTTAGAAAACTCTGCAGAGGCGCCGTTGTCGTTTGGTGGGTGGCTGAGCCAGCTGAGGTATGTGCCGTCCAGAAGGCTGGGGAGCCAACGGGTGTCTAGGGCCGGGCAGGACTGGATCCACCTCCTTGGCACTAGATGGGCAGTCCACCTTGATTTAAGGCCTGGGACTCTATGTCCTCTTTAACCTGAACCCCACACTTTTACCTCACCCAACTTCTTACCATTACCCAAATATGCTAAGTGTTTTCGTGCCTGCAATATTTGCTCATGCTACTTTCTGTACCTGAATTTTCCTTCTCTCTCCCTCCTTTGTCTTGCAAACTCCTATTTGCCCCTCAAGACACAGTCTGGTCACCTCCTCCAGGAAGCTTTCCAGTTTTTCCCTCCCCCTTCCCCGGACATTATGACCACTGCCCACACTCTCATCCACTGAGCTGTACTGCCTGCCCCAAAGGGGTGAGGAAGCACTTGAATACCCAGAATGGCCAACCAGAACACAGTTTGCACCCCATAGAAGGTACTAAAGGTGTCCCAAAGTTTGAGAGGAGGGAGTGATGGTTTCTGGAGGAGGTGGTGGGGAAGAATCAGGAGGGCACCTTGGAAGGCAAGGTGGTCCCTCAGGCTGGGTAGGACTTTGGGGCCTTGGTGGGGGCAGGGTGCTCTCCAGGCAGAGTTCAGACTGAGGAAGTCGACTGGGTGCCAGTGCCAGTGCCAGATGGTTTAAGGCTGGGAATGTTGCCCAGAAGGACTGCTGATTTGAACTAATGACGCAAGTGGGAAACCTGGGGTCTGATCAACTCAATAGCCTAGCTTAGTGTATATGTTATGAACAGGTTGGCAGATGTCCCCAAATGAGCTAATCCATACACTGTCACAGCTTCAACCCTCTCTGCCTCTGGTCTGCAGAAATGCCTTCTCCTCCACCTGGCTAACCCTGTCCAGCTTGCAAGACAGTGCCTCCTCTGGGAAGCCTTCCTGGATTCCTCACATTGGTTGAAGACCAGGTCATTCCTCAGTGCACCTGTCATGTTATCAGCCTTATTCTTTACATCCCTGGCGCTCCATGCAAACCACTTGGGGGCAGATTCTGTGTCTCTGGGTTCTCTATTGCCCAGGATGGCCATAGTCTGCTGCAGAATGAGTAAGAAAGCAAAATGGAGGTGCTGGTTCCAAAGAACTCTCTTCGTCTTCAACTTTGGGAAGCTGGGTTGCTTTGATTTGTTTTTTAAAAAATTACCACTTGGCATGGTATACAGGTATCGAAATATCACAGGTACCCTCAAAATATATACAACTATTATATGTCAGTAAAAACTTAAAAGTTGGAGCCGTTTCGTGACTGTCTGTCGGGATCTGGTGTAAGGTGCCTGGGCATGCTAGGGAAGATGATCTTTGACTTTGGGGCACCTTCGGTGCACTGGGCCCTGTGTGGGGGTTGGTGGTTCCTGCCGCAGAGGGGACCCAGTTCGGCCAAGGACGTGGTGTACCCAGGCACACAGAGAGTGATGCAATGGGAGAAACCCGCACCCAGGGCAGAGGTGAGGGCTTTCCGAAGGGTTTGGTCCAAGCAAAAGAGATGTGGGGCTCATATCAGAGAAGCCAGAGCAGCCCCCAGATCTGAAGGGAACGGTTGGGGATGGGAGAGTGGGCTGGATAGACAGGGGGCTCCTGGGTCCCTTCTGAGAGGAAGAAAAAGGCGAGGACTCTGTTCTGTCTCCCACGGGACTGGGACAATCTGAACTCCTGCTGTGCAAGGACCATTCTCAAGACACCGCCTCCCTCAGCATCTAGTCCAGAGCCTGAAACAGGAGATTTTCCACACGTGATTTATGGAATGAATAAACAAATGAGTGCGGAATGTGTCGCGTGGATTCTGAAGCCACATCTCCAGCCTGGCCTTTAAGCCTGGTCTTCCCAAGGCCTATCCAGCTCTTCCCTGAGCCCAGCGCCTGCGAGGGGCTCCCATTGTTTCCACCGCTTTTCCTGCTTGGCTGGTAGTCCCGCTTTTCTGCATCTCTAGAAACCTCAGGCCACCTTCCCTGTCTCCCTTAGCCATGGCTCCCCCCATGTCCCTCCACCACCATGGCCTGGGTTCTGCCCTGCCTCTGACGACCTGGACCTCTGTCGTAGCTCCCAACAGGTCACCCCGTCCTCAGCTCTCCTCTCCTCCCAACCCTGTCCCATGCAGCTGCCAGAAGTTTTGCACACAAAACATGGCTCAGATCATGCCAAGTCCCCCATCATTTGATGACATCTCTCCTTCCTCTGTGCCCCTCACCCCTCTGCCTGCCTCTTTGCCCAGCTTTTCAGCTGGTCCCCACAGCTGTCACCCTGCTCCATCCTTCCTCCTTCAGCCATCTCTTCCCCAGGCTCTACCCACATTCCACATGGACCGCACAGCACTGGGCACCTCCATTTGCTGTAGGACGTGGGCGAGCTACTTACCCAGGGACTCTTAGTTCTTGTGTTGCTATAATGAGCGGGCTGGTTGGAGTGAATGGTCCGAGCTCTGCATAACGGAGACATGCAGAGCTTTGCAGTCAGACAGGGCTGGCTGGAGTCCCCACTGTGCCACTTCTCACCTCCAAGGTGGCCACAGCCACGGCAGCACTGGCCTGAGCTCTCAGCAGTGAGCCTGGCAGGCAGGGCAGGTGCAATAGACAAATCTGTCATTCTCTCACATTCTGGGTCTCACAGGTGATTATCTACCCCCCCTGCCAGCTGTCCCCCAGTCCCCAAGTGAGGGAAAGGGGCGCTGCTCTTGGCTGTGCCCTCATTTATTTTAGGGCTTCCTTGGATTCATTTTTCCCAAATGTCTTAGCCCTCGGGAGCCATGAACACCAAACAGAGCTGCCCAGAACCGCCAGGCCGGACTGGGAGATGACTGCTTGGCCGGGGCACAGCCAGGTCAGTTATTCCATGACTGAGCAGGCCCCTGGATGTCATCCTGGCTTTGGCCTGTTCTCAAGAAGGGCTTCATTAGGGGAAGGCGGTCTGGCCAGGTTGTCAGATTTGCTTGCTCTGCCGGGCATAACTCAGGCCTCGGCTGAGTCACCGCCCTAGACTCACAGGGGACCTCACAGGGGCCCTTGGGCATCTTGAAGTCATCTGTGTCCCTTTGTTCATTACGCTGGGGAGGGAATGGGACAGAAGGGGAGGGGAGGGAAGCCAGCCTTCCTTGCTGCTGGGAAGCTCGTGGAGGAGGGTTTTTGAACTTGAAACTCCTTTCAAAGACACAGCTGTGATGGAGGGACATTTTCTGGCCAAACGCAGCAGAAGTTGATCCTGCGTTTCCAAGTGTCAGGCTGCACAGAGGCTGGAAGGATGGAGAGTGGGGATGTAGTGGGGAAATTGGGTGGGAGGAGGAGAGGCTGGGGATTTAGTGGGGCAGAAGCTCACCCAGGAGGGTATGTGCCTGGAGGGTGGCACTGTCAGCCTGCCTGTCCCCTACTGATGTCAGGCACAGGTGCCTCCCATGCGTAAGCCGGGCTGGCCCCACCCAACAAGGCTCCAGTGAGAGGTGCCCAAGAAAAGAAATGACCTGGCAGGAGAGCTGGCAGCTGAAGCCGCAATCTCTCAGAGGGGTGTGGAGATGCAGCCCAGCCCCAGGCTGAGCATGTATTGGGACCTGAGGACTGCGATGAGTGTTTCTTCTGCCCTCCTTAGGGGATGCCTGACTTGGGGCCTCCACCCTCCCCCTCATGCTGCTGGAATTGTGGAATGTCAGAGCTGTACAGGGCCTTCAGATCCTCCAGCATCAACCTTCCCACCCTTCTCCAGACCATTCTCTAAATGAGGAGACTGAGGGAAGTGAGCAGAGAGGGCAAGTGGCTCAGCTCCTGTGCCCCGCCTGCCTGACAGTGGAGACGAAGGAGCAGTTTGCCTGGGAGTCTTATACTTCATTCCACACACCACTTTCATCCTGTCTGCTGTTTTCCCCTCATCTTCTGTGCTTTACATTTTTCTCCTCTGGAATCCTCCTGTTTCAGTCCCACTCTAAGCAAAAGGAAGAAGTGAGGACAGAGGGGAGTTTCAAAAGCAGTGCGTATGCAAGAGAAGTAAGTGGGAAATGGGTGGGAGAATTGCAGGGAAGACCCTAGATGGTAGAGCCAGCTCCTGTGTGGAGAGGGGGAGAAGGAAGAAGAGGTGGTGTGAGGGTGGGGATCTACAATGGGTGCAGGAGCTGAGATGGGGAGGAGGAGCCTAAGGAAGGAGTCTGGAGACCGAAGATCTTGTGGTGGCTATGACACTCTAAATTTTGGGGGAATAATGTTGGATATAAACAAACAAATGATGATAATAATGATGGTAATAAAGAAATGATGATGGGGTGGTAATGATGGTGATGATGATGATGGTGATGATGTTGATGGTGATGGTGATAAGGGTGTTGATGATAATGGTGATGGTGATGATGATGATGATAATTATGGTGATCATAATGGTGGTTGGTTGTGATGATGGTGATTGTGATGGTGATGATGGTGATGACAATTGTGGTGATGATGATAGTAGTGATAGTGATGATGGTGATGATGATGGTGGTGGTGGTGATGGTAGTGGTGATGGTGATTGTGATGGTGGTGATGGTGATTGTGATGGTGGTGGTGATGGTGGTGATGGTGGTGATGGTGATGGTAGTGGTGATGATGATTGTGATGGTGATGATGGTGATGACGATGGTGGTGATGGTGATGGTAGTGGTGATAGTGATGATGGTGATGGTGATGACGATGGTGGTGATGGTGATGGTGACGGTAGTGGTGATAGTGATGATGGTGGTAATGGTGATGACGATGGTGGTGATGGTGATGGTAGTGGTGATGGTGATTGTGATGGTGATGATGTGAGTGATAGTGATAATGGTCATTGTGGTGGTGATTATGCTGGGGGTGATGGTGATGGTGATGGTGGTGGTGGTAATGGTGATTATGATGGTAATGATGGTGATGGTGGTGATGATGGTGATGATAGGGTGGTGGTGGTGATGATGGTGAAAATAATGAGTATGATGGTGGTGACGGTAATGATACGATGATGATGGTAACAATAATGATAGTTATAATGATGATGGTGGAGATGATAATGATCATATTAACTAACTGTAACATTGGATAAGTTCTTTATCTTCATGGACCTTGGTTTCTGCATTTATAAGACAAAGAGGTAGAACTTTAGCCTCCTTCTCCTTTTGAGATTCTGTGATTCTAAGAAAGGATCAAAAGGATGTAGAAAAAATCTTTTAGAAAAGAAAGAAAAAGGGTTGAGGGAAAACAGGCAAGTTGGGACCAAACAGGAGCAGAGGGGAAAATTTGTCCAGTCCCAAGACAAGAGAGCCCTCTCCTAAAGCCTCTCTCTTATCCCTAGGCTGGGAAGCCTACCCCTACATTGCCGGGAAATGAGAGGAAGAGGCATTTGAAGTGGGTTAACGGCAAGGGCCATGCCTGTGCTGACAGCACCTGATTTCCCAGCCCATGGAATCCTCACCTGCTAATTACATCTACCAGGCCTACCTCCACTGGGAATTCAGCTCCACAAAAATCACCTCCCCACCTCCTAAAGGGTCTGGAGCAAATCATTAAAATATCAGGTTTCCAGCCCCTGGGGGATGAGTAGGTGCTAAAAAGAGGCCAAGCTGGATTTGTCAAAAACCAATCAGTTCTCACACGCAAATATCCCACTTGGTCCATGCAACTAGCCTGGTGTTTAGGAGTGTGAGGGGTGGTGGGAGGGGGTGCAGAGCTGGGCTCTGGGAAAGTGCTTAACCCCAGAGCACCAATTAGTTGCCCTATTTGGCCCCCAGGGCCAGACAGAGCCGCAGGGAGCCCAGGAAGGGCCCAACAGTTATGCAGGATTAAGGCCAGAGAAATTACTTAGTGAAGCACCTACAAACTCAGCTCTCCACCCAGCCACTGCAGTTGATGCTGGCTTGGGTTTTCAGTTTGTAGTGTGGAATCAGTGTTGCTTGCCTCTTCTAACAGTCAAATGGGCCTGTGGTTATGGTAGAACTTGGAAGCTGCAAAACGCTATGAAAATGCAATTCAACCATGTATTTCTTCAACCAAGAAAGTTTTATTTTTATTTTATTTTATTTATTTATTTTTGAGACAGGGTCTGGCTCTGTTGCCCAAGCTGAAGTGCAGTGCTGCGATCACAGCTCACTGCAACCTTTCTCTCCTGGGATCAAGCGATCCTCCCACCTCAGCCTCCTGAGTAGCTGGGGCCACAGACACATGCCAACATGACTGGCTAAAATCTTTTTAGAGCAACCACTGTATGCTGGCCCCAGGGAGACTCCAGGAGCCTAACACTCTGCTCTTGGCGGCCACATCCTCCTTCCTTTGGGTTCTCCCTGGGCCTCTGGACCCCAGCATAGGCTCCCACATGGAGACATCCTTTGCCTGGCCCTGGTTGAGGAGGCTCCCCAGGCTCTGTCCTGGGCATTCCTCTCCTCCCCTCCCCTCCCTTCTTCTCTCTGGTGACATCTTCTACTCCTATGGCCTTAATTACTCAGTGGATCCTCAGATACAAGTTTCCAGGATGGAGACATTTCTCTCATTTCCAGACCCCTATGTCTGTCCTGAACATCTCCCCGTGGAGTCCTCCAACATCAATTCATTGAGAACTGATCGTCTTGCAGCCCCTCCACAGCCACGCCTCCTCCTCCTCTTGCTTCCTGGATTAAAGGGCCCCACCATCTTCCCAGTTGCCCAAGCTGGAAACTGGGAGTCATGCCTGTCACCTTCCTAATCATTTCCTTACTCCTTACCCAAGGATCCCCAGGCCTGGCCAATTCCTCCTCCATCACAGGCCTTGGTCTGGCCCTCCTCCTCCTCAGCCCAGCCAGAACTCGCGCCCAGACAGCCGCCTGTCTCCCTGGATTATGAAGCTGAGTCCTGCCGCTCTCCTGTGCCTGCTCAGTCTGTTTGGATCCCTTCCCTGTGCAGGGAAGACCCCAGAGGGGTCTTTCTAAGACCTAAGTCAGCTTTCACTACTCCTCCCTCCCAGGAGACCCTTGATCTCACGGGGCTATTTCCCTGAACAGGATTCTAGGGGATCCACTGAACAGCCTGGGCTCCATGGGGTCTTTGCTGCTAAAGGGCCATTGTCTGGTGGGTTTCACCTCCTTACTAGTGTGAACAAATTACTGAACACCCTAGGCCTCAGTTTTCTTACCTGTGAAATGGGGATAATGCATGCCAAGTGCACAAGAGTGACAGGGGGTTCAAATGAGATAAGGTACACCCCGTTTTTCCACACTGGGTCATGGCTTTCTCAGGTGTGTTTGTGTCCAGCAAGCATGCCAGGGAGTATAGGAGATGCAGGGCAAGCATAGCCATTTCTATAATACCAGCTTTCCTCCATTCTTGGTGGGGAGGGGGAGACCAATATATTTTTATATTACACCCAGCATGGGGATATGATGGAATCGAATGCAAATTTTGCATCCATGTAAAAGACAAGCATGAGTCTAGCAGGCGTTCTTGGTACCCTGTCCAGATCTCCGCACCCTGAACACTTCAGGACTCACCACCCAGCTTCCAAACTTGGAAGCATCCTTTCTGCGTTTGAGGGCTTTCTCTGCTGCAGAAGAGAAAGCCCCAGGAGATGAACAACTTCTGGCAGCAGCCTTCACCCACTGAGCGCTGGGAGTGGGCGTATCAATACCACAGCTCCCTTGCTAGTAGGCTGGGGTGCATGGAGAACTCTGACTTGTGACTGCTTTGTTGGCTGGAGCTCTCCAGCACAATTGGATGTGAGTTGTCACAGAGGTAATGACAACACAGTGGCTGTGACTTCCCGGCTGCTTTGCCTTCTTTGTCTCACTTTCCCACTCCTCTACTGGTATTTCCTGGAATCCTGCCTCCTCCACACATAAAATATCTGCACTGAATTCTGGTCTCAGAGTCTGCATGTGGGAGAATACCACTGAGACATAAGCCATCTAGCAACAGCAGCAATAGAAAAACAACCGTAACAACACAAATAGCTGCCAATCAGCATGGGAATCGTTTTTCATTCGTTGTCTTCACTTCACTCTCTCATTCTCCTATGCATAGGTGCTGTTTATAGATGAGGAAGCTGAGGCTTAGGAAGGTTAAGCAACTTGCCCGAGGCCTCACAGTGAGAGAGTGCAGTCTGGGGTTCCCACTCCTAGAGGAGCCTGGAGCCTGTGCTTGAATCTCTAGCAAATGGCCACTTTGATCGGTGCACTTTGGTGGAAGCTTCCAGAAGCATGACACTGGGGAAAGCAGTGGGTGGACTGTAACCTAGGAGGTCTCCATACTGATGCTAGGCTGGCTGGGTGGCTGATGAGAAGTCTTATGTGTCCATAAAATATCTAGGCCATTCTTCCCGTCTCACCAGTCTTTTAGAAACTCTCTGCTTTTTGGCCGAGTGTGGTGGCTCACACCTGTAATCCCAGCATTTTGGGATGCTGAGGCGGATGGATCACCTGAGGTCAGGAGTTTGAGACCAGCCTGGCCAACATGGCAAAACCCCATCTCTACTAAAAATACAAAAAAATAAGCCAGGCATGGTGGCGGGTGCCTGTAATCCCAGCTACTCAGGAGGCTGAGGCAGGATAATCGCTCAAACCCAGGAGGCGGAGGTTGCAGTGAGCTGAGATCGTGCCATTGCACTGCAGCCTGGGCCACGAGAGTGAAACTCCATCTCAAAAAAACAAAACAAACAAACAAACAAAAAAAAAATAGAAAAGAAAAGAAACTCTCTGCTTTTTAAACTGAGCTCTTGCTTTCCTACTTGATAAAGATCCACATCAGTGTCTGGTGATAAAGAAACAGCAGCAGAGGGGCAAAGTTGAGCAGGGCTGGTTTTCGGGCCCAAGGAACCTGGGGAAGGGGGCCTGGCACGTGCCCACCGAGAAGCAGGTGCCAAACCCAGCCCAGAAGGCTATGTCGGCCCCATGCTGCCAGATGCGATTTTTCTTGGAAAGCTTGAGATCCAGATTTTTCATATGCAATTTCCCCATTTTAAAATACAGGCTACTATTTTTGAAGCATTTAAAACCCACCCTTTGGTAGCCCAACTAACCCCATCTGGGGTCTTAATTTTTCGCACAGGTGGCCACCTTATGACCTGGGCTGTAAAGGAATATCGGCCAGATGTGACACGGGATAAATCAGCCATCTGTCTTTTTGATAGGGAAACTGAGGTCCCATGACTTCCATCATGGCAAACAGAAGGGCTCGTCTCCAGGCCCAGCCCACCTGAGGGGATGAAAATCTTCTCACTGAACCATCCCATTACAGGCCTGAACTGGACCTCTTTGAACAACATGGGAAACTGAGGCTGGCAAGGGAAGGATGCTGAGTTCCCACCCTCCAGGTAGCGTCTCAGCCAGAAGAGGAACGTGCCCCTCCCCACCTTCCTCAGTTGCATCCCCACATCCCCACAGCTGGTTTGGCCCTGGCAGGGTGCTAGGAGGGACCTTGGTTTGGGCTGTCGCCATGGGAACCCTCCTCGCAGGCCTCTGTGGGTGGCTCTGCCCTTTGGTTTGTTTTCGGGGTCTGAGGCTGTGGAGTTTGCTGACAATTGCCAAAGCCCCGAGTGAGTGTTGAGTCACCAGACTTCAGAAGGGCTGTAAGTGTTTATTTAAAACCTTACAAACAGTTTATAGCCAATGGGCCAGAATTTACAGGCAAGGGGTTCACTTCTGGATGGCCCTGAGAGGTGGAGCAGAGGGCAGTCCTCTAGCTAGTCCGCAGATGTCGAGGGCCGGCAGGTGATGTGCTTGTGAGTGGGCCGCCTGTCTGAGCAGTGTGGGAGGCTCCCGGCCCCTCCTTGCTTTGGGTTCCTCCACTGTTGTGGCTTGGTGGTGTCTCCTTGAAAGATATGCTGAAGTCCTGGCCCCGGGCACCTGTGAATGTGGCCACATTTGGAAATAGGGCCATTGCAGATGTAGTCAAACTAAGACGAGGTCATAGTGGGTTAAGGTGGGCCCTAAACCCAGTGTCTGGGGTCGCCATAAGAGGCTGTGTGAAGACAGAGAGGCACACAGAGAGGAGAGGCTATGGGGAGACAGAGACAGAGACTGGAGCGAGGCTGCCATTGGCCAATAATTGCCATGGATTGCCAGCAACTGGAAGAAGCAAGGAAAGATTCTTTCTCTAGCCTCCAGAGACAGCATGCCCTGCTGACGCCCTGATTCTGGACTTCTAGCCTCTGGAATTGTGAGAGAGTAGATTTCTATTATTTTAAGCCACTCATTTTGTGTTTCGTTTGTTTGTTTGTTTACATAGCAGCTCTAGGAAACAAATGTCCTCCACCTCCAGGGCCTCTGCTAGGATCTGTTCATGGAGCGCCTCCCGCCCAGGGCTCTCCTGGTCCAGACCCTCATGTGCCTCATGTCACTTGGGTCTGTCTGCCTGGATGCCCCTCAGAGCCCACCAGCTGAGCTTCACTGTAGCAGGGCCCAGGAACTCCTTTAGGGTGGCCTTGAAGGCCTCAGGAGTCTTAATGTCTTCAAACCCTGGGGCCCTGGAGCAGGTGGGCAGGAGACATGGTCACAAGCATGCCAATGACAACCTCACAGGACTCCTGGGGACAGCTGAGGACAGGATTGAGAGAGAGAAGCAGAACTTCTGCCTTTGAGGGTGGGATGGGCTGGGGGAAAACTGGCGATACTGACTACACTCCTGGTTCTACCATGGGTTGGAAACTTGGGGTGGTCTCTGACTTGGTACAGGGGAAGCATTTGCATAACCCCTTGCTACTCAAAGTGTGGTCTAGGATTAATAGCATCAGCTGTTAGACTGCAGCTTTTAGGGCCCACCCCAGACCTACATAATGACAGCCTACATTTTACCAAGATGCCCAGGTGACTTGCATTCACGTTCCGTCGGAGAAGCGCTGGCTGGGTGGGGAAGGGAGCAAGGGATCTGGACTCCCTTCTCCAACACTCCTGGGTTTAGCCCGGATTTCAACAGCGGCTAGGGTGACCACACCAAACAGGTTCTGCAAATGCTAGTGTTCTGTGTTGATAACAGAAGAGGACATTTTGCACTTGAGAGGCCCCCAAACATCCTCACTCAGATGTTTCATGTGGAAGTTTGGGCATCATCCTGAATCTCTCTCTGGACCCTCCACCTCTGCCTGGGAAACAAGTCCCAGGGGATTACACCTGCTAGTGAGAAGGGAATAGCATGGGGTGGTGGCAGGAGGATGGAAAAACCCAAACAACAGCTAAAACAATACCTTGGGAAAGAAACCACAGGATATCAGAAAACCCAAAATAAAGGAGAGAAAACAGCCCAAATCCCGGTAAAAGTGACACGTCTGTGACTCTCCCGGGCAAACCCAAATAAGGGAGAAAGGCGGCAGTAACCGGGAACTGGGGGTCCCTGAAATCCCCTCCTTATCCACAATACTTAACGATAATCTAATGATGATTATCCACCTTTTTTTTTCTTTTTTTTGAGATGGAGTTTCACTCTTGTCACCCAGGCTGGAGTGCAATGGCACGATCTCAGCTCACTGCAACCTCTGCCTCCTGGGTTCAACCAATTCTCCTGCTTCAGCCTACCGAGTAACTGGGATTACAGGTGCCCACCACCACACTTGGCCATTTTTTGTGTTTTTAGTAGAGACAGGGTTTCGCCATGTTGGCCAGGCTGGTCTCGAACTCCTGACCTCAGGTGATCTGCCTCCCAAAGTTCTGGAATTACAGGCAGGAGCCACTGCACCCGGCCCATTACCCACCCTTTAACCAAAGAATCAACCACAAAATAGGAATCAACACTGGATGGTCTCAGGAGAAGTGTGAAAATATCAGGCAGCAATTTCACAGAACAGAAAGAAAGGAGCTACAAGGACGGGGAGGAATCTGGGCTGATAAGACCCTAACAAACAGGAGCGTGCTGAGCTGGGTGAGACCGGCTGAGTCTCAACCGAGCCCCACCCCAAACCAAATGACATGCTCATTACCATACACCTGCCTCCCTCAGCACCCTGACAGATCCCCAGCATGCCCATATTTAGTATAAAAATGGATGGCACCACGATTCTAAGAAACCTCTGTTTTTTTTTTTCCTAGAAAACCTCATGATGATTCTACCCCCTAATAAGAAAAGCCCATAAAATTAGAAACCCCAACTCCTTCGTGCCTGATGAGTTCTCATGAGTACGTTAACATTTCTGTCTTATGTGTGTACTTTCGCTTTGCAAGAAAAGCTTCTTGCCTGTCCCTTCATTCTGATTCATCCCTGAATTCTTTCTTGTGACAATGTCAAGAACATGGACACCAGCTGAGATTGGAGTGTCTCACCAGTGTCTGGAGACCCGCTTAAGCCCTCTGGCAACAGTAGGATGGCTGAAACCCAGTCTCTGTCCAGCCCATGCTTACACCCTCCTCCCTCTTGCCTGGATGACTCTTACTGGTTCTGGAATTCTCCTGCCTGCTTCCTCGAAGCCACTCTCTACCTGGAGGCCAGAATGAGGTGGTAAGACCTCTAATTCTCACCAAACCGGGCTCCTGCTTAACCCTCAGAGCCCTCTGAGCCTGTCCCCACTGCTCACACAAGGACCCAGATCCTTGCTGAGGCCTCGGGGCCTGGCCTGAGTGGGTCTGGCCTCATCTCGAGTTTCTCTGCACCAGCCCCGCGCCCCGGACCACAGCCTCATCTTGTTCATCCGTGCCTCTGCTCAGCACCTTTGACATGCAGCTTCCTCTGCTTATGCACTTTCCCCAACCCCCTCCTGCCATCTGGTTGATGCTGCCTCATCCTTGAAATGCCTGCTCCTCTTGGAGGTCTCCCTGCACTGGCAGACGAGGCCAGGCCTCCCTGACACCTACATCCGTGCATGATTTTTCCTCTTGGCGCTGCTCACAGCAGTGACCGTGAGTTTGGCACTGTGCAGTTATCGGGAACTCCCTGCCCACCTCCCAACATCACAGGCCATGAAGGCAGGGGCCAGTCGTGTCTTCCTCACCAGGTCCCAGCACTTAGCACACTTGCTGCTACATCGTTCTGTTAATGAGAAAGAAAAGTAGCAGGACTGACGTTTTGTACAAAAGGGGAACTCTTGCCTGTTTTTTGTTTGCTCATTTGTGTTTTAATTCTGGGTCTATCCACGTGGATCCAGCCCAGTGGGCTGCACGAGTGGCCTTGGGCCAGGCCCAGCTTTCTCTCCACGATGACCTTCTGGGTCCCTCCAAATGTCCACACCTGGAGGCACATGAGAGACACCTGTGGCTGGGAAGAAGTGAGGGCCGTGGTTTCCATGGCTGCCTCTGCCATGAGCAGACCTCGCTGAGCATCTCAGGTGGTCAAATAGTGAGCAGGAGAGCTTCTGGTAGGACTCTTGCGGTGAATGATCTAATCGGAGGGACTTGCCAGGAACCAGCTGAAGACCCAAGACCTTGCCTTCTAATCTCTTCCCGGCTGGACTGGCCTCCTCTCCTGTCCCCTCCCTCCCCCTCCACCATCCCCGCCAGGGCCAGGAAGGTTTTGCTGCAATGCCTGCCAGATCGTGTCAGTGCCTGCACTGAGTTCCGTCTTTGGAGCCCCACAGGTGTGCTGAGTGAATAAATAAATGAATACATGACTGAGCTACGAATGAATCTACCTAGTCATTCAGTCAGTCTGGAAGTGAAGGGGCAGAATGTGTGACTTCAAAATGCTGATCAAGACAACAACAAAAGAAGTGTTGCGCTGCCTTCTTACCACGGCGTAATTCACCTCTGTGAAGCAGGCACTTTTGTCATGATTGTTTTATTTTATTGTCATTATTTGTGTGGAGGCCTGGTTTACAATTATTAAACAGCATGGATCTCTGGGGGTGCAGCCGGGTGAATTTTTGCCTGTGTAGACCCCAGATTACCACCCCCGACACCACGAGGTGGGCTGTTTCTCGTGCATCCTTTCAGCCCCTAGCCCGCCCCAGACGCAATCCCTGTTCTGGCCTTCATCACCCCAGGAGTTTTGTCTGCTCTTGAACTTCACATAAATGGATGTGCCCGGAGAGTGCTTCTCTGCCTGGCATCCTTCCCTCCATGTGATGTGTGTGAGAGTCAGCCAGGTTGCAGTGTGTGTGCTCATAGTTGGTTCCTGTTTGTTGCTGCGTAGTATTCCACCACATGGACCTGTCACTTTAGAGGATGACTGTGGATTTCAGAGACCCTTCCTGGGCTGTCCATGGCTGCACACTTACTAAATGATGATGCTGGGAACCCTGTTTTTTTTTGTCAAGACTTCTGCTTGTTCTTTAATTTCCTACCATCTCTCTGGACAAAGTCAGCTGATTGGAAAACAGGGCACAGGCTTCCCAGCTGCAGAGGGAAGGAAGGAAGCTGGAGGCCCCAGCCCCTGTGTACCATGACCTGGGGCATGCCAGGTGACCTCCCCAAACCACATTTTTCTCTGGTAAAAAGGGATGGCACTGGCTTCCTCAGACAATTAGCATGTGCTCAGTAAATTATATTAGACACATCTAAACAAACTAACAAATATGCCCACAGAGTCTTGCCGTGTGATTTGAGTAGGTTGCCTTTCCACCCTGGCTTTTGTCACCTGCTCTGAGAAATGAAAGGTGGATGAGTGCCCTGGGGCGCTGGCGGCTCTCCAGGCTGTGAGGCTCTGCGCTCAGTGGCCTCCCAGGCGACGCCAGGAGGTTATTTAGTCTGCTGGGTCAGGTGACCTGGTCTGAGGTTCTGCTGCCCTGATGGGTGGGGCGGAGGGGGGTACGCTGGGGTCTGACGAGTGGCACATTGTTTGATTTGAGTCCATCCCCTAGTGTCCACAAATTCACCTTTGTTTATTTTCCTGAGACGCTAAACAAGCCAGTGAGACTGAGCAGTTCCAAGCCAGACATGCATTTCCACCGTAAAAATATTTTTGCGGGTCAGAAAATTGCACCAAAATGTTTTCACAGGCAAAATGCTGCTGTGTGCCGCTCAGGCCTGCGGCTGGCCGATTGCTAGAGATGGGTGCTGCACACACGCACCCTGGGAACACGTTTCAACAACACCAATAAAATAAGCAATGTAGGAAGCACTTATTATGTGCCAGGCAGTTGCCAGTATGTTCTTTTCTTTTCTCTTTTCTTTTCTTTGAGAGGGAGTCTCGCTTTGTTGCCCAGGCTGGAGTGCAATGGTGTGATCTTGGCTCACTGCAACTTCTGCCTCTTGGGTTCAAGCAATTATCCTGCTTCAGCCTCCTGAGTAGCTGGGATTACAGGTGCCTGCCACTATGCCATACTAATTTTTGTATTTTTAGTAGAGACAGGGTTTCACCATGTTGGCCAGGCTGGTCTCAAACTCCTGACCTCATGTGATTTGCCTGCCTTGGCCTCCCAAAGTGCCGGGATTACAGGCATGAGCCACTGCACCAGGCCACCAGTAAGTCCTTTACTTGTGTGATTAGTTTTCACCCTCACCCCTCCCTGTGTGGTCACTGTGATTGTCATCTGTTCTGCTTTGCAGATGAAAGTAATGAGGCCCAGAGAGGGTAACTGATTCTTCCAAGCTCAAACAGCCTGTAAGGAGCAGAGCCAGGATTAGAAACCAGGTCTGTCTGATGTCAGCGCCTGGGCTCGTACCTATCATGGTGCATCTCTGAGGCCCTAACTAAAGGCTGGGATCAGCCATGGGCTCTGCCATGAAGCCTTCCTGTGCCATTTCATGTATACAGGAGTGATAGCGCTGGGATGGGCCGTGGAGGTGGCCTCCCATCACCTGCTCCTTGTACAGACTCTGAGGAGATTAGTGTCATGGCCATCCTCACACTCAGTGGGCAGTGGCCTCCATGGCTGTCCTTGTCACCTTGTTCTGTGCGGTTAGATATTTTGTATAATGCAGCCCTCATGGCGTAGCTGCACGGCTGAAGCCCTTGGCGTGCACATTCATACACAAAACATCACAGAATAGATGGTAGACCCATATAGACCCATACGGAACTGCAGCCCACATCACAGAACACAGCCCTCTGAACAGGGATTTGGGGACTTACAGTGTCATTGCACTCTCTGGTCATTATTTTACACTCACATTCAGCTATGTACGATCAGCGAAAAATGAGATTAAAAGCCAATTTAAATACTGTAGGGGATTCCTCTCTCCCTCTCTGCAGGTGCCAGGGGCGATGCCTAGGGCTGAGTGGGAAACAGCAGCCGAGAGGCCACTGTCGCTCTCACAGACCTCGGTCTCAGGAACTTCCTGAAGTGACAGCCCCATGCACTCCTGGGATTATACACATCTTTTTGCTAAAGGCAGCTCCAAATGCCAGCTGGTCCTCGGCCTGGTGCTCCGGTGGAGAAGAGTGATTGGTTGGGAGGTAAGAGCTGGGCTTGCTGGGAGGCATCTGTGAGCCTCAGTCTTGGAGGAGACACCCCACAGGGTGTGGAGGTGGAGGGTGAGTACATTTGATCCAATGCACTGACGCAGTCTCTAGCCTGGGAGGGTAGATCTGCTGGGTGGGTTTGTTTCTCATCCTTCTCCCTGAGGGCAGGGCCATGGTGACACCTCTTAGTGTCCCTGGGCCTGGCACAGAGGAGCCCTCACATGTGCTTGGTGACAGATGACATGGAGTTAGGGTCCTGCTGCGTTCAGAGGGAGGGAGCCACTCCTCTGTCCGTGGAGAAGCATTCCCAGGGTCACTGACCAACCATGCCTGAAGCTGGGGCTCTAGCAAAGTTGGGATAGGGCAGGACAGTCCTCGGGCCTGTCCAAGGGGCAGCTCATGGCCAGGACAATGACCGCCAAGCCCCCTATACACTCAGGGGCTCAGTGTGAGCCCTCAGGAATGAAGGAGCGAGCCCCGCCTGTCCAGGCCCTGGCCTGGGATGACCCGGGTCTGTGTCAGGCATCCATGTAGCCCCTCAGCCGGCGCAGTCTCTGCAAGTATCATCAGGAGGCCACGAAGAAAACGCCGCATCTTTCTCTTTTTGTCTCTGTATGGTTAGAATGCACGCGGTGTCTGGCTCAGGGGAGGTGTCTGTAAACAATTTTTGAACAAACTTATATAATTTTTAGAACTACATTCAGGCATCCAATAATTACATTTTGGTAACAACGTACTGAATATATGACAGCAATCTCCTGAGGTTATCGTGGAGCTGAAAACTTCCTATGGCCTAGTGACATTGTAACACGAAGCATTACTCACATGTCTGCGGCAATGCTGGTGTCAGGCGACCTCCTGGGCTCCCAGTGGTATAAAAGTCTAGCAAGTGTGATTAGAGACTGTATATAATACTCGATAATGATAATAAATGACTATGCTACTGGTTTATATGTTTACTACACTATACTTTTTATTCTTATTTTAGAGTATACTCTTTTTTATTTTTATTTTTATTTTTTTTTGAGAGGGAGTTTTGCTCTTGTCACCCAGGCTGGAGTGCAGTGGCGGGATCTTGGCTCACTGCAACCTCTGCCTCCCGGGTTCAGGTGATTCTCCTGCCTCAGCCTCCAGAGTAGCTGGGATTACAGGTGCCCACCACCACAGCCAGCTAATTTTTTTAATTTTTAGTAGAGATGGGGTTTCACCATGTCTCGAACTCCTGACTTCAGGTGATCCACCCGCCTTGGCCTCCCAAAGTGCTGGGATTACAGGCATAAGCCACCACGCCTGGCCTTGGAGTGTACTCCTTCTACTTATTAAAAAAGTTAACTGTAAATCAGCCTCAGGCAGGTCTTCAGGAAGTACCCAGAAGAAGGCACTGTTGTCAGAGGAGAAGACAACTCTTTGCATGTTACTGTCCCTGAAGACCTTCCAGTGGAACAAGATGTGGAGGTGGAAGGCGGTGATACTGATGATCCTGACCCTGTGTAGGCCTAGGCTAATATGTGTGTTTGTGTCTTAGTTTTTAACACAAAAGTTTAAAAAGCAAAAAAAAAATATTAGAAATTTTAAAAATAGAAAAAACTTATGGAATAAGGATATAAAGAAAGAAAATAGTTTTTACAGCTGTACAATGTGTTTGTCTTTTCAGCTAAGTATTGTTACAAAAGAGTAAAAAAGTTTTTAAAAAGTAAAAGTTTATAAAGTAAAAATGTTACAGTACACTAAGATTAATAGAGTATTGAAGAAAGGAAAATATTTTTGATATAGTTAGCGTATCATAAGTGTCCAGTGCTGATAAAGGCTACAGCAGTGAGCAGTAAGTCCTAGGCCTTCCCAGTCACTCACCACTCATTCACTCACGGACTCAGCGAGAGCAACGTCCAGTCCCGCAAGCTCCGTTCCTGGTAAGTGCCTTAGGTGGACCATTTTCTATCTTTTAGACTATATTTTTACTGTACCTTTTCTGTGTTTTGAGATAGATACATAAATACTCACCATTGCATTACTATCACCTACGGTATTTAGTATGGTAGCATGTTGCCCAATGCAATAGGCTAGACCGTATAGCCGAGGCATATAGTCAGCTACGTAGAGTGTAAGTCTTCTTTATGATGTTCACACAATGGAATTGCCTAATAATGAATTTCTCAGGATGTAGCCCCATCGTTAAGTGATGCGTGACTGCTTTTGGTCCAGGAGGGAGGTCCTCCAAGAGGTGCAGCCCTTTTGTCACCATGGAGACAAAAAGGGGTTTTACACACCCCACATGTTCTTTACACATCGGGAGAGCTGCTGATCCTGGCCTGTGTGCTTGTGTGTATGTGTGGGTGTGCATATGTGTGTCTCTGTGCCTGTGTGGTGAGGGGTAGGGGAAAGCAGCCCCCAGGGGGCTGTGCTGGTGGCCATGTGGACCATGTGGGCAGGTGCCAGGAAGGGGTGTCTTCAACACAAGGGGTAGCTTAACACAAACACTTCCCCAGGGCTGAGCTGAATCAGAAGCCAGTGGTGGGAGTATTGGAGAGTGAGTAGAGAGGGTAGGCTGCAGCCAGCCTGCTTCCGACGAGGAGGAGGGCGGGGGATGGAGCTCAAGAATCAGCCACAGGTGACAGACGCAGAGAGGACCACCAGCAGCTGAAAGGCGGGGCCTGGGGGGTGGCAGGCAGGCCCTCTGCGTGGCAGCCTAAGGGGCACGATGCTGTTGAGTCTCATCTCCTGGTCACCGCCGCATGCCAGCAACTCTGCTGAGTAATAAAGGGCACCGTCCTGTTTGATCCTTGGCCCAGCCTCAAGGTGGGGGACTCTTAGTCCCATCGTCAGTGGAGGGCACAGTGAAGACACATGAGGTGACTTGTCCAAGGTTCCCTAGGGCTGGCGAGGGGTGGAGCCCTGTGTTTGTGAGGATCCCAGGAGCTCCTTGTGGGATGGGTGTTTTACCTTCTGTGACGGTTAATCTCACGTGTCAGCTTAAATGGGCCGCAGTGCCCAGATAGGGATATGGTCAAATATTATTCTAAAGGTTTCTGTGGGGGTGTTTTTGAATGGCACTGACATTTAAATGGGTGGACCTTAAATAAAGCGGTCTGTACTCCATCCCATGCGTGGGCCTCATCCAATTGGTTGCTGGCCCGCATAGGACAAAAAACCAACCTTAGAGCAAGAAGGGATTCTGCGGCCCATGGCCTTGAACTGGGCCTTGAACACCAGCTCTTCCTGGGTCTCCAGGATGCCAGTCTACACTGCAGATTTTGGATTTGCCAGTCTCCATAATCATGTGAGCCAATTTCTTAGAATAAATCTCTTTACACACACACACACACACACACACACACACACACACACACTCACACACACCTCCTATTGGTTCTGTTCTCTGCTCTCTGGAGACCCCTGACTAATCCGGCTTCCCAGGAGTGAATGTCAGTAGGAAGCACCCAGGATTGTGCAGCTTGAGGCTGACTCAAATCAACCCCTCTGGGCACACAGTGTAGCCTAGGAGGGGCTCAGCCAGGGAGCTGGGAGGGGTGAAATGGGCTCCAGTGAAGGTAGGAGCAGAACAGCAAAACAGGGCGACGTCAAGGGGACAGGACACCTACAAGCAGGCCACTTCTGCCACATTCTTATTTGTGACCATGGCCAAGCCGTTTCTCTGCTATGCGCCTTAGTTCCCCTCTGTGCAGGACCCTCCATGTGCCAGGTAGTCGTCGGAGCCCTCCCTGCCTTGTCTATTCAGTGACTTCCAGAGGAATGAAGGGGAAATGAGAGCCTGGTAATGGCCCACGTTGTCCTGCTATCAGCCCCTTCTGCACATAACTGCTGGCGGCTCACCTCTCATTCCTTCAGCTGTGGAGGTGCAGAGACAGAGCCAGGCAGGAGACCTGGGTTCAAGTCTTGCTCCACCATGAACTAGTTATGTGGCTGTGGGCAAACCAGTTTCAACTTAGCTTCCATTTCCCCTATCCACAGAATGGGGGTGGTGATGCTGGTTTGTTCTGGGAGTTAAATGGTTGAAAATATGAGCCGGGTACTTAATACATTGTGGTTTTTTAATACACACCAGTGCTGTCTTTCTTGATGAACTCTTGCAATGGGCAGACGTGAAGTATATGACTTTGCCTTCATTTTAAGGGGCTCACAAGCTCCAGCTCCTCATGGCCACCCCATGAGAGGCCCCTTTTGAAATGGAGTCACTACCGAGTGAATGCAGTACAGCAGGTGTGGGGACCCTGCTGTGGGCTGGGATATTGCTGTCCTTTATGACCTCAGCCTTCCATCACCAGATGTTTCCTGGTGTCCTGAGCTTTGTGCTGGAAATTGAGAGCCTGTGGTATTAGGGGGAAAATGCACCCAACAGGCTACAGCCCAGTAGGTGAATGCTCTACCAGAGGTATCAGCGGGGAGCATAGAACAGAGGAGGAAGAAAAAACTTTGTCACTCTTTTCTCCTGCCTGCAAACCTATGGAAAAAGAAAAGAAGGAAGTTCTTGGGCAAACTAATTCTGTAATACAGGGAAATGCATATCAGTGCAGCTCCAAGAAGGGCTTTTTGTCTGCCAGTTCCCTCCAGTGACCACAGGCTGCCTTGGAATGGGATGAGCTCCATGTCACTGATTTTCATCCATCCATCTGCCCCCATCTACATTTTCTTTCTTCCCTCCCTCCTTCCCTCTCTCTTTCCTTCCTTCCTTCCTTCTTCTTTCCTTCCTTCCTTCCTTCTTCTTTCCTTCCTTCCTTCCCTTCCTTCTTCCTTCCATCCATTTTCCTTCCACCCATTTATCTGTTTTCACTCATCCATCTGTCCATCATCTTTTCTTCCTTCCTTTATTCCATCCTCCCTTCCATCTATCCTTCCATCCATCCATCCATTTTTCTTCCTTCCTTCCCTTTTCTTTCCTTCCTTCCCTTTTCCTTCCATTTTTCCACCTATCTATTCATTTTCTATCCACCTATCCATCTATTCATCATCTTTTCTTTCTTCCTTCCATCCATACACTCATTTTTCTTTCATCTATTCATCCATTTACCCATCCATTTTTCCATCCATCCATCCATCCATCCATCCATCCATTTTATTTTACTTTCACCAATATATCCTTCTACATCCTCATCCATCCATCTATGCAACCCAATCTATATCAGACTCTTCACTGGAATCCAAGAACTCAAAAGATGAGATGCCTTCTAGGGCATCCTAGAGCAGTGGGGGAAGCTCAGCTCTTGAACCTGGGGGCAGATGGACCCTCTGCTGGGCGGAACCCCAAGGGAGCTCCTGTATGGATTATGTGGGACAAGGCAATCCTGAAGTGCCTTCTAACTCAAACATTTTCTGGTTCAAGAACCACAGGAATGACTTTTTTCAGGTCTCAACCTCAACCACTGATCAATCAAAATGCACATCTGCCTATTCAACCACATCTATGTGTATATGTCCCCCTGTGCCAGCCAGAGCTGGGGACGCAGTGGGAAAAAGATGGACCACATCTTGTTCCCACAGAGCTTACATCCTTGTGGGGAAGACAGAATATCAGCAAATAAGTATACATCAGACAATGATAAATGCCATGCAGAAAAATGCAGCAATGGAAGAGGATGGAGAGATGGAGGGAGCTGCAGATGGAGGATTGGGTTGTAATTTAGGTGGTGTGGTCAGGGAGGAACTCTCTGACTAAGGGGCTTTTCGGCAGACTCCTGCAGGGAACTAGTTTCTGGGGAAAGTGTGCAGAGGGACAGTAAGGGAAAGGCCCTCGGGGTGGAGCATGTTTGGCATGTTCCAGAAAGAACTGGAAGGCCAGTGTGAGGAGAAGTGGGTTTTTGAGGAGTGAATGGCAGGAGAGGTGACAGCTCTCAGGGGTTAGAGCACCAGGGGTCTTTAGGCCACCAGGAGGCTCTCTCCATTGGGACCAGACCTGATTTGCATTTTAAAAGGAGCATGCAGGCAGGTGAGTGGTGAAGACATTGCAGAGGGGCCCGGAGTGGAAGCAGAGTCCATGGAAAGGATTTGACAACCCAGGAGGAGGGTGCACGCAGTAGGCTTTGCCGGTGGAAGAAGGGGCCAGGAGCCACAAGTGTGGGCAGCCTCTAGAAGCTGGAGGAAGCAAGGGAATGGATTTCCCTCGGAGCCTCCAGAAGGAACCAGCCCTACCGACACCCTACATACAGACCCGGGAGACCCATGCTGGACTGCTGACCGCCAGAGCCGTAAGAGAATACATGTGTGCTGTTCTAAGCCACCAAGTTTGTGCTAACTTGTTATAGCAGCAACAGGAAAGCATCACAGTCCAGTGAGGGGTTAGGAGGTGGCAGATGATGATGGCTGTATGAGGATGGTGCCTTGGAGGGGGCAGAAAGTGGCTGGATTCTGGACATGTGGTGAAGGGGAGCTGACGGGATGGTGGTGCCAATGAACTGGGAGTGGTTGTGGTGGAAAGAGAGGAGTGTGGGAGAACTTCCAGGTATTTGGCCCAAGCAATGAAATGTGCCATTTCTGAAATGGTGACAGCCACTAAAGGGAGGAGGTTTGCAGGGTGCTCGGGATTGGGGTTTTGGCCACCCTGGGTGGGAAGGACTTGTAGGCACGCAGGAAGGCCTGTGAAGCAAGCAGTGGGATGTTTGCTCTGAGGCTGGGGGAGAGGGCTGGGCTGGGGTAAAACATTTCGGGGTCCTCAGTGGGTGTGGGATGGAATGAGATCATCAAGGGAGGGAAGACAGCAGGGTCAAAGGTTTCACCCTCAAGGGGAGTGAAAGCCTCTTGTACTGGCAGTCTCCTTCAGTAGTCTGGGCAGGAAAGGCACCTTCCCGCAGACAGCGCTGCTTCTAATGACAAAAACATAGTCAAACAAGGCTGAGCAGTGTCCATGGATCCTGGAACCGCCCAAGACCCTTTAGTGTTAGTTATCCAGGGCTGTCAGCACCAAGCATCCTAGACTAGGGCACTTAAACAACAGAAATGTGTTTCTCACAATACAGGAGCTAGAAGTCCAAGACCAAGGTGTCAGCAGGGCTGGTTTCCTCTGAGGCCTCTCTCTTTGACTTGCAGACAGCTGTCTTCCCCCATCTTCACGTGGTCTTCCCTCTGCGCGTGTCTGTGTCTTAATCTCCTCTTAGAAGGACACCAGTCAGATTGGATTATGACCCGACCGTATGAGCTCATTTTACTTTAATCACCTCTTTGAAGGCCCCATCCCCAAACACAGTCACATTTGGAGGTGCCGAGGTTAGGACCCTAACATAGACTTTTTGGAGAAGGTGGGGGCTGGGGCGGGGGTGGCGGACACAGTTCAGCCCGGAACACCTCCTGAGGCACCAGGCTGGCTCTCCACTTATTAATTGGGAACTAAATCTTCAAGCAGCAAATGAACTCTCACGCCCGTCACCGAGCGCATGGCTGGGCCAAGTCCTATTCATCTCTCGCCAGAGCTCTTCCTGCCACCAGCCCAGGCTGCCTGGAAAACAGAGCGTCTCATTTCCCCGCCGCTGAGTCCCATCCCTGCAGACGCACCTCATCAGGACAGGGGCCTGGCTGCAGCCCCGCTCCCCGGTCTCACACTACATCATGTGTCACCCTGTTGGTGGTGGCCTCCATGTAATCAAACACCCCTGAGTCAGACATCGCAGAATTAACAATCCTCCACGTGGTATAAACAGAGCCTAAATCAAATGCCAGCAAAAGGATATTGCCTTTTAAATGGGTCCTGACAGCTGTGGAAAATATTATAGAATAGAATCCTTACATATGACAGACATGAATTCTTAAGGAACCCCTAAACGGGTCCTCTGGATCGTTTGTGAGATTGTATTTTATTATGGATTGGATGTATTGAAGTAAGACTATAATCTTACTGTGCTCTGACCTCTGTTTTTATAGCTCTGTATAAACAGCAGTTACCGTATTAGATGGAGAGATGTTTACAGATGGAGAAATAAAAACACGCTGATTTACTGTGTTGTAGAAACCCGAAACCAGTCCAAGGCAGGGCCTGGGTTTTGTACGTCAGAGGCCCCGTCCTGATGGGAGCGGACAGCTTCGGGGGTGGAACCCAGGCCGGGGGTGTGGAACCCAGGCAGGGCATGGGCCTTTGGCTCCTGTCGGTGGGGGACACAGGCCCCGCAGCCTCAGAGTATCAGGTCCCTGCTCTCCAGAGCTCTGAGATCTGGACCTTTGGGACCACTGGGTGGGACACGGATGAGAAGAAGGCTCACACCCTGGGATAGTTTGGCTTCTGTTCTGCGCTTTTGCTGCTTCCTAGATGTGGAGGCTGGGTCTGAGAGACGGCAGGACTTCAGAGTGGGGCGCACCTGAGGTTGCCCTGGCTCTGCGTTAAGGAGCCGGGGACCTTGAGCTTAAGCTCTCCAGGGCTTGGTTTTTCACCTCTCTGGTGTGGGAGTGAAAACACCTGTCTCATAGGTTCTTGTGAAAAATGGCTGAAATAGTAGAAAATTCCAGCACTCAGGAAAGCTCCCTTCCTGCGTCTTTCCCCTTGCCTTTTAAAATCCTGTTACATTTTCCTTACGGTGGACTTAAGAGTTCTTGGAGAACAGCGTTCTCCTGGGGGCCGGGGGCACTCCACGGAGTCCCTTTGGGGTCCCCAAAGGAGTCTCCCGGCCTGCGTTCTTCACTCACTCACTCAGTCTGTGGGATGCAGCTGGAATAAGCACTAAGGAGAAGATAGGGCCGAGGAGAGGGATGGGGTGTCCGCAGTGGAGGTGCTAAGGTTTTAGAAAGGGTGGCCAGGGAAGGTTGAACAGACCTGCGCAGAAAACCCAGAAAAGCTGGGGGCCCCATTCACGTAAACACTCGAGGAAAGAGGACTCCAGGCAGAAAGAAGGGCCGAGGCAGAGGCCGGGAGGCAGCATAGGCAGGGGGGCTGGGGCTGGAGTGTGGGGCAGCAGTAGGGATGGGGTCAGGGGTATGAGGGGAGTCAGACGGCCTCGCACGTGTGTCCAGGTGGGCAGGAGCAGTGCTGCCATCCACCTGCTGGCCACAGCACAGGGGTGGGGCCCAGGTCCTTGTGGCTCTCACAGGGCAGGCCGCTGGAAGAGTTGGGGATTCCTGTCAAATCATGGCTCAGAGAGGAGCATCAGTTAGGAACAGCCATGTCGAAGGATCACCCAACAATTGCTGAAAACAGCCCTCCACTGGGTAATTGCTAAAAGGGTTTCCTGAGCCATTTCCACTACAGTTAATATCACCTAGTTTCTATACCACACACATTAGAACAAACTAAATATCTTTCGAATTCGTATTTCTGTATTGACTAACATTAATTTACGTGGTCATAGCAGTTGATAAATACATCAGCACGTCTCAGGAAGAGAGGCTGGGTGCCCCCAGGTTCACTGCTGCCATTAGCATTGATCCGTCTCCTCCTCCTGCCCCCTGATGATGTGTGGCGAGCCCACATCATCAGGACTCCGAATGGCTGCTCTGTTTGACCCCGATCCTCAGGACACAGCCCACTGGGCTTCTCCAAGCCACACACCATGGGGCCTTTGTTCTAACTTTGTTGCTTCCCCTGGACCACTCCCCGTGGTGAAAGGCGGATTCCTTGTTTGCCACAAGGAGTTCTGTTTTGTGTACTCTTGTCACAAAAGGGTACTACACGTCTCTCAGGGGACATGTTGTCAGGGTGCTGGGGAGACAGTGTGAACAAGGCAAGGAGCTTGCCTCATGGGACTAGCACTGACCTGACGGGGAAGACGGAGAATCACCGAGATGAAAGGACACAGTGGATGCTCCCTGCCGGATGACAGTGAATGCCAGGCATGGGCAGGGACAGGGCCTTGGGCTCACGAAGGACCCCTCTGATATGGGCTGCTTCCTGCAGATAAAGGACTTCCTGGGTTGCCTACTTCTTATTCTGGATCAGGGGATTTTAGGTGCAATCCAAAGCCCGGGGAGAAGAACCGCCCTGAAGGGATCGGACTGTTTGTACAGTGTTTTCGGCTTCTTATTTCTGGGGCCTCACAGCATGTGTGGAGGGCGGGGCAGGCAACCGGCAGGTGAGGACGCTGAGCCCACCGGCATGAACTCAGCAGGAGGCAGCAGAACCTGCCGCAAGGCAGGGAGTTGTGGGGAGGCCTCCCCTTCCCAGAGCCTGTGGGTGCCCTGCTTCCCCGATCCCGCCCTCCTCCCAGTGGCATGCACCTGCCCTCCCCCAGGGGCGCAGTGGAGAAGATAAGGGTTGTCTTCAGAGAGCCAGTGGCCTGGGACACAGGGAGAGCCTAGGCTGGTTCTAGATGGTTTCAAACAGTGAAGAACGCTGCAGCTCAATCCAAAGGGAACTTGAGAGATTTGGAATAAAGAGTGCTGTCCTGGAGGGGGCCCCTGTCGTAGGAGGGGCCAGAGCAGAGCTGGGAGCCAGAGAAGAGCTGGGGGCCAGAGTCTCGGGGGAAGGTGTATGGCTTCCTCCGGCAGGCAGGAGTCCTCAGGGCCTCCTCCCTCCTCCTTGGCTGGAGGGTCCGTGAGTCTAGGGCAGGGCAATTTTACCCCCCAGGGGACATTTGGCTGTATCTGGAGATCTTTTTTGGTAATCACACTGTGGGATGGGGAGAGACACTGCTCATCCACCAGTGGGTAGAGGTCAGGGATGCTGCTAGTTGTCTCACAGTGCCCGGGGCGGCCCCCATCAGAGATTCCCCAGGCGCAAAGTGCCCACAGTGCCCACAGGGCTGTGGCTGAAGAATCCTGGTTGGGTAAACATTTACATCGGACGAATACCTCAGAAGTCAGTGCACTTTGAAAACGGGGAAACTGAGACCCAGAGAAGGAAAGGGTCTCGCTCAGGGCATACGGTGAATCAGGGGGCAGAGCCAAGACTAGTATCCCATGGTCTCTCATCCAGGGCACATTCCTCTATACCAGGCCAATCCAGTTACCCAGTTCACCTGAGACACTCGCTGGTCTCTGCCAGCCTTTTGCCTGTGCGGACAGTCAAGGCACAGGGTCTAGCCAAGGGTTAAGACAACACTGCGCTTGCAGTCTCGTCTTGGAGTAAACGCAGTTGCTGCTTGCTGTGTGGCCGCAAGTTGGAAATTGTTTTCTTTTTCTTGCTTTTTCCTACCAGAGTCTGGACTGAGCTCAAACCAGACTTGCCATCTCATCCTCAAGCCACAAACCCCAGCAGGCTTCCTCGTGCATCTATCTTAGGTCTAATACAGCGATCATTGGCACAGTTTCTACTCTTAACTAAAACCAGCATCTTTTCTGCCTGTGGCCAACGGCACAGTTGATAGATGAAAGGTTTGGCCTCTTTGGTTCAATTAAAGATTGCCCATCTCTGGGTTTATGAGGATGAGTGTACAGAAGATTTCCAGCGTGGGCTTCTCATCTGGCCATCTCTGCCAATGCCTCCTTTAAGATGTAGAGAGAGGGCCCCAGCCTGGGTGTAACAACTGGTTAGAGGCTGATACATGAAAACGTACTGGACCCTCCCTCAGAATCTGGTGCAAAATGAGGCACCAGGCGTGGGTGCCTAACTTGTACGTGTGCATTACCCAACCACACCACAGAGGTGTGGCCGTGGGTACCCGTCTCTTCTGTCCATGGGAACAGTGGGACTGGTCCATGGCTCTGTGTCATTTGTAGGTGTCCTGGCTGAGAAGTAGCCATCTGGGGCAGGTACTGAGGGGCACTGCAGTGGGAGGAGCAGAAATTGCCTGGGAACTCATGGGAACTCATGAAGTAGGGCAGATGGGGACAGAGAGTCTGACCCTGAGGTGGCACATGGATTCCATCTTCCTTTTCTTTTTCTGTCTCTTTTGAAATAATTATAGACTCACAAGAAATTGCAAAAACAGTACAAAGTGTCATGTGCACCCTTCACACATCTTATATAACTCTAGTGCTTCATCAAAACCAGACATCATTCTTCACAATGTAATTAACCAGACTACACACTGTACTTGGATTTCACCAGTTATTATGCACATTCATGTGGTTTTATTTTTCTGTATGTCTTTGTGTATGGCTCTATGGCATTTTATCCCACCTATAGAGTCATGTAACCAGCATCACAATCAAGATACAGAATGTTCTGTCATGAGAAGAACACTCCCTACTGTGTTCCTTTTACAGTCACACCTGCCCCCACAGGCCTAATTATCTCCTCTCCATCTCTGTGATCTGGTCATTTTGACTATGTTATATAAACGGAGTCATGCGGTATGTAACCTTTTGAGAGTGGCTTTTTTCACTTAGCATAATTCCCTTGACATTCGTCCAAACTGTTGGATGCATCAATAGTTTGTTCCTTCTTATTGAGTAGTAGTCCACGGTATAGATATACCAGTTTGTTTGACCTGAATTACATCAAACTTGTCAGCTCCATTGATTTGGGAGTGGCTGCCTGAGACACAGGGATAAGGAACGACTCCTAGCTAGTTAGCAGAGGAAACACCACGGTGAGTAGCAATGCTGTTCCTATTCATTAATTCATGCATTCACTCAAGATATTTATTTTGCATCAATGCTGCACCATGAACAACACAACGGTGAGCAAAACAGATCCAGTTCTAGATGTCTTTGAGCTTATGTCTTAGTGGAGGGGACAGATATTTAATAAATAAACAGGAAAACATATATAACTTTAAGGAAAAAGAGCAGGGTTCTGGGAGAGAATGAAACTTTGGATGGGATGATTGCTGCAGCCTTGTCCAAGGAAGGGAAGAAGATGAAGTGTCATTGACTCGTGGAGGGGAATGGTATTCCAGGAACAGCATGTGTGAGGGCTCTGAGGTTGGACAAAGGCGCACGGATTGAAAGAATGAACAGAAGGCAGAAATGTCGAGGCTATTCAGTGGTCCAAGGCGAGGACAGCCAGAGAGGTGAGCAGATCATTCGGGTCCTAGGAGGAACATTTTTTCTCCAGGGCAAGAAGAATCCATTAGAGCATTTTTAACAGAGGGGCGGCATTTTCAGGTTTGGGTTTTACAAAGACTGAACTGACTGTTGTGTGGAGACGTGACCTTCGTGGGTGAGAATGGAAGCTCAGAGCTATTTGGAGGTCATGGTGGTCTCCTATGACCATGACCATGGGGGCCTGTCTAAGATCTCATCAGTGGAAATTAAGAGAAGTGGACAGATTGGACATGTTGGAGGGGTTGGCGTCCAGGAGGTGGAAGTGTGTGGGCAGTATGTGGTGGGAGTGCTGAGGGCTGGGGTGTGTGTGAGAGTGGAGTACTTGTCCAGTGCCTGCTGATGTCTCTCTGGGTTGTGGGGAAAGGGGTGCCTGGGGTGGCAGAAGTAGCATGGACGGGCCCTGGAGAGAGGGCAGAGTTCATATTCTGGCTCCACCATTTATTGGCTGCCCGTGCTTGGAGCAGTAACTTAGTTTCACCCAGCCTTTATTTCCCCATTTGTAGAATGGGGATAATCATTATTCAGTGCAGCTGATGCCAGGATCAAATGGGACATCACATACATGACACCCAGCTCAGTGGCTGGTACAAAGGCACTCAGCAAGTTACAATCGTCTTTTCATCTCCTCTCACTGAGGGCAGGGATTGGGTCTCATTCAGTCTTGTCATGACACCGTCTGGCAAAGTGCTGACACGGGGCCTGTGCTCCCTGTAGGCTTGTTAATTTCCTGCCTTTCCTTGAGAGTCCTCTCATCCAGGGACATGTGGACAGTGCTGGATGGCTATGGGGATGCTCTGTGAGGTGGGTGGCAGTGCAGGGGGCTCAGAGGACAGACTGGATTGTGTCTAGCCCGGAGCACTGTGGTTCGTGCTGAGCTAGCTGTCCAGGGCCCTTAGATTTGTTGGAACTGGAGTATTCTTTCTTTTTTAGAGTGGGTGATTCATACTACATGTTGATCTTTGGAGCTTTAAAAAGCATGACCCCAGAGAGAGGGCTGGAAATGATGACTTTGCAGGTCTCAAGGGGCAGGAATCTGCCATATTTTCTTCATACAAATGGGTGTTCTTTCTCTTCCCTCCACTTTTTACCATTTTGCTGGTGCAGATACGTCTTCCATCTTCGTGTATGTTTGGCATTGTGGAGTTTTTTTGCTCGCCCCCTCCCCCTTCCAAACACTGTTGTTAAATCTTTCAGTTGATGGGATTTTACATGGAGGAAATCTGGCTGTGCCTGGCTTCCCTGCCCTGCCAACCCCTTCTGTGATGTATGGAGTCACTGTGAATAAGGCTGGACAAGCCAGACAGAATCTGTCTGAAGGTTTTCCGAGTCCTGGCGGTCTCTCTTTGCTGTCCAAAGCTTCTGAAAGTAGATGGGGATATTTTATTATTTGGTAGCATATAACTTCCTCAGCATGGTCTCTTGAGGGGTTATTACTGGTGAACTCAGAGACATTTGCTACACATCAGATTTTACCCTCTGACAACGCAAACCACTAAATGAGAAAGAATTCACGTCAATAACTCGTAGAGTATGGAAAGGATATAAAAGAAAGATGTCCACTGTAAGGCAAGTAAGTAGTCAAAGGAAACTGATTCCCTCCCACCCTTTCCCCTTATAGTGAATAGTCATTGCTGTGTTTTAATGAATGGTGCCGGGTCTAGGTGTTGTCAGAGATTGGCTGGTGGCTGACAAAACATGACTCCACACTCAGTTCAACACTAGCGCAGAGCACAGGAGTGGGCAGGCGGGAGTGGGAGTTCTCTGGGCTGTGAAAGCACGGGTTTCAGGGTAGGTGGGAGCCATCTGGCCTTCTGGCCTCCCCTTCCCTGTGCTGCTCCAGGTCAGGAGTGTTGGACACCCTGGGTGACAAGCAACTCACCACCTGCCAAGGACACCGGTGCATCTGTGGGTGGGTCCAATGTGTGAGCATAGCTGCCTGTAATGCTGGCCCTCCAGGTCTCCGATCTAGGGTTGGGGATACACTGGACCTGTCCCTCCCTTTGCCCAAGGGCAGCCCTTCGGAGAGGTGAGAGATGATATGATAGGATGGTAGTGCCAGGTGTGGGTCTGAGTCTTGGGCTGTCACTGTTTGTGTCCTTCTCTGGGACGTGGGAATGACCACAGGGCTCATCTCATGGGATGAAGAGAATTAAAGGAGGCAGCACGTGCCCGATGTCCAGTGCAGGGGGTCTCACAGGACAGGGAAGTGACCCTGGACGTGGTTCTTGGGATGGTATAAGGACGCTGGTTGGTGCCTGGCCGTATGTCCTGTGAGTACCCAAGCAGTGGGACTCTTGCCAAGCAGCCATGGGGGAGGGGAGCCAGGGCCGGAGCAGCCCATTCCCATCTGTTTTCCATGCTGTGGTTCTTAGGGGAGTGACTTTTGAGACACGTTGGCTGCTTGACTATTCCAAGCCTGATCCCCCAGGACCAGGGTTTTGGGGGCCTTGCCTCATGATTGTTGGCGTGCTTCAACTTGTTCCTCCTGCCCTTGTTTCCCCTGGTTTCGTCCTGTCATTTTCATATTGCATTTTATGTGTCTTTTCATGCTGCCCCAAGTCCTTTTGGGTTTTGAGCCAGGCAGGATGATCAGACCAACTGACAGCACAATGTCTGCACATTCTCTCCGTCACTCCCACCTGGAGGGTGCAGGCCCGGGGCTATGAGAAGCAGTTCAACGTGGATGCCGGGTGGGGTGGTCTCTGGACACCATTCCCCCGCCACCAGCATCCCTCTACCCTCTCGATGCCCTGCCACATATCCTGACCCCCACGTCCCTCATGGGCAATGTCCCCCTGGCCCTACTCCATGCGTACTCCTTGTTCCTAAAGCATCTGGAGGCCACAGGCTTCTAGAACCCTGGCCCAGGTGGACCAAACCCCTTTCCTAGAATGGTTGCTTGATTTTTTTCCCCCTCCTGTAAACGAGGAGCCCAGGAGCATGGTAGGTGCTGCTTAAAGAGAAGCAAAAGATGAGTCTGCAGTTCGGGGGTTAGGGGGTGGGATTTAGGGGATTTAGGCTGGAGCTGGTCTTTTGGGCAGAGGCTGAAACCCCCAGTGGAAAAGGGGGGGATTTCGGCTTAGGAAAGTGGTAGTGGAAATTGGCACGGGGATCCTGGGGCCATAACCCGAGAGATGCTCTTCCCCCAGGCTTCCTCTTTGGGATGAGTGAGGACCCATTTCCCATTCTGGGACGCTGACCAGTCCCAGGGGACAAGGCAGGGGCAGGCAGGCACTTCCCTAAATCAGGTCACAGCTCTGTCCTTGAGCCCCTTAGCCCTAGCGTAACCTTGGGTGGCATGGCTGGTCTTGCATGTTTAACAAGGGGGCATTTTGTGGAACTTGTTGATCCCCACGGTAGCTCCACTTGCTGGCACCTGGCTTGTGTGTGTCCTCCTGGCTAGCCAGACCCCACTCACTCTGTGTGCACCCATAATCACTCCAGGCTACCCTCCCAAGTGCACCCTTCTTTCCAGACACTTACATACCCACACTTACCCCACACCCAGCCGTTCAAACACACCTACACACCCACAGGCACACAAGCTCACATTCAGTGCCATGTATTACCAAGTCCCCATATGAATTTCCACAAACACTCAGACCCACACACTCACACACACCCCCCTCCACTCACTCTCACATTCTTTTCTTCTGCAGGGAAGAGTGACGATGGGCGTCTATGGTGTTTAATCTGGGCAGTCCCCTCCTGGGCTCTGCACTTAAGTTGAACTTGGTGTGGAGTTGTACTTTGTCAGCCGCTAGCTGATCTCTGCGAACACCTAGACCCTGCAGCATTCACTAAAACACAACAATGAGTATTCACTGCATGTTACTGGGATAAGGGGTGCCCAGAGGGCTGGTGAAACATTGTTTTGGGTGAGCCTATGCGTTTTTGGAAGAGGTTAGTATTTGAATCCTTAGAATAAGGAAGATCTGCCCTCGCCAATGTGGTGGGCATCCCTGATCCATTGAGGGCCAGATAGAACAAAAAGATGGAGGAAGAGCCAATCCTTTCTCTCTCTCTCTCTCTCTCTCTCTCTCTCTCTCATCTTCAGCTGTGATATCTATCTTCTCCCGCCCTCAGACAACTCCTGGCTCTTTGGCCTTCGGACTTCGGGACTTACCTCAGTGCTCCCCACCCTCAGTTCTCAGGCCTTTGGCCTTGGACTCCATGGACATCACCACTTTCCTGGGTCTCCACCTTGCCAACTACAGATGGTGAGACTTCTCTGCCTCCATAATTGCATAAGCCAATTCGCATAACAAATGCCCTCTTACATATCTCTCTATCTATCTATATCCTATTGGTTCTGTTTCTCTGGAGAACTCTGACTCACAGTCCTACAGTGTCCTTCCCTGAAAACACCACCATTTTACATGTGGAGCGGCAGCTTCCTCCTTCTAACCCAGCTCTCACTTGTCCTCCTCCTGGTATCAGTAGCCCGAATTTCTTCTGGGGAGCTGCCCTTTCCCTGGGCTCAGTTCACAGGGTTCATCCAAGGCTGACCCCACCCTGGGCCCTGGGAAGTGATTCAGACCAGGCCAAACAAAGGCCGGCTTCCTCTGGCCATGACCACAGTGTGGAGATGGCATGTGAGCCAGCTTGGCCAATGGGAATGCTGTTTTGCCTGTGGCTGGAACTTTCCAGAAGGAGACCATTCCCTTGGCTGTACTGGGGGATGGTGAGTCCAGAGCTGTTGGGGCCCTGTGTGAGGTGGGATACACTTCTTTGACACTGGTGCTCCTAAGTCAGCTGTGCCTAGAGGGTGGCCATTCTTGGACTCCCCTGTGCGCACCAATAGCCCTCCTTTTGCCCAGATTAACTGGTGTTCAGCCTCTATTCCTTGCACCTAAAGGCACCTGGAGCAATACCATGGGGAGTTGGGGCAGGGGTGCCAGGCCTTGAAGTCATCTGGGGTGGAGTGGGAGCTCAGGAGTGGTCAGGCTTGATGAGAAGAAAGTTTCGTCACTAGAGAAATGGTGAAGCCAGGATTAGAACTCAAGGCCCCCCCTTTCCAAATCCCCACTCTTTCTTCCTGCAGGCTCTGGAGTGAGCCTTCTTCACAACTATCAGTGGCATTGTAGGGGGAGCCAAGGGGCCTCCCCTTTCCACAAGTGAGGCTGGGAGGCCAACCCTCTTTACCCCTCCCTGACTCAAGGCAGAGCTTGTGCCAGCTTCCCTTAATGATGCCCGTCAGGCTGCAAGTGTCCCTCTGAGAGTAACCCGTGCTTAGAAGTATGGCAGCTGGGGCCGGGTGCGGTGGCTCACGCCTGTAATCCCAGCACTTTGGGAGGCTGAGGCAGGTGGATCATGAGGTCAGGAGATCGAGACCATCCTGGCTAACACAGTGAAACCACGTCTCTACTAAAAATACAAAAAAAATTAGCTGGACATGGTGGCGGGCACCTGTAGTCCCAGCTACTTGGGAGGCTGAGGCAGGAGAATGGCGTGAACCCGGGAGGTGGAGCTTGTAGTGAGCCAAGATCGCACCACTGCACTCCAGCCTGGGCAACAGTGCGAAACTCTGTCAAAATAAATAAATAAATAAATAAATAAATAAATAGATAGATAAATAAATAAAGGATGTATGGCAGTTGGACTCCACATTGGGAAGGGGCCCAGCATGGCGTGTGGAGAGCTGGGCTTCTCTGTGGTCTGATGGCTAATAGGTTTACCATGGCTCAGGACAGGGAGGTTGCAGGAAGGTCCACAGGGTTCATGGGCAAGTCAGGTGGTACCTGGTGTGGTGCCAGCTTAATTTTACTTATACAGATTGTTCTCATTTCTTCCTAACAAATAGGACCACTTTACATGTAAATAAAATAAAGCAAAAGCCACCCTCCCAAAACAGATGTCACCTCTTCCAGGAAGCTTTTCCTGGTCCTCTGGGCTGGGTTAGAAGGCCCTTTCCCCTACCTTAACTTCTGTGCTTATTTCTAGATGACATTTGTCACTCAGGACTAGTGGTTTGTGTTTGACATCCTGCATGCATAATGTCCCTGGGGACAAGGACTATGTCTTATTCATATCTGCCCCCCTGTGTCAGACACAGCGCAGATGGTGAGGAAATATTTGTTGAGGTTCTTGGTACATTTCCTAGCTGGACAAACTTGGACAACATCTGGCCATTTTTCTAAGCCTCAGTTTCTTCTACTGCAAATAGAGTTCATAAAAATACTTATGCAAAAATTGTTGTGGAAATTTCTATTGATGTCTGGCCCCATATCTCCTTAGCCTGTCTCCGAGTTTACCTGTGGCCACAGTGGGCCATTCCAGCTGAGGACAGTTTTCTTTCTCAGGGTCCTGGGCCATCTACTGCTCTGACAGAGGGTGTTCGCTGGCTCACAGGTCACCATAGGGGTTTGTCCCCAGCCTGCAATTGCAATTCAGGACTGCAGGGGAATTACTATCACTAGTGGTAACCCCCTAATCAATGGGGATGGAACCCAATGAGGAAAAGCACCAGCCTCCTCCTCCTTCCTTGGATGGAACAATTCTGAGTTGCCTTACATAGTTTCCCAAAGGGTCCCCCTCAAGATAGAGCTGCAATTGCCTACAGAGGTGACCAGCTCATTAGCATACCATTCACTGGCCCAGCTCCTCTCTGTTCCCCAATCCATTATTCCTCTTTCTGGGACACTCTTGACTGCACCTAGTCCTTCTCTTTGAGTCTGCTTTAGGAAAATGCAAATAGAGACAGTTTAGAGAGCAAAACAAAACAGTTCAGAAAACAGTTCACCTGCAGAACTTAGCACTGTGCCTGACATATGGTAAGTGCCTCATCACTGTGGGCCATTGTAGCTATTATCATTACTCTAATTACACCGTCAACATTGTCACTGCCACCATCATCATGATCATGAAGATCATGCCTTCTCTTTCTTTAGGACTGAAACTGCCTAACTTAATGAGGATAGATTCCACTCATATCATCCCCATCTCCCCACCTCAGAACCTGGGTCAGGCATTTGGTCCACCTGAGTTGCAGATCAGATGCCCATCAGATGTCCCGGGAACTCGTCCCTGGTTTGGCACCTGCTGAAGGCCCTGCTGCAGCTGCCTTTTCTGCCTTTGAACTGTAAGATAGGGGCTCAAGTGTCCCCCTTGGAGTATAGCCAGGGGAGTCCACCCCTCCTTGTGGGCCTGGAAATCCCCTGCAGCCGGGTTCCAGCAGGAAGATCCAGTGATTTGCATAAGGCAGTCATTTTCTGGGCCCAGATGGCTGAACCCCCAGCCCTCCCCCATCAAGATGCACATCCCTCCTGCTCTATGGTCCAGTGATTAAAGCAAACATATTCAAAGCAACGAGTTGAGCCAAATCAAAGGAAAGACGAAGAATGCAGAAAACCCCAGCAGTTTAAATTTCATTTTGGAATATCAAAGGAATATTGAAATATAGGAATTTCAAATACCAATTCATTATTTAAAACAATGTTTTGCATTTACAGACTCAATTTCAATGAGATGAAGGCTGTTGTCTTTAAGAGGCTCCTATATAATATAAACTTCAGTGGGTTTAAAGGAAACAGATTGGAAACTTGAGGCACAGATAGGTTTTCTCTTTCTCTTTTGTGCTCAGTTGTGAAGGGTCTAAATTGCAGGGAGACCCAGAGATATTCACTGATTTATGATTGAGGTCATCTGGCCTTATGGAGGAGCTCTGTGTGCTTCATGTCACACAAGTGCTGGGAGAGGCACAGAGAGAGAAAGAGAGAGAGAGAGGGCATTACGGCATGGTTCCCACCTTCCAGAAACCTCTGTCCTCTTGAAATAAGACAGATCTGGCCGGGCATGGTGGCTGACATTGCAATGTGAGGAGCTGGGAGGACCTCTCTCAAGTGAAACAACCAAAATTGGTAAAAAAAAAGAAAAAAAAAATTTGAAAGCAGCTATTAAAATCTCTAATAATTGCCCTAAGGGCATACAGCAAATGAAAGAAAACATCTATTCAAACTAATCTGCTAAATCTGTGGCAACTGATTCACAATCCACTCCCTCTTCTCCTCTTCCAGTTGAGTACAGGACCCCTACCCGCCACCCCCTCAGGAGGGGCCCACCACCAGCGTTTCTCATCCCCTCCAGCTCCGTGCTGCAGACTGTGTTCCGGGCAAGAGCAGCTGAGAGGTTTGGGGCTGTCTTCCCCAGTTCGTAGGGTGGAAGTCCTACAGCCAGCCCCAATTTGTAGGGTGGAAGCTCTAACCCAGGGGCTGCAGGCCAATATTACTAAGATCCCAATCACCCTTACTCCAGTTCCTGATAAGGTAGAAGTTTCGCAAGACAGAAGATAAACAAGAAAATAAAAGGCTTGAACAGCATTATAAACCAACAAAATCTAACAAACATGCAAAGAATACTTCACCCAACAACATAAGAATACTCAAGCTCAGAATGCAAACTCTGCCAAATATTTAAATAATTAATATCAATTCCTCACAAAGTCTTTTATAAAATGGTGAGGGGTGAGGTAGCACTTCCTAACTCATTTTGTGGTGCTAGTATTACCCTGATACCAAAACCAAAGATAGTACAAGAAAAGAAAACTACAGAACAACATCTCTTATGAATATGAATGCAAAATCGTCAATAAAATAATAGCTAACTCGATCCAGCAACATATTAAAAAGATTATACAACATAACCAAGTGAAATTTATCTCAGGAATGCAAGGTTGATTCAATATCCAAGTCAATTAATATAACACATCTTATAAATAGAATAAAGAACAAAAAATACACGTTTATCTTAGTAAGTGCAAAAAATACGTTTGACAAAATCTAACACCATTTTATGATTAAAAACTCTCAGGGAACTAGAAATAGTAGGGAACTTCCTCAACCTGATAAAGAACTATGATAAACCCGCAATCAACGTCATACTTAATGGTGAAAGATTGAATGCCCTCTTGATAAGATCAAAAATAAAACAAGGATCTCTGTTCTTGCCCATTCTATTCAGCATTCTGAGGTTCTAGTCAGGGCAATCAGGCAAGAAAATGAAATAAAAGTCATTCCAATTAGGAAGAATTAAAATTATCTATATTTTCAAGTGACATGATCTTGTATGTAAAACTCCCAACTAATCCTCTGAAAACTTATTAGGACCAATAAACAAGTTCAGCCAGGTTGCAGGGTAAAAGATCAGTATACAAAAATCAATTAGCAATAAGCAACTTGAAAATGAAATTTAAAAGACAATTTTATTTATAATAGCATCAGAAAGAATAAAAAATACTTAAGGATAAGTTTAACAAAAGAAATGTGAAGTTTATACTCTGAAAATGGCAAAATGAAATGAAAGACATTGAAGAAGACTTAAATAAATGGAAAGACATCCCATGTTCATTGGAAGACTTAACTTTATTAAGATAACAATACTGCAAAAATTGGTCTGCAGATTCTGTGCAATCCCTATCAAAATCCAAGGTGGTATTTTTTACGATATTGATAAGCTGATTCTAAAATTCATATGAAAATTCAAGGGGTCCAGGATAGCCAAAACAATCTTGAACAGGAAGAACTAAGTTAGAAGACTCACACTTCCTGACTTCAAAACTCACTACAAAGCTACAGTAATCAAGGTAGAGTGGCACTGGCATAAGAACAGACATATAGATCAAAGGAATAGAATTAAGTGTCAGTCCAGAAATAAACCCTCAAATTTACAGTTAATTGATTTTCAACATTGGTGCCAAGATAATTCAATGGGAGAAAAAATAGTCTCTTCAATACACGGGGGTGGGACAACTAGATATCTACATGCAAAAGAATGAAGTTGGACCCCTACCTCACACCATATCAAAAAATTAACACAAAATGGATTAAAGGCCTAAATGTAACAGCGAAAACTATACAAACCTTAAGAAATATATGAATAAGTTATTGTAAACTTGGATTAGTCAAAGGCTCCTTAGATATCCTGCCCAAAGCACAAGTGGCCTAAGGAAAAAAAAAAAACGGAAGTTTATAAACATTTAAAAACGTTGTACTACAAAGGACACAATAAAAAATAATAAAAAACACAACCCACAGAACGGGAGACAATATTTACGAACCATAGATTTGACAAGCATTTGGATCCTGAATATTTAAAGAACTCTTACAATAAAAAGACAAAACCCAATTAAAAAACAGACCAAGGATGTAAATAGACATTTCTTCAAGGAAGATATATAGTAGCCAATGATTATATGAAAAGATGCTCAATATCATAATTCACCAGAGAAATGCAAATCAAAACCACAGTGAGATACTACTTCACACTACTAGGACGGAACCTTCGTTATACATTGCTGATGGGAATGTAAAATGGTACAACAACTTCAGAAAACAGTCTGTTGGTTCCTCAAGTGGCTAAACAGAGTTATCATGTGACCCAGCAATTCCAGTCCTAGGTATAAACCCAAGAAAGGTAAAAACATACATCCACACAAAAGTCTGTAAACGAATGTTCACAGCAGCATTATTCCTAGTAGCCAGAAAATGGAAACAACCCAAATGGCCATCAATTGATAAATGAATTAAAAAAAGTGATCTATCCATACAATGCAATATTATTAGGCAACAAAAGGAAATAAAGTACCGATCCATGCAACAATGTGGGTGAACCTTGGAAACACTATGTTAAGTGAAAGAAGCCAGTCACAAAATACTTCATCTTGTGTGATTCCATTCATATGGAATACCCAGAACAGACAAATCTATAGAGACTAAAAATAGATTTATGGTTGCCTGGAGCTGGTAGAGGTGGGAGGGAAATGGGGAGTGATTGCTAATGGGTAGAGAGGGTTTCTTTCTTTGGGTGAAAATGTTTTAAATTTAGATCATGGCGATATATGTACACTCTGTGACTATACTAGAAACCACTGGAATGTACACTTTTTAACTTCATTTTTGATTGACACATAATAAATGTACATATTTATGGGGTACAGTGATGTTTCCATATGTGTCTACATTGTGTAATGATCAAATAAGGGTAATTTGTGTATCCAACACTAAAAACATTTATCATTTCTTTATGGCAAGAACATTCAAAATCCTCTCTTCTAATTATTTTGAAACATACAATAAATATTATTAACCATAGTTGCCCTACTGTGCAATAGAACACCAGAAGTTATTCCTCCTGTCTATCTGTGATTTTGTATCTGCTGACCAATCTCTCCACCTCCCTCTCTTCCCCTTGTCCTTCCCAGCCTCTGGTAACCATTGTTCTACTCTGTACTTCTATGAGATCAACTTTTTAAAGTCCTGCAAATAAGTGAGATCACGTGGTATTTGCCTTTGTGTGCCTGGTTTATTTCACTTATTTTTATTTATTTTATTTTTTTGAGATGGAGTCTCACTCTGTTGCCCAGGCTGGATTGCAGTGGCATGATCTCAGCTCACTGCAACCTCCGCCTCCCAGGTTCAAGCGATTCTCCTGCCTAAGCTTCCTGAGTAGCTGGGATTATAGGCATGCTCCACCATGCCCAGCTAATTTTTTTTTTTTTTGTATTTTTAGTAGAGACGGGGTTTCACTGTGTTGTCCCAGCTGGTCTCAAACTCCTGACCTCAAGTTATCCACCCATCTCGACCTCCATAATGTCTTTAAGATTCATCCATGGTGCTGAAAATGATAGGGCTTCATTCTCATTTTTATGGCGGAGTAATATTCCATTGTGTATAAATACCACGTTTTCTTTATCCATTCATCATTGATAGACACTTAGGTTGATTCCGTATCATGCCTATTGTCAATGGTGCTGTAATAAACAGGGGAGTGCAGATAGCTCTTCTAAATGCTGATTTCATTTTCTTTGGATAAACGCCCAGCAATGGGATTGCTGGATCATATGATAGTTCTATTTTTTTTTTTTTTTTTTTGAGGAACTTCCATACTGTTTTCCACAGTGGCTGTACTAGTTCATATTCCCGGTGTATAAGAGTTTCCACTTCTCTTCATCCTCACCAGCATTTATTTCTTGTCTTTTTGATAATAGTCACTCTGACAGGAGGTGTGAGGTGATATTTCATTTTGGTTTTGATTTGCATGTCCCCAATGATTTGTAATGTTGAACATTTAAAAAATATACTTGTTGACTATTTGTATGTCTTCTTTTGAGAAATGCCTATTCAATGATTTGTAATGTTGAACATTTTAAAAATATATTTGTTGGCAATTTGTATGTCTTCTTTTGAGAAATGCCTATTCAATGATTTATAATATTGGAGATTTTAAAAATATACTTGTTGACTATTTGCATGTCTTCTTTTGAGAAATGCCTATTCAGGTCTTTTGCCCATTTTTAATAGAATTATTTGTTTGTTTTTGCTATTGAGTTTTTTGCATTCCTTATATATTCTGGATATTAATCCTTTGTCAGATGCATAGTTTGCAAATATTTTCTCCCATTCTGTGGACTGTCTCTTCACTCTTTTGTTTCCTTTGTTGTGCAGAAGCTTGTTAGTTTGATGTAATCCTATTTGTCCATTTTTGGGTTTGTTCCCTGTTTTATTGAGATCTTATTTAAAAAATCCTTGCCCAGACCAATGTTTTGAAGGATTTTTCCCATGTTTTCTTCCAGTTTTATAGTTTCATGTCTTACATTTAAGTCTTTAATCCTTTTTGAGTTGGTTTTTGTGTATAGTGAGAGACAGAGGTCTAATTGCATTCTTCTGTGTGTGGATATCCAGTGTGCCCAGCACCATTTATTGAAGAGATTGCTCTTTCCCCAGTGTGTATTGAAAATCAGTTGGCTGTAAGTGGGTGGATTTATTTCCGTACTATCTATTCTGTTCAGTTGATCTATGTGTCTACCTTTATCCCAATACCATGTTGTTTTTGTTGCTATATCTTTGTAGCATATTTTGAAGTCAGGTAGTGTGATTCCTCCAGCACTGTCCTTTTTGCTGAAGATTGCTTGGGTATTTGGGGTCTTTTATGGTTTCATATGAAGGCCACAGCTAACATCATACTGAATGGGTAAAAGTTGAAAGATTTTCCTCTAAGATCTGGAACAAGACAAGAATGCCCACTTTTACCACTTTTATCCAACATACAACTGGGGATGTCCTAGCCAGAGGCATTAGTCAAGAGAAAGAAATAAAGAGCACCGGAATTGAAAAGGAGAAGTCAAATTGCTCCTGTCTGCAGATGACATGATCTTATATGTAGAAAACTCTAAAAACGCCACCAAAAAAACTGTCAGAACTAATAACCAAATTCAGTAAACTTGCAGGGTATAAAATCCACATACGAAGGTCAGTAGTGTTTCTATATGCCAATAGTGAACTATCTGAAAAAGAAATCAAGAAAGCAATCTCATTTATAATACCTGCAAAAAAATCACCTAGGAACAAATTTAACCAAGGAGATGAAAGGTTTCTACAATGAAAACTATAAAATATTCATGAAAGAAATTAAAGAGAACACAAATGGGAAGATATGCCTTGTTCATGGATTGGAAGAATTAATATTGTTAAAATGTCCATACTACCCAAACCTATCTGTAGATAAAATGCAATCCCTGTCAATACCAATGACATTCTTCACAGAAATAGAATGAACTGTACACTTTAAGTGGGTGAACTGTATGCAAATTATATCACAATAAAGCTTTTTTTTTTTTGTTTTTAAATAGATTCCAGAGTAGAGATGGTAATGGCTTGGACTACAGTGATGGAAGCAGGGAAAGGTTGTGCGAAATGAACTGTTTAGACAGATATTTCCAAGGGTTTGCTGGTGGATTGGGCTGGAGAGGGAAATAGGGGGTTGGAAATGAAGGATAACTCCTGGGTTTGGGCCTGAAAAATTCATGCCATTCATTAAGATGGGAGAAGATACAGTAGGATCAATTTTGAGGCGGAAAGTAGGAGTTGTATTTGGACATGTCTGAGCAGTTTGGGAGATATTGTAATGGACTTGGTAACACACAGGCACATGTATATGACTTTACAGTTTATAAAGTGCTCTCATCCTCATAATTACTATACCTTCCTCATAGCCTGGGAGGAGCATGTATCATTGCTCTTCCTTCCATTACGTAAGTGAGAAAACCAAGGCTTGCCAAGGTTAAGACATCTGTGTAAGAAGACTTCTTAAAGAGGCCCCAGGACACCTGCCCTGTCCCTACCTGGCTTTGCAGGCATTTGGGAAGATCTGGGCGGAACACCTAGTGCAGTCATTTCCTGCCTTAGCTGGGGCTCCTCTGCAATAATCTCTCTCACCTCAGTTTTCTTTCCTGTGCAATGGGCTAAGGTCATGGAATTATGAAGTTAGTAAACTCGGTAGCAGCCCCCATCTTTGCCAGGCCCCTACGGGCTTCTTCAGCAGCCCAAGGTCTAAAATGCCCAGGCCATGATTAGAATCCTAAAAGAACGTGGATAAATCTATGGATGCCCTGTTACTGTACCAGGGGCCAGTCACCCCTGGGTGATTTCGATCTGATTACCCCCTTAAAACTTATGTTCTGTGGCACACTGTGAAGACAAGCAAGGGCTTGCCTGGGCCTTGGTTTCCAGTTACCTGTAAACATACTCAGCTCTGATGATGCTACAGTAATGGCAGAGTCTGAGCCCTTGGCAGAGAGAGGCAGAAAGAGCATATAGGGTTGATGTTTCCCTTATGTACAATGGGATTTACTGTTGCTCATTTCCTCCATTCATTCATTTGTTCATCCATTCATTCATTCCACTAAGATCTACTGAGCACCTGCACTGGGCAATCCTCTCTGGAGGTAAGTACGCGGGCCAGGCCTCATTCTGTCCGTTTCACAGATGAAGGTGCTGAAGCTCAGTGGGGCAGGTGACTGACCTGCAGCTTCCTCTAGTGGAGGCTGTGAGATCCTGGGGCTCAGGCACAAAGCGTTCCACCTCAGCAGCTTACTAATGGCAGGCATTAGTAAGAGCTGAATGGGGGGTGGAGGCCCAAGACTCAGGGCCTTTCTGCACCCCGTGCTGCCTTGGGGTCCACAGGAATCATTCTGAGAAGGCTCTGGAGCTGCAGATTTGGAGATGCCTGTTTTATTCACATCCTGGTTTAAGGGCCCTGACCCCAACAGGTGTCTGGAACTCTGGGAACTGTTGGTAGAAAACATGTACCCAACCAGGCCCTGCAACCTCTGCAGATGCCTCTGGACGAATGGTTCCTAGGACCATGTCAGCAGAGAAGAAGCCTTCTAGGGTCTGCTGGTGGACACCTTCCTTTCTTGTTTGGGGTAACTGAGAGGCAAACGAGGAGGGTGGTGAAGAGGAAGAGAAAGAGGAAAGGAGGGAGAAAAGGAAGGGGAAATAAAGATACACCGAGGATTCAAATGCTTGTTCTACGGTTTACTTGCTTTATGACCCTGGGCAAAATTCTTAATTAAATTACCTAACTTCAGTATTATTTGTATAATAAATGTTTCTGGAGCACTTGTCACGTGCCAAAGCCTGGAGATACAGAGGGTAAAGGCACAGTCCCTACCCCTAGGAGCTTGCAGTCTTGACGTGTGGCAGAATTAGACATATGGCAGGGTCATCTCAGGGCAATGTTGTGTGTTTATCTCAGTCTCTCCTGCTGGAAGCTTCTAGAGGGCAAGACGCTAGCTCTCCAAGCTCTGCATTGCCAGTGGTGCTTGGCACCAAGCGTGGCACCTTCTGGTGCCAGATATATATTTGCTAAGTGTTATTGAATTGAATTTGTCATGTGGTTGGGGGGTGCAGATAATTTCGGCTAGAAAGTTCATATTGGGCACACACGGAGAAAGCCCTCATGTTCCTTCTCCCCATTCTCCTTGGTGATGGCTGGAGCCTGTGACTGGCAGGTGGGTGCTTGACGACACCTTCCAGTGGGAAAGGTGCCATGACATGTGAAACCCAGCAGCCTACCTCAGTTTCCCCAATGAGGCCTTTTTCCCAGCTGAGGTTTGGTAGCCATGGGAAGGCAGGAGACAATGTTGAATGGACATGGCCTTTCCACTGATCGTGACACTGTCCATCGACCTGGGCTGGACAAGGGCTCTGTGCTCACTCTTCCACCCGGTGGCTTTGGGGCTGCGAGCTGCCCTCTGCCCTGGGGAACCACTCTGGGGGTCTGCTGTGTTCCAGGGTTCTGCCTGGCTTATTTGTGTCCCCTCCCCAGGGCCCTCTTCCCCAGACGGGGTAGCCTGGAACACCCTATAGCTTCACAATTGACCCCTTTTTTGGAAGCCCTCTGTTTGTGGACACAGGGAGGCCAAGTGGTTCGGCAGAAGGCCATGAGCCTCCAGGAGACCTATGTGCAAATCGTCACTCTAGGACTTACCAGCTGGGTGGCTGTAACCACAGAACTGCTCAGAATCTCAGCCTGCTGTCAACTGGCTGGGAATAACCCTTTCTGCCCAGGCCCCTGGCAGGATTATTGAAGCAATCCTGTAAAAGTGCTCTGCAAACTCTATGTGCTGTGCAAAGGTGAATTAACTATTACGGAGGGAACTTTGTTTCTTTACACTCAGCCATACTCATGAAAGGGTGTCAAGAAGTCCTTGGCTCCAATAAAACATCCATGACCTTGAAAACCATCGTTAGTCTTACTCAAGGGGTCCCTCTTCAGCCTGCTCCCCTGCACCACCTGCTGTGGCTCCCAGCACCACCTCCTTAGTTAGGGATGCCTTTGGTCTTTCCATGTGGCTTTGGAATTCCTGCTCATCTTTCAGGTCCCGAAAAAATGCCACTCAATGCCTCTGACACGTCATCCTTCCTGGAGAAATGAATTCCTTCTTCTCTGACACATCCCTCCTTGGCTTAAAACCCTTCTGGGATCCCTTTGTGCTCAGGATAAAGCCCTTTTCCCCTTTCTTTGCCAGGCTTCGAGGCCCCCTGCCTGCCTGGCCACCCTGACCCCTCACACTGCCTGCTCACACTCTGCTCTCTTCCTCCCTATTCTGTCCTCCCTGATGGGCCCTTCTGCTTTCTTAGTCCTGTTTACTCCCAGGTCTCCACTTAGAAGTGTCTTTCCCCAGGAAGCCCCACTGGTGGGCTTCCCTACCATCCAGGCTCATCCTGGTTATAGCACCCACCTGCTCTTTGAAATGGAAGGTTTATGTGTCTGTCTCTCTTGCCCCTGAAAGGGAAGAATCATGCCTTGTTCACTGTTGTAGCTTCTCACCTAGGACAGAGCTTGGCCCTAGAATGTGTTTGGCAAGTGGATGAATGAATGAATGAATGAATGAGAGCATCACCTTTGGATCAGGCTGCCTTGATTGGCACTGCAGACTCTGTTGGCTGCCAATGTCAAATCCAGTCTCCCCATCCTGGTATCTGTGCTCCATGGAGGTAAGTCAGGAGAAAATCCTGATGGGACTGAGCTGGTTGAGTTTATCTAATTTTTCTTGCCAGTGACTGATCTAGAGATGAGTGCATGACCTGATTCTCCCAATGAGAAGCAAGGAGAGGTCTCAGAAGCAGGCCTAAAGGTTGCTCCTTATTCCTAATGGATGGGGCCTGCAGATCCTGTGTTCTACATCTGTGGATCCATCAAGATTGTTTAGCAGGAATTAAAAATAATAAGGCCCTGGCCCAGAGGGGGATGCTGCGGCTACTACGAGTCAGCTCAGTGGACCCCGTGTGGAATGCTTGTGCCATTGCTGGGGAGAGGTGGCTGTCTCCCAGTGGTGTCCACCATCAACCAGTGTGGCTGGCGGAGGTAAGGAAACCCCTCCATGGTGCCGAAGACGTTCCCATGACATGACAAGTATATAGAAACAGCTCCCTCTGAACCCAAGATTGCCTGCAAAACCTGGGTGAATAAAATATACATTTAGATGACTCTTGGAATCACTGGTGTTTTTACATGTTCACAAGCTGAAGATAAAACATATGTATATGTTTCAGACTTGTTTCATGCACATGGAAAAAGTATCACATTGGTTGTAACTTCATAAGGCTGGGAGCTCAGGCTCCAGATCTGTAGCTTGAGATAAAACCGGGCAATTACCAAGGCAGGCCACCTCCTGGAACAGCTTAAGACAAAGCCCTAGCAGCCATAATTGCAGACTCCGATGGAACAGAGTTGTTCCAAGAATGTTTGCAACCACTGGGATTGCATCACCCTTTCTCTGGGTCCCGGGCTGAGGCTTCCTACCACAGGACTGCGGTTTTCCAGTGGAGAGCAGGCAGGGATTTCCAGAGCTTTGCCTGTGGGCCCTAAGTTGGAGGTGTCCCTGCCCCACTCAATGGCTGTCAACCCCATCCAGCTTATCTCAGAAGAAGGGATAGTGAGGCTCCTAAGACTGCCCATACCACCAAAACCAGAAGGAGGAGAGATAATACCAGGAACAGGAACTCAGTTTCCCCTGACAACTGGAAGGCTCCTTTGCTCCTCCTTGGGAAGAAGTGATTCCCCAAAACTTCTATGGTCCTGAACCCTCCTTCTCAGGAAGGAGAGGACTTCTTAAGACATGCTGAGAGACACCTATCTCCTTTCTCACCTCAGAAAAGTTGAATATGGAATAAACTGTAAAGGGCGTTGAAAACAACTTTCTTTGAACACTGAAGCATTGTGACGTCCAAAAAAACCTCAGTATCAGCTGGGATTCCATGGGCATAAAGATACACAAGACAGCTGCAAGCTTCCCTTCTATATTCTGTGTAAATGCAGTGCCCACTTTACGGTTTCTGGGGGTACTGGGGGGCTAGATTCCCACATCGCCATCAGGCTCAGAGCCTCGATTCATCCCAGTTGAGTATTTTTCTTTCTGTTTTGCACATGCACCTTGGGCCCTTGGGGACCTCAGTTCACTCCCTTGGTTTACTTACATTTATGCACAATCACACTGATACGGTTTGGATCTGTGTCCCTACCCAAATCACATGTTCAGCTGTAATCCACAGTGCTGGAGGTGGGGCCTGGTGGGAGGTGATTGGATCATCCGGGTGGTTTCTAATGGTTTAGCGCCATCCCCGTAGTGCTGTTCTGGTGATAGAGTTCTCAGGAGATCTGGTTGTTTAAAAGTGTGTAGTCCCTCACCGTGACTTCCTCCTTCTCTGGGCACGTAAGACATGCCTGCTTCGCCTTTGCCTTCCACCATGATTATAAGTTTCCTGAGGCCTCCCCAGAAACAGAAGCCACTGTGCTTCCCAGACAGCCTGCAGAACCGTGAACCAATTAAACCTCTTTTCTTTATAAATTACCTAGTATTAGGTATTTCTTTATAGCAATGTGAGAATGGACTAACACATACACATTTACACACACAGTCCCACTGCCTTTGAGTGTGTGTCAGATTTTATTCAGTAACATTTGCTTATATATTAATGAGCTTAAAATTAAATATTAGTTTTTTCAACATACACATTTTGGGCACATACAATTTAGTCAATAACACCTAGCAAACTTGCTGAACTTGTTAATTCTAATAAATTTGTGCAGAGATTCTTTGAGGCTTTCCAGATGAACAAGAATATCGTCTGTGAATAACAATACTCCTGTTTCCTCCCTTCCAATATTTACATCCTTTCTTTCTTCCCTTACTTTCTACATTGACTAGAACCTCCAGCAAATGTTAAATAGAAGCAATGATAGCAGAAATGTTTGTCTTATTTTGATTTAAAGGTAAAGATTTTAACATTTCACCATAGAGTGGGGTATTTGGTACAGATTTCTGGCAGATACTCCTTATCAACTTAAGGAAATTCCCTTCATAGTTGCTAAGGATTTCTACCATTAATTGAATTTAATCAAATGCTTTATCTGCAAATATTGAGATCACCGTATGGCTTGTCTCCTTTAAGTTGTTAATATGTTGAATTTTCCTAATATATTTCCTAACGTTGATTCTGCTTTGCATATCTGGAATACTAGATGTAGATTAAATTATATATATTTTCTTTTTTTATACATTTCTGGATCTGGTTCACTAATATTTTGTTTAGGATTTTTGCATTTCTGTTCATGAATAATATTGACCTGGTATTTCCCAAAAGTTAGCAGCTTAAAACAATAAACATGTGTTATTTCATAGTTTCTATAGGTCAGAAAATTGAGCATGGCTGTGGCTGCTGTCTCATCTGAAGGCTCAACTGGAGGGATATCTGCTTGTCAGCTTACTCTCATAGGTCTCTGCATCTCACTGGCTCTTGGCTGGAGGTCTCTCTCAGTTCTCATCATCTGGGCCTCTCCATAGAGTGACCCACAACACAGTTGCAAGCTTCCCCTACAGCAAGCAACCCAAAACAGTGAGAGAACCCACATCCAAGATGAAAGCCACAGTCTTTTTTTATAATTTAATCTCAGAAGTGACATTCCACTACTTCTGCCATATTCTATTTGTTAGAAGTAAGTCACTAGATCCAGCCCACTCTCAAGGGGAAGGGATTATACAAGGGCATGGGTACCAGTAGGTGGGGTCACTGAGGCTATTGTGGAAGCTGCCTGCCACAAGGAGAAAAAAAAAGAATCAAAGGCAACTCCTTCCCTCCACTCAGTTCCCCAGCAGTAGGATCTCCACCATGCTCCTTTCCGTGATCCCAACCGTGAGGCAGCAATCTTGGGTTTTAGTCCCCTGACAGCACTCACTAGCCATGTGACTTTGGGAAAATCCTTTAAACTCACCCTCTCTCCTGGGTGGAAATATCAAAGCAGTATTTCAAAGAAGCACTTGAATGTGACAGATCAACCTCAGGTAGGGACTAAAAAGGAACGGCAGAACAAATGGATTGTGGAGTGACTCTGCATAAATATTGGAAAGGAAGAGAGGGGAGTGTCATTATTCACAGATAATATTCTTATCCATCTGGAAAACCTAAGAATCTCTGCACAAATTTATCAGAATTAATGGCAGAGGTTAGCAAGTTTCCTAGATATTGTGAACTAAGTTGAGTCCCCCACAAATTTATATGTTGAAACTCTAACCCCCAATGTAACTGTATTTGAAGATACAGCCTTTAATGAAGTTATTAAGGTTAAATGAAGACATAAGGGTGGGGCCCTAATTCAATAGAACTGGTGTCCTTATTAAAAGAGGAAAAGACACCAGAGATCTCCCTCCTTCCATGTGCACACAGAGGAAAGGCCTTGTGAGGAAACAGCAGGAAGGAAGCTGTCTGCAATAGAAACATAAAGATTTCACCGGAAACCAAGCCTGGAGGCACCTTGATCTTGAACTTCGAGTCTCTAGAACTGTGATACATTTCTGTTCTTTAAGCCACCCAGTCTGTGGCATTCTGTTATAGCAACCCTAGCAAATTATACACTCAATATAAAAGCAATTTATGCAAATATTGGTCACATTTTTATATATCAACGGTGAACAGTTAGAAAAGCAATACAAATATAGTATCTACAGCTACAACAAAAAATAAAGTACCTTGGAATAGAACAAACAAAATAGTTCAAAATTAAGTAGGAAACTATAAAAATATATTGAAAGGCATTAAAAATACTAACTAAATTGAGGGACATAACACTGATATGGATAGGATGACGTAACATTTCATAAACATCAGTTTCTTCCAAATTGACTTATTCATCCAAAGCCATTTTTATCAAACTCTGAGAGGTTTTCTTTTTTACTATTTTTTTTCTTGGAAGAAATTTGACAGTTGATTTTAAAATTTATATAAAAGATCCAAAGACCAAGAACAGCAAAGAGCCTCCTGAAGAAGAAACAGCAATCAGGATGACTTGCCCTGGCAGGTATCAAGAATGTAAAATGATTGTAATTCAGACAGTGTGGCATATGTGCAAGGACAGACAAATAGGCCAAAGGAACAGAAAAAATATTCAGAAACAAACTAATGCCTTGTACAGACCTGGTATGTGACACGTTGGCAGGAAGAGCAAAGGAAAGAAAGGTGGCACTAGTCAATAAATGAAGTTAGAGCAATTGGCAATTTAAACTGAAAAAAGAAATGTGTCCCAACTCCACAGAAGGATCACACACTTGAATATGCAAGGCAAACATTCTAATGCTTCAGAATGAAACTTAAGAGACAATTTTGATGAAGTCAAAGTTATCAATCTTTTCTTTTAAGGCTTGCAGTTTGTTTTTCGGTGTCATCTTTAAAAATCTGTCTCTACTCAAAGGTCATAAAGATAGAGAAGTCCTGATTATCAAAAGATTTCATGAAAAGTGAAAAGACAAGCTCCAAACTAGAAAAGATTTTTTGAAAGCATAATTGACACGAGCTTAGCATCTAGAACATCACTGTTCAATAGAAAGATAATGGACAGTGTATATGCAGTTTTAGAATTTTTAGTAGCTGCAATTAAAGAGAAAAAAGAAACAGGTATAATTAATTTTAATATTAATTAATGTTAATACTAATAGATGTAATAAAGTGTTTGACAGAGAACATTTTACACTGCTTCAGTTTTTGAATGTGAATAAAATTAAATTCATTCAACTTTTAGTTCCTCAGTAGTACTGGTGACATTTCCCACAGTGGTATGGTGGCTGAGCCTTTGCTCATAATTGCCTACACACCCAACTTTTGGAATGAAGATTACATTTTTTAATGATTCAGATACATTCCCTTCCTCAGTTTCCTGTGCTTGGAGAATAGGAACAGAATTATTTTATTCTGGAAGTTTAAAATTTTATTTTTAAAGCAATGTAACAATGTTAAGAAAACTTTGAACATGGAAAAAATAATTCATAATCCTACATTGGACGTTCCTGTGTAACCCTTGCACACACCCTCCACACTACACACATCACACATGTGTGCACACACATGCACAGTCACATTGTTGCACATCAGACTAGGTTAAGTTCAGCCCTATTTGCCTGCTGAGAGCCCTGCACTCTTCAATGTGAGTGTGTATCCCCAGCACCTAGTACACAGAAAGTGAGCTATAAAGATTTATTGAATAATTGGGCCCTGAGGCCTGTGGATTCCATTTTTAAACATGTATTACTATGTCAAAACACATTTTCAGTTTACAGTATTGTCCTTATAGTGATCCTACCAAAGGCTGAATAGCATTTCCTGGAGTTCTGTGCACACTGTCCCAAATCTTTAGCATGTAATGAATAGCTCTGCAAGTGTTGCGTCATAGACAACACTGCAAGGGACATCTACATGCACACAGCTTTATCTTCTATTGGGTTATGTCTTTAGCATGCTGTCTCAAGGGTGGTGATATCAGCCTAAAGCCTAGGATAATATTTACAGCTCTTGAGATATGTTGCCAAATTGCTTTCCAAAAAGGTCACGCCCATTCCTTCTGCCACTGGATCTGAGTTACAACATAACATTGCCAGCAGTTTTGCCAGCAGTTTTTCTACTGTTAAAACAATTCCTTTTGCTAAATAAAGCGGATTGCTTAAGGATTGCATTTGTTTGCATGTTTATATTTCGTTTCATCACACTTGCTTTTACTTTGCATCTGAAATTTTCTCTTTGGCTTCAAAGCTGAGAAAATAATCACCCCTTCAGGACCTGACAAATATTTGATTCTCTTTTTCTTTGCTAGGGTTTTTTTTTAATCGAATTTTTATGTATAGCTTTTTAATTGAAAAAATAATCTAGCAGCATTGCAGAAAATTTTGAAATAAAGAAAAACATTGATCATAATATCACCATTCCATCAGAGAGCTACTATTTTTTAAGTCCCTTTCAGTATTTTTCCATAGGCATACATATTTCACATAGTTTTAGGAATGAGCAGAGATGGTTGTACATTCTGCTTTTTCACTTAACATCATGGCATAAGCATTTTTCCATTAAGATTGTGCTTAAGAAGACATTTTGCCTCATGTCTTCTTAAGTATGATCTTAACGGCTACATAATATTTCATTGAGTGAATATACCCTGTAACTTGATTACCTCTCTAATTTTTGGGTACTTAGTTGTTCTCAATTTTTTTACTATTATAGATAATTCATCAACAAATATTTTTATATATAAAATCTTTTGGGTTTTTTTTTTCTTTTTTACAACAGGGTCCCAGAGCCACATTTCTGGTGATGAGTATCAACTCCCAGCAAACAAACATGGTTGCCTACTCCATATCATTCTCCTCTTCTTCCTTGCAAACAGATCCTCAGATTCTGTTCAGGGTAGCAATGGCCCCAGTGTAAAATTAGTTTCCCAGATGTTCTTGTAGTTGGCGTTGCTCTTTGACTCAATGAGGAGCAAATAGTAGCCTGTATCTTCAGGCTACTGGGAAAACTATTGCTTTCTGGTTTAAAAAAGAGTGATTTTGAGACCGCAAGGATGGAAGCCACCCCCTAAGCTGGAGAAGCAGACGGAGAAAGACTCTAGTCATTGATGATATCATGGGATGATACATCAGCCCTGAACTCCACCAGTGGGCTCCTGGAATATTTCTAATTTGTTAATCATTCTTAAGGATATTTTAGAATACCATATCATAAATCCTTGTATTTCCCAGAGGAAATGAAGGATGGGGGATGTTTAGCAGAGGAAAATAAAACATGCTAAACTCTGTTAGACATACACTAGGTGCCCTATATACAATATATGCCTTAGCTGTTGCTATGATCTGAATATTTGTGTCGCCCCAAAGTTGAAATATTGAAACCTAACCCCCAATGTGATGGTATAAGGAGGTGGGGCCTTTGGGAGGTGATTAAGTCATGAGGCTGGCACTTTCATGGATGGGATTTGTACCCTTATAAAAGAGGCAGGAGGGAGTTTGTTCGCCCCTTCAGCCATGTGAAGACACAAATGGAAGATGTCAACTATGAGCAGAGAGCCCTCACTGGACACCAGATCTGCTAGCACGTTGATCTTGGACTTCTCAGCCTCCAGAATTGTGAGCAATAAATTTCTGTTGTTTATAAATTATCCAGTCCAAGGTATTTCATGATGGCAGCACAGATGGACTAAGATACTTGCCAAGGGCATCTAACAAGGTAGGTATTATTATACCCATTTTACAGATCAATAAGTAGGGGCCCAGAGAACATAAACACTTTTTTTCTAGGTCTAATGACTGTTAAGTAGCAAAGGCAGAATTCAAATCCAGACCTATTTAACTAGCAGCTCCCTGATCTTTTTGTTTTGGTGAGAAGCATGGCGGCAGTGGGGAGGAAATGGTGCACTCCATTCATTTAGAAAACAAATGCTGCAGGGGTCAGAAGGCAGGTGAAGAGACAAATGGGGACTTGTTCTGGAGCCAGAAAGCAATGTCTGCATCTGAGTCCGCTGTCCCCTCCAACAAGTTCTCCTGAAACTCAGGTTTACAACTATGCCCCACTTCAGGTTTTAACATTTTTCTTCTACTCAATATTTTGTTCCCAATTTCAAGAGCAATAAATGTTTATTCCATAAAATGTGGAAAATACAAAGAAAAAAGTTTGAAATCATTCAGAATCCCATACCCAGAGTTAATACCTAAGAAGGTTTTAGTATGGCCTTTTTTTCGCATTGGTATTATTTACACACTTATATACAATTCTGCTTTCTAGTGCCTAGCATAGTGCCTGGCTAATACACATTTAACAAACACAGTCAATGAATGGATAAGTAGGTGGATGATTTTGTGTCCCAGATCTTAAGAGAGTGCCTGACACATATCAGCCACCAATACATCTTTGTCGAATTAATGTATAAGGCAATGAATGAACACTTTTGAGCTCAGTTTGTAGCCTGGCTCATAGTATCTTCACACTAAAACTGAAGAAAGTAATTAGATGCTGTTTCTTCATAACATTTTATCAGAAACGTATTCTCATTTCCTTAAAAACTCTATGATTTTTAATGGCTGCATAATATTTTACCATTTTATCTTTATTGGTTCCCTACTGTTGGATTTTTAAAGGGTTTTTAATTTTTCACTATTATATAAGCTGTTATGGTTAGCGTCTATGTGTGTGACTTTTTCTTTGTACATATTCTAAATAGGTTCCCCACTGTGGAATTACTGGGTCAAAGTTTCCTGATATATTGATATTAATGTAAATCTAACCAGAAATATTGTTCTGGTTTATGTCCAGACCAGCGAGATATATACATGTCTGTATTATTTTATGCTCAACAGCCCTGAATACCATTAATGCTTTTAAAGTCACAATTGCGTTTCTCTGACAGCTAAGCATTATAAGGAGATTGAGGATGAACAAGATGGGAAAAACCCAAAATGATTATTTTAAAAATGGGGATAATTTAGCAGTCCTTAATACATGCTAGTATTTCTCTTTCTAGGGACAGCATTTTAATAATGGCCTCAGTCTCCCCTTCTGTACAACGAGAAGCAGGAGAGAGAGTCATCACAGTTCTTTCCATTCTGGTGGGCTACAGTTCTGGATCTTTCTCAAGTATCCATAGGAATGTGAGCTTCTTTTCTGCCCTGCGCTGATTCTTTTTGTCAAGGGAGAACTTGTTTGAGAGTCGATTATATGTTTTTTTGAACTCAACAGTTCTCTGGCTTAACTCTGACAAAGGCCTAAGCTTTGGATAGCAATTAGAGTAAATAATATTTGTAGAGCTCATTGTAATTTTCAAGTCAACTCCATGTGCCTCAGCTTTGAACTTCAAAATACTCCTGAGGGAAGGTTGGCATTACCCTTACACCCATTTTCAAGAGGAACATGAAGCTCAGCAGGGTGCTGTACTGACTTGGCTGTGATCACATAGTCACAAATTGGTGAAACTAGAACTTGAACTCAGGTTTTCTGACTCCAAGCCCAAGGTTTTCCATTTTCTTGGGGACTGAACAAAAACTCAGACCTGGTCAGAATGACCAGTGCCTACATAATAACCAGTTCTTTTCTCCTCCCTGGGCATTTGAAGACCATACTTCCCAACTGCAATGCAGTTAGGCAGGGTCACATGACTACAGCTGCCAATAAATGTGGGTGGAAGTGATGTCTGTCACTTCCAGGCTGAGGTGGTGAAAAGAAGCTTTTGTGTGATTCATTCTCCTGTCTCTCCCTTCCCAGACAGGGGTGATAATGGGGGAGGACTGATGCTGAGATGGTGCAGCTACACCAAAGAAGCATCCTGAATCCTGAGTCACCACATGGAGAGCGGCTGCCCTGGAGAATCACCCAGACCTGCATCAGAGTCTGTGTGAGTGAGAAAGTTTTGTGCTAAGCTACTGAGATTTTGGAGATTGTTTGTTACAACAGCTTAGCCTATCCCATCCTGACTAAAACAATAAACTAATACTTAAAGAGGTGCACTCCAGGAAGACCATCCAGTGGTGTGGTGAAACCAGGCTTCTGGCCCAAGTCTGTCCCTTTCTTGCTCTGGGACTTTGGTTGAGTCACTTTCACTTTCTGAATCTCAGTTTTTTTCTCTCCAATATTAAGTGATTGAATGTCAGTGGCGTCTAAGTGTGTCTTTTATTATTTTTTAAGCAAGGATTTTTTTTTTGTTAAAGAATATCGACATTGCGATTCCAATGAATAATCTAATAAACTTAATGCTTTGCTGCATGGCTAGTGGAGGCTAAGTGGGTCTTCCTGAACCATGCCTGCCTGGCTTTCCTCCACTTAATCCCTCCTTCTGGTTTCCAGAGCCCACCTGAGGCCCCCTGTGTGATATCCTGGGGCTCTTCACAGCCCAGGTAGGAAAACCTAGGTCCAGAGGGGGATCTTGGTTATTTTCTGGTGCTAGGTTTGTAGACACTGGGCATATATTCCAGACTATTGGCCTGGCAAATTTCTTCCCAGCAAAGCAATGCTTCCTTTAAGAAGGCAGGTGACGATCTTCATGAAACCCATGCTCATTTTCTTTTATTCTTTCAGCAAATGTTTCCTGAGCACTTACCATGGGCTAGGCTTTGTTCTAAGCACTAGGGATCCAGAGAAGACTAAGACACAGTCTCTGTTCTGAGAAGTTACCATAGACTGAGAAGTAGGGGGAAGAATTGGAGGTAAGAAATAATGTGTTTTAATAATAACAGTTGTGGCCAGGCACGGTGGCTCATGCCTGTCGTCCCAGGACTTTGGGAGGCCAAAGCGAACAGATTGCTTGAGACAACAAGTTTGAGACCAGCTTGGGCAACATAGCGAGACTCTGCCTCTACAAAATATACAAAAATTAGCTGGGCATGGTAGCACGTGCCTGTAGTCCCAGCTATTCTGGAGGCTGAGGTGAGAGGTTTACTTGAGCCTGAGAGGCAGAGGTTGCAGTGAGCCCAGATTGCGCCACTGCACCCATGGACAACAGAGCGAGAGCTTGTCTCAAAAAAAGTAGTAACAGTTGTACCTATAACATTCCGATTTATAGAACACCATTATATTCTGAGTGTTTTGTATAAGTTATCCTGAATCTTCATAGCAACTCAATATGTCCCAAGAACTAGCCTCCTGGGTGTCCCGTAATACTGACTTTGGGGTCATCTTTCCTTTGTGTAGGCAAGTGACAGTGGCTTGAACCCCTGCCTCCCATCTGGTGGGACCCTGTCATCACTCTCCACCCAATTTCCCTGGGGAATCTTGGTGGAGGGTATACACATCTGTTTGTCTCTGTGAACCTTAAGCTTCTGTTTCCACTGAATTCTCCAAGCTCCCTACATCTCATCACCTCTGTTCTGGCCTGTTCTCCATGGTCCATACCTTGATCTGGATTCCCCAAAAAAGGCAAGATGGAAGCTGGGGCACAGGGTGGTTGCAGCCCTGGTAGCTCAGTGAAGCCTACAGCCCAAAGAGGAATATGAGACCTTCGCGGGGAGGACCTGACCCTGGCTGTGCCTCTTTGGGGCTTCAGCGCCAGTTCCTGCTGCGGCTCTCCTCTCCTCCCCGGTTGCTCTTTCTGAGTACTCCAGAAACCTCAAATTATCTTTGTTCAATTTCATTCTCTTTCTAGAGCATCTTCTCCCTGCCTTTAGACAAAGCCTTTGACCCATCAACACGTGGTGCTAAATAAAATGTTAGACACCTGCATCTTAACATCTGTCTTGTCTTCAACTTGATCAAACTCTTGTCACTCTTCTCTTGCTCCTGTCTCTGTAGGTATCATGGAGCAGCACCAAGATTGATTCTTCCCTGACACACATTCACATGTCATCTCCACTTTCTTCTCTGACATTTCTGCTTGGAAAGCAGTGGCACCCCCCCTGTTTATGCCCATAAAGTACAATTGATCCTCATGGCTCATAGATCCTATTTTGGTAAATGTGCTTTCTTGATACAATTTATCTGTAACCTCAGTGCTGTTTTTGGAGTCATTCACCAACATGGGCCGAGTAGGGAATAATTTGAGTCTCTGCATGTTCCCAGCTGAGGATGAACACAGCGACGTGCTCTCTGCCTTCGTCTTTCAGCTTCCGTACGGCAAACAAGTGTCCTCATTGCAATGTATCTAGTGCTATACATTTTGTTTGCCTTTTAGCACTTTTTGTTGGTGATTTTGCTGTTTAAAAATGGCTCCCAAGTGCAATGCAGAAGTGCTGTCTAATGTTCCTGAGCCCAAGCTCCTAGGCTGTGATGTGCCTCGCAGAGAACATGTAGCTCATAGATGAGCGTCATTCAGGCATGAGTTGGCTGGGCTGTTGGCCCTGAGTTGAATGTTAATACATCAACAACATATATTAAATACGATGTCTTGAAGCAAAACACATAATACATGGTTATGTATTGATCAGTTGACAAAAACGTGACCCGAGGCTTGTAGGAACCTAAGCCTGTGTTTCTCCTAGGAGCAAGTGGTTCTGTGTTTGCTAGTTTGGTGTTTGCGGCTGCTTTAGAGAACGTAACTCCAACAAATCATGAGATCCACTGTACTCATTTATCTTTATTTTACACACAGCCATAGACTGAGAAGTAGGGGGAAGAATTGGAGGGAAGAAATAATGTGTTTTAATAGTAACAGTTGTGTCCAGTCACAGTGGCAAATGCCTGTAGTCCCAGCAAGTACCTACCCAGAAGTAGGCATGGGCATCCTGGGTATCCTCACTTTATCTTACAGTGAGCTCAGAGAGATCAGTTGCCAAGTTCATGCCCGGTTTGGCTGGCTGTAAGTGCCCTACCCTTTTCATGCAACCATGCTGCCTCCTCTCCTATCTAGATTCTTTGAAATGTGAGGTTTATTTTCCATCCCTCAAGGGGCCATGGAGAAATTGCCCATCTCATCTTGTCCCTTGCATTTTAATTGTCCCAGAAGGGTCTGGGGGCTGGGAATGGTAACCTGTCTCCCACCCCCACTCCCACCCTGGGCCGGGTACCATGGTCCCCATTTCAAGTTTTCCCACTCCCAACTTGGAAGCTTAATAGCTTTAAAATCTTACAAGTTGTAAAAACAATTAAAGCAATAATCTTAAAAAGAAGCAGAATGCGGCCTTCAAAGGAATGTGAACCGTTCACACTTCGTGGTTACATGCAGCCCTTAGCTAGCCCGGGCTGAGAAAACGCAGAGGCACCCTGTGAATTTGTTGATGCCAGTTTGGACAGACTGTTTATTTTCATGATTTCATGGAAGAATTTTAATTTAATGAGTGTTTTATACTCTAATGTAAAGCATCGTTCAAGCACTGTAATTACTGTGTCAAAATAGGCCTTCTTAAGAGGCAGCAGCTTGAACTCCGGCGCTGTGACTTGCATCCGAATCAGGCCCGGGGAGGGGAGGAGGGGAGGCTGCGAGCCGATGGGCTGCTTAATGGAATCGGAAATTAACGCCACGAACAGAGTGAAGGGATGCTGGGTTGAGCTAATTCCCTCAAACCTGTGGCTTCAAAGCTGGTGCTATCGGGCCTGAAGACAAGTGTCTCTCTTTCATCTGTCTGGAGTTTTCTAACCAAGAAATAATTTTCCTTCATAAAACCCTGTTTATCCGATGGGGCGTGCCAGTAGGTAAAATTGCAGACGCATACTTCATCATTTCAGCTTTTTTTTTTTTTTTAAAGGAGGACATTTTGCTTTGGGCTTTATGCAGGACCCACAAAAATGATTGTTTTTCCTCTCATTTATTTACTTGAGAGCATGGAAGCGATTTTTCTGCAGCCTAGAAGAGGAAAGGGCAGCTGTTCTCGGTCCTCCAGATCGAAGTCTGAGGCTGAGTGAGAACCTCCCGTTTTAGTGGCTTCTCTGTCCCTCTCTGCTACCTGCTTTTTCTTTCCCCTTTTCGGCTTTCGCCAGGGCAAACATTCCTTGGGCGCCTCGGGCTTTTCCCTAGGGAAGCATGAGATGGCCTTTCCAGATGTGGACAGAGAACCTCATTTCTCATCACACTCCTTCGCCCCTGGATGAGGGATCCCCAAACAAGCCACTGGAACGTCTTCTCCGGAGTGTTTTTTTTGTTTTGTTTTGTTTTTTCATATTAAGCTGCCGGGATTTGTGCTCCCTGTTCCAAGTCCAAGAATCCGAGGTGCAATTTGAGAGCTTGCTATTTCCATCCCTGCTAAGAAATACATGTGTAGTTGAGACGCTGCATACTTTCCTTAGCAAGGGGAGGAGCGGGGACTTATCTCTATGGGAATGAAACAGCCTCTTGCGCTTGGCATCTTGATGGCACTTGCCGGTTCTGAAATAGCCACAGTGAACATGAGCAGAGCGCTTCATGTTCAAGTAAAACAGCACCCAAGGCCATCGGGATTCATGCCCCTTCTTCCCCCTGGGACTCAAGGCTGATGTTATCATTTCACTGCTGAGGAATCTGAGGCTCAGGGAGGTTCAATGCATGACTAAGTTGGAGCTGGGTTTCCTCCTGTCTTTTTTTTACTTCCAGTTCTAGGCTATTTCTCTTTATTTTCCTTCCCTTCCTTCCCTCCTTCCTCCCTTCCCTTCTTCCTTCTTTCCCTCCCTCCCTCCTTTCTTTCGTTCGTTCGTTCTTTCCTTCCTTCCTTCCTTCCCTCCTTCCCTCCTTCCCTCTGTTTCTTTTTTTTCCTTCCTTCCTTCCCTCCCTCCCTTCTTTCCTTCTTTCTTTCTTTCTTTTTCTTTTCTTTTTCTTTCTTTCTCTCCTTAATCTTTCTCTTTCTCTCCTTTCTTTTCTTTCTTTCTTTCTTTCTTTCTTTCTTTCTTTCTTTCTTTCTTTCTCTCCTTTCTCTCTTTCTCTCTTTCTTTCTTTCCTTTTCTTCCCTTTTCTTCTTTCTTTCTTTCGAAGTCTCTCTCTGTCACCCAGGCTGGAGTGCAGTGGTGCAATCTTGGCTCACTGCAACCTCCACCTCCCGGGTTCAAGCTATCCTCTCACCTCACCCTCCCGAGTAGCTGGGATTACAGGTGTGCGCCACCATGCCCAGGTATTTTTTGTGTTTTTAGTACAGATGGGGTTTCACCTTGTTGGCCAGGCTGCTCTCAAACTCCTGACTTCAGATGATCAGCCTGCCTTGGCCTCCCAAAGTTTTGGGATTATAGGTATGAGCCACTGTGCCCAGCCAGTTCTAGGTTTTTTTTCTAATGAGGATTGCCATATTTAGCAGGGAAAAAAATGGACCCCTAACTAAAGTTAAATTTAGATAGTAAATAATTTTTAAATATGCCGTTGCAGTATTTGGGATATATGTATACTAAAAAATTATTTATTTGAAATTCAAATATAACTGGGGGAAGCAGAGCTTACATTTTATCTGGCAACTTGATTTTCAATTCACCAGATGCCTTCTCTTAAGTATACTGAGGTATAAATCCTCTGCAAACTGCTGGCCCCTGGCTGAGTCCTCACGCAGCTAAATTTGTTTTGGATGATGTGTTTGAAATCGGAATTTGGGGATTTTTCAGATGGAGCAGGCACTCTTCAACCACGACGGTCGCTACCACTCCTCCTGTGACACCAGCAGCTGCCCACCTGTCTGTGCTGCTTAGCTTTCATGGCTTCTGAGCTGGGCACTCACATGGCAGCCTTTCCAGGCCTTGCTGCTCTGTGGATTTTGGTTGAAAGTTCCCATTACAGCTTCATGAAGCCCTGCTGTGGGCAATCTCTTAAAGAAGGAAAGAAAACCAATCAGCTGGCTGCAATGTGCCAATGCAGCTTTATAGCCATGGTCTCACTCAATACTCTGGGAGGCAGTCATGGGTATCCTGGGTGTCCTCATGTTTGCAGATGAAGACACAGAGGCTCAGAAAAGGTAGGCAATTGGTCAGATCACACATCTGGCAAGAAGAAGAAAATTCAAGTTTGGTTGCCTGGCTTCAACGTTCCATCTTTCTACCCACGATCTGTTGATCTTTCTTAAAATTTATTCATTCATTACCATGCCTAACATTGGCTGAGTGATAGCGATGGACTTGGCACTCTGCTGGGTCAGTTCTCTAGCTGGCTATTTTTACTTGTTTCACATGGGATGGACTAAGTCCAAAACTGAAAGGCATTCAGCAAGGTCTTCGGCTAGTCTCATCCTGGAATACAGAGATGGGTTTAGATTTTTATTTTTTTAGAACCCCACATCTTGGTGGAAAACACCCTTCTCGTTTTGTGCCTCTGATGCCGCTAAATTGTCCCCTGGATTTATTTCAAAGCAGAAAGAAGCAGCGAAGATTGCAATTCTTATGCTGTAGTTGCTCTTTTTAACTCAATTACGTTTTGACAATTCGGAATGAAACTTGGGGGCATGTCTTTGTTTAAGCCGTCGGCCTTGCATCGGAACAGTCAGCTCAAGGTACATGGCTAGTGTCAGGACTAACAATCTTTGACAAGGGCATTTAGCGGTTGTAATTCAAATCTAATTCAGAACATCTTAGCACCGGATCTGTCAGGCCCTTGAAATGCAGGGTAACTACAAAACCAAGGGCAGCAGCCTCTAAGCCAGCTCTGTGCGGCCTCAAGTTGATATGTCAACAAGAGCAGTTACAATTAGGGGTTCTTTCAAGCATACTACACTAATTTATAGTACTCTGGAAAAGTGGGAAAAGGACCTGAGGCTTAAAATCCCAGGACTTCTAGATTTCAAATCCACAGCACATAAAAATACAATTAGAGTTCAGCACAAAATAGCGCAGGCTTGAGTCTGCATTTTCGGTTGTATGTGTACTTTTTGCCCTTAAAAATGAATATACTGAAAAATGCATGTGCGTCTGTAGTTAAAACAAAGTCATGATAGTTGACTCCCAACTACTAAAAAAAAAAAAAAAAGAAAAGAAAAGAAAAGGAAAAAAAAAAAATCCCTGTCAGGTCTTATTAGGATCATGTGGGGGGCTTGTTGAACCCTAAATTGACAACGCCCCTATTTATTATTTGTGGATGCTGCTGGTAATTGAATCTGTCGCAATGGAGGCGTGTTTCTTCTTGATGGGGTTCCATGTTTGGCCACAAAGCACCCAAAGTCAATGTGGTCTGGATGGTTTGAATGGGAATGAGAAGCTGGACTGGGAAAGGGACATGGAGTGCCGCCGGCCCACTGGACACGGGATTACAGTGACCAACATGTAATTTTACCATCAAGATAAAACAGGGCCCGAGTATAAAGCCCTCTGGTGATTCTAGGCAGCTGTGCCCTTTTAAGAGGCGCTGCCTTAATGCGAGGACAAAGGCTAATGGGAGTATTTGCAGATTTCGCTTTTATGATTTATCTACTTTTTATGCACAAAAATATAGACCCTCCACTCCAGGGACTCGTAAATGTGATTTTACTTCCCAAATTACAAAGCTAGTCAATTATTTGGGAATGAGTCATTTATTCAAAAGTGTCGGTAATGTGATGTGTTAACCATCAGGAAATTTTACACCAATTGGAATTATAAACACCAGATTAAAAAAAAAAAAAGAAAAGAAAAAGGGGAAAGAAAAAGAAAGAGAAAAATCTTAGCTAGCAGTTAGCTCTAGTTATTAATGGTGCCTCCTGTTAAGAGCTACATTTGGGGCAAGGTAGAGTTGGAGAACATGTGGGTGAATTTTTTTTCTTTCCTGCCTCCCTATTCCCATCCCAAAGCTGATGTTCTGTTCATATATTTGCCTGCAAGATAGTTGGGTGGTGAGCCACCTAGCTGGGTGGTAGAAGGGCTATGACAGAAACAGGGCAGAAGGAGGGCCAGGTTCATATTCATGTCCTTGTTAAGCCTTCTGGGCTTGTGGGATGGGCCGGGAAACAGCTATTGAGGGACCAGAGCTGTTTCAATTGAGCTGAGCCTTGAGACCCCCTTCTCTGCTGCCTGCACCAGCCACTTGAACACCCTCTCTAAGGGAGCTGACACAGTTGCTGACCCCAGTGGCTTTGATTTGATCCCAACCTCCATAAGCTCTTCTTTCTGGGTAAGCCTCTTGGAAAACTAGTTTGACATTAACAAGGGGGTATCGCTGGAAAGGTGTAGTTGCAACAATTGACCCTGGTGGAAAGCTGAATGGGAAGCCATGGTGGGCACGTCCCCACGTTGTGTTCTCAGGACACCAGATGAATCAGGATTGGAGAGCCACAGCGTCAGAGCTGGGCAGAGCCCAAGGGACCACCTCAGCCCCATGTCTTAGAGGCCCATGCGGCCTGTGTGTGCCTATGAAACTCCATCTCCCTCTCTGATTCCTGAGCCTGCTTCGATCCCCCAACCACTTGTCTCCTGGGAGGCCTGATGAGGAACTCGTTCTGGGTCTATTTCTGCATATGGAATCTCCAGATTTCTCCTGGAACATCCTACAGTGTTTCCCCCAGTGAACACTAATTCCTGCCCCCCAGCCTCCTCTCCTGCTGTCCCCAGATCTAGGGCAAAATCTGAGGTGCATGGACTTGCATGAATTACTCATTGACTCTGTATCTGTCATGCCACATCAGGATGGGGCAGAAAAACCAAAGTCTACCGATGGACTCACCCAGGGTTGCAGAGTGAGTTAAGGACTGAGTCAGGACTATAATAATATATTTATTACTTATGTCCTCTCCTCTTCCCAAAGGGCTGAGGCAGCTTACAGTAAAGGATTCTGGTGAATACATTATTTCAATAGCTAGTCGCTGTGCTAGTTCCCAGGCCTTCAAGGAAGCAAAATCTTTAATCTTTCCAGTAAAGCGCATAGCGTGTGATTCTTTCTTCCTGGCCTTCACAGAAATAAGCATGGTTTGTAGAAACAGGGAAGACCCTGCACCAGCTGGTAGCTAGGGGAGAGTGCCAGGCATGGGTTAGAAATGGATTCCAGCAGGCAGAGGGCAGATTCCAAAATGATTCTGAGTGCCTATGTGCAGTGAGCCTTTTCCAGAAAGCATCACAGCTTGTAAGATGTAAGCAGCTGAAACCTGGGTCCTTCTGAGACCCTTTATATAGAGACATGTATTTGCAAGCCAGTCATATATGTCTTCCTCCAACTGTTACACGTTCATAGAATTTGAAGGCAGCTGTATGGTTATTGCAATTGTGCTAAAATAATTATTAATAGAATTGCTAGCTTAAGGTCTCTCTCCCACCACCAGACCATCTGTCCCAAGGGGCAGGAGCTGCAGGACATGGTTCACTTGATTCCTGGGGACTGGCACTATGCCTGGCACATCACATGGATTCATTACGTATTTGTTATAGGAATAAACAAAGGGGTGGCTACCCCAACTACAGAGCTGGGAGTGTCAGTGAAGAGACAGCTCTGGAAGGAGCAGGTAGGTATCAGTGAGTCCAGAAGATTTAAAAATGGCATGTACACCTTCACAGTCATAGAAAAAAATTCCTGTTTACATGAGCAAATGCAGAGGGAAAAAAAGGAAAAAAAAAGTCAAAGCTAAAGAAAGCAGAAAAATTATTTTAAAACATGTAGTAAAACAAGTGGTAGAAACAAGAACAAAAATATCAGTTAAGTGTAAAGGGGTTAAACCTCATGCTTATTCCCGAATGAGATACAAAAACAAAATTGGTTACAATTGGATACAAAAACTAAAATCAAAATTAAGCTATATACTTTCTCCATGGGACTCATGTAAAACAAAATGGCTCAAAAAGATGGAAGGAAATGTGTTTTGTTTTCTTTTTTCTCCAAAAATTGTAACAGAGAAAAAAAGATCGAGAAACTACAAAAAATTACGAGGGTAATAAAGAAGTAAAGAACACAAAACAAGGAAAACAAAATCCCAGAGTTTTATGGGATGTACTAAATAGTATTAAAATCTAAAAAACAAGCAAAGAGAAATTTTCACAAACATGCTAAGAGTAGAACAGTTTAACAGACATCTCTTAATCATTTAAGACCAAGTAGGTAAAACAAGGAACTTGGATGATACAAATTATGGATGGATGGATTTACTTCCTCTTATAAGTTGCTTTACAACTTTTCCAATCCCATGGAACATTAAAAACATTGATAATAAATTTTGCCATAGTAAAAATATGGATAAATCCCCAAAAAGGACAATCCCAATTTATAATGTCATATACTAACACGCTAAACATTATCAGCCAAAGCCACTAACAAGAACTACTTAAAAAGAATGGGCAGAATTTTTCTTCTAAATATGAGAGCGTAACTAAAAGCTGCAATTGGAGACCACCTAGAAAATATTGAAAATGAACACCCAATACACAGAAACACTTGCAACTTGACCAAGTCTGCATTAGATGATGTATTAGTTTCCTGTGTCTGCTGTACAAGCTGCATAAAGCAACAGCAATGCGTTCTCTCACCCTTCTGAAACTGACAAGCCTGAAGTCAAGGTGTCAGCAGTGCCACACTTCCTCATGTGGCTCTGGGAGCTCTCCCAGAGCCTCTGGGCTGGAGGCTGCCTCACTCCAGTACCTACCTCCGTCTTCACATCGCCTTCTCTTTTTCTTTTCTTTTCTTTTTTTGAGGCAGGGTCTTGCTCTGTCACCCAGGCTGGAGTGCAATCGTGCCATCATAGCTCGCTTCAGCCTTGACTTCCTGGGCTCAAGCGATCCTTCTGCCTCAGCCTCCCGCGTAGCTCCCACAGGCATGCACCACTACACCCGGCTAATTTTTTTCTTTTTGTAGACACAAGTTTTCACTATATTGCCCAGGCTGGTGTCAAACTCCTGGGCTCAAGCGATCCTCCTGCCTCGACCTCCCAAAGTGCTAGGATTACAGGCATGAGCCACCACGCCTGGCCTCACATTCTCCTCTTGTGTCCACGTTAAATTTCTCTCTGCATCTCTCTTGTAAGGCTGCAAGTGATGGCATCTAAGGCCTATCCAGATAACCTAGGATCACTTTATCAATTTTTTTGCCACATAAAGCGATATTCACTCTTTTGCCATAGAAGGTAATATTAATAGGTTCTGAGGGCTAGGAAGTAAATATACCTTTGTGGGGGCCATTTTTCTTCCTACCAAAGATGTACATCTGTAGCATAAAATAATTTCAATTGTTAAATGAGAATTAATAAAAATCAATGAACTAATGTTTTAAGTCAAGAAGTGAGAAAGAGCACTCCACAAACTTAAGGAAACCAAGAGGAAAAAATTAATAGAAAAAGGGGCTGGAATTCTGTTTAAATTTTTGTGACCGTTTATAAGAGGAGATGATAAAGTAGATTAATAGATGATAAAAGATGATAAAGGAGACTGTTGATAAAGGAGATAAAAAATATGACATGTAAATAAGATGAAAGTAAATATAATAAAAATAAATATATGAAATGACCATATGTCAGCGATTTTGTTTAACTTGATAGTTATTGAAGCCATCAGTAAGACGTTACAAGTTCAAAGGAGAATTCAATGAGCAGAGACATATATAGGCTGTGAAGTAAAGTTACAAATAGATGCAAAACTGGTGTGTTCGAAGGCAGAGCCAGGCCTGAGGCCCAGCCTCTGGGTCAGGCACAAGAGAGTCAGGGGTGGCCCGTGGCAGTGACAAGGGTGATGCTACTCATGACTTAGGGCCGTGTCCACCCAGGGCTCAGGGCCCTCTGCCAAGCCACTGACAGTCATCCAGGCCTCATTAGGGAGGAGCTGCACCTCCCTTTCTGTCCCTGCTCCTGACCCTTAATATTTGATCACCTGCTGATTAGAAACAGTAGCCCCTTGGCCGTGCGCAGCCCATGGTCCCTGAGCCAGGTGGTTTCTTGGCCACCCCCTCCCAACCCAGTGCCAGCTCTCACAGTCTCTTGCAGTGACTCCAGAGAGCTAAATGTTCGTGGCCACTTCCTCTGTGCCTTAGAAAAGGATTAGGGCTGTTGCTCGAGCCAGTGTTTACCCTGAGGGGCTCTGTGGAAGCCTGTTTCAGGAATTCTTGGTGGAAGCTCATTCACAGAACTCCTTCTTGCCTGGTTCCTAGAAAACGGCAGGAGGGACTGGTGTTCCATGGGACATGCATTGGGGAAACTGTCTAATGTAATTTCCAGGAAGAAAGAAGGATGCAGGAGAGTCTTATTAGAGCCTCTGTACTTCAGACGAAGTAGTGACAGGGTCTCAGGCGTAGGGAAAAGCCAAGGTGAGGAGGTGCTGTCTCCGGGCCTCTCCTGTCCCTCTCCACCGCCATAACACTGCAACAAGGCTCAAGATCTTGACCCCCAGCTCTGAAAGGTGGCCCACTCCCAGCCAGCAGTTGCACAGGAAGCCGCCTGGTATAACATAGTGGTCAGGAGTACAGACTCAAGCAGAACTGAATTTAAAACCTGGCCTCAGCCCTGCAGTCCAGCTGTGTGAATTTGGACTTGCTGTGTAACTTCCCTGAACCTCAATGTTTCCATCTTTGAACTGGAAATTCTAGGACTGAATTTGCTAATTGAAGTTGGAATTCATGGTAGTAATATCGGTAAAGCTTTCTCACAGAGGGGCTACCCAGTGGGTGTATGTGGTTGGCCCCCAGAAAGGGGTGGAAGCTGCTGTTGTCTCTGTTGCTATCGGCGAGTTAGCGCCCAGCCATTTCTGTCTGAGGACCTGTGCCTGCCTGCCTGGCATCTTGTTCACAGCGATACTTCCTGCCTGTGATGCCGGGAGCAGATGCAGACTCCTGGGATTGCCCATTTTAAACAAACCTCTGAATTCCAGAGCCTCTTTCTTTGGAATTCAAAAGATTCCTTTTACAGAAGCCAAAGCCAACTTTTATTTTCACTGTAACGGACGCAGATTTAAAAATAAGCCTGCTTACATATCCATATGAAGTTCTTAGGCAAAAAGTAACTTGTACATATTTATGGCAACAGTTATTACTGGAAACAATACTATTGTCGATCACCTCCTGTAGCCCACACATTCTTTCTCTAGATAGGACTTCATTCAATAAAGAAGTTCAGAGGCTGAGTGACTGATGTGAGCTGACACAGCCAGAAAGTGGTGGGACTGGGAGACAAGCCTGGTTCTGTCCAAGCTGGATTTCCTTTCTGGAACACCAAAGAGGTCCGTGTGTCTGAGACAGAGTGGAAAACAAGCCTTACAGACCAAATAGGGATGTAGAAGAAGCTAAAAGGCATGTTCTGAAGGAGGAGCGAATACCTTTTCCTTACTCCACTGCTCACCTTGCACATCCCAAACTCTGCTATGGTTTGAACGTTTGTGTCACCCTAAAACTTATATGTTGAAAGCTTCACCCCCGAGGTGATGGTGTTAGGACGTGGGGCCTTTGGGAGGTGACCAGTTCAGAAGGGCAGATCCCTTATGGATGGGATTAGTGCCCTTATAAAAGGGACCCCAGAAGCTTGTTCTCACCCCTCCATCGGGTGAGGGTACAGTGAGGAGATGGCGGTCTAAGAGGAAACAAACCCTCATCAGACACCGAATCTGCCAGCACCTTGATCTTGGACTTCCCCACCTCCAGAACTGTGAGAATAAATTTCTGTGGTTAGTAAGCCACCCAGTACATGGTCTGTTGTGACAGCAGTCCATATAGCCCGAGACACTGATCTTGGCAGGTGGCTCTTCCATCCGCCGGCTGGTCCCTGACTTCTCCCTGTCCCTCACTTCTGCGGGGAGCCCATCCCCTCAGCACCTTTTGAGTCTCTCTCCACATTCCTGCCTCTCCATCTGAACCCACCACCCAGAGTCAGGATTGAATCATCTCCCAGTTGACTAATGACACCGAATCCTAGCCAGCCCCACCAATCTGTTCCTTCTTTCCTGTGAGTGCCAGCAGGGTCTTTCTTTCAAATGTTTGATTCGTTTAATTTATGAAGAGGTGATACATGTACAAGATGAAAACTTCCAAAAGTATAAATGTGTGAAAAGTTAGACACTCTCCCACCTCTGTCCCCATGGCCCACCGCTGCCCCTTGGAGACACCCACTGTTACCAGTTAACCCCAAAATCTGCATATCACACAGGATCACTGTATTTGTCTTTTCCTACACAAATGGGAGCAACTTATGCAAGGTGGCCTGCCTCTTGCTTTCTCTTCCTTAATATAGCTTAGACATCATCCCATATCAGTGCCCATAGATCTGAAGCATTCTTTTAAGGCCTGCTTAGCATTTTACTGTACACGTGCACTGTATCTTACTCTGAAATGCAGCTGTTCATATTTAATGACACTGATACGGTTGTATTCTTTGTGCAAGCCTCTCTTTAAGAACTTCTCAGGTATTACTTCATTTAACCTAAATGCAACCTAGGAGATGGGTTGTATTGTTATTTCTGTTTTAAAGATGAGAAAATGAAGGCTTAGAGAAATTAAGAAACTAAGGCTCCAGAACTAGTGGGTGGCAGAGCTGGGGGACGTTAACCCAGGTAGTGCTGCAGCTCGAGAAGGTGTGTTTGTATTAGTTTCCTAGGGCTGACGTAACAAAGCCCCCCGACATGGTTTGGGTCTGTGTTCCCGCCCAAATCTCATGTCGACCTGTGATCATCAGTGCTGGAGGACGGGCCTGGTGGGAGGTGATTGGATCATGAGGGTGGATTTACCACTCGCTGTTCTTGTGATAGTGAGTGAGTTCTCACGAGTCCTGGTTGTTTAAAAGTGTGTCGCACCTTCCCCCTCTCTCTCTTCCTCCTTCTCCGGCCATGTAAGTCCTGCCTGCTTCCCCTTCGCCTTCCACCGTGATTGTAAGTTTCCCGAGGCCTCCCCAGCCATGTTTCCTGCACACCCTGTACAATTCTGAGTCAATTAAACCTCTTCTTTATAAATTATCCAGTCTCAGGTAGTTCTTTATAGCAATGCAAGAATGGACTAATACACTCACAAAGTGAGTGGCCTACACAATAGAAATTTACAAAAAGAATTCTCTGCCCTGGAAGCCAGAAGTTCAAGATCAGGAGCGTGCTTCCTCTGAGACTCTGGATAGAATCTGCTCCACACATCTCTCCTAGCTTCCGCTGGTGGTTAGAGATTCCTGATATTCTTTGGCTTGTGGCTGCACCACTCCCATGTCTGCCTCCGTTGTCACAGGACCACCTTCCTCCTGTGTTTCCCTGTCATCATCACAAGGCATTCTCTCTAGAACATCAGTCATATTGAATTAAGGGCCACCCTCCTCCACCTCATCTTAACCAGTTACATATGCAATGACCCTATTTCCAAATGAGGTCACATTCTGAGGTTCTGGGGATTCAGACTTCAACACATCTTTTTTGGGGACAAGTCTCAACCCATAACATTGTTCTTACCACCACCCAATTGTTAATGGAGTTCTCCATTGCTTCCAGTCTTTTCCTATTACAAATGAAAACCCAGGTTCTTGTGTAGCTACAGGACAGATTCCTAGAAGCAAGTTGGTGGGTCAAGAGAACATGCATTTGACTTTGAACGCATATTGATGAACCGTTCTTCACAAAGCTAGAGATTAGTGCTCCCCTACAACCAGCATAGGTTAAAATATGTTTTTTAATCTTTGTAAATTTAGTAGGTAAAATAGTATCTCATTGTACTTTTATTTGCATTTCTTTTATCAAGAGTGAGTTTGTGCATCTTTTGATATATGTTTAAAAGCCATCTTATATTTCTTTTTGTGTGAACTATTTGTTCACCTCCTTTGTTCAATTTTCTATTCAGAATTTGGTCTTTTACCTATGGATTTTCAGGAGCCCTTTGGAAATGAAGGAATGCAACCCCTTCTCTGTGATGTGAGTTGCAAATAGTTTTTCCCTCTTTGTAGTTTGTCTTTGGATGTTATTCATGTTTTTTAATGAAAAATTTTTGTTTTTACCCAAATTTTCTGTTTACAAAATACAATGTATTAGTATTCACTGCTTCTGCATCATGAGTGACATTGTCTTCCCAAAGCCTCCATCTGATTATGTCACTGTGATGCTCAGAACCTTGGTCGGCTCCTCATTGTCCTTAGCATAAAATCCAAGCGCTGTGGTGTAGCCTCAAAACACCCCTCCCTTGTGTCCCCTGAAACCATCCTGAGCGGATCCCCCCAAATGAACATTTGCACATTGCCTTGCACATTTACCCTCACAAGCTTTGACTTATGCTTTTTCCTGCCTTCCCAGGTCTCGCTGGTGGAATCCCATTTCCCAATCCCCATTTACATGACAAGGGTGGCAGCCTTGGGGTGGCCGCTCAGACCTCCCTTCAACGGAGAATAGCTGTGGGGAGGGCAGGCTGCTGACACCCCTGGCTGCAGAGTCTTCGGGAGCCACTGCACCGTGTGCTGAGGACACGCCCTGCCCAGCTCCAGCCTGACGCCGAGCTCTGCCGGGGATTGGCCTGGGCATTTCTGCCCAGCTTGGGGTGGCCCCAAATGTCGTAAGAGCCTGTGACCTGAGCATTTGTAAAAATGGTATTGTCCTGGCTTTAGTCACTAATTTACATGGCTGCATGCCAGATTTTGTGAGACATTATTTTCTTATTTGAAAAAAACAAGCAAACAACTCAGTAGAGTGGGAAATTAGTATTTTCCATGACTTTTTTTTTTCCCAGATAAAGCCAATCAAATTGACTGAATGCTACTAGAAGAAAGCATAGAAGGGAGCGTCTCTCTTTTGCTTAGATAATCTGGAAACATTTCATGAAACATTTCTATACAGTGACTTGGCAAGTTTCATCTTCAGCCTTTTAGCAGAGTCCAATTTCCTGACCCCTTGCTTTTCTGAGGGCCCCCTCCTACTTCCTTCTCCAAATCAAGAACCCTGGGGGTCAGGGGAGAGAATCACCAGCTCAGCCCAGGGGAAGGGCTGAAGAGCTGGTGGGCTTCCTGGAGGAGGTGGTGTTGGAGCTCAGTCCTGAGTACAGCGAGAATGTGGCTGGTTAGACAGCAGTGGAGAGGGCAGAGCAGGGAGAGGACAGCAAGGTCAAAGGCAACATGGTCCTTACTCAGTAGAAGATCATGTCTTTCATATCAGTTGGCCACCCAGGACTCTGGGATTTAGTTATAGGGTGGAAGCCCTTGTTCTTTCTGGTCTATTCCTACTCTGCCTGTCTCCCCTTCCTTCGTTTTTTTTTTTTCCTTCTTTCTTTCTTTCTTTCTCTCTCTTTCTTTCTTTCCTCTCTTTCTCTCTCTTTCTTTTCTTTCTTTGTTTCTCTTTCTTTTCCTTCCTTCCTTCCTTTTCTTTTCTTTTTTGAGACGGAGTCTTGCTTTGTCTCCCAGGCTGGAGTGCAGTGGTGTCATCTTGGCTCACTGCAACCTCCACCTCCCAGGTTCAAGTGATTCTCCTGCCTCAGCCTCCCGAGTAGCTGGGAGCGCCCACCACCAGGCCTGGCTAGTTTTTTTTTATTTTTAGTAGAGATGGGGTTTCGCCATGTTGGCCAGGCTGGTCTCAAACTCCTGGCCTCAAGTTATCTGCCCACTCGGCCTCCCAAGTTTCTTCTTTCCTAGCTCTTTATTTCTGTCCACTGCTAAAACTAGGATGTTACTGATTCTGAAACCTGCAACATAGCTGGCAGAGAGAAAGAACACAGGCAACATGGATTCAAACATTTCTTTGCAGACTGCATATCTTTGCAGATAGAGGCTGTATCAGGTTAACTTGCACGCCCCCATATCTATTTGCATTCTAACCTCTGGACCCTGTGTTTGGGACCCTATATGAAAAAAAGGGGGTCTTTGCAGATGTGATGTAATGAAGGATCTTGAGATGGGATTATTCAGGATTAACCAGAAGATTCTAAACCCAATGACAAGTTTTCTTATAAGAGACAGGGGAGAAGACACAGACACCGAGGACAAGCCCATGTGAGGATGGAAGCAGAGATTGGAGTGATGCAGCCACAAGCCAGGAGCGCCTAGGAACACCAGAAGCTGGGCCCTCCCCGAGCACCGTCAGAGGGAATTCGGCCAGGCAACACCTTGATGTTAGACTTCTGGCCTCCAGAGCGGTGAGAGGATAGATGTCTGTTGTTTGAAGATGCCAAGTTTGTGGTAATGTGTTACGGCAGTCCTGAGAAATGAACCCACGGCCACAGAGTCCCTGCCCTGTCTCCTCTGCTGCCCCCAAATCTGCTGCTTGATGTTGAGAAGTTCGCTTCTGAAATTCCACTGCCTCATTGCGGGTGAGGGCTCACCCTCCCCTTCTCTTGAAGGATAAGGGGCTGTGATGGTCCCACCAGCCACACCTGGCATGTTTCCCCAGCTCCAGTACTGCAGGCAGCCCCGGGGTTTTGTTTTCTACCCTCCCTCGCCACACAGGTATTCCCATTGTGGATCTGGACAAGCCTATCATCAAAGAATTACCCGGAAGCACTGGTATAATTCCAGTGAAACCAATACTTCTGTAGATTCTAGGGGTTGTGAGAAAAAAAACTACCACCTACTCCCAAATGCTGTATTGTAGAATTAGTAACAGAATCTGAAGAAGGAAAGGTTTTTGGAAGAAATGTCTTTGGGCAGAGAAAGCCCAGGAGGCATTTGTTGACTGCCTGCAACACAGTGAGTCGTTCTCAGCCCTTAGAGGGTGGGGGAGATTTTTTTTAATTCTGATTTTAAAAATTAGAATCTTTGGGTCTGGGGTCCAGGCACGGAATTTTTTTTTTTAATAAACACACCCCCAATAGTTTTTTTTTTTTTTTTTTTTTCCTGAGACGGAATTTCGCTCTTGTTGCCCAGGCTGGAGTGCAATGCCGCGATCTCGGCTCACTGCAACTTCTGCCTCCTGGATTCAAGTAATTCTCCTGCCTCAACCTCCCGAGTAGCTGGGACTACAGGCATGTGCCACCACGCCCTGCTAATTTTGTATTTTTAGTAGAGATGGGGTTTCTCCATGTTGGTCAGGCTGCTCTCGAACTCTCAACCTCAGGTGATCCACCCACCTCAGCCTCCCAAAGTGCTGGGATTACAGGCTTGAGCCACCACGCCTGGCCATCCCCAATAATTTTAATGTGCAGCCAAACCCCACTGACTGGGAGGGATTTTCAAGGCCGGGCCCATGGAGTGTCAGCCCCTGGGTGATGCTGGGTAGCCATGCAGAACCCTCAGGCACATCCCACTTCCGGGGCCAGGGTCTCCTGGAGGAGACCAGCAGTCTATGTCAACAAGTCTCCTGGGGCTTCTGCTGTGTGCTCCAAGCTGAGAACCACTGTTCTGAGGAACCCACCTAACTGCTCCTCCACCCCTCTCTAAGGGTTTTTGCTATTCTGAGTGTCTTCAAATTCTTTCAGGTCTCTGTAGCGGGCCAGGCTATTTATTACTAACGATAGTAATACACATAGCTAATATGGTTCCAGTTGCTTCCCTGCTCTGGGGGACCCTGCCCCGGGCATCTCTGTCCCCCTTCCAGGGAGTTACCAACAGTGGGAGGCAGGAATGTTCTCCGACCCCCTTCCCCTTTGATCCCCGATCCTTGGCAGCGGAAGATGTCCACTCTCTCCCTTGACTCCTGTCCCCGCAGGGTCCAGTTGCTTCCGGTCTCTGAGAAAAGAAAGTACCTTCCCGCACTCCCCTGCCAAGGTGGTGCCTCAGGGAAACTTCAGCTGGCATCCCGGCTGGAGGTCTCTGAACCTTGGTGTCTGGTTTGATGTGGGTGGGGCAGATAAACTTGCCCTTGGGCACAAGTGAGAAAGAAGAGGGCAAGGGCAATCCACAAAGAGAGAACACCTGGATTGGTCCTTCTAGGCATCCCCTGCTTCCGTGTGTCAGGCACTGCAGGCACCAGTTAAATACTTTTTATATGTAGCCTTATTTAATTCTTACAACAACTTGGGAAGGAGGTATACTATTATCCTATTTTACAAATGAGGAATCCTTGCCTCTCTGAGATCCAGAAACTCCTCTGAGGCAGACAGGATTCTAATCCAGGAGGTCTGGCCCAGATCCCACATACAGGACCACAAGGCTTTGCTGCCTGGTAATAACCACAAAGCTTCCCCTTGGAGATGGGCTCTGGAGTGAGGGGCAGTTCCTGATCCCTTGTTCTCCTGGGATGTGTGAATGGAGATGGGAAGGAGAGAAAGCAAGCCTACTGTCTGCAGTGGGAGTGAACTGGGTGGTTGGGGTCCCAGTGGCAACACCATGCATCAAGCCTGTGCTTCTGTCTTTTGGGAAACAGTCTAGCAAAGGAGCAAGATTGCTGATGACTTTCTGTAGGTGTCTCATAGTCTTGTTTTCATGGGACCTCCTGGCTATTTTTTTATTATAGTCCTAACAATCATCAACACAGGATCTGAAAAGTTGTGAAGTAGGCACCACTTTTGGAGAAAGTGGACACTTTCTCCACAGGACACCCATCCAGCTGACTTCTGTCCATGGTGGGGATGGAGACAGGACAAGCAAGGCTTCAACACTGGTGGCTAGAGCGAGGAGACCTATGTGGAGGTCTCCGCATCTGAGACTTGAACTGTGGAGACTGAGATGTGTGTTCTGGGAGCATACTAACAACTTACTAAATGCTGCTTATTAGTGAATTTTATGAGCGTATAGTGGTTTGATTCAATAACCATGCCTACTGCCCTCTAATGGAAATGAGGCCAGGTGTTGTTAGTGACACAAGATGAAGAAGACACAGACCTAGCTGGGCTCAGGTGTCAGGACACGCAAATATTTGAATACTTAATGTGTGTCCTGTAGAGATATGTTCAGAATACTGTGGAAACAAGAAAGAGAGGTTGGTTAATCCTGCCAAGGACACAGTGACAGCTTTGCAGAGTAGAAGGTATTTGGAAGATAAATAGGGCCTTGAAGGATGAATAGGAGTTCAAGTGGTGAAGAAGGTACAGCAGGAGAAAGAGGAAGGAGGACCCTCTTCCTTCCATCTGGAGGGTCAAAATGACAGTGACATGTAAGCACAAGAGAAGTCTGCCACCCCTGGGTTGACCTGATTAAGAAATAAGTCTACCATGTCCTGGAACTCTTTCCCTGTCTGCTGGCTGGATACAGAAAATTCTGAGTTCCCAGGGATGATAGAGCCTCAAAGCAGGAAAGGACCTAGATCCCTGGATCATCACATGGAGGAAAGCTTCTCAGCAAACTGAAACACTCACATTGAACTATTAAAGAAGTGAGAAGTAAAATTCTCTTGTGCTATATCCTTGCAATTTGGAGATGTATTTATGGCAATTGGAACCTGTAGGACCCATACAAGCATAAGTGAAAGTCCAGTGTGGGTGTTGGAGGAAGTGGTGGGACATTGGCCCAGAAAGGCCAGTGAGACCTAATTGAGAGGGGCCTTGAATAACTACAGGGTTGGAATAGTTCACTTGAGATGTTTTATTTGGAAATTTCCTGCAGCAAGCAGTGGTGGCAATGGAGGAATGGAAGTGAAGTGTGTGGATGGGGCTGGAAATTTTGCTCTCAGAGATAACCGAAAGTTGGTTGTAATCTGAGCTTAATAAGAAAATTCCCTGAACATCTCCTTTGCTATGCAATTGTTCAAAGCAGTCAGGCTCCAGCTCACTCATACATTACGAATATTTTAGTGGTAAAGGAAATTTTGCTCTCTTTGATTTCTTTCAAGGTGTTATGAATGACTTCACATTAATGAAACCCTTTGAGATCCTCAATTAACTGTGACTTCAGCAATATTATGACTCTAATGCCTTCCCCCCAGACTTGCTTCCCCTTTCATTGGGAAGGATTATTGCCCACTTCCCAGCTCATTAGCATGCATGAATATGGGTTTAATTTACAGAGGAGTAATAAATGTCTAGTGGAAATAACTGCCCCTCTTTTTAAGACCATTTATATATTTATTTTGGAAAAGGTATAAAGAATTTCTGACTTTTGCAAACAGGCTTAAAAATTATGTGAGAAAAAATATGAATGACACCATGACGCAGAACACAGGACTCAATCCCCTGACTGAGAGGCAGGTGTTTGGGTTCAAGTCTTGGCCCGGTCTTGAACTTGCTCTATGACCTGTGGCAGAGTTTCACTTTCCTATTTTTGACACAAGGGGTTTGCCATAGGCTAGCATTTCCTTAAGTTTGGTTGATGTGCCACTGGTGGTGTGTGAGATAATTTTTAGTACATAGACAAGTATTTCGTTAATTATCACGATTATATATTTATTTTAATGTTTAATAAAACAACATAAATAGTACATCAAACCCATGATTTTGTGGAGATTACTGCATCATTGTGATTTCCCTTTAAATAAAGTTAATAAAAAATTTTAAAGGGAGGTAACAAATTAAAAAATAGGTAAATAATATAAATTATTAATGGATGTTGCAAAAATTGTAAAGGTGGCATGCTAATGACTGAAATTGGGTGGAGTAAGTGTTTTTTCTAGGTCCAGTGATCTGTGGCTTGTTGGGCCTTTAATCCCACTGGTTCCTCTTTAAGAAAATGAATCCAGATTGAATCATTTCTTTTTCTTTTTCTTTCTTTCTTTTTCTTTTTTTTTTTTTTTGAGACAGAGTCTTGCTTTGTTGGTCAGGCTGGAGTGCAGTGGCATGATCTTGGTTCACTGCAACCTCTGCCTCCCGGGTTCAAACAATTCTCATGCCTCTGTCTCCTAAGTAGCTGGAATTACATGCATATGCCACCATGCCTGGCTAATTTTTTGGTATTTTTAATAGAGACAGGATTTTGCCATGTTGGCCAGGCTAGTCTTGAACTCCTGGCCTCAAGTGTTCTGCCAGCCTTGGCCACCTCCCAAAGTGCTGGGATTACAGGTATAAGCCTGGCCCAGATTGAACCATTTCTCTCATTGGTATCATAATGAGAGAAATGGTTCAATCTGGATTCATTTTCTTAAAGAGGATAAATGACATAGTATACTTATCATACTTATGATACAGGATGGTATTTTAATATAGTTGCTTTCAGAGTATTCTCTCTGGTTCTTGGGATACCAGTTCTCTTGTTTACCCTCAAGGTGATTCATTTGTTCATTCATTTGTGGTTTGTAATTTTAGATTGCAACATCTCTCATAGAAATTGTTTCCTATGGGAATTCCATGCACTTTGTGTTATAAAATTGTCTCTACAGAATGATCTTGGCAAGTTTCACTTGTCCCAGGCTAGTCTTAATGTTAATGTGTCAGTTTAGGGTTCAAATGTCTTAGGAGGAAGAAAATTTGGCTCAGGTTGGCAATTTCTAGAAGGTTTTTTTTTTTTTCTTCTACCGAGGGCTGTGAACATGTGGCAAGCTCCCTCACCATTTTTCTGCTAGTGGATTTAGCAAGAGCCTCCATTCTACTACCTCTTTACACAGTTCTGAGACCTCTGCTCTTGAGAGGACAGAGAGATGGGAAGTGATAGTTGATAAGTCAGTGGTGTCATGGGAAACCCACTGAGGTCTTAGATTGTTCATTCATTCATCACCAACACTTACTGAGCATCTGCCATATTCCAGGCTCTTTGCTGGGTACTGAGAAAAAGATCTCTCGGAGCTCACTTTCTAATAGGATTGGGATTAAAATGTTCGTTCTACTAGTTACTTGCTTTTAACCTTGGGGAAATAACTTAGCTTCTCTGAACTTTGATCCAGTATAAGGTAAGAAATGGCTTAGCTAAGAGTATTGGAATTCATATGTTTCAACAAGAGGAGAAGCAGAGTATAGGTAAGTTGGTGAATTTCATGGAGGGCCATTTGAAAATTATCTTCTGATTGCTTCAAATTCATTCTAGTGTAATAAAATAGATGTAAAGTCATTAGCTGAGAGCAAGCAAGGAGGAGAGGGTGTTGGCAATTTGAGAAAAAGGAAGACATGTGATGATCTTCTGCCAGAGGATTGATTAGGAAAATGGAAAAGAATTGCTGAGAACTCCAAGAGCTCAGCTGAGGGTTAGGGTCATGAATTCAAGGTGATATAGTTTAGCTGTGTCCCCACCCAAATCCCATCTTGAATAGTAACTCCCACAATTTCCACGTGTAATGGTAGAAACCTGGTGGGAGGTGATTGAATTATGGGGCGGGTCTTCCCTAGGCTGTTCTTGTGATAGTGAATGAGTCTCACAAGGTCTGATGGTTTTCAAAATGGGAGTTTTTCTGCACAAGCTCTTTGCCTGCTGCCATCCACATATGATGAGACTTGCTCCTCCTTGCCTTCTACCATGATGTGAGGCCTCCCTAGCCATGTGGAACTGTAAGTCCAATAAACCTCTCTCTTTTTTAAATTGCCCAGTCTTGGGTATGTCTTTATCAGCAGTGTGAAAATGGGCTAATACACAAGAAAAGCCCAGCCAGCATGGCTATGTGCTTTTCCCTAGCCATGCTCAGCTGCATGCGTGCAGCTATATTTAATGAAATTATAATATGCATTATTTCATCAATCCTCATGACAAATCTTAGAAGCCATTTTGTACCTGTTTCACAGATGAGTAAACCAAATGTAGACAGGTAAAATGACTTATCCAGAATCACAGTTAGGAAGGGGCACAGCCAGGGTTAGAAACCAGGACTGGCCCCAGAGCTCACACTCTTAATCCTTGTGGTATGCTCAAATAGCTGCTTTATAACCTTTTAAGGGAGCTTCAAGTGATTTTGATTATTTAATCTGTGAAAACTGCTATGCAGTATCCAAAGTGGGCGGTCAAATTTTAGATATGATTCTGCTACAAATTCAGCGGTGGCTTCAGCCACATCAATTCCTCCCTGTGGTCTTGATTCTCCTCTCTAAAATGGGGGGGTTGATCTAGAGGCCTCTTGATTCTCTTCCTACTCTTTAATTCTAAGCATTGGTTTTTTTTTTTCTCTCTCTCTCTTTCTCAGAAGTGTGGCTTAGCATCCTGTAAAAGTTCAACCCTGCAGGGACTCGAGGTCCTTCTTTGACATGAACACATTTGGGCACTGTATCTTTTCCACCAAGATCTCCAAAATCTGAAGCCAATTAAAAGCAAAGATCATCTAGAGTGGAAATCAAGGCACACTGGACAGGGCAGGGGGTCAGGGAGCTGCCACCCTCCTCTCCACAAAGTTTGCAAGCCCGGTCAGATGGGGGCACTCACTTTGTCACGGTGCTGCCCCCATAATTGCAATAGGCTCTTTTGTTACTAAACAGACCCAGCCAAAACAAAAGGGATACTGTTTCTTTTATGAGTAATGTGCTAACTCACCCCTGGAAAAAAAAAAAAGTTCAAGTCCAACCTAGGGACTGAGACAGCATAAGATTTATTATGAAGGCTACAGAAATTATTCCTCCTTCACAGCACTTAAATTGTCTAATTATTCACAGCTGTTTCCAATTTGGCTCAGGTTGTTAATTAAGGGGTGTTCGTCTTCTCCTCCCTTCAGTGGCAGCCACCTGAAGCCTCACCAGGCACCACACAGAGGAGCTGGGGCAAAGGAGGGTCCGTGGCTTAGATGTGGGAATCTTCTGCGCAGCGGCCAACCTGCTTTTGTCCATTTGCCTCTCACTCAGATGGAAATATATCAGGAGACATGCATTTCCTTCGTGCAAGTGAAGGATGCTGGCTTGAGGGATTACCTGCAGAGGGAGGGACCTGGTTCCTTGACCTCCCCTAGGAATGCAGGGAACCTCTGATCACCTTAGGTGTTCTTGGGGACCATCGAAGAACATCCTAGCAAGGGGGTGGGTCTCTCCATTCCTGTCTACACCCAACACACACAGGCAAGTTGGACCTTCCACTTACATCTCACATTCTGGTCTACATGCCCCTCCCCTTGCAGCCCTTATTCCCTCTGGTTACCTCCACGGCACCCCCATATATACCCCTTGTATCTCCTTGTCTCAGGTAGATATTCTGCTTTGATTTTCAGATAGGTGATTATAATAAACATTTGTTCGACAAACATCAAATGGGCAACTGCTGTGTTTGGGGCACTGAGCCAAATACTGGGGCTTTAAAAATGAATGAGATGTGTTCGATTCCCCTCTAGACTGTAAGCTGCATGGTATAATATCTTAATCATCTTTAACTTCTCCCCAGTACCTGGCAGAGTGGCTGGTATACAGTAGGTGCTCAATACATACATCTGAATAAATCAATGAGTCACAGAATGTTCTGGCTGCAAGAGACTTTGGTGATAAGCCTACCCCTTTAATTTAAAAAATTTTAAAAGCTTTTTACTTGAAACAAACCTAAGATATATTAATTTTAGAAAAATTGGAAAATAAAGAAAAAACTAGAAATCACCTATAATCCTACCTAGAAAACATATCAGTTGTAAACATTTGGTCATATATCTTTTTAGTCTTTTTTCAAAGGATATTATGTATATTTTTAAACAAAACTGGGATCCTATGTTATATTTACCTGTTTATAACTTGTTTTATTATAATTTTATTATATTAACACCATATAATTTAAAACATTTCCCACATCATCTTCATCCAAATCATTCTTAACAAATATGCTATATTCTATGATATAGTTTGACTATAATTATTTTTACCAGTTAGGTTGCTTAAAGTCATTTTCATTTTTTCTTTTGCTGTTGTATATAATGCTTAATTGAACATCCAACTTTTTATAAAAGAGGAAACAGACTCAGAGAGGGGAAGCAATTCACCCAAGTGTTGTCCCTCAGCTCCAAATGCATTCTATATGATGCTGGGGCTGGGATTTTACAAACCACATTTCTGCTTTTCTATCACAGAATGAGTAAATGGACAAATGAGAAAATGAATGTAGAAGTCTCTGAATTGGCTAGAAAAAAATAATTTTGGATAGGCTCTTTGATGGCTGATGGAGTGAATCTAGAAGTATGTATTTATGACTTTCAAATGGAAAGGGAAGCATCAGAGTTCCCTGCATGGTAAGCTATGGGGGCACTTTTTTGGTAAAACAGAATACAATGTAAAAGACAACTATGGGACGGGTGCAGTGGCTCACACCTGTAATCCCAGCACTTTGGGAGGCCCAGGCGGGCGGATCACGAGGTCAGGAGATCGAGATCATCCTGGCTAACATGGTGAAACCCCGTCTCTACTAAATATACAAAAAATTAGCTGGGTGTGGTGGCGGGCACCTGTAGCCCCAGCTACTCGGGAGGCTAAGGCAGGAGAATGGCATGAACCCGGAAGGCAGAGCTTGCAGTGAGCCAAGATCATACCACCGCACTGCAGCCTGGGCAACAGAGTGAGACTCCATCTCAAAAAAAAAACAAATAAAAAATAAAAATAAAAAAATAAAAAGACAACTATGTAAAGACAGGTACTGAAGAGTGAGTAAAAGCAGGCAGATTCTGCAGGGGAATAGACACTTGGAAGAAGAAAATGGCATAGGGTGAATTTTCTGCCTATCTGGTGTTTAGCCTGAAAGCAGACCACAAATGACCCACACGAAGCCAATAAAATACCAGTAGAAAACCTACAGCCTTTCTGAAGAGACCTAGAGAAAGAGGGAACCACAATCTGTGTATAAACTCAAATCTCTGGTGGACCGCTGAACCATGCATTTGCAGGACAGACTGCAAGTAGTTCAGCTAAGGATGAAAGAGCTAAACTGAGATTTGAGCTACCGCCTGTGTCAGAGTTTTCAGTTTGCACCCACCTATGTTAACATTGCCTGCTAATACAAACAAAAAATCAGCAGTCTCCTCAGGAATAACCAAATTCAGTTATAATAGACAAGAATAACATGACAGTCACAATGTCTATAACACAATCCAAAATTACTTGACACACAAATAGGAAAATATGACCCATTCTGAAGAGAAAAGACAATTAATAGAGACTGACCTCAACATGGTAGGTAGCGGACAAGGATGTTAAGGCAGTTATTATTGTTCAATGATGTTAAAAAAATGCACTTAATGAATGAAATAAAAAAAATCAGAGAAATAGAAACAAACAAACCTGAAAAATACAATACCTGAAATTGTGTAGATGGTAGTGAAACCCATGGGAATGAATAAGATTGTCCTAGATAGAGGAAGAACAAAATTTTTTTTAATTTTAATTTTTTATTTCAATAGGTTTTTAGGGAAGAGGTGCTGTTTGGTTACATGGATAAATTCTTTAGTGGTGATTTCCGAGACTTTGGTGCGTCCATCACTCAAGCAGTGTACACTTGGTATACAGTATACATTTGGTGTGTGTGTGTGTATATATATATACCAAATTTGGTATTATATATAAAATTTGGTGTGTGTGTGTGTGTGTGTATATATATATATATATGTGTGTGTGTGTGTGTGTGTGTGTATATACACACACCAAATTTTTAAGCATTTAAAATATATACCAAATTTTTAAAAATCCACTCAATGATTGATGAGCATTTGGGCTGGTTCCATATTTTTGCAGTTGTGAATTGTGCTGCTATAAACATGTGTGTGCAAATATCTTTTTTGAATAATGACTTCTTTTCCTGTAGGTGGATACCCAGTATGGGATTGCTGGATCAAATGGTAAATTTACTTTTAGCTCTTTAAGGAATCCCCACACTGTTTTCCACAGTAGTTGTACTAGTTTACATTCCCACGAGCAGTGTAAAAGTGTTCCCTTTTCACCACATCCATGCCAACTCTATTACTTTTTAATTTTTTGATTATGGCCATTCTTGCATGAGTACAGTGGTATTGTGTGTGGTTTTGATTTGGATTTCCCTGATAATTAGTGAGGTTGTGAATTTTTTCATAGGTTTTTGGCCATTTATATATCTTCTTTTGAGAATTGTCTATTCTTGTCCTTAGCCCACTTTTTGATGAGATTGTTTGTTTCCTTCTTGCTGATTTGAGTTTCTTGTAAATTCTATCTATTAGTCTTTTGTCAGATGCTTAGTTTGTGAAGATTTTCTCCCAGTCTGTGGGTTGTCTGTTTACTCTGCAGATTATTTCTTTTGCTGTGCAGAAGCTTTTTCATTTAATTGAGTCCCATCTATTTATTTTTGTTTTTGTTGCATTGTTTTTGGGTTGTTGGTCATGAAGTCTTTGCCTAAGCCAATGTCTAAAATGGTTTTTCTGATGTTATCTTCTAGAATTTCTATGGTCTCAGGTCTTATATTTCAGTCTTTGATCCATCTTGAATTGATTTTTATATAAAGTGAGAGAGGAGGATTCAGTTTTATTCTTCTAGATGTGGCTTGCCAATTATCCCAGCACCATTTGTTGAATATGGTGTCCTTTCCCTACTTTGTTTTCATGTGCTTTGTCAAAGATTGGTTGGCTGTAAGTATTTGGCTTTATTTCTGGGTTCTCTATTCTGTTCCATTGGTCTATGTGCCTATTTTTATACCAGTACCATGCTGCCTTGGTGACTATAGCTTTATAGTAAATCTTGAAGTCAGATAATGTGATGCCTCTAGATTTCTTCTTTTTGCTTAGTCTTGCTTTGGCTATGCAGGCTCTTTTTTTGGTTCCATATATGGATTTTAGAGTTGTTTTTTCTAGTTCTGTGAAGAATGATGGTGGTATTTTGATGGGAATTGCACTGAATTTATAGGCTATTTTTGGCAATATGGTAATTTTCACAACATTGATTCTACCCATCCATGAGCATGGGATGTGTTTCCATTTGTTTGTGTCATCTATGATTTCTTTCAGCAGTGTTTTGTAGTTTCTCTTGTAAAGGTCTTTCACCTCCTTGGTTAGGTATAGTCCTAAGTATTTTTTTGTTTGTTTTGTTTTGTTTTGTTTTTTGTTTTTTTGTTTTGTTTTGTTTTGCTTTGCAGCTACTGTAAAAGGGGTTGAGTTTTTTATTTGATTCTTGGCTTGGTAGCTGTTGGTGTGAATAGCAGTGCTACTGATTTGTGTACATTGATTTTGTATTCTGAAACTTTACTGCATTCATTTATCAGTTCTAGAAGCTTTTTGGATGAGTCTTTAGGGTTTTCTAGCTATACAATTATATCATCAGCGAACAGTGACAGTTTGACTTCCTCTTTACTGATTTGGATGCCTTTTATTTCTTTCTCTCGTCTGATTGCTCTGGCTAGGACTTCCAGTACTATGTTGAATAGAAGTGATGGAAGTGGGCATCCTTGACTTTTTCCTGTTCTCAGGGGGAAGGCTTTCAACTTTTCCCTGTTCAGTATAATGTTAGCTGTGGGTTTGTCACAGATGGCTTTTACTACCTTAAGGTATGTCTCTTCTACACTGATTTTGCTGAGGGTTTTAATCTATAGTAATGCTGAATTTTGTCAAATGCTTTTTCTGCATCTATTGAGATAGCCATGTGATTTTTGTTTTTAATTCTGTTTATGTGGTGTATCATGTTTATTGACATGCGTATGTCAAACCGTCCCTGCATCCCTGGTATGAAACCCACTTAATCATGGTGGATTATCTTTTTGATATGCTGTTGGATTTGGTTAGCTAGTATTTTGTTAAGGATTTTTGCATCTATGTTCATCAGGAATATTGGTCTGTAGTTTTCTTTTTTTTGTTATGCCCTTTCCTGGTTTTAGTATTAGGGTGATCCTGGCTTCATAGAATGAAGTAAGGAGGATTCCCTCTTTCTCTGTCTTTTGGAGTAGTGTCAATAGGATTGGTATCAATTCTTCTTTCAATGTCTGATAGGATTCAGCTGTGAATCCATCTGGTCCTTGACTTTTTTTTCTTGGCAATTTAAAAATTACCCTTTCAGTCTCGCTGCTTGTTATTGGTCTGTTCAGGGTTTCAATTTTTTCCTGGTTTAGTCTAGGAGGTTGTATATTTCCAGGAATTTATTCATCTCCTCTAGGTTTTCTAGTTTATGTGAATAAAAGTGTTGACAGTAGCCTTGAATGACATTTTGCATTTCTATGTTATCAGTTGTAATATCTCCTGTTTCATTTCCAGTTGAGCTTATTGGGATCTTCTCTCTTCTTTTCTTGGTTAATCTCGCTAATGGTCTGTTAATTGTTTTTATCTTTTCAAGGAACTAGCTTTTTGTTTCATTTTTTTTTTGTATTCTTTTGTTTCAATTTCATTCATTTCTGCTCTAATCTTTGTTATTTATTTCTTTTCTTCTATTGAGTTTGGGTTTAATTTGTTCTTGTTTCTCTAGTGCCTTGAGGTGTGACCTTAGATTGTCTTTTTGTGCTCTTTCAGACTTTTTGATGTAGGCATTCAATGCTATGAACTTTCCTCTTAGCACTGCTTTTACTGTATTCCAGAGGTTTTGATAGGTTCTGTCACTATTATTGTTCAGTTCAAATAATTATTTAATTTCTATTTTGATTTCATTGTTGACCCAACAATCATTCAGGAGCAGGTTACTTAATTTCCATGTATTTGCACGGTTTTGAGGGTTCCTTTTGGAATTACTTTCCAATTTTATTCCACTGTGGTCTGAGAGAGTACTTGATATAATTTCAGTTTTCTTAGACTTATTGAGACTTGTTTTGTGGCCTATCATATGGTCTATCTTGGAAAAAGTTCCATGCACTGTTAAATAGAATGTATATTCTGTGATTGTTGGGTGGAATGTTCTGTAAACAGCTGTTAAGTCCATTTATTCTAGGGTATAGTTTAAGTCCATTTTTTGTTGTTGTTGACTTTTTGTCTTGATGACCTGTCTAGTACTGTCAGTGGAGTATTGAAGTCCCCCACTATTACTGTGTTGCCATCTATCTCAGGTCTATTAGTAATTGTTTTATAAATTTCAGAGCTCCAGTGTTAGGTGAATATATATTTAGGATTGTGATATTTTTCTGTTAGACTGGTCCTTTTATCATTATATAATATCCCTCTGTTTTTTTTTTTTTTAGCTGTTGTTGCTTTAATGTCTGTTTTGTCTGATATAAGTATAGCTACTTCTGCTCACTTTTGGTGTCAATTTGCATGGAATATATTTTTCCACCTCTTCATCTGAGTGCTTATGTGTTAGGTGAGTCTCTTAAAGACAGCAGATACTTGATTGGTGAACTCTTATCCATTCTGCCATTCTGTATCATTTAAGTGGCGCATTTAGGACATTTACATTCAACGTTAATATTGAGAAGCAAAATACTATTCTATTCGTCATGCTAGTTGTTGCCTGAATGCCCTAGATTTTTTTTTCATTGTGTTATTGTTTTATAGGTCCTGTGAGATTTATACTTTAAGGAGGTCCTATTTTGGTGATTTTGAGGATTTCTTTCAAGATTTAGAGCTCCTTTTAGCAGTTCTTGTACTGCTGGCTTGGTAGTGGTGAATTCTCTCAACATTTGTTTGAGAAAGACTGTATCTTTCATTTATGAAGCATAGTTTCACTGGTTACAAAATTCTTGGCTGATAATTGTTTTGTTTAAGGAGGGTAAAGATAGGACCCCAATCCCTTTCCGCTTGTAGGGTTTCTGCTGAGAAATTTGCTGTTAATCTGATAGGTTTTCCTTTCTGGGTTGCCTGATGCTTTTGCTTCACAGCTCTTAAAATTATTTCCTTCCTCTTGACTTTAGATAACCTGATGACTATGTGCCTAGGCAATGATCTTTTTGTGATGAATTTCCTGTGTGTTCTTTAAGCTTCCTGTATTTGGATGTCTAGATCTCTAGCAAGGCCAGGAAAGTTTTCTTGGTTATTCCCTCAAATATGTTTTCCAAACTTTTAGATTTCTCTTCTTCAGGAATACCAATTATTCTTAGGTTTGTTCATTTAACATAATCCCAAACTTCTTGGGGCCTTTGTTCAATTTTTTCAAAAACTATCCTTTGTCTTTGTTGGATTGGGTTAACCTGAAAGCCTTGTCCTCAAGCTCTAAAGTTCTTTCTTCTACTTGTTTGATTCTATTTCTTAGACTTTCCAGTGTATTTTGCATTTCTCTAAGTTTGTCCTTTATTTCCAGAAGTTGTGATTGTTGTTTATTTATGCTATTTCTCTGGAGATTTTTCTATCCATATCTTGCATCATTTTAAAAATTTCTTTAAATTGTTATTCATCTTTCTCTGGTGCCTCCTTGAGTAGCTTAATAATCGACCTTCTGTATTCTTTTTCTGGCAATTCAGAGATTTCTTCTTGGTTTAGATCCATTGATGATGAGCTAGTGTGAGCTTTTGGTTAAGGAACCCCATTTTGTCATATTACCAGAATTGTCTTTCTGGTTTGGAATAACATAAATTGATAGGGGTCAGAACTAAAGTCCTTCTCAACTTTCAAAAATATTTTATAACTTTTCTCAGTTTCCAATTGCCTGTCTTTATGAAAATACTTTTCTCACTTGATAACCAAGACATCCTTTGAGATAGATTTATATTTTCTATTTAGCAGACAAGAAAACCAAGGTTTCTACAGGGGGGAAAAACATAATACCTTTTTTTTCTTAACTGAGAATACTCTGTATCCCAACTGCTGAACTTGATATACCTTTTTGCTTATCTTGAAAATAATCTTATAAAGTAGTTGTGCCTTTTAATCCATGTTGCAGCTAAAGAAACTCAGGTCAGAGAGCACAAGCAGCTTGTATAAGATCACTTTGTGCCCAGGACAGGCCGTAGCCAAGGATGGCACTAAAATACACACTGAGCAATAATGAGATGCTCTAGAGTTTAGGATTTGAATCTGACTTCACCACTAACTAGCTGTGTCATTGTGTGTGCCTTGAGTCGAGGCAGTGTATTTAGTAGCATGGGCTGTAAAGTTAGCCGGGGTTCAAATCTAGCCACATGAACTTGAGCCTCAGTTGTCTCATCTACAAAACCAGAATAGCAGTAAGACACACCTCACTGACTGACTGGTCGTGAGGATTAAACACGGGAACACAAGTAAAACACTTATAATATTGCCTGGAAGAAAGAAAGAAAGGGCTTATTAAATGTTGGCTATTCTCGATGATAGTAATAACAGCAGGGTAGCAAATACAATCACTGCCCTGCCCTAATCCCCATGCCCTTACCATTTCAGTTCATGCCTGCCCATCTCCCAACTATTTGCACTCCTTGCCCCAGGACTTTCCCTTTATGCTTCCTATCAGCTCTGCAGGCAAGTGAGGCAGGCTCGAAATGCTGAGGAATTAATGCTTGGGAGGAGCAGCCCTTAACAATGGCTAATGTAAGTTGATGGATAAATACCTCAGCTCCCTCACCTCCAAGGTGGGATAGCTCAGGCATATATTCTGCACCATTTTCCAGAGCTCCCCAGTGGGGTTGAGCTCTGTTTGGCCAGTAGTAACATGCTTAATAATCCACCCTTCTTTTCCTTCACTGTCTCACTTCTCTTTTTTTTGTTAATTTTTTTTTTTTTTTTTTTTTTTTTTTTTTTTGAGACGGAGTCTCGCTCTGTCGCCCAGGCTGGAGTGCAGTGGCGGGATCTCGGCTCACTGCAAGCTCCACCTCCCGGGTTCACGCCATTCTCCTGCCTCAGCCTCCCAAGTAGCTGGGACTACAGGCGCCCGCCACTACGCCCGGCTAATTTTTTGTATTTTTAGTAGAGACCGGGTTTCACCGTTTTAGCCGGGATAGTCTTGATCTCCTGACCTCGTGATCCGCCCGCCTCGGCCTCCCAAAGTGCTGGGACTACAGGCGTGAGCCACCGCACCCAGTCAGTCTTCTGATTTTTTTTTAGTTCTTTATTAAATGTTATAGATGCAAGCATTTAGATGGAATTGTGCTTCTGCAAGTAATATATTTATTTTAAATGAAATGTTCACCTTTTCAATAGTGCCATGAAGAATGGCTTTTAGAGAGATTGCCCTAAGAATCCCCTGGCCACATTGCTTCTCTGTTTAAAATCCTTTATGCATTCCACAATGTTTATTGAGCACCTACTGTGTGCAGGCACCGTGCTGGGTGCTGGGGATGTATCAGTGAACATGCCAGTGTGCCTTGGCCTCATGAGGCCTGCCTGCCAGCAGGGGAGAGAGATAAAAGACAAAAGTAACATGAAAATATGATGTCAGGTATTAATAAGCGCTCTGAAGAAAATAAAGCAGGAAGAGGGTATAGCAAGTGCAGGATAGAGATGTCATCCTGAGGAGGCATCCTTGGAGCAGAGACTCAGATGAAGGGAAGGACTGAGCCATGGGACTCCCCTGTGGAAAGATGAATTGACCTGCTAACCTGGCAATGGTTGGCTTTGTTTTCAGATAAAGCCCACATTCCTTAAAGTGACATTCCATGTCTTTCCCAATCTGTTTCTTGTCTCTACATTTTCATCTTCATTTCCTGTCAGTTCCCAAAGCCATGCCAAGCATCAGCCATGCTGCAAAACCAACATTTCCTCCCAAAATATATTGTTCTATTCTCTTCTGTCAGCTCTCCTCTGGCTTAGGCTTGGGGAGCCGGGAATGAGTCCAGCAAAGGCTCAGCTTCCCAGGGAGAGGGAGGGACATGAGAAGAGGTGAATGAATGACAGAGGTGATTGTCCACAGCAGCCCAGGGCAGCTCCGCTGGACAAAAGCCCAGGTGGGGATGAAGAGGATGCATGGATGAAAAAGATCACAGGAGCATCATCTTCCCTGGGATTTCTCGTGTAACACTGTGAATGTATTGGCTTGTTGGTCCCATCTGCACTCTGCTTGCTCTGTGTCACCAGTTCAGGATTTATCCAAAAGAATTCTGCAGTCAAATTACTTTGAGACAAGCTGTACTTATGCCCCCTATAGAGATTCACCGTAAGCTCTGACATAATAAATGCTCTGAGAAGTCCTGTAGTAAAGAAATGTGTTGAGCTTTACTTTAGCATTTTCCAAACCTATCTGGTGGCAAAAGTCTTCCATTCCTATAGAACATCTATTACAATCTCCCAGAAACATTGCTGGGCTGTGCACACAGGTGAAAACCAGAGTTAGAGTCAATGGTAATTATTAACAGTTGAAGTTTAGTGGGAGATGATTGTTAGAATCCATAGATTCATATTCCTTTAAACTTTGACCTATGTTCAGATTGCCACCAAAACAAAAAAAATGTGGGACATACTGAGTGGCAAATACGTATGCTTATTTTAATTAAGACCTATAACTATGTATGGAAAGAAAGCATAAAATGATTGAGTTGGGGGCTATATTCCTCTTTGTAAATGTTATTTTCTTCTGTTATTTTTGCTGATAAACGCTTAACCGATTGTCCTGCTCAGGGACAAGCAAGATTTCCCTTGGTGGTAAAAGGTCCAAGGTCCAAGGAGATGACAGGGTTCCTGAAGGAGCAGCTTAGGTAGGAAAAAGGGGGCTAGATAAGAGAAAATCCTCCCAGAATCCTCCTGCACCCAGTGACTGTCACTATACAGAGACCTCTCGAGGGCAAGATCTGGGTTTATGCATCTCTGTGCCCATATGTTACACAGAGCTTGGCACAAAGGAGGTGTGCAGTAAAGCTTTGCTGAATGAGTGAAGGAATGCATGAATAGTGATTCCTTGTGTTCTTACTTCCTCAACACTTAATTGTTCACTTATTATGAACTATTTACAATACCTCCTACTGTGTGCCAGCCGGGATCTAGGGATGTCCAACACATGATCCCTTCCCTAAGGAGCTCACAGTGTAGTCATCTTTAATTATTTTCATTTTAGGGGTCCCTTCCAGCTCTGGACTCTGCCACTCACCCTAAGATTCTACGATTCTGTCATTCTGAAACTCTGTTATTCTAAGATTCCACGATTCTACAACTCTCCTCATGAGCCCTGGACATCTGCCTTTATTTTGGATCCTCTGTTGGACTAGTTATCTAAATAGGAATCTTCTCAGTTCATTTATTTGTGAATGTGTATCAAGCATCGATGAAGAGGTCACCTCTAAGAAATTTGTAGATTCAGTTCAAGGTCAATTGAAGCTAACCGTATTAAAGCAAGATCTTATCTCTCCTCATGAAATATTAGCCGTTCTTTTTGAAAAAAAAAAAAAAAAAAAGAATTAGGCCAAAATAGTTCACATAAAGAAAAAAAAGACTTCATTACTGCATATATTTACGCATATGCTCATTTGGTGGTTTCTTCTCTTAATTACGAACAGGAGGAAAAGATCTAGGGTCATACGAAGGGTATGTTGTGTATGGACGGGGCCACAGGCAAAGTTCACAGAGGGTAGCACTGAGGGTTGGAGGGAAGCAGGGAGTCCACTAAGCCAGTCACCCACTCGCCCAAGGCCACATAGGAGGTGAAGGCAGAGAACCACCCCAAGTCGGTTTCCTCCTCCTGGTTCCGTGTTCTCCTTGCATCCTGAGGCTGACCAGACAGGTTGACAATGACCAGGGAGATGGGACCAGGTCATTGCAGGCCCAGGCTCTCCACCTCTGTGTGCATCCTCTGAGAACATAGATTGGTAGCCCTATTGAGTGACACAGAGTGACATGGTAGGAGGAGGCTGGGTTGGAACTCTGGGGGATTTAATTCAAACTCCAAACCCAAGGTGGGCTTGGACGAGTCACTTCTCTTCTCTGAGCCTTGGCTTCTTCGACTCTAAATTAAGGATGTTGAAGTAAATGATTGCAAAATTAAATTGCTATGAGTCCCCATTTATGCTTATAGTGGTTATTTTTTAAAATGTTATTATACAAATAACATATTAATACGTTATATACAACATGATATATCTATAAATATGAGTGCATTATAGACAAGGCTAAAGTTCGTTTTGACTTCAACCCAATCCTGCTTCTTGTTTGACTTCCCCGAAGAAACCATATCAGCTTGGTTTGTATCCATGCATTTATATAACACTATACACACACACACACACACACACACACACACACACATAGACATACATATATAATATGTACATAGTATAACATCATCTATGTGTGTGTGCTTGTATGGTTTTTTTTGTTTGTTTCTTTGTTTCTTATTACCATTCTGTACTCAGCTTTTCATTCAATAATATGCCTTGGACATCTTCCCATAATAATCATTATTTTTGATGATTTGCAATATTTTAATTATTCTCAATGTTTTAAATTATTGCTTTGCAGTCTACTGTATGAGTTTATCTCAGTCTATGTTGTCATCCCTCTGTTGGTGGTCATTTATGTTGCTTCTTTTCTTTACTGGGTTTAATTTAATGGTTTAAGTTTTTAATGCTACTTTGTGAACTGTATTGGCTGTTGCATCAAAGATTCAGTAGTAGCTCAAGTCAGGAATGTAATACAATGCCTGCGTTCTCTTACCTGAGGGTAAAATAAAGTTGCATAATTACCTCTCAAACAAGCCATAGCAACCACCTGTTGACTAGAGCCATTCCTGGAGTGCCAACAGGGGAGACTGCCTGTGATCTCTACTTGTTACTGTTGACCATCAGGAGTTGGGGAGGATAGATTCTTCTTTCTCTGAGATTAGGAAGTTAGCCACTCTGCCTTATAGTTTGTTTTTTTTTTTTTTTTTTTTTTTTATTAGACGGAGTTTTGCTCTTGTTGCCCAGCTGGAGTACAATGGTGCGATCTTGGCTCACTGCAACCTCCGCCTCTCGAGTTCAAGAGATTCTCCTGCCTCAGCCTCCCAAGTAGCTGGGATTACAGTCATGTACCACCACATCTGGCTAATTCTCTTTTTGTATTTTTAGTAGAGACGGGTTTTCACCATGTTGGTCAGGCTGGTCTCTAACTCCCGACCTCAGGTGATCCACCTGCCTTGGCCTCCCAAAGTGCTGGGATTACAGACGTGAGCCACCGTGCCCAGCCGATGCCTTATACCCTTAATATAAAAAAGTCCAAAACTTTTATAATGATATTTATTGTCATTGCAACTTCAGGTAAAAAGTGACCACCTACAATTTAACAGTCTTCCTAGGAAATATATCTTTTTAAGAACAAAGGATAACTGCACATACATTTGCCCTTTCAGTGTGTTGCTCTATTAAGATATTCATCCATCATTGCGTGTATATAAGTATATGAATGTGGAAGCATTTGGACAATTTCAAATATCTTTTGAAAGTCCTCTAATCACTTGGTATTCTGGTGTTTACTGACAAGATCATAGTAAAATTACTCCACCTGACAACTTCCAATTTATTTTTATTTTTAAAATTTCCTTTATTTATTATTATTTTATAGAGACAGGGCATTGCGTTGCTCTGTCGCCCAGTCTGGAGTGCAGTGGTGTGATTGTAGCTCACTGCAGCCTAGAGCTCCTGGGCTCAAGCAATCCTCCCACCTCAGCCTCCCAAGTATCTGGGAGTACAGGCATGCACCACCATAATCAGCTAATATTTTTATTTTTTGTAAAGGTAGGGTCTTGCTATGTTGCCCAGGATGGACTTAAACACCTGGTCTCAAGTGATCCTCCTGCCTCAGCCTCTCAAATCTACTTCCTTTTGGATAAATTTTTTTACCTAAAAGTTTGGAACAGGTGGGGTGCCTAAATGCCTACAATACCCCTTACACTTTACTCCCTAAGAGAAAAAAGAAATGCAAGTATATTTTAAACTGGATAAGAACAAAGCAAAAATTGGTTTCAAGTAAGATTTTAGTATTGCAGGCACCAGTCTGAGTCCGTCTTTAGGCTAGGTAACTTTATGACGATTACACAGGCGTAATTACCCGTCAGAAGTCTGATAAAAGACAGCAAGACCATGAATATTGATGCACTTTCAGAATGCTGGTTGGAAGACCACGGAATTAACACTGATGGCTCTGGTTGTATTTGCCTTGTTGCTTATTTTCTATTTCCCTAGGCAATACGGCATTTCCTGCCTCCTACAGGAAATGATTATGTGTCCCTCTGATGGAAGTGATGACTGAGAAGAGTGGAGGCTGGGTTTTTGCTCTGACCCTGTCCTGGGCTGATGAGTGGCTCAGGAATGATCTGTTTCTGGCTGTTGTTTCTTCCCTCTCTCCTCTACTTTGCTGCATAGTACTTGACCTTCTGGATCTCTCTTCCTCTTGAGATCTGAATTACCAGGACTCTTGGCTGGCAGGTTTTGGAAGCCTGACTCACACTGGCTCAAGCAGAAAGGGAAATTATGGCTGCCCTGGCTAAGAAAGTTATTGGGGTGGGTCCCAGAACTAGCAGGTTACATACCCACTCTACAATGATCAGGGTGCTTGTTATCACAAGAAGAAGGATGGGAAAGCTTGCTGGGCTCCCAAAGGCATTGGCTATTCTTTATTTTGAGAATATCTGCCCAGAACCCTCATAATCCTAGAAGGCTTAAAAATGAAGGCCCCTTTTTTTCTACTGACCAAACCTTACTATTAAAAAAAAAAAAGGCTTAAGAGAGAAAGAGGAACAATACTAACATGCTTTTGTGCTGTGGAAGAGCCAGCCAGCGGGTGGGGCAGGGTGAGCCAGTCAGAGAGAGGGAGTGTGAGCAGGTACAAGAGAGAATGACCACGTGGAGTAGTACTCAGTGACAGACACATCAGTGACATCTGGACCTGCCACTCCAACCCACAGCCTGCTGAAGCCAGCTGACTGAGTGGGCCCAGCTGACACCACATGAAGCAGAACTGTTTGGCTGAGCCCTGCCTGAATCCCTGACATGCAGAATTATGAGAAATAATACATCAATGTTGTTTTGAGCCTTTACGTTTTGAGGTGGTTATATAGCAACAGGTAACAGAAATGTTGGGAATTCTGTGAGTTTTTTCCTTTTAAATTCTAATTGTTTTGTGCTTGGTGAGGTGATCCTTCTAAAGTTTGACTCCCTTGCATGCTTTGAAAGTGCACTTTCTCTTTCCTTTTTGAACTGTTACTATCCCTGAGCCTTGCTCAAATTAATAATTAATAATTAATACTTAATCTTGCTCAGATTAATACCGGGTCAAAACAAAGATCTGAGCCCTCAAATGTATAAGGCACTTACTTATCTTGCGTGGGATGGTAAACTGGACTTTAGACCCTTCTTTATGCCAATGGCTTGGTGGAGTGAGGAAAGAAACTGTTAAGGGCTAGGGGAATTCACTTTATGTTTGCCTTTTGTATGTTATTTAACATTTAAATGGTATTTTCTGGATGTAAAAGTAATGTATACTCACTATAAAAATTTGTAAAATGCAGAAAAGTATAAATAAGTAGAGAAAGTTAGAGATCGCTTCTAATTTTATCATCCTGGTATAGGTAGCATTACCAGTTTCGTATATCTTCCCTCCAGTCTTTTTTCTGAGTACACACACAGACACACACATACACACATATTTTACACAGTTGAAATCATTATAATGCACAGTTTTGTGTCCCTTTGTAACTTTTTTCTTTTTCTTTTTTTGAGGCAGGGTCTTGCTCTGTCACCCAAGCTGGAGTGCAGTGGTGCCATCATAGCTCACTGTACCCTCGACTTCCTGAGCTCAAGTGATCCTCCTGCCTCAACCTTCCAAGTAGCTGGGACTACAGCTGTGCACCACCATGCCTGGCTAATTAAAATTTTTTTTTTCTGTAGAGATGGGGGTCTCCCTATGTTGCCCAGGCTGGTCTCTTAACTCCTGAGCTCAAATGATCTTCCTACCTTGGCTCACTGCAGCCCCGACCTCCGAGGCTCAAGCAATCCTCCCACTTCAGCCTCTCATGTAGCTGGGATCACAGGCACGCATCACTACACCTGGCTAATTTTTTGGTTTTTATTTTTGTAGACACAAGGTCTCACTATATTGCCCAGGCTGGTCTCAAACTCCTGGGCTCAAGTGATCCTCCCATCTCGGCCTCCCAAAGTGCTGGATTACAGGCATGAGCCACCATGCCTAGCCTTTTTTTCTTCACATCATAAATGTTTCTCCTGATTCATTAAAAAAATACTTTACAAATGTCAGGGTTTTTTTTTGTTTTTTTTTTGAGACGGAGTCTCACTCCATCGCCCAGGCTGGAGTGCAGTGGTGCAATCTTGGCTCACTGCAAGCTCCGCCTCCCTGGTTCACGCCATCCTCCAGCCTCAGCCTCCTGAGTAGCTGGGACTACAGGCGCCCGCCACCACATCCAGCTAATTTTTTTGTATTTTTAGTAGAGACGGGGTTTCACTGTGTTAGCCAGGATAAATGTCAGTTTTAATAACTGCCTTGCATTTTGCCATCTGGGTTACCACACTTTGCTTAAACAACTCTCCAACCTATAGGGTGCCTCCCATGTCTTGTGATTTTGAAGTCTGCAGTGAACGTCCTCATGTGTAAATGTTTGCAGCTGTGGCTAGAAGTATCCCTAGACATGGGATACTTAGTGCTAGATTCCAGGGACTGGTTTGAATGTAAAATGACATTTTCAAAGAGCAATCAGAAAACTGACTTAAATGGTCATTTCAATTGTGATAACGAAACAAGCTGATATAAATTGAGATTCCCAGGAGGATGTCTCTTCTGGTGTCTGCTTTTTCTATGTTGAAGTTGTTCATTTTGTTGTTTATTATTCCCAAAGTGTTCCTCACCAGCATGTTGTCAAGGGTTCATGCTTATTCTGGCTTCTATTGATCCCCTTTGATGCATCTTAAAAGTCAAATTAATGGAAGAATAGGGGTTAGAATTCAGTTTTTCCATTCATTTGTTGTGGATCAGTGACATCATCTCCCCCTTGGGACTCAGACTCCCTGTAAGTACAATAATGGGCTTTGAGCAGACAATTTTCTCCCCATCCTCGGGTTTGAGCACCTAGTACATGCCAGGCACTGAGCTAAGAGCTTTTCGTGCATTCTGTGTTTTAAACCACACTATTATTAACCCATTTTATAAATGAGGAAACAGGCCATGAAAGCGTAAATTGTACCCACAGCTCCTTCAAGGCTTGTCCACTTTCTAGCTCTAAGGTTGGACCATTGTATCTAGGGTAACACAAAGGTCCAGGGAATTAAGGTTCAACTCATCCCTACTCATATTTCCCAAGGGCCCCCCACATGCCATGGCAATGTCAAATGATTTTTTTGCAAAAAAATCATACTTATTTGCTAAATTTATTTATTTACTTATTTGCTAAATTTATTTACTTATTTGCTAAATACTTATTGTATACTTATTTGCTAAATCTCACAATGATTCCATAAAACAATGTTATTATTCCCCAGATGAAGAAGCTAGCATTCAGAGAGGTGAAGTGACTCATCCAAGATCACACAGCTGGGAAGGAACAAAGAAAAAATTTTACCCGAGTCTCGCTGCTTTTAAACACAAGGCTTCTTCCCCATGTTCAGTCCCCATTGGTAATGGGAGGATAGGTTCATGACCTCTTGTCACTGCCATGCAGATGATGAAAAGGAAGCTCTGATCTCTGTGTTCTGTCTGGACCACTTCTGGGTTTTGGTACCTTCTTCCCTCTGCATTCTCACTGTCCCCACCTTCTTGACTGGCCACCAACTTAACTCCATATTCACCATATCTGGGGCTTCCTCCTGTCATTAAAAATCCACCTCTCTCTCTCTTCCTCTCTGTGTCTCTGTCTGTGTCTCCCTTACATAGCCGTTTCCTTTTCCCTCCTCTTGCAAAATACAAAACCAGGAATGAACTGAACACAGAAGTCTGTAAACACGCCGGCTTGGCTCCTTCTGAGGCTCTGGGTTCCTGGACACAATCTTGAATCCTAATTAAGCCGTTAGAGAAAAGCTTGTTACTGGCAACAGCGTCGGGGAGAAATAGTTTCCATTGTGCAGTATCTGGAATTGGAATTGGCCAGAAGGCTCTTGCTCGCTGCTTTCGATACCTAATAGGCAGAATCTCAAATGTTATTAATCTAAGTGAACCGTGCGAGACACAGGGATAGAGTGGTGAATAGAGTTATTTGATTTTAAGAAAGAAAATCAGGCAAAGAACATTCTGTGTTTGTAATGTCCTGGATCCCTGTGACAGGCCGTTAGATTAGAAATAAGTCTGTGGTATGTGGTGCAGGATTTAATGAAACTACAAGATAAATTGAGAAGCTAAGGCCAAGGTGAAAACATAGAATTCCTGACTCACTCTCTGCTTGGAGCCTCCTGTGCCCTTGGGGATTGGTGAAATGAGCATTCTTGATGGCAGAAAAGGAAAACATCTGATGCAATTACCAGTCAGTGCTGGGGCTGCCCACATGCTAGAGGGTCGATTCTGAAGCTTCACAGCCAGCACAGCCACTGAGGCCTGGGGGAGGCAGCCATTTTGTTGGCAAAAAAAAAAAAAAGAAGATAATGGCTTCTCTCCTGTCTTACTTCATGGGATGTAGGGACAGGATGTGATGTCTGGAGCTATGGCAGTCATGTTGTGATGTGAGTTGATATACTTAATAGATTTTATTTTATTTTTATGTAGCATAAGTGTTTTGTAAACATAATCATTTAATAATAACTCAATACCCAAACCCTGAGGATGGCAGAGCAAAGATTAGAAAAAAAAAAAAATCTGATGTTATTGCTGAATCAGCAATCCAACCCTGGGACTTCTTGTTAAGGAAGAATTAAAGGATAGGTGTCAGGTATTCTGTTTCTTGAAGTCCAAAGCCTATGTAGCCAGATGCCTGCTGGATATCCATTCTTAGTATACTCTTCTGTTACAGAGCTCTGCTATGTAACAAGGCAAATTACTACTAAGAACAAAGATTACATGACCTATTCTTCTTTCCAGGTAGAGTAGCAATGAGACTAAGTTCTGGCCAATAAGTGAAAGTTGTGTGTGGGCTTCTGAGAAAACTCTTTCAAAGGAGCCAGCTTTGCAGGAGGTGTGCCCTTTGTGTCTGTTACATGGTTAGGCTTTGTGTCCCGACCCAAATCTCATCTTGAATTATAATCTCCACAATCCCCGAAAGTCAAGGGAGAAACCAGGTGGAGGTAACTGAATCATGGGGACAGTTTACTCCATGCTGCTCTTGTGATAGCAAGTAAGCTCTCACGAGATCTGATGGTTTTATAAGGGTCTCTTTCCCCTTTGCTTCGCACTCACTCCATCCTGCCACCCTATGAAGAAGGTGCCTGCCTCTCCTTTGCCTTCTGCCATGATTGTAAGTTTCCTGAGGCCTCTCCAGACACATGGAACTGTGAGTCAATTAAACCTCTTTCCTTTATAAATTACCCAGTCTGGGGAAGTTCTTTATAGCAGTATGAAAATGGACTAATACAGTCTATTTCCCATTCCTTTGTCCAGATGCCAGGAAGGCAAATGTGAAAGCTGGAACCCCAACATCCATCTTGGGCCATGAGATGGTGAAGCCGTATATAGAGGTAGGGGGAGCAGAAGGAAGATGCCTGGGTCTCTGAGGTCTGCAGACCTGCTATACCAGTCCCGACTGCCTGTATCTGGACAGAACACATTTCTGGAAAACAACAAATTCTGTGTGTTTAAGCCACTGTTCTTTTGAGTTTTCTGCAAGTCACAGATGAATCTAATCCTAATACTGGATGGAAAGCTAGCCCAAGAGGAACTCGTTTGAAACCTTCGTGGCTTCCTGTTGCCTGCAGGAGAAAGTCCTGGCTTTCAAGGCCTGTACAATCTGCCTTAACCTTCCTTTCTAGCCTCATCTGCAACTCAAAACTTCCAAATCATCCTTGGACACTCCAATCAAAGGTACTTGAGCCTCTGAGAAGCCCCCCTGACCCTCTCTGGCAGGGGACCCCTGGCTCTGGGATCTTTGGCATCTTGCCCATGCCTCTGTGCTAGCGAGTATTATACCCACCTACTAACAGTTATTTCTGTGGAAGTTTCCAGTGGAAAATGTTTGCAGGGCAGGCCAAGGAAGCCATGGCCCAGAGACAGCACAAAAGTTGGGCAGAGCCAGCGCTTCCAGCTCTGAACTAAGCCCCTTTCCACTCCACCCTCTTATTTTATTAGACTGGAGGGAGGAGGAGACTTGTTAATTTCAAGTCATTCTACTTGACAACTTGATTTGGCATCTTATTTCAAGGACAGAGCTGGAAGCTGTCGAGCTGGAAGCTGTCAAGCTGGATTTCTGGGGGTTTCAGCTGAATTCTCTTCCTCCTGGAGAATCTAGCACAGGCTGCTCCAAGGGTCACCCCCAGGTTCTATTGCCGGGACTCAATAGCAGCACTGGGCAGGTCTTGGGTGACCTGATCCTTAGCCTGGTGCTAGGCCTAAGGGCAGGGTCTGAGGCAGGTATGGAAAGAAACTGACATAGGTCTCGAGTAGAGACTGGGGTGGAGCAGGTTTGGGCAGCTGGGACTTTTTTTTTTTTAAGAAAAAAAGAGGCTTTAGGTCATTTATGCACTTACTCATTGTAGCCTGGTGCTGGTGAGAGGCAGTTAGCAGAGTGGTCAGTGTATGGACTCCAAAGTCAGACAGCATGGTTTCAAATCTTGACCCCTGGCTGGGCGAGCTGGCTCATGTCTGTAATCTCAGCACTTTGGGAGGCCGAGGCGGGTGGATCACCTGAGGTCAGGAGTTTGAGACCAGCCTGGCCAACATGGTGAAACCCTGTCTTTACTAAAAATACAAAAATTAGCTGGACACGGTGGTGTGTGCCTACAGTCCCAGCTACTTGGGATGCTGATATAGGAGAATCGCTTGAACCTGGGAGGTGGAGGTTGCAGTGAGCTGAGATCATGCACTACACTCCAGCCTGGGTGACAGAGTAAGACTCCGTCTCAAAATAAGTAAATAAATAAATAAAAATAAAAATAAATCTCGGCCTCACCATGTACTTGCCACGTGACAATGGGCTAATTCTATTCTATGAACAAAGTCATCTTACAAAAATTAGTAAGCACCAGGTATACGCCAAACACTATTCCACTATCCTAGACATAGGAAGGAGTGTGGACATAAAGCAGTAAACAATACAGATTCAACTCTTTCCCTGTGGAGATTTTGTTCTAGTGAGAGGGAAGGGGTGCTGTGGTTTGAATGTTTTTGTCTCTTCCAAGACCCATGCTGAAACTGAATCCCCAGTGCAGCAGTGCGGGAGACAGGGCCTAATGGAAGGTGTTTAGGTCCAGAGGGCTCTGTCTTCATGAATGGACTGATGACACTAAAAAAAGGGGTTGTAGGAGTGTGCTCACTCTCCTCTGCTCCTCTACCATGTGATGACACAATGTTCCTTCTCTCCAGAGGACTCAGGAACCAGGTACCATCTTGAGACCAGAGACCTAACCTGTCTGTGTCTTGATCTTGGACTTCCCAGCCTCCAGAAGAACCGTGAGAGAATAAATTTCTGTTCTTTATATATTACCTAGTCTCAGGTGTTCTGTCTCAGCAGCACAAGACAGATTAACACAGAGGGGACCAGAGAAAAAACACATAGACAAATGCATGTATAATATGTAAGATAAATATAAATTTTATCTAAAAATTAAGCAGATGGGAGGGTAATTTTTTATTGAAAGACATTGGTTGGCCAAGCACTGATCATGCTTATATTTGTCTGCCATCTACCCCACCAGAGAGGAGAGCAATCCAGAACAGGGGTGAGGTGTGATTCATCTCTAAAACTGAGTCTAGAATTGTCTAGGAGAGATTTCCCAAACTGTTGTCCATAAAAGTGTTACTAGGTAATGAGTACTAAGTGTGTGGTCCAAGTTTGGAAGGTGTCAAGCTAAATAAAATTAAATCAAACAGGCTTTTTGCTTCAGAGCCTTTATAGGCTAAGGTGCGTTGTAATGCAAGGTGGAATGGGGTAGAGGGAGGTGGCTGCCTACAGTCATAGTTCCCAAAGTTACTTGGTTGGGGGCCACTTTGAGGCAGAGCATCTCAAGGTGCTAGTGTTCTGAAGAACCCACTGTGATGGTTAATTTCATAGTCCTCATCCAATCCACTGAGGGCCTGAGTAGAACAGAAAGGTAGAGGAAGGAGAAATTTCCTTTCTCATTGAGTTCCTGGTTTTCAGGTGTTTGGACTCAGACTGGGGCTTACACCATTGGCTCTCCTGGTTCTCAGGTTTTTGGGCTTGGACTGGAACCACACCATCAGCGTTCCTGCGTCTCCAGCTTGCAGATGTCAGATCATGGGACTTCTCAGTTTCCATAATTGTGTGAGCCAACCTCTAATGATAAATCTGGCCTTGGTGACCCAGGAGCCAGGCAGAGATCCAGGGTTTTGGTGAGTGGTGGATAGATGGATTGAAAAACGCATGCATGGGTGGATGGATGGATGGATGGATGGATGGATGGATGGATGGATGGATGAATGAATGGATGGATAAATCTCTGAAAGCTTAGACTGAACATCCTGCTTCTAGACCCACAACAGAAATTGTGCAGACTAGGGGGACCTCTAGGAGCCACACTTAGCCAGCGTCCCAGAGGGCCAGGGGGAGGCCTCCATGTGGGATGAGCTGATCTTGGAGCTCTGGGACACTACGATAGGGTCCCTGGTTGGAGCCACAAAGTTGGCAGCAGCAGGAATGGGGCCAGGGCTCAGGACTGCATGGGATGAGGGGCTCCCTGCAGCTCCTGTGGGCTGGGAGAAGGCTCCTGAGAGGTCCCAGAAAAGGCTCATTCAGCTTCTAGGAAGTGTTCATGGTGTCCCTGGCTTCAGCTTTGGGATCCAGGGGCAGAAGTCTATATATGTGGCCAGGGTCTCTGGGCTTGTCTTGTTCCTGGGGCTCTGAGGACTGAGCAAGGCCAGGTGAGGGAAGTTTGAAGGCACACGGAGAGATAGGACCCCCTAGGGCAGGTGTGTGGAGCTGCAGGGCCCTGGGCTCAGCCAGCTGGGTCTCCCTGAACTCTCAGGAACACTGTATTCCCCTTGCTGTTAGGTTGGGTCAGCGACTGCTTTGGCCAAGGGAGTTAGGGTGAAAGTTGCTTGCTGCTTCTCAGCTGTCCTTAGAAACATCTGGCACTGCCCTCCAGTCCTCTCACACCTTTCCACTGCAACCTTGGAAACTGTGTGCTCTATAAGATGTAGCAACAGTGTGGGAGCAGCCAGGTACCTGAGTCCCCTCTTTGAGAAAAGCCACCCAGGAGGGCCACCCAACCCACACCAGGCTGAGAAACACAAGTGAGAAATGAATCTTTAGCCCATCAAGCTACTGAGATGCAGCCTTGATATTTTAACCACAGTGTGTGGTCTGTCCCGTGTTTATTCCAGTGCGGTTTCTCTCAGGGGGTCTAGGTTGATGGGGAGCCAGTGATGTGACTTGTCATGGATTTGGCACTTCTGTATTATTCACTGATCTCAAAAATAGAGGCACACGGCCCAGGAGAAGCAGCATGCTGTTCAAGTCCAACAGACCTATGTGCAAACCCTCGCTCTCACCGTTACCAGCTGTGTGTCATTCACCAGGCAAGTTACTTATCCTGAGCCTGTTTCCTCCTCCAGAAAATGAGTATAGTGACTCCACATCACAACATGGTTGTAAGAAAGAAGACCTTGAGTAAAGTATCAAGCATTGTGCCTGACACATAGTAGGTGCTCAACAGAGGTGAGTAACTTTCTTCCTCACCCTCAGAGATGCTCCAGAAAGCTTACCATTTATTTTTTCATTCATTCATATGTTCCTGCAATAATATTTATGAAGCACCTACTGTGTGCCAGCTTCTGTTGCAGGCACTGGGGATACCGCAGTGAACGACATGGATAGAATTCTCTGCCTTAATGGAGTGACACTTCGTTGGGAAGAGACAGTCAACGCCATGCATGGGGTGTCTGTATGTGTGTGCACGTGTGCATGTAGAGGCGTGGTCCTAGGAGGAATAGGGTGAGGATTTCCTTTTTCTTATTCTGAAGCTCTTTTTGATTTACAAAGAAAATGGAATCAGGGCTGGAAGATGCAGGAACCAAGTTTGAGAGAGTCTTTGGGGACAGTGGGTACAAGCAGTGCTCTGTGGGGCCTAGTGACACAACACAGCACCAAGCAGGGGAGAGAAACACCTCACATGCCGTACATAAGCCCCAGGGACACTTGGGGACTCCAATGTCTCATGGAGGGCAGAAGCTGCCCAGGGCCCTGGTGCTTCCATGCAGTATTTTGATAAATTAGGTGTTGATGAAACAGAAACATACAGATAAAATCTCTCTGGAGCACCCACGGGTTCCAAGATGGAGGGGAATTGTTTGCTTGGCAAAGTGCATTTTGGGTTCTGCCCAAACCCTCATGGTTGGAAAATATATCTTTTTGCCCTTCCTTTTTTGACACCCCAAACACCAAGGGTTGTATCTCGCCCCGGGAGACAAACCAGCTCTTTTAGGCCGGTAGTCGCAGCTACTCGGTAGGCTGAGGGAGGAGAATTGCTTGAACCTGGGAGGTGGAGGTTGCAGTGAGCCGAGATCATGCCACTGCACTCCAGCCTGGGTGACAGAACAGAAGGAGGCTCTGTCTCAAAAATAAAATAAAAATAAAAATAAAAAAATAAAAACCAAAAAAGGAATGGAATATCCACAGCGGCCCTTCCCTGCTGGCTGCAGATGGAAAGCTGTGCCTCGCACAAGCGCAGTGGATTCTGGCTTCAGCTCCTGACTCTTCTGCATATTGTGTGGAAAGTGCACTCGGAGGCCTTGCAAGCACTTCTGTTGGTGCAGGAGTCGTCTAGTGCGATGGGCTGGCCATGAGCCTCTCAAGACCAGGCCTGTGTGTCATTCACCATCATATCCCCAGCCCTGAGTGCAGTGTGTGGTACAAACCAGGAGCTCAATGTCTCCATTGATGAATGAATGCATGAACGAGTCTTTTTTTTTTCTTCATAACAACCCATGAGGTAGGGATAGATATTCTAATTTTCCAGTTGAAAAAATGGAGGCTCAGTGAAGTTAAGTAACATGCCCAAATGTACACAGCAAGGCTGTAGAAGAGCTGAGATTTGCACCCTCCCTGACTCCCGACTCTGTGTCTCCTTCATGATCCCTTGTGTCTCAAGGGATTCAGGGAAGCCAAGAAGTGTTTCCAGCTTTGGGAGCTTGAGATTCCTATGGACTTGGACTCCCAGGACTATGGACTCCTGGCTTTGGGAGCTTGAGATTCATTCCTAAGACTCAGTCCTAGAACACAGTGTTCACCCACTCCCTGGTGCTGTGAGCAACAGCAGCTAACATCTATTGAGCCAAGCACTGTGCTAGGTACTTACCTCGTTTTGCCTTTACAGTGTCCTGTGAGGTTGATCTTACTAGTATCTCTCCCCCTTTATTAGATGGGGAAACTGGAGCTTGAGGGGTCAAGTGAGTGGCCACGGTAATGGCTGGTGAGCCAGGGCAGAATTTGAATCCAGGCTGCCTCATTGAAGAATCCCCTTGCCTCAGCCAAGGACCAAGCAGGAGATGCAAGGGGGTGGTAATGCAAGACAAGTTCATGTTCACCTGGCTGGGGTGGGGGCAGGGGCAAGGGGCTTCCTGGAGGAGGTGGCTTATGAGCGGGGCCTTGAAGAAGGGTCAATGAATTGTGGGTACAGAAGCAGGAGGGAACATAAGGTACCTAGGGTTAGGAGTGGACATTGGGGTTCTGTGAAGTCGCAGGTTGAGAAGCAAGCCCAAGATGAGAGCGACAGGAACCCAGCCTCATTCTGTAGGGTCAAGAAGTGGCAGCTGAGACTTCTACTCAAATTAATTTCTTTTCTGATACAAATAAAGAATAAGCCAACCAAGGAAGCTGTTGACCGTGTTCGTCTCAGATGGTCTAGAAAAGTCCACACTTGGAGGCTGCTCTGGCTCTGCCTCCTGTTCCGCCTCCCGCCACTGTGTGAGCTTGGGCCACACACTCTTCCTCTCTGAGCCATTGACCCCTCACCTGCAACATGAGAGGCAGATACTTCTACCTCCAAGGGTTATTGGGTTGGTTAAGTGAGAGCAAATTCACAGAATCCCTCTCTCTTCCCAAAGCAGCACAGCAGCAACAGACAACATCACAGGCTCGAAGTCGGATTGCTTGGGATCACCAGCTCCACAACCTAGGTGTAGCTGCAAATCCTCCCTCCGTCTCCTCATCTGGAAAATGGGGACAACTGGAGACTGTATCTCACTGGGTTATGGTGAGGATCACATGGGGCATGTCTGCATGATGCTTGGCACAATACCAGATGCACCGTAGGTAAGCAGTCAATGTTCACTGGAATTATTACCATTTGTGTGATTACTATCAGAAGTAGTAGCTGTAATGGGGAAATGTCTTACAGTGTGAAATGTCAGACTCTGATGCCCCTCTATTTTTGCACTTGCTGTTTGCTCTGTTTAAAATGTCTCCCTACCCTTAAGTCAACTTATCCTTAACGATCAGCTCAAATGTCATTTACCCTGGAAGGCTTTCCTGAGTCAGGGACCCCGGGTGGATGTACATGTGAACTCGCACAGCCTTGGATCCCTATCGCTACCCAAACACTTTCAGCATAGGATGTATCTGCCATCTCTTAGCGCCCCCATCTTCCTCTAAGACCATGGCATTGAGATGTGGAGACTGTGTCTGCAGCATCCCTGGGCTCTAGGGCCTGGCACCGAGGATGTGTGTAACCAACCTAGAAGACAAATAAATATATAACGTGCTGGCCCCAATGTCATCTCCTCAAATCGTCACAACCTGTCATCCTCCTTGTGGATACAAAGTGGTGGATAAAATACATTCTAATTTACCTTTTTTGAACAACATTGAAATGTGTTTGAAAAAACATTTGCATTGAAAATGATTGGAAAACATACAATTTTGTTCATGCAGAAAACGGAATATTGAAGAGATGGGGAAATGGTGTGACCTGCAGTTGCCAATTCATGATTTGATGGCTTCGAGGCTCAGCCTCAGTGCTATAGTACTGGTGATGGAATGTTTTGGGTACATTTTTTGCTGGTGGTGGCGGGGAATGGGTCTCATGTGTTGGAAAATTTATTCCATAAAATGATTCTCATTTTATAGACAAGGAAGCTGAGGTTTGGAGGTTAAGCGACTTGTCGCCTGCTGATGAGTGATGACAATCAGGCTGTCTGCCTCGGGCCACACCCTGAGGCTGCTAGGCAGTGTCTGCTGAGACAAGGCCAAGGCGGGCTGCTCGCTCTGGGCAGACCCACTGGGGGCCTGTGGAGCTGTCTGCAGTCAGCAGAGCTGGTAGTGAGCTCTCTCTCCCCAGCGGGGAAGTCATCAAGAAATCTCCCATTTTCATCTTCCTGCAGGCACGTCTCCCTAGAGAGGTAAGTCTCATGCGTCTTAGAGCCATCACTGCAGGGAGGCAGTGAAAGGTTCAAATATGTGCCCTGGAATCTCTCCCCAAACTTTCTGACGCCACCAGAGCTCAGAATTTCCAGGAGCCTGATAAGATGTGGGGATGGGGGAGGTAAGGGGGCTGTTCTCCAGCTTCAGGAATGTTTAAACCTGGCAGGAGTCTCCCTGGGAGGATGCTAGGTCCCCTGTGGACCCTGGGAGTTCCTGGAGGATGTCCCTGCTCCGTGACTACTGGCGAAGGTAATGAGGACCCTATCTCCAGCTCCACTCCCTCCTCAAAGGCTCCCCCTCAATGGCACGTAGCAAAACCTGCAGTACATAAGCAGCCCTCCCCACCCAGCTCAGCCTCTGCGTGTCATCATGCCCTTCTCGGGACACCTCTGGACATCCGTCTGGCAGGAAGCGTCTCCTTGTCACAGCCCCATTTCCTCGCGCTCAAGTCGGGATCTGAGGCTCAATCTGGAGTTGACGTGACACTGTTTATAATTCCTCGCAGTTCCTCCGGGGTTATCCGGTCCTCGCCAAGCCCACCTCTTGCCTTTCATTTCAACTCTGAAATATGCACCAGGTCAGGGGCATGGGGATGGGCTGGGGGAGGGATCCTGCTACAGCCCTCGGCTTGTGGCTTGCACAGCCAGCTGAGGCTTGGGGTGACAAAGGGAGGGTGGACTCTGCCGGGTTTCCAGCCCCAAAATAGTTCTACCAACCATCACCAGCTACCCAGGCCACAGCTGATGGAAGGTAGAGAGGACAGGACAGCTCAGAAAGAGTTGAGGAGTGCAGCGATCAAGACTGCTGGGTAGGGGACAGGCAGCCCAGAGGGAAACTGAGGGCAGGAGAAGGGATGGAGAGGCCCTAAGGGGGAATGGGAGAGTGTGAGCCAGGGACCTTAGCATGAGTCATTCATTCATATGCACATTTATTCATTCATTGCCTGTGTTCACTCAAAAAGCATTTAGTGAGCACCTACCTAATGCACGGCTTTGCATATCACCAGTCCTGTCTGCAAGCTTCCTCGTGTAAATATTAGGTTCGTGCAAAAGTAATTGGGATTTCTGTCATTACTTTCTTTTTTTGAGGTGGAGTCTCGCTCTGTCACCAGGCTGAAGTGCAGTGGCGCCATCTTGGCTCACTGCAACCTCTGTTCCTGGGTTCAAGAGATTCTCCTGCCTCAGCCTCCTGAGTAGCTGGGACTCCAGGCATGTGCCACCATGCCTAGCTAATTTTTGTGTTTTCAGTAGAGATAGGGTTTCACCATGTTGGCCAGGATGATCCCTTGACCTCGTTATCTGCCCACCCCAGCCTCCCAAAGTGCTGGCATTACAGGCGTGAGCCACCATGCCCGGCCTCTGCCATTACTTTTAATGTAAAAACCGCAATTACTTTTGCACCAACTTAATAGTAATAATCGTTCCCATGCATTGTTTGCTTCTCTGTGCCAGGCACTGGCTAACAGCTTCCTACACATTAGCTCATTTAATCATCACATCAAGCCTCTGGTAGGGAGCATTTTTATCATTTTACAGATGAGAAAACAGGCACAGAGAGGTTAAGTAACTTGCCCAAGACCACACAGCTAGGGAGTGGCAGAGCTTGGAATAACACCCAAGCTTGTCTGAGATCCCTAAGGCTGTGCTCTCAGCTCTGCACTATACAAACCAGAGAGAAGCTCCCACTTGTCTAACAGGCCGGTGGAAAGTAGTTTCTGGAAGGAAAAGTGGGAAGGGAGATTGGTAGTTGCCCAGGGACTCAAGAGAAGGAGGCAACAGGTCAGATTCCCAGGGCTGGGCACTTCACAGCTTAGGGTCTGCGGCTGTGTCCACCCACCAGAGTCTGACCGCACGCTGCTGAATTGAAGCTTTCAGCTGTTGTTTTTGGCACCAGAGACCCAGTTTGATTGGACTTCTCGTTGGTAGTTTTGGCATATCTTGTGAGGTTTTCTTTTTAATGAAGAGATTAACAGTCGCCGTATGTTACATATCTTTTCAGGCAAATTCCACAAACATTGACGGAACCCTTGCCAAGGTCCAGAACCATGTTGAGGAATTGGTCCACATTTCCTCATTTAACCCTACTGTAATCCTCAGAGGCCACTTTATCATTTCCATTTTATAGAAATCCAGAGGAGTGAAGAGGACTGTTCCAGGCAACTTGGCTAATAAATAAAATTATTACGCCTGCAATTTATTGGGCATCTACGATGTGTTGGACACTTCTGTCAATTCCTTTTAATTCTCACAGTTCCCCTAAGGTTGGAGGGATCACAGTAACCTTACCAAGGAAGAGACTGAGGGTCGGAGAGGCCCAGACACTCAGGATATGAACCAGGATTCGGACTCAAGGGCAAAACTTTTTATTCTGTACCGCAGTTTCTTCCATTCCCCTTTACTGCATTCTTTGTACAAGTTTTGTTTTTTTAACTTTGGATTTTGTTACTAGATTTTTCGGTGCGTATATCCTGATCTCTACTTTCTGCTTTATTGCCTCAACTGTTCAGCTGGGGTGTGTTGAGCCCCTTCTGTGTGCCAGGGCCTCTGCTGGGCACTGGGGAGCAGAAGGGAGGAGACACAGACCCAACTCTCAAGAAGTTTGCAGCGATGGGGAAGGCTGACACATGGGTCAGCCACAGCTGTGCTGCTGGGAGGTGTGACAGAGGTCATGTCGTCGGGCAAGCTTTCTGGCTCCCCTCTGCAAAATGGGAATATCAGCAAGATTTACTAAGAGTGGGGATGTAAAGCGCTAAGGGTGATGACTGGCAGGTGGGGATATCATACTACGCGGTGGAGACGATGTAATGATTATGCTATCTTCCCAGAGAAATGGCTGGGTTTTTCCCTAAAAAGCCCAATAATGTTTATATGTCAAATTGTTTATATATTAAATGTTGATATTTATACTCCACAGATAGAATCATAATAGATCAGAACTAGGGGAGCCCTAGAAGATCTAATAGATCCTCTGGTCAACCTCCCCGCTATATAGCATGTAATTGAGTTTGAAAAATGCTATAGCAAGCTTGACACAGATGTGGGAGTTGGCTAAATGTTTGCATGTTTGTATGTGTCTGTGAGGGTGCAGTCTACAGTTCCTTTTATTTGCAGTTTTGTTTCATCTGTTTTACAATAATAGTTTCGGTAACCCTATACCCTGCGTTGTTGGGGCAGTCCAAAACCCCTTTAGAAAGTGACATGAATTAAAATTTAACCATTTGCATGAGAAAATAAATATAAATGTCAAAATGCACAAAAACGTTCATATCAGTGCTCTCTAAAACAGCAGACCACAAGAGTTATGATGCTGTGGTCTATCTACTCAATGGTACATTATATGAGCGTTAACAGACAAGTTAAATGAATACAAAAGATGCAAAGCGTATGTAGTCTGCTTGCCATTAGGTTGATCAGTCTTAATCTACACCCTAGGGACCACTTGTTAATGCCAGAAACATGCCTTATTCAGGAAAATACCCACTGCAGAGGTAGGTAGTTATGTGAAGCAACTAATCAAAATTGCACCTTCTGGAGCCAACCTGGAAGGACAGCCAGTGGCCCAAGCTGGAACAATTTGAGCCATGAAATTCAGAATATGCGATTGGATTGTAGCCCAAAATATACAATAAATACCCATGAGTCCATACTGATTTAAATAAACAAACGGGGGAGAGGAGATAAATGTTCCTTTAGAAATCAGAAGAATTCACTGACGAGAAGAAGGCAATGCTTCCAGTCCACACTCAAGGGAGCGGGGATAAAGAGCCCCCCTCCCGGAGATAGCTTAACTGCCCCCCACACCACCCTCGAATGTAGGCTGGACTTACTGCCTTGTTTTCAAATATAGAATATAGAAAGGGGGAAGACAGTGAACTACAGTGAAAACTGGCAAATAAGACCTTTACCAGGGACCAACATCAACGTCAGTGATGGGGCATGTTGAAGGTGCAGGTCTTTAATATGATGTGATGATAGGTAACTTCACCTCTGTGGCAATCTTGCCCAAAACGAATCACCCACTTGACGATGAGACAAACATCAGATAAGCCCAAATTGAGGGATATTTTACAAAACTCCTGACAGCACTCCTCAAAAGGGTCAAGATCATTAACGATAAGGGAAGACTGAGAGACTGTCACAGACCAGAGGACCCTAAGGAGACACAATGACTAAATATAATGTGGTTTCCTGGATGGGACCCTGGAAGAGAAAAGGGACATGAGTGGAAAACCCTAGAGAAATATGAGTAAAGTCTGGAGTTTGGTTAATGGTAATGTACCAATGTGAGTTCATCAGTTGTGGCAAATGTGCCATAGTAATGTAAGCTGTTCACATTGGGGGAAACCGAGTGAGGGGTACATTAATGGAAACTTTCTGTACTATCTTTGCCACTTTTCTAAAATTGTTCCAAAATTAGAAGTTTATAAGAATTTTCACCTTTCTAAGAAACTTCTAGAAGTACTTTTGCCATCTTTATCTCCAGTGAAAACCAGAGCATGACATATGTTAGAAATGATTTTCTGTGGGTGAAATGAGGGGTGCTCACCATTGGGGCTGTTGCCTAGGCTGTCCTGCCTGGGCATAACTCATCTTGAAGAATCTAGAAACCTTAGTGTTAGGATCTTCAGCCTTTGTAGTTCTTCCCAAGACGTGTGATTCCAAATTAGTCTCTGTTTGGGTGCTCATGGAAATTGGTTACTGGAGTTTGTCAAGCTTTGCTGAATCTTACAGCTAGAATATGGGCATGTCTGCTCTAAGAGTCCCTAAAAGAATAAAGCCTGGACTTCCCTGGAGCCACGGAACAGTTCTAGGACAGCTTCTGTGACTGCTTGCTAGTAAATATTGACACGTGAGCAAAAATTGACCCAAAACTTGCTTTCGCTCTCACCTGGTAGTGAGGTTGTAGGGGAAGGCCTCTGACATCCCTCAAAGAGCCCCAGAATTGCCCTTTCCAGATGTCAGACTTTGGAACAGGTTTTACCTATGTGCTGTGTGTGTGTGTGAGTTGAGACTCTTCTTTTTGTAAATTATCAGAACCTAACTCAAATTGGCTGGATTCACAAAAGGAAATGTGTTGACTTGAGTTTCTGGGAAGTCCAAGGGGTGGTCTCTTCTGGCATGAATGGACCCAGAGGTTCAAATGATGTCAGCTGGACTTCCCCCACCTTTCAACTGTCTTCATTCTTCAATAGGCTTTCTCCATGGCAGCCCCGGGCCTCTGTTATCCGGATTGCTCCAAAGCTGGAGGAAATGATAGTCTTGCCTTGAAGTTCCACCAAAGTCCCAGGGAAGACTCTAACTGGGCCAGCCCTGAACCCATTATAGTCAATCACTCTGATTGTTCTTGTGTGCTCCCCTGGGACAACCCGACCTGAAACATATTGATTATTGCAGAATGGGGGAAAGATAATCTCCAAAGAATAAGAGCCCAAACCGCTGTTTTATCTTAAGCCAAGTCTTCAGCTAGAACTTATCACACAAAAGAAGCCAACTAAGAACAATCCAGTGTTAAAAAAATATGTATATATATCACACAGAATCTCTAGAGGACAGAGTCCTGTCCAGGGGTCTGGAGTCAGAAGTTCTGATCCCAGTTCTCCTCTAAATCACCGAGTGACCTTGGGCCGATCACCTCCCCTCTTTGACCTTCCAGAGAGGCATTCTGTAAAATGGCATGCTGGGGAATGGGTTATGCAGGGTGTTCAGAAAGGGGGCAGAGGGAGAGGAAAGGAACCGACATTTGGAGACGGTTAGTAACTCTTCCCATTCTGTGGATCCTGGTAAAGAGAATGAAAACAGCCTGTCTTACAGAGACACACAATTCGGAATTGAAGCTGCCAGTTCCCCCTCCCCAACCAGGTGCCTGAGCTCAGTGCCAGGGACAGAGAAAAGCCTGGGGTGGGCTCTGGTACTTAGAGTATAACAGTGCCCCATGTCATGGAGATAAATGCCAGAGTGAGAAAGCCCTCACTAGAGGGACATAATTGTAGCTCCTTCCTTAGGGGGCTCCTGTGAAACTGAAGTGAGAGAAGCCAATGACGAACCGCTCAGCCAGGGCCGAGCACTCCCAGCTACAAGGAAGTCCTGTCTAAAGTCCCACTGGCTTTTGGTCAACACCCACGTGTTCTCTCCCGGGGCCTTGTGGCACAACTGTCCCCATCACCTTCACTTAACTGCTCAAACTCTCTCTGCTGCCTGGCAATGAAGAGTGAACTGAAAATGCCATCACCCGGAATATCCTTGATGAAGCAGTACAATTTATTAATTTTATTAAATCCTGACCCTTGATTGCATGTCTTTGTAACGTTCTATGCGACTAAGCAGGAAGTGGACGTAGGGTGCTTCTCATACACACAGGTGCATGTCTGAGTTGTGAGAGATGAACAGCTTCTTATTTCATAGAATCCCCTTTTTTTCTTGAAAGAACAACTGATAAGCAAACAATGGTTGTTTAGACTTGGGCATTTGGCAAACATTTTTGAGAAAATGAATGAAGTGAGCCTGTCACTTCAAGGAAAACAATGGACAGTATTTGTTGCCAACAAAAAAATTCAAACTTTTCAAGGAAAATTTGAATTTTGGAAAATTTATATCCATAATTAAGTGTTTCCCAACACCTAAAAACTTTTAAAAAATGAGTTTGGAGGTAGTGTTAATGAACGAGACTGTTTGATATTGCATGACAAAAGGTGTCAACATTTGGAATCTCGACATACTTCAGTGAACCAATATTTTCCAAGTGACCAATGTGTGACGTTGCAAAAGCATCAATGAATAAAAGAGCCATTAAAATTCAAGATACAACAATGGTTTGTAATTTAACAGAATACAAAAATTTCATTTTGACATGATTTCAGATTCCACATTGAAATTTTAAAAGAAACTGACATTTGTCAAATGCTGATGTACCAATCAAAACTAAATATTCACAATTACCTGAAAAGGCAATTATAATACTCCTCCCTTTTCCAATTATATATCTTGGTGAAGCTAGATTTTCTTTATATCCTTCAATCAATGCAACATATCACAACAGACTGAAAACAGAAGCAGACAGGAGAATTCTTCTTTTATTAAGCCAGACATTAAAAAGACTTGCCAAAGTGTGAAACAGTCATTCTTCTCAGTAAATTTTTTGTTTTAGAAAATATAGTTGTTTTTAAGCTGGTGTGGTGTCTCACTCTTATAATCCCAGAGCTTTGGAAGGCCAAGGCAGGAGGATCACTTGAAATGGGCCTGGACAACATAGCGAGACTGTCTCTACAAAATATATATATATATATTTTTTAATTAGATGGGTTTGATGGTACATGCCTATAGTCCTAGCTACTTGGAAGATGGAGGTGGGAGAATCACCTGAGCCCAGGAATTCAAGGTTACAGTTATCTATGATAGCACCACTACACTCCAGCCTGGGTGATAGAGTGAGGTCCCATCTCTAAAAATTAAATAAGTAACATTTAAAAAGAAACTATAGGGGTTTTTTCCCTTAAAATATGCATGTTAACATGCACAGGTTTATGTTTTATTTTAAATGAATTAGTATATATATTTACATTTTTCAGTTTTAATTTCTAATATGGTGAATGTTTATAGCTATGTATGACCCACATAAACAAAAGCTCTTTGGAGTCCTCAATGATTTTTAAGAATGAGACCAAAACATTTGAAAACCACTGAATTGCAGCTTGGCTCCAGGGAGGCAGCTCTTAGACACTGGCCAAGCACTTCCCTGCCTCTCTCCCTATGGCCCAGAAGCAAAGGCCAAGCAGAGTTTAGGTGGTCTCCTCCCACCCCATTGCCTCGAGGTGGTCTTTGTGCCCTCTTGTCCCATACAGAGGCAGGCACAAACTCCCAGCCCCAGGTCACCATGAATCAGCCCTGTAGCCAGTTCCCTGAGAGACTGGCTGAGCACAACATGCTATATGCCTCAGTTTCCCCATTTTTGAAAGAGCAGATTGGCCTGGCCAGTCCTAGGGGCTCTGTGGTAGGCTGGATAATGGTCCTCAAAGATATCCAGATCCTAATCCCTGGAACCTGTGAGTGTTACCTTATATGACTAAAGAGACTGAAGATGAGATGAGAGATCTTGAGATGAAGAGATGACCCTGGATTATCCAGTGGGCCCTGTGACTACAGAAGAGCCTTCCTGAGAAGAGATCACCCAGCCTCTGCTTAAACACCACCTGTGAAAGGGACCTCACTGCTCGCAGTGGTGGAAGCAGGTGGCTACTGTGTGACCATCGCTTTCAAAGGCGCCGGCATGCACATTGGAGGGTAAGCCTCTGTTTTCTCATCACACAAGTCTGAAGCTGCTGTGCCAAGGCAACTTGCCTGTAAGCACTCTGCTAACAAGGGGCGGCATCTGTCTGACCCCTGAGCCGTGCTCACACTGGGACTTGCTCACTTTCAGAATCCAGCCCAGATTCTAGCAGAGACTAGACTCTCAGAAGTGATTTGTAGAATTAATTGACAAAATGAGTCCTTTCAGCCTGAGCCTCCCAGAAGTGAGCCAGCTATTTCCAAAGGTTGGTGGGAGAACGCGTAGGGCGAGGTTCACTAAGCTTACTTGTAGGCAACTGCAGTGCTGTCCACCAGAAATAGGAGGTGAGCCATTGTTTAGGGCTGAATTGTGTCCCTGCGATGTTCATGTGTTGACTCCTTAGCATCTAGTACCTCAGAATGTGACCTTATGAGGAGATAAGGTCTTTATGATCAAGTTAAAATGAGGTCATCCAACGTGACTGGTGTCCTATAAGAAAGGGAAATCCATTACTGGGTACATATTCAGAGGAATATAAATCATTCTATCATGAAGACACATGCACGTGAGTGTTCACTGCAGCACTACTCACAATAGCAAAGACATGGAATCAACCTAAAGGCCCATCAATGACAGATTGGATAAAGAAAACGTGGTACATATACACCATGGAATACTATCCAGCCATAAAAAGAATGAGATCATGTCTTTTGCGGGAACATGGATGGAGCTGGAGGCCATTATCCTTAGCAAACTAACAAAGGAACAGAAAATCAAATACTACATGTTCTCACATATAAATGGGAGCTAAGTGATGAGAACTCATGAAAACAAAGAAGGGAAAAATGGACAGCAGGGTCTACTTGATGGAGTGGGGGAGGACGGCGAGAAGCAGTAAAGGCAACTATCGGGTTCCAGGCTTAATACCTGGGTGATGAAAAATGTACAACAAACCCCTGTGACACGTGTTTACCTATGGAACAAAACTTTACTTGTACCCCCAAACGTAAAATAAAAGTAAAAAACAAAAGAAGGGGAAATTTGGATACAGATAGTACATAGGGAGAATGCCACCTGAGCGTGAAGGCAGAGATTGTGGTGATGCTTCTGATTGCTAAGGAAGGCCAGTGACCACCAGCAGCTGGGGGAGGGGCCTGCAACTGGTCCTCCCTCACAGCTTCAGAAGGACACAACCCTGCCCACACCTTGAACTTAGACTTCCAGCCTGCAGAACTTGAGATAACAAATTTCTGTTGTCTAAGCCATCCAACTGGCAGTACTTCGTGACGGTAGCTCTAGCGAACGAATACAGCCATATATTTTCTAGTAGGCACATAAAAAAAGGTAAAAGAGGCTGGGCATGGTGGCTCATGCCCGTAATCCCAGCACTTTGGGAGGCTGAGGTGGGAGGATCATGAGGTCAAGAGATAGAGATCTTCCTGGCCAACATGGTGAAACCCCATCCCTACTAAAAACACAAAAATTAACTGGGCATGGTGGTGGGCACCTATAATCCCAGCTATTTGGGAGGCCCAGGCAGGAGAATCCCTAGAACTCAGGCAGGAGGTTGGGGTGGAGGTTACAGTGAGCCAAGATCACACCACTGCACTCTAGCCTGGCGACAGAGCGAGACTCCATCTCAAAAAAAAAAAAAAAAAAAGGTAAAAAGAAACACATGAAACTAATTTTAGTAACATAGTTTAACCCACGATAACCAATATATTATTGCTTTAACATATAATCTATGTAAAAAACTATTAACAAGATATTTTCCATTCTTTTATCCATTCTTTTGTTTGGTCTTCAAATTCCCATGTGTTCTACCCTGACAACACACCTCCATTGCACTGGCCACGTGTCAAATGTGGAGCTCACAAGCTATGAGTTGTCACCCGCTCCGTGGCTGACAGGCTGGCCAGGCAGGTCCTGCGGATCTGAATCCCTCTCCATATGAATGCAGGCCTGTGTCTGGGGCCTCAGGGAAGTCTCGATTCCCTTTTCTTGTCCAGCCCTTCAGCTACAGAAGGCCAAGGCCAGCCGGAACACTTGGGGCTAAGAGCCCTCTGTTTCTCTAACTGCTGCAGTGTGCTACACCCTCCGCCCTGGCCTTGCTCAGCTCTGGCAGGCTTCTGTCTGCCCCGGCCCTCGGGGTGTGGGTATAGGTGTGCATGTGGGTTTTTTTTTTTTTTTTAACCTCATATATGATTGCATCCATGAGTTTTCATCTTTTCCTCTTATGGTGAAGAGGCTACTGCTATGAATCTGACCTCAGGCAAAGGCTTTATTTTCTGTCATCTTCCCCCTAAAAGAGTTGGTGGTAATGAACTAACCTGAGAAAACCAGCCAGGAGACGGTGTTTTTTTTTCCCTCTGGAAATGCAGATGAGGGGGAAAAAGATGATCCTACTCTTGTGGCAGGGGGACCAACTTACCCGGCTTGCCTGGGACTGTTAGATTTGGTGCTGAAAGTCTCACACCTGGGAAACCTTCAGTCCCAGGCAAACTGGGGTGGTTGGTCACTCCACTGTATACCCAGTTAGGGGCTATCTGCCTCAGAAATAGGGGCAGCATATGTTTGTTCCTGTGTAATAAAGGAAAAGGGGTGTCAGACGGGCTTGTCTGCTGACTCAGAGAGTTGGAGAGGGCAAAGCTGAGGTTTATCCTTTTTGTTTGGCAACTGGGGAAACTGAGGCCTACAGAGGGGGGCAGGACTTGCTGGGGGTTGTCAAGGCCACAGCTGAATTCCTTTGGACACCCTGCCTGCCTCCCTTCCAATAGCCATAGCAGTCTGCTTGTGGGGAAGAGGTGGTCGTGTGTAGACAGCACCTCTGTCTGAGTATCCTTAAGGAGAAAGATGACAGTCGATGGTAAGGTCAAACGGTCTAGAATTGGGAACAGGGGACAGTGATTTGGCCCCAAACCCTGGGGCATCAGAGCCAAGGGACACCTGCCCAGTGGGAGGTCTCTGTGAGTGTGCGCTGAGGGAGCCCGTTACCTCCCAAAATGGCTCAGTTAGGATGTGTAGGGTCACTCAGGAGGGCTTTTCAATGGGGTCTGCCCTCTGCCTCTTCTGATAATGTTGTAGGCTCAGTTGGGGACGTTTGTGGTGTCCCCTGGGCTGCAGCAGAGAGAAGCTGGTAGCGTCTGAAGCTCCACCCAGGAGCCCTGCATCTGGTGTGCTGAGCCAAGAGTGCTGCAGAGGGAGCTGGCTGGTAGCTCCCTGGGCCTGTTCTGAAGGACCTGTCTTCTCCCTCTACCTAATCCTAAGTGGGGATGGAAGGGTGGGTAGCCAAGAGTCCTGCCTTCCACGCTGCTCCCTCCCCTCTCCCTGGGACAGCCCTTGCAGAGCCAACAGAGATCTGCAGCTCTGGGAAGTGACCTTACCTTGGGGAACACCAGTTGTGTCTGCATGACGTCCACTGCTTCATTTTTAACCAAACCAAACCAAAACAAAAAAACAAACAAACAAGCAAAAACAGGAAAAAACAAAACTCTAGTTTGGGTTTTATACCTTTTTCTCCTGGGGCCTAAGTGATTACACTGGTGATTTGGTCTCTTTTGAATCATTGAACCATATTTCACAGTTTTCACAGTTTTATCTTCTCACAGTCTCCTTTCAACTCTTCGATTAAGCTGTAGCTGTCTGCGGTCTGCCTTGGTAATGACAGCCACCCTGTTATGAAGCGTCTGCTGTGGAACAGGCACATGCTGATGCTTTGCTTCAGGACGTCCCACTGCAGTTTTGCCCCACAGGTATTAATAACCTGATTTGACAGATGAGTGAAAGAGATTTGAGTTTTAAACTTCGATGATCCAGGTACTTAACTTTAATGTTATTTTCACTCTTTCTATTTTATCCACATTTTCCTCCTTTCTTTTTTTCTTTTAGTTGGCCCTATCTTCTTATTAACTTGAGGATGTTCTTCTGTTGAACTTCATCCTCTTGGCTGAGGAATCCTTTGGATGAACACTGAGCCAATGCAGTTGACTGTGAGGACAGGCTCACCCCAACAAGGCAGCGGGAGAAAGCGAGATCGTACGGCGAGCCCCTCTTCTCCTTGTGCTGCCTCGGAGGTCTCAGGCGGAGGAAGTAAGATGCTACGGCGAGCCCCTCTTTTCCCTGTGCTGCCTCGAAGGTCTCAGGCAGGAGGAAGTGAGATCCTACGGTGAGCTCCTCTTTTCCCTGTGCTGCCTCGGAGGTCCCTCCCATTTGTACCTCCCTCCCAGTTACAGCCTCAGGGAGCCTCAGCCTCTGCTTATCACATTTTAAGGTAGAACCAGGCTGCAGTAGCTTCTAGGACTTGGCATGGCTGCTACTTCAGCCCAGAGTTCCTTCTCCACCAGCTCTGCCTGGCAAGCAGTGACTCGCCTCTCTAGATTTGGCTAGAGCAGCTTCTCTATAAATTCTCCCTGGCCTGCTCCCCACTTCCCTCCTCCTCCCCAACTCCTAACAAGAGCACCAGGGGCATGTTGTGGCCATTGTTTGCCCTGTGCCTGTTCCCCCACTGGACTGGGGTCTTCCAGGGGTCATTTGGATACAGATAGTACATAGGGAGAATGCCACGTGAGCGTGAAGGCAGAGATTGTGGTGATGCTTCTGATTGCTAAGGAAGGCCAGTGACCACCAGCAGCTGGGGGAGGGGCCTGCAACTGGTCCTCCCTCACAGCTTCAGAAGGACACAACCCTGCCCACACCTTGAACTTAGACTTCCAGCCTGCAGAACTTGAGATAACAAATTTCTGTTGTCTAAGCCATCCAACTGGCAGTACTTTGTGACGGTAGCTCTAGCGAACGAATACAGCCATATATTTTCTAGTAGGCACATAAAAAAAGGTAAAAGAGGCTGGGCATGGTGGCTCATGCCTGTAATCCCAGCACTTTGGGAGGCTGAGGTGGGAGGATCATGAGGTCAAGAGATAGAGACCTTCCTGGCCAACATGGTGAAACCCCATCCCTACTAAAAACACAAAAATTAACTGGGCATGGTGGTGGGCACCTATAATCCCAGCTACTTGGGAGGCCCAGGCAGGAGAATCCCTAGAACTCAGGCGGGAGGTTGGGGTGGAGGTTACAGTGAGCCAAGATCACACCACTGCACTCTAGCCTGGCGACAGAGCGAGACTCCATCTCAAAAAAAAAAAAAAAAAAAAAGGTAAAAAGAAACACATGAAACTAGTTTTAGTAATATAGTTTAACCCACGATAACCAATATATTATTGCTTTAACATATAATCTATGTAAAAAACTATTAACAAGATATTTTCCATTCTTTTATCCATTCTTTTGTTTGGTCTTCAAATTCCCATGTGTTCTACCCTGACAACACACCTCCACTGCACTGGCCACGTGTCAAATGTAGAGCTCTTTGGGTGCCTATCCTTTCATCCTTGACCTGATATTCATCAGGGTTTTAATGTTGCATGAACAAATGACTTGACTAAATAATACCACCCAACCCAAATCAAGTCAGGATATGGTTTGCCTTTCAAGATGTGTTGGCTTGCTGTGGATTGAGAGACTTGGGTCCATGCAAACCACCACTATTAACCAATTCCAGGACTTCGAGAAGGCACCTGGGCTCTCCAGGTGGATGCAGGCTACCTTTAGGGAGGTGACTGGGGTAAAGGAGTGGAAGAGGGGTTTGCCATTCACTGCAAACTTTTGTATTTGTGCATGTACGTAATTCAGAAAAAAACCAAACAAACCATTTTTTAAAAAAGAAATAATGAGATGGGAATTTAGTGGAAGGGGTACTGAATGAGAACTAAGATGATTTGTGGAAATAGAAGCATGATATTCTTATACTCCCGATTTTGTGGACTGGTCTTTACAGCTGCTTTGGTGACCCCAGGGCCAAAGGGCCTTGTCAGGACGGATAGTGGGAGCTGTAGGCAGGGGGGTTAACTCAGTGTGAGGAAGAGGAAAAGATGCAGACATTTATGAACTAATTTATGTTTCAGAGCTTATATTATGCCACTAATATTATTATATAAATTTATGATGAATGCCAACCCTTGTGAAAATCCTGCATTAGTTTCAACTATTAGTTTCCTATTGTTGCTGTAACCAATTACCACAAACTTAGTGCTTAAAGCAAGACAAATTTATTATCTTACAGTATTAAGAAGTCCTAAAATCAAGGTGTGGGTTCTTTCTGGAGGCTTTAGGGGAGAATCTGTTGCCTTGCCTTTTCTAATTTCTAGAGGCTCCCTGCATTCCTTGGCTGGTGGCCCCATCCTCCTTCTTCAAAGCCAGCAATGTAGCATCTTCCAGTCTTGGAATTCTGCCTTCTCTGCCTCCCTCCATAGGGATACTTTTGATTGTATTGAACCCAGCTGGATAATCCAGGCTACTCTCCCTTGTCAAGATCCTTACAGAGACCTCTATAAAGTCTCTTTTGCCACCATATAACCTAACATGTTCACAGGTCCTGGGGATTAGGACATGGACATCTTTGGGGATTTGTCTTAGTCTGTTTCCTGTTGCTTATAATAGAGTACTGGAAACTGGGTAATTTATAAAGAAAATACATTTCTTACAGTTACGGAGGCTGAGAGTTCAAGATCAAGAGGATGCATCTGGTGAGGGCCTTCTTGCTGGTGAGGACTCTTGGCAGAGTCCCGAGGCAGCTCAGGGCATCACACGGAGAGAGGGCTGAGTGTGCTCATGTGCCAGCTGAGATCTCTCTTCCTATAAAGCCACCAGTTCCACTCCCATAATATCCCATGAATCCATTAACCTATTAATCTGTGAATGGATGAATCCATGAATGAGGGCACAGCCCTCATCACCTAATCACTTCTTAAAAGTCCCACCTTCAATATTACCATATTGGGGATTAAATTCCAACATGAGTTTTGGAGAGGACAAATATTCAAACTATAGCAAGTGTCAGCCAACAACAATGACTATCTCCACTCCACAGTACCTGGAGCCTGGGGGTTCCTCAAGGTTAAAGTACCTCACCCAAGCCATGCAGCTAGGGCGCTAGGGCTGAGCAGGTTCTCCTGCAACCATGACGACTCTTCTATGGTCCCAGCTGTCTGAGTTGGACAGGGTCCCTTGGCTCCCTTACTGAGCTTCCTGTGCATGCTGGAGGTGTGCAAGGAGAGGCAGGGGCCCACCTGGTATAGGAGGATGCAAACATAGTAGGTAAAGTGGACATTAGGAGTGCAGACTAGAGCACCCTACAGATACGAGGCACTCATTTGCCAGCTGCCGGGAGAGTTGGAGCCAATGGTTCTCTGTGAGTCCCTCTCCAGAACTTGCCCTCAGTAAGGGAGTGGCTTTGCCTCAAGTTGTGCCCCCTCCTGGGGGACAGCCCACATCTAAAGGCTCTCTACGGGGCCACCCCAGCTCCAGAACTCCATGCAGAATCTGGCCAAGGCCTTTGTTGTGGCTGCATCACTACTCGACATTTCCCTCCGCCAGTCCTCTTCCCTCATGCCCCCATAGGGATTCTTCGTGACTCCCAGGAGCACCATCAGCAACCCCCCTGCATCCATGTCTCTGTCTCAGAGTTGGTCTCCCCGGAGACCTGATTTAGGGCAGTGGAGAACAGAGGCAGGCTGGACTTCCACGAAGGTTTCTCCCAGGCTCTGACCTTCCATGGGAAGGTGACGTGGTAAGAGCAGCTAGCCCAGGGCTGGAACATTCCCTTTCTTACCTCTCTCTGTGGCTTGTGGGAAGACTGAGTAGCTGAAAGACAGAGCAAAAGCCAACATCACCACAAGGGCTGCAAAGCTGGGCATGATCTGGTCCCATTATCTCTCAGATTGGCCTCATTTCCTGCTTCTGGTTAAGTTTCACTGAGCTCTTTGCTATTTCTCAAACCTGCCAGATGCTTTTCTGCCATGTGTGCATGCTGTTCCTTCTGCTTAGAACGCACGTCCTCCAGGTATCTGAGTAGCTCACTCTTTCATCTGCTTGGAGTCTGTTCAAACACCACCTTCTCAGGGAGGTCTTCCCTGACCACCATATCTATACCCACACCCCCACCTCTCCCAGCACCCCCTTTGTTTTTACTTTTTCATGTAGTTTCTATCCCTTCCTCATATACTATTACACTCCCTATCACTCACAACGTAAATACTATGATCACTTTATAACGTACAATCTCACCCATAATACATATTTGTTTCATCTACTTATTTATTTTGTTTTTGTGTCTGATTTACTCGGGACTGTATCTCTGCTGCCTGGAATGGTGCTTGGCACATAGAAGGGGATCAGGAAATGTTTGTGGAATGAATGAAAATTTGGGGGTTACATTAAGTCTTGGAAGTGATACCAGGGGCCCTTGGACCCAACACTGCTCTGAGATGATAAAGCGTAAGCATGAAATGATGACGTGATGCCTTCCTGTTTTGGGCAGCCTGGGTTCCTGTCTCTGTCACCACCATGCTCCCCACCCCAGGTCACAACCACATAGTGCCTGCACACTGTGAAAGGGCCACAAATTCTTTTTTTGTTTTTTCTTTTTTGAGATGGAGTTTCACTCTGTCACCCAGGCTGGAATGCAGTGGCGTGATCTCCGCTCACTGCAACCCCCGCCTCCCGGGCCAACGGGTTCTTCTGCTTCAGCCTCCCGAGTGGCTGGGATTACAGGCATGTGCCACCACACCCGGCTAATTTTTGTATTTTTAGTGGAGATGGGGTTTCACCACATTGGCCAGGCTGGTCTTGAACTCCTGACCTCAAGTGATCCTCCCGCCTCGGTCTCTAAAAACTTTGAGATTACAGGCGTGAGCCATTGTGCCCAGCCAAATTCTTGAATAAATGAGGGAGAGAAAACTGGGCCAGCCATCCCCGTTTATCAGGTGAGGAATCCAGGTTTTAGGGAGAGAGGTACCGTGATTCCTATGGGAATAGCTCAGACTGCAGCCTGAGGCAGCCAGACGAGTGCATCAGTCTTGAGTGCAGCAGCTCAGCCAGGGCAGGCTGGGAGGAGGGCCTAGACCTGCTGTGCCGCAGGCCACTGCCCTCGAGGGGTCTCTAGTCCATGGGGAAATAGTGCATAGAATGCAGTGTCCTGGCTTTGCAGGATGTCCCCCAGTTGATGGTTCCTTCGGGATTATAGGGACCAGTGTTCCCACCTGGGCTACCTTGTCCCCAGGAGGGCCATCAAGACAGGAGTGTGTGTAGGGGATGGAGGTAGGGTTCCCCTAATTTGAATATGGCCAAGGCCTTACAGAAATCACACATCTGCCCAAGAAGAGGTGACACAGCCCACTCAAAACCTCAGGCTTATTTATCTTTTTCTGAAATTAGATACACTCCAGTGGGAAACAATGAGGTTGACCAGAAAGCTGGTTCATGTCCCATTCAACCAGCCTTCCTCATTGAACGGTCCCCAGCACATACAATTCTTCCCGGAGAGGGATTCCGTGAATAAAACATCCCTGTATCATCGTATAAGAATGCCACAGAAGCCATAACCCTGCCAGGGTGGGCAGAGAATGCAAGAAAAGAGACATTCAAATAAAATGGAAGTGACAGCCTGCAGGAGTTAAGTCTCTTCCCATTTTTCTAACCCAATGACTGGCTAAGTGTTCTAGATAAGGCAACTTCTTTTCTGCTCCACATTTGTATGCAGGAAAGGAGGCTGAAGGTGGGCCCTCCTCCCTGGGAACCCCCAAGGCCTGCCCCCTAACACAGCCCCTGAGTTGTGGAGCTCCGAGCTAAATCGGAACCTGGGTAGAGTCCGGTGGAGCTGGGTGAGGCCTGCCGGGCAGAAATCCCAAGTGTTATCATTGCTGTGCCTGGATCCTTGAGGAGAATGCAGGCCAAACTCGGCTGAAGCATCTCTCTTTGGGGAAGTTGAGAAACTTTGGCCTTTTTCCTTGATGAGGCCTCAAGACCTTAGTTCAACACTGAATAAACCACACTAGGACACTGGATTTGATGGAGTTTGGCAGCACGATCCCACTGGGCTTCCTGAGAGCTCAGCGCCCAGGTGGTGCAGTCAGGACAAATGTCCCCCCTACTTTGATTGGGTCTTCACATGCAGTGGACCAAGGTCTCATCTTCATTGTGGAGGTTTCTGAACGCGAGAGAAGCCATCTGCCAAATGGACAGAGCCCTGGTCTGGCTTGCAGGCTGCAAGCCACTGTGTTCCATATGCCCTTGGGCAAGTCACCTCTCCAGTCTCCCCATGTGTGGACTCTCAAAGAGTTGTTGGGATAATTTTTTTAAAAACTCAACTACTGTCTTCCTTGCTCTCTGCCTCTCCCTGGCTCCCACCCCTGATTCAAACACAGTGAGTAGGTGCTTATTCTTGCCCCTCTCTGCCACAGGGAAAGAAGAAACAGTGAAGAGCAGAGAAAGAGCTTGCCCAGCTTCTGATTTTCAAAAACAAGCTGGTGTTTTCCTGTAAACAGATTCAAGAGAGATGTGACTAGCTGTGTTCTAGAGACTGTGATCCTGAATCTGGCATCTTCATCAGCTTCTGGGATCAAATGCTATAAAACACCAGTAGAGAGCCAGTTCTATCAGCTCTTAGCTGTGTGACCTTGGACAGGTCACTTAACATCTTTGTGTCTCAGTCTCCTGCATGATAAGATGAGGGTGGTGACTGTGCCCAACCTTGTGGGATTGACGCGAGGACCCGATCAGCAAATTCACGACAAGCGTGCCTGGCGCAGGTAAACCCTGGGTGGATATTTGCTATCACTATCATCAGTAGCATTATTGTATTACTGAAGTCAGTGGTTTTTAAACTTTTTAAAAATGGCAGAGCCTTTTCTTCAAATGAAATTGGATGCAAATGCCCAGGGCATAACTGGAATAGAGCACAGCTGCTTGAATGGAAATGGGGAGGAGGAGGTGCGTGAATCACCCTTTCAGAATAAAGTCCCTCAGTGCCCCCTCATGATAGCCCCGAGGGGGCTTCAAGGAACACTATTAAAAAATCTCTTCCATGGATACAAATGAAAAATGCCAGCAGACTGCTAATAAATGCCTGTTCCTTTTGATAGAGACCCACCTCATCATTCTGACATATTATACTATGGCCACAACTTCAGAGGTCATCGTTTCCAGGGGATGCTGGGGAGGGAGAATCCGAGATGGAGATGAAGTTTGGTGGGGGTGCCACTAGGATCAGCACTGGGTGATGGAGACATTGGGCTGTGATGAGGGCCCAACAGAGGCCCCAGCCCCCACCATTAGGAGCTCTGCAGATGGATGACCTGTCAGAGCTGCCCCAGATGGGGCAAGAGGGCTGGGCCTTTAGACCCAGGTTGTTCTGTCACCGGATGCAGGCTGTCCTGGAAGGAGGGAGGCCTGGGGCAAGGGAGCTCTCCCACAAAAGCGCAGGCAGCTGAAGCTTGTCTGCTGCAGGCTCTCTCAGCCTCTGGGAACAAGTCCTTGCTCCCTGAAGGGGCTCTGGGAAGCACAGCCTTTCATGCACCTGCTGAGCCTTGGGGACACAGCGGTGAATGACACAGACCCCGTCCTTGCCTGCTTGTTGCTTACAGTCAGGATGGGAAGATGGGCATTCAACCAAGCAGATTAACTCACATGTAATTGCAGGGGTGGCTAGTGCTGTGAGGGGCCAGAAGTGGATGCTGTGGGAGATAATAAAAGGATGGCCTCTGAGGGGAGGTGACATGTAGGCTGAGACCTGAGATGGCGCCATGCTGAAGTCTCAAGGGGCGAAAGGCTCAGGAGAGCTCACAGACAGAGGAGGCCAGCATTGAGACCAGAAGCCTTGCAGGCCATGTGACAAGAGTTGGGATTCTTCTATGCACAACGGGAACAGGGCTGCCTTCTCCATTGGTCTCAGTAGGCACCATGCCCATGGCCCATGGAAATGTTTGAAATGCATTTTTTTTTTTGAGACAGGGTCTTGCTCTGTCAACCAGGCTTCAATGCAGTGGTGTGATCATAGTTCACTGCAGCTCTATCTCCTGGGCTCAAGCAATCCTCCCACTGCAGCCTCCCAAGTAGCTGGAACTCCCGGCATGCACCACCATGCCTGGCTAATTTTTTAAGTTTTTTGTAGAGACAGGGTCCTGCAATGTTGTCCAGGCTGGTCTTGAATTCTGGGACTCAAGCATTCTTTCCCCCTTGACCTCCCAAAGTGTTAGGGTTACAGGCATGAGCCACTGCATCAGGCCCAACTATAAATTTGCCCCCTTCTCAGCCGAGGCTTTTTCTGTAGAAGGTACCAAACTGACAGCCTCATCTAGCTGTGGAGAGACTCCATAGGTCGCTGTCTCCTGATGCCCTGGGCCACAACCAACCATAAAGGGCTGTCTTGGTTTGAGTTCCCTGAAGTCAGAGCCTGGAGACAAGATGTTGGGCCTTGGAGCAGGTGAATGACTAAGGAAGTGATCCCGGGAGCAAGAAGGCATGAGGAGCGTGAGACAAGAGGGAAAGAAGCCAACAAGGTGACCATCACTCTGGTCTCTGCTGTGAGCGACTTGCACCAGGTGCACTGGGGACCCTCGAAGAACCACGCGGAACATACCACAGATTGTCCCTCAGAGGAGGGGAGCCCAGGACATGTCCCCAGTGCTCCCATTCCCTTCAGGTGATGTCCTCAGGGCAATAATGCCACACTTCCCTGCTGTCCCTGCTTGCAGGCTGTGAAAACAACCTCAGCTTTCTAGAAAGTTCTGTGGCAGAAACACTGAGATATAGTGAGTGCTTGTGTGGGAAGCCCAGGCATTGGCAGGATGGATTTGCCCCAGCCACAGGCTGGTCAGAGGAGGTGGGGGTGACACAGGGCAGGGCCCACCAGCAACTGCCGCAGCTGGGCGGTATTTACCAACCCACTGAGGGTACGTCGTGGGCTTCCTGTTCTGGGCTGCATTATGACTTTTGTGGGCCGCTTCCTCCAGAAAAAAATAAAATAAAAATTCTATTTTACAACTGTGTTGGTATAAAGATGACTATAATCTGGGCTGGATTTATTAGTAGTATATATGCATCATTACATTTATATTTTTCTTTTTTTTTTTTGAGATGGAGTCTTGCTCTGTTGCCCAGGCGGGAGTGCACTGGCATGATTTCGGCTCACTGCAACCTCCGCCTCCCAGTTCAAGCAATTCTCCTGCCTCAGCCTCCTGAGTAGCTTGGATTACAGGCATGCGCCACCACATCCAGCTAATTTTTGTATTTTTATTAGAGAAAGGGTTTCACCATGTTGGTGTGAAGTTCACCCTTCCCATCTGTCTCATCGTGCATTCATCTGCACACATGGAGGGGTGCCAGCCCCATGCTGAGCACTGGGTGCGCCTGCCGGGGAAGTACAGAGGCCTCGGCCTGCCCAGGGGTGGACAAAAACCCTGCAGCCAGTGTGGCCACTGTGCCACTGAGAGGAGCCTCCCCTGCCCCCTACAGTGCTGTGATGAGTGGGGGATGGGAGGGAGAGAGCACAGGAAAGTCTCCTGGGGACACCCCAACCCCTTTCGGTGGAAAGAACTGACCCCTGCAGGGGGCTGAGCAGAATCCCGGGCTGGGACCCCGAGGTGCTGAGGAAGACTTCCTGTGTGTAAACCCCATAAACAACTCGATTTTCCTGGTCCCCTTGGCCAGGTGGCAGACAGCTTTCCAGAGCTTACATCTCCAGGATGCGTATTTTTTCAGAAAAACAAACAAGTGGATGCAGAGTTCAGCCCTACCCATTCCCTGGGCAGGGCCCCTGGCTGGCTGGGTGGGCAGAGTCTCTTCAAACTCAGGGAGAAACCTCCAGTCACCAGTGGGGACCCAGCCATGTGTGGGAATAGAGGATATAGATGTGCCACTCCCCCACCCCCAGCCCCTGCCTCAAAGAGCTCCCAGCATGAGAGGGAAACAGATGCAGAACCAGACTCACTGCAGTTCCAATGGTGATGGCCAATGTTCACCAAGGGCTCAACCAGACTCACTGCGGTTCCAATGGTGATGGCCGATGTTCACAGGGGCTCAACCAGACTCACTGGAGTTCCAATGGTGATGGCCGATGTTCACAGGGGCTCAACCAGACTCACTGGAGTTCCAATGGTGATGTCCGATGTTCACAGGGGCTCAACCAGACTCACTGGAGTTCCAATGGTGATGGCCGATGTTCACAGGGGCTCAACCAGACTCACTGCGGTTCCAATGGTGATGGCCAATGTTCACCAAGGGCTCAACCAGACTCACTGCGGTTTCAATGGTGATGGCCAGTGTTCACAAGAGCTCAGCACGTGCCTGCCCTTGTGCTGTTTTCTGCCATTTAATCTACAGAACAACCTCACGAGAGTGGCTATTCTGAATTTTCTCAGTTCTAACACATCTTTCACTGGGAGACCCAACACTGCTTTAATAACAATAATTTAAGGAAAGAAAGAAAGATACCCTAATTAAGTATGTGTCTTGAATTGATATGTGGCCAAATTTCTATAAAAATTGTGAGTATTGAATTTGGGGGAATATTGTCCCCATTTTCCAGGTGGGGAAATGGACCAATGTCCCGACCCTTGCTCTCTAGTCTGGTAGCTGCCTTAGCTGTGCCATCTCGACAGTGCCAGGTGGGGCCAATGCAGATGCATGACAAGCCTGGCGTGACCCTGGGGCGGGTGCCCTGGAGATGCAGGGGGTTGGTTGGATAAACGTTCTTGTAGCAACCGCCGGACGGGCCCTTGAAGGACTGGCAGAGGCCATGTGGGGTGTGGGGCGCATCCAAAAGGGGAGAGTCCTGGAAGGAGTGAGAATTAAAAAAAGCAGGGATGGAACAAGTGCAGGCTGCCTGGGACCCTTGGAGATAAGGCCCTGAGAAGAGCGGTGGTGGTGCTTCCACCCAGCTCACCCGCCCCCACTCCCATGTTATCTCCGACTGACCCTCCCTCTCTGGGCTTGGTCTCTCCCACTGTGGCCTAGAGTGTCCCCAAGGGCCTCTACCTTCCTGCAGGGTCCTCACGCCCACTCAGCTCCTGTTTACACCTCTGATCATGTGGTATGTATAGTGTGTGTGTGTCTGTGTGATGTGTATGGTGTATGTGTGTATGTCTGTGCAGTACATGTGTGTGTCTGTCTTTGTGTGAGTCTGTGTCCATGAATATCTATGGGGTGTGTGTGTCTGTGTGATGTGTATGGTGTATCGTGTATGTGCATACTGTGTGGTATGTATGGTGTGTGTGTCTACGTTGCATGTATGGTGTATGCATCTATATCTGTTTGGGGTGTGTATGTGTGAGTCTGTGTGTGGTGACAACTGGCATCTTTTACTCCCAAGAGTACTGGGTTAGACCAGAACTCATATGGCCACCTTCCTCTTGCCTCGATGCTTTCAGCCTGCCTGAAGCTGAAGCCTAGAAGAGCTGACATTTCCGGAAGGCCCAACTCCTGCTTTCAGTCTCTCCCCATCAACCACACACACACACACACACACACACACACACACACACACACAACCACACACATACACCTGCAGACATACATGGACACACAGAGACAAACACAGCATACATACCACACAGATATGCACACATACACCATACACATCACACAGACACACACACCCCATAGACATGCATGCACACAGACAGACCCACATACGGACAGACACACACATACATACCACACAGACACACACACACACATACACAACCACACACATACACCTGCAGACATACATGGGCACACAGAGACAAACACAGCATACATACCACACAGACACGCACACATACACCATACACATCACACAGACACACACACCCCATAGACATGCATGCACACAGACAGACCCACATACGGACAGACACACACATACATACCACACAGACACACACACATATACCATACACATCACACAGACACACACACACAATAGATATGCATGCACACAGACTCAGACACAGACACACACACAGATACATGCCACATAGACACACACACACGATATATACCACATGGACACACACACCACACAAAGACACATGCATACAATGAACACACACACACACCACAGACATGCATGGACTCATACACAGACTCATACAGACCATGCACCACACAGACACATGTGCATACAGACACACACACAGACTCACACACACAACCCATAGACATGCATGGGCACAACACACACTCACACACCACACGGATACACACACACACCATATACACCACACAGACACACACATATAGACACATACACATACCACATGAACACACACATATGTCATATACATCACACACACACACAGACACACCCCAGACATACACACATATACCATACATGCCACATAGACACACACACACCATACCTACCACACAGACACACACACACATACACCATACATAGCATACAGACACACACACACTATACATACCACATGGACACACAAGCCACACACAGACACACTCAGACACACACACCATAGACATTCATGAATACACAGGCCCACACACACCCCACACAGATATACACACACAGAGACACACCATACACCACACAGATACATATACACAGACACACACACACAGACTCACACAATCTGTAGGTGTGCAGGGACACACACAGACTCACGCACCACACAGATACACACACACACCATATACACCACACAGACACGCACATACAGACATGCACACCACACAGACACAGCCGTTCTCTCTCTCATACACACCCCTCCTTATTTAGTGGACCCAAGGGAGAGATAAAAACAGAGTTTACCACCGTAAAGCCCCTCACACTTTCAGCAGTTGCGTGGCACACAGAGCCCGGGACCTGGGGAAATGGGTCCCTCCCAGGACCTGTTTCCCTTTAATATCCAGGCGACCCTTTTAAAGGGGCAGCCTGCTCTAAAGTTCTGGGCCTATAAGAAGTTTTCTTCTTCACTGTTTAAGAAGCTCTTTCAAGCTCCCTGGTGTGAGGAACGCCACTTTTAAACATGTTTATCCTGAGGGACTTCTGAGAAAGTCACTTCGGTCTGCCTGGCCTTAGAGGGACGGGTGACTCGGGAGCAGCTGCCGCCTGGGAGACCCCACATTTTCCTGGTGACTTCAGTGTGGAGGAACCAGCACCCGCCGAGAGGGCCCCCCCCTCCAAGGGAATCCCACGGGCAGGCCGCCTGGGGCAGGCTTGGCTGGACTCCACTGGAAAGCCTCCGTCTGTGTTTGGGAGGCAGGTTCACCTCTGTCCAGCCCCCTGGCTGAGGACCAAGCCCCCGGGGGCCACGGGTGACCTGAACAGGCGGCCCTGGCCCTCCCGCCAACCCCAGTGGCCTGCGCCTGGCCCGGCCCCTTGGCTCCTCGAGTAAATCAGCACCGTCAGTGTGGTAGCAGCTTGATTAAAGTTCAGGGGTTTAATAGATCATTTAAAAAAAAAACCCAAATTACTCCCACCCCAGCCCAGCCACCTGGCCCGCTGCCCCCGGTGCGCGGCAGCCCTCGGCCGGCACCGCCAAGGCCAGGCCGGGCCGAGGTTCCTGCCTATTCCCGGAGGACGCCCGCCGCCGAGTGAGCCCAACATTCTCAGCTGCATTTAATCTGCCCTGAGACAGGCTGGCGATGAGAAAATGCAAGGGGCAAGGCACGTGAGGCGAGACGTGGAAGGGGTTGGACAGTTGGTCGGCTTTGTTCACTTGGTAACCTGGAGCGGGGCCAGCCTCGGAGGAGCTCCCTTGGCAGCAGAAGTCTGTTCCAATTAATCGTGTTTAACCATTCTAATCACACTTTAGCACATTAATCCTATTTTCAATCCAAAACACATCTGAAACAGCGGCATGTGGGCCTTTTTATGGGAACCGCAAATCAGATGTAACGGAGAGACACAGGGCCCTCGTTTGCTCTGCACTTTCACTGAACTTAAACTTAATAAAATATGGGACTGGCTTGTGGTTGGATTTACTGCACGATGCTGATGCTTTCACATATAAATAGATCCCTTAAGTGACTTAAAAACCTGTCAGAGAGTGCAGCGAAAATTTGATTATAAGGTAACCAGTGCTGTGCTTTCTCCCCCTCCTCCTAACAGTGCCATTGTGGGTCTGATCGGTGGGTGGGTGGGTGGGTGGGGGGCTGTCTGGCTTCCTGAGCCTCTGCTGGCGCCTGCCAGAGGTGGCAGCGATGCCCGGGGAGGCTCCGAGGGCTGGTGCTGAGCGGCCTTGTAAAGGGTTTATGGAGGTGTAATCTTGAAAACTTGATAAACCTCAAGCACCTCATCTCCGATGTTGCTGTCGAGTTTTTCAAGCAGTTTGACGTGAAGGACTTGTGTGCAGCAGGCCTGCAGATGGGGGCAGGGGGGCCTTCAGAATGACTCCCCTGCAAATGGCCAGGCCCAGAGGGGGAAGAGAAGGTTGTCCAAGCTGCCATGAGCCTGGGTGACATCCAGCCCAATGCCTGTCATCGGGAGATGATTCTCAAAGTGTGGAAGGCACTTGCCTGAGGTGAGAACTGCGTGGCGGCCCTCCAGCCCAGCCAGCACCCTTTCTCTTCCATTGAACAGCCCCTGACACACACAGCAAAGCTGAGGTCGTGCAGCCTGCAGTCATATTCCTTGCTGCAGTGATGCCTGGTCTATTAACCACTTTGTTCTGCAATAATATCCACTTCATTTTATCCTAAGCCCAGTCAGTGGTCCGTAGGCAGCTGCTGCAGTATGAGAAGGAACCATTTGCATCTGGATGAAAATGCGGCTGAATTGGCGATCTTGCACTACACCTAGGAATCATGTTGGGTGCACCGGCCTGGGAGGTAGGAGTCCTGAGTTCAAAGCCAGTCTCTGCCACTTCTAAGCTGCGTGTGCTTCAACTAATTATTTCCCAAGTCTCAATTTCTTCGTCCACAAAATGGGGATGCCAAGGATACCTTCCTCGTGAATTTCTGTGTGTATGTGTGTGTATTAAGTCAGATAATCAGCACAGTGCATGGCATGCAGTAAACATGGCACGCAGTAAACACTATAAACATGTTAGCTACCAGCTTGCTCAAAAAATCAAGGACAAAAATGTTGAGGTTTCCTCATCTATTACATAGAGAACTGATTCCTGGCACACAGGGTCAGTGAGCAGATTAAGGAAGGTGACATCAGAAAAAGTATGTGCTCAGTGAATATTGGCTCTTAGAAGGAGCTTATCTTTAGTACTTTATGTCAAGAGAGGTGAATAATAAAATTGTCTAGAAATTTTAAAGTTTTCAGAAGAAAGAGAGGGTGCAATTAGATCGAATATCTGCACTAATATAGCTAATTGTATTTGAGCATAAAATTTGGGAGTGAGTTTCTGGAAAAGGGAAGAAGGGGAAATAAAAAGAAGTCAGTTATCCTCACTGTTTATTTATTCAGTAGTCAATTTAGCCAGCACTCACTTAGGGCCTACTATGTGCCAGAAACTGCTTTGCCAAGGTTATGGAGAAAGATGGTTGATCCTTCAGGTCCAGCTTTCCGTATGAACTAAACGATCAGCTTAGTCTACCATGTTGGCTCTGGAATGATTTTATAAGGAGTATAACAACATCCCTATAAGCAGCTCCTTACAGGGACCCTTGATAATTCTGGAGAACTTCATCCAGAAGTCAGACAAGGCCTTCTCGCAAGGACATTCCTTTAAAATGAATTTGCAAATATGCAACTTTGGGCTCCTTTCTGTCTGAAACAGTACGGATTTCAGAGGTGCCATGGAGAGAAACATATGCAGAAAAAGAAAATGCAATGCCTAAGTGAATCTTAATTTGGACCTGGGGTGGGAGTGATCAATTCGTGCTAAATGAAATATGCAACGGTTCATAATGTAGTAGGAAATGTGAAAAAAGATGTTGCAAAGAACTTGGATAGGAACCAGGATTAGAGTCCGATGTTTGGCTTTCTAAGTAAACACGTCTAGCTTTTTATTTTACAAATAACAATCTGGAAAGATGCATTAGGGAATCCAAATGCAAAATAGAAATGAGTTTATCCAGGTAAGTAAGGTTTTATTAAACAATTTAATTCATTCCAGTTCCTTTGGAAGAAACTGTGGGTTATGGTTAATGTTCTGAGCCAGACAGAAAGTGCATTCATGAAGCCACCTGCATTTAATATACAACTGTCAGAAAGCTGCTCACCAGCCCTTTCCCAGAGAGAAACAAGCTGAAGTAGATTTTATTTTGGTAAATGCAACAACAGAAATGGCCAATGAATATTCAAGGCAAGGACAATCTCAAAACGGAATGTTAGCAGCCGAGAACATGAACAGGGTTTCGAAGTACCAAGGACCTTTTACAGTTCTAGCCACTTCTAAATGCAGCATGCTGGAAAGAAACTTTTCAGATGTGATATGGGAAAAGGAAAACAAAAAAAAACTAAAAAGCCAACTGGAATTAAAACACAGGTCCCTGCAGATACTGTTATAAAATAAATCAACTTATGAAATAAGTCTGTAACAGTCATACTCAAACCAGGAAATTCTCAGAACAAGTATAATCATTTTATGAGTATGTAAAAAAATCCTCTGTTCCTGTAATATTCTTTACTGGGAAAGCTAGACACGTTTGCATTGGGGGTTTTGCTGTCTGCTTGGTATCCCTGGTATTCATGGTTTCAGAATAGGCATTTCTCAAGTCCTTTGGCAAAAGAAAAATCATTGCTTTTTATATGAAGGGATTTAACAGGCATCTGGTAAAAAGTAATAAAATTATCCATGATTACAAGTACACGCAAAAGCTCCGTCATGCAACAAGTTCTGCACGTTGGCGCTGTTACAGGCTCAGCATTTCTACCTTGAACTTCTGTCTGCTCCTCCTGTGTTTTCTGTAAGTCACTGAATGACTCCTCCCCTTAGTCTTTCCTATTTTTAAATGTTATTTTTTATCTAGGCTTTCAACAGAGGTCACGCCGATCACAAAATAGGTGCTCAGTACATAGGCAGAGGAGTTGGTAAAATGCAATCCCGAAGAATGTAAAATGCTATGGCTGGCTTAAAAAAGAGTATGGTGGTTCATTGAAAAATTAAACATAGAACTACCATTTGATCCAGCAATTCCACTTTTGGATATATAACCAAATGCATCGAAGGCAGGGATTCAAACTGGTATATTCATAGCAGCATTATTCAGAATAGCCAAAAGCTGTATCCACACAAAGGAATACTATTCAGCCTTAAAAAGGAAGGAAATTTTGGCCAGGCATGGTGGCTCACATCTATAATCCCAGCACTTTGGAGGCTGAGGCGGGCAGATCACTTGAGGTCAGGAGTCTGAGACCAGCCTGGCCAATGTGGCGGAACCCCATCTCTACAAAAAATACCAAAATTAGCCGGGCATGGTGGTGGGTGCCTGTAATCCCAGCTACTTGGGAGGCTGAGGCAGGAGAATCACTTGAACCTGGGAGGCAGAGATTGCAGTGAGCTGAGGTCGTACCATTGCACTCCAGCCTGGGCAACGAGAGCAAAACGATGTCTCAAAAAAAAAAAAAGGAAGGAAATGTTGACCCGTGCTACAGCATAAATGGACCTTGAAGACATTATGCTGAGTGAAATAAGCCAGACACAAAAGATCAAACGCTGCATGATTCCACTTATATAAAGTACGTAGAGCAGTCAACATCATAGAGACAGAAAGTACAGTGGTGGTTGCCCGGGGCTGGGAATAAGGAAAAATAGGGAGTTATTGTTTTAATGGGTACAGAATTTTGGTTTGGGAAGATGAAGAAGCTCTGGAGAAGGATTGTGGTGATGGTTGCACAACTGTGTGAATGCACTTAATGCCACTGAATGGCACACTTCACAATGGTTAAAAAGGCAAATGTTAGTCTATGTATATTTCACCACACCCAAGAATGCAGCCCTGAGAAAATGAACCGTTTCTCAACAGTCTTCATAGAAGCCCCATTAGAAGGACCAAGAGGGACAGTGCACGGAGGGGACAGACCTCAGGACCATGTGATTACAAGACAACAGCAGTATGACCAGAGACCCGACTCCAAGCTGGCTCCTGTGAAACGAGGCAAGACGGGGGTGCCCAGACAGCACTGCTTCGGGAAGCGAAGTCGGCCAGTGGGGCCGACGTAACAGCAATTGACATTTGTATGGCATTTGACAGTTTACAAAGCAATTTCATTTCCCATTATTTCATTATTGCATTGAAACAAGCCTGTGGGGTTAGTAATATTGTTGCTCCCGTTTTGCAGATGAGACAGTAAATGAAGGCTTGTGTGCAACAGCTAAACCCCAGAAAGGGGGTTGAAAAAATGAAATGGAATGGAATGCTGCAAGGTGGTGTTCCTCCTTGATGCCTCGGCATCTCCGGGGGGGAAATGAACCTTCATCACCTCTCAAGCTCTTTCTCCACCAGGAAGCCTTCCCAGAGTGCACATTGCCCAAAGAATGTGCTGTGCTCAGGAGGGTGGGGAGGAAGTGTGACAGCAGGAAAAACTGTAGAGGCATGGAGGGCATACCATGTGCTGGCTACTCTGCATTGGTCTCTCTGACTCTCCATTAATGCCTCTGTGAAATGGGAATGCTAACCTTGGTGAAGATCAGATGATTCTAGTATCTCCAGGCACCAAGTTCCCACCTGTGCTCGGTACATGATGGGCAGAACATTAGAGAACATTTTAATCCAGAGATCATTTTCTGAGCTTGCACTGCAGACCAGGCCCTGTGCTGAGGACTGGGAATGTGAATGTGAAGAGGGCAGGGTCCAGGCTCTCACAGCCTGCCGGTGCTGGTCCAGAGAGAGGCCTTGGGATCAGCCACTGAGTTTAAAGCTCAGGTCTGCCATGTACTAACCCTCTGTTTCTTCATCTGCAAAATAGAGATATTAGTAAAAGTTCCTACATCACTTTGGAAATTAGGAGGATGCAGTGAGGTGAGGAACACAGCATAAAATACGTACCAAACAGGCAATAACTATGATTACTTTTTGAAATTATGATTATAGATATAACAGAGGATGCTGTAGTAGCACAGAGGAGAGGACCTCAAACTCAGCCTGTGAGCATTCAGGAAGGCTTCCTGGAGGAGAGGACCTTGAGCTGAACCTTGGAGGATGAAGAATAGTTTGGTGAAGAGATGAAAGAAGTAAAGTTTGATTCAAAAGAGAAGTGGATGTACCCCGAAGAGTCAGGATGGAGGAAGTCACTAAACCCCGTCTCTCTCTCAACCTCTTCCTCCTCCAGGAAGCCTTTTAGAGCACACACTACCCAAAGAGCAAGCATCCCTCAGGAGGGTGGGGTGAAGTTTGTCAGCAGTTTCTAACATTGTCAGAAAGGGCAGAGATTGCTTCCCAAGAGAGTCTTCATTCAGGCTGTGTGACCTGCTTGCTGGTCAGGTCCTTGCTGGTCAGATCAGCTTGCTCCTGCCTCCTCTCGCAGGCTGCAAGTTTCCAAGGGCAGTAACTAGGCCTTACCTTGGATGCTCTACTGAGCCCAGCACACCCCTGGGAACACAGCAAGGAGGCACAGATACCTGTAAATCAGAAAACTACTGGGGTGACTCTAGAGCAGATTGCAATGGTGATTCCTCTAACCCAGCTTGCAGGCAGAAGCAGGGACCTACTTCAGAGGGACTTACTTTGCTAAGTGGCCATGCAGTCCCCACCCTACTGATGGATGAGACCAAGGTAAAGATGAGACTTCTGTTATTAAGAATAGAACAGAAACCTCCTTGCCAGGTCCTTTTGAATATAGACCCCCCTCCCCTTCCCGTGTAGCACTCACCACAGCCCTGTGCCATAAGACCTATTTCCTACTGTGCAGAGGAGCAGGGGGAGGTCAAGGTCAAGGCCAGCCAAGTGCAGGTGGGGCTGGAGGCCAGGCCTGCCTTTTCCAAAGCTCTTCTTGCCAGATGCCACTGCTGTGCTACTAGAGTGAGGAGCGTAAGAGGTGACCCCAGAGTCCCATGGGCATAGGTAGGGGCACTGGACCAGGCAGGAAGAGGCCCACGGAAATTCCTTCCTGCCTGGAATCCCTTTCCAAGGCCAGACTGGGGGTAGGGGGAGGTGGGTGGCAGGCCCCTGCGGAGCCTTGAGATATAACCGAAGGAGAACTGGTCATAGAGTCTGAGATATGTGTAAATCTCAGAGTGCCCCCAAATAGTCAAGCGACTTTGGGTTCAATGTGACTGAGGCTCGGTTTCTTTGTTTGTAAAAATGGGCTTAGTATGTCATCTCCTTCTAGAAGAATAAAAAATGGGATGTATGAAAATGCTTGATAAACCTTAAGATGCCACAGATGTCACTAGGCTAGGTGCACAGTAGGCGCTCAGCAAACATTTGCCAAATGACTTTTAGATAACCAGTTATCTGTGTAACAGTGGCTCTTGGTGCTGCATCTACGGAGTGATCAATCCACTCACAATATCGCTCCCTCACATGGATATGAACTTTACAAGGACTTAGCTGATTTGCTTCATAGACGCCTGGGAGCTGTGAGGGAAAAGGGCTTTCTACTTTGAAAGGGAAGACACTGAGGCCCTGAAAGCTGACTGACTTGCGTGAGGTCTCAGGGCTGGCAGATGGAGGGGCTGCACGCCTGGCTCTGAGACAGGATGACCAGGAGAGTCAGAAAGAAGAGAACTGAAGCCTGCCTTCCCTTGCAAGGTCATAGGCCACAGAGGTCACACAGCCTGAATGAAGAGGAGGGAGGAGTCAAAGGTAACTCACACTCCAGACAGATATGTTCACCACCTGCTCTATGCCGTCCGCCCTGTGAAGGCACCTGCACTGTAATCAACTCTGTTCTAACCTGGGTTCTCAACAACAGGGCTTTGGTGCTGTTCTTTTCTGGGTCCCAAATGCCTTGCCCTATGCTTGGCATGTAGATATTCCATGAATGCTTAGTGTATGAATGAAAGAATGAACACGTGGCCATGTGGGCTGATATGCTTTGGCTCTGTGTCTCCACCCACATCTCATGTTGTATTGTGATCCCCAGTGTTGGGGAAGGGGCCTGGTGAAAGGGCTTGAACCTCTGCCTCCCAGGTTCAAGCGATTCTCTTGCCTCATCCTCCTCAGGAGCTGGGACTACAGGTGCATGCCACCATGCCAGGCTAATTTTTTTTTTTTTTTTTGAGACAGAGTCTTGCTCTGTCACCCAGGCTGGAGTGCAGTGGCGTGATCTTGGTTCACTGCAGGCTCCGCCTCCTGGGTTCACGCCATTCTCCTGCCTCAGCCTCCCGAGTAGCTGGGACTACAGGCGCCCGCCACCACACCTGACTAATTTTTTTTTTTTTGTATTTTTAGTAGAGACGGGGTTTCACAGTGTTAGCCAGGATGGTCTCAATCTCCTGACTTCGTGATCCGCCCGCCTTGGCCTCCCAAAGTGCTGGGATTAAAGGCGTGAGCCACCGTGCCCGGCCAATTTTTGTACTTTTAATAGAGACAGGGTTTCACTATGCTGGCCAGGCTGGTCTTGAACTCTTGACCCCGTGATCTGCCTGCATTGGCCTCCCAAAGTGCTGGAATTACAGGCGTGAGCCACCGCGCCTGGCCATCAGTTATGTTTTTAAAAAATCAATTTCTTTCTTCATCTCATTTTCAGTTTTAATGGAGAGAATCGCCACGTTTGTCAATTTCTCTTGGCCAAATGACAATCTTAAAGAATTTTTAATTAATTTAGCTAACTGATACTGTCTTTCTTTAAAATTTTAGTATTTTGTTCATCATAAATTTTTGCATTCATTTCAAATTTTAAAAAATAATGCATAACAATTTGCAACTGCAAACATATGGAACCAACCTAAGTGCCTGTCAACTGAGTGGCTAAAGAAAATGTAGTATACATACACCATAGAATACTACTCAGCCATAAAAAGGAACAAAATAATGTCTTTTACAGCAACATGGATGGAACTGGAGGCCATTATTCTAAGTGAAGTAACTCAGGAATGGAGAACCAAATATCATATGTTCTCACTTATAAATGGGAGCTAAGCTATGAGGATGCAAAACCATAAGAATGATATAATGGACTTTGGGGATTTCAGGGGAAGGTTGGGAAGAGGGTGAGGGATAAAATGGTACATATTGAATACAATGTACGCTGCTTGGGTGATGGGTACACTAAAATCTTAGACATCTCCACTTATCTATGTAACCAAAAACCACCTGTAGCCCCAAAACTATTGAAATAAATAAAATTTAAAAATAGTGCATTAACATATTTTCCTCAGGAATTATTGTTTAATGGGTACAGAATTTCTCTTTGGGAAGATGAAAAGTTCTAGAAATAGACAGTGGGGGTGGTTGCACAGCACTGCGAATGTTCTTAATGCCACTGAATTATACGCTTAAAAATTAAAATGACAAAGTTTATATTACGCATATTTTACCACTATACATATGTGTGTGTATATATATAATTTATCTTTATTCCTGAGTTTTTATCTTTATTTCCTGAGTTTTCCTTTAAATTTTGTTTGTAAGGCAAGGAAGGGCCTCAGTTTTCTTCCCCTCTTCCCAGCCCTGACCAGGATACGGAGGCTCCAGGAGCAAGGTGAAGACCCAGTAAGCATGTACCACTGGCTTTACTGCAGACACAAAAAGAAAAAGATTCTGAATTTGAGCTAGAAGGTGGGTAACACCATCAAGAAGAATTGAAAGGAGAGGAACTAGATTTAATCAGTGCCTAAGCTTCCAGTGAAACATAGAAAAAAAATGAAGTGTTAGAAGAAGGTAGGTTCTTGTTTTCCCAGAGAAGAAACAAAGCTTTTGAGGTGGGGATGATAGCCAACTTCCAACAGTAACAATGGGCTAATGATGAGTGTTTATTGAGCACTTACTATGTGCCAGGAAAGGGGCTAGTGCATTACTTGCATTCTCTCACCTAATTCTCACAACACAAAGGAAAGAGTCACATTATCTTCATTTGCACCCAAGTAAACAGAGGCACAGGGAGATTAAGAAAATTGCCTAAGCTCACACCACTAGTGAGTGGTGGGGGTTAGAATCTAGGTCCCTGTGACTCAAGAATGCGTGCCCTTCACCTCCACCTTGCATTGCCTTTCATATCACGGCTGGCTACCAATTCTACCAATTCTAAGCTGGCTACTTTCTTTCCAGCAGAATCATTGCTGTTTTCAGTCTTTCCATCATTTATTCACTCATCCACCCAATAAACACACATTGGCTCTGAGCTGGGCACTGTAGGGAAATATAAAGGCGATTTTCCCCAGGTCTTGACCTCAGAGGACTTGGAGTCCAATAGAAGGTAAAAGGCATGAAGACATTTGACGATGCTAAAAGATAGAAGCATTACGGACAAAGCACTGTGCAACCCCAAATCTAGAGAGGTCATCAGGAGGGGCTTCCAGGAGGTGGTGGCCTTGGTACCCATGTTGAAAGCCTGAGCAGGCTCAGGAGTCCAAGATCCCATAGCTGGGGACGTCTTGCCTACAGATAAAAAGGATAGCATGGGATATTGGCAGGAACACTGGATCAGGAGTCCTGGGCCCTTAGTCTGTTCTCTTCTCTGCCTCTAACTCAGGTAATGTGCAATATACCTACCAGGCCTGTGGGGACTCAGTGTTCTCCTCAAAAACAAAGAGCAGGCTGGACTATATGTGACCAGCTTTCCATTCAGAAAGAGAAAGGAGAAAACATACATCAAATGTCCAACAGATGTGTCAGAGAGTAAAATATTTGGGATCTGGAGATGAAAACAACAGTACTTAATTATAAAAAGGTATGGAAAATTGCCCAGTGAGGGTGAATAAATATGCCTGAGCTGGTTGCTCTGCTCTCCACTTGGTTCAGTGTAGCTTAAATATTTGTTCAATATTTGTTTTGCATAAATTCCTTCAACGTATTAGTGGGTCCCTTTGATTATAAGAATAACAAACCAAGTAACTACATTGTCAAGAGAGGTCCTTACACATTGAAGGGGCCTCATTTTACCCCCTTGTGCCTTGACGAGCCAGGGAGAGGAGGGTGTTCCATGTCAGGAGACGTCAGCCGCTTCCTCAGGAGCAGCACCTGGGCTGTGGCCGGGCCTCCTGCTTCTCTGCCGTGGGGCCAACGTGGACACGTGTTTGAGAAGAATTTAGGAATTCTGGTTCGAATGCTGTGTTAATTCAGTGCTTTGAAGTCACAGCTGACCCAGACAGGCTCACTGATGTGGGTTATTGTAGGAGGATGAGGAAAATTTCCGTGCTGTCACACCAGGCCTCAGGGAGAGCTGGACCAGCTTTTGGCAGAGAGTAGTAGCTCTGGGGTTTGAGGGCCCCCCAGGTCTTCCCATCTCTACTGTTGTTACCCCAGTGCGGCCTCTAAACAGATCACAGGCAGGTCCTCTGAGAGAGAGCTGGTGGGGTTGGCCAATCACCATCCAACAGCCTCATAGACACACACCCCTGGTCCAATCAGGTAAGGCCGAGGCGGACCCATTGGGTGGTTCTTTGCCTATGAGGGCTGAGTGCCCATCCCTGGTCCAACTGGCTGAGGCCAGGGTAGAACCACTGGGTGGGTCTCTGAATAGGACTGAGAGTTGGCAGACACTTGTCAACAATCCAAGGGGAAGAGGTTTCTGGCAGTTCCTTTTGCTGGAAAGCTAGAATTGGTGAGAGAAAAGTTGGGAAAGACCATGCTTGGTTTGATGTGAGCAGTAATAATGAGGAGGAGGAGGAGGAGGAGGAGCAGGACAGGAAAAGTTGCTAACACATTTATTAACTTAATAGGTACCAGGTGCTGGGTTTTACATGCCTTACCTTGATTTACAAAACTGCTGATTCATCCATTTGCCTCCCCAAATCTTTTTACCCTCCCTGCACCCCAATGCCCTGTCGGCTGACCTCCATGGATCCATGGCCAGGAACCCCTTGCCTCTGGCCTCCTGAGGGTTTCAGCTAGTGGGACACAGCAGCAGGAGACAGGTGGGTGGGAGGGGAAGAGATCAGGCTATGCACCCACTGGTGCCTGCCCTGGCCTGGGTTTCCCATCTCTCAAGATGGCGACTCTATAGAGTCACCAGCCAGTTATTTGGAATTCTAGTTACCTCCCTGCTGCCTGCCCCATCCCCATTTCTTAGGGCCTGGGGTAGTTACAGCTGCAACCGCCACTTTGTAAATAGACCCTTTGTATACAGGCCCTTTGTATATAAACTCTTTTTTTTTTTAAATTTTATTTTTATTTATTTATTTATTATTATTATACTTTAAGTTTTAGGGTACATGTGCACAATGTGCAGGTTAGTTACATATGTATACATGTGCCATGCTGGTGCGCTGCACCCACTAACTCGTCATTTAGCATTAGGTGTATCTCCCAATGCTATCCCTCCCCCCTCCCCCCACCCCACCACAGTCCCCAGAGTGTGATATTCCCCTTCCTGTGTCCATGTGATCTCATTGTTCAATTCCCACCTATGAGTGAGAACATGCGGTGTTTGGTTTTTTGTTCTTGCGATAGTTTACTGACAATGATGATTTCCAATTTCATCCATGTCCCTACAAAGGACATGAACTCATCATTTTTTATGGCTGCATAGTATTCCATGGTGTATATGTGCCACATTTTCTTAATCCAGTCTATCATTGTTGGACATCTGGGTTGGTTCCAAGTCTTTGCTCTTGTTAATAATGCCGCAATAAACATACGTGTGCATGTGTCTTTATAGCAGCAAGATTTATAGTCCTTTGGGTATATACCCAGTAATGGGATGGCTGGGTCAAATGGTATTTCTAGTTCTAGATCCCTGAGGAATCGCCACACTGACTTCCACAATGGTTGAACTAGTTTACAGTCCCACCAACAGTGTAAAAGTGTTCCTATTTCTCCACATCCTCTCCAGCACCTATAAACTCTTAATGAATGATCCTAGAACTGTCCTATTGCAAAATTGCCAAGCATCTCCTGCTGGGACCTGACTACTCTCCCACACTTATGATGTAGGTGCTACCTTTCCCTGTTTGCACAGATTAGGAAGTCAGCTCTGAGATAGTTAAGGAATTTGGCCAACGTCACACAACTGACAGTGAGAATCCAAACCCCGGTCTGTCTGCTGCCAACGCCAAGCTCTTTATCACTAAAGAGGACCCTTGCCACCTTGGCTGAGTAGAATTTCCACCCAGGCCTCTGCAGGCCAAAGCCCAGGCACGTCCCACAGCAGGGGGATGCACCCCTTGAGACAGCTGGAGGTGACCAAGCAAAGATCAAGCATCACAAGCCATGTTCCAGAAGGTGCGTTAACCCTTGGAGCCTCGACAGGGAATCTCTCCATAGGATGAAGAGCGTGGAAAGGAACTTTATGTAAATAATAGACAGAGGAATGAAGGGAGAGGGCAGGGAGCAAGCCGAGGTGACGGGAAAAGGAAGCGGGAAGCAGAGAAAAAAATACAGCCTTGGCTGCGGACACTCAAGAATGTACCAGGAGACAGATGAAGGCGGAGCCGAGATCCTGGTGAAGGACAGAGGCCGACAAGTTAAGACTGGACTTTGCTCGGATTATCTCAGAGAGGAAAGAAGAGGACAGAGGGGTCGTGGGGGAAGCTCTGGGGTTACCTCTAAGATGCTGCTATTGACAGGGGGGGAGATTGAGGATTTGGAAGCCTATGGAATGGTCCCAGAGGTGAGGGCAAAAACATGAAAGGGCTGCACGGAAGGACAGCGTGCAGTGGAAGCAGCTGGCCCAGTGGAGAAGCTGATCACCACAGGAAGTACTGTTTCCAATCCCTGCTGGAGGCAAAGGTGCGCTGTGCCCACCAAGCTATGGGAACCAGGAGGGAAAGACAGCAAGACAGGCGGTACCTTGTGTGAAACCAAGGCTGCAGATGAGACTGAGTTGCCCAAACTGTCCAGGGTTGCTGAAGGGATCCTGTGGGCAGTGAAGGTGGAGGGGGGGAGGGGGGAGGAGGGAGACAGAGGTAGAAGACTGATAATTTTTTTTGGGGGGGAAAGGAGAAATCCTAATTGCTTGGAGGCAGAGAAAAATTTGGGAAAAGGAAAGAAGTGAGAATAAAACTGGGTCATCTTTCAGACTTTATGATTGCTATGGATTAAACTGTGTACCCCAACAAGACATGCCGAAGTCCTAACCCTCAGGACCTCACAACGGTACCTTATTTGGAGACGGGGTCTTTGCAGAAACATATCAAGTTAAAATGAGGCTGTTAGGGTGAGCCCTAATCCAATATGGCTGGCGTTCTTATAAAAAGGGGAAATGTGCACACAGAGACACACAGAAAGAGGGAAGGGGATGTGAAAACACCCAGGAAGAAGATGCCATGTGAATACAGGAGATGGAATGAAGCAGCCACAGGCCAGGGAAGGTCAGAGATCACCGGCGGCAGCAGCAACTCTGAGAAGTAGGGAATAATTCTCCTATGGATCCAGAGGGAGCTGGGCCCTGCCAACACCTTGATTTTGGACTTCCAGCCTCCAGAATGGTGAGAGAACAAATTCTTGTTTCAAGCCACCCAGTTTGTGGTGCTTTGTTATGGCAGCCCTAGGGAGCAGATAATACACTGGCGAAAGCAGAGATTGGAGGGAAGGAGTAGTCGATGTCCCATGTGGCTGGTGGCTGGGGCCCTGGGAGAAAGGCGGCCACAGGGGAGTCTCAAGAAAGGCACCAGGAAATATTCCAACAGATCACCCTTCCTCTGCTGCTGTTTCCCAGACTCCTCGTGCTGCTCCCTGTGCTTCAACGAGCTTCCCGCAACTTCTCCATGGTAGAAACCCTTCACGCCCTTTAAGACGGAGCTCCAGGGCTCTTTCCTCTGTGAGATGTTTCTCCTGCCAGCCCACCTGAGACTTAATCGGAACATAGGGATCTGTCTTCGTATTGATGCTACTTGGGAAAGCGCATCTCTGTCGCCTCACCTTACACATAGACGTCCTTTTTTGGGAGGACTACAGGCATGCCACCATGTCTGGCTAATTTTTGTATTTTTTGTGGAGATGGGGTTTCACCATGTCGTCCAGGCTAGTCTCGAGCTCCTGGTTTCAAGTGACCCACCTGCCTTGGCCTCCCAAGGTGTTTGCGTGACAGACGAGGACCACTGCGCCCGGCCTTGGACATCCTTTTATCCTGCTTTCTGCCTTCTGTTTGCTCTAAGTGGACTTTTATCTCCCTGTCTACTCCTAGCACCTAACACAGAGCCAGGCACACAGGAGAGACCTAATATGTGGGGGCAGGATTGAGTTGAATTCTTGGTGTTACTTATGTAACATCAGGAGTAGGAAGCCCAGACCACGACGTTTTTATACTTCTCAAAACTGCTTTAAGTGTCTCATTAAGTAATCACATGCTTAACATTGCCGGGAAATGGTCTCTGAATGCCAGAGTGGGAGAAAGCGTTTTTTCCGAGAACAGGAAATGATCCAATCTTTGCTCAAGTCTCCAGCCCAGTTCTAAATGGAGAAACAGACTATTCCCAAATCCATAAAAAAAAAAAAAAAAAAAAAAAAAGAAGTGGATAGATAATACAGATGTTCCTTGCTTTACAAAATAGATTGCCCCAGCAATATTGGGTGTAAATCAAATTTCTTAAAATCAAATTACATTGAAATGCACCATGGGAATGTGCTTTTAAAAGGAATCCTGCAATGAATTCTTTTGTAAATCAAAGAGACACTCATTCATTTGGTCATTCAGTCATTTATTTATTCCAGCGGCTCTCAACCCTGGCCAAATATCAGAATCACCAGGGGAGCTTTTAAAATATATATATACTATACTGAAGTCCCACCCTAGAGATTCTCCTTTAATTGGTCTGGGGTGGGGCCCAAGCCTCAGTATTTTTTAAAACTCCCAGAAGATTCTGATGTGCAGCCAGGCTTGAGAACCACTGGTTTATTCAATAAGCATTTATTAAGAATCCCCTAAGTCAGACCTGGGCTAAGTTACTACTAATAAGACATGGCTTGTTTCCTCCCAGGAGCTTAGAGTCTAGTGGACAATATAGATACATTAGCAGACAATTTCCCTTGCAATGTGCAGCCTGGGACAAATATATTGATGTTCATCTATTTTATAAGTTGAGATTTTTTCATATGGCTAATTGGCCTTTTTCTATTAACTGAGACACAGTTAAATAACACCTTCAGGATTACTTTAGCTGATATTAATATTGTGACCCAAGATCTCCTTAGGTTAGTATTTATTTGGCTTGGATATCTTTCTCTGTACCTTTATTTTCTTTATTCCTATGGCACCATAATTTAGATATATCTCTTAAACATCATATAATTAGGTTTTTAAAAGTGCAATCTGAAAAAAAACTCAGTCTTTTTTTTTTTTTTTTTTTTTTTTTGAGACAGAGTCTTGCTCTGTCTCAGGCTGGAGTGCAGTGGTGCAGTCATGGCTCACTACAGCCTTGACCTCCCAGGCTCAAGTGATCTTTCTCCTCAGCTCCCTGAGTAGCTGGGACCACAGGTGTGTGCCACACCTGGCTAATTTTCTTATTCTTTTTGGAGAGATTAGATCTTGCTTTGTTGCCCAGGCTTGAAAAAAATCTCAGTTTTTTAGTGGATGAGTTTGATCCATTTACATTTATTCATATGGCTGGGCAGACTTCTGCCATCTGGCTCCGTATACCCTGTTTACTACGATTTTCCACTGTGTCTCACTTGTCCTGCTTTACTACATTAAATCAAGCCTTGATTACTTTCTTTCTCCTTTTTAATTGTTTGGAAGTTATATATTGTGTTCTTTTACAATTTAGTGTTCAGCCTTACTTTATCCAACTTGAATGCTTAACTTCTGAGTAAAAAACTGTTCCTATCATCCTGCAAGATAACACAATGATGTTAGGTTTTAACTCTGGTCTTCTGCCTCCCCATTTTCTCTGATATTTGCCAAGTATTGCAGTTCCTTCCTGTATTTAAAAAAAACACTCCATCAAACCATAATTTTTTTAGTTTTATACCAACAATGTCGATTTAGGTTCAGCAACGTGTTTACTAATTTCATTTGTTCTTGAATCCCATTCCTTCCTACTCGATTTAAGATGTTTCTTTTTGAAGTGGGTCCATTATTGAAGTCCACAACCCCTTCTATGCGTTTCTGAGATTCAAAGAGGTTTGAGAACCAAAAATTATTAGAACATTTTCTGGTGAAATATGAATGTGTCTGGTTAGGAGAGACTGCCTCGGCTTGTGCTGGAGTGTTATATGCGATGTCGTTCTCAAACCTGAAAAGCCTTAGACTTCCTTCTGTACCAGCTCCTGCCACTGTGTTGTAAAACTGTGATTCCATATCTACGTGAACCCAGGCGGGCCTCCCGTCAGTGTCCCCCAGCCTGACAGGGCAGCATGTCATGGCCCCGGCTTTCTGATGCTCCCATGCAGAACCAACCCCCTTCCTCCATGCATTTTACATCTTTTTTTGGTAATAGTGCTGCTGCCTGCCAGCCACATCTTGGAATTCTTCCTGGAGACCCAGGGTTCCTCTTCCACATGCTTGTCCTAGGGGCCTCTGCAGACGATCCTTACCCCTTCTTCGTACTCTTTATATAGTGTATTCGAGCAACTCAGATGATTCTTCTTAGATGGAGGTCTGGCCAGGTCTTGAGAAGACTTGGAGTGGGAAACTATTTTCTTCTTTATTTTATTTATATATCGTCCATTGAAAAATAAACAAAATGCTGAAAGGTGTGTAGAGTCTACTTCCAGATGTGTGAGAAAGCAGATGTGTGTGTGTGTATGGAGACAAGAGACTGGCCATGACATTTACTCCTGGGGTGGAGAGGAGACTTAATTCTAGTGAACATCCTTTGCTATACCTACCTTTCTTCCACCACACTCATCCCTTGATTGCAATTAAAATAAACAGCAGCATCAAGAATATAGCTTTTTGTTTTCTTTTGTGTTCAATCCCCTCCTTTGCATTTAAAAACATTATCAGCCACTTTTTGTGCAAAGGACGCTATAGGTTTCCCAATTCCTTTTTGGTTTTTAAACACCATTTGAAGAGACTACCTTTTGGTACCTGTCTTTGGACCGGGTCCTTTATACCCAAAGAAGCTCTGCCCCCATCAAACAGTCTCCTTGGGAGATGACACACCTCGGTCAGTGAGGCTGTCATTGGCTCTGCTCAAAGGTGTCCACCTCCTCTCCGGCACCGGGCCTGCAGAGACACAGAAGCCACCCAATCGCCCAGGGCATGAAGCAGCAGGCAGAGGACAGAGGGCTGCAGTGGCTTCTGCAGTACCAGGCTCAGGGCAGGGACTGACTGACTCAGGTGAGAGACTGGACCTGGGACATGTGTGGGATTGTGACTCATCCTTGGGCCTGCCCGCAGGTGGGATTGTGACATATAGCTTTGCCTAGCCTCTGGGTGATTTGAGTTTCCTCCCTGGGCCCAGCCCACAAGTAGGATCGTGATATGTGACTCAGGAGTGACTCAGGAAGAGGTGAGCCCTCCGAGAAAAGCATCCCTGTGCATCTACCCCGGAACCCAGGCTGCATCCTGCGGAGGAATCTGTGCTTCAGAGAGAGGTAGCAGGAGGAAGCTTGCATGGCCCTTCAGAGAGAGCTAGCAGGAGGCAGTCTGAAGGGCCCACGGGCTGGGGGACTGGATGTCTGCAAAGTGGGTTAACCCTCAGCAGGGCTGCAGTGAAAATTCAACGGGAGCACGTGCGTCAGATATGAATGCCTCTTACGTACATGAGAGCCTTTGATCAGATGTCCTCTCTTCCTTATCGCTTGCTCTCATTTGCTGCTGCCCTCCTCTCCTCTCTTCAGACTATCTAATGGATCTCACCACCCTCTCATCCTCTTTGCAGTTCTTCCTGTTTCCAAAAGAGTCTTTCATTTAAGAGATGTAACGGGGTGTGGGGTGAAGAGGTATTAGAAAATTACGCCAGAGGCTTTTATGTGTGTGATGGAGGCAAAGCTCACCTCAGAGCAGACGGTCCTTCTTCTGCTTCTCCGTCTTTTTTTTTTTGGTAAATTTTTATTGCTTTTGCAGTCCTCATGTAACTTAATACATTAATATATTCTCGATGTCAAAAAGCAAATAAAGCTAAAGTCCTTCTTGATCCCCTCTCTCTATCCTCCCCATCTCATCAGAACATTAGTTTGAGGATTCTAGTTTTGCTGACCTTTTTCTGTACATTACATACTTAAATAAGATCCAATAGAAATACACAGCATTGTTGGCTGGGCATGGTGGCTCACGCCTGTAATCCCAGCACTTTGGGAGGACGAGGCGGGTGGATCACGAGGTCAGGAGATCGAGACCATCCTGGCTAACATGGTGAAACCCTGTCTCTACTAAAAATACAAAAAAAGGCCGGGCGCGGTGGCTAACGCCTGTAATCCCAGCACTTTGGGAGGCCGAGGCGGGCGGATCACGAGGTCAGGAGATCGAGACCATCCCGGCTAAAACGGTGAAACCCCGTCTCTACTAAAAATACAAAAAAATTAGCCGGGCGTAGTGGCGGGCGCCTGTAGTCCCAGCTACTTGGGAGGCTGAGGCAGGAGAATGGCGTGAACCCGGGAGGCGGAGCTTGCAGTGAGCCGAGATCCCGCCACTGCACTCCAGCCTGGGTGACAGAGCGAGACTCCGTCTCAAAAAAAAAAAAAAAAAAAAAAAAAAAATTAGCTGGGCATAGTGGCGGGCGCCCGTAGTACCAGCTACTCGGGAGGCTGAGGCAGGAGAATGGCATGAACCAGGTAGATGGAGCTTGCAGTGAACCAAGATCATGCCACTGCACTTCAGCCTGGGTGACAGAGTGAGACTCTGACTCAAAAAAAAAAAGAAAAAAAAAGAAATACACAAAATTGTTTTCTATTTGTGTGTGCGTGGTATTTTGGTTTTCGTGAATGGGTTATGCTTTCTGAATTGTTTCATCGCTTGCCTTTTCATTTTGTCTCAAGTTTATTTCCACACCATCCCTTAGCAATATGTCTCATGTTTTCATTGTCACTAAGCATTGCCTGGCTTTTGGGGTCACACACTGCTGTTGCCCATCCAATATCTACTTTGCTGCCAGATCTGACTGTGTTGGTGTATTAACCCCACCTGGGCTGCCATAACTGTCTACCACATACCAGATGGCTTAAACCACAGAGATTTATTTTCTCACAGTTTTGGAAGCTGGAAAGTCCAAGATCAAGGTGTCATTTGGTCTCCGGTGAGAACTCACTTCCTAGATTGTAGATGGTGCCTTCTAGCTACGTGCTCACAAGCGGGGGAAGATCTCTCTCTCTCTCTCTGTTCCTTTACTTCTGAAACGATCAGCCCTGTTGGATCAGGGCCCTCCCGTTATGACCTCATTTAACTTTAGTTGCCTCCTGAAAGCCCTTATCTCCAAATATAGTCACATTGGGGGTTAGGGCTGCAACATATGCACTTTGGGGGAACACGATGTGGTCCATAGCAGTTGGGTGGCAAGTGAATGCCGCTGAGAAGCATTCCCTTTGCATCTCTTCCCCTACCTGTTGCACTGTCTCATCTACAACAAGTGCTCAGTGATGGCTTCTGAGCCTTTTGATTTATTTGACAAGAGATCTCACTGATGAGCGGACCAGCCTTGGCGATTGTCTGTGAGCCTCAGTCTGTGGAGCGCTTGCTCCAGTTCAGACGCAGCCATAGCACTCCATGGATAACTCAAGAGCTCCTCCGAACCCTCAGAGCAGGGTATAATGATTAGCTCAATTTTCCAGGTCGGGAAACTGATGCACGGAAAGGAGAAGTGCATCACCCATGGTCATGCAGCTAGAACGTGAAAGAGTAGGGAGGGAGCCCAGATACACCAGCATCTTGTCCCGATCCTCCCTGTGCTGCCTGCTGAATGAGGTTGCTGGAAGGACTGAAAGGAAGAAAGGAACAGAAAGCCTCAGGAGAGGCTTTGTGCTCAATAAGTTGTAGCTATTGGTATTGCCTCCCGCTTCGCCCCCTCCATGTTATAATCATCATCCTTCTTAGAGATCTGGCTTTGAGTCTTCACTCAGCAAATGCAGGCAATTCTTACTGCGAGGCAGCCCTGTGCTTTGGGTTTGAAGTCTCCTCCTTTGCCATCAACGTGTTGTGTGACTTTAAACCTCTCTGTGCCATAGTGTTCCTTCCTTCCTTCCCTTCCTTCCTTTCCTTCCTTCCTTCCTTCCTTCCTTCCTTCCCTCCCTCCTTCCCTCTCTCTCTCTCTCTCTCTTTCTTGGTGGCGTTTTGCTCTTGTTGCACAGGCTGGAGTGCAATGGCGTGATCTTGGCTCACCAAAACCTCTACCTCCCGGGTTCAAGCGGTTCTCCTGCCTCAGCCTCCCAAAGAGCTGGGATTACCGGCATGCACCACCACGCCCAGCTAATTTTGTATTTTTAGTAGAGACGGGGTTTCTCCATGTTGATCAGGCTGGTCTCAAACTCCTGACCTCAGGTGATCCACCCGCCTTGGCCTCCCAAAGTGCTGGAGTTACAGGCATGAGCCACCACACAGGTCTGTCCCTTTGTTTAAAATAAAAAGAGGCTGGGTGCGGTGGCTCATGTCTATAATCCCAGCACTTTTGGAGGCTGAGGCAGGAGGATCTCTTGAGCCCAGGAGTTCCAAATCAGCCTGGGCAACATAGTGGACCCCATCAATAAAAAAAGTATATAAAAAAAATTAGCCAGGCCTGGTGGCACACACCTGTAGTCCCAGCACTAGGGAGGCTAAGGCGGGAGGATCTCTTGAGCCCAGGAGATCAATGCTGCAGTGAGCCATGACGGTGCCACTGCACTCCAGCCTGCGCTGCAGAGGGAGACCCTATCTCAAAAAAATAAATAAATAAATAAATAATAAAATAAAATAGAAATAATGATGCCTAATTCATAGGCTTACAGGGACAACATGTACAACGTACAATACATGTTGATTAAAGTGTATTATTCCAGTGCAAGGTAGGTTAAAAACAAAGTTTGATCATGGGTGGCAAGAAATTAGAAGACTCTTGTCCTTCCATAACAAAATTTTAATTCCTCACCTAAGGTTCCAGCATGCCCAGATCTAAGGATGAGCATCCATGTGCCATGCACTTTGCTGGCGACTTTGCATTCTGTTAGGAATCTCTACAACAGCCCCTCAAGCCTCCTTTGTACAAGAGAGGAACCTGACGCTCCGAGAGCTAAAAGAAATTGCCAAAGGAAAAGGGAGAGCCGGGTCCTCAGATTCTGGTCCTCAGGCTCCAAAGCTTCCGTGTTTTATCTTGAAAAGAGAAATTTGACTTGGATCTGCTATTTCCCCTCCATTACCAATTTAAGGTCAGTGGGAGAGGCAGGGCATGGATGATTCCGGCTGCTTTTCAGACCACATAGAAAGGAACTTGTGAGTCCCAGCTGCAGCCCATATGACCATCTTTGTGGGAGCCGTATGCGGTGTTTGTATGAGTGTGCACTGCCTGCGTGCTGCTGCAGAGGCATGGAGGGCTGTGAAGCCAGGGTGTTTGAAAGCCAGAGGAGCATGTAGGGAAGCAAAGCTAGACCAGCATCCCTCCCTCCCAGGGACTCGGAATGTCCCCCGTTCACAGGACTCCCAGTTTTGACACCTCCAGGAAATGAACTGGCAGGTCTAAGTGACAGGCAGCTCTTGGGAATCGCGTGGCAATTCTTGCCTATCATTTGGTTTTCCCTAAACCATGCAGGCCAACGCTGTGCTTCAGGTTAGATCCCTGACAGTTCGGCAGCCTCCATGTCAAGTTGGGGTGAACCCCAGGGTGGGGACTTCACCCAAAGGCAGACCTCCCCTAAGCTCTCGGGAGAGCACATGAGCTTTGTAATCAGTGGACCTGGGTTTCATTCCAGCTCCAACCCTATCTGCTTGTGGATCACTGTAGGGAATTGCCTGGTCTCCATCAGCCTGGGTTTCTTCATCTGGAAAGGAGGGTGGTTGCACAAATTGAAAGGGATGGATGGGCAGGTGTGTGGTGTGGAGCCCAGCACACAGCCAGGCCCTCTGGAAGTGGCAGCTCCTCTCTATTCTTCCTGCTCTTCCGCATGTTGTCAGACCTGGGACTAGAGCCAATCAAATGCCACACCCATGTCAGGACCAAGGGCCACTGCCCAGCCCTTATGCCATCACTGGGCCCTGGGGCAGGCTCCAGGAGGGCCCGGGAGGACTCTGGCTTCAGAATTACAGATGACACCCTCTGGAGATGTGTGTGAGAGGCGGTAGCAGAGGTGTGGGAGGTCCTGGCTTCAGGCTCAGCTCAGTGGTCCTAGAACAAGTCCTCTCCCCTTCTGGGTGTTGCTTTCTCAAGAAGATGATGGACCAGGTTGATTAGATTGAAGAGACTCTCAAACTCTGAGGCCCAGAAGGAAACAGACCATGAGTGTCAAAGAAAACAGCTATCCCCAGTCCAAAATTTAAAACTGAGGTTAAGGCTGGGCTGGGTGGCTCACACCTATAATTGCAGCACTTTGTGAGGCCAAGGCAGGAGAATGGCTTGAGCACAGGAGTTTGAGACCAGCCTGGGCAACATAGTGAGATCCCATCTCTACAAAAAACAATAAAACAATTAGCTGGGCCTGGTGACATGCAATTGCTGGGCATGGCAGGTTGAGGCTGCAGTGAGCTGTGATTGTGCTTCTGCACTCCAGAAGGAAAGAAAGAAAGAAAGAAAGAAAGAAAGAAAGAAAGAAAGAAAGAAAGAAAGAAAAAAAGAAAGAAAGAAAGAAAGAAAGAAAGAAAGAAAGAAGAAAGATAGATAGATAGAAAGAAAGAAAGAAAGAAAGAAAGAAAGAAAGAAAGAAAAGAAAGAAAGAAAGGAAGAAGGAAAGAAGGAAGGAAGGAAGGAAGGAAGGAAAAAAGAAAGAAACTGAAGTTATTGCTCTCCAGATTTCAGAAGAAAATCTAATGTCAAATAGAATCTCATATGAACTAGTTTTGTTCGTTCATTCATTCTTTCAAAATACATCCAGAATCCAACCCTTTCTTTCCACCATAGTGTGGCCACCTCGGCCAAGCCCCCATCATCTCTTATCTGGATTGCTGCAACAGCATCTAATTGGTCCCTCTGCAGTCATAAATCAGACCAGGCCCATCCTCTGCTCAGAGACCTTCAATGACTCCCTAGTTCCTCTGAGTTAAAGTCAAAGTTCTTACCCATGGGCTAAAAGTCCCTTCATGACCTTGACCTTATTATTTCTGTATCCTCATTCCTTCTTCTTTCCCACTGCTTAGGGCTTTTGTCCTAGCCCTTCCCTCTGCTGGCAATTCTTTTCCCTCAGTAAGCAGCTTGTCTTGAGTCTTTGTGCAAAGCTCACTGCATTAACCAGGGCTCTCCAGGGAAACAGACCAATTGGAAATATATAGGAAGAGATTTATTATGAGGAATTGGCTCATGCAATTATGGGGCTGAGAAGTCCCACAATCTGCAAGCTGGAGATCCAGGAAAACTGATAGTATAATTCAGTTGGAGTCTGGAGGCCTGAGAAATAGGGGAACCATTGGTGTAAATCCCAGCCTGAGAGTCAGCTGGGGTGAGATGCCCCAGGTCAAACAGGCAGGAAAAAAAAAAGGTGAAGGGGAATCCCTCTCTCCTCTGTCCTTTGCTCTGCCAGCTCTTTCCTTGGGTGCTCAATGTTGGATGATGCTCACACACATTGGGGAAGGCAATCTACCTGACTGAGCCCACTGATTCAAATGTTGATCTCATCCAGAGACACCCGCACAGACACACACAGAAGCAATATTTAATCTGGGCACCCCATGGCCCAGGCAAGTTGACACATAAAATGAACCATTACGCTCACTTTCTCAGAGACCTTTTCTGACCACCCTGATTAATACTGCAGACTGATCCGTCTTCCCATGCCCAAGCCTCCCCTCACCCTGTGCTGAGTGTTCTTTTTCTCACAACTTCTAATATGCTACAACACTCTACTGTGTCTAGTCTTTGTCTCAGTCACCAAATGTGTGCCCTACAGGGGCAGTCTTGGCAAGGAGGGGAGCTGGGGGCTGACATGTAGACAGGAATACAGTCATATGTTTTGAGCTGGGAGAGATGGGAGCACAGTGAGGTGGGAGCACAGAGGAAGGGGACACTCTTCCTGGGAGTGAAGGGGTGATGCTTTATGTAGAGCAAACCTCAATGCTCTGACAGTGTTATGATCATAGGTGAAAAAAAATATACATTTTGTTCACTGCTAAGCCACATAGCATACTATAATTGAATTTCCTTCCTAATATTAATTATTGTTTATTGAGTAGCTAATTATTTCTTTATTTTTAATGTCTTTTTCTATATATCCCAAACTTTTTGCCAGAAGTTTGAACTTTCTCTTGATACAATCAAATACATTGGGTAATTGATCAGTTTTCTTATTAATTGCAGAGGCCTTCTATCCTCAGCTCTTGGGCTGGTTTTTCTCTAGACCTATCGTTTGGCTGTTATCCTGAAAATGTGCTTAGTCTCTCTCTGTGTTAAATTACCTATTTCATGGATTCCATGTTGCTTGGACTGAATTGTGTTCCTCCCAAATTCATATGTTGAAGCCCTAACACCAAATGTGACTATATTCGGAGATAGGGCTTTTAGAAGGTAAAATGAGGTAATAAGGATGAGGTTCTAATCCTACAGGATTGGTGGCCTTATAAAAAGAGTGAGATCTCTCTCTCGATCTCTCTCTCTCTCTCTCTTTCTCTTTCTCTCTCTCTCTTTCTCTCTCTCTCTCTCTCTCTCCCTCTTCCTCTCTCTCCTCTTTTCCATGTGCACATATCAAAGAAACATCATATGAGCACACAGTGAGAAGTTGACTGTCTGCCAGTCAGGAAGAAAGCCCTCACTAGACACCAAATTAGCAGATGCCTTGATCTTGGATTTTCCAGCCTCCAAAACTGTGAGAAATACAGTTATTGTTTAAACCATCCAGTTTATAGTATTTTAACATGGTAGCCTGAGCAGATTAAGACACATGCCTTCCTCTTTTATTACTTACTCCTTTGTTTCGGTGGAGCACATCCTTCAGTAGGTTCCTTAGACATAGTTAATGAAAGTACATTTTTGACATTGTCCATATCTAAAAATGTCTTTAGTCTATGCTCACACTCAGTTGATAATTCGTCCGGGTATATAATTTTTGTTTGGAAGTAATTTCTCTTGGAATGTTGAAGGCATTGTTTTATCATCTTTTACCTTCCAATTATTGAGAAATTCAGTGCTATTGTGATTTGTGATTCTTTGTATATGACCTTCCCCCATCTTTCCTCTTGCAACATATAAGATCTCTTTATCCCTGATTTTCTAAAATTTATTTATGATGTGTCTTGGTGAGGGTCTTCTAGTCCTACCTGAGCTAAGTCTTCAGTGGGCCATTTTAATCCAGAAACTCATTTGGTTATATTCTGCAAAACTTAATCACATTTTTTGGTATTTCTTTATTTCTCTTTTTTTAATTATCTTATATTGTAAAAATCCTAATAATTTGATATTGAACTTCCTGCACTGATGCTCTAATTTCCTTGGCTTTTCTATTTTCCAGGTCTTTGTCTTTCTGTGACATTTCCCAGAAGATTACCTCAATTATATCTTCCAATACTTTGCTGAATTTTTATTTGAAGTAGGTTTTACTTTCCAAGAACTCTCTAAATGATACCCTGTGCTTGGATGCAATATTTCCTCTTATGTCTCTAAGGATATGAATCTGTGTTATCGAAATCTCTATTTCCTATACATCCCTTTGTCCTGTTCACTGGTTCATTGGCTGGTTCTAGCGTTTTCCTCAAATGCCTGGTGATCCTTGGCCATATGTTCATATGTAAGGACAAAGCACTAATAAGTTGACTGGAAGCTTTGGATGCAGGGGTGGAGCTTGTTGACTGGTGGGCTTCTTTAGACTTATGGCTGTTTCATTGAGGGACCCTTGAGTGTGAGTAGCTATCACTATTTTTTCTCAGAATAGTCAGTTTCCTGGAGGAGTCTCGTCCAAGCTCACACTTGTGGAGGATAAACCTGGCTTGCAGCATTCTGGGAGCCTGAAGGGGAGAGGGACGGGGTCCCACCATTTAGGGCACTAATTCTTATTCAATCCTTTCCTTCCTTCCTTTCTTCTTTCCTTCCTTCCTTCTTTCCTTCCTTCCTTTCTCTCTCTCTCTTTTCTTTTCTTTCTTGGCACAGTCTCGTTCTGTCACCCAGGCTGGAATGTCATAGTGCGATCTCGGCTCCCTGCAATCTCCACCTCCTGGGTTCAAGTGATTCTCCAGCCTCAGCCTCTTGAGTAGCTGGGACTACAGGTGTGTGCCAGCACGCCTGGCTAATTTTTGTATTTTTAGTAGAGACGGGGTTTCAACATGTTAGTCAGGCTGGTTTCCAACTCCTGGCTTCAAGTGATCCACCTGCCCCGGCCTCCTAAAGTGCTGGGATTGCAGGTGTGAGTCACTGTGCCCAACCTCAATCCCACATTTTCAATATGATGCCCACCCTGCCCTTGGTTGTCCCTGGTGGTATTGGGTCTCTTCCCTCTCTGGCTGTTTCTTCTGAGATTAACCCTTACTCTTCTGCCAAGACAGAGGCTTCAGGACCCACCTGTGTGTATGGCAGGAGCCGCCTGGTGGAGCACATTGGTGGAGAAGCTGGGGTTCCAGCCACTCTTCGTCAGGCTTTTGGACCAAGCTTCTTATTTCAAGGCATGCTTTGCCCCCAGCCCCCTGAGGAACCTGTAAACCTTCAATGTCTGAGTCTTTGGGAGCCTGGTTTCTGCATCTGCTTGATTGTTAAAGCTGGCCTCCTCCACCTCCACACCCCGGCAGCACTGCTCCGCCAAGTCAGTCACTATTGCTCATCCAATTATTTTTGGTCAACTCTGGGACCTACTTTCCCCCATCTGTGTAATTCTCTTGCTTTTTGTGGGTCCATTTCTTCATTATTCCTTTGATTGTCATTTCAGGTGTTTGAGAGAGAGAAACAGAGGGGAGAAAACATGTATATTTAATCTTGTCTGTTTATGAAAAGTCAGTTCATGGGTGTCCTTTTTTCTTCAATTCATGGGTGTTTTTTTCTCTGTACCACATACAACCACACACACTCACACACAAACACATACAATTCAGTTAAAGGAAGCTTCGAACTTGCTAAGAGTGATCAAACTTGTCTTCATCATGCGTTAAAACATTTGTGATACATTTACAAGGTAATATATTTTTAACAAAAGTGCATTTTATTTATTTACATTTTATTTAAACTGTAGTGCATTTACTGTAACACATACATGCATTATTATTATTAATTGTTTTTATTAATAAGTAAATACAATAACTACCGTTTAAACAATAATAATAAATACCATAATAACATAGTCATGTTTGGCCGTCAATGAAACTCTTTTCTGATTCGATGTCTCATAATTAGATGGTCAGTCATCTGTCTAAGGACAATGAACAAAGGAGGCCGCCCCATGTTTGGAGTCAGCAGGCTTGGGAGAGACCCTCTTCTTGGTCACTTGCAAGCTTGGTGTCTTGATGGGATCCCCCAGCCTGGCCCGTGCTCTCTCCTGCTTGGGTCTGGTTTTCTGGGTCTCCTACCCCACCCCTCCCCATGTGTGCCAGCAACGCTGGTTCTTCCCTGGGTTCTGAAGCCTCTGTCCTGGGCTCCCCCTCTACACCTACAGGGCCCTGGTTCGGACACCACCTGAATGCAAAGGTCCAGCTGCTTCTCCAAAAGCCCTTGTGAGGAAGGGACCCAGGGGCTGCCTTATGATAGTGAAGAAAGGAGGTGGGGTGGGGGCTTGTCCCAGCACACATTCAGACTTTGCATAAAATGAGTGGAAGTTGTGAGACCCAGAGAAAAACATGGAAGTGACATTTATAAAGCGCTACTGCATGCTAAGCCTTCCCCCACTTATTATTGTATGGGTGGATACTCTTGCTACCTCCATTTTCCACACCAGCCTCCCAGAGGTGGGAGAAGCGCCCAGGTCTCCAGGGGAGGGGGCCTGGATCTCACCCAGGAAAGGAAAGTGGGGTGAGTTTCCGGGGCGTGGGGAATGGGGCATGGGGCATGCTGCTGAAAGGAAGGAAGGAGAGGCGTCTTCTGAGAAGTGAGTGAGGTTAAATGCCCATGGTGGGGAGGCTGGGGAGGACCCTGGCAGATCCCACACCGCAAACTTAGAGGGGAGACCTCTCCCTGGCGGCGCCGCCTGCTCAGCCTTGGAGAACACCCAGAAAAGCCCGTTCCAAGCTCGGGAAGTTGCAGAGGAGAAAACCTGGAGTCTAGCGTCCTGGCTCTGCCTGGTGATGGGCCAGCGGCCCGTGCCCAGAGAAACCCACTGGAGGAGGATGGAGGGCGGCCCTGCCCCCGGGACAGACCAGCCTTGACCGGAGCGAAGGAGGGAGTGCGCCACGCAAAGCACCACAGGCGGCGCGGGGGCCTTCCCTGGAAGGCCAGGCTCCTTTCCAACTGGGCTGCCTCTCGGCTTCAACATCCTAAAGCGGGGACGGCTGAACCCCGGTCATGGCTGACTTGACTCCACCTCGGAATACTTGATAGGGTTCGCCTATCGCTCTGGCTCTCCCTTGAATCGTGACAAAAGGAAAGTATTTATTACCAGGCAGACGGAGCCCTGGGGCGAGAGCCCGTCATCTCTGATTTGCCTGTTAGCCGAGGCTGTGGAATTAAATGCAGTTTTGTTTTTATCTATTTGCATGGAAGCGTTCCAGAGAAAACAACAATTTTCGTGACCTGCGCACTTGGTATCATGTTAATTAGGTTTGAAAACTCGTATATTGTTTTCATAAGGGCTATTACATTTTCTCTAATTAAATTAAGGGAAAATTAAGGATGCACGGCAATAATATTTATTATTAATACCAGACTCCAGAGGCGCCCAGCAAGTTAAATCAGAGGGAGGAAAAGAAAAAAAAAATTGAAGACAGCCTAGACTTCAAAACAACACGGTGTAGTCCAGGTTTTCAGCAAGTCATCACTATGAACGTTTTGAAAAAAGACAAAGTGAAAATGGACCCATTTGGAGAAAAACAGCCTTCTGGTCCCTGTTCACACCGAGAGTTTCTTGGATGTTTATTACTGTTTCATTACAGTGGTTTCACCAAATTGCAGCAACTTTGTTCCAAGGAGAGAGCTTGACTTGGGTTTTATGCAATTCAAAGGTTGCAGCCAGCTGTGATCTTAGTCCAGCCAAAAAATGGGCTTCCTGGGCAAAGGGGTCCCCATTTGAGGAAGTCAAATCAGGCTGGGAGAGCAAAGGAAGTGGCCCTTGGGAGAAAAAGTGTCACATTGGAGAGGGAAAGTGGTAGCAAGAGAAGAAAACGGGGGCGGGGGGATTATTTGACATGAATACATCCCATCCCTCGGGCAGGTCCCTTCTGGAAATGGGACTGAGTTCAGGCCAGAATCTAACTGCTCCAGACTGAGTTGCAGAACAACCTTCACCAAGCTCATAGCTAGAGTAGACAGTTGTTGTTTATGGCCACCCACCTAACACTCATTTTCCCTCCCTCATTGCTCTCTGATTTCTTTTTGGGGCACCTCCTTAGAGTGCAGTCTTGATAGGGGACCAAGTCCTGGGGTTTGCCCTCCCACTGCAGAAACAGAGGAGACCCTGAGGCCCCTTCTGTCCCACTCATCTTTCCCCGCCCACCCCTGCCAAGCAGTTCAGTCAGCTGCGCTTTCTGTCCTGGACCTTGGACTCTCAGGTCATCTCAAGGGTGGAGCAACTTTGGAGTTCACTCATTCTCATGGCAGCACCTTGGTGCAAAAATTGTACGTCCCTGCTGCCAGCAGTGCCATCCTGCCCTGCCTGACCCATCTATCATCTATTCCAGATTGGCTCCTCAGCTTGCCATGTGGTCCCTGGAGACCCGATGTTCTTCCCATAAACTCTCTTTCTTCTTGGTTTGCAAGAACCTGTTTTTGTTGCTTATGAATGAAGAGCTCCAACGGTTGCAATGGCTTTTGCCCTTGAACATGAAACAAGCATGTGTCCTGGAGAGTGGCTGGCATTGGCCTGAAAGCTGCACAGATGGGGCCCATGACTCCATTGGTCTGGTTTAAGGAAGAGCACTAGATTAGGAGTCACAGGTATTGCTTTGAGTCCCGGCTTTTCCACTAAGCCCCACTTGGAGACCTTGACCAACCAGTTTTGTTTCTGGGCTTCATCTGTGAGATGAGGCATTTGGAATATAATAATGATGAGGAGGACAATGATAATAATTACTACAATAATAATAGCAACTATCATTTATTGACTGCTTCATAGGGGCCAGGTTCTGTGCCATCTGATATACATGCAGTGCCTAGGAAGGCTCTGTTACACTCCCTGTTTTAAAGAGGAAGGAACCAAAGCTTAGAAGGACAAAACACCTTACCTGAAATCATGTTGCCAGGAGGTGGAAGTCCTGAGGCCTGAACCTTGGTCTGTCTGGGTCCGTTGATAGTCTCTAAAACTAAAGTGACTGTCTCAGTTTTTCCAGGACATGAAACTTTCAGTGCTAAGACCAGGACAGTCTTGAGCAAACTAGGATGGTTGGCCACCCTACTGAAGACCCTTCCAGCCTGAATGCTCTGTGGTTCTGGGAACAGCATGAAATTTGGGGAGCTGCACTGGGAGAGCCCTGGAAACTAGTGAGCACATGCTAATGGTTTTCAAACCTCAGAGTAAAAGCAAAATCCAAATGGGGTTTCAGATGCCATCTTCAATTGCTGCTGAACCCCATTCTATTCAGCCTGCATTCTCCAGTGGGAAAATTCCAGAGCTCTTCCAACAAACTCCTGATTGAATCAGCCAACCACTCAATCATTCCATAAGTGGCCTTTCCTGTTACTTTCCTGTCTCTAGCCCACACCAGGACCGATCATCGCAGTTTCCCCCTCCATCTAACACCAAGTTCTAATTTTGGAACACCCAGGGCCTGAAAATGTTCCATGAAATTTGAATTTTTAAGAAGTAGAATTTGTTTTCTGCTGGCTCATGCTGTAACAGTCTCCCCAGAACCCAGCTGGGAGAGGTCTTAGATTCTGGTGCCACCATCTGCCCTAGTCTTATCACTTGCTTGTTGATTTATTGATTCACCAAACATTTACTGAGCACCTACTATGTGCTGGTCACTGAGCTAAGGACGAAGGGATTAGAGATAAACGTTTACTACTGTTCTTGAGATACCTCTACCAACCAATTCTCACTCAAGGTAACAGTGGTAAGGTCTCTGCCATAGGAATATGGGGCTTAGAGAAGGAAGACAGGGAGATTAGTTGAGAATCATGTGTTCTGAAGCAGTAGTTGATTAACTGTTCTGTTCCCTGCTCTCCCATGTCCTTGCTCCTATGATAGCTTGTTCCACACCATAGCATCATCTTGTAGCTCTTCCTAATGCCTCATTCAGTGCTTGACACACAGTAGGTGCAAAGGACGTGCTTTGGTTGACCAGACCCTTCATGCAGTAAAGTGGGTCTGCTAATCCAGAAGAAAGCTTTGTTGAAGGAGAAAATCCTTTTACAACGCAAGTTTTCTTTCAATGCTCAAGGATTCTGTTTTCTAAATTCCAATGTCTCCATTTCACTGTGTTGGGTTTTCTACAGCTGGGCCTATCTATTAAATCGGTGCTGCTACCAGGCCAGTCGGATAGAACCACAGGAATTCAGATGCCTTTTGGAACTAGGAAGTCAGGACAGGGTAAAAATATGTTAAAAATGTAAGCAAATGTTAGAAAAAATGTCAGCCATTCCAAGGATCATTGGCCGTTTTCTTAAAAAACAAGAGGAGGCCTTAGGGGGTAACACAAATACTTTTTGACTAGAGGTTGGGAGACCTGAGTTCTAAAGAGAAAAATTAAAAGAACTTAAACTGGTGACTTTGGGTATTCACAGCAAAGTAAATAGCAAAGATTAAGCCCACTGGGGGGTTAGAAATCCTCATAGAAATGGAGCCCAGGAAAAGTCAATGTGCTAGGTTCTCAGACAATCTCCTAAATAAGACCTCATACCCACCACCCACCACCCAGAACTAATCCCACATTCATAGACCGGGAAGGCCCAGGCTCCTCAAAGATCCTCTTAACTTTAATTAAAAACCTTTGACGGATTTTCAAACACTAGCAAAGACGAGTCACCCAACATGTTTCATTTTTGTCATCGGGTGGCCCCTGGTTGGTTTGCTCCCAGCTCCTTAAGGTGATGCTATTGCAGGTGTGAACAGGTGTGCCCCTTGCCCCCCAGCCTTTGGGCATCTTCTCTGGCAGTACCAGGTCAGAGAGCCCTTCAACAGATGTTATAAAGAGGGCATTGTTCACTTGGGACAGAGTGGACATTTCTAAGACAGCGGGACTCTTCTAGATTAATCGCATCAAGGGAAAAAGTGTTAAGGTCCTGGGGAACCATTTTGGTACCCTAAGTCAATGCTGCCCTCTAAAGCCAATCAGAGCTAGTGTCCAGTTAGCTCATACCAGCATCTCTGTGTTGACTGGTTAAAGCTGATGTCCACCTGGTTGGTCAATGTCCACATCATTCCGGCTGCTAAATATTTTGAACTTCCCTCCTGCTGCTAACCACTTCAACCTCATCCCCTTCTCTGTCTTGCACCATCCCTTCTGTCCCAGGGAGTAGTTTGAGCAAGGGAATGGAGAGAAATGTTCTAGCTGACTTCTCTGTCCCTGAGGCCAGCTGTCTCTGTCCTCCTGCCCTAGCTCTCAACTGCAGAAGCTCCCTTCAACTCAACAGAATGTAGTCCAAACTCCATAGCGCATCTGATGTTGTTCTCTTGTTCTAGATTTCTTCCTTCCCTCCCTTCCACCTGTCCTCCCTTCCCAGTCCCACCACAGGGGGAAACAGCCTCACAGCCCTCTTCTGTGTCCTGCTCATATGAGCCCCTCTTCCTGCACTGCCCAGTGTCCCTGAAGCCTGCTGAGGTCCTGCCTGCCCATCCCTCAGCAACTTATTAAACCAGCTTCTGCAAAAAGCCAGCCCCCAGCCCTCAGGCAGGATGGATCCCCTCCTCCTCTTCCCTTCTTTCTTTTTGCAAAATGTCTTGGTGACTCTCAAAGCTCTGATCTGCTTGCTGCTCCAAGTTCCTTGTCGTCTGCTTTAGGGCAGGGAAGGAGCCCGATGGAGTCTGTTGCTGCCACGGTGTGTGTGCGGAAGAGCTCCCAGCATGCAGTAGATTTTTTTTTTTTTTTTTTACCTTTTAAAAGATTTATTGAAATATAATTCACAAACCATACAATTCACCCATTTAAAGTATAAAATTCATATTCAAAGTATAATAAAAACTGTAATAAAAATTCAGAGTATAATAAAAAGTTGTATAACCATCACCACAATCAATTTTAGAACATTTTCTTATATAATGGTTGGATTGGTTTATTTAGACACTCCTACAGCCTCCTAACTCCAGCATTCTAGAACTTGATGCTTTCTGAGCCCCCAGTTGTCAACCCAGAGTATGAGGATGAGAGGAGAAGGGAGGGCTCAACAGTGACCTTCCTCTGGAGTGATCATGTCAGGGCTTTGACACTGCACACAGGAGACTTCAATAGCAGCACGTGGGCAGGCATGGGCCTTAGAATCAGACGGACATGGGCTGGAATCCTGGCTCCAGCAACCTGTGAACTGTGTGGCTTTGGGCAAATCACTCCACCCTTCTGGGCCCCAGCTTCCTTATCAATAACATAGAACTGACTAGGCCACAGCTTGTTATCTTGAGTGTTTCCAATCATAATGTCTGCAAAACACCTGCACAAGGTAAGGCCTGGAAGATACTCTGCAAATGTTGGCCCCAAAAGGCTGAAGCTCTGGGTTCAGCGTGTCTGTCATGTGCTTCCATGACTGTGAGCACAGAGTGGGCTATCATAATTCTTATTTCCTGGGCTCCCAGGCAAGGGCCTGATGGGTTCTTTCACATCTATCAGCTTGATTCAATCTTTTGAGTAGCTGTGTGAGACTGATGGAGTTCTCCCCATTTCGCAGATGAGAAAGCTGAGGCTCATAGCAGTGAGATGGCTTACTCAAAGTCACCCAGCTGTTTACAGTCTGCATCTCCAAGCAGAACGTGAGCTACTCATGGCTTGCGTGCGGCTCTTTATTTCCATGTCTCCTGTAGCCCAAGCACCATGCCAGGCACTTTGCAGGCAGTCCATAGATTGGGGGAAAATAAAATTAGTAAGAAATCCTTTTTCTGTGTTGCTCAGGGGCATTCTGGTCATGTTGGCAAGGTCATTAAAAATGCAACCTTACTATTCATTATAGCACAAAGATCACTAGAAATGACAGCCTTTTGTGACCTCTCTCATTTCAAGAATCCCACTGCTCCAAATGGCTCTGAGCAGTGTGTGTGTGTATGGTGGGGTGGGGGGTTAAAGTAGGGGGCTTATGGCAGCCTTTTAAGCCCCTAGGCACAGATGTCCACCCTCTCAAGGAAGCATGTACCCAAATGACTACCATCTGCATCACACTTTGCAAAGCACGTCCATGCAGGCCAACTTGCTAGATCTTCCCAGAAACTCCAGTGGTGGGCACCATTTTGCCTCTATTTTATAGAGAAGAGCATACAGGCTCCAAGCATCCAAGTGATTTGCCCCCACCCTCCCAGCTTCTGCAAAGCAGAGGTAAGTCACAAGCCCATGGCTGAATCCAAGACATCCCTTACGCTACATAGAGCTTGCGTGTTCCAGTTCCCAGACCTTTGCATGTGCCAGGCCTCCTGACCGGTTTACCCTCTCTCTTTCCCCACATCTTTTCCCACCATAGGTGCTGCCCTGCACAAGTCTCCCAGGATGTCCAAGATATGGCCACCTCTGAGGTTATTCTCTTCTCTGGACTCTTTCAGCCTTAACTTGCTCCCTGATATGGGGTGGAGGAGCTTCCTGGCAAGCCATGGGCATCTTGTTTCTGCACCTGGCTGTACAGTGAGCTGACACACTTGTGTCTTCTCCACAAGGCAGAGTACAGTGTTGGGGTCATGGCAGCTGTTCAGTAGCTGGTGTCTTGGGTTGGGTCTCCCAGAGGCTGACCCTGAGACTAGGATGTGAGCATTGCAGTTGATTTGGGAAATAATCCCAGGAAGTACAGCTAAGGCAGTGGGTGGGGAAGTGAGAGAGAGAAGGCAAGAAAAGCAACAGAAGGTTCATGACCTAGTAAGCTATCGTTGCAGCTTTTGAAGCTCAATCCCACTGGGGACCTCAGGAGAATGCAAACTGTGTCCCACCCGAGGGGCAAGGAAGTGGGGGCATTTCCTTCTACCTCTCTTCACTCATGGGTGGAGGGCTGCTCCCAGGAGCATCCTCTCCCCAGGACTCCTGTCTGCTCCACCAGGTGGGCCATGAGGAAGCCTGCAGGTGGACAGTCTTGGGTGCTTGCAGTAGGATGCTGCTGGAATATAGTGGAACCAGCGGTGCTGAAGAGACAGGGCTGGGACACCACAATGTCTGCTAAACTTGGTAAAGAAATGAATTTAGAAAGTCATTGCTGGGGCCAGGTGCAGTGGCTCACACCTGTAATGCTAACATTTTGGGAGACCATGGCAGGTGGATTACTTGAGGTCAGGAGTTCGAGACCAGCCTGTCGAACATAGTGAAACCTCATCTCTACAAAAAATACAGAAAATTAGCCCTGTGTGGTGGCACACGCCTGTTGTAATCCCAGCTATTTGGGAGGCTGAGGCACAAGAATCACTTGAACCCAGGAAGTGGAGGTTGCAGTGAGCCAAAATCACACTACTGCACTCTAGCCTGGGCGATGGAGCGACACTCCGTCTCATAAATAAAAATTTAAAAAAAAGGAAAGTCATCGCTGGATATGTTAAATGTTTATGTTTATTATTAAATTTTTTATTGTGGTAAAATATACACAACACAAAATGTACAATTTTAACCATTTTTAAGTGTACAATTCAGCAGCATTAAGTGCATTCACCATGTTGTGCAACCATCATCACCATCTGCCTCCACAACGTTTTCATCTTCCCAGATAGAAGTTCTGTCCCCACTAAACACCAACTCCCCATTCCCGTCCACTCCCAGCCCCTGGCAAACACTTTTCTACTTTCTGTCTCTATAAATTGGGCTATTCTAGCTGCCTCATATAAGTGGAATCATACAGTATTTGTCCTTTCATGTCTGGCCTGGATATATTACATCTTAAAACACACATATCCTTTGGCCCAGAAATGGCAATGCTTGTAATCTACGCTTTACAAGAAAAGCCCCAGTGGTACTAAATGACATCTGTCTCAAAATTTTCATTGTGGAATTGTGTGTCAAGATGAAAAACCTGGAAATTACTTCCGTCAAAAGAGGATGCTGATTGAACAAATAATTGTATATCCATATTCTCAGACATTATATAGCTATTAAACAGAGTGAGTAGACATATATGGATCAGTCTGGTAATGGCCAACATACGCAAAGTTTAAGCAAAAAAAAAAGGCAAGTCACCAAGTAGTGTTTGAGAGTGATTTCATTTTTGTTTTTGAAAAAGAAAAAGAAAGAAATGCAAAAACACCATATGTGTTGAACATGTGTACATGTATGTTGCATGAACATGTAGAGAAGCATATTAGATTAACCCAGGAAGGATGGGTCTGGGGAGGTGGGGTTTAATTTTTCTTTTTCTTTTTTTGTTTGAGACAGAGTCTTGCTGTGTTGCCCAGGCTGGAGTGCAGTGGCACGATCTCGGCTCACTGCAACCTGCACCTCCCAGGTTCAGGTGATTCTCATGCCTCAGCCTCCCAAGTAGCTGGGATCACAGATGCATGTCATCACATCTGGCTAATTTTTGTATTTTTAGTAGAAATGGGGGTTTCACCATGTTGTCCAGGCTGGTCTCAAACTCCTGACCTCAGGCGATCCGCCTGCCTCAGCCTCCCCAAAGTGCTGGGATTATAGGCATGAGCCACTGTGCCCAGCCTAACTTTTCTTTATTTAACTCTTTACAATAATGTGTATCACTGCTGGAATAAGAATAGCAGTAATCAATAAAAGCATCCTATACATCATGACCTAGTAATTCTACTCTCAGCATATACCCCAGTGAAATGAGTGTTTATATCCGTTGAAAGGCAGGTGCAATAATGCTCATAGCAACATTGCATACATTAGCTAAAAACTGGAAACAAACAAATGTCCATTCGGAGTTTAAAAACTCGTTAATTATTTACTCACTTATCACCAAGCTATCCCTACACAGTTGCCCAATGGAAAAACTACACAGCAATAAATCAGAGCAATATACTGATGCATGCAAAAAGAAGGAGTAATTTCACAGACACAAAGATGAGCAGAGGGAGCCCAACTCTATTTAGATGAAGCTTAAGAAACAGTGAAGCCAGGCGTGGTGGCTCACGCCTGTAATCCCAGCACTTGGGAGGCCGAGAAGGGCAGGTCACGAGGTCAGGAGATCGAGACCATCCTGGCTAACACAGTGAAACCCCGTCTCTACTAAAAATACAAAAAATTAGCTGGGTGTGGTGGCGGGCGCCTGTAGTCCCAGCTACTCAGGAGGCTGAGGCAGGAGAATGGCGTGAACCCGGGAGACGGAGCTTGCAGTGAGCCGAGATGGTGTCACTGCACTCCAGCCTGGGTGACAGAGCAAGACTCCGTCTCAAAAAAAAAAAAAAAAAAAAGAGCCAGTGAAACCCATCGATGGTGTTAACCATCAGGATAGTCCTTATCTAACTTGGGGAGGCGAGGGGTGGGAAACCAGGAAGGGGTGACTGGGAAGGGGTGTGAGAGAGCCTGGAATTGTCCTATACCTTGATCTGAGCGGTGACTTTATGGATGCCTGTACAGTCATGCATCACCCAAGGATGATTTTGTTGTGCAAACATCATAGAGTGTACTTACATAAACCTCGATGGCACAGCCTACTACACACCTAGGATATATGGTACAGCCTATTTCTCCTAGGCCACGTACCTGTACAGCATGTTACTGCACTGAATAGCATAGGCAATTGTGACATGGTGGTAAGTATTTGTGTATCTAAACCTATCTAAATACAGAAAAGGTACAGTGACAATATAGCGTTACGGTCTTACGGGGCCACTGTCGTATACGCAGTCACTCATTGTCTGAAATGTTCTTATGCCGTGCATGACAGTTAATGTAAAAATTCATACAAGCAGAAAGATGTGTGCATGTTATGGTATATGTCTGATCTCAATAAATAAGAGAAAGACTAATAATCAACAGAGGGAAAGGGGGAGGAAGAGAGGGAGGGAAAGGGAGAGAAGAAGGGAGGGAGAAATAAAGAAAAGGAAGAAAGAAGGAAGGGAGAGAGGGAGAAAGAGAGGGAGGGAATATGTCAAATAGAAAAACGTGGCCAAGCAGTTTTTCTCGTGGCTGTCTCTAGGAGCAGAATAACAAATTCGGAAGCACGAGAGCACCTGAGTTTGAACCTGGGTTTGTTGTGGGGAAAATATCCCGCATCGCATTTCTCTGCTTTTCGTCAGGGCGCATATACTCAAATGGAGAAGTCTGGGAGGTAGGGAGGTGTCTTGGGCTTTGGGGATGTGCAGAATCTGGCTCTGCCATTTCCTAGCTGGTGCCCTTCAGCCAGGCTCACTGCCTCTCTGAACCCGAGAGCCCGTGGGCAGCCCACTGTCCTCGCAGCCCCTCTGAGAGGCCGGCATGAGATGCCAGATGTCTGTGTCTGAGCCTGGTTCATGGTAGACACTCACTCAATGTAGCCTCCTCTTCCCTCTGCCTTGCAGAATGAGAGAGTGGAGGGATCTGCTAAGTATCTGGACAGAGGGCTTTTGACAGGTGAAAGCACTTGAGAAAGAAAATCTTTGCAGTAGAATGGATGGTGGGGAATTTCTTCTAAAAAAAAAAAATCAAGCTTCCAACTCAAGCAAGCCTTTGGTGAAATTTAAGCATTTCTCTGATTATGTATCTAATATTGACCAGAAAGTGGAGGGAGTGGGAGTAGATAAAAGATGCTTCTAACTCAAAACTAGCGCTTTCATTTTTCCATATGCTGTGTTTATGATTATGGGTTTTAGAGCATTTTTCTTCTTGTATTTCATAAAATACCGCATCTATTCACATAATTCACCCCACTGCCCTTTCCCTGATATTTCATTGCAGAGGAGGGAGGGAAAGGATCAGATGAGCCTCTGGGGGCCGGTTCTCCACCTCCTTGGCAGACAGTTTCATGCGCTGTCTTTCTGAGGTCTGGTGACTCACCAGGAGTTACCCGCCAATCCACAGGCAATCTTAGCCCTTTCTTCCAGAATTCCCTTTTTCTGTGAAATAACACTCAATCGTGTGAAAGACAGACTGCTGAAAGGGGAGGCATGCGTGTGAGACAGTGTTTGTATGTGTGTGTCTATGTGTGTCTCTGTGTGTGTGTATGTGTGTGTCTGTGTGTCTCTGTATGTCTGTGTGTGTCTCTGCATCTCTGTATGTGTGTGTCTGTGTGTATGTTTGTGTGTCTCTGTGTGTATGTGTGTGTCTGTGTGTGTGTTTGCAGGGGGAAGGAAGAAAGCTGGAAGGCAGCAGGAGAGGGGAGGTTTGTGGAGGATTGTGAAGTGGTATCTGCCTTTAGAAGCGCCTTTCTTTGGGGTCTGCAGGTTGAGGGTTCTGGTGGGGGATCTTGGGGGCTTCTGTGCGCTCCCACCAAACGCTAACTGGAGGGGCAGAGGAGGATAGCCTTCGTATGAGGTGTGCAGCTTGTGCATCACTGGGGCTTATGGTGTGTCCCAGAGTATGGGGTCATAGCTCAGGGCTTTCGGGAGGAAGACCCATGCGGGAAGTTGAGGCCCACTGCAGGAGAGTGGCAGGGTGGGCCGGTGAGGACCTTTCCATCCGCATGCAGCATTAACTTAGGCAAAGATCCCCAAACACAGGGCTCAGGGGAATTCCTTTGGCTACTGCTCTCCATTCAGCAGGTGGAAAGGTTCCTTGGATCCTGGCACCCAAACCCTCTGCTTTATAGAAGGGTGGCCCTCCCTGTTCTTCTGTGGGCTCTTGTGATGTGTGTCTCCCACCACCTGCACACTCAGCGATTGTTCACATCTCTCTCCTTTCTAGATAATAAACATTTGAAAGCAAGGCATGGGGCTTCTCCATTTCTCTATCCCCAGGACCTGGCACTAGACAGAGTACACAGTAAGTGCTCAGTAATAGCCATTCAATGAATACAAGAGGCAGTGAATAAAGGGACAGCCTAGTGCTGGTCTCTGCTATCCCCGAGATCAAACCTGCTCAGCATTCCTGAGAAGATGGAAGACATCAGGAGAGCTGGATGCCTTGGTGGCAGGTTAGAAGGGAAAGTTAGGGATGGGGCCCCTTCTTCTCCTTTCTGCAGGTGCCTTTACTTTGCACCTTCTGCCCTCTAGTCTTCCAAACAACCTGAGAGGTAGGTGTCATGATCCCCAGTGTGCAGATGAGAAAACTGAGGCTCAGAGAGGCCAAGGGTCTGGCCCAAGTTCAGATACAATGGGCAAGGGGTGCAATTGGGATCTGACCCAGGCTGTTAGGCCGCAAAGTCCTGCCTCTCTCTGCAACTCCATGACACCTTCCTACAAAGTGGGGTCCTAGCACTTCCCATGAAATGCAAGAGAGCTTCATGCGTGAGATCATGCGTGAGAACAGATAGTTGGCCACACAATTATGGTTGTATCACGGGATGAGCTGCTCTAGGTGGCTCCTGCAAGCTCATCTCACCCTGGTCACTGGCCAAGAAGCCACGGCCAGTCTGCTTTCTAGAACAATTCCCTTTTAAGTCTGTTCTTGACATACATGTTAAGCAGAAAGCCCATGAATGAATGAAGCCCAAGATCTAGCTATTTGAGAGAGAGGCCCGCTTGAGACCTACAGAATCAATCTACAAACTCAAGGATGCCTGTCCTTACAGGACAACCCCAGGGATTGGCAGGACACAGTCTAGCCACCTCCAAAACAGATTCTTAGAATGGGACTGTCCCATCGAATACCCTCATGGAAACATGAGAAGATGAAGGCCTGGAGACGGTGACATGGCTGAGGTCATAGGGTCTACTGCTTGGGATGACTGGCCCTGGGCTTGTTCCATGTGCAGTACTGAAGCTTTTCACACAAGAGTAAGCTTCTCTCTCTGCCCAGTTGACCTCACCCTGCTACATGAAGCCGCCGTTGCTGATAATGGCCTTGTGGTCCCACAGCATGTGTGTGTTACCTGCTCCTCTGGTCCCATTGGAAGTGGGGGTCATTAGCCCAGGGCTGTCTCCCGGGAAACAGAGGAGCAGAGAGGGTCCGTGCCTCACCCAAGGTCACAGGGCAACAGCCTTGAGGCAGGTCCCAGACTCAGGTTTAGCCTCCAGGGAACATTTAGTGTTGAAATGTTTTAAGGTTCCCTTTCTAGAACCCAGTATGTGTGTGTAATATGGGGCTGGGTCACTTTTCACAAGATCAAAAAGAGTTCGGAAGGGGGACTGTGTCTCCATCAGACCAAGAAACTGCCATCCAAGATCTTTCTGGTTAAAACTTTTCCAGAACATGTATTGACCTCAACTCATAGATGAGGAAGGGAAACTCATTCATTGAGTCCCACTCATGTACCCAAATGTGCCAGCCAGGTTCTCTTTCAGCCTGACAGATGGGGAAACCATGGCTCAGAGAAGATAGGTGACCTATCCCCATCACCCAGCCAGGTCTGGCAGAGGCACCATTTTGGGGCCCAGTTCTGATCTGCATCCCTTTCAGTTCACCATGTTGGTTTCTAGCAGACCAAACCCTCAGTATCATGGTCAGAGAGAAAATTGCTCAACCCAAGCAGGCTGCAGACATTCTGTTTTATTGCAAAAAGAAAACAGCAGTAGGCCGGGAATGGTGGCTCATGCCTGTAATCCCAGCATTTTGGGAGGCCGAGGCGGGCAGATCACCTGAGGTTGGGAGTTTGAGACCAGCCTGGCCAACATGGTGAAACCCCATCTCTACTGAAAATACAAAAAATTAGCCTGGCGTGGTGGCGGGCTCCTGTAATCCCAGCTACTTGGGAGACTGAGGTGGAAGAATCGCTTGAAACCGGGAGGCAGAGGTTGCAGTGAGCCGAGATCGTACCACTGCACTCCAACCGAGGTACAACAGAGCAAGACTCCATCTAAAAGAAAAACAAAAAACAAAAAACAGCGCTAGAGTTGCTGTCTCCCAAGAGTCCCTTCTAAGCATGGCAATGGAACCCAGGAAGGGAAAGCCTCCGTTTTCCTGGGGTCCCAGTGTACGCATCCATCCACTGCTATTTGGCCATGAGGAAACCTCAGCCTGGAGAGGCACTGGCAGGCAGTAGCTGTGCAAGACGGGAACTGTGCAAATGCCCCACCTTTATGCACTAGTTTCCCTGTCCTGGCTGAGCTGAGCGCCCTTCCACCATGAGTGGCCACACTGAGCTGCCCTGTCCTTCTCAGGGCATCCAAATAGAGACGAGGTGGTCAGCTGCAGCTGCAGCGGTATGGGAGGGGGGTCTTCACATGGAATTACATTACATTTATACATTGCCCAGCTCAGGGCTTGGCCTGTGGGAGACGATCAATGACGATGAATTATGCCTCCACCACCCCCATCCTCAGTAGGACCTGGACCCAAGAATCTGGTCCCACTGTACGTGACCAGAGGAGGTGAAGCCCTTAGCGGGATGAAGCCTTAGCAAGCCAGCCGTACCCAGACATTGCGGATGCACCTCGGCCTGGTCGGTGCTACATCTTTGTGCCGTAAAGAGGCATTGTGTGGAGAGAAGTCCCCAGCTGGGGTTATTTAGGAGCAGAGGACGTGGGGAAAATCTACTTAGCTGGCAGAGGCTCTTCTGATAAAGCAAGGGCATGTTTGGGGACACATGCTGGGCCAAGCTGTTAAGAGTCCCCTCAGTCTGTTGGTGGTCTGGGGGCCAGCTCCCACTCTCCAGCCTGCAGATACCAGAGCAGCACCTTCAGCTAATTATCTCCCTTCCAGGGGTTTCTCCCTTGGATTTGGGGATTTGGGGTGAGGAGCCGTTGCTGCTAATTGGTGTCTTCCCAATAATGCTCGGATTAAGCCTTGGGGGGATTACACTAAAGAGGCGAGAAGGTAATACCCAAAATAAACACGAGTGCCCTTCCTGAATGCATTCTTGCCAGCAAGTTAAATCGTCCAGCCCCTAGGGCCTGTTCCTAAAAGATTTAAGTACTAATTCAGGGGAGGGGGTGGGTGGGACACATAGTAGATTTCTACTGATTCTGACTTCTTCTGACATCTTTTAGAAGCTTCGTTTCTGCGCTATTTGATTCCCTTTGACGATTGTCAAGTTAAGTTTACTAAAAACTGGAGAAGACTTTGTTCCGGGGTGGGAGGGGGAAGGGGGGGCTGCTGGATTAGAAACATGAGCCAATCTGCAGCTTGTCCATCCGCCCTGGCATCGTTTTATTTCTGCGTTTCTGAAAGGATTCAAGTAATCAATTCCAGAGGACAAGCTTGGGGAACCTTGGCAAAGGGGCCTCCCTCTTGGCTATTGCTTTGAATATTTTATGTAGCTAATAGCGTTCTGATGGGGCCCAAAATGTGGGTACTTGGAAACCTGCAGGGTCCCCTGTGAATTTCCACTCAGATGGACGTTCCCAGTCCCCCTTGAGAGCAGATCTCTGGAGTCCCTCCAGCAAGGAATTCACATCCTGGATTCCAGCTCAGGAGTTTTGCATGAATTTTCATGCTTTGAAGGAAGAAAATCTTAACAACTGGCCGATAATCACAGTTCACATTTATTGAGCATCTACTGTCTCTCTGTGCTAAGTGCTTGCACTCGCCCTCTCATTTAACCCTGACAAGGCCCAGTGAGGACGGACCAAACATTGTCCCCAGTTCCCAGGTGAGATGGCCAAGGCTCCCAGGGAGTAAGTGGCAGGGCAGGATTCACACTCCAGCCCAGCCTACTCTCCATCCCAGGCAGAAGGCAAGTGAGAAGCATCCTCTCTCGGATGCAGAGTCTCCAGGCTGCACTGTGCGGGCACCCTCAGGCTCACTGAAGCCACCTCCAGAGAAGATGTGGACATGAAGTAGCCTAACGTACAGAGTCATTGAATGGCAGGAGCATGAGCTGCGTCCCCATCACAGCCTCCCCTCCAAATGGTCCCTTCGTCTCCATTTGTTTTCCCACAGGGACAAGCAACTCATCTCTCCCTAAGGGAGCTCTGGCTGATGCCACCCTTTTCTGAGCTGAGATCTGAGTCTGGTAGGTTCTCCCACAGGCTCCCACGGGCCCACAGAACACACATTTCTGTCTCAGTCTCACAGAAATGATAATTCGCAAGCCACCTTTTTAATCTTATTCACATTACTGGATTGATACTGGATTGTTACTTCCATTAAGTAACATCAGAAAACGGAGACAAAAACAGATTTTCTGTAACTCACCTGAAAACCACTTTTGAGGCTGGCCTGAGAGTGTTGTGCTCCCCTCCTTACTACGGTGCCCGCAGAACACACGAGTACGGGGACATCGGGTGGCCTGGCTCTGGGTGCCCTGGACTTCCAGGCTGAAGCCCTGGCTCTCAGCTCCAGCCCCACCACTTACTCTCTGTGACCCTGGACTAGTCGCCACCCTCCTCTGAAACTCTTTAAATGGTGTTAGCACCCCCTCTCAAGGGGCCGCGGTGAGGGTCAAATGAAATGAGGAATCAACACGGATGCTTGGGGTTCCCAAGACCATCGGGGTGCCCGGCCCAGAGCGACGCTCCGCTGGCCAGCATTTGTTCAATGAACGAATAAAGCGACACACACATCTCCTTGCTGAAAAGCCAGGAAACGGCTGCACGTTAGCAAATGGGCTTGAATAGCACGTCTTTGACCTTAGTGTGCCCTTTGCTTTCCTAAGCCTCCGTTTCTTCATCCTTGTAACGGGTAAGTTTTGTTACCTTGAGACGTTATGAGAACAACATGCGGAGAGAACCAGCACCTGGCACACAATAAATAGGTGGGTGGTGGATAACCATCGTCTTCCCCTCCCTTTTCTCACCCCTGTTTGAAGGTAAAAGTATTGCCGCTGCTATGACATAAATTTCAACTGGTTTTTTATTAGCATTAGCAAAGAGGTAAGAAATGAACTTACACAAATGCTGTAATCAGAACATTGTGCTTCTTGTAAATTTGAGGCAATGTATGTGTCATTCTGCTCTTTGTGGAATTAATTGTTTTCCAAGTGGCTTGTTCCTCAGGTAACCTGATGTTGACGGCAATAATGCAATTTTCATATCGAAATGTTGTTCTAGAGGGAGTGTGTCTATTTCACTTAGGCTTGCTGAAACCCAATCTGCAGGAAAGGACGTTATAGCAGAATTGGAGGTTAAATTTCATTTGCTGATTTAATAAAAACTAACAGGATGGATTTGGGGATATTTCATTAATCTTTCTTTCCTTTCAGTGCAAAGGAAATTAAGTTCACTCTAGTTCAAACTTTGTTTCACTCTTATACAATAGGCTGCCAATGTCCACTTTCTCTCTGGCAAGTTCAAACCTAATTAGTTACAGAAAATTCCTCCTTGACCCTGTCACCGTTAGCAGAAAAGCACTGAGCGACAGGCATGGAGACGTATACTTGCATGAATGCGTACACACACCATACGCACTACACATCCACACACAACACACACACATACACACCCACACACCAATATACCACACATGTACACACCCATACATACACACATGTACATACACACACCACGCACATATAAGTCACACACACCACACACACACCACACACATATAAGTCACACACACCACACACACACCACATACACCCACACACCACATACCACAAACACACGCCACACACACATATACATACCCTCACACACCATACACACCCACACACACCACACACATCACATACCACAAGCACACCACACACACAAACCCCCACACACCACAAACACGTATACACACCCACACACACCACATAGCATACATATCACATACATGTACACACCACACATCTCACACACACCACACACGTACACACCCACATACCAACAAACTACACGCAGGCACCACACACACGTGCACAACCCTCCACACCACACACACGTACACACCCACACGCACCACACACGCCACATACCACAAACACACACATAGCCACACATACCACAAACACATATACACACCCACATACCACACACTACACACAGGCACCACACACCACACACATATGTGCACACCCCCACACACATTTACACACCCACACACCACACACATGCACACCACCCACACACACCACACACATACACACCCATACACAGCACATACACATGTACACACCCACACCACACAGATACCCACACACCACACATACACATACACACCCACACACACTACACACATACCTACACATACCACACGCCCACACATACACACATGTATACACTACACACATACTTCACACATGTATACACACATACCCCTACACACCACATACACATACACACCCTGCACACCACACACACACTCACACCACACACATGCACACACCCCCACACACATCCACTCCTACACACACCACATACACAGTACACACCCACACTCCACACATGTATACACCCACACACCACATGCACATACATACATACCCACATACATCACACACATGTACACACCACACACACACCACACCACACACCACACACATCACCCACACACACCACACAAACACACATACACACCACACACATGCACCTCCCCACATACCACACACGTACGCCCCCCACCTCCACCCCCATGCACACACTACACACACACCACACACGTGTACACACATACATGCACACATGCACCCTCATACACACACATGCACACACTACACACACCACACACATGTACACACCCACACAAACCACACACTACAAACATCACACACATACACAGTCCCACACACCCATGTACACACCTATACACACCACACACATACGTACCCACACACATCACACACACATACACACCACACACACCACATAACACGCACACCATACACACATCACACACACATACATGTACATGTCACACACACGTAGACACCCACATGCCACACAAATCACAAACATCACACACACCATACCCACAAACCACACACATGCACAACTTACAAACACCACACCTGGGAGGCCCAAGTGGGCAGATCACCTGAGATCAGGAGTTCAAGACCAGCCTGGCCAACATGGCGAAACCCCATCTCTACTAAAAAATACAAAAAAAAAAAAATTAGCCGAGCGTAGTGGTGGGCGCCTGTAGTCCCAGCTACTAGGGAGGCTGAGGCAGGAGAATCACTTGAACCCGAAAGGCGGAGGTTGCAGTGACCCGAGATTGTGCCATTGCATTCCAGGCTGGGCAACAGGAGCAAAATTCCATCTCAAAAAAAAAAAAATTAAATTAAAAAAAACCACATCTATGCCACCCACATACACTACAAACACACACCACACACATCACACCCACATCTGCACATATATACCCCCCAACACACACACCCTTGCTACCCTTTGCTGAGCCTTGCTTTGTAGTTGGTGGGTTTTAAGACCTGAGTGTGATGATGGTCCTGAAAACACAGTGACAGATGTGGATTTTGCAGAAGCTCACGGCCAGGACACCATCACGTGACGTTATGGCCTCCCCGGATGTGTCTTCCTCACTTGCAGAATAGGCCGGGGTACTTTCAAATGGAGAAAGGGTCTCTTTCCAGTTATAGGCACCATAATCAGCATCGGGCTTGTCAGCATCAGCCCTGTATTTTGACTCTGCCGACTCCTTTTCAGGGGTAACTTAAGGCAGGGAGAGCATGGAGGAAAAGACCTCAGGCTTGGGAGCCTTGGGGAGCCCACATTTGAGCCCCGGCTCTGCTGATTTGAGCTGTATGACCTTGGGCAAGCGACCTGAGCTCTCTCAGCCTGCATTTCTGTGTGTGTGCGTGTGTGTGTGAGTGTGAAATGGGAATAAAAAATCCCTGGTCTACTTGTCTCAGAGAGAGAGGTAAGGATCAAAAAAAGCCTTTCAGGGTTTAATCTAACACAGGAGAAAGCTGTTTCAAATTCCCTGCACGAGCCTACGAGGAGTGTGGGTGCCGTGGCTGTCCTCCTGGGAGCCTGTGGTGCTGCGCTAGGCACAGGCGAACAGTATGCAAATAAGTGTTAAATACTGCAATGCAGTAACCCATGATGTCATTAACAAGCACTTATCACAGGTGGGGCACAGGGCTGGGTCCTTTATCACAGCGAATCCTCATAGGAGGGAGGTGCTGGCACTCCCATGCTCATTGTACAGGTCAGGCTCAGAGGTCACGTGGGCTCGGCGGCAGTGAAGCCAGGGCTGAACTCTGGTGCCGGGGACAGAGCAGTGTGGTGTCAGGCGCTGCAGGACTGCAACGCCAAGACTGGGGGCCAGATGCCCAAGCTAAGGGACCCATGACTCCGCTGTGACCTTGGAACTTGTCCTTGGAAGGAGGAGGGGAGTTGACCGCATAAGGAAGGTGGGGAAGGCAGGGTGATGGGCACGTTCATGGAGGGAAAGGTGGCTGGGTGATTAGAAGCCTGCCGGGAAGAAGTGAGGCTTGAGCCGGGCTGAGAAGGGTGGGCAGAGTCTGGTGTGGTGGGTGGAAGGCAGAGAAGATGTGCTCCAGGAGAGGGAGAGGCCTGGCCTCACCAGGGGAAGGAAGGGACAGGGGCTGAAGAGGCGGTTACAGGCCCCAGGAACCGGGGACCTATGGGGCCTCCGGAGAGCTCAACCCGGGGTGCCTGGGGGTCCTTCCGAGGCGGTCACCAGGCCTCCAGGCCCCACTGGCATCATGGGAGCCGGGACAGCCTGCCCTCCCCCAGCTCCCACTGAGCCCCTAATTCTGCCTGCCCTGCCTGACCAGCACCACCAGCCACCATGGTCACTGCCGCCTCTTGGAGACAGGGAGGCAGAGGCTCCGAGAGACACATGCCAGCTCGGGGTTGCAGCGAGTGGGTGGCGGCTCTGGGTTTGCAGTGCAAGGTGGCTGAGCCCTGGGTCATTCTCCCTCCACAGAGCTAAGCCACCCTTTATTCCTGACCACCATCCCTCCCTGACTGCTCACCTCTGCCCTCAGAACTTCCTCAGTCAGGGCAAGAAACGGCCTCCCCCTCAGAAATCTCAGACCCCCAATCCTGGACTGCTGTGGGTGGAGGTTCTCGGAGGTCCCCTCCCCTGATGGTTTCAGGACAGTTCTCCTCTGGCTTAGCAGTCCCCAGAGGAGTCCCAGGGGTCGGGTCTCCAGGCCCCAAGCCCCAACCAGGGAAAGTCCACTTCTGTCTCATTATGGGGGTCTCCTTTTTGAAGAGATGTCTGCCCCTCATTGCTCAGTGACTGAAGCAGAGCCCCAGGGAGCGGGGTGGCTTTTCCATGGACCCCCTGTGAGGCAGAGCCCGGCTGGATGGGCCGTGACTCCCAGGCCAGCCTCCTGTGAATGGCCTTTCTCTCATGCTCTTCACAGGCTTGAAAGGGGCGCCACAGCCTGCGACTCTCCCATCCCTCCCCTCTGATCCACAGCCCCTGCCTTTGCCCAGACCTCACGCTGCTGCTCACTGTGGCCCAAGGAAAGAATGAATGAAAGAGACCAAGAGAGCTGAGGGAAAGCCAGGAGGTGGGTGGTGGCACAGCCAGGACCAGGCGACCTGAGAGCTTCCCACAGCCAGAAGCTCAGAGCAGAGTCCCTGGAGGTGGACTGGACCTGGATGGGGATTCAGAGAGCACATTCCCACTCCTGGCCCCTGCCTCACTGGGGCCGTTGTAACCTCAGAATCCTTCTCAACCCAGGGCACCATCACCAAGCACCTTTGTGTCACTCCATGTAACCAGGCTCCTCTAAGTATTTACATAGTGAGTACACATATGTACTGACCCTATGAGGTAGGTACTATGACCACCTCCATTTCACAGATGAGGAAACTGAGGCACAAGGATGTGAAGCCTTGCCCCGTGGGACCCAGAGCATGAGAGGCAGGGCTGGGACAAGGCACAGGCAGTGAACCCCCAAGTCTTGTCTTCTAACCTTTCCAACTCATGGCCTCAATCAGAGTTAGCAGGTGCTAGGAAATGTATTGCTCATACTTGGATTCGATTAATAATGTCCGTCTGTCCATCCATCTACCCACGCTCCCACCCATCCATCCATCCATTCATTCAGCCTCTTTGGCCTCTCTATCCACACTTCATTCCATCTTGCTTTATTGCCTTCGGAGCACTTGAAACTCCGAGCTTACCTTGTTTACCTGTTAGGTTTTGTATTTCCCTGTCTCTCGCCCGCCTCCTCCTTCTACAGGGTGCGCTCCTGGGGTTAGGATCTCTGAAGGCAATGTGTGGACCCTCAGCAACCTGCCTCCTTCATGGCTGAAGCTCTGGGACATAGCTTGGGCCACCCCTGGGGAGCACTCCAGGCCACTGTCAGGTGTGAAGCACGAGCCAGCCCAGCCTCTGCCATCAGCACCACCACAGACAGCTCAGAGTCATGCAGGACACTTGAAGACCTGCACTGTTTCCGGCTGGGTCCAAGAACCCACTCTCACGCAGCTGCAGTCTGGCTGAGCCTCTCCCTCCAGGCCACCTCCTCATCCTCCCTGTGTCCCCATTTCTGGCAAGGAGGGAGCCACTCTCCTTGTGATGAGGTCTGGAACTGGAGCTGTGAAATCCCACCTTCCCTCCCTCCCTCCCTCCCTCCCTCCCTCCCTCCCTCCCTTCCTTCCTTCCTTCCTTCCTTCCTTCCTTCCTTCCTTCCTTCCTTTCACCTATGCCCAAGAGTGTGACTTCCCATTCTCAAGCATCTGGTGCTAATTCCAATCCTCTTACTAGGACTCCTTAAAGGCTCTTGAGTTGGAGCTCTTGAAACAAAAACCCACCCCTCACTTCCCTGCTTCTGATTCATCTAACACGTTGCTTCTTCCAGGAAGTCCTCCAGCCACCACCTCACCCAGCCTAGTTTGGGTGTCCTGACTGTGCTCCCACAGCACATTTATAACGCATGCTATAATGTACCTGCAACTGTAAGCTGGAGAGCTGCCACCCCTGGTCTGTGGGCCCTTGGAGGGCCGGGGCCTCATCTTATTCCTGCCGCACCCCATGGTAGGTGTGCAACCCCCATTTGTTTAGTGAAGAAGCAAGTGAACACATTCTGTTGGGGGCACACACGGGTCTCATTTGGAGCCCACTTGGTGCCCACCCATGCGTCTTCCTCACAGGGCTGGGCAGAAGCCACAGTCCATCCTGTCCTCTTGTCATCATCCCACTAAACACGAAACCTTGTCATGGCTTAGGAGGGTCTCTCCCAGCAAACATAAGGGTATTGCTTGACGGACTGGCATTTGGGGGATCCCCTTGTTGAAACACAAGGCTGTGTGAAGTGGAGCCGCAGCGACCTGACAAGCAGGGGAAGCTCTCGCCTGCATCGTTCCAGGAGGACACAGGGTGAGGAAGGTATCAGCATTCTAGCCACTCTCCAGATTTGATTATAGCTGATAAGGATCATGGAGGAATGTGCTGCCAAGACAGTCACGCCAGGGCAGCCTAATTCAATAGTCTGTGGCTCGGTGTTGTGTGTCCGTCTCAGGTATGGTCGCAGGTTGTGTGGGAAGGAAGGGCACGCAGGTCTGCAGGACAGACGCTGCTGTTGGAGAGAGCCAGTTCACCAGGGCCTGGGCGCTGCCAGGGACCGGGTTCCCACGCCGTCAGCACATTCTTGGCCCGCTGCTTGGGGAGGAGAGCTTCTCGCCCAGGGAGAGGTGTTTTCTAATTTCCTGCATTCACTCTCAGGAGGGTCGCTGTCCTGCTGTTCCCTGAGTGGCCTCCCTCTACAGCCTCCCACAAACCCCACCAACCTGCTCACATTGCTGGGATCACAAGCCCAGGTAGCGGGTAGGGCACTGGCTCTGCTTCCCTCCCTCTCTTGGAGGCCCAGAGAGGAGGGGGCTCGGCCAAGGTCACAGCAAGGTCTGCAGGGAGCCAGGCCTCAGCCCCGATCCCAGGGCTTCAGGAGCCCAGAGGACGAGGGGGGCTGCTGAGATAGTGTCAAGTACATGGCTCACCCCTGTTTATGGGGGCTCTCGTTTACACTCAGGGTTTATTTCAAGACGTGGCTCCTCTGCGAAGCCTCTCCTGTTCCTCAGGCTGAGCGAGCCCCCGCCCACTGTGCCACTCTCCCCCACAGCCCTGCCAGCCCAGCCCAGGTCCTAAAAGCCTGGGTGGCTCTGTTGACTTCTCTTGGGTGGGATTCTACTTGAGCCCCCCATCTCTGGGGCCTATGTGCCAGTGTGGGTGGCCCAGCAGCCACAGTCTGGAGGCCAGAAGTGGCCCCAGCCAGCCTGGGATGCCCCCTCTGAGCTGGATGAGAGTCAGGCAAGCCCTTCGAGAGCTGCTGTGGCTGCAGGCTGGACCTGTCTACCCCCCAACCTCTGTCTGCGGAGCCCTCTGCTCTACCAACCTCAGCGTGTGCATTCCCAGCCAGGGTCTCCGCTTGCTTGTGGGATGTTGCAGGGAAGAGCAGGCGGCAGATGAAGCCAGGGCACCTCCTCCATCTCGGGCTGTTGCTTGGAGGCACCAGTGGATTTCCCCAGGGTTGCCCAAGTGACCTGGCAGGCCAGACACAGGCCTGGAGAATAACATCCGTCTTTATGAAGCACCTGCTGTTTACTCTTCCTCAGGTGCTCAGGGCCATGGGGGACACAGCTACATGAGAGGGACAATTCGAGAAAAATGGCTGCTGGAAGTGAGCTTGCTGGTTTTTGAAGATTTCTGCCCAATATAAGGGTGGTGCATGCAGGCCTCAAAACATGTTAAAGGAGGATGTTGTAAATATCAAGGTCAGGATGTGATCAATATTATAGTCATTTAGCCTCTTTGGGTGGCATTTCTACAGGTTTCTGGAAAAGAAGATTAGGAGGAAATGCCTTTCTTTGATATGTTCACATTCTGATGATAAATATAGGCTGAATAAAAAGCTAGTTGAGGGGCTGGGTGTGATGTGCATGCCTGTAATCCCAGCACTTTGGGAGCCCAAGCTGGGCAGATTGCTTGAGCCCAGCAGTTCAAGACCAGCCTGGGCAACATAGCAAGACCCCATCTCTACAAAAAGTACAAAAAGTAGGTGGGCATGGTGGCACACATCTATAGTCTTGGCTACTTGGGAGGGTTAGGTGGGAGGATTGCTTGATCCCAGGAGGTCGAGGCTGCAGTGAGCTGAGATCTCACCACTGCACTCCAGCCTGAGTGACAGAGTGAGACTCTGCTTCAGAAAAAAGCTAGCTTATATATAGGGTGAAAATACAGTTACCTGCATGTTGACATATATATGTAATTTTCAATAGATATACTTAGGTTTTATAACAATTTATGAAGTGCGTCCACATGCACATTTGCGCATATAAATTATATACAAAATATACGAAAAGTTCTTCCAAAAGCGTGTTCCCCAGATGAAAGGATTTCCAGTGTTCCTGAAACACACAAAGCTGATATCATAGCATCAGTTATAATGACAAGACAAGTTTATGAGAAGGAAGATCCTAAAGATCCTAAAAGTTGGCTCAAGGAGCCCCAAGCACTCTCACATGCATGCCTTACTGATAACCACACCACCACAGTCCCGGATCTCAGTCCCACTGGGTGGGCAGCACGTGCCTGCTAAGCAGCAAGGGGATGCTGAGAGCAGGCAAGGGTGGTGGGGGCGGGGGGAAACAGTGCAGGCTGCACAGACGGCTAGGGGCTGAGTGGACAGGGCCTTTTGGTTAGTCTGCCAGAACAGCCCTAACAGAGTACCTTAGCCCCAGGGTAGAGGAGGGAGGGCCAAACAGCAGAGATGCATTTGCTCACAGTTGCAGAGGCTGGAAGTCGGAATCAAGGTGTCAGCAGAGCTGGTTCCTTCTCAGACCTCTCTCCTTGGCTTGCAGGTGGCCGCCTTCTCCCTGTATCCTCATGTGTTCTCTCTGTGTGTGTGTGTGTGTGTGTGTGTGTGTGTCTGCCTGTCCTAATCTCCTCTTCTTATAAGGACAACAGTCAGAATTGGATTACAGCCTGCCCTAATGACCTCATGTTAGCTTAATCACCTTGATATGGTTTAGCTGTGTCCCCACTCAAATCTCATCTTGAATTGCAGCTCCCATAATTCTCATGTGTTGTGGGAGCGACCCAGGGGGAGATCACTGAATCACGGGGGTAGTTTCCCCCATACTTTTCTAGGTTAGTGAATAAGTCTCATGAGATCTGATGGTTTTATAAAGGGTTTCCCCTTTCACTTGGCTCTCATTCTCTCTCTTGCCTGCCGCCATGTAAGACATGGCTTTAACCTTCCACCATGATTGTGAGGCCTCCCCAGCCATGTGGAACTGTAAATCCATTAAACCTCTGTTCTTTATAAATTACCCAGTCTCGGGTATGTCTTTATCAGCAGCGTGAAAATGGACTAATACACACCTCTTTAAAGACCATATCTCCAAATACAGTTCTGGGGATTAGGACTTCAGTAGATAAATTTAGGGAGTGGGAGCGTGGTTGGGGGACACAATTCAGCCTCTAAAGCCTTGGTGGAAGCAGGATGGGTGCCTGGACTCAGAGCCAGAAGGCCGGGGTTCCCAGCCCAGCCCTAGTCCTGAGCAGCAATATGGTTTGAATAAAGCCATTTCCCATCTCTGAGTCTCCATCTTCCCATCTGAGAAACAGGCATCATAATTCCACCCTGCCCCTCTCATGGGGCTGTGGGAGAATCCAGAGAGGTGAAGGATGCAGAAGTGTTTTGTAAGCTGTCAAGCACCATTTGCATGGGACCTAAGGTTATCCCTGTGCTGGGACCACCTGGCATGTGGGTGGAGGCAGGGATGGCTGGTGGGGCTGGAGCAGAGAAAGGGCACAGGTGAGGTTGGGTGAAAGGTGAGCTGGCAAGGCAGGCTTGCAGACGGCGATGGCAGAGGTTCAGAGCTCAGGAAACCATCTGCCAAGTGAGGCTTCGGTGGGGAGGGATGGGGCAATCTACAGAGGCGGCTGCTGTGGGAGGGGAGGCAGGGAGCCTTCTACCTCGGACTGCCCTGAAGGGAGCGATGTGGGGTTGGAATCAGCCTCTTCTCCACTTGCTATGCCATGAGAGTGCAGGCTTCATTAACCTGGAGAAAGAGACTCCGTTCACTAATTCATATGAAGGTTCTGGAAAATTCTGGAAGGTTCTGAAAAGCTGGCAGAGGCCTTGATTTGGATGTGGGTGAATGGGAGTTTATTTCATCCAGAAGAAGCAGAGCAGAGCCTCTAAATTCTACCAAGCCTTCTTGTCCACCCAATCCAGGCCTTTCTCTCGAGTCGGCATGGTTCCACTTCTCTGACTGCATCGGGAATTACCTCTCCTTTGGGCCAAAGACAAAAAAGAATGCAGACTTGTTTCCAGGATGATTAAATTACATTCAGCATATTCTTCCCGAGTGCGTCCCGTCTTAGTGGGGTTTAGAGCTGCGTTCAGGCCAGCTGGGCTCCGGTTACCTCTAATGAGGATGATGATCTGGAGGCTTAGCGATAATTCTGCACTGATTCTCTTGTGCCTGCAGAACCTGTGTTGGCCAACTTGGATGGCAGGGGAAGATCAACAGAAGGTGCCCTCCACCCACGTCCTCCCAGCGCTCACCTTGGTCAGCCTGGGGGCCAAGGCCGCCCGCCCGCCCGCCCGTCCTACTTAAGAGTGGCCCAGTGCTCTGGGGATGAGATTAAACACCAGCTTACACCCTGTGGGGGAGAATGAAAGTTGGAGCAAGAAATAAAAACCCAAACAAAAAAATGCAGCTAATTCCATCCTGTCAGCGGTGGATATTAAAGACTATGCATAAGCCACAATGGCGCTACTGTTGAATTTTAATTTAATTTTCAGAAAGGTAAGCGAAGCCTCAAGGGCCGGTTGGAGGGGAGGCGCTGGAAGCTTTTCTTCCCTGCAGGCAGTCTGGAGTTTTCCTGGGATCTGGCTGGGTAGGTTTTCTGCCTCAGTTGGGAGAAATGTCCCATCAACAGCGACAACTGCAGCAACTGCTGTTTATTGAGCATCTACTGTGCGCTCTGCCTTTCCATGGAGCCTGCAGCTCTCGTAACAGTTCAGAAGTCAATGCAATTATCGCAATTTCCTGGAAGAGGAAACTGATGCTCAGAGAGGCTATGTGGGTTTGGTGAGGTCACAGAGCTGGGACTCCAGCCCAGGTCTTTCCGGCTCCACTGACCTTTCCAAACCCATGACCCCTGTTCTGTCCATTCTGTCACCATCCAAGCATTGGGACCTGTGGATCACAGGGTCACCTCTTTGGCTCTGTTTCCTGCAGCATCTGTTTCTTGGAAGTTGGATGAAGCTAATATTCATTGCCTCCTTTGCACAGCTGTCCCACCGCAGAGGGCCATGGCTCCACACCTGCCCCCAACACTTTTCATTTCTCAGCACATATTGAGCACACCCTCTTCCCTGGCACTGGGCTAGGCGTTTTTCATAGGTTACCCAAGGGCAATTAGTTTCTGCCTATTTAATAGCTTAGAAGTGTTGGGGCCAGAAATGGAACCCAGACCTTCGGGCCAGTATCCAAGCCTCTGCTGAGCTGCCTCCCTTGTTCTGATGTCAGTGTACTCTGCGGAGAAGCTCTCTTGCAAGTAGCAACAGAAAAGGCAAGAAGGGGTGCAGGAAGAAGGAACAGGCCAAGGGCATCGTACCACTTGTCAAGCTATGAATAATGCACATCTCTTTTTTTTTGAAGTGGACAAAGGGTGCCTGTGGCTAATGGATTTTAGATTGTTGTCCTGTGAGACCTGCTGGAAGTGTTCACTAGCTCTGTCCTTGGAGTGGGTAGGTCACGTGGTCACTGGAGACAAATGGCCTGAGAAAAATTTGTTTAACCTTGGCTCTTGCTTAAAAACACTGTAGATATCACGCAGGTACCCAATGAGGCCTCCAGTCAAAAAGACCCGGATTTAAATGCCAGATCAGACACAAACTTATTGGGTGCCCCTAGACATTCTTCTTATCCTTTTTTGGGACCCAGTTTCTCCATTTGCTACACGCAGATACGCACATACATTTTACCACCACTGCCCTGTGCTGACATAGGGTGTTGCGAGCTATGTTGGTAACTTTCATATTTTAATCTTTTGACAAGGACATGGGGTTTGAAAACATGGCTTACATGCTTTTAGCTTTGCAGTTTACAAAGAATTTTCCCATTCATTACGGGAAGATCAGGACCCCCATTTTTCAGATGAGGAAGCCGTGATCCGGAGAGAAGAAACTTCCCCATGTTCCCCTGCGAACCACTAGACTGAGTATTCTAAAGTGGAAACCTCATGATGTGTGTTTCGTGTTGCATGTATTTGTGTGTTCATGTGTATATGCATGTGCACAGCTGTATGTGTGCATGTGCATGCATGATTGTGCACGTGTGTTTGTGTGTGCACGTGTGTGCATGTTCATGTGTGTGCATTGTGCACAGGTGTGTGTGTGTAAAATCTGGGCCCCACTGATCACTCCAGTCCGAATTCTCATCACTCCCTCCTATCTCCCCACACCTGCTGTCCCAGCCAGAAGTCAGTCCCTGACTGCTCCGTCTTCTCAGCTGCCTTCATGGATAGGATAGCATCATAGTTTGGAGCCCTGACCCTGGATCCAGACTGCCCGGATTCAAATCCTGTTACATACCCTTCTGAGGCTTCAGTTATTCATTTATAAAATAGGTTTAATAGCACCTACTTATGAGGTTTAGATGTATCAATATTTGTAAAGTATTTAGAATATTACATAACATGTTGCAAGTGCTACATGATCGCTTGTTAAATAAGTAACAGGTTTCTCTCTCCAGGATGTTTTCCTTCTTTCAGGATTGGTCTGGGTTGGTGCCTTTTCTGTGCTTCCCACTGTGGTGGGACAAATCTCCCTGTTCTGGAATTGCCCATCCCCGAAGGCTATGAGATCTACTGTCTTTGAATCCCCAGTCCCCAGCACGGGGGGCCTGGGACATCAGAGTGTTCAGGAGGTTCTCTTATGGGTCCAGCCAAGTTAAGCTCAGTGTGGCTGTCTCTTTTTTATTTGTTTTAGGTTTATTATTATTATTATTATTGTTTGTTTGTTTGTTTGTTTGATACAGTGTTTCACTCCGTCACCCAGGCTGGAGTGTGGTGGCACGATCTCAGCTCACTGCAACCTCTGCCTCCAAAGTTCAAGTGATTCTCATGCCTCAGCCTCCTGAGTAGCTGAGATTACAGACACCCACCACCATGCCCCACTAATTTTTGTATTTTTAGTAGAGGCGGGGTTTCGCAATGTTGCCCAGGCTGGTCTCGAACTCCTGACCTCAAGTGATCCACCTGCCTTGGCCTCCCAAAGTGCTGGGATTACAGGCTTGAGCCACTGCACCTGACTGGCTGTCTCTTTAAGGCAGCACACTTTGGGCAAATCTCTCTGGAGGGCAATAAATAATAGCTGTGCTAGTTAAGCCCATGGACTGAGAAACTTTAGGCCACGGCTCTCCAGTGAAAATGATTCCTCCTCAGGGGAAAATTGTCTTCGATTTTTATTGTAAACTACTCAGGGCCTCCCATCCAAAAGCATGATAGCAGTTACCCAAACATCCACACCCTGCAGGAATAAAAGGCTGGAGAAGCCACCCTTGTCGCTAGACCATGTGTGCAGCTGCCCATGTGGGGTCCCAGGTCTTGTGCCCATACCTAAGTTAGACGTTCTTAACAGACACCTCATGGCTTGCAGCTCTGGTGGAAAGAGGCAGAATAGAGAGTCCTGCCTGCCATGGGGAAGGATGCAAATGGAAGGAGTGAGACCTAGTCCCACCCAGTTACAAGGTGGGTCTTCTGAGTTTAGAGCTGCCTAGAGCAGCTCCAGCTTTGCCTGGAAGAGATGAAACTGCCTTACAGGTGAGCCTGGGGACCTCAGGTTCTCCAAGGAGACCCGGTGGCGGGGTGTCCTGAAGCCGGCAGCCACTGGCCCCTGAGAACCAGCTGTTAAAATTTCAGGAACTTTGTAAGCCAGTTGTTAAACAAAGTCAACATTAACAATTAAATCATGTAAATTTACAATTAAACAACTTATAGTAGAAACAAAGGTACCAGGGGAACTCTTGTATGATACTACAATGGTGGATACACGTTATCAAACATTTGCCAAAACCCATAGAATGTAAACCACCAAGAGTGAACTGTATGGTAAAGAATGGAATTTGGGTGATTATGATGTATCAGTGGAGGGTCAGGAATGGTAACAAATGTTCCACTCTGGCCTGGAACTTGGGGAGGCTATACATGTGTGGGGAGGACAGGTATATGGGAAATCTCTACTTTCTGTGAAATTTTGCTGTGAACCTAAAACTTTCCTTAAAAAATAGCTTAGTGACTTAAAAGAAACCCCAAAGGTAATAAATACTCAGAACTCATCATTTTCTAATTATTTTACTAGTACTTAAGCTTTTACTAGTACCTAAGCTATAGAGACAGTGACTTATTGTCTCTATATGATGGAAATATGTAAGGATGTGCTACAGTGCCTCTCTTCCCAACTCTGTGTTCAAGTGATACTACGTGGATAGCCTGAAATCAGCCACAGTGGGACTATTTACTCCATAAAAATTGGCAAATGCTACAAATCAGGGCTTAATTTATATTGCTGTGTTGATCGTCTAGACGTCAGAACCTGAAGTAGAACAAACTTACATGTGTCATGGCTACAGCTGTTACATTGTGAATAGCCCCCAAATCTAATAAATCTCCCAGCCTTTGAAAACTATTATCTAAGTCAGCAAAGAAGTTGTTCATATCATTAATTAATGAACGAGTGAAGTCTTCATTGTTTCACTTTTGTCTTCCTTGTTAACATAAATGAAAACATCATCCAACATTCCTGACGGAAGTACACTCATGCTTCAATTGTAACCATAGACTGGTCATAGATATGGGAGTTCAACAAAAATCAATGGAAGCATTCTATGAGAATTAACTGGCTGCGTGGCATTTACAATAGAGTACTGTATGTTTTATTGTTTGTAAATTGTGTGCTACACATCTTTCATACCAGTAAAATGTATAATAAACCTTAACCTATACACCACTGCCTTATTAGAGAGCTTGGGATCTTGGCAGCCTAAGAGAGAGCGAGAGAGAAAAAAAAAAAAAAACACCTTGGGAAAGGCTGTTTGACTTTCCTCTTTGTCCGTCAAAGTAAAAGCAATGCCAGCACTTCCCCAGACATCCCCCATTCAACCCTCACGGTTATCTCTGAGGGAGGCATATTAGCACGGGTTGTCTTAGAAGCAAACGCTGTTGTTTATCTGGGAGGTGATCCCAGGGAACACCAGTGGGGAAGTGGGAAAGGGAGGCTGGGAAGGGAAGATGGCCTATAAAAACGTGTGTTATCAACCAGTTACTGTTTTGGATCGTGCTGGGGACTCTGGTGGTAGAGTAGAATTTGCACTGAGGACTGCCCTTAACAAAGGATGGGGCCGGGTGTGTGGCTCATGCCTGTAATCCCAGCACTTTGGGAGACTGAGGCGGGTGGATCACCTGAGGTCAGGAATTCGAGACCAGCCTGGCCAACATGGTGAAACCCGTCTCTACTAAAAATACAAAAAAATTAGCCGGGCGTGGTGGTGCATGCCTGTAATCCCAGCTACTTGAGAGGCTGAGGTAGGAGAGTCGCTTGAACCTGGGAGGGGGAGATTGCAGTGAGCCGAGATCGAGACATTGCACTCCAGCCTGGGTTACAGAGTGAGACTCTATCTCAAAAACAAACAAACAAACAAACAAACAAACCCCACAAAGGATGGGGTGCTGGGGTACTGAGACATCAATCCCTAACCCTGACTGGTTGGCTGCTGCTCTGGGAGCACAGTTATTCATAATTTTCTTTCCTGACATTTGCGTGTCTGTGTGTGTGAGAGAGAACAAAGATAACCTCGTCTGTGCTCTGAGAAGGGATAAAGAAAAACAACCCGAACTGTCTGATATGGAAAGCTGAGAAGGCAAGGGGCAGCTACACACTCTCTAAGATGTCCAGCCCCAGAGACCTCTGTGTTCAAGTGACGTCACATGGATAGCCTGAAATCTATCACTAGCCCTGACACTCACTGGGCTTCATAAATCCTATCGTGTTTGTTTATCAAGTATTCTGAAGACATTAAAAGGGCGGTAAGGTGAAGGCTTTGTGACAACATGCAAAACACATCTGATATATGAGTGAAAAATAGCAGCATATCACCCTGAGTCTACATTAAATTATCTTGTCTGTCTATCTGTTATACCTTTGTTTCTGTCTCCTTTTGTTAAGACTCGAAAGTTCATAAGGGTGAGGAGTAGGGATTCTGCTTTGTTCATTGCTGTAAGTCAGGCACTTGTAATGATGCCCGGCATGCAATAGCTGCTCAATAAATATTTGACAAATGCATTAACTAATAAAGAGTATGAGCACGTAAGGAAGAGAAGAGCTGGTTGGTAAAGGGGTGGGCAATGTACCGCCCTCTGCACTCAGCCCCACAATTTCCTTAGTTGTATGTTATATCATTGTAATATATGGATAACAAACAAAAAGAAACAATGGATGCCAAAACCAAATAGGCACCTAATCAAAGCCAAACCATGAGTCTATTAGCTCTGTGGCCAGGAAGGTTTAGGAAAATGCAGCAGGGTGGGCTGGAGGTACTGATAATAGCACTTATATAATGATTACCATGAGCAAACTCTTCTTATATATCAACTCATTTAATCACCCCAACAACTCCACTGAGGCATGAACTATTGTCATCACTCTCATTTTATAGATGAGGTCATGGAGGCACAAACAGTTTGAATGCCATGCCCAAGTCACGCAGGTACAGTTGCTGTTAGCCCAGTACTTCTACAACCTTAACACACATGATGTGAATGAGACAGACCCGCTCCCGACCCTCACAGAACTGACATTCCGGTGCAGGGTTTTTCAGACTTCAGTGCGCACCTGGGATCTTGTGAAAATGCAAATTTTGGCCAGACGTGGTGGTTCGTGCCTGTAATCCTAGCACTCTGGGAGGTCGAGGTGGGAGGATCACCTGAGGTCAGGAGTCTGAGACCAGCCTGGCCAACATAGTGAAACCCGGTCTCTACTAAAAATACAAAAATTAGCCAGGCATGGTGGCACATGCCTATGATCCCAGCTACTCAGGAGGCTGAGGGAGGAGAATCACTTGAACCCAAGAGGTGGAGGCTGCAGTGAGCCGAGATCGCGCCACTGCACTCCAGCCTGGTCGACAGAGCAAGACTCCGTCTCCAACAAAGCAAAACAAAACAAAATGCAAATTCTGATTTGGTAGGTCCGGTGTGAGGCCTGAGGTTCTGCATTTCTTACAAGCTGCCAGGCAGTTTTGCTGACCTGTGTCCTGCCCTTTCGCAGGAAGGTGCTAGGCTGCCGAGAAGAACGATGCGTGGAGAGCTGACCACAGGTGGCCTGGACCACAGAGGGGCTGCAGAGGGGAGCAGGAGAGAGTGGGTCCAAGCAGAACTTTTCCTAGACAAGAGGCGACTGTGTCTCTTCCAACACGTTACTCTCTGATCTGCCTGGCCACCTGCTCAGTCCTCCCCAGTGTGTCCCAGAGCCCACGCCTGAAGATTCTGGTCACTGTCCTGGTGCAGTAGCTTCCTGTTACTGGCCTCTCCCACTTCTTTGAGATCCTCTCCCATGCTCAGAGCTCACCACCCCCTGTGGGAACCCCTCACTTCCCTGGACCACTCTGGCTCTTCAGGGCTGCTGTCCATGTCCAGCCCAAGAAGGAGGCCCACATCCCTGTCCCACCCCTGGCCCTTCCACAACCTCCATGCAGGAAGCTTTGACTTGGGGGGTAAAGTGAGCTGAGGCCCCCTGCCCCAGCCTCACTGCGTGGTGTTTACACACCTCACTTTCCACGTGTGTCCTATGGGACGTTGGCCCCGGCAGCTCCAACCTCCTGTGCCAAGTGGCAGAGATGCTGGAAGGGAAAGTCTCAGATTTGAGCACAACTTTTCTCCCAGAGACACTGATAAGGCTTTCCCTGCTCTCCCAGGGTTCAGCAGTGCCCCTTGAAGTGGTGGAAGGGCCAGCAAGGGTCTGGGTGTCACACTCTTGGGGCCAGAGAGGAAGGCATCTTGCTGGGAGACTCTCAGGCTTGGGAGCGGGCTCTGGGTTCTGGTCAGTGAATGTGACTTTCACCAAAAGCCCAGGCTCTGCTCCCCCTCCCTCTCCTCTACTGCTCCTCACCCACGGGAGTGGACAAAAGGGAGTGGAGGAAGTATCTGCCCACAGTAGAGGTTCAATATATGCTTGTAAAATGGATGAATTAATAAATGGATTCACGTTCGTTTAATTTTCTGGAAGCAAAATTCATGAATCCTTGCCACGGAGAACGGGCTGCAATGGGGTATGTCCTCTCCTGTAACTCTAAGGTCTGCTACACAGTAATTACTTAATAAATATTTATTGAGTTTATGAATGAAGGGAAGTGAACAGTTGGAGAGAAAGTCTCCCAGCTGAAAGGAAGAAGCCAGTTGTCTCAACCACTCAAAGACAAGATAAGAAGTTAGAATTTGCGTGCAGAAAAATGGTTTTGGCCAATAGTTAATTCAAGGTGATTCCTGTTTTAAGGTATTGGCTAAGGGAGCTAATGCCTGCTCAGGTTGCATAAATGGATGTATAATATTTTAAATGAAGGAGGTTATTTTCTCCCACTCAACCTTGTTTTTATTATTCTTGGAGAATTGTCTTCAAGTCTGAGCTCTGATATTTAAGAGAAGCACTGGACCAGGCCTGGTGGCTCATGCCTGTAATCCCAACACTTTGGGAGGCCAAGGCAGATCACGAAGTCAAGAGATTGAGATCATCCTGGCCAACATGGTGAAATCTCATCTCTACTGAAAATACAAAAATTAGCTGGGTGTGGTGGTTGCATGCCTACAGTCCCAGCTACTCAGGAGGCTGAGGCAGGAGAATCACTTGAACCGGGGATGTGGAAGTTGCAGTGAGATCTCACCACTGTACTCCAGCCTGGTGACAGAGCAAGAATCTGTCTCAAAAAATAAAATAAAATAAAATAAAATAAAAGAAGCACTGGCAGCCTGGAAAGGTGCAGAGAAGAGGGAGCCAGGGACTTGAGATGGAATCACATGAGGGCAGCTGGAGGAATATCTGAGAATGAGTAACTTCAAGAAGAGAAAACTCAAATGTAAAAAAAAAAAAAAAAAGAAGAAGAAATCCCAAAAGTAATGTCTTTAAAATGGTCAAAGACCAGTCCTGGGATGGTTGAACTGGGTGCAACATTCTCTGGGTAGCCAAAAGTTGCTAGAAATGCTACCGAGAGTCATTTTAGAGTCGATCTAAAGAATTGCTTTCTAGCAGTAAAGTTATCCAAGAGTAGATGAAGCTATCTCCTGAGATAGTGAGGTCAGGGGCACAGGAGGACAAAGGTCAAATGTCCATTAGAAGAGCTCCTACAGAGATGCCTCAGCAGAACAGAAGGGGATCAGTTTAAAGCAAGATGAGGGGTGGGGTTGGAGGAAGGACTGTATTGTTAAATGGTTGGTATTGTTAAGGTCTTCTGTGATTGACAGGTACTTATTATGTTATTGGAAATAACTAATAGGCAGTGGCTCACTCCTGTAATCCCAGCACTTTGGGAAATCGAGGCAGGCAGATCCCCTGAGCTCAGGAGTTCCAAACCCACCTGAGCAACATGGCAAAACCCCTTCTCTACAAGAAACACAAATATTAGCTGGGTGTGGAGGTGCACACCTGCGGTTCCAGCTACTCAGGAGGCTGGGGCAGGTGAATCACTTGATTCCTGGAGGCAGAGGCTGCAGTGAGCCGAGATTGTGCCACTGTACTCCAGCCTGGGCAACAAAAATAAATAAAAAAATAAACACATCAGAAAATACAATTTAATTACTCTTAAGAGCAATAAAGCCTTAAAGTGTTGAGGAAGTAAACTAAAAATAAAGCGCACCGTTTCTTAAAAAAAAAGTTTTATTCTTAAAACACTTTAAAAAATACGTCAACTTGCTCCAAATTAATGCAAACATCCAACTCAATCCCAATCTAAATTCCAGCTGAGTATTTTGAAGAACTCAACGAACTTATTGTAAAATATGTTTTGGAAAACAAAGGTTTGTGAGTAGCAGAATCAGTGGAGTAAAGGAAGAGCAGAGAGGAGCATCTCACATGGTCTGAGGTTTATGTCCGACCAAGTCGTATCACAAATGAAACAGGTGTTGGGTGACAGAACAAGGAAGCAAAGGGGGAATTCAGAGACAGAGGCATGTGTAGATAGGACCCTCATATCCACTAAAGAGGACACAACATTTCAACGGAAGGGAAGAACTGTTTAGGAGACAGCATCTGAAACACTGCTTTGCTACATAGAGAAAAATAGAATTCGATCCCCAACTAATGTTGTAAACAAAGTTGAACCATAAATGAAAAAAGTCTAAGTGTGAAAGACAAATCATAAGTATAATAAAGGAAATTATGGGAGAGTATTTTGGTGACCTAGAACAAAGAAGGAATTTCCAAAGTATACCCCTATAATACAAACCACATGGAAAAACAACTGATCAGTTTGAGTACATCAAAATTAAGGAGTTTTGTTCAATGAAGGGTAACGTAAACAAAGTTAACAGATAAATGACACAAAGGGAGAAAATGTATGTTGTGTCTAATATTAAAAATGGACTGAGGCCGGGTGCAGCACATCACACATGTAATCCCAGCACTTTGGGAGGCTGAGGTGGGTGGATCACGTGAGGCCAGGAGTTCGAGACCAGCCTGGCCAACATGATAAAACCCCTTCTCTACCAAAAATACAAAAATTAGCTGGGCATTGTGGCTTACACCTGTAATCCCACTACTTGGGCAGCTGCGGCACGAGAATCACTTGAACCCGGGAGGGGGAGGTTGCGATGAGCCGATATTGTGCCACTGCACTCCAGTATGGTCGACAGAGTGAGACTCTGTCTCAAAAAAATAAAATAAATAAAAATGAATGGATATCCTGGAATATATAATTAACCATTGTAAATCTGCCACATTGTAAATCTGCCACATTGTAAATCTGTGAGAATCCCAATAGAAAAGTAGGCAAGAACACGAACCAGTTAACACAACCAGAGAAGCCCCAAAGACGACAGGCATGAGAAGGATGTTCTCATTAGTAACTCGATGATTGGAAATTGATATGCAATGTGATATCACTTTACGTTCACCAGATTAGGAAGAACAAGAAGTCAGGAAAGAGCACAGTGCTGACATGGTGGGGGGAGGTAGGAGCCTTCATGCTTGGCCTTGGAGTATCATCCTGGAAGGTCACCTGGCAGGACTCAATCAAATTAATTCTATCTATCTCCTATGACCCAGCAATCCCACTCCCCAGTGTTGATCCAGAGAAATCCAAACACACATCCAGAAGGGGATATTTAAGAGGATGTTCATCACATCGTTGATTAGGTCTAAGGGCACTGGAGGCAACTTATATGTGCATCACTGGGGAATGGATTAAGAAAGTGGCTGGGCACTGTGGCTCACACCTGTAATCCCAGCACTATGGGAGGCTGAGGTGAGCAGATCATGAGATCAAGAGATCAAGACCATCCTGGCCAACATGGTGAAACCCTGTCTCTACTAAAAACGCAAAAATTCGCTGGGTGTGGTGGTGTGTGCCTGTAGTCCCAGCTACTCAGGAGGCTGAGGCAGGAGAATCTTTTGAACCTGGCAGGCAGAGGTTGCAGTGAGCCGAGATTGCACCACTGTACTCCAGGCTGGATGATAGGGTAAGACTCCGCCTCAAAAAAAAAAAAAAAGCACTCTAGAGGCACACACTATGGAATACCATGAGCATCAGAGGTAGACACATAGCTCCATGGAGCATAGAGCATGAACACATAGAGAATGAAAAACAAGAACCAGCACTGTATCTATAGCATGATTGTATTTATGTGCAGTAATATTACATGCATATAAAACGAATAAAACATGCTTTAACAAAATGGGAAGGGTAGAGGTGGGAAATGCGGTAAAAAGGGATTACATTGATCAATTCATCAATCCAGACAGGAACCTAGCATGGCCAATGGGGACCCATGGCCATGAACTGAGGAGTGTGGTTAACTCCGCCCTCTGAACCTCAGGTCCTGAAACAATCAAAAGCTGGGCCAGCAAGTCCACAAGGTGGATGTCTGTGGGCAGTGCACAGCACCCATACTTGGCTTTCTGACCTGCTGCTGCTGTGTTGAAATTCTTAATAAATTTTTAACAAGGGGCCTTGAATTTTTACTCTCCTTGGTCCCTAAAAATTATGTAGCTCATCTTGTCCTCAGCGTGATTCCGTTCTCTGGGACCTGCAGTACTGTACTGCGGACCTGTTGCAGAGCTCAGGGCCAAGATATGCAAAGGACTTGGTCCCTAATCTAGCAAATAGTAGGTGCTTCTTCCATGGAGATGAGAGGCAGAATTTCATGGTAGCCAAGCGTGTGGATTTTGGAGTCAAATGACTAAAGTGCAAACCCCATCTTTGCTGCTAGTGACAGTGCCTCTGTGTCATCATCAGTTACATGAAAATAACAAAAGCCCTGCCACAGAGCGCTGCTGTGAGGATTCACTGAGTTAATATATGTGAAGTGCTTAGAGCAGTGCCTGACGCAGTCTCAATCCTCAGTAGGTACTTGCTTTGATTTTTATCATGATTCAAACCATTATTGAAAGAAAGACTGGGTTCTCCTGGAGTTTCTTTCAAAGTTGAGAATCTACGCTTTGATGAGTCTATGGGATGCTTGTAATGTGCCCAACAGATGGGACAGGGTGACTCAGCAGGGGAGAGCGAATTATTAAGTAGAGTAATTTTCTCTCATTTGTCATTCCAGAAACCCGAGTGAGGTGGTCACTTCTGCAAGTGGCCTGGAGTGCACGGCCAAAGGGAGGCAGATGGGGCAAAATGGGGAGAGGCAGGGGGTGCTGTCCTGACTTCAGCAGGTGTGTGCACCTGACTCGAAGCCACCCCACCCCCGGTCCTGCCCTCTCCCACCCGCTTCCATTGGCCGGGGCAGCACCTCTGAGGTCCTGGAGAAAGGCCTCATCCCCCGTTGCCAGGGGCATCCAGAGTGTCTCGCAGTCATATGGGAGTGATTTGGGACTCTGGGCTGTGGGGTTCTTAAGGCAGGAGCAGGCTAAGATTTCCATAAACACAAGCACCAAGCCATTTATGGGTTTTACTAGAAATTTTATTGGCATTTGGTTGTGTTGGCATTGTGTGTGCCTTCAAATGTAAATTAGATTACTGGCAGTAGATTCAATTTAGCGGTAAAAATGTAAGGGGAGTCGAGTTAGGCTGAGGATGAAACAATGCGATGACTGTTCTTGGGTCGACAAAGGGTGAGATCACCAAGCAAGAGCGCTGTGTGGAGCGGGGAGTGACGTGGAGGATGGGGAAAGCGCGCTGGATCACCCCTCCCCTACAACTTGGAAGTCGGAGGAACTTTGTCAGAGCAGCCACCTGAGTTTTCTGTTCCCCCAGTAGGTGCAAGGTCAATGCTGTATTTTGCCTCTATAAACATGAAACACACACCATACAGATTTTTGAGGAAATGTAGTCATTGCAAATTTGAAAAGAAAGCTTCCAGAGACCAAAAAGTTTTGGCTGACACAGGGCACTACTAATAGCTGACATTTACTGGGCACTCGCTGTGTACCATGCCCTGTGCCAGGCGATCTTCAACAACAATCTCTGAGGGAGGTGCTACTAATAGTTCCATTTCACAGATGCAGAAACGGAGGCAGAGAGAGTGGAAGTGACCTGCCCAAGACTACCCAGCTAGTAAGTGACAGAGCAAGGACTCCTGGGCATCTAACCATTGCATTTTAATTCTCACAATAAATTCAGTGTACAAAGTACCTGTGTCCTTTTTATACAGGTTTGCATTTGTGTGTGTTCACACATGGCTGAGTGTGTATGTATGTGCATGTGCAAGTCGGCTTACAGGTAGGTGTATCTTAGAATGTATGAGTGTGCACAGGCAGGTGTGTGTGCATGCATGAGTGTGGCTGCATGTGGGTAGGCGTGTGGGTGTGTGTAGGTAGGTGTGCGCCCACAGGTCTGTGTGTGTGTGAGAGTACATGCACATGGGTGTGTGTGGAGGGGGGAGGTGTGTGCTCACGTGAGTATGTGTGTGCATGCAGGTAGTATTGTTGAAGTCAGTGTGTGTGCGTGTGCATGGGTAATTTTGTGTTAGTGTGCGCATGTGAGTAGGAGAGTGTGCACCTGTGAATGTGTGTGGGGGCATATGTATGCATGAGTGCAACGTAGGGTGATGGTGGTGATGATGGTGCCAGACTGGGGATTTGGGAGAGGGATGCTGCAGAACCTTTGCTACAGGCAGGCAGCCCCTGATGCCTCCTGCTAGAGCCAGGATTTCTTACTCTGAGGATATAGATCTGCATCTCTGCTTAGCAACCTGGGCCTCAGTTAGAAAACTGGGGAAGGAGTCATTTCCAAAGTCCCTTGAACTCCAAGATGCCGGATTGTATAATAAAACCAGAGCCAGGGAAAGTGGAGAGCATTTCCCTCTTCCTCCTGCACCTGCCCACTCCGGGTGCCCTGCTCCTCCTCATCAGTAGGGACACTCTGCAGTCCACATTTCACCTATCTTCATAATGACCCTGAAACGTGGGTGTCATCACCAATTCCCTTGAAGAAGATGCTGAGACAGAGTGAGGCAGTGATGTACGCAAGTTCACACAGGACTGCAAAGCCTCAGTTGCAGAAGCCTGAGCCGTGAGGCTGTCTGAGAAGTCGTGTGGCCATGAGAATGACGACTTCCTGAAGGCAGGCCCTGGCTCTGTCATTTCTTTTCTTTTCTTTTCTTTTCTTTTGAGATGGAATCTCGGTCTGCTGCCAGGTTGGAGTGCAGTGACATATCTCGGCTCACTGCAACCTCTGACTCCCGGGTTCAAGGGATTCTCCTGCCTCAGCCTCCCGAGTAGCTGAGATTACAGGCACACGTCACCACGCCCAGCTAGTTTTTTTGCATTTTTAGTAGAGACAGGGTTTGACCATGTTGGCCAGGATGGTCTTGAACTCTTGACCTCTTGATCCGCCCGCCTGGGCCTCCCAAACTGCTGGGATTACAGGTGTGAGCCACCGCGCCCAGCCAGCTCTGTCTTTTTCAGCAGCATCTCCCCAGTGCTGAACAAACAGCAGCTAGATTATTTGGGTTGTAGCTCACCCTAAGGTGCTAGAGAATCTGTAAGTGGCTGCATATAATCCATGGAAGTTTCCAAAGATGTAGGGGAACAGTGCCTTAAGTGCAAATTCTCTCTAATGATGAACTTCAGGCCCATGGGAGTAGTGCCTGCTGGCAGAAATCCTTGCCAGCACCTTCGAACGCCCTCCCTGATGGGGCCTTCCCTCCAGATGTGAAAGGCGACTGCCCTACTGATGAGATGGTTGTGTCCAAAGGAGGTCTGAGGTCAGACTGTTGGTCTGCAGCACACCTAGAAATCGCAGCTCTGTGACAAATGGTCGCATGACCCTCAGCGAGTCATTTTCCCACTGAGGGCCCAAACAAACTTTCTTGTACCATGGAGGCTTGGATAAATGGACTTTTCTCAATGACATGTGAGATGAAGCTAAGAGGGAAACAGCAGTGTGCAAACCCTAGGCTGGGCATGGTGGCTCACGCTTGTAATCCCAGCACTTTGGGAGGCCGAGGTGGGTGGATCACCTGAAGTCAGGAGTTTGAGACCAGCCTGGCCAACATGGTGAAACTTCCTCTCTACTAAAAATACACAAATCAGCTGGGTGTGGTGGCACACGCCTGTAATCCCAGCTACTTGGGAGGCTGAGACAGGAGAATCGCTTGAACCCAGGAGGCAGAGGTTGCAGTGAGTGGAGATTGCGCCCTTGCATTTCAGCCTGGGCAACAGAAGCGAAACTTTGTCTCAAAAAAGAAAAAAAAAAAAAGATATAGGGATGAGTAAATTCTATTTGGGAAGAAAACATTTACATAACATTTATAAACTTCCACTATATGTATACGGCAATAAAAGAGAAGCCTCAAATGTTAAACATGATTATTTCCGGGTGGTGGGACTATGTGCTTTTTACTTTTTTCCTTATCTACGTATTATCTTAATTTTCCACCATAAACATGCAGTACTCTTGAAATGGGCAAAACTGATCAGTGTTTGCTTATGTTATTTGAGAAGTTGAGCACCGAGAGATTTATTCATCTCAGCTTTGACATTCTGCTGTTCTCCCTCCTGACCTGCTTTGAGAGCGGATGGGGGTGGGGTGGGGGTAACTCCCTGTGGAAATCGGGGGTGGCTGTTAAATAGCTTGATCTCTTTTATGGGGTTCCCGCACACACCTCGGCTTTCTCCATGGCGCCTGGCATTCGCAGGGCACCTGCCGCCACAGACCTTCTGACCAGCCTTACAAACCTCATGACTTGACACGCTCCAGCCACCGGCCCCAGGCCCCGGGCTCCGGGACTGGGGAGGCAGCCCGGCCCCCCCACCGGGCCCTCCACCTGAAAGAGATTAGCCAGGACCACCAGAAGCCTGCAATACTAATCGGAGGGATTTTCTTACTTGTTTCCTTCAACGAGTTCCTCCAGGTGTTTCTAGTGATTAGCCAGGGCCCGGACGGCTGGTCACTGTGCCACCATTGTGTCCCCGGCCCTGTTTCCCCACCACGTGGCCTTTGGGGACGACCCCAAATAAAAACGGCGAGAGCAGACTGCCAAGTGGCGGGACCATTTACGGGAGGGACGCGGGAGGACACGGAGCGCGCCCAGAGGGCTTTACAGCTCCACCTCGCGCCCCGACCGACGGGACTCGCGGGCTCCCAGGCGTCTCACTGGCCTCCTTTATGGGGTGGTGACACCTCGGTGACGCAGGCCTGGCTTTGGGATGCATTGTTTTCTGTTGGTGGGGTTGGTTTTTGCTTTCCTGCCCGGATGGCCTCAGCTAAATCCCCGCTGATTGCCACCGCCCGGTGGATGAGATGGTCTGCTACACAGGCAGCTGGCCACCGCCCCGGCAGATAGAGCAGGGAGCTTTTCCCCACAGCTTGGGTTTCTCTGTTGCCTCTTCCCTTGGTGTGGATTACGCTGTTTTTCTCATAAACATGCCCTCCCCTCCACCCCACCGCTGAGGAAGGCTTTTTCTGAGCAAAGGAAGAGACCAAGAAAACCTTAAGCAGAAATGAGGGTGGGTGTGTGGGTGGAAGGTCCAGTCTAGTTAGCCCCTCTGCCCTGGAATTTGGACTTTTCTTTTTCTTTCTTTCTTTCTTTTCTTTTCTTTTTTCTTTTCTTTTTTTTTTTTTTTTTTTTTTTTTTTTGAGACAGCGTCTCACTCTGTCACCCAGGCTGGAGTGCAGTATTGCAATCATGGCTCACTGCAACCTCTGCCTCCCAGGTTCAAGTGATCCTCCTACCTCAGCATCCATTTTCTAACTCTACAGTTTTAAGAAGGTTTAAGAATTAGAAAATAAAGAAAGGGAGGAAGGAAAAAGACAAACTGCGGGGAAGAGGGACACCCGGAGCTGTTCAGTGACCCCCCCAACCCATAGCCCTCCCCTTCTTACCAGAGCTGGATGGAACTTGGGGAGTCCATAAGTCCTGGAAGGCTTGTAGGCAGGCTTTGGGCGGCCAAGACAAGCTCAGAGCACCATGAAGATTTTTTCTGAACAGTATCCACTGTTCCCTTCAGATCCTCAGAGGCTCATAGGACTCCACTAGGGTTCAGAATCACTGATCTAGTTCATCCCCATTTGATATATGGGGAAACTGAGGCAACTCTCCAAAAGTTACATGGTGGATAAGTGGCAGAGCCAGCACCACACATTTTGAAGTCAGGTTAGAACATGACTGGGGGTTGGCACCAAGCTGGAGGCCATGCCCTGCTCGACGAAAAATAAATAAATAAATAAATAAATAAATAAATAAATAAATAAGAGCAGCTGCTACACATCAGGCGCTGCTTAGAGCATTTTACATATAATTATTCTTTGATTCTCAAATCAGCCCTATGAGATAGTTTCATAGTATTATCCCCATTTTACAGATGAGAAAACCGGAACCTAGTGGAACTAGTGACTTGTCCAATGTCACAGAGCCAGGCAGCGCAGAGACTGTTTTCAACCCCATCGTAGGCACTCAAGTGAGCAAGGCTGGGATAAGAAGAATCTGTATGGACTTTGGAGAGTCAAAATCTGGTTTTGCTATTTACTCAGCAACATCTCTTCCCTTCTCTGACACTCGGTTTTCTCATCTGGAAAAAAGAGGTGGTGTTATTTCTTCTTCTTTTTGTGTTTTTTTTTTAATTTTCTTTATTTTTGTTTGTTTGTTTGTTTTTGGAGACAGAGTTATACTCTGTTGCCTAGGCTGGAGTGTAGTGACACGATCTTGGCTCACTGCAACCTTGAACTCCTGAGCTCAAGCCATCCTCCTGCCTCAGCCTCTGGAGTAGTTGGGACTACAGGCGCACGCCACTAGGCCTAGCTAATTTTTTGTATTTTTAGTAGAGACAGGGTTTCAGCCATATTGGCCAGGCTGCTCTTGAACTCCTGGCCTCAAGTAATCCACCCACCTCAGCCTCCCAAAGTGCTGAGATTATAGGCGTGAGCCACTGCACCCAGCCAAGCCACCATGTCCGTCTTTACTTCTTCAGTTTATTGGAAGGATCAAGAGAAATAAAGTAGAGAAAGCCCCTCTCCTGGTGCCTGGCACATGGGAGGTTCTTAAAAATAACTCTTCAGCTGAATTAAAATCAAAGCAGTCCAGGCATGGTGGCTCAAGCCTGTAATCCCAACACTTTGGGAGGCCTAGGGGGGTGGATCACTTGAGGTCAGGAGTTCGGCCAACGTGGTGAAACCCCATCTCTACTAAAAATACAAAATTAGCCAGGCATGGTGGCATATGCCTGTCATCCCAGTTACTTGGGAGGCTGAGGCAGGACAATCACTTGAACTTGGGAGGTGGAGGTTGCAGTGAGCCGAGGTTGCAGTGAGCCAAGATCACACCACTGAACTCCAGTCTGGCAACAGAGTGAGACCCTGTTTCAAAAAATAAATGAAATGAAATGAAAGCAAAGCACTGCCATGATTTCCAGAGCTGGAGCTGTGCCCAGGATGAGTTAGGTCAGGCATTGAGGAAGACAGAGAGAGGTGACCGGGGAGGTTAAAGGGCAGGGGTTACTCTCTTATCCCAGATCCCAGAGGTCTTTGAGCCAAGATACAGTAGGATTTAATCACATCTCTGCAAAGACACCTCCCTGTGGTCCATGATTTGCATAGTCCCATCCGCAGGCTGACACCGCTTCCTAGATCCTTATTGGAGCTGTCATTCAAGCAGGAGTCTGTGTTGTGGCACCTTAGTGGCTATCTCCTGCACCCTCAGTTTGAGGAGCACCTGATCCCCAGAGTGAAAGAGCCTGTTTTTGTTGGTGGTGTCCCTCTCCCCCAGGCCACCCTCCCTCTTACCAACCCACAGATGCCAGCCTGTTAGTGGTCTGGATCCCTCAAAGAAACCTAGAATAAAGAAATAACAAGCTAGGTAAGATGCAAACATCTGGCCCTAGCACAACAACCTTATTCTGTAGGCACAGGGGACTGCAGACAGCTCTTTTCAGATCTAAAGTGAGGGCAGCTCAAAGGTTTAAACAGTTGGTCTTTGGTTCTGCTTAAAGCAGTTAAGGTAGGACCAGGCTGGTTCTTCTGGAAGTCCCAGTGCCCAGCAAATGTTCAAACCCCATTGCTTGATATTCAAGCTGTGTCAGCCCCCACCCTACACTGTTCCATCCTACAGCCCCAGGAAATGGAGCTGTTCTTGACAGTCCCTATTTATAGACCAGACTGTTCCACATCCAGCCAGGTGTCCTTCCTTCACATACTTGAAGGTCTAAATCCAAACTGTCCTTCAAGATGCTCACACATGCCCTCTCGCTCAAGAGCCATCCTTGCAACCTGTGACCTCACCTCTTTGTGATGCTCTCATGACGTTGACCATTTCTCCCTCAGTGTTAGTGACTTCCCACCTCCCCTAGCCTGAGCATTCCTCAAGGGTTGGACCATGGATTTGTAAGCTCTCAGGAGTTCAGAGGCCTCTGTCTCTAAATTCACCTGGGCAGACCCCTGCTCAGGGCAGGGATTGCTTCCACACTAACCAGCCATATGCCTGTCCTCCCTGTCTATAATTTTCCAGGGACAGAGGCCCTCACCCACTTCCTGGGTCTCAAGGCAGGCCATTCCAGGCTGCACATTCCTGCTAGACTGCATTAGTTATCCCCTTTCACAGACGAGGACACTGAAGCTCAGAGAGGCTCTGTAGCTTTCCTGAAACCACACAGCAGGTAAGTGACGAGAATGGAATTTGAGCCCAGGTGGCCCAGCTCTTACATACTCCACTGTCTCAACTAAGATCAGCACTGGAACAGCCACATCTCAGAAAGTTCTTCTGAAGATTCAGTGGAAATCTATTGTCTACCTATCTGGTTTCTTTTATTCAAGATCCCTGAAGAATAAATTTGATCCAGAGTTAATTGTATCTCCTGCCACAAAACTTAGCACAAAGTAGGGGCACAATACTTTGTCTTGAGGAGATGAATCATTTATTCACAAAAGTTAAGTTTTTATTGCACCTTAAGGTCAGTGTAGTGATTCTGCATGCATTAATTACCATGAGCCTCCCAATGATCTAGGAGAAAGACAGGGCGGGGGCTGAGATCAGGGGGGAGGTGAAGTGCACTCCAGAGGCACCAGAGACACAAAGAAAAAGAAGACACAGGTCGGGTGCTGTGGCTCACACCTGTAATCTCAGCACTTTGGGAGGCTAAGGAGGGTGGCTTGCTTGAGCCCAGGAGTTCGAGACCAGCCTGGCAAAATGTCTCTATAAAAACATACAAAAATTAGCTGGTTGTGGTGGTCCCATAGTCCCAACTACTCCAGAATGTGAAATGGGAGGATGGCCTGAGCTCAGGAGTTCGAGGTTGCAGTGAGCCATGATTGCACCACTATACTCCAGCCTGGTGACAGGGCAAGACCCTGTCTCAAACAAGAAAGAAAGAAAGAAAGAAAGAAAGAAAGAAAGAAAGAAAACCAAACCACAGTAGAAATAGCAGTGCCATGAGGTGTTAATAACAAGAATTGCCTCAGTAAAATAATAGCTAATGAATACTGAGTGCTTGCTTTATTCCAGCACTAGGCTAGCTAGCACCTTGCATTCATAGACAAATTTAATTTTTGCCATGAGCCTATGAGGTTGGTTCAATGATCATCTGTTTTACAGATAAGGCAACAGAGGCACAGAGAGTGTCATGTCCTTGCCTGGATTCATCCAGCCAGAAGTGGAAAGACTGGAAAGTGAACCCAGGCAACCAGCGATGTACCCTACTGTGTCCTCTCTACACGGGCACTATACGTGTCTCCATTTTACCTGTGGGGAAGCCCAGGGTCAGAGAGAGAAAGTCATGAGCTCAAGTTCCAGCCAAGGGCCAGATGAGGAGTTAGTTCTATCCTTCATAAGTTATGTGGCTTTGAGCAAGGCGTAAGAACTCTCAACACGACTGGTGCTCACCGCCCTGTCCTTGGAAGCAGGATAGCGGGGCATGTCAAAGGCTTCCCAGGAGAATGGAGTGTCCAGAATGGATGGCACGACTCCTCCGAGGCGGCCCCAAGTCTGGCCAGACCCCTTGCTGTGCTGCATGGAGGACTCTAAGTTTCGGTCAGCAGCCCTGTCTCTGCCCTTGGACACAGCACAGGAAGCTGGAGGCTGCTTCAAAGGGAGGAAGAATGAGCATTTCGTAGCCAGTGGACACCAAACCAGGCCTTTCCTCTGGTGTTTCGGTGTATCTTATTCATTTATCATTTATTCATTGAAGATGAGGTCTTGCTCTGTTACCCAGGCTGGAGTACAGTGGTGTAATCACAGTTCACTGCAGACTCAAAACTCCTCTGCTCAAGTGATCCTCCTGCCTCAGCCTCCTGAGTAGCTAGGACTACAGGTGTGTTGCCACCACCTCAGCTGATATTTTAATTTTATTTTGGAGAGACGAGGTCTCCCTATGTTGCCCAAGCTGGTCTCGAACTCCTAGTCTCAAGCAATCCTCCTGCCTCGGCTTCCCAAAGTGCTAGGGTTACAGGCATAAGCCTCTGCGCCCAGCTATTTCAGTGTATTTTAGTTATTCAGTGTCATTCCCAAGACTAAGTCCCTGCCCCGACTCCACTTCACCCCCTGCACCTGGCCAGGTAGGTGTGATCACTCTGCTTAGAGGTGAGAACACTCAGCTCATGGAATTAAAGTGACTTCTTCAAAGTCCCACAGCAGGGAAGAACCAGAGAAACAGAACCTGGCATCTGATCCTGAAGCCCACCTCTCCCAGAATCTTTTAGATACAGGACAAAAGGAAATCAAAATAGAAGGAAAACAGAAATCCTGGAAAATCAAAAGCAAAATAAAACAAATGAGCCTGACCATGTATCCAGTTGGTGGCACAAGTACACACAACAGAATGATTTCAAGGAGAAGCACAGTGATGTGACTGAATATCCCCAGTGGAATGAAACCTGAAAACAAAAAGAACTGAAAAAAAGTTTAAACTGTTTTCAGTAGTCCTATCATCAAGTAATAATCATCTCTGTCTTGTTATTCCAAGATATTATGTATGCATTTTTAGGGATATGGCAAGTAGGTCATTCTTTTTTTTTTTTCTTAAATAAAAAAACGTTTTTTTTAGACATGGTCTTGCTCTGTCAGGTTGGAGTGCCATGGTGTGACTACAGCTCACTGCAGCCTTGAATTCCTGAGCTCAAGCAATCCTTCTGCCTCAGCCTCCCAAGTAGCTAGGACTCACAGGCACACCACCATGCCCAGTTAAGTAATTATCTTTCGAACAAGCAACTGTCAGTCCTTTGGAAATAGTGACCTCCTGCTGTGAGGGCTGTATCTATTTTAAGGCCCCAAGGTGAAAGTTAGGGCTCTGTTTTCACACATCCAGTAAGATGCATGATCTGACTCGTGTTCATCTATGATGGTCTAGGAGAGAGCCCTAGGCAGGCAGGAGTTGACGTAGAGCTATCCCCCGTCCCTTCCTTCCCTGAGCTCCTCCAAAAGGAGGGTATGCCTAGCAGAAAAGAGATGGGAAATAGCCTGAGCATGCAGGGGAAGGACTTATGGTTGGTGGTGGTTATCGGGAGCATGTAGTCAGGGATGATCTGGCTCCAGAGAAGCCACATGCATAGCGTCCAGCATAGCACTTGATCCCTGGCTGCAACTGCTGGGCGCTAGCAGGGCTTCCTGGCTGCCTTCACCAGCATCTCTGGGCTCTTCTCCCAGCCTTTTAGGTAATGCTCCCTTGTTAATAGGATCATAATATTAGGACTGGAGAGGAACAAATATTACTTTGTGCACCAGCCAACTGAGACTACATCAGGCTGCATTTAATTTGGGAACTGTGTAGCTAGCTAATTTTTCTATAGTAGATGCCACGTGTACTCCGTGACTTCCCTGAGTGCCTCAGCAAAATGTGTGACCCAACCTTGGCCTTGAGTCCACCCGGGCCTCAGTAGGGACATGAGAAGTTCAACCCCTGGAGGCCCTCCTGCTAGCTACGTGCTCTGTAGGGGTCCCTGTCCTGGTTTCTAGGCTGGGAACATGCAGGGGGCAGTACAGGATGGTGTTCATACCCATGGGCTCTGAGCCCGATTCCTTGGGTTCAAATCCCAATTCTGCCTTTTACAAATTTGGGTTTTGGATTGGCTTAGTAATAATAACAATAACAATAATCCAGTTAAATAAATTGCTATATGCAAAATGCTTGAAACAGTTCCCAGCATTTAAGAAGCATCTCTATATATTTATTTACTGTTATTTTTATTATTTTTTAGTACAGCAGAAGTAAAAATGAAATGGAAGAGATGCACCTGAGACAAAATTTGAGGGCCTTGGGGACTGACTGTATCTTGGGGTTACAACTGGCTGTGCATGAGGTTGGGGGTTGCTCAGAGGTAGAGAAAACCTTGGGGGAGAGTCAAGTTTGGAGGTCAGGGTGAGGCTGGGCTGTTTTGCATACACTCAGTTTAAGATGCCTGACACGGTCCCATCAGAATGGAGATGCCAGTAGGGTGCAGTGGCTCATGCCTGTAATCCCAACACTTTGGGAGGCCAAGGCAGGAGGATCGCTTGAGTCCAGGAGTTTGAGACCAGCCTGAGCAACATAGCAAGGCCCCATCTCAATCAATCGATCAATCAATCAATCAATAAGAATGGCGACACTGAGTAGACAGGTGGTCAGATTTATTCGGAGGTAAGAGTCTAAGAGTTGGGCTCCCTTGCTGTCCTGGGGAAACCAATGGCCCACAAGCTGCCTCTCTTATGTTTACAGCTGATTTAGCTTGAGACTTGCATGTATATACTGTTCTTACCACCTAGCATGGTTGTGTTTGATTTACATGAAAATATCTAGCCCCTCACCACTCCCACTCTGGCCCAACAATCTTTTGGGAAGTCATGCTCTGTTCCCCAGGGAAACCCGGACCTGCTCCCCAGGGCCATTTGTGCTTCACTTGGAGGTGCAGGAAGCATCTTGAAACTCACATATCCTTGAGAGGAATGGTTCATGGTCCCCCATGCAGAGATGAAGGAACTGAGGTTCCAAGACGACAATGACTCACTTAGAGTCACTGCTGGCACAAGGCGGAGCAGGGCCATGGCAAGTTCTTTCTGCAGCAGAACACTTGCTCTTTCCATCTTAATGTCAACCTCAAATCAACTAGAAAGGTGTAGGCTTGTTCCATTCAGTTTGCTCTCCAGGAAGAGCCAAGTAAGAGACGCTCTTCTGCATCTGTGTGTGAAAGAAATCCAAGTTCCTGGAAGACAAGAGTTCCTTGGTTGTTCAGAGCAGCAATCTTTACAAGAGCAAGGCCCTAACAGCTCCCCAAAGCCAAACACAGGTCCGGGGTGGAGCTGCAGAATGTGCTCGGGATGGAATATGATGCAACCTGGAAAATGAGTGAATGCAAAACACAAATGGGTTTTAGCAGTATACTATGAAATTTTAAAAGAGATAATATTGAGTAAAATAAAACAGCCCCAAAGATTGCATACGGTATAATACCCTTTGAATACATTTACATGTAAGTAAAGTAAATAAATATATTTTATGGGAATTCATATAGGCAATAAAACTATATTAAATGGAAAGCAAGGTAATGTTGAATGCAAGACTGGGGGTGGGGTTGTGGGAAAGACCATATTGTTAAATGGCATGTATTGTTGAGATCTTAACTGTGCCTTGGGTGGTATTGGCAGGTGCTTATTATGTTATTAAAAATAACTAATAGGTCAGGCACAGTGGCTCACATCTGTAATCCCAGCATTTTGGGAGGCCGAGGTGGGCAGATCACTTGAGGCCAAGAGTTCAAGACCAGCTTGGCCAACATGGTGAAAACCCATCTCCACTAAAAACACAAAAATTAGCTGGGCTTGGTGGCACACGACTGTAATCCCAACTACTTGGGAGGCTAAGACACAAGAATTGCTTGAACCCTGGAGGTGGAGGTTGCAGTGAGCTGAGATCACGCCACTGCATTCCAGCCTGGATGAAAGAGCAAGACACTGTCTTAAAACAAAACAAAACAAAAAAACCCAAAAAACAGAAAAACAAAAACAAATAGAATAACCAAATAAACAAAAGCATGAAGAGGCAGAGAAGTTGGGAAACTGGACCTTGAACGTGAACTGGGTCTGTAGGCAGAGGGACAGAATGGCCAGAGTAATGCAGCCAAGTGGGGAAGCTCCCCCTAGGTAACGTGAAGAGAGGGGGCCTGCAGAGGCTTCTGCACAGGTGGAAATGGGATGGTGGCTCTGGTGGGTAAGGCCACTGATCCCAGGACTGGTCCCATTCCAGTGATTCTGATGCAGGAGAGCTTTGAGGAAGGTGGTGTCTAAGTGAAGCTGGGGTCCTGGGATTTTCGTTGGCATGGACAGGACACAGAGGGACAATGAGCCCACCTGGAGCTTGGAGGAGCCCCTTCATGACCTGGGCACCCCCATGAGTGGTGATTCCTCTCAGGGAGCTCAGCTTGTGCCCACCTCATTTTTCTGCCAGGGTGCCTTCTTTGGGGAGGTGAGTGTCGCTTTTGCTCAGTGTCAAGTCTGTCTATGGCTTTGGGGACAGCATCATGATATGTTCTCGAGAAACAGTCCTCCACCTGTCTGACTCAATGTCACCTTCTAACAACTAGTGTCATCTCCCCTCTATTATCCTAAAATATTTTGTAGCCTCTCCTTTATGATTCTGAAATAAAAATCCCTAGTCTTATAGCACTACACACATAAGTTAACTACATACAAAATCTTAGAAATCATTAGAATGCCCTACCTGTTAGAGAAAGAAGAAATAGAAAAGGATTTATAATAAAAATGGTGTGCATTTCAGTAAGTAAATGCTTGGGCTTGACTACACTGGAAGACACAGTGAGGCAGGGGAGGGCTTGCATCTACTGGGCAAACTGCTGTTAATGTGAGAGCCAGTGTGGGCTGGCAACTCACACAGAAAAAGCCTTGGTGCCCAGATAGGTGCTTTTCTGAAAGGTGGATGATTTTTTTTTACTAAAGTTTCATTGATTTTTATGGTAGTTTAATTCCATAGTTTAACTCCAGAAAAGTTTAGTGTATATCACAAACTTGTAGAAAAGACTACATTTATACATAAAACAGAGTAAAGCTCTGGGTCGGGATTTCCCAGCACTATTGACATTTGGGGCAGGACCATTTTTTTGTGATGGGGGCTGTCCTACGCATTGTAGGGTATTTAGCAGTATTCCTGGCCTCTACCCACCAGATGCCAGGAGCACCCCCTCCCACAGTGTGACAAACAAAATTGTCTCAAAGAAAAGCTGAATGTTCCCTAGGAGGCAAAATCACCCTCAGCACAGGCCTCTAAGTTTGGTTAATTGCATAATGGTTTTTACTTCAATGAATGCCTAGTTGGGCAATCCTTTGTTCTCTGGGACTGTCCCATGCCTCAGGGGCACCTATTCCACCCAAGAAATGACATTTATCCTCCCTCCTCAATTATTGTAACAACCAACCCCACCCACAGAAATCCAAAATTCATGTCCCCCTGGGGAGATGGTTAGCACTCCTAGGATGAACCACTGATTACAGCAACAACATGCAGGTGGGGTGTGGGGGCCTCTGGCCTCAAAGAGCAGGGTCCAGCTTTCAGTTTCCCATCTGGGCAAGAACAGCCAGGATTGATTCTTGGTATACGCAGAAGTTCACCTGAAGATTGTTGGAGGTGTTTCAGTTATTTATTGTGGAATACTCAATGAAAGCTCAGTGGTTTAAATAGCCATTTATTAGCTGTGCTCAGCAGGGTGGTTCTTCTGCTCCACATGGCCTCTTCTAGGGCTGGAAACATCAAGATGGCATCTTCACTCCTGTGTCTGGCTCCTCGGTTGTGTGGCTGGACCAGCTGGGGTTACCTGGGCATCTATCTCTCTCTCACATGGCCAGCATGGACCACAGCATCATGGTCTCAAAGTAGCTGAACCTATACACGTGGCTGCTTCTAAGTGGGAGAAGGAAATTGTCAGTCCTCTAAAGGCTGGTCCTGGGTCTGGTGCACAGTCATTTCTGCTGAGTTCTGTTGGCCAAAGCAAGTCGAAAGGCCATATCCAATTCAACTGGAGGGGAAATTGCTGTGAGGAGCAGCATGCCCTCTCAGGGAAGGGGAACTGATGGTGGCCATCTTTGGAGATAACCACAGGGACCCTGGACTTTTACCACTGTGGGCATGTGGACGCCCAGGTTCTGCCATTGGCTAGGCTGGTGCCTGTATGTGATATATGCTAGAAACATTTCCATTAACAAGCATGTTTTTGAAAAAGGTGCTGCTAACCACCAACTTTCATCAAGCATTTCCTCTGTGCTGCACCCTGTTTAAATTGCTTTATATGTTTTTTTTTTCTCACTTAACTGCTTCCATTTCCTTGGACATGTATACTACTACTATCCTCATTTTATAGGTGAAGAAACTGAGACACAAGATTACTCACTCCACTAATCCCTCTTCCAGGCATTGATTCTAAGGAACAATTAAGACAGTTTTCATATGTTCATTGCAACGTTATTTACAACAGGAGACTGGTGAAATAAATGATGATATATCTACAATGGTAGAAAAATACTGATATGCAATGAACTTCTCAATACAATAAGTTAAAAATTAGTTATAAAGCAATGCCTATAATATCCTCCCATTTTGGACAAAAATATATACAAGTTTCTAAAAGCAGTTTTCTCTAGGATGGGATTATGTGTAGGAGTATTTTATCATTCTGTTAATTTGTGTTTTCTTCTTCTCTGTCTACAATGAATATATATTGCACTTGAAGGAAGAGAAAAACAAGGCAAGTTGTCACTTTAAATTCTTTTTTAAAAAGTTTTCTACTTAAATGAGAGAGCTTCAGGCAACTAGAAAAGATAATGAATCAGATGGACTGTCCATTTGGAGAGATGGACCCCACCCTTGGCCTCATTGATGAAATGCAAGTACTCTTAGCTAAGCAAATGCTCGTGTGGCTAAGCAAAGTCCAGCTGGGCACTGAGGTGGGGGTTCTCCATGATGTCCGGCTGCTATGCTGCTTTGACAAGGGACCACAGCTGTGCCCATCTGGCCAGTTTCACATGCTGGGTGCTGGACTGCAGCTCCGGGAAGTGTGGATGGTCTGCAGGGATCTCTGTATGCTGGAGGGTGGGCAGGGTCTCCACTTGGCCCTTGCAACAACTGTGTTTCTTAACCTACTGTTCCATGCTCCACCACAGACCACACCAAACAGCAGCCTCTTTGGAGCCTGTTCCATCAGGGAACTTCCCAACTTCTTTTTTTTTTTTTTAAATTTTTTATTTGCTTTCCACCTGTTTCTTTATTTATTTGAGTCAGAGTCTCTCTCTGTTGCCCAGGCTGGAGTGCAGTGGTACGATCTCGGCTCACTGAAGCCTCCACCTCCTGGGTTCAAGTGATTCTCCCACCTCAGCTTCCCTCCTGACTAGCTGGAACTAAAGGCACATGCCACCATGCCCAGCTAATTTTGGCATTTTTAGTAGAGACTGGGTTTCACCATGCTGGCCAAGCTGGTCTCAAACTCCTGACCTCAGGTGATCTGCTTGCCTCGGCCTCCCAAAGTGCTGGGATTACAGGCAGGAGCCTCCACGCCTGGCCCACCTTTATAATATCTTACTTTCCTAAGATTCAATCTTGACTTCTTTCTCTCTCTCCATCTCGCTTTGTCTGTCTTGTAGGCAGAAGTCTCAGGGAGCCCCTCAAATTCCTGGCCCCTGGTGGACATAGGCTTTCTCTCAGCTCTTCAATCAAACACAAACCTAGGTGTTACTGTGAAGGAATCTTGCAGATGTAATTAAAGTCCCAAGTCAGCTGCCTTAAGGTTAAGAGATATCCTGGTGGGCCTGGCCTCATCAGATGAGTCCTTAAAATCTGGGTCAGAAGGCCTGGCTCAGTGGCTCACACCCAGCACTGTGGGAGGCTGAGTGGAGCGGATCACTTAAGCCCAATAGTTCAAGACCAGCCTGGGCAACATGGTGAAACCCCGTCTCTACTAAAAATACAAAAAATTAGCCAGGCGTGGTGGCACGCACCTTTAGTCCCAGCTACTTGGGAGGCTGAGGTGAGAGGATTGCTTGAGCACTGGAGGTGAAGTTTGCAGTGAGCTCTGATCACACCACTCCACTCCAGCCTGGGCGACAGAGTAAGACCCTGTCTCAAAAAAAAAAAAAAAAAAAAAAAAAAAAGGCTGGGTGCAGTGGCTCACGCCTGTAATCCCAGCATGTTGGTTAGGAGGCCAAAGTGAGTGGATCACCTGAGGTTAGGAGTTTGAGACCAGGCTGACCAACATGGTGAAACCCTGTCTCTGCTAAAAATACAATAATTAGCTGGGTGTGGCGGAGGCAGCCTGTAGTCCCAGCTACTTGGGAGGCTGAAGCGTGTTGGCAAAATTCTACCCAGAGGGGCCTCGCCCTGCAGCACACTCAAGCAGAGAGTCATGTCCTCAGACAGAGCTGTGTTCCCAGATATCTATATTGATATCTTGAATTGTTTGAACCGGGGAGGCGGAGGTTGCAGTGAGCCGAGATCGTGCCATTGCCCTCCATCCAGCCTGGACAACAAGAGCGAAACTCCATCTCAAAAAAAAAAAAAAAAAAAAATCTGGGTCAGGAGATCAGAGACAGAGAAGGCAGAGATTTGGAGTGTGGGGGCTGAACTGCGTGGGGGGGATTCAATGTATGAGAGGCTCTCCAGTTTTGGGTTAAAGGGGCGGGGGGTGGCCTGTGGCAAGGTGTGGTGGCCTCTGGGAGCTGAGAGTGGTCCCCACCTCTCCCATCCAACAGCCAGCAACCTGAATGAGTTTGGAGGAGCTCCAGATGAGACACAGCCCCAGTCAGCACCTGGGCTGCAGCTGCGGGAGACCTTTGGCAGGGACCCAGCAGGTCTGGGCCTTGACTCCTGACCCGCAGGAACATGGAGGTAATGAACTTATATCAAGTTGCTAAATGCATGGTGACTTGTTATGCAGCCAGAGAAAATGAATACACTTTCCTCCCTCCCTTCCTTCCTCCCTCCACTCCTTCCTTTCTTTTTTAAAACCTATCATGGACGTCTTTCCCTGTTATTACAGACTCTGCAGAAATAAACCTCGGGATAGATTTCCCTCACGTTCTCTGTAAAATGCGTGTTGGCGAAATTCCACCCAGAGAGGCCTCGCCCTGGAGCACACCCAAGCCGGGAGGCACGTCCTCAGCCAGAGCTGTGTTCCCAGATAACTATAAAACATATCGTTCTCCTGAAGGGCAGGTTTTGCCACGTTAATTTCCTTTCATGGAAGGGGTAGCTTCCTACTGAAAATCAAAGAGAAAATCTCCCAAGGAAAGAAATCTGAGTTGCGACATACCCAGAAAGGACCACTCCTGGGTCCCTGGGAGTTTCCATCTTATTTAAAATTTTTATTTATTTATTTTGAGACAGGGTTCACTCTGTCGCCCAGGCTAGAATACAGTGGCTTAATAGTGGCTCACTATAGCCTTGATCTCCCAAGCTTAGGTGATCCTCCCACTTCAGCCTCCAGCCTGAGTAGCTGGGACTACAGGCGTGTGCCACCACACCTGGCTGATTTTCTTTTCCTTAGTAGAGACAAGGTCTCATTATGTTGTCCAGGCTGGTCTCGAACTCCTGAGCTCAAGTGATCCTCTTGCCTCAGCCTCACAAAGTGCTGGGATTACAGGTGCGAGCCATATCACCCCGCTGCCTCCATTCTTTTACTTAGAACCAGGTTCCTCAACATTCTCTTTTCTTTCCCTGCTGCGTGTTATCTTACGTCTCTGCTAGTTATAAGCTCTGTGGAGCAGGGCACATATCTTGGGAAGCTTTCTGCCCCCTGGGCCGGGCATGCAGCGACTCACATTTATTGACTGAATTAAGCAGAGCTAGTCAGCAGCCATATGGGATATGGAGGCCATGTCCAAAATGCCATCCGTCTTTACTCCAGGCCTGTTTTCATCTGAGTGCCAGGTAGTAAAGAGGGAAAATTTTGGAGACAAACAAGCGTGATTTGATTCCCAGTCTTGAAACTTACTGGCTGACCGTTCCCGTGCAAACTTCTCCCAGGCTCAAAAGGCCCACCTTTAAAATGGGCTACCAGAAAGTTAACGCATATAAAATCCACTGGTGCACAGTAGGCCTTCAGTGTCTGTTCAATGTCTTCCCTTTCTTTCTGTTTTTTGATGTCATTTCATTTTTCCCCTCAAAAAAAAAAAAAGCCAACAGGTTTTTGGCCTGTAGAGCAAGACCCTTCTAGAAAGAATTCACGTTAGATCCATATTAACAAGCTTTGGCATTAGCCCTGGTCGCTGTGTGAGTGTTTTCAGGCTGTGGAAATTCACTGACAATCACTTAGGACCAGATTCTGGCCTGCGCAGAGACCAGGCTGCTGCAAGGGGGGGGATTTTGAGGAGGTGGCTGGGGGGAGCGAGGTGGAAATGGTTTGAGAATGGGTCCCGGAGGCAGGAATGTCACTTTGCTCGGCAGTTGTCACAAACTCCAGGTGTCTGAGTGAGCATCCTGTGTTTCTGGGGCACACCAGCCTGGTAAATCGGGGTGAGCTTCTAACCTCCATTGTAGTCCAGACATTGAGCTAAAGCCCCCAGGAGGAGTCTAGGCCGGTGAAAAGGACCTATCAGATGAGCTGGGAGGAGGGGCGACAGGGCCCTGGGAAGGAGACTCGAGCGTGATGCTCCGAAGTTCCCTGGACTCAGGGAGGTCCTCAGCAAAATGAGGAAACCAGTGATGTGATTTCTACAGACTAACAGGAACCGAAGAGGCCTGCTGGAGTTTCAGCTTCATGGGATCTCACTCATCTCCCTCCCCAGCACCTGGGCGGGCTGTTGAATGAATGAGTGATGAAGGGAGGGAAGAGACAAACCCTCTCATCTCATTGGTGAGGAAACAGATCCATACGAATAGGGTGACTTGCCTAAGGTCAGGTCTCAGAAACTCCTTTCCACTCAGGCATCAACAACTGAGAACAGGTCGAAATAGGCCCGCTCCTGGGGTTTTCCCTTTAAACATTACATGTGCCTGTGGAGAGGGATTTTGCTCTTTTACAAATGGAGTTCAAGGCCTTCACAGATGAGGGAGGGTCTCAGGTCTGTCTGGCACTCTGTTACCCTGTTTGTAGATGGCAGCTGACTTTGTGTAAAAAACTGACAGCACCCGCCGCCCCTTTGCCAGCCTGATCTGGCTCCAGAGCTACATGATGCCTGATAGGATGGCTTGGACAAGATGCCATGAAAATTCTTCTTGGCTTCATTTTACATCCTGGTGTCAGCCGTCTCTCCTGGACTACTGCAATAGTCCAGCCAGGCCACTCTCCTGCTCCATTTTCTCTAATCCATTTACAAATGGGAATGTGCTCATTTGTAAATGGGAATGAGGGCCCTGTTCCCTCTATTTGCCTGTACTTAGAAACCATTCAGTGGCCTGGATTTAGAAGAAAAGGAAAACTGCTCACTGCCCTCTGCTCCAAGCCCACCTATGACCACGGTCACCCTATTCGTCTTCTCATCCATTACAAGCTCCAAGCACTCTCCTATCTCAAGGACATGCTGTGCCCTTTGTCGAGAATATGTTTCCCCCAATCATCCCGTTCTCATTCTCATCCTCCAAGTCTTAGTTTAAACACCTTTAGAGAGGTCTCTTCAGAGAGGCATTCCTGCCCACTCCTCTGAACTAGATCCACCCACCCTGGGCGGGCACTCTCACAGGGGTCTATCTGTGTCCTTTATGGTATGTCGCACAGTTTGGTAATTATATATTATCTTGTTTGTCTATTGTCTATTATGTTGCTCCACTGCCACGCAATAAGCTCCATGAGGAAAGGGGCTATGTATGTCTTGTCTACCACTGTGCTTCTCATTATGCCTGGCACATAGGAGGTGGGCATTACATATGTTGAATAAAAAAATGAATGAATGTAGGGATGAGTGCATGACTTAAGTCCCTGGTGGCAGACTTTATGCAGATGATAGCTAAAGAGACTGCCCTTTTTCGTAATATGCCTAACAAGAATTGGATTTAAAGTGATCTTAGGGGCCAGGTGCGGTGGCTCACGCCTGTAATCCCGATACTTTGGGAAGCCGAGGAGGGCAGATCACTTGAGGTCAGGAGTTCAAGACCAGCCTGGCCAACATGGTGAAACCCCGTCTCTACTAAAAAGACAAAAACTAGACAGGCATGCACCTGTAATCCCAGCTACTTTGGAGGCTGAGGCACGAGAATGGCTTGAACCCAGGAGGCGGAGCTTGCAGTGAGCCGAGATTATACCACTGCACTCCAGCCTGGGCGACAGAGCAAGACTACATCTCAAAAAATAATAATAATAATTTAAAAAGTGATCTTAGGCAGAAATCAGGAGTAAATATGTGAATAAAAGTAACTAGCTGGCTGTGGTGGCTCACGCCTGTAATCCCAGCGCTCTGGGAGGCCAAGTCGGGCAGATCATGAGGTCAGGAGTTAAAGACCAGCCTGGCCAACATGTTGAAACCCCTTCTCTACTAAAACTACAAAAATTAGCTGAGTGCCATGGCAGGCACCTGTAAACCCACCTACTCGGGAGGCTGAGGGAGGAGAATTGCTTGAACCCAGGAAGTGGAGGTTGCAGTGAGCTGAGATCATGCCACTGCACTCCAGCCCGGGTGACAGAGCAAGATTCCGTCTCTGGGGGTGGAAAGAAAAAGTAACCGAGCCAGAGCAGTCCAGTGTGGAATGAAAATGCAGACTGTGGAGGATGAAACATCTAGATAGGGCGAGGTCCCCAGACAGCCCCTTGGTCACTTCTGGCTAAGAGCACTCACGGGTGCCTTGGTGAAGAGGAAACTAGAAATCCGTGTAGCAGCCCCGGTGGCCCCTGTGCGGTATGGAATCTTGCTAGACGGCTCCCTAACAGTGTGTAGGACCCTTTTGTAGTACAGGTGTCTGCCATTCTCGGTGAACCATGTTGTCGTCTTCACCAAATGAGGTTTAAAAAGCCCTCTGGGGACAGCAGGCAGGGAAGGGGACTGGTGACCCTACCTCTCCCTGATCCAGGCTGTGATTGTAGGGCCTACTATCATATGCTGCTGGTGGGAATGTGCTGTGTTGCAATTTTTCTGGAAGGAAATTTGGCAAGATATATTAAAAGCCTTAAATATAGGCAAGTCCTTTGACTTGATAACTCCACTTTAAAGAAGCTAAACCCCACTGGGGGGTTATTTATTTTCCTATTATAATCTCATTCCTACTTCGCAGTTGTTACCTGGATTAGTTTACATCATATACATCTGTACTTCCTTTGCTCAAAAGATAGAAAAGTTTCACAATGTTTTTATTTTATTTTATTTTATTTATTTTTTTGAGACAGGGGCTCATTCTGTCACCTAGGCTGGAGTGCCATGGCACAATTATAGCTCACTGCAGCCTCAACCTCCTGGGCTCAAGTGATCCTCCCACCTCAGCCTCCTAAGGTAATTTGAATTTAAAAAAACACACAAAATACAAAACTAAGTGTCTGGTAGGAATCCTCTTGTGCCAAAGAAACATTCAGACACAATTACTAGAACATTTCCTCAAATAATTAATGGGGATTACCTATATCTGATGAGATTATAAATTAATTTTATCATTACTTTCCAAATTTTCTACCATAAGCATGTGCTGCATTTATAATTATAATAAAACAATAAGCAATTTTTAGTCCCAAGAGAAAAAAAATCCTGTTGCTCTGAGGCCACATGTGAGATAAACTACTCCCCCATTACAGAATTCGTCTTAGCAAAAATGTGCCCATTTGCTTTGGCTCTAGCCAGAATTGGCCAAATGTGCCCAAAGGCACATCTAGCTGCAAGGGAGGCTGAAATATAGAAGGTCCAGCTGGGTAGCAAGAGCCCGGCTAATAGGGTGTTCACTGTGAGTGTGGGTGGACAGATGCGTGAGTTTGTGGTATGTACATAGGGATGCATATACATATTCACTTATTCATTTTATTTTATTTTATTTCATTTATTTATTTATTTTTAAAAATTGAGACCGGTCTCACTATGTTGCCAGGGCTGGTCTCGAACTCCTGGACTCAAGTGATTCTCCCACCTCGACCTCCCAAAGTGCTAGGATTACAGGATTGAGCCACTGTGCCAAGCCTATGTATTTATTTGAGATAGGGTCTCACTATGCTACCAAGGCTGGTCTCTAACTACTGGGTTCAAGTGATCCTCCCACCTCAGTCTCAAGAGTAGTTGGGAACACATGTGTGTGCCACTGTGCCTGGCGCAGCTGTATGGTTTATAATGATGGAAGAAAAAAAAAGGAGAGAACGGATATTGGAGTGTAATTAGCCATTTGAACAAAGTAAGGAAAACAGGCAGCCAGTGGGCACAGAACACACAGCTGTCTTTTCTGAGCCAGTATAAAATGCGCTAATTCATCTATATGGGACAGTCCTCAAAGATTCCAGCACAGCCAGCCCTGAGCCAGCAGGCCTGTCTCCTCTGCTCACAACCACAGCGGGACTCATGGTAGTCAACCCTCAGGAAGCCCTTCCCCAGGGCCATTCAAAATGGGCATCTTGAATTCAGAGATCTTGGCATTTTTCTCACAGCCACAGAGCTTGGAAATTTTCTCTTACTAATTCTTCCCCGACACTGTGTGTACTTGTCTAATGGTTTTCCATTTGACACATGTTTATGAAGCGGCTGTTCTATGTTGGATACACCATCACACATTATGCCCCTGACTCCCCACGGTCACTCAGGAGCAATGTATTACTGTCCCCATTTTACCTATGAGGAAACAGAGGCCAGGTAGCAAGAGGCAGAGCTGGGACCTGAAGCCAGATTTCTCAGCTACAATGCTGGCGAGCTTTCCAGCACACCACAGCCGCCTTTTGCTTCAAAGCCTGGAAAAGTTGATGAGCCCTGAAACCTTCTGTGAAAGCCCTGCAGAAATGAACTGCCAAGCCTGCTCGACAGAAATAGTTGTGGTCCTCAGCTTCCTGGAACGAAAACACTCTTTCCCGAGTGGGGACCAGCCCATTAGCCCATCCTTTATTTCATGCAAGGCGACTCCCCACCACCCATAAATCATTTTCCAGGCCTTTCCGCTGGGCAACTCTACTTCAGAGATGCAATGTCCCATGCAGGGTGACGGTTTAGCCTTCTGGACTCCATCAGTCGGGCAAAACAAAACCAGAAATGTCATGTGGAGCTGCAAACCTAAAATATATTACAACTGAGACCCAAACACACAACCCAGAGAGGAGAGGAGGCAAAGACACAGCCTCCAAGTGAAATTTTAAAGTTTCCAGGCCTTGCAAATGAATAAAATAGTGCTACTACCTGCCACGGCCGTCCATGAGGTTTCTTGCTGTGGGAACAGGTTCACAACAATATTTTTTTCTTTTAATTTTTGATCAAATTCTGCATGGGGCATAAAATAGGTTCCCAGAAGGTTCAAGCTGAAAGTTTACCTGGCTCTGTTACCGGACTCCATGTTGGTGAGAGAGGGCATCTAAGCTCGACCCTTGGCTGCTCTGAGAAGCAATACCCTGAAGAAGGGACATCCGATTTGATCAAACACAGCATCTCTTGGTCCCAGGAACAGACACTAAAATAACAGAAAGGAGCAGAAGAGGACAATGATTTGCCATTTATTCAGGGCCTGCCACGAGCTGTGCACAGTGCTAGGCACTTCACATATACTGTCGTATTCACGTGTCGGTAAGTAATGATATTTTTATCTTACAGAGAGGAACCTGAGGGTTGGCAAAGTCAGAGGCCGAGCTCACCTCATACAGAAGGGATAGAATGTGAATTTTAAGCTGGTTTGTAATAAAACATGATATGGTTTGGCTGTGTCCCCACCCACATCTCATCTTGAATTGTAGTTCCCACAATCCCCATGTGTTGTGGAAGGCACCCAGTGAGAGGTAATTGAATCGTGGGGGCGGTTACCCCCTGCTGCTGTTCTCGTGTAAGTGAGTGAGTTCTCAGGAGATCTGGTGGTTCTATAAGGGGCTTTTCCCCCTTTCTCTGGCACTTCTCCTTCATACCACTATGTGAAGAAGGATGTGTTTGCTTTTCCTTCTGCCATGATTGTAAGTTTCCTGAGGCCTCCCCAGCCACGCTGAACTGTGAGTCGATTAAACCTCTTTCCTTTATAAATTACCCAGTCTTGGGTATGTCTTTATTAGCAGCATGAAAATAGACTAATAGAAAACACTGGTATCCATTAGTGAAGGGCTTGCATATGCCAGGCTATGGCCTAAGCCTTCCTAGGGATTAGCTCATGTATTCCCCTCATCAAGACTGTGAGATGGACACGATCATTATATGCATCTTACAAGTGGAAAACGCAAGGCCCAGCAGAGAGAGATGCAGCATCTTGCCCCAGGTCAAATGGGGTAACTTGCAAGCCAGGGCTTGAACACAGCCAGTCTGCCCCAGACCTCGTACCTTGACCACTACACAGCCCTCTGTTTGTGTGATGCTGCATTAGGGAGGTGAGGTTCTGTAGAAGCCATATGGCTCTTGAGACCTGAGAGGATCCTTCAGTGACCCTTCCCCTAACCTCTGTTATACTGGTTGACTAACTCAGGTATGGATGGGAAAGCAACTGATCCAGGTCTCTAGGCTGTTCAGCTGTACCACTAGGATTTGCCCCAGGACCAAATTCTGGGGCTCTTTCTACTACCCTATGCCATCTCTTTATTCCTGAGCTGGCTGCCATTTAATCATCAATAATCAAGAGAAATAGAATGCGAGCCACAAGTGCAAGTCATCTATGTAATTTAAATATTTTTACTGGCCACATTCTTAAAAAGTAAAAAGGAACAGGTGAAATGAACATAAATGATATATTTTAAACCCTATACGTCCGAAATGTTACCATTGTAACATATAATCAATGTAGCAATTATTAAGGAGATATTTTATCTTCGTGGGGTACTAAGTCTTTGAAATCTGGCATGTATTTCACACTTACAGCACATCTCAGATTGGATGTGACATTTCAACAACCCAGTGGCTGCATGTGGCCAGTGTCTTCATTATTGGACAGGATAGACTTCAGCCCTGTTATTCAAAGTGTGATCCATGGGCGAGCAGCATCAGCATCACCTGAGAACGCGTGAGAAATGCAGCATCTCAGGCTCCACCAAAGACCTCCTGAATCAGAATCTGCATTTTATTTTATTTTGTTATTTATTTATTTGTTTGTTTTGAGACGGAGTCTCGCTGTGTCACCCAGGCTGGAGTGCAGTGGCGCGATCTCTGTTCACTGCAACTGCCTCCAGGGTTCAAGCAATTCTTCTGCCTTAGCCTCCCAAATAGCTGAGACTACAGGCAACTGCCACTAGACCCAGCTAATTTTTGTATCTTTAGTAGAGACAGGGTTTCACCATGTTGGCCGGGCTGGTTTCGAACTCCTGACCTCAGGTGATCCGCCTGCCTCAGCCTCTCAAAGTGCCGGGATTACAGGCGTGAGCCACCGCGCCCAGCCAGAATCTGCGTTTTAACAAGATCAACATGTGCACATTTGTCTGAGAAGAGCTGTACTATAATTCTTACCCTTTTATGGGAGGAGCCCCAGGAAAACTTCAGAATAGCTGAAAGCCATGAGTTCTTCTAATATGCAAATGCACACAGATTTCTGCTTACAATTCCAGAAACTTCCCCAACTCTTGGAAGCCCAGTCAAGGACCCCTGGTTCCATGGATTCCACATTAAGAGCTCTGGCTCCGGAGCAGTGGTTTAAAAAATAACTGTAGAACCAATAGGAGGTGGATGGATGGATAGATAGATAGATAGATAGATAGATAGATAGATAGATAGACAGACAGACAGTCGTAGAGTTATTACAAGGAATTGGCTCACTGATTATGGAGGCTGGGAAGTCCCACAATCGGCTGCCTGCAAACTGGAGACTCAGAAAAACTGATGGTGTGATTCAGTCTGAATCTGAATATTTGAGAACTATAGAACCCAGTGGTGGAAATCAGAGCCCAGGGGCAGGAGATGAGATGAGATGAGATGTTCCAGCTGAAGCAGTGAGAAAGAAAAAAGGAAGGGGATTCCTCCTTCCTTGGCCTTTCATTCTATTGAGACCCTCAGTGGATAGCAAGGTGTCCACTCACACTGGGGAAGGCCATCTTCTTAAGCAAGCTTGGTGATTCAAATGCTAATCTCATCCATAAACATCTTTATAGACACGCCCAGAAACAATGTTTAATCTTGGTGCCCCGTGGCCACTCAAGTTGCCACATAAAATTAACCATCACAGGATGGGCTCGGTGGCTCACGCCTGTAATCCCAGCACTTTGGGAGGCCAAGGCGGGAAGATCACCTGAGGTCAGGAGTTCAAGACCAGCCTGACCAACATGGTGAAACACCTTTTCTACCAAAAATAGAAAAATTAGCTGGACATGGTGGCGGACGCCCGTAATCCCAGCTACTCGGGAGGCTGAAGCAGGAGAATCGCTTGAACCCAGGAGATGGAGGTTGCAGTGAGTCGAGATTGCACCACTGCACTCCAGCCTGGGTGACAGAGCAAGATTCCGTCTCAAATAATAATAATAACAATAAATAAAATAAAATTAACCATCACAGTATCTTAGGCCTGGTGTGAAACTCCCATCCCAGGCCAACGGCTCCCCACCCCTGGTCTACTGATCATGGCCCGTGGCCCCACACAGGGCACCTGGATGTAGTTTCTTCTTTTTTTAAATGTTTTTGATTTTAAACTCCCCGAAAATTCTGACAACCAGCTGGATTTTGGAAACTGATCTAGGTGATCTAGGGTATCCCGCCTGTCAGCAATGTTTTATGTTATAATAAAGTCACTTCCAGTGAAAAAGTCTCAGAACCCAAGATGGCCTCAGGTGGCTTTCTGTGCCTCCTTAAATTACCAAATGACAGAGGTGGAAGGCCGTATATCATCAGTTCTCCTCACCCCCTCAGAGGGAGAGACTAGGATCCGGTGGGCAGATGGAACATGTCCCAGGTCAGGCCACATCCCCTTTCCCTGTAATCTCCTTGTGCTGGCCAAAGACCTCTCTTTTGACCACACAAACTGAAAATTTCCGACGGGATGCAAAATGTAGTTCCCCAATTTCTTTTCCATGCTTTGTCATCAATGGTTTTCCCGTCTTTCTCTCTCACATTTACAGCTTGTATGGTGACCACACTGCTTCTCTAAGGCCCGCTTGTGACTATGTCACATCTCTTCTCACTGGAGGTGATTTACTGCCATGCTAGTGAAGCGTAAGCTCAGGGCCTCTTACTTGAATGGGGCCTTTCCATGACCCATACTTTTGTATGCTTTTTTTCTTAAGGGGAATCGCTCAAATTATATCAGCTTTGGATCTCTCAAAAACTGCATCTGCAACTGCTGCTCAGACCCTTAGAGGTCTCCAAGACAAAGTCTTGACTCCTGCAACCTTGCCTGGTGTGGCCTCTCTCCCACCTCCCTGCACACCCCAAGCTCTGACTGGATTGCAGTTTCTGCCAATTGTTGAGCATCTCCTGCTCTTCCTCCAGCTGTGCCTCCTGCCTGGTGTGCCCGTCCCACCTCCAGGTCTTGCTTACATACCTCCACCTGGATGAAGCCACCATGGTCTTACAAGCCAGCTCTTGCCCTATCCTCCTGTATCCTGACCACTCTCAGGATCACCTTCTGGGTTCATATTTATAAGGCGCTGAGAACGATGTCTGGCACAGTGCAAGCAAGCTGTGTTTGTTAATAAAATTAAATTAAAAATAGAAGCAGCTTTGTGTCTCGGCTCACCCTGAGCTCTAGCTGTGGGCAGGGGGTCCATATGTCCCATGTCACCAGGGGCAGAGCTGGTTTAGGTCCATTGTCCCAGGGTCATCATCAGCAAAGTCCACGCTCTCTGGTGCAGCGTCCTGGTTTGGAGGCTAAATCACTGGTCATCCCTTCCGTGGAGTTCCCTCCTGGTTCACTCAGGGGCATCCTTAAATGCTTAGCTTAGAAATCATGTCCCTTAAGAAGACTTTCCTACCAACTGAAATGTGTTTGCCTACAAATAAGGGAAGATCCAACAAAAGGTGATATAAACAACAACAAAAACTTTATTATCACACAGAACCAAAAGTCACAGATGAAGCAATTCTAGGTGAATTGTGCTGGCAGTTTAATGGGCTCTAAGACAGTGTCACCTACTGATGATGAAGACCAGAGGCAGAAAATGGGATAATTCCTCCCCGAAGAGGTTTTCTTTTTTTGTTTGTTTTTTTTAATTAGTGAGGAAAATGTTTCCCAGAACCTCCCACCCCCAACCCACGCCAAAGGACTTCCCCTCACTTCTAATTGGCCAGAATTGTGTCACATGCCCCTGGCTTAACCATGGCTTGTGAAAGAATGGATGCCTCTGGATTGGCTTGGACCAATCAGAGTTCATCTTCCGGAGCAGGGGTGAGGCTCAAACTTCTGGGAATACAGGGCCACCACGTTTGAAATATTTTGTAAAATATTGCTGCAGGAAGACTACTTAGCTGATGGGAGGGAAGGAGGAAGGAGAGACTATCTGTAGACCAGGCCACCAACAATGTGTACTCCACCTTCCCTGACTTCCCAGACTACTGGGAACAGTCGAGGAACAGGAACAGCCTGTTGCTCTTCCTTGATTATAGGACACCTCACTTTGCAACTTGCCTCTTCCCCTGGCCCCAGGCCATAAGCTGCACAAGATCAGGAAGCATATCTTATCCACCTTACTCACCTTGCATGGGGCCTGACACCTTGTAGGAGCTCAGATATTTAAATAAATAAATGTCCTCCCGCACAGTGTTTCCATAGAGTATGACTCCCTGTTTTGGATTTATGTTATGAGACAGTTCATACTGGGAAAATTGGAGGATGTTTCACATCCAACTTTTAAACTGTGTACTCTCTGAGCACAAGGCCTGCGCTGGGCACAGCTCTGTATCTCTGGCACGTAGCACAGTGTCTAATCTATAGAATATGTTTATATTCTAAGAAATAATGCACAATAGACAGTTTTTCATGCAGTACGGCAATGAAAAAAATGAACTCTGCTACACACAATATGGATGAATCTGTCAGACATAAGGTTGAATGAGGCAAGACATAAAAGAGGAATCGTGTAAGATTCTATTTATATAAAGTTTTAAAATAGGAAAAGGAATCCTTGGTGATGCAGGTGAGAAGAGTGGTCATGTTTTGGGAGGGCACACAAAGGAGCCTGGCGTGGACTGGGGATGTCCTGTCTCTTGATCCATATGGTGTTACCTGGGTATGCACACAGGAAAAATGTACTACAGTTTACTGTAGTATATCCAGACAACAGAATATTATTCAGCACTAAAAACAAATGAGCTATCAAGCCATGGAAAGACCTGGAAGAACCTTAAATGACTATCACTAAGTGAAAGAAGCCAATCTGAAAAGACTACATGCTACAGGACTCCAACTGTAACGACACTCTAGAAAAGGCAAAGGCTGGGCGCAGTGGCTCATGGCTGTAGTTGCAGCACTTTGGGAGGCCAAGGTGGGAGAATCACTTGAGCCCAGGAGTTTGAGACCAGCCTAGGCAACAAAGTGAGACCCTATCTCTAAAAAAATATCAAAAAATTAGCCAGCCATGGTGACATGCACCTGTGGTCTCAGCTGCATGGGAGGCTGAGGTTGGAAGATCCCTTAAGCCCAGGAGGTGGAGGCTGCAGTGGGCTGTGTTCCTGCCACTGCACTGCAGCCTGAGTGACAGAGCAAGACCAGAGTCTCAAAAATATATATTTATTACATGTAATATATTTTTATTATATAAAATACGTGTGTGCGTGTGTGTGTGTGTATGAAAAGACAAAACTATGGAGACAGCAAGAAGATCAGCAATTGCTGAGGGTTGTGGGGAGAGAGAGATGAAGAATCAGAGTACAGAGAATGTTTAGGGCAGTGAAACTCTTCTGAATGATGCTGTAATGTTGGATGCATGTCATTATACATTTGCCCAAAGCCATAGAATGTACAACACTAAGAGTGAGCCCTAATATAAAGTATGGACTTTGGGTGATGACGATGTGTCGGTGAGATTCATCAATTGTAACACATGTGCCACTCTGGAGGTGGATGTTGATAATGGGGGATCTTATGCACTTGTGGAGGTAGGGGGTACATGGGAACTCTCTATACTTCTTGCTCAATTTTGCTGTGAACCTAAACCCGTTTTAAAAAAATAATCTATTTTTTTAAAATTACTGAACTGTATACTTTGTGCTCTATACCATCAAAAAGGAAAACATGTTCTTCATAATAATATTAACTAGCACTTGCTAAGGGCTATAGGAAATCAGACCCTGTTCCAGCTCTGTGCTTTCAGTATTTCTAGAATGCAGATGGCACAAGGCCAGGGACTTGCCTGGTTTGACTACAGTACCTAGCAAATTTCTCAGATGAAGAAATGTACTCCTTTTAACGTCATAAAAGTCCTCATGCTATAGGAACTATTAGTCTCCCCATTTTACAGGAGAGGAAACAAAACCTCAGAGAGGTAATGGATGAATTCAAGGCCATATAGCTGGTAAGCGTCAGAGCTGAGACTTGTGCCCAGGTTGTCTTGGTGGAAAAGCCAGCATTCTGAACCCCTGTACTGTATTTCCTCGGATTGCCACTGAGGTTGAACCCCAAAGAGCTCAAAGTGTTCAGAAGATGCACAAGTATTAATAAAATTATTCATAGTTTTCACTGTGGTTGCATTTTCTCTAAATTAATTGCTATTGTCCCTGAGATGTGGTTACAGAGTGCTCTGATTGTAGCTGTGATAAAGGATATCCCAAGCCCAAGTTCAACCTGCCAGCCTGTCAATAACTTTGACACCTTGATTCCCTGTCACCTGGTAACTACTAAAATGTATAATATTCTGAAGCCTTTAATTTTACCTTCTGCAGGAGAAGAAAATTGATGGAGAAAGGTAGGGTGCAATTTAAGACATGTGCAAATTACCTTTTGACTCTCATGAATATATATTCTGCAACGGATGCCTGCCTGGGCGAGAATCTCTGTCCCCTGGATGAGCTAGGTTGACGGCCATCAGCCCATAATTGCTGGGCTCGGGCCTGTCTCTCCTGTTGAGGAATAAAACCTTGCTCAAGGTCAGCATTGAGTTGTCAGTCTGAAAGTTTCCAGCGTCAAGGGAGCTGCACCAGGAACAAAACAGCCTTCGGAGAGAGCAGCTTACTTCAAATGGAAAAGGTGTGTGTGTGCTGTCTGCATGAGTAGTGTGTGTTGTGCGGTGATGCCTGAGGGTCAGGTAAGTGGAAAAGGACAACAGTCATCTAATGGGACATCTTCCAGAAGCCATGGTGCCTGAAGCCAGACTGGAGGGGAGCAGGGAGTGAGGGGTGGTAGCAACAGGAGACAGCCTGTATGTACAGCTCTTCTGAGAAGTTTGCCTAGGACAGGGAGGAGAAGGAACAGGCAGCAGCAGGAGAAATCCACTGACAATTCTTTTGGAAAAATTTTTATTGTGATAAAATACACATAACATAAAACTCATCATTTTAATGTGTATACAATGGCATGAAATATATTCACATTGTTGTGCAAGCACCATCACTATCTAGGTCTAAAACATTGTCATCATCCCTGAAAAGGAGGCCCCTGTATCTGTTAGGCAGTCACTCCTCGTTCCTCCCTTCCCTTGTCCCCTGGCAACCACCAATTTGTGGTTTGTCTTTATGGATTGATGTATTTTTGGACATTTCATATAAAACAAATCATACAGTATGTGGCTTTTTCTGTCTGGCTTCTTTCACTTAGCATAATATTTTCAACATTCACTCCTGTTGTAGTGTGCATCAATACCTCATTCCTTATTCCTTTTATGGCTGAACCATATGTCATCATATGTGTGGATATGCCACATTTTCTTTACCCATTCATTTGCTGTTCAACATTTGGGTTGTGTCTACCTTTTAGCCATTGTAGATAGTGCGGCCATGAATATTAACATACAGGATTTTTTTTCTGAACACCTGTTGTCAGTTCTTCTGGGTCTATACCTAGGAGTGGAATTGCTATGTCATATGGTAACTCTATGATTAACTCACTGGGGGATCACCCAACTGTTTTCCACAGTGGCTGCACCATTTTACATTCCCAGCAGCAATGTATGAGGTTTCCAAATTCTTGTCAGTAAAATGAGGATAATGCTATTTATATCTTAGGGAGTATCTTAGTCTTTCTCATGCTTCCATAACAGAATACCTGAGACTGGATAATTTATAAAGAACAAATATTTATTTCTTATAGCTCTAGAGGCTGGGAAGTCCAAGGTCAAGAGGCTGCATCTGAAGAGTACCTTCTTGCTGTGTCAGCCCATGGTGGAAAGTGGAAGGGCACGAGAAAGAGACACAAAGGAGGCCAAACTCATCCTTTTATCGGGAATGTACTCCTGTGATATGACATTAATCCTCTTAATCATGTCTTAAAATTATCACCTTTCAACACTCTTGCATTGGAGGTTAAGTTTCCAACACATGGACTTTAGGGGACACATTCAAACCATAGCAGGGAGTTATAGTGAGATGCAGATAAATGACCAAAGTGAAGACATAGCACAGGGCCTAACACTTTTAGTAGATACTCAATAAACAGGCCTTCCTTTCCTTGGGTCATTGGAGAAAAAGAGACATCATATAACAAGAACGGGTATCTCTTTTTGATCCAGCACTGCCTGTGGGAATATTTGCTGACTGGGGAGGTGGCCTCAGCCGTGAGCCAAGGGCATGCCACTGATAGGCTCCCTTCCACTGCCCTGGGTCCTCCCTTACCTAACAGCCTCCTGTGGCATCCCTCAGTCTCCCCAGTAATTCTGGTGCTCAGCAAGCGCTAGGGGTCACTGACTACCTTAGTCTCCTAGGGCTGCCATAACAAAATACCACACACTGGGTGGCTTGAAACAACAGAAATTTATTTTCTAACAGTTCTGATGACTGGAAGTCTGAAATCAAGGTGTTGCCAGGGCCATGCTCTCTCCAAAGGCCCTGGGGAACTCCTTCCTTGCCACTCCTAGCTCCTGGTAGTTCTAGACATGCTCAGGTAGCCTTCCCTAGCATCCTCTCACTTATAGATGTATCACTCCCATCTCTGCCTTTGTCATCCCATGGTCTCCTCCCCTGTGTGTGCTCCCAAATTTCCCTATTTTATAAGAACAATGGTCATTGGACTAGGGTCCACCCTAATCCAATATGATTTCACCTTACCTTGATTTTATCTGCAAAGGCCCACAATATTTCTAAATAAGGTCACATTCACAGGCACAGGGATTAGGACTTTGACATATATTTTGGGGGGTTGCCATTCAGCCCAAAACACTGGCTTGTGATTAAACTCAGGCATGGAATCGGATTTTGTGGAGCAGAGAGATTGGACAGTTGGAAAGTCCTCCTTAAGGAAAAGAATACAAAATTTATGAATGCAAATTTAGGTACAAAGCCTAGGAAGGGGCCAAGCAAGTGAGGCTTTCTATGAAGTTTGTTTCATTAACCATAGAAAATCTACCTCTGGATAAACTCATTTATCCCTATTCGATTTCTAAATTTATTACATGGAGCTGAAGGAATGAAACAATTAAAAATGGCAAACTGAAAACACAAATTTTATACACAGACCTAATATCTGCATTCACATTGCAACACATGAAAATTGTGGATTTGTGGGTGGCTATTTCTTTTCTTTTTGCTTATCTGAGTTTGCTAGTCTTCTACGATGAACATTTATTACCTTTATAAAAATCATAACCATCGTCTCATTGCTGGCTTGAGGGTGTGTCGATTAGGCCTGAGATGTGTCTGAGACACTCACCGAGAGCTACAGAGCTGGTGGTTGTCATAGATATCTTTCCTGGGGAAATGCTATTTCCTCAAGGGCTCCCAGAGCCTACACAACCGCCCCTTTGGCTTCCTGGGTCCTCCCTGCCCCCAGAAGTCTGCCCGGCTCAGATTGGTAAGGTACCCAGAGAGCCACTGGCTAGTCTGTGCACAGGAGAGGCCCCATGATGGAGAATGAGGTGCCGTGGCCGCTGATCCGTTTCCCTGATTTACATCAATTTACATTCAGCTCTCCAACAATCTACATGAAAATCAGGCAGCCTCCATCTATTCTCCTGAAATCAGATGAGGCTGCTGGGCCTGTGGAATGATATACTGAGATGCTGCCTCACTTCCCAAACCCTGGGCAGATTAATTTGTCAACCAAAACAGGGGCTGGTATTATAATCATGGCTGCCTAGCACTCTGTTGCTTTCCCCAAATTGGATAGATAAATGGATATTCGTGATTTATTAATCTGAATGTTTTGTCTAGCTTCATTTTCCATTTCCTTTCCATTTTCTTCCCTTCTATAAGGAGTTGGTGCATTTTTTTCATGAATATTATTGATGCCATTCTTTCCTTCATTCCTCTAACAATAATTTACTGAGGCCTTCTATGTACCAGGCAACTATTATTGGTGCCTGGACGAAAAAAAGAAAATGACTCCTTTGTCCCCTGTTCACACTTGGATTTGATGATCGTCCTCTTGACTTGTGTTTTAAAGTAAGTTTCAGGCCAGGCAGAGTGGCTCTCTCCTGTATAGTCCCAGCATGTTGGGAGGCCGAGGCAAGAGAATCACTTGAACCCAGGAGTTTGAGACCAGCTTGGACAATACAGGGAGACCTCATCTCTACAAAACAAAACAAAACAAAGCAAAACAAAAAACAATAAATAAAAATAAGTTTCAATGTAGGTATAACCTACAGACAGTAAAGTACATAAACCTCAAGTGCACAACTTGACAAATATGAACATACTTAATATCTCCACCATGATCAAGGTGTAGAACATTTTTAGTACTCCCAGAGGCTCCCTTAGGTCCCTACCCAGTCAATATCCTGCACCCCACCCGAGATAACCATTGCTCTGATTTCTTTCACCATCAGCAAGTTCTGCCCAGGCTTAACTTCCTGTAAATGGAACTATGTAGTATATAGGCACAAAAGGGTAAATACTGCCAAATTCCATTTATAGGAAGTTCGAACACTGGCAGAACTTTTTCTGGTCATCATTATATGTGTGAGATGCTTCCACATTACTGTATGTATCAATAGCTTGTTCTTTTTCATTATTGTGTAGTATTACTATTTAGTTCTATATATACCACTATTTATCCATAAATAAATGGATACTTGGGCTGTTTCTAGTATAGGATGATGATGAATAAAGCTCCTATAAACATTCTTCTGCATGTCTTTGGGGCATGTGCGCATTTTCTCTTGGATCTATACCCAGGGGTGGAATTGTGCGTCAGAGGGTCAGCCTGTGTTCATGTTAGTAGACACTGCCCATCCTCGTCTCTTAAATTCAGCCTCTTTGGTTCATACTTCCCAAGCCCCATCTCTGGAACCTGCTTCCACGAAAGGGACTGGACAAAGTAACCACCCACGTTCATAGCCTCCCTTGCTAGGAATTCTTCCTCAGGCATCACCCAGTGTGGCTTCTTACCTAGAGAATCGGCTGAATCCAGTCCACAGTTTTTCCAGCACTCACAAATACTGCCTCATTGTGTTCCCCTGCCCTGAGGATGCCAATACTAGCCCACTGGTGGGCTGGTGCCCCACCTCAGAGGTGTGGGGCCGAGACCACTGGACTCTCCTGTGAGCTTCTCAGTTGCAATAATCTCAGACTCTTTCCTTTGTTCCCCTAGCCCTGGAGGTGGTAGCTGCTTCCTGCCATTGCCACCTGCATTGTGCCTTAGCGTTCTCATTTCACCCTTGCAGTTACCTAGCTAACAACTAGATGCCTCGTCAACCATTCTGTGTGTCAAATTCTCTCTGTTCGGCTGGGCACGGTGGCTCACGCCTATAATCCCAGCAGTTTGGGAGGCCGAGGAGGGCAGATTACTTGAGGTCAGGAGTTCAAGGCCAGCCTGGACAACGTGGTGAAACCCTGTTTCTACTAAAAATACAAAAATTAGCCAGGCATGGTGGGGGGTTACCTGTAACCCCAGCTACTCAGGAGGCTGAGGTAGGAGTATTGCTTGAACCCAGGAGGTGGAGGTTGCAGTGAGCGGAGATCATGCCACTGCACTTCAGCTTGGGTGACAGAGAGACTCCATTTCAAAAAAAAAAGAAAGTTTTCTCTCTTCAACTACCATGGTTTCTGTCTCCCAGCTGGACCTGACTGCTAGCCCCACACCAGGCCTTCTGCCCTCCATTCCCACTGTGGTGGGTGCAGAACATCACAGAGCCTCAGCTTTTTGATGTGTTAAAGTAGAAAGAATGATAACAAAACACCATTAGCACTGAAGCACCTTTTGGGTTCAGCTCCTCTTCCAGAAGCTTCCTGCACCCTCCAGGGTGGCTGGGGTCCCCTGAATTGTGAGCACATGGTTCCCTAGACCTTACCCTTTCATTCATTCAGTATGCATTTGTTGAGTGCTGCCATGGACTGAGTTGTATCCCTCTCACAATCATATATTGAAGTCCTAACCCCCATGTAACTGCAGTTTTTAGGGAGTAATTAAGGTTAAATAAGGTCATGAGGGTAGAGCCCTGATTCAATAGGAGTAATGCTCTATTTTTATTTATTTATTTATTTATTTATTTATTTATTTATTTATTTATTTTAGAAATAGAATCTCACTATATATGTTGCCCAGGCTGGTCTCAAACTTCTGGGCTCAAGTGGGCCTCCTGCCTCAACCTCCCAAAGGGTTGGGATGATAGGTGTGAGCTACTATGTCAGGCCAAATAGGACTAGTGTTCATATAGGAAGAGACACGAGAGTTCTCTTTCTCTGTGTCTGTCTGAACCCTTGCACTGAAGAAAGGCCATGTGAGGGCACAGCAAGAAGGCAGCTGTCTGCAAGCCAGGAAGGGAGCCCTCGTCAGAAACTAAACCTTGCTGGAACCTTGGTCTGGGACTTCCAGCCTCCAGAATGGTGAGAAGTTCATTTCTGTTGTTTAAGCCACCCAGTCTGTGGTATTTTGTTATGGCAGCCTGAGCTGACTGAGACAAGCACCTACTGTGTGCCAGACAGATCTTCATGCTGAGGGTAGAACAGTCATCAAAATAAGCGAAAGGCTCTGCCCTCAGGTTGCTTCCATTCTCTAGTGAGGAGAAAGAAAATGTTTAAAAAGTGCTGGTAAAGATGTGTTACATCACAGGGTACTAAGTTCCAGCAAGGAAAAGAGCACAGAGTTCAGGAGCAGGGAGTGGGAGGGTATAGCATTTAGGTGCTCGGGAAAAGTGACAGCTTAGTGGAGACTGTAAAGAGAGGTGAAGGAGCCAGCAATATGCAGGTATGTGGGGGAGAGTGTGCTGCAGAGGAAACGGCATGTGCAAAGGCCCTGTGTGAGAAAACGCATGATGAGGTGTGGCCTGATGAGCAGGGAGCAGGTGCTAAAATGAAGTTAGAGAGGGCTTGGCTGGGGCAGGGGCAAGGAGAGCAGAGAGACTGGGGGCTACTCAGAGGACCTGGGCATTTATTCTGAATAAAATAGAAGGCTTGTATCAGTCAGGGCTCTCCAGAGAAACAGAGCCAACAGGGTGTGTGTGTGTGTGTGTGTGTGTGTGTGTGTGTGTGTGTGATGAGATTTATTTCAAGAAACTGGCCCACGTGACTGTGGAGGCTAGCACATCCAAAACTCACAGGACAGGCCTGAAGTCTGGGAACTCAGGCAGCAGTTGAGGCTGCAGTCTTGAGGCAGAATTTCTTCTTTTTGGAAAGCTCAGTTTTTGCTCCTAGGCCTTCCATGGATTGGATAAGGCCTACCCACATGATCAAGAGTAATAGCCTTGCTGGGCATGGTAGCTCACACCTGTAAACCCAGCACTTTGGGAGGGCCAGGTGGGTAGATCACATGAGGCCAGGAGTTCAAGACTAGCCTAGCCAACATGGTGAAACCCCGTCTCTACTAAAAATACAAAATTTAGCCAGGTGTGGTGGTGGGCACCTGTAATCCCAGCTACTTGGGAGGCGGAGGCAGGAACATTGCTTGAACCCAGGAGGCAGAGGTTGCTGTGAGCCAAGATCACTCCACTGCACTCCAGCCTGGGTGACAGAGCAAGACCCTGTCTGAAAAAAAAAAAAAAAATGGGGCCAGGAGCAGTGGCTCACTCCTGTAATCCTAGCACTTTGGGAGACCGAGGCAGACAGATCACCTGAGGTCGGGAGTTGGAGACCGGCTTGACCAACATGGAGAAACCCCATCTCTACTAAAAATACAAAATTAGCCGGGCATGGTGGTGCATGCCTGTAATCCCAGCTACTAGGGAGGCTGAGACAGGAGAATTGCTTGAACACGGGAGGCAGAGGTTGTGGTGAGCCAAGATCGTGCCATTGCACTCCAGCCTGGACAACAAGAGCTAAACTCCATCTCAAAAAAAAAAAAAAAAATAGTAATAGCCTGTACTTAAAGGCAACAGATTACAGGTGTTAACCACATCTGCAAAATACCTCCACAGCAAGGCCTAGAGCCATGTTTGATTGAATAACTGGGTGGGTACTAGACCCCAGCCAAGTTGACACAGAAAACTCACCATCACCAAGCTCCTGGAAGGTTTTATGCAGATGGCATCCTCTCTGCTCACGTACCTGGTGGAGTTTCTGACTTTTAAGTGACATGACCTGGCTTACTTTGAAAAGGATTCCTCTGGCTTTCTCCTGGAGAACAGACTGGAAGGGCACAGCTGGCTGCCACCAGGCAGATGAGTCAGGAGGCCTCTGTGGAGACCAGGTGAGGCTGCAGGGGCTGGGGGCCTGGAGCTGGGAGGGGACAGTGGCTCAGAGGCTGCAAACACACCTGCATGGGGCTGTACTGTGAAAGTAGAGTTGGCAGATGCTGTTTGTTTCTGTCCTCCCAGAAACCAATCCAGTGTGCATTGTGCCTGGCACACAGCAGGTGCACAATCAATGCTTGATGGCAAGAAATGTATAAAAAAAAACAAGTAGCTGAGAGCATTCTGCAAACTGTAAAACACTGTCCATATGTTCTTTTGTCACTCACAGGCCTCCTCTGCCCCACTGCCTTCCCTTGAACTGAAGCACCATTTGAGGAAACTCTACTGTGGCCCAAATCCATTTCCATTGTGGAACAGAGCTTCCACAGCCCAGGTGCAACAGTTCTCTCTGGCTTCCCTTGACCCTCCCTCAAGTGCAGTAAAGCAAAGGTTACCCTCTTTTTTTTGTTTGTTTGCTTGTTTGTTTTGTATTTTGTTTTTTGTTTTTTGAGACTGAGTTTCGCTCTTGTTGCCCAGTCTGGTGTGCAATGTCACGAACTCGACTCACTGCAACCTCCGCCTCCTGGTTCAAGCAATTCTCCTGCCTCAGCATTCCGAGCAGCTGGGATTACAGGCAGGCACAACTATGCCCAGTGAATTTTTTGTATTTTTAGTAGACACGGGGTTTCACCATGTTGGCCAAGCTGGTCTCGAACTCCTGACCTCAGGTGATCCACCCACCTTGGCCTCCCAAAGTGCTGAGATTATAGGCCTGAGCCACTGCACCCGGCCCCTAGGTTACCCTCTTAAGGGACAGTCCAGCTGCATAGGGCCCATGGATTTGGCAGTAGATTCTCTACTGTTTCCCAAATTCCGATTTCCCTCTGATCCAGAGAACTCATGAGAATGTCACATTGCATTTGCAGTCTTTCCAGAATCTGAGGGCTGGGTGGAATCCATCCATCTTATCTCCTTGGGGGTTAATGAAAGCACAAGGAAGAACAATGAAGTTTGGCAGAGTCCCTCACCCCCAAATCCCACCACCAACCCACCGAGAGGGCTACTAACCCTTGACATTCATGGCTAAGCAGGTTCTTCTTCAAAGGCATCTCACATTTAAAACAAAAAAGTGTCTAAGAAAAAAAAGAAAGAGAGAAGAGCCCACTGTGTTTACATGGAAAGTGGTTCCACATTCCTATCCTGTGGAACACAGACCGTCCTGGAACCGGCAGCTACCTGGCCCCGTTCCCTACCGTATTATAGTGCAAGGGAGCCAAATTTCCCTCTGATGTCTATAAATAAAGTGCTTCATCCCCAGGCAATTAGGAGGAAGCATTTTTCCAGCCAGTGTGCATACTAGTTTCATTTCTCCAACAAAAGGCACAGCACATCAGACATGTTAGTTTAAGTCCACTGCTATGTGTAATAATAATTTTTTCACAGCACCTACTTCCTTTCTTTCCAATCCTCCCCTCCTCCCTGCCTCAGTCTAGGTTTTATGTAGAAATCTTCCCCAGACGCAATGTTCGAAAATTCTTTCAATTCAAGAAATTTAGAAGGGTATGGAATGTAATTGTTTCTGCTGCATGTAGAATACTCCATTTCTGATCCCCTGAGATGGCTGGTGAATTCTTCCTGTTCTGATAATAAGGGCTATGCAATAGATCATATTCCCCTTTTCACCTGGGCTGCCAGGTAGCTCAGCACCAGCAATTGCAGATGCCTTATAGTTACTGCCTATAAGTCTTTTATTTTCCTAACACCTGATTTCCCCTTTGATTACCCTTAATGAAATTGAAAGAGGCAGGATGCAAAGAAATAAGTTTTAGAATAGTTTTTTATTTTTAGTGCCTGCTGCTTTCAAAATGGAAGCTCAGGCTGGATGAGGCAAAAGACATATGAAATGACAGAAAAAAAAAAAAAACAGGATGGAGAGAAGGACAGGAGGGAAATGACCCTTAATGGGCACAGACTTTGTGTCCTGCATTATGTAAGCACTTTACGTAAACTTTTTAAAAAATTTAATCTGCACAGCAGATTCTCTAAGATAGAATAGCTGAGTCAAACTTGGACCCAAGCCTCTCAGAGTGCAGATCTAGTGTGTGCTCCACGCTATCATGCCACTCTTCAAACAGCTAATGGGGAACAGGCCGGCTGGTGGCACAATGTGCCTATGAGAAGCACAATTCCATGTGCTAAAGGGCAGAGAGGATGTTTGGCTGTGTCAACAAGGAGGTCCAAAGAGAGTGGACTTCAAGTGAACAGGTTAAATATAGCAATCCCAAGGCATCCATTCATCCATCCATTGTGTCTGTCCATCTGTTCATCTGTCTGTTCATCCATCCATCCATCCATCCATCCATCCATCCATCCATCTATCCATCCACGCTTCCATCCAACCTTCCATCTGTACATCCATCTTTCTTTTTTTAAAAAAATAGAGACAAAGTCTCATTATGTTGCCCAGACTTGTTTTGAATTCCTAGACTCAAGCAATCCTCCTGCTTCAGCCTCCCGAAGTGCTGGGATTATAGGCTTGAGCCACTGCACCTGGCCCTCCATCCATCTTTCCATCTGTTTGTTCATCTATCTGTCCATCTGTCTAGCCATCCATCCATCTGTCCCTCCTTCCATTCATCCCTACCTCCACCCATCCATTCGTCCATACAGCCATCTGTTCATCCTAGTTTCTAACTCTACTACATAACAAGTTCTTGAAAGAATGACTTTTGGAAAGTGGCGGAAAGCTGGGGTGTGAATGGAAAGGAAGCCAAGAAACCAGTCAGGGAGCTTCTCACAGGGAACTCTAGACCTGGGATGACCATTTTGAATTGTCCCAAATTGAGGCAAGGCCTTTATATCCCCACATCAACCAGTCGTTGGATGCAGATGTCCCGGGAAGTGAGGATGAACTTGCATGAGGTGGCTCTCTTCAGCTGAGGGCGATTGGCAGAGAAGGACTCAGCTGACAGCCATTGGCAGCCAATGCTCCCAGTGAATGGGGAATGAGGGTTGCTGTTCTGAAGAATGGGCACCTGGTGGCCCAGCACAGGCCCCACCACACCCTGCTTTGTGGTTCTCCATTTGATTATTTTTTCATTGTCTGTCCCCTCTGCCCTGGAATGCAAACTCTACGATGACAAAGACTTTTGCTTGGTTAATTGTTGTTTCCACAGAGCCTAGAACAGTGCCTGACGCAGAGTAAGTACACAATAAGAATTCCTGAGCAAAACTGAGGATGGATAGTTTGTTAGTCTGCTTGGGCTGCCATAAAAAAATAATGTGCTTAATGGCAAGCTGACAGTACAGTCTAGATTCCAAGGATCCTGAACGCTGGTCATTTGGCTCTAGGGCATCCCTCTTTTTCACTAAATGACATTCTTCAGGATAGGTCCAGGGAAAGTATATTTCAGAACCTGAGTGGCTACTGGGAGTTTAGGGAGGACTGGGAGCGGGAGAGGAACCTTCAGACCCAGCTGCTCTTCCCACTCGAGAAAGCATGGGAGGTTCTGCAGAGTACACACATGGGGCTCAGCTCCTGGCTGGAATGGGCCAATATCCCATCGTATGGCTTCCATTTCACCAAGTCCACATCTCCATCTCCATCCCAGGCCTCTCTGCAAGCTTCAAACCTTCATACCTTCCCTGGTTGTCTCACGGGGATCTCAGACCTCCCAAAGCCAAAAAGTAGCTTCACGATAGCTTCATAGAAGCCTGCTTTTTGTCATGGAGAGAGATAGAACCTCATCCCTCAACCTTGCTCATCAAACTCCCCCCACCCCATTCATCTTCCCCATCTTGCTAAGTAACATCATCCGTACAGATGCTTGAACCACAAACTAGGGGACACCTTCAGTTCCTCTCTTTCCCTTGTCCCCTGTGTTGGCAATATCTAAAAACTCTGCCTCCTAAATAATCCCAAATCAGCCCACTGCACTCCATTTCCACAGTCAGCCTGATGACTGGTTTCTCTGCTTCCTTTCCATCCATATCCCTCCTCCTCCCTCCCCTGCCTTCCAAAAGTCACCTTGTTAAGAACTGTGAAGGGGCTGAGATTTTACCCTACTTGCAACTTACCAAATTAGCATGCCAGTTTCATGGATGCTGACAGAAGACATGAGATTCCTGGGTCAGAGACAAAAGACGTTGTTACTCACAGTGAATGCAATAGGCAGAGTGATAGCACGTTCGCTTCAGTTTCCTTAGCCCCAGTTGCCACAGGGGCAACTCGAACAGAGACAGGCCTGCATGTGCTGGGGGGTTCCCTTACAGGAAAGGAGCTCTGAGCTTGCGAACCCACCATTTTATAGCAAGCAGGAAATAAGCCTGCTCTTTGCCATGGAGAGAGATAGAACCTCACCCCTCAAGCTTGCTGGCTGCAAACACAACCTTGAGAAATTGCCTGACTAACAAGTGAATGATCAGAGCTGGGCATTTGTGTCATATCCAGTAAGGTGAGTGCCCACTGATCTCAAACAAAATTCAAGATACTTAACACGGCTCTCAAGACCCAGAGTGACCTGGCTCCTGCCTGCCCTCTGACCTCCCCTCCTAACCCTGCTCCCCTCATCCACTCTGCTCCAGGTTCATGGGCCTCCTCCAGGGCTCCTCCCTCAGGGCCTTTGCACTTGCTCCCCACTCATCCCTCCACTTGGGTTGCTCTTTCTCACCATTTCAATGTCCCTACCCTAAAGAAGCCTTTCCCAGCCATTCTAGCTGGTGTTGCCTGCAGCCCTCATTGTATATCATATAAGTCCTATTTTTTCCCTAATGTTATCACACTCGGAAATGATCTTTCCTTGTAATCATGTTTTCTCCCACTTGTGTACCAGCCTCAGGAAGGCAAGGACCTCATCTGTCTTGTTCCCTGCTGTACCGTAGTCTAGAACAGGGTCTAGGTGCAAAATAAACATTTGGGGAATATATAAACGCAAGGCAGGGAGCATCCCCAGCTCAGAGGCCTGAGGCTCTGACAGTGTCCCTAGCGGTGGGAAATGCCAACCAAGGAGCTTCTCAGTGCTTTAGAAACATAAAACCTGGCATGACTCAGCTTAATACCAGGGTGCAAGTGCTGCATGACTCAGTGTCAGGCTTCAAACAAGAGGCTTCTCTTTGTAGTGGCCTCTGAGAACATCAACAGGGACACCACGGCATGATTGTAGGGGAAGCCTGTGGCTGAGTGATGAAAAGTCTTTAAATATATTTATATAAATCTATCTATATATAAAGATTTGCTGTTTAAAAAAACACAACAACCAATATACTCCTAATCACTGATTTGTCCCTTTCATGGAGCGGTGAAGAGCTTGAGCACTTGAGCTCTGGACTCAGACCAACCTGGATTAAAGTCCTGGGCTCTGCCTGGCCCCTGCCTCTGCCCCCATGAGTCCTAGTAGTGGGAGGAATGCTTTTAACTAGCAGCACTGTCTGAAAGGTGAGGAAGAGGGTGGGGTCTTGAGGGAAGCTAATCAGGGAGATTCCAGATACAGAGTTTACAAGGACGAGGGATCCCTCCAAGGGTGTTGCATTCAGGGCTTGGCCAAGGACTGGCCAACCAAGCTTCAGGCAATTGTGGCTCAATTCGTCCAGAGGGCACGTTGCCCTTGAGAGGATTCTTAGACCCCTCAGACTGCCCACAGCTAGACGGGGAGGGCAAAAACTCAGAGAAAGGAAGATGAAAAGACTGAGAGGGAAAAGTGTGAGAAGTTGAAGACACGAAGAAGATGCTCTCTTCTCAGGAGCTGATGACAGAGGAACCAAGGGAGAAAAGAGCAAGCCCTTGCGGGAGGGAGAGGTGGTGGCCAGCAGCAGCTGATGCTGGCAGAGATGCCAGGTGGGGATGAGGCTGCTCATTCACTGACTGAACTTGGGCAAGTTCCCCAACCTCTCTGAGCTTCTTTAAGAGTTAACTGTTATCAGTAGGAACAGTAACTGCAGGAGGAATAATAGACCCTGAGGACGATGGATCCCTGCCCTTAGGCTTGGTTCCCAGGAGGCTCTTTGAATTCTGTTGCAGCCCTTTTCAACCACTAGAGGATGTGCAAGAATCAGCTACAAAATGGTGACTGGATTTCCACTGGGCAGTAGGGAAGGTGGTGGGAATTGCTGCCAGTGGGATGCAAGGTTAGGGAAGTAACACGTGTTCCTTAGGCTCTGGCAATAACCAAGGAAGGTACAAGCAGATCTTGTGTTTGTCTATTTGCCAAGCATGGCCTGACCCTCTCCTGGGTTCCAGGCTTGTGCTGGGCTCTCAGAATAAAAGATAAATGAGACCCTGGAGCCCAGCGCAGTGACTTGCATCTGTAAGTCCCAGCTACTAGGGAGGCTGAGGTGGGAGGATCGTTTGAGCCCAGAAGTTCGAGGCTGCAGTGAGCCGTGACAGCACCACTAGACTCCAGCCTGGGTGACAGAGTGAGACCTTGTCTCTAAAAACACAAAAAAAGATAAGTGAGACCCTGTGACAACATACGGGGAAAAGAGCAGGCCGGCCCTGCACTCATGTCCAAGCGCCTAGGGCTACGATGGAGGTGAGAGTGCTCCTCTCTGCTGTCCTCATGGGTCTTGTTCAGGGAAGTGGGCATGGGAGCCTCTTGGGGACACAGTCTCCTTTGGGAACAGACTGCTCTGCAGCCCTTCCCTTTGGGGGTCATCTCTGTATCTACCTAGGTGTCCTCCAACCAAAGAAACGGGTACAGGAAGCCCTGTGAGGCTCCCCAAGGATTATAAGCTATCACTCATCATCATCCAGCCAGCCCTTTTTGCCATGGAAGCAGATAGGTAGGGTGTGGCTATACCCTGAATCCATATAAACCCATCCTTCCCTCTAAACTCCATGTCTGTCTTGAGTGCCCAACATCAATGACGTCCATTCAAGCATTGCTATCAAGACAGCATACAATTCCCAGACTGCCCTGGAGGGCAGCTGTGTACCTCTAGGCAGCTGACTTGATCCCTTTGGCTTTTGTCAACTGCGAAGAGCTGAGGGACATCTGGAGTTGGGGAATGAACAGCCACCCCCATGCCACCACCATCTTCCCTCTACAGCTTCGGTAAGAGTTAACAGGGCTGGCTTCATGGCTGGCACCTCAGGCTGGAAGACTCCAAACCCCTCTGTTTACTATTAGGGAAACTGAGGTCTCACACATAGAAGTGACTAGCCCAAGGTCACACAGCAGAAGTGGGATAATACCAGAGCTTAGACCTCCCCGTGAGGTCTGATCTCAAAACCTGCTGCTCAAAAGCATACTGACATTGTGCTGACACTGCACTTAAAATCCACCCAAGAGGAGTGATTTTTAAAAAGCAGATTCTGGCTGGGCGTGGTGGCTCATGCCTGTAATCCCAGCACTTTTGGAAGCTGAGGCAGGTGGATCACCTGAGGTCAGGCGTTCAACACCAGCTTGACCAACATAGTGAAACCCCGTCTCTTCTAAATACAGAAAATTAGCTGAGAGTGGGGACACATGCCTGTAATCCCAGCTACGTGGGAGGCTGAGGCAGGAGAATCTCTCGAACCTGGGAGGCAGAAGTTGCAGTGAGCGGAGAATGCACCATTGCCTTCCAGCCTGGGCAACAATAACAAACTCTGTCTCAAAAATAAATAAATTAATTAAAATAAAAATAAAATAAAAAGCAGATTCTACTGTGCAAGAAATTTACAAGTCAAAAGAAAAGAAGGCTGGGCATAGTGGCTCATGCCCGTAATCCCAGCACTTTGAGAGGCCAGGGCTGGTGGATCACTTGAGCTCAGAAGTTCCAGACCAGCCTGGGCAACATGGCAAAACTCTATCTCTAAAACAATTCAAAAGTTAGACACAGGTGATGGTGCATAGTGTAGTCCCAGCTACTTTGGAGGCTGAGGTGGGAGGATGGCTTGAGCCCAGGAGGTCGAGGCTGCAGTGAGCCATGTTTGTGCCACTGCACTCTAGCCTGAGCATCAAAGCCAAATCTGTATCAAAAAATAAAAAATAAATAAAATTTGAAATATGTATTTCAAAGAAGAAAATAATTTTAAAAAGAAAATTAAAAATAAAATAAAGTAAAATAAAATAAAATAAAATAAAATAAAATAAAATAAAATAAAAGGCAGGTCCTGGAGACACCTCACAGACTTGCTAAATTAGATTATCTGAGGCAGGGAAGGGGCCAAAGCCACTGCAGATGGCAACTTGTAGAATGGGCAAGTGTGGGCACCTATGCTTTTCTTTATGCCTCCCTGCTGGATTTCCTACACTGGCCCCCAGGTCACCCTCCCCCTTTGGCCACCCTTCCTGCTGGCCCTGAGGCTGACCCTCCTGGAAGGCATCCCCAGGCGCCTTGCCCTCCAGCTTCCTGTGGGGTTTGGCTGTGAGAGGCAGAGTAAGGACCAGAGACAGCAGGATAGGGAGGGTGGGTGTCCACTGCCCATCCTCCCTCACTGCTAGGCGGCAAGTGGGCAAGGCTGTGGCTCCTGCAGGGAGCCCTCTTAGAGCTACTCCCTCCTCTTGTCCACTTAGACTTAGCAACAGTGCCAGCTACTTCCCCACCCTGTGGCTTGCCCTGGGGCACCTCAGAGCCCCTGGAGAACCCCTCGACCTTGCCCAGCCTCAGTCCCTTCATTCTTCTCTCTTCAGTGACACCCCCTGTGGATGCAACCACTTCCTGCTGGGACCCCAACCACACAGCCCTCAATTGGTGTCAACATGGAGTCTGCCTCCACCTCCAGCCTTGGAGAGAAGGTTCTGGAATCTGGTTGCCATAGGAGTATAGAGAAAGGTTAGTCCACCAGCCTGGGGGTTGGGGACAGCTTCCTGGACAACCCTGTCCTGATTTCTGCACTGGGGCAGAGAGGGAAGATTGCTGGGGGTGGAGAGTGAGGAGGGGCTGGGTTTACACCAGGCAGAGGACCCTGCAAGCAACACAGACCCCCAGGAGCCCATGAGGGCCCAGCAGGAGGAGGAAAGGAAAGGGGTGGCCAGGGAGGGTGAGGAATACTGTGACGGGGGTCCCAAAGATGGCTTCATTAGACTTCAGAGGAGAGCAAGTTCTGAAAGCCCCACTAGCAGGAGGGGTGTGCCTGTGATGGCAGAGGCTGCTGCAGTGAGCCATGTTTGTGCCACTGCACTCTGGCCTGAACAACAAAGCCAAATCTGTATCAAAAAATAAATAAAATTTGAAATTTCAAAAGAAGAAAATAATTTAAAAAAGAAAATTAAAAATAAAATAAAAGGCAGGTCCTGGAGACAACTCACAGACCTACTAAATTAGATTATCTGAGGCAGGAAAGGGGCCAAAGCCACTGCAGGAGGCCAGGCTGCTGGCTGAGGGCCAGGCAGCCAGTCCCATGGACTGGAGTGCGGACACATGGTGCCTCTTCCAGGCTACCCCATGGCCACCATGGACCAATCAGCATGTACTTCCTCCCCTCTGAGGTCCATAAAAGCCCTGGGCTCAGCCAGAGCAGTGGCTAGCTTAGTGCAGGAGGTCCCTGGGTGCTGCTGTAGCCGCTCAAACTGCAGCTGCAGACCCAGGCCTCCTGGTCTACAGAGCAGACAGGAGCCTCACCCTCTTGGGTGGGGCTATAGCCGCCCAAACTGCAGCTGTGGATCTGAGCCTCTCTGTGCTTTTGGGGGAGGACCAGGAGCAGGCAGGATTGGCCCTCCCAGGTGCCGCTGGGGCCACCTTCCCAGGTGCAGGAGCTGGGTGTCTCTACAGCCTGCACCCTTTCAGGGACCCAGGAAGGACCCCACCCACCCATCCCTGCAGGCTCAGGGGTGTCTTCTCCCACTGCCTGGCCTCTCTTCACTCCTGGCACCTGCTCCAATCTCAGAGTGGGGGTTGGGGCTGAGCCCCAGGGCCATGAATGGCAGGAGCAGGCAGATTAATTCCTTGGTGGAAGGGGATGGGTCCCCAGTAAGGCCCCACCTTGAGGCCAGGGAGGGCCTGAAGGCTGGGGGCCAGGCAGCCAGTCCCATGGACTGGAGTGGGGACTGTAATGCCTCTTCTAGGTACCCCCATGGCCACCCATGGACCAATCGGCATGTACTTCCTCCCCTCTGAAGTCCATAAAAGCCCTGGGCTCAGCCACAGCAGGTGAGAGGATGGCCAGAGGATGAAGAGGGCAGAGAGACAATTGTATGGGACAATAGCTGGATGAGAGGAGCACCCTCTCTGGTGATAGCTGGAGATGATGGGATGACCAGCTGCAGAGAACTGACAGCTGCAGAGACAACCTGCTGGCAGAGGAGCTACCCTCTCTGTTGAGAGCTTCAGAGACCTGCAGAGACGTCCAAATGACTTGCCTGCAGAGAAGAGCCACCCTCTCCAGGGCGTCCTCTCTGCTGAGAGTTGAACACTTGGCGGGACCACCTGTCTACAGAGAGGAGCTACCCACTCCTCTGAGCTGTTCTAACACTAAATAAAACTCTTTTCTTCTTCACCCTTCACTTGTCTGTGTACCTCATTCTTCCTGGACGCAGGACAAAAACTCAGGCAAAGACACCATGGCCACAGAGGTTTCTGGCCAGAAAAATCGACACGCCACAGATCCTGTAATACCTGGAGGTGGGAAATGACACTGGTGACCACTTTGTGAGAAGGCAGGAGACACAGCTAATGACTAGGCTGCCCTCTGGGCCTCAGTTCCCTCAACCATGACACTGAGGCCACAGTCCAATCTGTCCCCATCCCTGCAGTCATAGGAAAGACTTGTGAATGTGTTCTGCAAACTGCTAAGTGCTGGACCTAAGAGAACAAGGATGACCAGTTATTTATTTATTTTTTTTGGAGATGGAATCTCGCTCTGTCACCAGGCTGGAGTGCAGTAGCATGATCTGGGCTCACTGCAACCTCTGCCTCCTTGGTTCGAGAGATTCTCCTGCCTCAGCCTCCCAAGTAGCTGGGACTACAGGCGCGTGCCACCACACCCAGCTAATTTTTGTATTTTTAGTAGAGACGGTGTTTCACCATGTTGGCCAGGATGGTCTCGATCTCTTGACCTCGTGATCCACCCGCCTCAACCTCCCAAAGTGCTGGGATTACAGGCGTGAGTCACCACGCCCAGCCTAATGATGACCATTCTTTAGGCTACAGTGACAAACGGGGGCGTCTGCCTTACTGGAAATGAAGACTTCCTCAGCACCTGAGTGTTCTCCATGGCAGTAGACTTCCCCAATGGAATCACCAAGTCCACAGCTGCTCCCTGGACAGACAGATGCCTGTGGATGTCTCCAACTGCCTCCATCTGCCAGGGCAGCTGCACCATCGCTTCAGAGTATAAGTGGAAAGCATTGAAAATTTATTATCAGACTCCTGGATTAGGTGATGACAGCTTTGGTTTTAGCTAATTAAATACCATTTTCACTTACATCTATCAGGCCTAGAAATGGGGGTATTTGTGATTGGGAGGAATTCTCCCTTGGGTTTCTGTCTCCTCCATATTTATGTTTATGGCTTCTTTGAGGTCATTTGCTATGCAGGCTCTCAGTCTCGAGCTATGCTAGATGCTGGTGCCCCAAAGGGTTCAGAGTCCAGTTGGGGAGACAGGTACTTGACTAGTCCTCCAATGTTGCTGAACTCCTTCTCAGTACCAAGCACTGGACTCATAATACAGACGGAGACAGGCCTGCTCCCTGCCCTTTGTGAGGTTCCATTCCAGCATAGGAAAATGAACAAGTGAAAAACAAACAAATAAACAAGTGAACATCTCACAATTTTTTTTGTTGTTTTTTTTGTTTGTTTCTTTTTTGTTTTCATTTTTTCTTTTTTTCTGAGACAGGGTCTCGCTCTGTCATCCAGGCTGGAGTGCAGTGTTGCAATCTCAGCTCACTGCAACCTCTGCCTCTTGGGTTCAAGCAATTCTCCTGCCTCAGCTTCCCAAGTAGCTGAGACTACAGGTGCGCACCACCACATCTGGGTAATTTTTGTATTTTTAGTAGAGATGGAGTTTCTCCATGTTGGCCAGGCTGGTCTCGAACTCCTGGTCTCAAGCGATCTACCTGCCTTGGCCTCCCAAAGTGCTGAGATTACAGGCATGAGCCACCATGCCCGGCCTCACCTCATGATGTTCTAAGAGCTTTAATGAAAGACATAAGAAGAGCATGATACTCAAGCCATGTGCCAATGCTCCAGCCAATGTCCCGTGCCTCTCTTAGAGGCAGCAGCAGTGAGGTTGGTCACTTGAGAACATGAACTGTGGCCAGACAGGCCTGTATTGGAAGCCTCAGTTTTCCCATCTGTGAAATAGGATAATAATAATAGTTGTTATTTTGTAGAGCTGTTAGGAGGAGAAAATGAGGCAATTCGTGGATATACTTTGTTCAGTGCCTGGCACATAGTAGATGCTCAGTAAATGTCTTTGCTGTTGTTGGTATTATTATTATTTCTTGGCTGACTTAGTTTCCCTAAAGCCACTGGCCTGGACAAGGTCTCTATAAAAAGTTGGCTTGTTGAAAGGACCTAAGAGAAGCTGCTGACTGGCCCCTGGTGTTGGACAGTCCAGCACTGAAATCAAGAGCAAACTGAGGTCAGGCACAAATTGAAGTTCGTTTAATTTTCTGACTTCCTGGACTCTTTGAGTTTCCGTTTTCTTACCTATAAAATAGGATAATATTGTACCTGCTTCAGCTGTGTTTAGAGGATTAAGTGAGTTGAAAGAGTTAGAGGGGACTCGGTGCTCTATTCGTTTTTAATATTTTCTAATGGTGGTGGCGATGGTTGCTGGTGACATGTATCTTTCTTAATTGGCTCTGGGCGGGGTAGTAGTTTACTAGAGCTGCCATAATAAATTACTACAGGCTGGATGGCTTAAAGCAACAATTTATTCTCACAGCTCTGGAGGCCAGAAATCCTAAACGAGGGTGTTGTCAGGGCCAGGCTCCCTCTGGAGGCTCTAGGGGAGAATCCTTCCTGGCTTCCTCCAGCTTCTGGTGGTTCCAGGCATTCTTTGTAGCTGCATCCCTCTGATCCTCACCTCTCTCTTCCCATGGCCCTCTCTTCTCTCTCCTCCACTTTTGTCTCTTAAAAGGTTACTTGATCATTCGATTTAGGCCCCATCTGGATAATCCACGACAATCCCATCTCAAGATTCTTGATTACTTCAAGCCAGGCACAGTGGCTCACGTCTGTAATCCCAGCACTTTGGGAGGCTGAGGCGGGCGGATTACGAAGTCAGGAGTTCGAGACCAGCCTGGCCAACATGGTGAAACCCCGTCTCTACTGAAAATACAAAAAATTAGCCGGGCTTGAGGGCAGGCGCCTGTAATCCCAGCTACTCAGGAGGCTAAGGTGGAAGAATCACTTGAACCCAGGAGGCGGAGGTTGCAGTGAGCCGAGATCGTGCCACTGCACTCCAGCCTGGGCAACAGAGGAAGACTCCATCTCAAAAAAAAAAAAAAAAATAGATTCTTGATTACATCTACAAAGAACCTTTTTATACCAAAGATAAACCCAAAGGGCTTGGCTGTATCTCTTTGGGGGTCCATGATTCAACCCACTACAGGTGGGGAGGGCAGACACGGGATTTCCCTCCATATAGGCCCCTCGCACAAAGTCTGACACCTTAGAGATCACAAGCACTTACTAAATGAAGCTGTCAGCAAAGCATAAGGAAAAGGAGCGAGGCCGGGTGCGGCGGCTAACACCTGCAGTCCTAGCACTTTGGGAGGCCAAGGTGGGTGGATGGCTTGAGGTCGGGAGTTTAAGACCAACCTGGCCAACACGGAGAAACCCCGTCTCTACTAAAAATATAAAAATTAGCCAGGCATGGTGGTGCACGCCTGTAATCGCAGCTACTCCGGAGGCTGAGGCAGGAGAATCACTTGAACCTGGGAGGTGGAAATTACAGTGAGCACAGATTGTGCCACTGCACTCCAGCCTGGGCAATAAGAGTGAAACTCCGTCTCAAAAAAAAGAAAAGGAGCAAGTGGGGCCTCTGCCTTGACCTCCTTGACCTGTTGGCTGACTTTGGGGGTGGGAAGTCACTTTCCTATCCAGGTCTCAGGCTTCCTGTTATAAGATCAGAATGCTGGGCGCCATTGCCTATTCTAAAATGCAGGCCTCCATGTGTATCCATAGATAGGCCTGGCGGTCTTCAGGTGTCGATAACCAGGTACCAGAGAGCCCAGCTCTCCTCCTGGCCAGGCCCTGGAATGCCTCAGTGGCAGGAAAAGCAGCCCCTGACCAGAACCTGGAGAGAGAGACAGGAGTAAGTGTAAAGCCCCAGATACCTTGCTCAGAGTTTCATCTGATTTAATTTTCCCAGCAACATTTGCAAAGACAAGCACTATTCCCATTTTACAGCTGCCCAAACTGAGGATCAGATAGATCCAGTCACTAACCGGAAGCCACCCTTCTGGTGTTTGCCTGTGTGTTTGTCTGCCTCCCATAGCCTGTGCTTTGGGGGCGGGTGGATCTTGCTTCTGCCTCAGGGATGCTGGTATAAGGCAGGCATTTCGGGGGCTTCTGGTGCATGTCCTCCAAGCCAGGTGCTGAGCCAAGTGCTTTAGATAGCTGGGTGGTCTCCTCCATCCTCATGCTGCTGGGACGTCTATGCTGTTGTGATGGCTGACTCTCATCTTACAGCTTGGCAGCTTCTGTCACTTATAGAAGGCCACAGGGCCAGCTATGCAACCAAGGAGCACTCTGAAGCCAGATCCCAGAGTTTAACTGTCTGCCACCGAGTGAAATATGAGGGTGCAAGGGGTTAAAAAAAAAGGAAGTGGAAGGAGTAGGAAGATGTTACTGGCTTTGATGTAATACCATGGAACCAACCAGTGGTGACCTTTTCAATTTACCTATATTTATTACGGAGTTACTCAACGCAATAATATAAAATTATCTAATATATCTAAACTAATCCTTTCAATATCTATCCTGTCCTCCCACCCACATATTATTTTGGGGTGCCTTCAGAGCCCCTGTAGTGGTCTCAACAATGGTCCATCAGTTGCCTGTGGGCATGGCTACATCCCTGTGGGTTGGAAGCTGGTGAAGGGACCAGAGCCCTGGCCAGAGACACCACCCAGCATCAAGAGAACAAAGGAGGCACGCACCCCTCCAAGTGTCTTCCAGCTATTAACTCTTGGGGTCTTTACACTAAGTGACCCCAATGTGTTGACCTCAGGTCCACACTAACCCTATTACCTGCACCTGTCAGCCCAGCAGTGGCCATCTATACAAATTTGGCAAACCCTGATATGTTGATTCTGATAATATGTGCATGTGTGTGTGGGAAGGAGGGTAGGGGATTATATTAACTGGGAGGTTTACTTTGTAGAGATAAGATCATTTTTTCCTGTTGAGTTGGATCATTCTGTAGCTCTCGTACCTGTGGTGGCCTACACCGGACACAGGCAATCCTGGGTTGGTTCTGATACAGCAGAGAGTGGGCCTCCGAGTCAACATTCATGTACGCCAGGGCTCTCAAGCTCTGCACAGTTGGTATTTTGGCCTGAGTCATAATTTGTGGGGGGGCTGTCCTGCGCACTGTAGGAGGTTTAGCAGTCCCCCTGGCCTCTACCCACAAGGTGCCAGGAGCACACCATCCCCTGTCCCCCTCTCTGGTTGTGACAACCAAAAATGTCCCCAGATGTAGCAGATGTCCCCTGAGGGCAAAATCTCCCCTGTTGAGGAACCGCTGGCTTATGGGAATGCTCTATGCCCGCCCCCCAGAAATCCACTTTCATCTGCACCCCTCGCAGAGGTTTTAGAGCCACAGATTTGTTTTTTGTTTTTGTTTTTGAGGTGGAGTTTTGCTCTTGTCACCCAGCTGGAGTGCAACGGCGCAATCTCGGCTCACTCCAACCTCCACCTCCCAGGTTCAAGCGATTCTTCTGCCTCAGCCTCCCGAGTAGCGGGGATTACAAGCACCCGCCACCACGCCCAGCTAATTTTTGCATGTTTAGTAGAGACGGGGTTTCACCATGTTGGCCAGGCTGGTCTTGAACTCCTGACCTCGGGGTGATCTGCCCGCCTCCTCCTCCCAAAGTGCTGGGATTACAGGCGTGAGCCACCACGCCCGGCCAATGGAATTCTGAAGTTCTAGGAAGGACATGAATTTTAGGGGGTTGGGGACACTATGTAACTCAGCGCAAGCCTCTACAGAGATCATCGAGTCCATCCTGGTCTTTGCGGCTAGCCTGGAAAATCAGGTAACTTCTTCCAGGTCCCAGCATCAACCATAGACAGAACCAGGACCACTGCTGGGATTCCTGACACCCCATCCAGCATCCAAGGGCATGAGGAACAGATAGGACCAAAGCGTGTCCATGGGAACCCACAGCGAGCCCACTGTGAGCCCATGTCCCTGGCTCCACCTGCACATCTGCACATCCCAGCCTGAGGGGCCTCCTGAGATATTTGAGGTCTCCCAGGAATCTCTCATTTCTTCCTGCTGCCAGTCAGACCCAGTCACCAAAGGGGACAAACCTTGTTGGTTAATTTTTTTCTCCTTCAAAAAAATAAATTCATAGATGGTCCTTGGCAAGCTGTTTACTACCTGACTTTAACGGCCTGTTTATTACCTTGAGCCTGCGTCTGTTAACACGCCCCCTCGTCATTTTCCCTCATTAACTGTCAATTTGGAAGCCAGTTTTGGCATTAACCATGCCTAGACTAAATGGCTGCGGACAGTTGATTTTATGACCATGCCTTGTCTTGGAAACGTGGGGGCCTGTCATCAAAGAGGACGGCTGCAAACAGAGGGGTCTCAGCAGCAGGCAGCCTGGAACGTTGGGGCTACTGGCCGGAAGGCCAGGCAGGTGGGGATTTCAGAGCCTGGGGAACAGGGATGTGCAGCCTCCAAAGGTGGACGCCCCTTCTTCTGGCTGCTGCAGGACAGGCGCATGTTTAGAAGGACATTTAATTTCATAACTTCAGAGAGGGACTGTAAAGAATCTGTCATCTGGAAAAAAAAAAAACACTCACAGCAATGCAGAAAGTACCCCTTGGAAAATGACCATGACAAGTTGATGCATTGGCTCTGAGTCTCTTCTTCTCAGGCTTCCCATTCTATGTCCCATCCACTGTGCCCTACCCTTGCTGGGTACAGGGGATACAGAAATGAATGAGAGCTAGTCCTAGCCCCCAAGGTGACCCAGCACAACGTGGAGAGAGAGGCTACGCTGCAGAGCCCAAGCCAGCCAAGCTTCGTGAGCCCAGCGCCAGGGAGGCCAGAGCAGGGGTTGGGAGGTGGACTCACCAGGGCTGGCCAGAGACTGTCCACAGAGGCGCTGGCATGAGCCTGGGAGAATGGAACCATTCATCACAGGCAAAGAGAAATGTGGAGATATAAAAGGGCACGGGGGTGGGGCAGGATGTTGCCTGCTCCAAAACAAACCTGCGCCATCACTGTCAACCTTAAAACCCTCCATGGGCCAAGAATAAAGGCCAAATAGTGAGGGAAGTCTGGGAACTCAGCCCTTCATCTGCTTTCTGGCTGTCTCCTGCCATCTCACCTTGTCACCTCCCCCTGAGATCCAGCCACACATCTGCATTTGGGTGACCAATGTCCCCCCAAAATTCACATCCAGTTGGGATCTCAAAATGTGAGCTTATTTGAAAATAGAGCTTTGCAGATGTTATTCGTCAAGATGAGGTCATACTGGATTAGGTGGGTCCTAAATCCAATGACTGATGTCCTTAGGAGAAGAGGAGAGGGTCAGGTGCAGTGGCTCACACCTGTAATACCAGCATGTTGCGAAGCCAAGGCAGGAGGATGGCTTGAGGCCAGGAGTTTGAGGCTAGCCTGGGCAACATGGCAAGACCCCATCTCTAAATTTAAAAATTAAAAAAAAAAAGAGAGGAGACAGAAGGACACACAGGGAGAGGACCGTATGATCATGGAGGCAGAGATTGGAGTGATGCAGCTGCAAATCAAGGAGCACCAAGGATGGCCAGCCGCCACCAGAAGCTAAGAAGAGGACAGCCGCCAGGCACAGTGGCTTACACCTGTAATCCCTGCACTTTGGGAGGCTGAGGCGGGCGGATAACTTGAGTCCAGGAGTTTGAGACCAGCCTGGCCAACATGGTGAAACTCTACTAAAAATAACAAAACAAACAAGCAAACAAAAAATAGCCAGGCATGGTGGTGCGTGCCTATAGTCCCAGCTGCTCAGGAGGCTGAGGCATGAGAATTGCTTGAGCCCAAAAAGCGGAGGTTGCAGTGAGCTCAGATTGCACCACTGCAATCCAGCCTAGGTGAGGGAGTGAGACTCGATCTCAAAAAAAAAAAAAAAAAAAAGAAAAAGAAAAAAAGAAGAGGACAGACAGAATGATTCTACCCAGCATCTCAGGGCAAGTATAGCCCTGTTAACAACTTGATTTTGGATTTCCAGCCTCTAGATATATGAGAGAATAAATCTGTGTTATTTGTGGCACTTTATAGCAGTCCTATGAAAGGAACACACTATCAGTCACCCCTCACATATCCCCAGCCCTTCAGGAACACATTTCCTGAATGCCTTCCCGAACCTTCCTTGTCATCCAGAGACCTGGCCAAGACTTTCTGGGCTCAAGAGGGCAGACTGAACACATTCTATTGTTTTTTCTTTTTTTAAGTTTTGTTAATTTTTTGTAGAGATGGGGTCTTACTTTGTTGCCTAGGCTGGTCTTGAACTCCGGGCCTCAGCAATGCTTTCACCTCGCCCCAAAGTGTTGGGATTACAGGCGTGAACCACCAACCTGAAGACACATTTTAAATTCTACTCCCTTAAAGAATCCCATTAAGTTACATTAAAGGGATTTTTTTTTAAGACAAGATCTTATTCTGTTGCTCAGGCTGGAGTGCAGTGGTATGATTATAGCTCACTGCAACCTCAAACTCCTGAGCTCAAGCAATCCTCCCATCTCTGCCTCCTAAGTAGCTGGGAATATAGGTGTGCGCTACCACACCTGGCTTTTTCTTTTTTGTAGAGATAGAGTTTCACTATGTTGAACAGGCTGGTCTCAAACTCCTGGCCTCAAGCAACCCTCCCACATCAGGCTCCCAAAGGGCTGGGATTACAGGCCTGAGCCACTGCACTTGGCCAGTAAAGGGATTTTTAAAGAAGACCATTCCACACACAATGGCAAGAGCAGGAAAGGCAGAAACAACATGGAGTTTGTTTCAACCAAGGGGCCAATCTGGACTGGCTGCGCCCCTTGGCTCAGTGCAACTCCCCACCAACTCCCCTGTCCTGAGGTCTCCCAAGCAGATTGTCCATGGTGCCATCACTAATATCCCCACTGTCAAAGCACTGCTGTGGCAAGCCTGGCCTGGCCCAATCTTGCTCTTGACTGTGAGCTGATGAAGTTTCTGCTGTCTCCAGCAGGGTCCGGGTCCAGTGGAGACACTCATGCCAGCCCCAAGAAGTCTTCTGCTTTGACCTGCTCTTGAGCTTGCAAGCAGAAACTACAGAGCAGCCACTTGCTGATCTCTGTCCCTGCTCATGTGGCAGGCCCTCCAGATGCCCCATGGGGTCGAAGGGGGGGCCACATCTGCCCTCCCCGTGACATCCTTTCCACAGAGCTCAATGGGAAGCTGAAAGGGACTTGCCCTAGAGACAGCCAGGTTCATGCTGCTGTTCAAAATGAAACAGGATTCTGGGGAAATACCTACACAAGAGAGGAAAAGCTGCTACAAGTTGGACAGAGACTCTTCTGGTGTCAGGAAACAGAGGGGCACAACTGAGAATTGTACACAGAGCTGCAGAAGTAGCCTTTCAGCTCTAACATGCACACACATCACCTGGTTCCCTAGGGCTGGGGAGGAGCTGGAGATGCTGCATTTTCAGCGAGCCCCAACAGGAGGCTGGTGCTGCCGGTCCAGGGGCCAAAAAGGTACCAAGGTTCTGAGATCCAGGTGATGTTCAATTTCTCAACCTGGGTAGTAGGTAAATGAGTATACATTTTCTTATTTTTTTTAAATTATGTTTTGGGGGTCTCACTATGTTGCCCAAGCTGAAGTGCAGTGGCTATTCACAGATGTGATCATAGCACACTACAGCTTCAAACTCCTGGCCTCAAGTGATCCTCTCTCCTGAGTAGCTGGGACTATAGGCACGTGCCAGTGCACCCAGGTCTTCTTGTTCTTTCAACTATGTGTATATATTTTATGTTCTTCACTACGTATGCTATGCCTCATAATTTTTTGAAAAGACCTGCTGAAATGTTACCTTATCTTAGAAGTTCTTCTTACCCTTGTTGGATCATGCAAGAAGTCACACCCTCGGCTGGGCTCAGTGGCTCACACCTGTAATCCCAGCACTTTGGGAGGCCGAGGTGGGCGGATCACCTGAGGTCAGGAGTTAGAGACTAGCCTGTCAACATGGTGAAACCCCATCTCTATTAAAAAAAAAATACACACAAAAAAATTAGCCAGGCGTGGTGGCAGGTGTCTGTAATCTCAGCTACTCAGGAGGCTGAGGCAGGAAAATCGCTTGAACCCAGGAGGTGGAGGCTGCAGTGAGCCAAGATCACGCCACTGTACTCCAGAGTGGGCTGCAGAGTGAAACTCCGTCTAAAAAAAAACAAAACAAAACACCCAAAAAACAAAAAACGAAGAAGTCACACCCTCTTCTGCATTCCTGAGAGACTTCCAACATGGGTCACCAACTGCACTGCCCACAGGGACCAGGTAAGTGATGCCTCCCTACTGAGGCTGGCAGGGAAGACCCACACATGCTAGCCTTAAAGAGAAAACTGATTGTCCCCTACAGGATGTGGGCCCAGGGCTGCCAGATCTAGCTTTCCAAGAGAAACTGGATATTCAGATTTTTGTGTAAAGTCTATTTTTCCCCCAAAGACATCCAGGCTGGAAGAAGATTGTGTGCTGCTGAAGCTCTGACTCAGGACTCAGATCATGACTGAACTGGTTCTGTGGCTCCCCAAGCCCACGGTGACATCCTCACATTGATAAGCAGAGTCTTATCTGCAATCTGGGTGGTCCCAGGATCATCCCCATCAACAAAAACAATAATCATAACAAGCAGTTAGATAGCAGTTATTCTGTGCCAAGCCCAACTCTAAGCGCTTTACATGAATTGGTGCTTTTAATCCTCACAAACTGTGTGTCAGACACTGTTTTAAGTTCTTTAGGTATTTCTAGCTGATAGTAGAACCCTTGCAAAAATGCTCTAAAGCTGAAGTTAGCCCCATTTATTTATTTATTTATTTTATTATTATTATTTTTTATTTTTTTATTTTTTAAGACAGAGTCTTACCCTGTCACCCAGGCTGGAGTGCAGTGGCGCAACCTCCACTCACTGCAACCTCTGCTCACTGCAACCTCTGCCTCCTGGGTTCAAGCGATTCTCCTACCTCGGCCTCCCAAGTAGCTGGGACTACAGGTGCTCACCACCCCTCCCGGCTCATTTTTGTATTTTTAGTAGAGATGGGGTTTCACCATGTTGGCCAGGCTGGTCTCCAACTCCTGACCTCAGGTGGTCCGCCCGCCTTGGCTTCCCAAAGTGCTGGGATTAAAGGCGTGAGCCACTGTGCCCTTCCAAGCGCCATTTTAATATGAAGACATGAGTCTCACAGCAGTCAGAGGACTTGCCTGTGGTTTGAAAGCTGGTAGGTGATAGGCTTGGGAATCTCAGCCCAGGGACCATGATCCCAACCACCGCGCCACGGTAACTGACAGATCTACAGCAAATGCACATTCCTGCTACTACGAGCCTTGAGACCTCAGCAAGTTACACAAACTGGGCATAACAAAGCTGCCAGGGTCCTAGGGAAAGAATGGGGATTAAATGGGATAAAGTAGGCAAGCCTTGGCACAGATTAAGTGATGGTTAAATGGCGGCAAGTTTCATTACTGTGATTGTTTATTTTATTGATGTTAATCTTCATCATGACTATAGCGGTCCCTCCCAGGTCTAATAGCTCTCACGGCTGTGTGCTCCGTGATACATTCACTTGCATCCCCATTTAGGGTTTGGAAATCAACATGTACCTGGAAACTGCTGGCTAAATGTTTGCAGAAGGTAGAAGGTGGAAGGGAGAAGAGTAGGAAAAAGGGGACAAGCAAAGGAGGCTAAGAGGGAGGAAGGAACTGAAACCTCAGCAGATGTCTCCCAAGAAAGAAGGAGGCGACAGAACTTGACTGAGATACTATTAATACCATGTGCCAGGCTGTGCGCTACCCAGGTGACACAGGTGATCTCATCACATCCTGAGGGTGGGTGTTGTCACCCCATTTCCATAGGAGAGGAGCCTGAAGCCAGTGTCCCCAGCTTGCTCCCTGGCTGCTGTCTCAGCTTGCAAGCTAAATGGCTGGGAGTCTGTAAAACTCCCGCCACAGGCACATTTACTCTCAGTCCTTCCTGCTTTTGCTCCTGGAGGCTACTCTAGCGCACAGTGGAACCAAGTTATAGAAGCAGGATAACTCTGGCTGGGAAGGGACCCCACCCTACTGCTGATAAAAATCACCCTTTGTAAAATCCTTTGCACATATGTTAATCCCATAAACTTAATGATTACTGTATTCTAGAAGGCAATTAGAAAACTAGAAGTTTTATTTGCCTATTTACAAAACAGTTTGACTATCTCACTTGACTCACATCTCCTCTTGAACCAGGTTACCTGCATTTGAGTCGCTACACATCCCCACCTCTGCACAACCCTGCCCCGCTCCTTCATAGCATTCCTCAAAGAAGTCAGTGACCCATTTCTCAAGTAAAAGGACTCTCGGGTAAAATATATATTTTCTCTTTCTCTTAGCACCAAACTCAGAGACAACCAAAAAACAAAAGGATTGCTCTGCTTATGTCTTGGGGGATAGGAAGATCCCTTTTTAATATCAAAATTGTTTCTGTAAGGTTGCTTGTTTTTTTCAAATTAGATTATAGTAGTTATTTATGTATCCTGGATTACAATCCTTCATTACAGTGCTGCTATTGTCTTCTTCGTTTGTGGTTTGTTTGTTGAGAGTGAATTTAATGAACAACAGTTTACTGTAGTCACATTTACCAATCTTATCTTCTACAATTGTCTTTATGCAGAAAATACTTCCTCACTTGGAGGTCACAAGAATATCCCCCTATACTTTCTTCTGAAAGTTTGAAAGCTGTGCCTTTCTCATTTACGTATTTAATTTATCTGTATCTAGTTTTTATCTGTGATGGGAGATAAGGGACCACTTTCCTCTAGGATCCTTGACAGATTAGTCCCTCCTTTCTCCCCTGGCCTACAAAGCCACTGCAGTCACAGATCAGGTTACCAAAAGTGTTTGGGTTTGTTTCTGAGCGTTTTCATTCTGCTTCCCTGGTCAGTTTCTCTGTGCCAACAGCATACTGCCATAATCCAAATAGCTCTGCAATAAATTCCAGCGTTGTCCGGGCAAACTGCCCTACTTCAGGCTTCTTTAGGAATGTCTTGGCTATTCTTGGGCCTTTGTTCTTCCATATAAATTTGAGAATCAATTTGTTCAGTTCCTTGAAAAAAATCCAATTGGGATTTTGATCGAAACTGTATTAAGTCTGTGGCTCAACTGGGGTATACTTGAGATCTTCAGCATATCAAGTCTTCCCAGCCATGAACTGAAAATGTTTCTCCATCTACTTATGACTTTAATGTTTTTTCTCTAACATTGTACAATTTTCTCCCAAAGGTCTTCCATGTTTATGAAATCATTATCAGCCAGGTACAGTGTGGTTCATGCTCATAATCCCAGCACTTTCAGAGGCTGAGGTGGGAGGATCACTTGAGCTCAGGAGATTGGGACCAATATGGGCAATGTAGCAAGACCCCATCTCTACAAAAAATAATTTTAAAAAAAATTAGCTGGGTGTGCTGGTGCATGCCTGCAGTCCTAGCTACTCAGAAGGCTGAGGTGGGAGGATCCCTTGATCCCAGGCTGTAGTGAGCTAGGACTGTGCCATTGCACTCTAGCCTGGGTGACAGAGCAAGACCCTGTCTAAAAAAAAAAAAAAAAAAAAAAAAAACCACAGAGAAAAAGAAAGGGAAGGGAAGGGAGCGGAGGGGAGGGGAGGGGAGGGAATTATCCCAACGTGCCTTTTATCTTTTTTTGCTGTTATAAATGGTATTATTTTTGAAATTACATTTTCTAACTGCTTATTGCTTATTGTATTACATAGAAATTCAATGTTTAAGTTATTGACTTTATATCTAGCTACTTTGCTGAACTCTCATTAATCTCAATAATTTGTAGATTCTTTTGGATTTCCTATGTAAACAATCACATTATCTGTGAATAATAGTTGTATTTCTTCTTTTCCAATCATTGCCTCTTTTTCCTGCCTTATTGCGCTGGCTAAGACCTCTAGGGCAATAGTAATGATAGAATACACTCTTGTCTTACCTCCAGTTTCTTAGAAATAGGCTCTAACTTATCACCATTAAAATTGGTGATTTTGGTAGATATTTTCACCTTGTCAAAAAAGCTCCCTTCCATTTTCTATTTTGGTAATTTTTATTTAATTGATTAATTATAAATGGGAATTAAATTTTTCAAAAAAAATTTTTTTTTTTTGAGACAGAGTCTCACTCTGTCCCTCATGCTGGAGTGCAGTGGCATGATCTTGGCTCACTGCTACCTCTGCCTCCCTGGCTCAAGCTATTCTCATGCCTTGGCTTCCTGAGTAGCTGGGATTGCGGACATGCACTGCCACGCTCAGCTAATATTTTGTATTTTTAGTAGAGACAGGGTTTTGCCATGTTGGCCAGGCTGGTCTCAAACTCTTGACCTTAAGTGATCTGCCCACCTCAGCCTCCCAAATTGCTGGGATTACAGCCGTGAGCCACTGTGTTCGGTCTAAATTTTTATTTTGACACATAAGGTCAAAATAAATGGTTTGTTTATTCAATCTGTTAAAGTAGTGAATATTTATAAATTTTTTTCTCGATACTAAATCATCTTTGCATTTTTGGAATTAAACCCAACTTGTTTCTCACGTATTATCATTTTTATTCATTACCAGATTCTGTTTGCTAATATTTTATGTAGGACTCTTGCATTCATATTCATGAATAAGACTAACTTGTCCTATTCCTTTCTCATATTCATTCCTTTCTCATTCTCAACACCTAACTCATTTTTAGCCCCATAAAATGAATTAGGTGTTTTTCACTAATATGCAGAAGATTTTATGTAAGACTGGAATGAGTTTGAAAGTTTGGTAGAACTCCCCTGTTTAAAATAATACATACACACACACACACACACACACACACACACACACACACACACATATATATAATTGCAGGTCCCATGTGTGTGCATGTATATATATATATATATATATATATATATATATATATATATATATGTATGTGCGTGTGTGCATGGGATGGATATGTGTATATATATATGTGTGTGTATATATATAGGTATATATATATATGTATATATATGTATACATATATATATATGACCTGAAATTATTTTTTCAATAGAAAGATAGTTAACCTCTTAATCATTTTTTAAATTTTGAGACAGGGTCTTGCTATATTGCCCAGGCCGGAGTACAGAGTCTATTCACAAGTGCAATCATAGAGCATTGTAACATTGAACGCCTGGGCTCAGCCAATGCTCCCTCAGTCTCCCAAGTAGCTGGGACAACAGGTGCGTGCCACTGCACCCAGACACTTATTCATATTTATATGGTTAAATAAAAATTCGAGCTTTTAAATTATTTTCAAATCAATTTTGGAGTTACATTTTTTTCTAAGAATTTCACTATTTCATCTTAGAATTTGAATTTTTGATGTAAAGATTTGCATAATATTTACATCAATTTTAAATCTCTGTTGTCACTCTAATTTTGACTCATCTTCATTTCTAACATTGTTGTGTGTGTGAGCTTTCTTTTTTTAATCAGTCTTACCAGAAACTTGACTATTTTATTATTTTATTCAAAGAACCAAGATTTAGCCTTATTGATCTTTTTCTCCTATGTCAGTCATTTCTGTTCTTATCTTTATTGTCTCTTTCCTTCTATGTTTTTGGGGGGTATATTTTCCTTTTATTAAAAAAATTTATTTTATTTATTTATGTATTTTTGAGACAAGATATTGCTGTGTTGCCCAGGCTGGGGTGCAGTGGTGTGATCTCAGCTCCCTGCAACCTCCACTTCCAGAGCTCAAGCAATCCTTCTGCCTCAGCCTCCTGAATAGCTGGGATTACAGGCACACACCACCATGCTGGCTAATTTTTGTGTTTTATGTAGAGACGGGATTTTGCCATGTCGCCCAGGCTGGTTTCAAACTCCTAAGCTCAAGTGATCTGCCTGCCTCAGCCCCTCAAAGTGCTAGGATTATAGACATAAGCCATGGCTTCCAGCCTATTTTATTTTTAAATAGAGACAGGATCTCGTTATGTTGCTGAGGCTGGTCTGAAACTCCCAGGCTCAGGTGACCCTCCCACCTTGGCCTCCCAAAGTGTTGGTTTTATAGGTATGAGCCACCACACCCAGCCTCTCTATTCTGTAACAATACTTAAGTCTATGTATTCCCTTTCAAAGGACTATTTTTGCTTCATAACTGAATTTTTAACATGTAATATTTTCAGTAGCATTCAATTCTAATTATTTTTCAATTTACATTACTATTTTTTATTTCACTCCGATGTTATTTTGAAGTGTGCTTTTAAATTTCCAGACATAGAAAATTACTAAAATTTGGCCGGGTGTGGTGGCCATCGCCTGTAATCCCAGCACTTTGGGAGGCTGAGGTGGGCTTATCACTTGAGGTCAGGAGTTTGATACTAGCCTGGCCAACATGGCAAAACCCCATCTCTACTGAAAATACAGAAATTAGCCAGCCATGGTGGTGAGCGCCTGTAATCCCAGCTACTCAGGAGGCTGAGGCAGGAGAATTGCTTGAACCTGGGAGGAGGAGGCTGCAGTAAGCCGAGATAATACCACTGCACTCCAGCCTGGGTGACAGAGCAAGACTCTCAAAAAAAAAAATTACTAAAATGTGTCTTTGTATTGTCTATATCTACTTTTTAAATTCTGTTGTGATCAGAGGCCACAGATATCTGTATGATACTGATTGTTTTAAATATAATGACACATTTTGTAGCCTAATAAAGTGTATACCTTTCAATCATATTTTCTAACCACAATGCAACTAAGTTAGAAGTCAATTTTTTGAAATGGTAAGAAATCTTAAAACACAGGTTAACATTTCCACACGTGCTTGAGAAGAATGAGTATAATCTAAGTGTTGGGGGATTATGTTCATTAAGTCATGCCTGTCAGTTTTAATTGAAATCTTCTATGTCTTTACAAATTTTGTCTTTTTGATCTATCAATAATTAATTAAGGTGCACTAAAATCTCCTACTGTTGTGGCAGATTGAACTACTTCTTGTAGTTATTTTCAATTTTTGTTTTATATTTTTTAGATTTTATAAAAGTGGATGCAAATTTATAACTATTGTATCTTACTGGTGAATTAAACTTCTTATCACTGTATATTAACCCTCTTTACCTTTAATAATGCATTTTCCTTAAAAGCTATTTTGTTTGATGTTTATTATTATTTTTCTGATGTATCTCTTATCCTACTTTTACTTATAAACTTTCTATTTTCTTAGTTTCATCTACGTCTCTTATAATTAATATATGGCTCAATTTAGAAAAAAATTTAACATGGCAATTTTAGTCTTTTGACTGGTAGGTTTGGTCCACTTACATTTATTGTGATTATTAAAATATTTGGACTTTGGGGTAGTACAGCTCTTTCCTTTCCGTCTGGAGGCAGCCATCAGGTAAGCCAAGATGGGTGCATACAAGTACATCCAGGAGCTATGGAGAAAGAAGCAGTCTGACGTCATGCGCTTTCTTCTGAGGGTCCACTGCTGGCAGTGTGTCAGCTCTCTGCTCTTCACAGTGCTCCCTGCCCCACCTGGCCTGATAAAGCACACCGACTGGGCTACAAGGCCAAACAAGGTTACATTATATGTAGGATTCGTGTTCGCCGTGGTGGCCGAAAACACCCAGTTCCCTTAGGAACAACTGACGGCAAGTCTGTCCATCATGGTGTTAACCAGCTAAAGTTTGCTCGAAGCCTTCGGTCCGTTGCAGAGGAGCAAGCTGGACGCCACTGTGGGGCTCTTTAAGAGCCCGGAATTCTCACTGGGTTGGTGAAGATTCCACATACAAATTTTTTGAGGTTATCCTCATTAATCCATTCCATAAAGCTATCAGAAGAAATCCTGACACCCAGTGGATCACCAAACCAGTCCACAAGCACAGGGAGATGCGTGGGCTGACATCTGCAGGCCGAAAGAGCCGTGGCCTTGGAAAGGGCCATAAGTTCCACCACATTATTGGTAGTTCTTGCCGGGCAGCTTGGAGAAGGCACAATACTCTCCAGCTCCACCGTTACTGCGAATATAAGTAAAGTTTGTAAAATTCATGTCTAATAAACAATTTACGACAGTCATGTCTGCTTACAGGTGTTATTTGTCTGTTAAAACTAGTCTGCAGATTGTTCCCTGAATGCTTTGTCAAGAAAATTAAAGTGCAATAATGTTTGAAGACAATAAGTGATGGTGTATCTTGTTTCTAATAAGACAAACTTTTTTGTCTTTGCTTTATCTTATTAGGGAGTTATATGTCAGTGTATAAAACATGCTGTGTGGTATAATAGGTTTAAAATAATTCCTTTAAAAGAAGAGTATTGAAGCTAGCCCTGTAGATTTGCCTGGTGCATGTAATGAAACCTGCAGCTTTATGGGGTGATGGCAGTGCTCTGCTGCCTTACTTTCAAGTGGCTGGGGGTTTTTTTAGTTTGGCAGGTACAGATTTTTTTTAATTGGGCTTTGCTTTAGAAATTGTAGGGTGGGAGGAGGACATCTTAACTATGTCACAATTATATTTAGAAAATTATGGGCACAAATCTGGGTTAGCCTGAAGAAAATTGCCTGTCTTTACGGTACCATTTTAAGTTCACATAAAAGGTGAAAGCTCCTGGGTCAGTGCCATTGCTTCATGGCATTCAGTGGTTAGTGGTCGTGCTTTTAACACTGGTGTGTTTTGAAATTGAATGTGAGATAAAATTATTAGCCTTAAGGTTGGTAAGCTAGCAATCAATGCTAGGGTGGGAAGCTGGCGAGCCGGTGGCCATTAGATAAATACCTTTCAAGTGTGAGCTCAGAAGCCAACCCTAAAATACTTAACCGTAACACTAATTTGTGATCATTATGAATCCTTTCAGTCACATTAGTGGGGAAAGTAGTTGGCTATAAGTACCTCATTCTTAGTCCAGGCAGTCTTAAAAACATCTTGGGTTACCCACTCTGTCAACTCTCATAGGCTACAGAAGAAGTCATACAAGTGCATGGATTCCAACCATATGTGTTTTCTGTAATTGTTTCTCTTATTCCTGGCCAAAGTACCCTAAAAATCCCTACCATTTCACAAAGTTGGGCCATCATTTCTACGCCCACTTTCACTGTAAGTATACCACCACATTGCATTTCTGTTCGCATCATGTCTTCTAGGAGGCTAGGCTACTGTTTTCCAGGGTGAATTTGAGTGTAAAGGAAATGTAGACAAGGAATTGCCCAATTCTAAATTCTGGCTGTGCTGACTTAATTTAAATGCTCATTTCTCTGAACCAATTTTCTCCTATCTTCTCTAGGCGTTTCAAAAGGATCAGTTAATTGATTTCCGGGAAGTACTCATAGCAAGTCCATAAAAGTTCTAGAGACCTAAATTTCTTCTCAAAAAAAGAAAAGATATTAAGTCATACATTTTGATTGTGTAGAGGTTGTTCAACTAAAGGAATAAATGTCTATTAAACTAAAAAAAAATTGGACTTGTCTATATCATTTTATTTTGTGCTTTTTCTATGCTTTTTTTTTTTTTCATTGCTTGCCTGTTAAGAGAATCCAGAGCTCAATATGGATGTCTCAGGTTCAGCTCTTCTAATTTGATAAGAACCTGAAAGTTCGTTTTTTGTTTTTTGTTTTTTTTTTTTTTGAGACAGGGTCTCGCTCTGTCGCCCAGGCTGGAGTGCAGTGACACAATCTCAGCTCACTGCAGCCTCTGCCTCCCAGGTTCAAGAAATTCTCTTGCCCTCTGCCTCCCAGGTTCAAGAAATTCTCTTGCCTCAGCCTCCTGAGCAGCTGGGACTACATGCATGTGCCACCACGCCTGGCTAAGTTTTGTATTTTTAGTAGAGACGGAGTTTCACCATGTTGCCCAGGCTGGTCTTGATCTCCTGACCTCAAGTGATCCACCCCCCTTGGCCTTGCAAAGTGCGAGGATTACAGGCGTGAGCCACCATACCCGACCAAAAGTTAGTTTTCTATTGGTGGTGCTGATATAGGTCTTCAAACTCAGGACAATCCTATTTTATAGTTATTATTCAATTTACTTGTTTATTACCATTCCTTGCTTTGGTTTCAGCCCTCTGGCATACATTTATTTATTTATCACACCTCTCAAAACTTTCCTTATTTCCAATAAGCCCATCAACGCATTAAAATATATGTTTTCTTTAATTTATCCAGGACCTAGTTGTGATAAGAGCTCCTGAGAGTATCTACAGTACCATGTAGCCAAAGTGGCACACTTTGTGGTCATTGCTCTACTTCCTTAAAGTAGAGGTTTCGGGGCCCACAAATATTAGACAAGCATTTGAACCTCCATGTGAGCACCAAGGAGTCCCATGCAGTGCGTCTGTAACGAGTGTCTCTGTACATGTATGGCTATTTTTCAATGGCCATCGGTGCTGATGTACTGAGGGAAATCCCATTCCCTCAAGTGTTTCTGAAATCATTGTAGTTTCTATGACATCTTATTTTGGTCAATCAATATTTACTATATACAAAACCACGAAATGTGTGAGAACCATAAAAATTTCAAGTGCCCCCATATCCACTAAATGCAAACAATGCTTAGCTCTAGACATTGGGCGTGTGGGTGATATTGTCTTCTGTCTGTTACTTTTCTGTGTTTCTTGAGTTCCTGCTGTGAGCATGCCTCTGTAAATACTAGTTTCATATTTACAGAGAGAAAGTTATTTTACAAAGGGGCTCTCATACTTAAAAAAGTTGGGAACCACTGCTTTGAATGATTATTTAGAGCATTAGAGCAAGAGAAGCAAACTCAAGACTGGAGGGGCCAGTCCTGTGATAGGAATGAGGAAGTGGGCCAGGGGGAGTTCAACCTGAAGGTCAAAGTGGGACTCAATGGGCGCAAATGCTTCTCAGCTCCAACTGACTTTTGTTTTGTTTTGTTTTTGGAGACAGGGTCTCACTCTGTCACCCAGGCTGGACAGCGGTGATGTGATCATTGCTCACTGCAGCCTTGAACTCCCAGGGTCAAGGGATCCTCCCACTGCAGTCTCCTAAGTAGCTGTGACTACAGGCAGACATTGCCATGCCTGGCTAATTTTTTTAGTTTTTTGTAGAGACGTGGTCTTGCTATGTTGCCCAGGCTGGTCTTGAATTTCTGGACTCAAGAGATCCTCCCACCTTGGCCTCCCATAGTGCTGAGATTACAGTCATGAGCCACCATGCCTGGCTCCAATCAATTTTTTCCCTGTAAAAATACAGGCCTGATGTTGTCAGATCTTTTAGTTAAGTGAAAATGGATATCCAAATTTGGGCTGGACACAGTGGCTCATGCCTGTAATCCTAGCACTTTGGGAGACCAAGGCAGGTGGATTGCCTGAGCTTAGGAGTTCGAGACCAGCCTGGGCAACATAGTGAAACTCTATTTCTACTAAAATACAAAAAATTAGCCAGGTGTGGTGGTGTGCACCTGTAATCGCAGCTACTCAGGAGGCTGAGGCATGAGACTTGTTTGAAATCAGGAGGAAGAGGTTGCAGTTAGCTGCGATTGTGCCATTGTATTCCAGCCTTTTTTGGAGACTCTGTCTCAAAAAAAAAAAACCAAAATTTGTTATTTGAAATCTTTAGAGATTTTTAGATGTTGGTAACCAATTCAAAAAACTTTTTAAAACATGGTGCAGTCCTAACCAACCATCTGTGTAGACTGGATGTGGCTCCTGGGTGGCCCATTCACCATTCCTGTTTTGGAATCAGTCTCCTTATCTCTCACCTCCATGCGCAACTCCATAATCAGTCACCAAGATCAAGTCCAGTTCTGGTATATTTCTCAAATAGGAGGACTACACCAAAAAATTTCTTCCCTAGATTCAGATTATAGGCCACTTCTCTCACTCACATTGAAAGTCACCAGGCCGGGCGCGGTGGCTCACGCCTGTAATCCCAGCACTTTGGGCAGCCGAGGTGAGTGGATCACTTGAGGTCAGGAGTTTGAGACCAGCCTGACCAGCATGGTGAAACCCCGTCTCTATTAAAATACAAAATTAGCCGAGTGTGGTGGCCCACGCCTGTAATCCCAGCTACATGGGAGCCTGAGGCAGGAGAATCGCTTGAGCCCAGGAGGCGGAGGTTGCAGTAAGCCGAGATCGTGCCATTGCACTCCAGCCTGGGTGACAAGAGGGAAACTCTGTCTCAAAGAAGAAGAAGAAAAAAATGAAAGTCACCAAGTTTATTTATTCATTCTTCATTCATTTGTCCATTCATCATCCATGTAGTCAGTCAGACACAAATATCTTTGAATGTCTGCCAGATATCCTAAAACAGTATCCTAAAACAGAAGGAAAGAAGACAACAGGTCAGGGTGGTAGAGAAAGAGGAGAGTGAGGAGATGATAACACCAGGAGCTGTGGTCAGGAAAAGGCCTTCTGTAGGTGGTGTTTGACTAGGACCTGCTTGCAGAGAAAAGGGCAGCTGTGCAAACTGAGGGGTGAGCTTAGCTCAAGGAGAAAGGACAAGTGTAAAGGCCTTGAGATAAGAATGGATTGAGACAGATTTGTCAGAGGAAATTTGTTAATCCTCTCAGGAGGAACCCACCCAAGGTGGCCCTCCTCCCTAACTCCATTGTCAAGCAATTGGGGCCTGGGTTATCTCTTCAATTCAGGCTGCGGGCCAAGCCCACCTCTCCACGGGTCCAAGTTTCCAGGAATGTAGTTCTGGCTCTTCCGCTCTCCAGTTGAGACCTAGGGCAAGTTGAGGGGAGCCTGGACCCCTTCCTCTTTGACCATCCCTCTGCTACCTTCCCTGACAGCGGCCCACCTCTGCTCAAGGGCCTGCTTCCTGTTCCTCAGTAGAACCACTTAACCCGTTTCTAATGCTCTTAGATAAAAGTCCAAACTTCCTTAATACCTTTACTGGGCCCTGCACCGTGCGCCCACCCCCTGCCTCCAACCCTCCTTCTCCTTCCTCCAATTCCACCTCTGCTTTCAGCCTTGCCCAGTCCCCAAAGTCCTGCCCCTTTCCTATATTTCATCTTTGTGCAAGCAGCTCTTTTCTCTCAGAATGCCATTGGCTTCTCCTTCTTCTTACTTGTGAAAGATGCCACTGAATGTCCAGGCAGTGGAGTCGGGAGCTACTTCTTCCACCTTCTCAGTCCCTTGGTCTGAAAGAGAGTCCTGACGTACTGCATTGTCATCCTTCTGCCTCACTGTGGGCTTTGTCTTGTTTTCTCTCCCTCTCCATCTTGACTGTCTCTCATTGCCCATTCCCCATCTTCCACATCTCCAGGCTCCTTGCCTGGTTCACCTTTAAGCTCCTCTGCCCTGGTCTCAGTGAACTGCTATTTCCTCTCCCAGTTCCTGGCACGATGATTCATCCACAACAAATACTTATAGAATGAACAACCTGAATAATTAAGCCCCCAAGCACTCAGAGGATGGTCCACCGTGGAGCTAAGAGTCATCACAATTTTCAGGTGATGTTACAGATAATGCAGATCCCTTCTCAGCAACTTTAATTTTTTTTCTTTTTTTGAAACAGGGTCTCACTCTGTCACCCAGGCTGGAGTGCAATGGTGCGAACACAGTTCACCGCAGCCTCCACCTCCCAGGCTCAAGTGATCCTTTTGCCTCAGCCTCCTGTGTAGCTGGGACCTCACATATGCACCACCATGCCCAGCTAATTTTTTGATCCTTTGTAGAGATGGGGTCTCATTTTGTTGTCCAAGCCAGTCTTGAACTCCTGGGCTCAAAAGATCCTGCCTGGGCTTCCCAAAGTGCTGGGATTATAGGCTTGAGCCAGCACCCTGGCCTCAGCATCTTCAATGTATTTATCACAAGCATGGCACTGCCAGCATTTGTCTTACTTTATACTTGATCAGTAGTTTGCTCAGTATAAATAGAATGCTTGAGTGGAGGGCTTGTTCCCTGCTCAGCTCCACCCAGAGTGTGGCAAGCCCTCCTTGTTGAATGGATGAACGAACAAACACTTCATAAAGCACTTTACACAGTTGATTACCTTTTATCTTCTAAACAACTCTAAGAGATAGATAGGTTCCCTTGTCAAACCCCATTTTACAATTTAGGAAGCATTAAGGCTTAAAGAGATTCAATGATTTACCCAAAGTTAACAAACCTAATAAGTAATGGGGCTGTGATTTGAACCCCCACACTGTCGTCTTGTTTCATGGTCTAATGCTGTGACAATGTCTTACATGGTGGTGGCCAGCCACATGTGGCTCCTGAGGATTTGAAGCATGGCTGCTACAAATCAAAGTGTGCTCTCAATGTAATGCATGCCCCAGATTTCAAAAATTTAATATAAAAAAAGAATAAAAATATCTAATTTTTGAGCTATGGATTACTTATTACTTGAGCTAGGGATTAGTGATGAATTACAAAAGGAGACCAAACAATTCTTAATAATTCAAAGGGAGAAAACTGGTAGACACTACCTCAATCAGTGATCACAGTTACCTCCACCAGGATGGGACCACTGACACTGTGAGCCCTGTTATAGGGTACAGTGGGAGCCAAAAGCATCATTTAGGTCTCATATTTGCGAAACCTTTTAAGCCTGAATGTAATAATGAAGAAGTAATCAGACACATCCAGATGGTGGGGTACTCTATAAAACAGGTGCTCTGTAATCTTCAAAAATGCCAGTATCTTAAGAAGTGAAGGAAGGCTGAGAAATTTTTCCAGATGATAGGAGACTAAGGACACGTAACAACAAAACACAATATGAGATCCCAGTTTGCATCCTGGATTAGAGGAAAGAACCTTATTGTGAGCTACTCGGCAGACTGAGGCAGGAGAATCGCTCGAACCCTGGAGGCGGAGGTTGCAGTGAGTGATATGTATATATATCACTACAACCTCGAACTCCTGGCTCCTTAACGTACCAGGCTCAAATGATCCACCCACCTCAGCCTCCCTAGCTGGGACCACAGGCACATGCTATCATGCCTGGCTAATTTTTTAAATTTTTGGTAGAGACAGGGTCTCTCTATGTTACCCAGGCTGGTTGTGAACTCCTGGGTTCAAGTGATCCTCCCGTCTTGGCCTCCCAAAGTGCTAGGATTACAGGCATGAGCCACTATGCCTTGCCCATAAAATACATTGAAATACGTGAATTCACGATACTTGAGGGGAAAAGAAAAGAACTTAGTGGGTCATTTTGGAGTATATTAAGAACGAGCGGCCGGGAGCAGTGGCTCACACCTGTAATCCCAGCACTTTGGGAGGCCAAAGCAGGCAGATCACCTGAGGTCAAGAGTTCGAGACCAGCCTGACCAACATGGTGAAACCTCATCTCTACTAAAAATACAAAAATTAGCCCAGTGTGGTGGCACATGCCTGTAATCCCAGCTACTCAGGAGGCTGAAGCAGGAGAATCGCTTGAACCCAGGAGGCGGAGGTTGCAGTGAGCCGAAATCGCGCCATTGCCCTCCAGCCTGGACAAGAGTGAAACTCCTTCTCAAGAAAAAAAAAAAAAAAAAAGAACCAGCTTATTAGTTTGAAAACTGGTAAATAAAGGGAAAAGAACATACATTATATATTATGCAGAGGAATGCAAGATGGTACAATCACGTTGGAAATAATTTTTGGCAGTTTCTCTCAAAGTTAAACGTACTGTTGACAGACGACCAGCAATTCCACTTCTAGGTTACCAGAAAAGATTATCCAAGAGAAATAAAAACATCTGGGCTGGGCAGGATAGCTCATGCCTAGAATCCCAGCACTGAAGGAGGCCGAGGTAGGCAGATCTCTTCAGGCCAGGAGTTCAAGATCAACCTGTGTGATATGGTGAAACCCCATCTCTACAAAAAATGCAAAAATTAGCCGAGTGTGGTAGCGTAACTCCATAATCCCAGCTACTCGAGAGGCTGAGATATGAGAATCGCTTGAACCTGGAAGGCAAGGAGGCAAGGTTGCAGTGATGCAGTGAGCCAAGATCATGCCACTGCACTCCAGCGTGGGTGACAGAGTGAGACTCTATTTCAAAAAAAAAAAAAAATTCAGGGATAAGTATTTGTGTGGACAGATCCCTCTCTCCTTCCCTCCCTCCCTCCCTTCCCTCCCTCCCTCCTTCCTCTTTCTCTTTCTCTCTTTCTTTCTCTCCCTTTCTTTCGTTCTTTCTTTCTTCAGAGTCTCTCTCTGTTGCCCAGACTGGTGTGCAGTGGCATGATCTCAACTCACTGCATCTTCCACCTCCCAGGTTCAAGCAATTCTTATATCTCAGCCTCCCAAGTAGCTGGAATTACGAACATGCCACACGCACGGCTAATTTTTGTATTGTCTTTAGAGACAGAGTTTTGCCATGTTGGCCAGGTTGGTCTCAAACTCCTGGCCTCAAGTGATGTGCCTGTCTTGGCCTCCCAAATTGCTAGGATTACAGGTGTGAGCCACCGCACCTGGCCCTTATCCCTGAATATTGATAGGATTATTTATAATAGCCAAAACCAGGACCCAGTTCAAACGTGCATCACCTGGTAAATGAATAAACTGTGGAATATCCACACAATGGAATACTACTGAGCAATAAGAAGGAAAAAAAATTACTAACACACAGAATAGCAGGGATAAATCTCAAAAGCATGCTAAGTAGAAGAAGCCATACGAAAGGCCACCTATTATATAATTTCCTTTATTATGGCATTCTAGAAAAGGGAAAAAATATTCTTCAGGGATTGTGGATTACACAATGGTTTCTTACGTATGATACCAAATGCATAAGTGACAAAAGAAAAAATACAGAAATTAGACTTCATCAAAATTGTTGAAGCCTATAATCAGTTGACTTTTTTAAAAAGAGAAAAAAAAACAAAATTAAAAACCTTTGTGCTTCAATAGATATAGTCAAGACAGTGAGAGAGAAAATGTTTGCGAATCATATATCTCATAAGGGACTTATATCCAGAATACATAAATAATTTTTGGCTGGGTATGGTGGCTCACACCTGTAATCCCAGCACTTTGGGAGGCCGAGGCAGGAGGATCCCTTGAGCCTAGGAGTTCGAGACTAGTCTGGGCAACATGGTGAAACCCTGTCTCTTTTTATAAAAAAAGAAATTACTACTCAACATAAAAATATCAATAACCCAATTAAAAATGGGTAAAGGCTGGGTGCAGTGGGTCAAGCCTGTAATCCCAGCACTTTGGGAGGCCGAGGTGGGTGGATCATGAGGTCAGGAGATGGAGACCATCCTGGCCAATATGGTGAAACCCCATCTCCACTAAAAATACAAAATTAGCCGGGCATGGTGGCACATGCCTGTAATCCCAGCTACTTGGGAGGCTGAGGCGGGAGAATCACTTGCACCCGGGAGGCAGAGGTTGTGGTGAGCCGAGATCATGCCATTGCACTCCAGCCTGGGCAACAAGAGTGAAACTCCGTCTCAAAAAATAAAATAAAATAAAATAAAATAAAAATATAAAAATTAGCTGGGTGTGGTGGCGTGTGCCTGTAGTCAGCTACTCAGGAGGCTGAGGCAGGAGGATCACTTGAGCTTGGGAGGTGGAGGTTGCAGTGAGCCGAGATCATGCCACTGCACTCCAGCCTGGGTGACAGAGCGAGAATAAACAAATAAATAAATAAAAGGTAAATAACATGAATAGATATTTCTTCAAAGAAGATATCCAAATGGCTAATAAGCATATAAAAAGATGCTCACCATCATTAGTCATTAGGACAAACAAATCAAAATCACAATAAGGTGTCACATCATACCATGAGGATGATTGAAATTAATAAGAAAGGCTAATATGTGTTGGTGAGGATGCAGAGAAATTAGAACCCCCATACAATTGCTGTCGGAATATAAAATGGTGCATCTGCTTTGAAAATGATCTGACAGTTCCTCAAATGGTTAAATATAGTTACCACATGACCTGGTAATCCCATTCCCAGGTAGGTACCCAAGAGAAATGAAAACAGACATCCACACAAAAACCTGTTCATGAACATTCATGGCAGCATCATTCATAATAGCAAAAAGATGGGAGCAATCCATATGTCATCAACTGATAGATGGATAAGCAAAATGTAGCATATCCATATAATGAAATATTATTCAGCCATGAAAAGGAAAGAAGTACTAATACATGCTAAACATGGATGAACCTTGAAAACATTCTGTAACGTTAAAGAAGGCAACACAAAAGGTCACATATGATTCCATTTATATAAAATGTTCACCAGAGGCAAATCCATAGACATAGGAAATAGATTAGTGTTTCTCGGGCTGGGGGGAGGCGAGAATGGAGTGTGACTGTAATTTATTTATGGGATGATGAAAATTTCTTTTTTTGAGACAGGATCTCACTCTTTCACCCAGGCTGGAGTGCAGTTGTGTAGTAACAGCTCACTGCAGCCTCCACCTCCTGGGGTTAAGGTGATCCTCCTGTCTCAGCCTCCCAAGTAGTTGGGACCACAGGCACATGCCACTCTGCCCAGCTAATTTTTTATATTATTTGTGGAGACAGGGTCTCCCTATGTTGGCCAGGCTGGTCTCGAACTCCTGGCCTCAAAGGATCCTTTCACTTCTGCCTCCCAAAGTGCTGAGGTTACAGGCATGAACCAGAATGCCTGGTCAAAATTGTTTTAAAATTAGATAGTGGCTATCTTGGTTTGTTCTGGCTGCTATAGCAAAATGCCAGAGACTGGGTAATTTATAAATAATAGAAAGGTATTTCTTGCAGTTCTGGGGCCTGGGAAGTTCTAGATCCAAGCACCAGCAGATCCAGGGTTGGTATATGGTGAGGGCTCACCCTCTGCTTCACAGACAGTACCTCTTGTTGTATCCCCACATGGCAGAAGGGCTGAACACTGTGCCTTCATATGACAGAGAGGGCAGAAGGACCAAACTCAAACCCTCCTATAAGGGCACTGATCCCATTCATGAGGGTGAAGCCCTCATGATCTCATCTCTCCTCAGGCCCCACCTCTTAATGCTACTGCATTGGGGATTAAATTTCAATACGGATTTTGCAGGGCCACAGACATTCATACCATAGCCATGGTGATGGTCACACCATCTGGTGAATACACTAAAAGCCAGTGAAGTATACACTTTAAAAAGGTAAACTTTATAGGATGTGAATTATATCATGATAAAACCATTTTTTTTTAAAAAAATTGCCTTTAAGGATACCCCAAGAACAGTACAAAAAAATGAACTGAACCTTGAATAAATCCCTTAAGCTCTATGGGCCTCAGTTTTTTCACCTATAAATTGGGGTGATAATCATAATACCTGCCTCTGACGGCTATTTTGAGAATTAAATGAGGGAAAAAAAATGCCTGTGGCAATGGTCTTGTTTGTGGTAAGTACACAAAAAATGGCAGCTTTTGCTGACATCGTGGTTCCTATCAGCTCCCCTGGCACTGCGCTGGGGATGGCCAGGTGGGGATGGAGGTATGAGGAAGACCAGTTCCTTTCCTGGAGAATGGTACTGGAGCAGGATAGAATAATACTGGCTTAGTGAGCAGAAAACCCCATGTAACACATGCCATAGTCATGATGGGCAAGGCCCAGCGGGAATGGGCAGGTGACTTGCCTGACCAAGCTGATGGTGTACACCATGTGCACAGCAGACAGGTTCTCAGGAACAGCAACCAGATAATGTATTCCTTCTAACCAAAAATGTTGTCCATCATAAAGATGCACCCTTATTTTATGTATACAAAAATAAATGTGGCCGGGCATGGTGGCTCACACCTGTAATCCCAGCACTTTGGGAGGCTGAGGCAGGTGGATCACTAGAGGTCAGCTGTTTGAGACCAGCCTAGCCAACATGGTAAAACCCCATCTCTACTAAAAATGAAAAAATTAGCTGGGCATGGTGGCACACACCTGTAGTCCCAGCTACTTGGGAGGGAGGCTGAGGCAGGAGAATTACTTGAACCTGGGAGGCGAAGGTTGCAGTGAGCCGAGATTACGCCACTGCACTCCAGCCTGGCGACAGAGTGAGACTCCGTCTCAAAAAAAAAAAAAAAAAAAAAAAAAGATAAATGTGCTGCCAACTTAGTTATGGCCCACTATCAAGTGTAAGTCAAACCCACCCCAACATCAGAGATGTTAAAATGCAAACAACAAAAAAGTCTCTCAGAATTGATAAGATCCATGCTAAGCACTGAATCTGAGCTGACTCTTTACTCTACCAAAATCCTGGGAGATGCACAGTCCTTAAGGTCAATCCAAGCTAGTTCTAATACTCATTAAGTTCCCAATAGTGACCCCTAACTCTAACCTTTAAATCTGACCTCACTCTAGACCTAAACCTAACCCCTGAGTTTAACCTGTACTGTTGCCCTAAAAGTAGCCCTGTGCTTCGTGCTATCACCCACACTGCTGTCAGTTGTACCTCTACCTTGGCTCTAGCAGATATGTTTTTATTCCAGTTTTAAAGATGAGCATGGTGGTCGGGCATTGTGGCTCATGCCTGTAATCCCAGCACTTTGGGAGGCCGAGGTGGGAAGATCACTTGAGGACATGAATTCGAGACCAGCCTGGCCAACATGCTGAAACCCCATCTCTACTGAAAACAATACAAACATCAGCCGGGCGTGGTGGTGCACACCTGTAATCCCAGCTACTTGGGAGGCTGAGACAGGAGAATCGCTTGAACCCGGGAGGTGGACGTTGTAGTGAGCCGAGATCACGCCACTGCACTCCAGCCTGGGCAACAGAGCGAGACTCCATCTCAATAAAACAAAACAAAACAAAACAAAACAAAACAAAATAAAATAAAATATGACCGTAGTGAGCCTGAGTTGGACTTGAGGGGATTTCTCCACAATCCTGTAGTTAAAAGAGGCAGAGCTGGGATCTGAACCCAAATTGGATCTTTCTGCCCTCCAGGAAATCTCAGCCTATGAAAGAGGAAGAAATGCAAATGGCTACTCAGGCTATGGGTCAGTACTGGATGGCCGTCAGACCCTGCTGGGACCCCGATTCACACCGGAAGGTGCCTCTTTTAGCCCACAGAGCATGTTGCCCAGACTGCGCAGGGTGCTCCAGAATGCTTGTTCCTTACACAGAGTATGTCCGAGCCAGGGCCATCAAGTTACTCAGCGTGGGTGAATAGGAACCCCCAAGCAGGAACCTCTTCAAAGAGGTGTAGGAAGGCTAGGGCAACTCACCCAGCGGGTATGTTCAGGGACTTGCCCTGAACAGAGGCTGCAGCCTTTCCGTTTCCTGTCCCCCACTGTTGCCTTCTGGCCCCCGTCATTACCCCAGCCACAGAAGCCGGTCATCAGCAGCTCCATAGAGGGCTGCCTACATCCAAAGGCATAGGGGGTATTGTTCACATTTCAACCACATTCTTCCAGTGCCAGAAGTAACCTTGCTGGGTCTGATTCCCAGCTCAATGCAGTGGCCTGATTAGCTGTCTGCCTGCCCCATCAGCTCTCTAGGGCTACCTGGGCACCCCAGCGCTGCCACAACCCTCTCTGGAGAGGAGAGCTAATGGGATTTGGCCACATCCCACTGCCACGGTCAGTCCTACGTCTCCTAAGTGCTCCACTTCGTCCCAAGTGCTGCAAAGGGGAAGGGCAGTTGCAATGATGGCCAAATATTGTGTCCCCTGAGGGAGTTTGCAAAGTGCTGTCTTATCTCCTAAGGCAACCCATGATGCAACACTGCTGGAAACGAGAATGGTCTAGAAGGCAGCAAGGCAGCTGTGCATGTCTGTCCAAGAGCCAGGAGCCGGGCACCTGCTCAGTTCAAAGCCTGATTTCACCTGCTTGCCACATCACTCCTGCAAGTCACATAACCTCTGCTTTAACACTTGCTAAGCACCATGCTAAGATTTCTCATGTGTCTGTGCACACATATGTCATTTAGCACCTTTATTCTTAGGTAAAGAGATCTTTAAGCTTACGTAGCCATAGAATAGTTTTTGTTTTTGTTTTTGAGGCAGGGTCTCACTCTGTAGCTCAGGCTGGAGTGAAGTGGCACTATCTTGGCTCACTGCAACCTCAACCTCCTGGGCTTAAGCCATCCTCCCACCTCAGCCTCCCAAATAGCTGAGACTACAGGCTCACACCACCACATCCAGCTGATTTTTGTGTTTTTTGTAGAAATGGGGTTTCGCCGTGTTGCCCAGTTTGGTCTTGAACTCCTGATCTCAAGCAATCCGCCTGCTTCAGCCCCCCGAAGTGCTGGGGTTACAAGCATGAGCCACCACACCCAGCTTAGAATAGTTTTTATGAACATCATTTTTGTGCACATAAAAAGATACAAGCAACATAAGTTACTTTTCTCTAATGTCAGAGTCTAATGTTTGTGAATCAGGCCCACAGTTTTTGACATAGCATCATCTTCCAAGCCATCATGCTTGCTAAGTGATTTATAATTAGCTCCTTCAGTCCTCACAACAACCTAAGTGGACAGGAGTATTGTTACCCCTGAAGTACAGATTCAAAAACTGAAGATCAGGGAGGTTAAGAAAATTGCCCAAGCTAACACAGCAAGAGGCTGGCTAACTCGAAAGCCCTTGCTAGAAATTTCCATTCTACTGCATCTCCTCCTTGCCTAGCTATGTGTTGCATGAAGAGAACACAGAGTAGGGCCAGGCAGATTTGGGTTTGTACACTACTTCTGCCACTTCCTTACACTCTGAGCGATCACTTAATCTCCCAGGACCTCATTTTCTCATGTGCAAATGGGAATTATGCAAGTCAAAAGGGCTTTAAGGGTGGTGGCTCAAACCTTTAATCCTAGCACTTCTGGAGGCGAAGGTGGGAGGACTGATGGAGCCCAGGAGTTTGAGACCAGCCTGGGCAACATAGTGAGACCCTGTCTCTACAAAAAATACAAAAATTAGCCAGGTGTGGTGGCACATGCCTGTAGTCCCAGCTACTTGGGAGGTTGAGGTGGGAGGATCGATTGAGCCTGGGAGGTCAAAGCTGCAGTGAGCCATGATCGTGCTACTGCATTCCAACCTGGGTGACAGAGCATGACCATCTCAAAAGAAAAAAAAGAAAAGAAAAGAAAAAGAAAGGAAAGGAAAGGATAGAAAAGAGAAGAGAGGAAAAGAAAAGAAAAGACAGAACGGTTTAAAATAGATAACAAAATACCTTCAAGGTGCCCTTTATCTTTCCCCCTCTTTCCTTGAGGATGACTTAGGTTAATTTTCTGAATCAAATTGAGAATCCATACAATGACTTAAGTCTCAGAAGTGCCTCTCCAGCCCCCATTTAATGACCAGCCTGTGTAGGAGTACAGATGTCTTGCTGTCCTTCCAGTCTGGGCCAGAATGGCTTCCACTGGTTGAATTCCTTCTGTGTACTGGGGTCATGCACCGAGGAGAGGTAACTAAGGTGCATACCCCAAGAACAGTACTAATAAGCAATCTTACAATCATAAACTCTGAGGCTCAGAAACCCTGGTCACCTGCCCTAGTCACCCAAATTGCATAGCTGTGAATTGGTGAAACTGGAATGTGAGCTTTAGGTCTGTCTGAGTGTGATTGTCAGTGCAAAATATCATGACATCAAAGTTACGTTCCCAAAATTAGCCAAGTGACCATAGTCCCGGCTACTGAGGAGACTGAGGTGGGAGGATTGCTTCAGCCCAGGAGATGGAGGTTGCAGTGAGCTGTGATTGAACCACTGCACTCCAGACTGGACCATGGAGTGAGAGCTTGCCTCTTAAAAACAAAACAGAAAGTTGCATTCTGTGGCCGGGCACAGTGGCTCACACCTATAATCCCAGCACTTTGGGAGGCCGAAGCAGGTGGATCACCTGAGGTCGGGAGTTCAAGACCAGACTGGCCACGCGGTGAAAGCTTATCCCTACTAAAAATACAAAAATTAGCCGGGCACGGTGGCGCATGTCTGTAATCCCAGCTTCTCCGGAGGCTGAGGTGTGAGAATCGCGTGAACCCAGGAGGCAGAGGTTGCAGTGAGCCGAGATCACGCCACTACACTCCAGCCTGGGTGACAAGAGTGAGACTCTGTCTCAAAAAAAACAAAGCAAAAAAGTTGCATTGCTCAAGAATGTTAGATAAAGACAGAGCAGGCTTATTAGAAAAAGTCTTAGCACAATGTATGTGTGTGTGTATAAATGTATAAGTCAAACTTGATATCTACCTTTTGGTTATGAATCTGTGACTCCCAATGACTTGGACATTTGAGCTGTGTCCACTGCAACACTTTAAACTGTGACAATAATTTCCTATCCCTGTCCACTGCACCAAGCAGCTAAGATCAACTGTTTTATTTCCTCCTTAGCAATAGTTTATATTGTTGAAAACCTCTTTTGTGTGTCAGCTCCAGGACAGGGATGTTTTCATACTCACCATTTTTTTCCTAGCACCCATGAGTGCCCAGCACACAGAAGGAAAATGATAAATACCAGTTGAATGAATACACTGCAAATATGAATTTGAACATCCAAAATATTAATTTTTTGCTTTAAAATAACAATATCTTTATTTTAACTCCTTATGAACTATTTTCAGTTCCGTTTTGTAAATATCCACTGAGCATCTACAATGTATCAGGCATTGTTAGGTGGTACCAAAGAACAAAGGTAATTATAATGATGCTCATACACAATCCACTTATTTCTCAAGAATGGAGAGGAACACGAGGCAAAGACGGGGATCCCAGAGATGAGAAGCCACCCCCAAAGGGCAAAGTTTGGGACTTGAATCCAGTCTTAAGACTTTAATGTGGCCAGGTGCGGTGCCTCACGCCTATAACTCCTAGCACTTTGGGAGGCCAAGGCAGGCAGATCATGAGGTCAGGAGTTCGAGACCAGCCTGGCCAGCATAGTGAAACCCCATCTCTACCAAAAATATAAAAATTAGCTGAGTGTGGTGGCGCATGTTGGCACATGCCTTTAGTCCCAGCTACTAAGGAAGCTGAGGAAGGAGAATCGCTTGAACCCAAGAAGCAGAGGCTGCAGAGAGCCAAGATCATGCCACTGCACTCCAGCCTGGGTGACAGTGTGAGATTCCATCTAAAAAAAAAAGACATTAAATCTTTAATGTGGTCTTGTGTGTGTGCATGTGTGTGTTTTGTTTGTTTATGAGTTGGGGTCTCGCTCTGTTGCCCAGGCTGGAGTGCAGTGATGCAATCATGGTTCACTGCAGCTTCCACCTTCAGGTCCAAGTGATCCTTCCACCTCAGGCTCCTGAGTAGCTGGGACCGCAGGCACGCACCACCATTCCCAGCTTATTATTATTATTATTATTATTATTATTATTATTATTATTATTATTCGTGGAGATATGGTCTCGCTGTGTTGCCTAGGCTGGTTTTGAACTCCAAGGCTCAAGCGATCCTCCCACCTCAGCCTCCCAAATTGCTGAGATGACAGGAGTGGGCCCCCCCTCCGCCCAGCCTAAACCTATAATTTGTTCACTCAGGACCCTCCCCTCTTCCACACACCCCAGCTGCTGCCCAGGAACCCAGGGGAGCAAGTCGTTAGCAAGTGGGACTCATTTCCAAGGACAATGTTTGCCCATAATGAGGTGTTAGCTGAGGAAATGAGGACTGGGCCCATGGGTCCCTTATCCCAGGTTATTTGTTTGGCCCTAGTGCTATTTCCCTCTAACACCACCAGTGTAGAGAAGAAAAGGAGTTTCTTATTTTGGAGATACTTTTTAGGTTTACATGCATATCTAATTTTTTTCACAAGTAAAACATGAATGTGGTGTTTTTGTGCAAAGATAAAACAATAGCGATGAGGCTCAAGTCGCTGTAATTATCAGTCCCAATCCCAGGCCCCAGCCCTGGGCCCCCACCCTAGAGGTGACCCACCCACCCGAGGTGACCACTACTGTTAATTCCATGTATATTCTTTTTTTTTTTTTTTTTTTGAGATAGAATCTTGCACTGTCCCCCAGGCTGGAGTGCAGTGGCACGAATTCGGCTCACTGCAACTTCCACCTCCTGGGTTCAAGCAATTCTCATGCCTCAGCCTCCTGAGTAGCTGGGATTACAGGCACGCTGCACTACCACGCCTGGCTAATTTTTGTATTTTTGGTAGAGACGGAGTTTCACCATGTTGGCCAGGCTGATCTCGAACTCCTGACCTCAGGTGATCTGCCCACCTCGGCCTCCCAAAGTGCTGGGATTATAGGCACGAGCCACTGCACCCGGCCAATTCTATATATATTCTTCCAGACCTTTTCCTCTTGCTTTTATATTTATTTCTCAAATATGATACAACACTCACTATGTGCCAGGCATTGTTCTAACAGCCTTTCATATTTATATTTATGAACCTGTATGTCATATATATGTGAATTATATATAAACACACAAACACCCCCCACACACAGACACACATGCGAACACGTAATCACACTATGCTCGAGTTCTGTAACTTCTCTTTGTCCCTCAGCAATATGTCTTGGAGATCTTTCTACATCAGTTCCTGTAAGATGGCCTTTCAGAAAAGAACACAGCCAGAGGGGAAAAAAAAAAAAAGATTGCCTTATTATCTTCAACGGCTGTGTGCTTATTCATTACAAGAGCGTCCCTGGCTTATTTAATTAGTACCCTACTGGTGAACATTTAGGTTGTTTTGATTTTTTAAAAAATATTTATTTATTTATTTATTTATGAGATGGATTCTCATTCTGTTGCCCAGGCTAGAGTGAGGTGGCACAGTCATAGCTCGCTGTAGCTTTGAACTTCTGGGCTCAAACCATTCTCCCACCTCAGCCTCCCAAGTAGTTGGGACTAGAGACGCACACCACCTAGCCCAGCTTCAATTTTGTTTTAAAATTTCAAACAATGTTGCATGAATGTCCTCCCACAGATATTACATATGTTAAGAGTAGAAGGGTTTCCAGCTCAGATTTACTTAGGAGGTCTTAAGTCTTAACCCTTAGTGGATTAATCTATGAATACCATATACTGCAACCAAATGGGTCATCAGTGGGTGATAGGGAGGAGGGGAGGGAGGGTGTGGAGTTATAATTGAAGTCCCATCTGATATCTGCCCCTTCGCCCTGGGCTTTCTGGGAAGGAAGAGATAGGTTAAGGACTGACCTCTGCCTTGGGAGGACCCCACCCTCCCAGCACAGGGACTCTCAGCTTCTAGACTCTTCACAGTGAAAGCTACATTGGTTCTTACTAAAGTAGAATTGGAGTGGCTTGCTTTTCGAAGGAGCAAAGGTCTGTGCAGAGGCAGATCAGGCTGCATTGAAGGGGTTCCGGGGGCCACGAGCCCCAGGGCTACCCGGAGGCCTAGCAACAAATGGAAGTGACAAGGCTTCCAGCTCTGACAACTGTTTTTGTTTTTGGCTTTTTTTTTTTTTTTGAGACAAGGTCTCACTCTGACTCCCAGGTTGGAGTGCAGTGGCACAATCTCAGCCCACCCCAACCTCCACCTCCCAGGTTCAAGTGATTCTTGTGCCTCAGCCTCCTGAGTGGCTGGGATTACAGGCGCGCGTCATCATGCCCGACTAATTTTTCTATTTTTAATAGAGACAGGGTCTCACCATGTTGGCCAGGCTGGTCTCAAACTCCTGGCCTCAAGTGATACCCCTACCTCAGACTCCCAAAGTGCTGGGATTATAGGCGTAAACCACCATGCCTGGTCCAGCTCTGACATCTGAAGCGTGTCGCTGGGCTTCTCTGGCCCTTGGTTTCCCCATCAGTAAGACTTCCTAGTTCCTGCCAGCCAGCCCCTATTGCTCTAATCTGAGAATCAAATGAAGTCGTGGAGAATTGCGATTCCAAAGTGAAGCACCATTTTCTTTGGAAATTCCCTGGGGTGGGATTTGAGCCTTTTGTTATGCAGATAGCAGGCTCTGGCATCTATCTCTAAGTGGCTCCAGATAGCCAGGCTTTGTAGTCCCTTAATGAATAACTTCCTTCAAATGTTTGTGTGGGAGAGCTGGGGGCCTTAATAGAGAAAAAAAATCCCTTAACTTGCTAAGGACTTCACACTTGTAACAATTGCTGTAGGCATTTGAGGAGTGCCTACTGTGCACCCTTCATGCCCAGCTCAGGGATCTCTCGCTGCCTTGAGAAGAGGGTCATGCCTCTGATTTTACAGAAGAGAAGCCTGAGGCTCAGAGGCTGGCTCCAGCTCAGACCCCTCCAAAGCATCAGAGGGGGAAGTTGGTCTAGCAACAAAGCCTGGATTTTAGCCAGGACACCACCCACAGGGAAACAGCACAGGCTCCTCTCCAGAGCTGCTGCCTGGGCATTGGAAGCTTTGGAATCAGACAGAAGTTGCTGAGCTCTGCCGGCACTGGACATGATGCTGTCAGCTCCACCTCTGGGATCGTTCTTCTGGCTGAGCCAAGCAATGATCTTTCTTTTACTGGCTTTGTCCCCATGTAGGGGCAGGGATAGTAACCATGATCTCAAAGCACACCCAAAAGGTGGAGGAGGGCCTGCTAATAATACATGCCACTGCTTCAGACTTTTTCAGCCAGGCGCAGTGGCTCACACCTGTAATCCCACCACTTTGGGAGGCCGAGGTGGGCAGATCACCTGAGGTCAGGAGTTCGAGACCAGCCTGGCCAACATGGGAAACCTGTCCCTGACTCTACTAAAAATACAAAATTACCCAGGCGCGGTGGCACACGCTTGTAATCCCAGCTACTTGGGAGGCTGAGGCAAGAGAATTGCTTGAACCCAGGAGGTGGAGGTTGCAGTGAGCCAAGATTGCACCATTGCACTCCAGCCTGGGTGGCAAGAGAGAAACTCTAAAAAAAAAGAAAAAAAAAAAAGACTTTTTCAACTAGTCAAGGCCAAAAGAAAAGCACAGTGAGAAATCAGTTGTGTCCAGGGCCTTGGTCCAAGTGACTGACATTTCTGCCCCTCAGTGGGAAATGGGACACTCGAATTAAATGCTGATGGGTGGCAGGTGTGTCTGAGCCAAGAGAGAACATGCAGTTTGTTTCCTGATTACTCTCCCATTTTACAGATGAGAAAAGGAAGACTCCAGTGACGGCTCCAATGTTGACTCAATTCTCAAGCTTTCTTCCCTCAAGACCTACCCAGAGGACTAAGGGACGGTCCATTGGGGTGTGTCAGTGCTCAGGTTCAAAGGTGACGGTCGGCCCGCCTGTGTACACAGGTGTGACTGAAGAGACACAGGTGTTCCCTGCAGGCTGACCCACTCCTGTGCTCACATTGGCTGCCCAAGGATTCCAGCCAGCTTCTAGGGGAGCTGCCTGGGCTGACAGATAGACAGACCTTCTCCCTAACTCCTCCTTTATCTATTTCAGGAGAGTACCCACTTAATGTAATTAGACTCTCCTGCTAATGGTCTCTGGCCTGGAACTTGGGGAGCTCTTGAAGCAAAGAGATGGGGATGGGAGGTAAGAAGGCAAGGTGACAATGTATTCTTCCTTTAAACAAAGAGTTACTTAGCACACTCACTGGGCCAAGGCCTGTGGTCAGCTGGTGGGAGACACGGAGCTGAGTCAGGTGCTGATTTGGGCATACTTGTGTGGTCCCAGGTCAGACACTTCTGACTCCAAGCAGACTTGTTCTGGAGCACAGACAGGTCCCAACAATTATCTCTAGGTCTTCAGAGTGGGAAAGGCCACGTCCACATGGCTGGATGGGGAAGCCAGGTCTGGACATGCAGAGCCAGCAGAGAAAGGTAATGGAGCAGGAGAGGACAGAGCCGGCCAAGGCACAGAGAGTGAGCAGGATGGAGCCGAAGAAGCTCCCCACGTGGCCAGTGTCCCAAGTCCCAAGGAAGGTGGTGGGAGGGAGGGCAGAAAAGGTCATTTGGTGCCAGGGAACAAAAGGTCTTGCTTTCCAGCTTGAGGCATTTCACTTATTTTACAAGAATTGGTATGGTAGGATGTAAGAGGGTGGCTTTTGAAGATGAACAGAACTGAGTTCACATCCAGGCCTCAGTTGAAAGACCTGGGCAGGTAACAACCCCTTGCCTGACCTTGATGTCCTCACCTGTAACAGGTGACAGCAACAGGGCCCACCTCCCAGGAGCATAGTGACCATTTGCAGAGCATGTGGAGATGGTCCTTTCCTTTTCCCTCGCTTCTGGGCTAGCCCTTCACGGTTTTATTCCAAGTCCATTTGCTCCATTTTCTAGAACAACTGGACTGGTGGAGTGCTACCATGCTAGCTCCTTCTGCTTTACGCTTTAGCATGCAGACATTTGATCTCATTTAGAACACGAACCCATAAAAGGCAATTTGTGTTTTTTTTTTGTTTGTTTGTTTTTTGACAGAGTTTCGCTCTTGCCACCCAGGTTGGAGTGCAATGGTGTGATCTCGGCTCACTGCAACCTCCACCTCCCAGGTTCAAGCGATTTTCCTGCCTCAGCCTCTCCAGTAGCTGGGACCATAGGCACCTGCCACCACACCCAGCTAATTTTTGTATTTTTAGTAGCGACGGGGTTTCACCATATTGGCCAGGATGGTCTTGAACTCCTGACCTCAGGTGATCCACCCGCCTCTGTCTCCCAAAGTGCTGGGATTACAGGCATGAGCCACCACACCCGGCGTAAAAAGGCAATTTGTTACTAGGTTGGGAGACCCAGGTCAGTACCAACAGAGATCCAAGGAGCAAGATTTCCCGGTGACTCCAGCTTTGTAAGCAAAAAATATTCAGTAAGGAATTTCCCTGAAATATGGAGTGGTATGCATTCGCCACACATATTCAATATCCACCTTTCATCAGAAGTGCCAGAATACCGCTGCCAAGGAGAGAGCTTTGAAAAGCAACTCACTCTGCCTCTGCTCTCCTTTATGAAAAGACTTGAATGGTGAACAAGTTATTTTAAAAATTATTTCAAGTCAAACATTCACTTGATCACCCTAGTCTAGTTTAACTTGGAAAGCTACTTTCTGAGGGTTTTGGAAAAAAAAAAAAAAAAAAGAATGGCCACAACTTAAACCAGAATGTGGATAACATTATCAAAAACTTATGTTGCCATCTCAGAGTCAACAGGAGTCACTTTAAGACACAAATAATTTCAGAATTCTAGAGTTTCAGAGAAAGTATTATCATTAGTTGGGCATGAACATGTCTTGATGTCACCATTTCGCTTGCAAATACTGTATTGACCTACCAGGCAGAGCTGGAAATAACTATATCTACAAACCCCAAGAGAAGGGAGTAAAATGTTCTTTAGGGACCTGCTTTTTTTTAAGAAAAAAAGTCTGTGAGGTATCACATAGACAAGAGACATTCTTTTTTAGTTCAGTTGTCCTCTGTTTGGCTCATATACTGAATTCCCCAAGCTATCATTACTATGAACAGACTACTTTCTCCCCTAATGTATAAATTACAAATAACCCAATGACATGGGAGATGGACCCTTGTGATTTTAAACCCAAGAACTCCTGGTCTGCAGAAAGAATTTTACTGCTGAGTGAAACCAAATCCACAGCGTGGATCAGGAATCATTCCATTTTTTGTCCCTGGCTGTGGTTATATACCCCAAACAAGAAACACACACACACACACACACACACACACTCCAGAAAGGAGGTGAGAAGGAAGCTGGTATTGACTGAGCCAATTGGGCAAAACAAAGGAGGAAGGGGTTAAGGGCAGTGGGGTGTGTGTGTGTGTGTTTATGAGTGTGTGTGGAAGAGGGTATATTACAACATTCTTGATCCCTCGGCTAAGAAAACACAATGAAAGGCTCAACACAAATCAAACAAATTGAAAGTTGAGGTTGTTTCTGAGAATTTTCCTCCTCTTTCCCATCAGGAATAAGCAGGGAAGAACTGGCCTGATTATCTAAACAGCCTGGTAGGGGCTCTGTCTTCTAAGCTGCTGGTCAGTCTGTACTATCATTGAGTCATAGGGTCAGATTCTATGGAGGGTGGGACTGAGCAGGTAACATGACCTGTGGCCTCTGAAAGTGGTTCCCCCCACCCCCACTACCACCAATTTTCTCTTTCTCTGCCTAACTCCTCCTGCTTCTGGTTTCTGCACATAAGCAGTGGGCAAAGGAGTATGGCTGCTTCTTTAAAAGGCAAACAAAAATTAATGGGCCCAAGGAAGTGACCTTCTAGGAGGTCAGAACACTTCAAAACCACTACTTTGAAAGACAAGACACACCTATTGTTCGTTTCCTCATTTCAGTGCTTACAGAGCATCAACAAGTCTGGGTGGGGTGGCTCACACCTGTAATCCTAGCACTTTGGGAGGCTGAAGTGGGTGGAGATCATCTGAGGTCAGGAGTTCGAGACCAGCCTGACCAACATGGTGAAACCCCATCTCTACTAAAAATACAAAATTAGCCAGGCTTGGTGGTGTATGCCTGTAATCCCAGCTACTGGGGAGGCTGAGGCAGGAGAATTGCTTGAACCCAGGAGGCAGAGGTTACAGTGAGCTGAGATCACAACATTGCACTCCAGCCTGGGCAACAAGAGTGAAACTCTGTTTCAAAAAAAAAAAAAAAAAAAAAAAAACTATCAACAATGCTGCCTGACATAAAGTTCACTTCCAGATCTGGAGATGATGTACCAGCAAATGGCCATTTCATCCAGTCTTGTTGAAAAAGATGAAGATGCTGACAAAGCTCCTTATTACACGGTCCACAGATATTCAACTTTCTAGACATGTAACACTGTCTCCCAGGCATGGTGAGCGTTCCCAGAACATTCAGTTTCATTTTGTGATGTTCCTTCCTTAAAAAACAAACTCAAAAACCCTCAGTCTCCCAACTTATCTCTTAAGTATTAAGTGCCCTTCTTTTACCCCCCAAAATATATCTTGTCCAGCTAATTTTGATCATAAGCACTTTTGGGGGCTACATTTCCCAAAGTTAAGCAGCTGAAGCTACAGAACTATTTTATTAGCAAATCAATTGTTTTTTCAGGAAATTTAAAGCTACTGCTAATGGGGGAAAAGTGTACCCTTATTCATTTCAAAATGTACTGAAAGGCTAGACTGAAGTGTAGAAGCTTAGAAAAAAAAAAGCCTTCTGCTTTTCTTACATCATCAAATGTGTCATTTCCTTCCCAGATTGCTGACCAATATGATAAGCTGGAATGCATAAGAAATGTAAACAAAACACCTCCTTCTGTCTTTCTCAGCGTGTCTTTTTTTCTTAATTAGATTTCGCCCCAGAATGATCTTTTTAATTAAGAGGATCTCAATTTGCTCAGGCGGCTCAACTGTTTACAAAGGAACTGGTCTCCCTTGTCAAGTGAGCATTCTTTCTCCCCAGTTCCTTCAAAACTTCACAAAAGGGGTGGCGTCTCTCAGAAAGTCTGTATATGACAAAACTGACACATAGGATAAATACGGCAAGACTGTGAGAGCAGATGGGAAGGAGCAGCGCTCGCCCCACCAGAGTACGCAGGAAATCAACGTGTGGCCCGGTCTCGCACTTGGGAGGGCAACCTTATGGGACGCTTTGAATCCCCATTGGTGACCCGCAGTCCAATCCACATTCCTTGGCTTATTTACGGGAGACGGATATATTAGCAACAAATGGGTTTATGCAGGTATGTATGTGTTTCAAAAACCCTGGCAGCCCAGGGAGGGCTCTGAACTGTGCCCTGCACGGACTTTGCAGTTCCCACGGAGAAAAACCCCCGTGCATGGCTCATATGAGCCATTTGTGTCCAGCCATTCTGTGCCCTGGATGAGTTTTGCATCTTAATGGGTTCTGTGACACAGAGCGATTTCCCTGGTAACATCCTGAAATGATACCTAGATTTTTAACACCTATTTGTGTGTTGGACTGATTAGCTCGGCCCTAAGACAAGCATTTAATGGCATGCTAGTCAGTTCCCAGCCCTGCTTAAGTGTCCCCTCAGACGGGCTGGCTTAAAGAAAACTGACAGAAATGTTCTTTAATAACTATGGTTTATCCATTTCTTTCAGATAGTAAGTGGCACGTTCTCACCTCATTTGTAGCTTTTAATCCCAAATGGACATTGCTTTTGAAATATCCCCTTTCTTTCTTTTCTTTTTTTCTCCCCCTGAGGCTGCCACTTGAAAGTTGAAATCTAGCAAGATTGTAATGGTAGGTACCAGCTTTCTGAATTACAGGGTGACTGCCTGGGCTGATCCTAAAAAGCAAGTGTCTTTTTTATACCGCATAAAAGGCTGAAATGTTTACATATCAAAAGGCTATAGGCCAATTTCTGTCAAAATTACACATGAAGTTAAGCAGTACAAGCAATTTATTTAAACACTAGTCATTGTAGAAAAATTCAAAACCATATGCTCTTTAGCAGTTTTTCACAAATGCATTTGACCCATGACTTGGCTAGACATACAAGCTTCATAATTTACTCTAAATTTCAAATCCCCTTGACGTTTAAATAAAAGATCTTCATTAATGAGGTTTACATGAATGAAAACTTTAGAAGCAGATATCAGTTAGCGAAGGGCTTCGTTCTAATTTTCAAATGACTGACTTTGCTAATCATTTCAAGAGAAACTTCTTCTGAGAACAAATTATCGTCATTTGCATTCTGTGACTTGCAAAAGCAAAGGTGCAGTCATTTTGAAACAAATTTTGGTAAATAGCCCGGCTGAAATCGGATTTCTGCAACCCCGGAAAGTCCAAGCTATTTATTTATTTATTTATTTATTTATTTATTTTTCTAAGGCCTTGGGAACACGTCATTTTTCGATAGCCCCTTCTTCTCTTCTCTTCTCTTCTCGTCTCTTCTCTTCTGTTGAGCTTCCCTAACACCTTGATTATTTCGTCCTTAGGGGATCGGGTGCTTTTATTTGGAGCGTTGGAAAACTTCTAGCAAAAAATCAGCTAGAAAGCTCCCTTACGCCCTCCGCTCCGAAAGCAGGAGACCCAGCTCTAATGCGCGCTGCCCCTTAGCCAGGAGGCATTTGCGCCTCTGGCTCTACTCCACCCACCCAACCTCACACGGACAATCCCCTGGGGCTACCGGAGATGTCCTCCAGAAAGCAGCAGAGCCATGGAACGGGGTTTGAGCACTTAGCTTTGAGACTGGATTTTTTAAAAGTCCCAATACAAACAACACAACCATTCCGCTCAGTGAGGACGGCTGAGGTCTCGGCGCAGCACGCGGGCTGCAGGGGGCTCTGCGCATTGCTCCTAATTCCTCTGACCCCGCTAATGCGCCCTCCGATGAGGGCTCCGTACCTTGAAAAGGACACACCGGCTTTTTGCACATGACACGAAAAATCCGACTTAAACGCATCCGATTGTGAACTCTGCTCTGTGGCCGGGCAGGAGACGGAGAGAATTAAGAAAGTTCCTGAAACGAACCGTAAGAAGTTGGGGTCGAAGATGCATTATTTTTTTACAGTTATGCGGAATGGGGTGTAAGGATAGTGGGGCGACAGTTTTCTCCCTGACAAAAATACCTTGGGGCGGGAGAAGATACTCACACGCATACTCCAAAGTTGGACACTGTTTTAAATCAGAGAAGCAATTTAATCTACACTCTATGAATCAATTTAGTGATGACCGCAGTGCAAAAGCGCCGTGACAGATGCCGAACGGCAAATAGACCTTATGCATGTGGAATCCGCTGAGCTATTCTTTAATATCTTAAAAATGAGGACTATTACTGGGGCGAGTGACTCCTCAACAAACACATTTTCATAGACTTCTGCGTGGTGATTGCTTTGTGTGAAATCGTGTTTGGGTGATAATAGGGAAAATCAGCGGCATGTTTACTGCATTTCCGACCTAAGCGCTCGCCGGCTGCCTCTGGACGCTCGCGGTCCTCCCATGCTGAGCTGTGCGTGCGGGGCCGACAAACAATCGCTTAGCAACACGAGGTGGACAATTTGCGTGCGTCGCATTTGTTATTCCAATTGCGCCAGGCGATGCGGGGCCCTGATGGTTTGTTTAGCACGTTGAGGACACTTGTGAGTTTCCGCCCGCCGAGGCGCAGTGCGAGCACCGAGCGCCGACTGCCTTTCCCGGGGCCTGCCTCCGCGCGGCTGCAGATTGAAGGGGCAACCCGATGGGGGAGGTCCCGCCGCGCAGGGGTGAGCTCCCCTAGAGCTCCGGCAGAGTGTCTGGAGCTGTGTGGCCTTGGGGTTCCTGTGACCCCCTTCCCGGAAAGTCCCCTCTGCGGCAGCACTCGCTTTTCCTTATTTTAGACCCAGCTGATGTAGGAACCCTGTCCTTGTCTGGGGGCGGAGGTGGGGACAGCACACTCCTTTGTCTCAATGAAAAATAAACAAGAAAATGCCCCCAAGTTCATCCCCAACCTCCTTGGCGAACGGATGACAATTACCAAGTCTCATTAAATGTTAGGGTTGCAAAGGGACCCAATGAATGTTGGTGTTGGTTTGATCAACTAAAATCCTGAGGCCTCCAGAGAAGGGATGATTTGCAAGGTGGCAAGGTTGGGTCTGCAACTCTGACGCTCAGATTCTGTACAGGGCTCAGCTGGTACAGCGGAGGGCTGCAGGAAAGCACAGGCGCAGTATAGCAGTTTGCTAAACCTGGTTATTAAAAAGAACAATGTTCCAGGTGGAAGGGGAGACGGAGGGGTGTGTGGAGGTGGTTGTCTGATACTTTTAAAAACATGGAGACACTTTTTTTAGGTCTGCGGTTGAAATCTTGACACTCTCCTGATTTGGCATCTTTGCAAGAACAGGACGAGGAATCTGCCCCAAGCGTCAGGTGGCACTTGTGCCTCTGCCCGGCTCAGACAAAGGTCTTAAAAGATCCACTCACACGCGCACCGCAGCGCACACCCAGCCTCCAACACAAACGCAGGCAGTCACTGATAAGTTGCAGCCTCTAGTTGTCGTCCATCAACTGCCCTGTAGCTTTAAACCTGGGAAAGATTGGTGGGGGAGTATCTGCCCTGGAGCATGGTGACTTAAGTCTCTGAGAACGGAACAACAATAAAAAAGACTTCATCCTAGTCAGTGGGAGATGGAAGGTGCCTCACTTCTTACCCTAGACCTGACCTCTCTAAGGGGAGGGTCACACTCCCTCTTTGTTTTTATTGTTAAAAAAGAAAAAAAGGAAAACTCTATTCACTTCCCCAAATTGAGACCCATCTCCGTCATGTCCTAATCCCCATTTACAACCACCTCTAGTTTGCGCAGCACTGGAAGGAGCAACTCTCAGGCCACAAGCTGGTGGCCGTGAGGACACAGAGGTCCACGCTGGGAGGCCTAGGAGGAGAAACGTCGCCGCCTGGCTCCACTGGGCCGCTTCTGCGCGCCGCCACAGTAGTGCCCTCGGACAGGACTAAACCTCCGTGCAATGGCTCTTTGAAACCCGAACAGAAATTGACAAGTGGGCTTTCCCCTTTGCCCCTGAGCCGGGGAGTGGGCAGCCCACTTACTTAGCCTTACGGCGGCGACTTCAGACAACTTTGCGGGGTCCCTTGGTTAATTAGCCTGAGAGAAATCGCGAAAAATAGGTGTGAGTTAAAGGCGGACTTCCTTCAGGAAACCCGAGGTCTCCCGCAACCCCATCTCCCTCTCCGGCTCTCGGGGGTATCGCCTGGGTCGGGTACTGCCCCTTCCCCTGGAGTGGCCTGAGTTGCAAGCCGGGAGCTTGCACCCGGTCCACAGGATCTGGGGGACTGCTTTTGTTCCGCGCGTACCGTCGCCTACCTTCTCGAAGGGCGCTCGGCCGCCTGCTTGCCGTGAGTGGTGGGCTGGCTGCGCCTCCCGTGGCTCGGGCAGGCTGGCCGTGCCATGCCGAGAATCCCGCAAATCATCGCGGCCGCCTGCCGCTATCAGACCCGGCCATCGTCCAGGCCACTGCGGCCCAGGGAATCCACTCTGGGCCTGCCAGGCGGAAGGGCAGGCCTACCGGCAGCCAGCAGGTCGTAAGGAAAAATGCGACCCAATTATTGGGGAAGAAGATAGGGAAGTCCCAAAGACCCCATCTGGATTGAAAATCAAAAAAATAGTTTGGGAGAGAAGGCACCACATTTCCAAAACTAATTTTTTAAAAGCACAAAAACTACCGACACCCACGCTGGGAGCAGCTAGAAGCACCGCTTCAGACTGCAACTCTTGGTGGCGAATTTTAAAGAGCGGCTGAATTTGGTCTTCGCTGTGTAGGACCTAGGGACTGCCATGGTAGTTTTCAGACCCAGAGTGGCTGGAAAAAAAAATCTTTTTAAGAAGCACGATGCACCCCTCCTTTAGTCGTTTTTGCCTTTACAAAATTTGGATTTTACAAAACCAAAAGTTTTTTGGGGGGGTTAACAAGTTCCATTCGGGAGAGAAACTCAAGATTTAAAAAAGAGGTAAATCAGGCGGTGAGTACGTGGGGGCGCGGAGGAGTGGTGGAATTTTCAATCCTGCTTGAGAGGGGATGCAGCCCCTCACATTTTCTAAAACAAAACCAATTCCGAAAGGGGGAAAAAAGTAGCCCCAAAGTAAAATCGTCCACAATGAATTTGAGCTACAGGCAGAGGAAATCGCACCCAATAATAGGACCCAATCTGAGAAAAAAGGGTGGGGGTGGAGAGCTCGGGCGGAGGGAGTTGTTAACTGCGGCGGCACAAAGGAATTAATGAGATTAACCAAGGCAATTAGGCCGCCCGCCCAGCTCGGCCGGCCCGCGGCCCGGCTGCCGAATGGAAAAGATTAGGTTAATTTCATTAATTCGCAATCCACAATCTCTTTTCAGGCCTTGTAACCCCCTCCCCTTGGCACCTCTCCCCCTCCCCCCAACCCTCTTCCCCCACCCAAAGGAAAAGAAAGGGCCAAATCTGGTTCTGTTTGTCATCTGCATATTACCAGGAACTAAATCCAGGATGACGTCGACTCAGTATAAAACCAACAAGAGGTTCAGCTGGTCTGAGCTCCGTCCTACCCGCGGGTTGAGTTCAGCGAACGCTGCGGCTAGGGGAGGGCGGGAGGAGGGAGAGCGGACGCAGGGGGCGGGGAGGGGCGCAGGGCTGCGCGCTCGCCGGCGCTCTCTTTCGGTTTGGTCGGCGGCTGGAGGAGAGTGGACCCCCCCACTTTAAGGCTCTGTCCTCGGCGCGTTCCCGCCGCCCCCCGGTCCCGACGCGGGGCTCGGGGATGCCCGCCAGCATGTTCAGCATCGACAACATCCTAGCCGCCCGGCCGCGCTGCAAGGACTCGGTGTTGCCGGTGGCGCACAGCGCGGCGGCTCCCGTCGTCTTCCCGGCCCTGCACGGGGACTCGCTCTACGGCGCCAGCGGCGGCGCCTCCTCGGACTATGGCGCCTTCTACCCGCGCCCCGTGGCCCCCGGCGGCGCGGGCCTCCCGGCCGCGGTCAGCGGCTCCCGCCTCGGCTACAACAACTACTTCTACGGGCAGCTGCACGTGCAGGCGGCGCCCGTGGGCCCGGCCTGCTGCGGGGCCGTGCCGCCGCTGGGCGCCCAGCAGTGCTCCTGCGTCCCGACGCCCCCAGGTAGGGTCGCGCTCGCTCCGGCCTCTGCCGCCCACTGCGGTCCTTAGCCCATGGAGCCGGTTGGTTAATTCACCTTCCTCAAACTTTGCTCCTCTTGCAACTCCCCCCTCCGCTTTTGCCGATCGGGCGCAGGAGTTTGCAAACTTCTTGCTGCAAACTTTTGGCCAGAGTTCGCGAAAACTGGAATTCAGTGCCTGCCCGGGGAAACTGGGTTTTGTTTTGTTTTGTTTTGTTTTGAATTCTCTTACTGGCTTTGGCGGGTGTGCGGATGGATGCTCTAACACGCCTCCTCCTTTTCCCTGCACCCCTGATTCCCGTGCACCCCCAATTCTCAGCATCCCCTTGCAGACGACTTCTAAGTGGAAGAGGGTCGGGGGCTGGCGGGCGTGCATGCGTGCGGTGGCGAGGGCGGGCGGCTGACCGTGCGCCCCACTCTGTCGCAGGCTACGAGGGCCCCGGTTCGGTGCTGGTGTCCCCGGTACCGCACCAGATGCTGCCCTACATGAACGTGGGCACGCTGTCGCGCACCGAGCTGCAGCTTCTCAACCAGCTGCACTGTCGGCGGAAGCGGCGGCACCGCACCATCTTCACTGACGAGCAGCTCGAAGCTCTCGAGAACCTCTTCCAGGAGACCAAGTACCCGGACGTGGGCACGCGCGAGCAGCTGGCCCGGAAAGTGCACCTCCGCGAGGAGAAAGTGGAGGTAGGCGCCGGGGCCTGCCGTGGGCGCCTAGCGGTCCTTCCCCGCGAGGTGGGGCCCCAGTCGGGTTTGCCCAGCCCTGCTTGGCTCTCCCCGCACTTTAAAAACATCCCGATGGCGGCCCGCAGGCTGCTGGAGGGCGCTTTAGGCCCAGGAAGTTGAATGAAAACGCGGAAGCGGGAGCGAGCGGCTCCCCTCCTTTTGTTGGCCTGCGCGGGGTGTCCCGCCGCCACACCAAGCTCCCCGGGTGCCCCGGGACTGGGGGAAGCGCGCCTTTGATCTGAACTGTTTTGTCCTCCGTTGCGCAACAGGTCTGGTTTAAGAACCGCCGCGCCAAATGGAGGCGGCAGAAGCGGTCCTCATCAGAGGAGTCGGAGAACGCGGAGAAGTGGAACAAGACGTCGTCGTCGAAGGCGTCACCGGAGAAGAGGGAAGAGGAAGGTAAAAGCGATTTGGACTCGGACAGCTGACGGCCGCGGGACACTTGCCCGTATTACTTACCTAACTCGAAGGACTTGCACAGACAGACGATGCTACTTTCTTGCACACGCGCTGCCTTGCGGGAGGGGGTCGAGAAAGAGGAACGAGGAGCTGTAAATAGTGTACAGAGCCGGGAGGGTCGGCGTCTGGGGTCAGGGCGCGCACAGCCCAGCAGCCCGAGGCCGCCCGCGACTAGCCCCCACCGTAGTATTTATAGTTAAATTAAGGGTGACAGTACAATAAAGTGATGGCGATGTAGACGGGCCACATTCTGTATTTCATACCCCCCGCCCCACCCACCCACCACCATCAGTCTGGAGCCAAGAAAAGAAGTCTATGTAGTCCGTAACCTCCGGAGGAAAAAACTGAGCAGCTATGATCTACCTAAACAAACAAACAAACAAGAAATGAAGCTCTGGGTAACAGTCACAGCATGGGTGTCCTGGTTTAAAAGGAAACCTTATGTCTAGGAAGGTTTGGAGAGTAGCATTGCTGGGCCAGAGCCGGGAGGAGGTACCATTGCAGTTGAGAGGGGCAGCCTGGGTCCCTGACTCCCCTCTGCCGAGGGCAGAAGGAGCACTTCTTCCCTCACTGATGAGGTGGGAGCTAGGGGAGTCCGGGAGCTCCCACGGAGCCCACTGCTCCAAGCTGCTCAGCCCTGCTTCTGAGAAACCTAAGGCGGCGGGTCCACGGGGGAATTAGGCAGCGGGCATGCCACCTCCCCCAGCGCTTTCCTGGAACTTCCACAGATGCTCCAGCTGCCCAGCTCCACATGCGAGTTGCCTCTTCCCCCAGGGCAAGCGTTTCTGCTCTGGCATTTCTGAGCTGTGCGCCCTAGGGCTGACCGGGACCAGGTGCTGCTCCCTGGGCATCTGGAGTGACCAGGGCCGCACGTGATGCACTCAAGGCCAGTCTTGTCTAAGAGCGCACCGCTGGTGGGGTCACTTCTAGGTGGCAGTACCGACACCTCCTGCTTCTTCCCCAGACTGTCTTTCCTCTGCACCAGCTGGGCGGAGAAGGGAGCTCCCGGGAACGCGCCCAGAGCGCTGGTGAGCAGTTTATGAACGATTGGAGAAGGCCCCCGGTGCGCATGAGCGCCTGGGCCAGGGATGAAGACAAGAGCCTGCCCTCTGTATGGTTTCCCAGGCCGTCGTGGGGATGAAAGTGGAGACTAAGGGCCAGCAGGAATGGCTTTCAACTTTCTTCGGTTTACCATTTTATAGACTTAAAGCTAAGGCTTAGAGAGCTTTCCAGCTTGGCTTCCGGCAACGGCCGGCTGCAGGGATTTGTTCTTTCTCTTGGGCTACCTCGGGTATTTGGTGCAAGATCCCTCCAGAGAAAGGTTGTGCATCCTGGCTTTGGGACACAGCACGTGAAAAGTAACAGTACTTTAGAAGAAGCAGTGTGTTTGTTCACAGCTTGCAGATTTGCAAGGTAAAAATGACTCCTATGGTGGGTAGCTGGCAAAATGATACCTATGAAATAAGAGTGACCACCCATTACCGCCTTTTTAATAAGCGCTATCCCTAGACAAAAGAGAGGCAGTGTTTTGGAGGCCGGGTCTGCCTCAGGGGGCGAGATTGCCTTGGTTCTTATCCAGACTTCATTTTGTGACCTTGGGCAAGTTACTTAACCCCTATGACCCCTCGCCTTCCGTAACTAAAATAGGCATGGTCATAGTGTCTGTTTCCCAGGGTGGCTGTGGACGTTAAAGGCCCCAGCTTACATAGAATGGCACCTGGCATAAGGGAATCCTTCAACACAACTTTTTTTTTTAATATTATGATTTATATTGTGTCAGACCCAATACTTCAGGATTTATATACATTATCTTATTTTACCTTTCAAGAACTCTTAAGAGTAGGGGAATGTTTTCACCATTTTACAGATGAGGAAATTAAGGTTCTGAAAGGTTAAATGCTTTAACAACCTATAGCTTGTAAGAAATAAAGAGGAGACATCATCTTTGCCCAAGTGAGTCTTGTACCATAATTGGAAATGTTTTCATTAACAGTTCTTATGAGAAATATGCAAAGAAGCCTTTATGTTAATTTCAAATGAATTTTGCAATGGCTATTAATGTACCTCCTGCTTAGAATTTCAGGGTGGGAGGACCTTGCCTGGCTTGCACCCTCTGCTTCCCAATAGTTGATGTTCTTGGATGGTGTCCTCTGTGCCATTGGAATGAGCCTGCAGGGACATCTGGAACATTCTAATGTAAGGCAGAGCAGGCAATGTCATTCCACCCAGAGAATTTATTTTTATTTTTTTTGAGTCGGAGCCTCGATCCGTTGCCCAGGCTGGTGTGCAGTGGTGCAATCTCGGCTCACTGCAACCTCCACCTCCCAGGTTCAAGTATTCTCCCATCTCAGCCTCCCAAGTGGCTGGGATTACAGGCATGAGCCACCATGCCTGGCCAATTTTTTTGTATTTTTAGTAGAGACAGGGTTTTACCATGTTGGCCAGGCTGGTCTCGAACTCCTGACCTCAAGTGATCCACCAGCCTCAGCCTCCCCAAATGCTGAGATTACAGGCATGAGCCACAGGGCCCGGCCCCACCCAGAGAAATTTGACCTCTGCAGGACTATTTATAAACTCCTGTGTGTCTCTTTGCACATGACTTGCCCTCAGGCCCTCAATAAAAGATGATTGTTCATTTTTCTAAAAATCTGCATTTATCTAGTCTGGAAAGAGGTCTATAGCAAGTGACAGGGGCAGGGGAATTGAGGAGGGATAGATCTTTGTCCCCTATTAGTGTTTGGTGAAAAGCTGTGGTGAATGGAGGGAAGAGTGGTCCAAGAGCCAGAGAGCTCTCCTGTCTTGGCCCGGGGCAGGTGCAAGGTGGCAGGAGAAAGCTCCTTCACTATCCACATCTCCTCATCAGAATCCCCTGTGAAGTGTTTCAGGATTGGCCCCGTTCATAGGAAATAAACATATCTGGAGTGAAGAGAGAACTGCCAGGATGGTCTAATTATAGTCCCCCCACCCACCTTCCCAGACGGCCATGGGGCTCAAACCTCTGTCAGCTTGGCTGTCCGTGTTAGGAAGGGCTGGATGGGGTCACGGAGCAAAAGGTACTTCGGCTTCGAGAGCCCCCATTGGCTGAGCTGTGGGCCTTAGTAGTTTTCTTCAGTGGGAATTTGGGTTATGGTGCTGATAGGTAGTGTGTATACGTGTTAAAGTGGGCAATGTGTAAGCCAGGTGACTTTGCTTTAGTTATTTCCAATCTGAACCCCTGCTGCCAGACCACAAAGGTGTTTTGCCCATTTCATAGTTGAGTAAACTGAGGCACAAAGCTAACACAAAGGGGTTTCCAACTGTGGTCGGCAAGGGACTAGCTTTTGTGATTGCTATAAATCAGGCTGCCTCACAGAATCTGGGCTGTTCTTTTGGGTGGCAATATAAACCCATAAACCCTATATAAAAGTTCACCTACAGCAAATGGCCACAGGAGTGAAAGCAGTTGCCCCTGGGGGATGTAAACTTGAATCTCACAAAGTGCCAGACACAGTCTAGCAAAGAACAGTTAGGACAATTGTAACCCCTAATATGAGTCTAGCACTTTTCACTGCAAAGCCCTTCCGCACGCATCTCAGGCCCTCAGGAGGCAGAATGCAGCCTAGTTTGCACATGGAAGATGGAGGCTCAGAGAGACTCAAAGCTTTGCCGGGAAGAAATCATAAGCCCTGGACCCCGAACCTCGGCGGACTTCCCACACACCTCTTAAGATGGTGGAGAGGTATGAGGTAATGGCTTCCAGGTGTCTCAGGTCATCTGGGCCAAGGGGGACCCTGGCTGGAAGGAGCAGAAGAGTAAGAGGAAAAGTGCAGGGTGTGCGGGAAGAAATGGGGAATCTGAGGTTCTGAGAGCCCCCATGGAGGGTGCATTGTAGCTGCTGTTAGCAGTCTGCTGGGCACTGGCTGGGGGAAGGTCATGAAAACAATTGCTTTACAAAGAGCATCCACAGAAAGTGTATTTGAATTACAGTTCTTTAATCAAGTTGTTTTACTGACATTGGAACTTTGACCTAAGGGTTTTAACCCTCGTGTAAAGGACATCTTTTTTTTTTTTCTTTTTTTTTTGAGACAGACTCTCACTCCGTTGCCCAGGCTAGAATGCAGTGGTGCGATCTCAGCTCACTGCAACCTCCGCCTCCTGGATTCAAGTGATTCTTGTGTCTCAGCCACCTGAGTAGCTAGGACTACAGGCATACACCACCGTGCCCAGCTAATTTTTTTGTATTTTTAGTAGAGACGGGGCTTCGCCATGCTGGCCAGGCTGGTCTTGAACTCCTGACCTCAGGTGATCCATCCACTTCGGCCTCCCAAAGTGCTGGGATTACAGGCGTGAGCCATCATGCCTGGCGTAAAGGACATCATTTCAATGTGTATATGTGAGACTGAAGTGGGCAGATTCTTCTTTCATTTCTTTGTGTGTGTGTGTTGGTGAGGGGAGGGCAATGGGAGCCAGGAGGTAGGGGTGACAGGGAGCTCTTTTTCTGAGTTGTATGAGGTTTTAAGTGACTCAAGTAAAATAGTTTAGACACCAAGACCCTTGTACCCAAATATACCTTGCTGTGCTGGCCTTCTGACCCCAAGGTCTGTACCTCAGGTCCCCCAAGTTTACTACACACCTCCTTAAGTAAAAAACAGGAGTGCAGATGCAGACTTCCGACCTTGGGGAGGCTAGGGCAACATGTTGTGGTGAGTGGACAGCTGGTGGCTGGCCTTTAGAACCACACTGGGCCAAGCGTCCGTGTGGATGGGGTCACATACTCACCGAGTGACCTGGGACAGGTTCCTTCAGCTCTGAGTCTATCAGATTCCTTCCTCACCTGCAAAATGGGCTTGGGTAGAGGATTAGGGATTATGGAAGTAAAGAACCCAGCAGAGTGTCTGACACATTTATCATTGTAGGTTTTGAAAAACACTTTCAGATCGGTTGGATAACATCCTGCATAAGTAGACTGGAATTAGGAATTGAGGAATGCACCTTGTTTTTAATTGTTGTTGGTTTAGGAGCTTATGCATGACCACAGGACGCAAACTCTAACGAAATTAAATGTGATTGCCATGGATTTAAAACAAGAGAACATCTGATAAGGCATAATAGCTTTGCATTCTCTCGGAGAGGTTTAGGACAAGGAGATTTAGATGAAGAAGGAGAAAATTTGGAGTGGATTGGGATTCGATTTCCAAGGTTTGGGAAATGACCTTGATGTTTTTCAGACACAAAATGAAAACAAAACCCAGCCGCTGGTGCAGAGTCCCTTGAAAGCTCTGGATCCGGCTGGGTCTGTTAGCTGTTGGAACTTCTCGCTTGTCAAGGGGACATAACACATCCCTAGGGCTTGTCCCTAGAGCTGTGTGACAACACAGAAAACTTCTGTTTGTCCCGGCTTGGTTTTAAATCTGGGAAAAATAAAAAGCATTGTCTTTGCAGTCTGAGTGACCCATCGAACAAACAGGATGAATTATGGCATGTTGCGGTATTTTCAAGTGGGTCTATAATTTTTGGATTCCAGCAGCCTTCATTTGTTCTCCAGTGTCCAGCCCTGGGAAGCTTCAGTGAGGAAAGATCTTAAGAATTCCTCTCCCAACCCCTCCCCTCTCCTTAAGAGTTTGTTCCATTTGTACCTTCTGTTTTCCCAATTTTGAGGTCCTTCAAAGTCTGTCGAAATCAAGTGGCCAGGTTTAATTGAGTGAACTGCACTTCGCCCGTTGCCTGCAATGCCCTCTCTTAACCTAAGCTGATTTATAGAAACTATAATTAGTGAGATAATTTTAGCTATGATGGACAGAGTTGAAAAGTGTCCTTATCGCTTCCTCACTGATTTACTAGTTGTTTAATGCTGAGCCCGGGAAAGACTTCGACCCTGTTGCATGATCAGCTAGGCTGACCTCAGACAAGGCCGCTGCAGCTTCAGGAGACAGATTCTCTTTGTGGAACCCAGGAAGGCTGATCTCCTCAACATGAAGGCTGATCTCCTTCTCAAAATGAACATTCTGTCCCCTGGCTATTTTCTTGCTCCCAACTCTCAGAACTAACACACAGTAACTTGTTTATATTTTTTTTTCTTCTTTGGGGGGATAGGTGGGAAATCTCTGACTAATATGGAATTTTCACAGAAAATACCTGTGTTGTCTAGCAGCCTGCAGTGAGTAACATGGTTGTGGCCACAGGTGTGCCATCCCAAACAGGATGCACACAGCACAGCGGCAGTGATCTCACGTGGCTACGGGGCCTCCTGGGGAACTGACATTCTGGCAGGGTGTTCTGCTCCAGAGCAGGAGCTTGCAGGCTTGTTGGGGCCGGTGGGGAGGAATGTGGTTTCAGAAGCCCACACCGCCAGGTGGAGGGCTCAGTGCAGACAGCCTTGGGGCCAGTGTGTGTCTGAATCGCACAGGGCAGTGTTTGACCAGCCTCACGGTGATGGTGCCCGCTTTAATCGTGTCCCAAAAAAATTATTGCCATCATCCAGCGAGGCCAAGAGACATTTCTTTCCAGTTGGAATATGGCCAACCCTCCTTTGAAAATCCTCAAAGTGCAAACTGTGGAATCAGAAAAAGAAAACTACCCTTCTCCAAGAAACAGGGAGGCCCTACGCACTTGGCACGTCCCCTTCTGTGAGAAAGACTCAGCGTTCTGGAGTTGGATTCCCAGCTGTTGCTTCATCTGAAGATGTTCAGACCACTACGGAGGCCAGATGGCTGGGACATTAGAGGGTGCACATGTTCATCATTGTTTTGTACTTGAGAAATAAATATTTAAACCTGAAACCAAGTGGATCACTTTCTACTGAAGTGGGTGTTGAGTATCCCCACCCGGTCCTAAGCATAACCCCAGCTCGCATGATTCCCATCACACTCAGAACCTTCAAAGAGGTTGTCCCCCTCCACTGGTGCAGGGGCCCAGGAACGTGATGATGCTTCATCTATTTTGGGGTTGTTTTTCTTCGAGTCAGCTTTTGTCACAAGAGGACTCCCGATGTGAATGGGCTGAAGTGGAGAACTGGGCCCTCTGCCTTTGGCTCGATGAGACCGCCTGTATTTGTTTTGGTTCTTGCCTTTGTGGTAACTGGTCACAGATATACATGTGAGCGGATGAAAACTTAACCCTTTTCTTTACTGCAATTAAAGCTCTGAAAATATTGTAGATCTTCATGGTTTATTTTTGTCTTTATAGGAGATGTACATGTATAGTTTCCTTTTAAAAAGATGGAAAACAGGTCAGGCATGGTGACTCACACCTGTAATCTCAGCACTTTGGGAGGCTGAGGTGGGAGGATCGCTTCAACCCAGGAGTTCAAGACCAGTATAGGCAATGTGGAGATACCACCATGGTCCCTACAAAAAATACAAAATTTAGCCAGGTCTTGTGGCATGCACTTGTAGTCCTAGCTACTCAGGAGGCTAAGGTGGGAGGATTGCTTGAGTCTGGGAGGTGGAGGCTGCAGTGAGCTATGATTGCACCACTGCACTCCAGCCTGGGTGACAGAAAAAGACCCTGTCTCAAAATAGATGGAAAATATTTTCTGCAACACTGGAGTGTGTTGTAAAGAATGTACTTCACATTTGTTCAGGGATTGACGGTTCAGAATCATTTTCTTGGGTACATCCTACTCTGATCCCCTCTACAGTCTTATGAGGTAGAGGGATAGGGCCACTGTCACCTTGTTATGTAGTAACAGTTACTGCAATAGCTTTTACTGTGTCCAGCACTGGTTTTTTATCATCTGCATTTTATTTAATCTTGTCCCTGCATCTATGAGGTTGGCATTATTGTTGCCATTTTGCAAAAGATAGGATTGGTTCTTGGACTCCAAGTCCAGTGCTCTTTCTATACTGCTTGACTATATCCCTTAATAAGGACCAGCCAGGAGGTCTGAATTCAAATTCATGCCTGGTGATCACCAGCAAGCAATGTGACCTTTGAGTTTCAGCCCCTTCTTTCCAAAATGAGAAAATCATAGCTGGCTTGTGGTTAAAATGGGGTGGTTAAAGTCTAACATTATAATTCCTCATAAAATGTAAAAATTACCTGGGGTACCAGATGTGGTGGGTCACACCTGTAATCCCAGTACTTTGGGAGGCCAAGGTGGGAGAATCCAGCCTGGGCAACATAGTAAGACCCCCATCTGTACAAAAATAAAAATAAAAAATTAGCTGGGCACAGTGGCACACACCTGTATTTCCAGCTACTTGGAAGGCTGAGGCAGGAGGATCACTTGAACCTGGGAGGTCGAGGCTGCAGTGAGCTGTGTTCTCACTACACTCTGGCCTGGGTGAGAGAGTGAGACCCTGTCTCAAAGAAAAATTACCTGGGGTTTTGCAAATACAAATGATTAATCGTGGTAAATATATCAACACATTAAAAATAGTCATAAGCATATAATGAAACAAAATATTTTTTGAAGATCTTCAACAACAATAGTAGTAATAATAATGATCTCCATTTAGCAGACAAACATTAAAAAGGTGCCTAGTCTATGTCAGATACTGTTCTAGATGCTAGAGATACAACCTCTGCCCTCATGGAGTTTTATGTTCTCTTGGGGGAGACAGTCACTAAATAAGTAGACAGGCAGTAATTTCATTTTTTTTTTTTTTGAGATGGAGTCTTGCTCTGTTGCCCAGGCTTGTGTGCAGTGGCGTGATCTCAGCTCACTGCAACCTCCACCTCCAGAGTTCAAGTGATTCTCCTGCCTTAGCCTCCCGAGTAGCTGGGATTACAGGCACCTGCTACCATGCCCGGCTAATTTTTTGTATTTTTAGTAGAGACGGTGTTTCACCATGTTGGCCAGGCTGGTCTTGAACTCCTGACCTCAAGTGATCCACCTGTCTCGGCCTCCCAGAGTGTTGGGATTACAGGCGTGAGCCACCGCACCTGGCTGACAGGCTCTAATTTCAGACGGTGGTAAGTACTAGCTGAAACCTAAGTCTGGGGAGGGGATAGAGGGGCTGGGGTGGGATGGGGATACTTCACAGTGTGGTCTAAGGCCTGTGTGGTGAGGAGATTCGATGTCATCTCAAGTAATCCTCCACAACAAAGGTTGGCAAACCGCAGCCTATAGGTCAATCCAGTCCATTGCCTATTTTGTCAATAAAGTTTTATTGGAGCACAGCCATACCCATTTATTTATGTATTGTCTGTGGTTGCTTTCCTTCTATAATGGCAGAGTTGAATAGTTGCAATGGAGACTGTATGGCCCACAACACAAATTATTTACTATCTTTTCTTTCACAGAAAATGTTTGCCAACACCTGCTCTAAAGTTTATTAGAGTCTAAACCAAAAATGGAGACGATTGCTAATAAGTGACGAAGCCAGGATTTACACCTGTCTGTCAAATGTCTCATTTCCTTTCCCTGTGGTCTTAGCACAGTGCTAGGCCCCCTGCTGATGACTCAGAGGGTCTGGAGGTGGGGAGTGGAGGGTGGGCTAGAAGGTTGGATAGGGAAGAGCATGATATGGTGCCTGATCTTAAGAAGTGCTATTTTGGTGACGTAGTCTACATGTGCAGGAAATGATTTCAGAATCATATAAAACAAGATGACAAGAATGCTAAATTATGTGGTATTGAGTAGGATACCAAGAGGGAAAACAGCTTCAAACCCAGAAGGCTTCCTGGAGGAAGTGAGAATTGCAGGGAGGTTAGGCTTTGGCCATGCAGGGCACAGATACGGAAACAGGTATGGTGGCAGCAAGGATGTCGCCCTGTGCAGACCAGACAGGAGCTGCTGGCCGTCACACCCAACACTCCCTTCCTCCATTCATCCAACACTTGCCAATCCCCCACTGGGTGCTGAGTCAGTCGCAAACATGAATAAAGTGTCCGTCCTCAGGTGTGTGAATTAGGCTGATCCAAAAGCTAAATGACAGCGTAGAGGTGGAGGGGTGGGGAATCCCCTGAGATCTGTGGTTGGGCAGAGGAGGGGTTCTACGCAGGCTTCTGGCAGTGGATCACTGCAGCCGGGCAGTTTGGGCAGGGGTACAAGGGCCAAGCCTTTTGGAAAGAGGGAACCCCTTGAGCAGAGACTTGGCGGTGGCAAAGTTGGCTGTGAGGAAGAAGCCCCAGGGAGGGACTTGGCTGGGCAGATACTGGAAGGAATTGAGGGCAGGAACTTGGGAATCCACAGTCTGGCACTGTGTAGGTGCTCAGTTCCCTATTTTAAAGCCAACTGTTTGTTTCGAAGTATTCAAACCTACAGAATAGATTTGCCTCCCCTTCCAGACTCCTGAAGATGATCAGGGAGATGGCCATGGCTTCATGGCCTCTGTCTTCTGCAGGGTCTTCTGGCCAAGAGAGGCCTGCAGGCAGTAATCTGTCAACATCTGCTTGGCATCCTCCCCGTCTGCTATCAGAGGACAGAAAAACATATCGCTCAGAACCTTCTGAAGAGATGGGCAGTTTTGGGGTTTTGTTTGTTTGTTTCCTTGCTTGAGTTTGGAAGGCATTTTAAGATGCAGTGATTTGGGGCCTGGCAGTGATTCTTCAAGGTAATTTTTCCAGATGCCTGTGATTCTAGGGTAGTTGACATGCCCAGGACATCCCATGCTCCATGTTGCTCTCCAGCCTTAGAACAAATCCTTCCCCGTGGGAACCGGCCTGTGCGTGTGTGCAGCATCTTACACCTTATAGAACCTCCTTCACAGCTACTAACTCCCTATCCCTACAATGACCATGAGATGTGCGCATGGCAGGAACTGTTCTCCCCATTTTACTGAGGAGGAAGCTGGATCAGAGAGGTCAATCTGCTTTCCTAAGATCACACAGCCACAAGGAGAAGAGCAGAAGGCCTTGGAACTTCCCAGGCCTTGGAACTTTCTATTTGTATCCAACCCTGTCTACACTCAAGGGTGTAGCTGCTTTTCCTGGATATGGCCGTATATTGGTTTCAGCATTAGATGTTGGCTCAAACTCAAGCTGGTGACTAAATCCTCCAAGTGTCACTTCCTCCAGGCAGTCTTCATGGTCTGCGGTAGCCTTTCTCAGATCCCAGAGATTTTGGCCTGGTTTCCTGAACATGCTTAGAGTTCACTCATGCCCACACTGCCATGATGTACCCTTCTCCAAATAAGCCAAGCTTCATTTCTGCCAGTGACTATGAGGTTCTAAAGCCTCAAGAGTGCAGATCGACCCCAAATATCTCTTGCTGACATCTTCCCCCCATATTTTACAGATTTCCATGGCATTTCCATAGAACGTTGCTCTTTTCATGCCAAGAGGGATTATCTCCATTCAAAACTTCTGGTAGTCCAGGCACCGTGGCTGACACCTGTAATCCCAGAAATTTGGGAGGCTGAGGCAGGTGGATCACTTGACGGCAGGAGTTTGTGACCAGCCTGGGCAATATGGTGAAACCTGGTCTCTACTAAAAATACAAACATTGGCTGGATGTGGTGGCACTCGCCTGTAATCCCAGCTACTCAGGAGGCTGAGGCATGAGAACTGCTTGAACTTGGGAGGCAGAGATTGCAGTAAGCCGAGATCGCGCCACTGCACTCCAGCTTGGGTGACAGAGCAAGACTCCATCAAAAAAAAAAAAAAAAAAAAAACCTCTGGTGAAAGGCAAGCCTGGAGTTATATTAACTCACAGCATGGATCTATTTTTAAGCTGTTTCTTTCAGGGAATGGGGCACAGGTCAGTGTGGATACTGAAGACAGTGAGTGTATGTCAAGCTTTTTGCAGCCTGTGAGTGATTTTTACACACAGTCTCTCATTGGGGTAGCCTCCCTTCGGGGCAAGTGTTCTTCCTGTCACACGCAGGAGGGGAGTGACCTTGTAAAGCTAAGGGCTGTGAGTGAGCACAGGGTGTGGGGTGGGGAGGCGGTGAGCAGTCTCCAGGCTGAAAATAGTGGTCTTGCAGCCTTGAGTCTTGCTGACTAGACCTCTGGCCTGGGGGGGCCCAGGAGCAGTGGCTTGACTCTGCTTTCCCTAGCCTAGCTTAGCTAGGCTTAGCTGTCAAGCCCAGGTGAGTTGCTCTTCTGGTTGGTGGGAGCCAAACCCTTCTCTGAGCTCAGCAGCCAGGCAGGGAGAATGGAGCTGCTTCTCTGAGCATGAAGTGGAAAGAACAGGATTTCCCTCCACCAGACACTCTGCTCTTTCTGGGGGATTTAACAGCAACTCTGAGGCCCAAAACAGGGCTGGGCATGGGGTCAGGGAGGTGTGGAGTGCATCTCTAGCTGTGGCATCAGCGCCCTCCTCCCCTTCCATTTCTGATTATTGCAAAGTTAAGGTTTGAATTAGGACTAAGCATAGGGCTGGGGAGGAACAGGGCAGAAGAGAGAATTGTATTAGCTGTCAGAAGTTAGGCCTCCAACCACTTTCCGGCTCAGGGAAACTTGACCACCACACTCAACATCTCTAGGCCTCAGTTTCCCCATTTGTTGAAGAGTCATCAGCCACAGGTGGTGGCTCATGCCTGCAATCTCAATGCTTTGGGAGGCTGAGGCGGGAGGATCGCTTGAGACCAAGAGTTTGAGACCAGCCTGGGCAACATTGCAAGACCCCTGTCTACAAAAGAATTAAAAAAAAAATAGAAGCTGGGCATGGTGGCTCATGCCTGTAATCCCAGTACTTTGGGAGGCTGAGGCGGGTGGATCACCTAAGGTCAGGAGTTCCAGATCAGCCTGGCCAACATGGTGAAACCCCATCTCTGCTAAAAATACAAAAATTAGCTGGGCGTGGTGGTGGGTGCCTGTAATCCCAGCTACTTGGGAGGCTGAGGCAGGAGAATCACTTGAACTTGGGAGGCAGAGGTTGCAGTGAGCCAAGATTGCACTATTGCACTCCAGCCTGGGCAACAAGAGCAAAACTCTGTCTCCAAAGGAAAATAAGAAAAAAAAGGAAAAGTCTTGAGTCCTGCCTTGTCCACCTGTCAGGGTTGCTGAGTGGCTCACATGATTCGGGGGATGTCAGCATGCTGGGCCACTGGCCCCAGGCTTGAGTGTTGGTGTCCCAGTGGCACAAGGACTTTGGACTGTATTTGGCAGTGTCCCTTTCAGCTCTGACATTCTTTATTGACTCCCCCACATCTAGGTTTCTTCATGGGATAGATGTGTCTGTTTCTACCTGGCCTAGTCAGAGACCTGGCCTCAGGGGACTTGCCTGCCATACCCTAGGCACCTGCCTTGCAGTGCAGGCCACTGAGCCTGTCACTTCTCAGAAGGCCTTTGTGGGTCCTTTAGTAGGTGCCCTTTGGGGAAACATAGGGTCTCCAGAAGCATTGGGCACCCCCCTTCTCTCCTCCTGTAGTGGGTTGGATAGTGTCCCTCAAAAATATATATTCAAGGCTTAACACCCAGGTCCTGTGACTGTAACCTTATTCTGAAAAAGGGTCTTGGCCAGGCACGGTGGCTCACACCTGCAATCCCAGCACTTTGGGAGGCAGAGGGGGGCAGATCACTTGAGGTCAGGGGTTCGAAATCAGCCTGGCCAACATGGTAAAGCCCTGTCTCTACTAAAAATTCAAAAAAATTTAGCCAGGCATGGTGGCATGTGCCTGTAGTCCCAGCTACTCAGGAGGCTAAGGCAGGAGAATCACTTGAACCTGGGAGGTGGAGGTTGCAGTGAGCCGGGATCATGCTACTGCCCTCTAGCCTGGGCGACAGAGTGAGAATCCATCTCAAAAAAAAAAAAAAAAAAAAAGCAAGAAAAAAGGAAAAAGGGTCTTTTTATCTTTGTAGATGTAATTAAGTTCAGGATCTCCAGATGACATCATCCTGGATTTGAGTGGGCCCTAAATCCAATGACTGGTGTCCTCATAAGAGAAAGATAGAGGGAGATTTGAAGCAGAGAAGGTGAGAAGACACACAGGGGAGGAGGCCATGTGAGATGGAGGCAGACAGTGGCATGATGGGGCCACCAGCCGAGGACTGTCAAAAGCCACAGGTACCTGGAAGAGGCAGGCGCTGCATCCTCCCCTGGAGCCTCTGGAGGTGGCTCAGCCCTGGCCACACCTTGCTTTTGGGCTTCAGAAATGTGGGATGATAAGTCTGTGGCTTCAAACATCAGAAATTTATTCTTTTACAGTCCCGGAGGCCCGAAGTCCAAAATCAAAGGTCTCAGCAGTGCTGTGCTTTCTCTGAAGGTGCTCAGGAGGATCCCATTCCTTGCTTCTTCCATCATCTGGTGGATCCAGGCGTGCCTAGGCTTGTGACTTCATCACTCCAATCTTGGGCTCTGTTTCACGTGGCCTTCTTCCCTGTGTCTCTCTCTGTCTTGAATGTACCTTTTCTTTCTTTCTATTCTTTTTTTTTTTTTTTTTTTTTTGAGACAGTCTTGCACTGTCGCCCGGGCTGGAATGCAATGGCGCGACCTCGGCTCACTGCAACCTCCGCCTCCTGGGTTCAAGCAATTTTCCTGCCTCAGACTCCTGAGTAGCTGGGATTACAGGCACCTGCCACCATGCCTGGCTAATTTTTTGTATTTTTATAGAGACGGGGTTTCACCATTTTGGCCAGGCTGGTCTCAAACTCCTGACTTCAAGTGATCTGCCTGCCTCTGCCTCCCAAAGTGCTGGGATTACAGGCGTGAGCCACCGTGCCCCATCCAAGTGCTGGGATTACAGGTGTGAAGGTGGTGGAATTCTTAAGTCATACCTGATTTTCCCAGTTTTATTAACCAGCAGCACCCACCTGAGTTTCCACCATCTACAGACACCTCATGAGGCTCTTTGTGGGCCTCTACCCTAGTGATGCTACTAATATCAGCCACCACATATTGAGCATTGAATACGATGCTGGCACAGTGCTGGACATTTTATATTCAATCTGTCCAGGCCTCACTGCACCCTCCGCCTATAAGCAGGGACAATTTTTTGTTCTGTTTGATGATGAGGAGCTTGAGGCACAGAGAGCAGAGGTGTCTTAGCTAGAAACGTCAGGGAGGCGTTGCAAAAGCACTTCTGTCTGACTCCAGAGGCTGTGTTTCTTCCCTTCCCCATCATTTCTCACCTCTCTGGGTGGAGGGAAGGACCTTGAACACCTGACTTGGGCACTGCTACCCTGCCTTTTATTCCCCCAAAAGTCTGCTCTTCCCCATCCGGCAAATCTCTCTGCCTCTGTCTGGAAAGTTACAGGCCTGGCTGATAAACTGTTGTCTTCTTTTTAATCATCCATGGGCCAGCTCCACAGGGATGTCCACTGGCCTTCTCAGCGCCTGCTTAGGGAAAAACCTTCCCCACACATAGCAACGGTTTCCAGGCTGAGCCGCGCTGAGGGCTTCCAAGTAGAGGGGTCATTTGGATAGTGACCAGCTTCTCCATGGGATGGAGGTGACCGCCAGCCAGCCCACAGGGTGAGCGTGTCTCTTTGCAATGAAAGCTGATCGACCTCAAGGATGTCGCAGTGTTTTAGTGTCTAGGGCATTCCCAACACTGCCCAGGAAGATGGCATGTGTTTGTCTTTTAGGAAGAGTGGTTTGTTTTCAGAGCAGAGGGAAAGAGATCTGACCTGCCGTGGCCTCTTCCTCACACTTGCCCCTGTAGCATCTCTTGCCAGATTGACAGAACATGCTCCAGCTTGCTTTTGGTTTTGTTTAGATCCTCATTGGAAATGAGCGATTTGCAATCATTTTGACCCCATTCAGTTAAATCGTTGAGGTTGTCTCTATTTTTTACTGTCCTTAGGGGTTGGTCTGCATTTGGTCCAAATTACGTGACTGTCGACAGACGGCAGTAAAAGTGCTTTCGCAGGCAGGATGGGGCGGTGGGAAGAGCTTGTGTCTGGAGGTGGAGACCAGCGACTTGGCTCTGCTTCCCGCGGCCCCTCCAGCCTGGTGACACAGGCGAACCGTTTAATCTCTCAGAGACACAGTTGTCTCAAGTATAAAACAGATCTAATAACTCATGCCCCTTTGTTCTCTCTAGGGCAAGTTACGGCAATCTTGGAAGCATGAAAGCAACTTTTTTCCTCTTTTCCTTCAGCGAGGGAGGGATGAGCAGACTCTTCAAATGAATTGGATGTGAAGTGGCAGAATATGATGTTACTAACAGTCCATATTTTTGCCTGTAGAATATTGCATCCGAGTATTCTTTTTATAGACCCATGGTGGAACACCGGGGAGGCCAAGTGCAAGCTATATGAAAATGGTTTGCGTTCTCAGAAAAAGAAACAAAACAAACCACAACCCTGGACTACTCAGCAAGTAGGAGACGTTTTCCCATTCAATGCTCCTGATGATGGGGGAACTAGGTAAAATCCGAACGGAGGCCCAGGGAGGAGAGAGGCATGCCCAGGGTGCAGGATCTCATAGTCACTGACCACGTCTGTGGGGCTGGGGCCCTTTCAGCACAGGCAGTCCAGGTAAGGGGTCTCCCAGGAGATCCCAGAGCATCAGGAGGTGGGGAAGTGTGGTTGAGCAGATGTGGCTGAGGGTCCTGCCTGAGAAGTCCTAAACTTCAGGTCAGGTGGGTGAGGAGAGGTCATGATTGGAACCAATGCCTTGGCTGGGCATGGTGGCTCAGCACTTTGGGAGGCTGAGGCAGGTGGATCACCTGAGGTCAGGAGTTTGAAACCAGCCTGGCCAACATGGTGAAATGCTGTCTCTACTAAAAATACAAAAATTAGCCAGGTGTGGTGGTGGGCGCCTGTAATCCCAACTACTCGGGAAGCCAAGGCACAAGAATTGCTTGAACCTGTGAGGTGGAGGTTGCAGTGAGCTAAGTTCATGCCACTGCACTCCAGCCTGGATGACAGAGCAAGACTCTGTCTCAAAAAAACAAAACAAAACCAAACCCAATGCCTTCAGTCTTATGGCCAAGCTGACCGAAATAGCCTTGGAAGCTGGATATGGGGGCATTGGGACAAGTGGTTCAGGATGATGCTGTGTGCAAGGTGGGGGTGTCGGGAGCCTGCCCATATTTATCAATGCCAGCTGCGAAGCAGGGACAGGCCTGCAGGATAGGTAATTCCAGCCCCCAGAGGCACTCAGGGAGTGAACGATGGAGCCTGAATTGGCCCTGGGGCCCAGATCCACAGAAGACTGTACCCCAGAGGCCGTGGGAACAGCGCTATTTTTAGCCGACACTGGGACTAAGGTCCAGTGTGAAATATGACCGTTTTTCATCTTGACCATTCGTTGTGACTGTTCCCTCCCACAGGGTTGCCAACCCCTGCTCCGATTCCACATCACTCTCAGGGCCCTGCGTCCATCATGCCTTCGCTTCCTTTTCTCTTTTTGAATTTTTCTCCCTTCCTCATTTCCCTCACTTTATTCCTGTGTTTTCCTGTGCCTTGCCCTTCCCTCCTCCAACACCTTTGCCCTTTACTAGGTGCTGGGGACACGAAGATGAGCAGGACAGAGCCCTCGGCTCAAGGAGACCCCAGTCAGGGAGGTGAACAGGCTCAGAGACATGAACCCCAAGACAGTGGCAGGTACTGAGACAGAGCTGTCAGTGCAGGGTTCAGTGGAGGGTAAGTCAGGTGTGGAGCCTTCCCTGGTAGCCCCTGGCCTGCCTCAGTTTTCACATCTGTGCAATGAGCCCACTGACAGCAGCTGCTCCATGGGGTGCCCAGAATTAAACAGGGTGCTGCATAGCAACAGAGACCTAGCTCAGGGCCCTTGCAGGACACACTCCTGGCCCATGCTAGCAGCTCTGTCGTGGCTGTGGTTATTATTCGACCTGGGAATGGGATAGGCAAGGGATTAGGAAAGAACTCAGAATTAATAAAAGTTATAAACAGTCATGCCCAAAAGCCTTTCGAAGGTGGCCACACAGAGGGTGTCAGGTGGAGCCCAAAGGAGCTAGGATCTGGGAGGGATTGGGGGCAGCCCTGGGGCAGACAATAGCAGGGTGAATCTGAGGGGCTGGGGCAGCAGGGCTGGATTAGCGGGGCTTTGGTGGGACAATGCTCATTGGTGGACCCATCCCTGGCTTTTCTTCCTCTTAGAATGACATTCCCAGTGCCCTCATTAAGACAAAGATGTCACTGAATCGGGCTAATGAGGTTGCTATTGCCTTAAGTTAGTGATGGCTCCATTCATGGCTTAGTTTGCTCCCAGGATGGATAGCACAGCTGTGTGGCTCCCTCAGGGAAGGCTCCTGACTTTTTAAGACTGACTTGCAAAACAGAAAGTGCTGAGGGGTTAAAAATTATATATTTATCTGTATAGCTAAAACTGTCTCATACCTAAAGCATAAGTATTCATTCTGTTCCACACTTATTTTTTTTCTTTCCTTCGGGATTACATAAGTTACATGTGCCAGTGTAAATTTTTCGAGACGGAGTCTTTCTCTGTTGCCATCTCAGTGGTGCCATCTCAGCTCACTGCAGTCTTGACCTCCGAAGCTCAAGTAATTCTCCCATCTCAGCCTCCTAAGAAGCAGGGACCGCAAGCACGTAGCACCATACCTGACTAATTTTTTATTTTTTATGGGGATGAGGTCTTACTATTATGTTGCCCAGGTTGGTTTCAAACTCCTGGACGCAAGTGATCCTTCTGCCTCAGCTTTCCAAAGTGCTAGGATTATAGTAATGAGCCACCATGCCCAGTGCCTATGTAAAATTTTCAAACCAATGGCAGGGTGTGGTGGTTCATGCCTGTAATACCAGCACTTTGGGAAGTTGATGTGGGAAGATCACTTGAGCTCAGAAGTTTGAGACCAACCTGGGCAACACGGTGAAACCCGGTCTCTACCAAAAAATACAATCAAACAAAAAAACGACTGGGCATGGTGGCTCACGCCTGTTATCCCAGCACTTTGGGAGCCTGAGGTGGGCGGATCACTTGAGGTCAGGAGTTCGAGACCAGCCTGGCCAACACATGGTGAAACCCAGTCTCCACCAAAAAATACAAAAATTAGCAGAGTGTGTTGGTGCACGCCTGTAATCCCAGCTACTTGGGAAGCTGAGGCAGGAGAATCACTTGAGCCCGGGAGGCAGAGGTTGCAGTGAGCTGAGATCATGCCACTACACTCCAGCCTGGGCCAAGAGCAAGACTCTGTCTCTCAAAAAAAAAAAAAAAAAAAATCGTCAGGCATGGTGGCATCCATTTGTAGTCGCAGCTACCTGGGGCGCTGAGGCGGGAGGATAGCTTGAGCCTGGGAGGTCGAAGTTGCAGTAAGCCATCCTCGCACCACTGCACTGCAGCCTGGGTGACAAGGTGAGACCCTGTCTCAAAAAAAGAAAAAAAAATTCAAACTGTACAGAAGCTGAGAGTGAGGTGTGAAAATCCTTCCTTCCTCTTCAGTGCTTTTCCCGAGGGGTAACCACTGCTGAGAGTTTCGAAGTTCCAGGCATTTTCTCTCTGTATGTCTCTGGATGTGTATGTTTTTGCCAACAAATTCATCATGAACAACTCATGACTATTTCTCCCTGTCAGTGCATGTGGATCAACTTCTTGACTTTAGTGGGTGCTTCGACCTTTATTTATTTAACCATTTCCTTGTTGCTTGTTAGGAAGCCATTTCTGGTTTTTCAATGTCACAGTTAATGCTCAGGGAGCATCACTGTGCTGGGATCCTATTTGCCTTAGGTCAGAAACCTGCAGGGGGAGCTCCTGGCCAGTCGCACTTCTCCAACTGCAGGTGTCAGTCTTGATTTGTGCCAGGCTAAGGGGCAAACAGGGCAATGGCGTCTCGTTTTTATTTATATTTTTCTCACTCACAGAGAGGTGGGGCATAGTTTTTTTACTGCTTGGTGGCATTTCTTCCCACTTGCGTGAATCGCCTTCTCTATTTTTCTTTTCTTTTTTTGAGATAAGGTCTCACTCTGTCACCCAGATGGAATGCAACAGCGCAGTCATGGCTCACTGCAGCCTTGTCCTCCCGGCTCAAGCAATCCTCCCACGTTGGCCTCCTGAGTAGCTGGGACTACAGGTGTGTGCTACCACCCCTGGCTAATGTTTTATTTTTTTGTAGAGACAAGGTGTTGTTATGTTGCCCGGGCTGGTCTTGGACTCCTGGGCTCAAGCGATCCGCCACTTCAGTCTCCCAAAGTGCTGGGATTATAGGTGTGAACCACTGCACCGGGCACCTCCCCTGTTTTCCTATGAGACGGGTGGCCCTTTCCTTACTATCAGAGCTTTGAGTACGCCAGGCCAATGAACCCTTTGTCTCTTATATATGCTACAAATATTTTCTCTTAAAGCATCATTTGTATTTTTTGTATTTTAACTTTGTTGATGGTCTTTAGCTGTACAGAGCATTTCATTTTTATGGAGTAAAATTTGTCAATCTTTTTTTTTTTTTTTTTTTAGATGGAGTCATGCTCTGTCCCCAGACTGGAGTGCAGTGGCGCGATCTCGACTCACTGTACCTCCCAGGTTCAGGCGATTCTCCTGCCTCAGCCTCTGGAGTAGCTGGGATCATAGGCATGTGCCACCACGCCTAGCTAATTTTTATATTTTTTGTAGAGATGGGGTTTTGCCATGTTGACTAGGCTGGTCTTGAACTCCTGACCTCAAGTGATCCGCCCACTTCAGCCTCTCAAAGTGCTGGGATTACAGGGGTGAGCCTCCGTGCCCTCAGTCTACTTCTTGATGGCTTCTGGATTGTGTCCTGCTTAGAAAAGCCTGCTCCTCCCCGCAATTATGACTCCAGTCCTGTGTGGTTTCCTCTAGTACTTTGAGAGTTGGATTTATTACATTCAGCTTTTTAATGCATCTGGAACTTATTTTAGTATGTAGGGTGAGCTAAGAGTTTATTTCATAGTTTTCAATCTGATAACTGCTATTGACTATATTTTTATTTATATTGCTATTTTCAATGCAATATGTTTATATTTGCTATTTGTTATTATAGTAATAATTATTTATATTGCTTTTTTTTTTTTTTTTTTGAGACAGATCCTTGCTCTGTCGCTCAGGCTGGAGTGTAAAGGTGCAATCTTGGCTCACTGCAACCTCGCCTCCAGGGTTTAAGCAATTCTCCTACCTCAACCTCCCAAGTAGCTGGGACTACAGGTGTGTGCCACTGAGCCCAGCTAATTTTTGTATTTTTAGTAGAGGCGGGGCTTTACTATGTTGGCCAGGCTGGTCTAGAACTCCTGACCTAATGATCCGCTCACCTTGGCCTCCCAAAGTGCTGGAATTACAGGCATGAGCCACCACGCCTGGCCCCCCCCCCTTTTTTTTTTTTTTTTGAGACGGAGTTTTGCTCTGTCGCCCAGGCTGGAATGTAGTGTCGCAATCTCTGCTCACTGCAACCTCTGCCTTCTGGGTTCAAGCAATTCTCCTGCCTCAGACTCTCGAGTAGCTGGGATTGCAGGCACTTACCACCCTGCCTGGCTAATTTTTGTATTTTATTAGAGATGAGGTTTCACCATGTTGGCCAGGCTGGCCTTGAACTCCTGACCTCATGTGATCCATCCATCTCATCCTCCCAATGTGCTGGGATTACAGGTGCGAGCCACCGCATCTGGCCTATATTGCGATTTTCAATGCTATTTACTATATAATCTTCCACCTTCCTACCACTTATTCATAATATAGCATTTTCTCTACCTTTCTATGGCTATCTATCTATCTATCTATCTATCTATCATCTTTCCTACCCTTACTGTTGTGTTTTATTAGTTTATCTGTTCTTATTCCAGTAGCATATTGTGTAATGGTACTATCCTAGTTGTATGGCACCTCTTAATATCTGATAGGACTTAATATCTGATAGGACTTTTCCCCCACTATTAGTTTCTTTCAAATTTTTAGTGGCTACTTTTGTTTTACAATTTCTCAGATAAATAAACATCTATCGGTATTTTTAGTGGAGTCACACTTACTTTATAGATTAATTCATAGAGAGTGTACCTCTTTACAATATTGAATCCCACCATTTAAGAATAAGATGTCTATCAGTTAGTCCTTACTGGGTAACAAATCACCCCAAAACTCAGTGGCTTAAACCACTTCTATTTGTAATAGCACAAGTCTGTGTGTTGGCTAGAGATTGGTTGATTTGGGCTGGGCAGGGCCTGGTAGCCCTGCTTCAAGCTCTGGATGGATCCGTTTATGCTTCGTTCTTCACTGAGATGAGGGCTCAGGTCTGCCCCCCTTGTTTTCCTTTTGAGCAACAGGCCTAGGGTAAGCTCCTCTAACAGTAGTGGCAGAGAGGCAGGAAGACAAACAGAAACCTATTAGGGCTGAGGCTCTAATTGGCACATTGTCATTTCTGCCCACATTATATTGGCCAAAGCAGATCACATGGTTATACTCCAAGTTAAGGGATGGGGGAATACATTCTGCCCACAAGGAGGCCAAGGTAAGGGAATGGATGCAGAGAGGGATGAAAAAAAGGGGCCAGTGATAGAACTGATATCATGGTATATCTTTCTGTTTAGTTACTCCTTTTTTTGTTTTTTTATTTTTATTTTTTTGAGATGGAGTCTCGCTCTGTCGCCAGGCTGGAGTGCAGTGGCGCAGTCTTGGCTCACTGCAATCTACTTCTTGATGGCTTCTGAATTGTGTCCTGCTTAGAAGAGCCTGCTCCTCCCCACAATTATGACTTCAGTCCTATATGGTTTCTTCTAGTACTTTGAGAGTACTTGAACTCCGCCTTCTGGGTTCAAGTGATTCTCCTGCCTCAGTCTCCCAAGTAGCTGGGATTACAGGCACGCGCCACCATGCCCAGCTAATTTTTTGTATTTTAGTAGAGATGGGGTTTCACCATGTTGGCCAGGCTGGTCTTGAACTCTTGACCTTGTGATCTGCCCACCCCGGCCCCCAAAGTGCTGAGATTACAGGCATGAGCCACCACACCCGGCCCCCCCTTTTTTTTTTTTTTAAGCAAAGTTTTCTACACAAAAATATTGCACAATACTCATTAGGTCTATTCCTAGATATTGTACAATTCTTTCTTTTCTTTTTTTTTTTTTTTTTTTTTTTTGAGACAGAGTCTTGCTCTGTTGCCCAGGCTGGAGTGAAGTGGTGCGGTCTCAGCTCACGCAACCTCCGCCTCCTGGATTCAAGCGATTCTCCTGCCTCAGTCTCCCGAATAGCTGGGACTGCAGGCACGTGCCACCAAGCCCGGCTAACTTTTTTGTGTTTTTAGTAGAGACAGGGTTTCACTGTGTTAGCCAGGATGGTTTCGATCTCCTGAGCTCGTGATCCACCCGACTCGGCCTCCCAAAGTGCTGGGATTACAGGTGTGAGCCACCGCGCCCGGCCACCCTTTTTGAGATGGAGTCTTGCTTTGTCACCCAGGCTGCAATGCAGTGGCATGATCTCAGCTCACTGCAACCTCCGCCTCTCGGATTCAAAGGATTCTCCTGTCTCAGCCTCCTTGAGTAGCTGGGACTACGGGCGTGCACCACCACGCCCAGATAATTTTTGTATTTTTAGTGGAGACGGGGTTTCACCATGTTTGCCATGATGGTCTCTATCTCTTGACCTCGTGATCCGCCCACCTCGGCCTCCCAAAGTGCTGGAACTACAGGTGTGAGCCACTGTACCTGGCCAATATTGTACAATTCTTATTGCTATTGTTAATGGGATTTTTTCCCATTACATATTTAAATTATTTTTATTGACATACAGATAATTGACTTTGGGTTACTTATATTATACCCTACTGTCTTACAAAACTCTGTTACTGGTTCAACTTGCATTTCAGTTGGCCTTGTGAATTTACTAGCCAGACTGTCATATCATCTAAAAACTATAATTTTGTCTCTTCTTTTTTCCTCTGTCATCTAGGCTGGAGTGTAGTGGTACTATCTAGGCTCACTGCAACCTCTGTCTCCCGGGCTCAAGGGATCCTCCAGCCTCAGCCTCCCTAGTAGCTAGGACTACAGACATGTGCCACCATGCCCAGCTAGTTTTTGTATATTTTGTAGAGATGAGATGTCCCCATGTTGCCCAGGCTGGTCTTGAACTCCTGGGCTCAAGCAATCCTCCCACCTCAGCCTCCCAAAGTGCTGGGATTATAGGAGCGAGACACTGAGCCCAGCCTAATTTTGCCTTTTCTTTTCCAGTGCTTGTTTCTCTTATTTTTTTCCCCTTATTTTGTTGCATTCACTAGGTCCTCTAGCACTTAGTGAATATGATAGTGTTGATAGCATGAATGCTTGTTTCCTTCTTTAAAGGAATTGCTTCTGGGTTTCACCAATAAATATTATATCTGCTATTTATTTTTTCATTAAAAATAATGGTAAATAGCCAGGTGTGGTGGCTCATGCCAGTAATCCCAGCATTTGAAGAGGCCGAGGTGGGCAGATCACCTGAGGTCAGGAGTTTGAGACCAGCCTGGCCAACATGGTGAAACCCTGCCTCTATAAAAATACAAAAAATTAGCCGGGTGTGGTGACGCACACCTGTAATCCCAGCTACTTGGGAGCCTGAGGCAGGAGAATCACTTGAAACCGGGAGGCGGAGGTTGCAATGAGCTGAGATCACACCACTTCACTCTAGCCTGGGTGACAGAGCAAGACTCCGACTCAAAAAACAAAACAAAACAAAAGGTAAATACTTGAAGTGAAGTTAGACCTCCTTCTAGAATATTAAAGAGTGATGTTTGGGGGTCAGTGCAGGGGAGGTACATCCATGAATGAACATATTATTCATTTGCATTTTGGCCTCAAGTAGCAGATGTTAACTCATTCTAGCTTTAATAAAACAACGACAATGGCATTTATTATAAGGATGTAGGCAGGGACAAAGGTAAGTTTGATAAAGAGCTTAGGAGGCCACTTAGACTCTCTTTTTATCTCTCATCTCATCTCTGTTGCTTCCTGTGCCTCTTCTTACTTTTTAATGTTCCTGGAGACCAGTGTTCTCTGTTCTCCAAGCCATAGGGGAAACACATGTTTACCCAGCCACAAGACAAAGTCTCTCTCCTTTCTTTGTGTCTCATCAATCTCTTTCTCCATGACCTAATTCCAGATTCTAACAGAATGAACCCTGATCTCCCCTACTCGAGTCAGACTGCCCCATGGCCTAAAGGACCTATAGTTAGGCATAGGTGCCTTATTCCACATGGCTGGGAGGAGTCCTTTCTCTGGACCTGGGGCAGGTAAGGAGAGGCTGTCTTGGACTCCACAAGATATCCGTTGTGTAGAGAGCACCCTCAGCTCAATGGCAGGAGACTGTAGAGCTGAAAGACCTTGAGACCAGCCCTGACTCTGCCATGGAATCTCTCTTTGATCTGGGATACCAACAGCCTCTAGCCCTCAGTTTCCCCATTTTTTTTTTTTTTGAGACGGAGTCTCACTCTGTCCCAGGCTGGATATCGGCTCACTGCAACCTCTGCCTCCTGGGTTCAAGCGATCCTCCTGCCTCAGCCTCCAGATTACAGGCGGGTGCCACCACGCCTGGCTAATTTTTGTATTTTTAGTAGATACGGGGTTTCACCATGTTGGCCAGGCTGGTCTCAAACTCCTGACCTCGTGATCCACTGCCTTGGCCTCCCAAAGTGCTGGGATTACAGGTGTAAGCTACCATACCTGGCCAGTTTCCCCATTTTTTTTTTTGAGATGGAGTCTCACTCTGTCACCCAGGCTGGAGTGCAGTGGTGCTATCTCAGCTCACTGCAACCTCCACCTCCCGGGTTCAAGCGATTCTCCTGCCTCAGCCTCCCTAGTAGCTGGGACTACAGGTGCGTGCCACCATGCCTGGCTAATTTTTGTATTTTTAGTAGAGACGGGGTTTTGCCATGTTGGCCAGGCTGGTCTCGAACTCCTGACCTCAGGTGATCCACCTGCCTCGGCCTCCCAAAGTGCTGGGATTACAGGTGTGAGCCACCGTGGCTGGCCAGTTTCCTCATTTTTAACACTGGATTAACAATGTTGGTGCTGCATCCTTGCAGGGCTATTGGAAGGAAGCAGTGTATTATTTAATGTGAAAGCATTTTTTTTCTTTTTCTTTTTTCTTTTTTTTTTTTTTGAGACAGAGTCTCGCTCTGTTGCCAGGCTGGAGGGCAGTGGTGCGATCTTGGCTTGCTGCAACCTCTGCCTCCCACGTTCAAGTGATTCTTCTGCCTCAGCCCCGCAAGCAGCTGGGACTACAAGCGTGCACGACCACGCCCAGCTAATTTTTGTATTTTTAGAGACAGGATTTCACCATGTTGGCTAGGATGGTCTCGATCTCTTGACCTCAGGTGATCCACCCGCCTCGGCCTCCCAAAGTGCTGGGATTACAGGCGTGAGCCACTGCCCCCAGCCGTGAAAGCATTTTTTTTTATCCTGTAGTTGTGTAATTGCTGTGATGATTTCTTTTGCTGTTTTCTTCCCCTCCTCTTCCTACTCCTTTGTCTCAAAAAACAACTTGTTTCCTATCATTAGAAAAAAACACACATGCTCATTGTAGAGAAAAAAAACAATGGTAAACCAGAGCCAAAAGGAGGAAAATAAAAAATCCATAATCCTACTGTTAACACTATGTCATATACTGGTTGTGACCTTAATTTTTTTCCGATATTTTATTTTGTTAAATAAAAATGGAGTCATCCCAGAGAGTTCTTGGTCCCAAGTGTTCCCTCCTCCTGGGTCTGAGTGCGGGTGGCATTTGGAAGTGGGAGGTGGAACCAAAAGGGGCCCAACATTCTGGAGAGGAAAATGAAGGAGAAAGGTGGGGGCCAAACCAGGCTGTTGAAATCTTCCCCACCTTTGGGAGGCTTTCCCTCCCCTCTCCTTCCTAGCTATCTCAAGGGACGAAGAGGCTACTGCTGGGGTGGGTGGGGTGGATAGTACTGCCAGCCAGGACACAAAGCCTGCCTGACACCTCTCCAGGTATCTGGCCAATGGCCCCTTATGTGTTTTCTGTTTGTTTGTTTGAGACTGAGTCTCACTCTGTCACCCAGATAGGAGTGCACTGGCGCGATCTCGACTCACTGCAACCTCCGCCTCCCGAGTTCAAGCGATTCTCGTGCCTCAGCCTCCCAAGCAGCTGGGATTACAGGCACACACCACCACGCCCATGTAATTTTTGTATTTTTCATAGAGACAGGGTTTTGCCATGTGGCCCAGGCTGTCTCGAACTCCTGGCCTCAAGTGATCTGCCCACCTCAGCCTCCCAATGTGCTGGGGTTAGAGGCATGAGCCACTGTGCCCGGCCTGCATCTCATCTGAAAGACAAAACTTGACCTGCCAACCCTCCAACCTCCAAACTCCCTCTCTCACCACATTTTCTCTTTCCCACCTTCAATAGCACCCACATATTTATTTTAACCTGCTTAGTATGTGTATATGCAGCTGTTGGGACATTCATTGGTGGGGAGATCTGCAAGAGATTGGACTTGGGGCACCAAAGCACCCACTCCCAACAGAGGAGCCGGACCCATCAGAGGCCACTGGCTGTTGTCCTGCTGGAGACCCCAGAGCCTTATTTATGTTTGCTATTTAGACTGCTAGAGGAGAAGCAGCGAGATTTTGGTGGCAGGGAGACCAGTTGTTGCAGGGAGATCCCTTTCCAGGAAGGTGGGTGGAGACTCACACCACAAGCCTAGGAAGAGACACAGCCTAATGTATACATTGGTTAAAATCCTGGGCTCCGGAGTCAGCTGTCTGGATTCAAACTGTGGCTCTGAGACCTTGGGAAAGTCGTCTGCTCCTCATACCTTAGTTTCCTCATCTGTGAAATGGGGATGACTATGGACATTGGTTAAACAACTGATTTCTGGGGAGGCGGGAATGAGCCCTGATTTGTAGTGTGTGCTGAATTCCGTGGTGTAAACACTCTCTGCACGGATGATTTCAAGCAAGTAACATGAAGTCACGGATGCAGAGCTGGGGAGGGATGGCCAGGAGCCCACCTTTGCACATTACTTTCACCACACTGACACCACCAATGAAGGGAGCCCCAAGGAACAGGTGATGGTAAAATATGGTAAAATAATTAGGAAGTGATGAGTTTTGAGTATGTATTGTCTTTGCTTTTAATATAATTTATTTAATTGTAATACAATTTAATTTTTCATGTCTGTGTTTAACAAAAGAAGAAAGAAACATAACACTTAGTATTGTGCTTACCTTGTAGCTAGGGCTCCTCAAACTTTGTTGTCTGCAGAACCACCTAGAAGGCCCAGGCCAAACACAGAGGCCCAAGCTGATTAAAGTAGGATAGGGCCTGGGCCTTCATATTTTTACCAAATTTCTGGTGATTTTGATATAATCTAAGTCTGAAAACCACCAGTGAGTTTTGGGATTTCAGGGTGCCCAATGAATACTAGGTTGAAATGTACCAAATTAATGGTGTTTTACTGGTTTTAAATGATTGTACAATGGGCAATTTCACAGGGTTCAACCTAATAACTCTTCACTGCCACAGTTTGGAACCAATTAAGAAATTACTAAAGCTGGGCATGGTGGCTTACACCTGTAATCCCAGCACACTGGGAGGCCGAGGTGGAAGGATTGCTTGAGCCCAGGAGTTTGAGACCAGCCTGGGCAACATAGTGTGACTCCATCTCAATCAATCAATCAATGGTAAATAATAAATTTTTAAAAATTACCTGCCTGGCGCAGTGGCTTATGCCTGTAATCTCAGCACTTGGGGAGGCCGAGGTGGGCAGATCACCTGAGGTCAGGAGTTCAAGACCAGCCTGGCCAACATGGTGAAACCCCATCTCTACTAAAAATGCAAAATTAGCTGGGTATGGTGGCGCATGCCTGTAATCCCAGCTACTCGGTAGGCTGAGGCAGGAGAATTGCTTGAACCTGGGAGGCAGAGGTTGCATTGAGCTGAGATCATGCCATTGTACTCCAGCCTGGGCGACAGAGTGAGACTTGTCAAAAAAAAAAAAAATGCTGGGCGCAGTGGCTCACGCCTGTAATCCCAGCACTTTGGGAGGCCTAGGTGGGTGGATCACTACCTGAGGTTGGGAGTTTGAGACCAGCCTGACCAACATGGAGAAACCCCATCTCTAATAAAAATACAAAATTAGCTGGGCGTGGTGGCACATGCCTGTAATCCCAGCTACTTGGGAGGCTGAGGCAGGAGAATTGCTTGAACCCAGGAGGCAGAGGTTGCAGTGAACCGAGATCACAGCATTGCATTGCAGCCTGGGCAACTAGAGCGAAACTCTGTCTCAAAAAAATAATAATAATAAAATAAATTACCAAGTAAATCAGTTGGGAAATTGACATATTGGTCAGGCTGATACTGGAAGATGCAGTCTATCTCTTTGGGCTGGGGGTATCCTAAGATGGAATGCCAGGAAGAGGCACTTACCCATCCAGGCACAGACCATCCTGATAACTGCAGAGCCCAGGGAGCAGAACGGGATGCTTTCATGGGGAACTGGCCACTATATCTGCCAGTTCCCTTCCCAAACTCACCAGTCAGGTGACCAGGGCTGATATTAAGAAAAATATTCAGCAACTGATATGGGACATGAGCAAAACCCTCTTCCTCTTTTCATGATGTCACACAGCCTTGCTGCACGGGGTGTGGTGCATGGGCCAACAACATTAGGTTCACCTGGAAGTTTGCTGGGAATGCAGTCTTGCCCCCACCTCCAACCTACAGAACTAACATGCACGGGAACCCTACACCCCAGAATTCTCATGCACAGTAAAGTTGGGTGAGTTCTGTCCCTGGGGAGGACATGAGTCATTGGAGAAGTGTGGACTCTTGGATGATGAGACACGTAAGCTCCTCGAGGAGACGGCTTATGTGTTTCAGTCATTGCTTTATCCTGAGCCCTGTAACTGTTGATGGAATAAGTGTGGGCTTCTTCTGTTTGCTGAGAAACAGGCCTGGGATCTGGAGCTCAGGAGAGGGATAAGCTTTCCTGCTGGGCTGCTTGCCGACTGTGAAATCTTGAACCAACCCTTAATATTTCTGGGGTTCAGTGTTTCTGTCTGCAAAATGGGAAAAGTAACAACTGCCTTGGAGGGTTGTTGTGGGGAAAAAAGCAAGACGATAATGCAGCTGAGATCACCTAGCACAGGACTGGATGTTGAATGAATACATGCAACGTGCAGTGTGTGTATGTGTGTGTGTGTAGACAGAGTCTCGCTCTGTTGCCCAGACCGGAGTGCAGTGGTGTGATCATGGCTCACTGTAGCCTTAAACTCCTGGGCTTAAGCATTCTTCTGGCTCAGTCTTCCTAATAACTGGGACTACAGTGTGAGACATTGCACAAGCCCAATGTGTTTTTCTAAAAAGGCTTTAAAATGTCTAGTTATTTCTGTTCCCAAGGGTATCTGTATGTCTGTGTCTGTGTTTAGTGTTTGTGTTTGTCTTTGTGGGCGTGTCTGTGTGTATAAGGTGTGTATATGTGTGTGTGTCTGCATGTGTCAGTGTGTGTAGTGTGTGTGGTGTGTGGGTGTGTGTGTGTCTGCATGTGTCTGTGTTTGTGTGTCTGTGTGTGTGTGTGTGTGCGTGCGTGCGTGCGCACATAGGAGTGAAAGGAGTGGAGGAAGGCCAGGAGGTAGGAACCCCCGAGTCGAGTTTGGGGCACCTAGATTTTAAACCCACACCTCTAGGGTGACCTTTGAGTCCAGCTGCCTCTTTTGGGATTATGCCCTGAGATATTTTTCCTATTTCTAGGTTTCTTTCCCTTTCTCGTTCTCTTCTGTGTGCGGGACTGCACACAGGGTCCTTGTTGTTCCAGGGCCCAGGGCTCAATTATGGGATTTTCCCCTGTTTGTTCAGCAGCCACACCCAATTAATCTAGATAAATTTGTAAATGTCTTCATTTATATGGAAAATCCTTCAGAGAAACAAGAATTCCTGTGATGGAGCCCACACTGGAACAACAACTACTACTCCCAGCCCTTTCTTCAGAAAACAGTTTCCTGGCACAGGGACACCCGGCCCATCTCAGACCATTTTTAGCACAGCTGAGTGCAATGGTGAGTGCTTGGCCCAGAGCGACCACAGAGTGAGTCCTTAACCTCTGCACTGCACACCTTCTCCTCCCTTACAGGGTCAAGGTCAAGACGAACAGTCAGATCAGGCCTGTGTGACCCCCTCTTTAGGCTCAGAGCTCAGCATCTGTTTCCTGGGGCTGCTGCAACCAAGTCCCGCAGACTGCGGGCATCATAAGCAACAGCAACTTACTCTCTCTCAGTCTGGAGGCTGGAAGCCTGAGATCAAGGTGTCAGAAGGGCTGTGCTTGTTCTGGTGGCTCTAGGGGAAGATGCTTTCTTGCCTTATCCGTGTGCTGTGGCGTTCCTTGGCCCACAGCTGCATCACCACAGTCTCTGCCTCTGTCTTCACGTGGTATCTTCTCCCAGTATGTGTCCCTCTCTCTTCTAACCTTTTTTTTTTTTTTTTTTGAGACAGAGTCACTCTCTGTTGCTCAGGTTGGAGTGCATTGGTGTGATCTCGGGTCACTGCAACCTCCACCTACCCGGGGTTGAAGCAATTCTCATGCCTCAGCCACCTGAGTAGCTGTGATTACAGGCATGCACCACCACGCTTGGGTAATGTTTGTATTTTTAGTAGAGATGGGGTTTCTTCACATTGGCCAGACTGTTCTCAAACTCCTGGCCTTAAGAGATCCACCTGCCTGGGCTTCCCAAAGTGCTGAGATTACAGGCATGAGCCATCATGCCTGGCCTCTCTGCTTCTTCTCTTAAGGATGCCATTCATACTGTATGGGGGCCATCCTACTCTAGTATGACCTCATCTTAAGTGATCACAGCTGTCCTAACTCTGTTCCCAAATAAGGTCACATTCTGAGATTCTGGGGGTTAGGACTTTACATCTTTTGGGGGAACACAGTTCAGTCCATAAACAGAAAGAGGGTTGGGACATCGCCTGTCTTTTGCTGACCTTGGGCAGATGGCTTTTCCCTAATATTTGGTTCCTGCCTCTGTATAATGACTATAACAAGCTCTGTCTCCCAGGATTGGCCTGTGATTCCATGAGGATGGTGTAAATTGCTTGTCTTAGAACAGGTTGCTTACAGGGTTGGTTTTGTCTCCTTCTCTCAGGTCAGATTGTGAAGTGGGAAATAGTTGCCTCCCAAGCTTCCAGTTAACAAAGTTTGCAATATCTAGAAGAGTTTCTGAAATCCATGCTAAAATGTTCAGAGCATAAGGTGGCATATAAATTGAATAGTAAAGAGATTCAATCTTTAAGCGTGTTTCTAAGTGACAATTATCAGCTTATTTGGGCTGGTTGTTTGTTGCACAAATATAACACACAAGCCAACCAGATTCTGTAGGCTTCAGGAATTTGTTTGTTTGTTGCAGATTGGAGCTGTTATTAAATAAAATTTTTAAAAAATATATAATTAACTGGGGGTGGTGGTACATACCCGTGGTCCCAGCTACTTGGGAGGCTGAGGTGGGAGGATCGCTTGAGGCTGAGGGGTTGAGACTTCAGTGAGCTGTGATGGCACTGTTGCACTCCAGCCTGGGCCACAGAACAAGAACCTGTCTCAAAAATGAAAAACTAACTAAATAAATTAATAAACATAAGATATGAGATTCCTTGACATTCAAATCTGGAAGTCAGATGCAGTCCTGCCCCTGTGCATTCTCTGAAACTTGAATACCTTCCATAGAGAGCTTAGGTTGTATTAAGACCGAGTCTGTCTCCCTATAGACTGTGAGTTCTATGAGCAGGATGACTTTGCTATTTATTTCTTTACCTAGAATGTTCCAGCTATTTATTGCTGCATAACAAATCACTCCAAACATCACAGTTTAAAATAACATGTAATTATTTCTCATAGTTCTGGGGGTTAACTGGGCTCAGCTGGGTGGTTTTCACTGTCTCTCACACACTGTTGCTATTGGATGGTGGCTGGGGTTGGAACCAACTGAAGGGGGCCCACTCACGTGTCTGGCTTTTGGGCCGGAAAGGCTCAAATATCTGGGTCTGGGCAGATGGGGCTCCTTAGGTATTTCTGTCTCTGTGTGGACTCTACATAGTCTCTCCAGCATGACGCCTTCAAGGTAGCTGTGGTCCTTACAGTAGTTCAGGGATCCCAAAGCACATGACCCTAAGGAGAGAGAATCAGGTAGAATCTGTATCACATTTTATGACTGAACCTCCCCTAAAAATCAAGAAGGGTCACTTCCAAGAGAGTCACTAAGGCCAGCCCATATTCAAGGGGAGGGCAATGAGACCCCACCTTTCGATGAGAGGAGCATCAAAGAGTTAGACAAGTTTTAAAATTTCTAAGGGATCTGCTGGGCACGGTGACTTACACTTGTAATCCCAGCACATTGGGAGGCTGAGGCAGACAGATCGCTTGAGGCCAGGAGTTTGAGACCAGCTTGGTCAACATGCTGAAACTTATCTCTACTAATTTCTGTATTTTGTACAAGAATTGGTAGTCCCAGCCACTCAGGAGGCTGAGGCATGAGAATCCCTTGAACCCGGGAGGCAGAGGCTGCAGTGAGCCGACATCGCACCACTGCACTCCAGCCTGGGTGCAGAGCAGGACTCCATCTCAAAAAAAAAAAAAAAATTCATGAGATGGACAGTAATACTCACTCTTCTTTATTTTTTACTTAAAAAGATAACAAGAGGCCAGACACAGTGGCTCATACCTGTAATCCCAGCACTTTGGGAGACCGAGGCGGGTGGATCACAAGGTCAGGAGTTCAAGAACAACCTGGCCAACATGGTGAAACCCTGTCTCTACTGAAGATACAAAAAATTAGCTGGGCATGGTGGCGTGGGCCTGTAATCCCAGCTACTCAGGAGGCTGAGGCAGGAGAATCACCTGAACTCAGGAGGCGGAGGTTGCAGTGAGCTGAGATCATGCTATTGCACTCCAACCTGGGCAACAGGGCGAGACTGTCTCAAAAAAAAAAAAAAGAAAGAAAGAAAGAAAGAAGAATGCCTCTTAAATATTTGCAAGTCTAAGCATTAGGTATATTAAATTTTTTGTTTGTTTGTTTTCCTATGCCAACTCACCTGAAAAGCATTAGGTATAAATTAATTAAACTATTGTTGAAATTCTGAAGATGTTGATCTGTGTTAGCGTGTTAGAGTTTTTTTACTTTTTTAAAAAGGAGAGCCAGCATTAGAAAATTAGTTAGATCTTAGTCCTTAGGAAGTCAGCACAAAAAAACTATATATGACAGCTGTTAGCTCACTGGCGTCATTCATCTTATCACCTAATAAAAGGTTTATTTTCATTACAGATATTTAGAGGAGTAATCTGATATGAAATTGGTAGAATAACAACATAAACTACTTAAAAAAAGAACCTTACCTCAAGACTTTCCCTTTTCTTTGTCATGATAAAAGAGAATTATTACTATTGAGAGAGCAAACAATAGGTGCTCAATACATGTTTGCTGAATTGACTTGCTGCAAAACTGCATCAGTGAATTCCAGTTTATAGTTAGGCATAACCGTTGCAAGACACCATTTAAAGGCTACCCCTAGTCACAGCTCTTATGAACATATATTAATACAATCAAGACTGAACGTTTTTGTTTTTACAGAAAGCTGCGGTGGAGCAATTGCAGTGGATTCATCAGGATGCAGGCAGAGGTGTAGAACCGCTAAGTGTTGCACGGGATTGATGGCAGGCATCAGGCCTCACACAGTGATGGGAACCAGCTCAACAGTGCGCTGTCCCTGAGTCTGTCGTGGGTCTAAGGCCAGTCAGGCTGGCAATGGGTAAGCAAAGATGAATGTGAGGTCAGGGAGAGCAGAGTCTGCCAGGAGGAGACACCAGACCCCATGAGGAGGTTACGTCTCATTGGATCCCATGCTGGCCTCTCATCCCCTTCAACCCATGACTGTGCATGGGTGAGCTGCAGGAGAGCTGGGTGCTTCCCTCCAGGAGCACTCGACCCAGGTGAACATAGACAGGTTCACACACATGACCCTGACCAGGGATTTGGGACCTGAAGGAAGAGATCGGGCAGGAGCTGGGGGTCTGTGGGCCTCAGGGCTGCTACCTCAACCAAGAGAGCCAGGTGCCCCCGGACAACTGGGCGAAACCCGTCAGGCCTGCCACTGCACCCATCATGGGATGGGGAGGACGATTATCAGGTTGTATGGACGGAGTCTGCTTCCTGTGCAGGGAAGAAGGTACCCGAGTACGTTGCTGGCGGGCACGCAGATTGTCACAACCTTCTGGAGAAGTAGCCTGGGCAAAATGTTTTAAAATTACAGAACGTCTCTTTGACCCAGAATTTCATAGCTGGCATTCCTTATCATACAAGTAATGTAAGGATGGATGGTCAGTGTTGAGTAAATTATGGAAAATTCTTAATAGTTTATAACAATTCATGAATAATTATAATAATGGATCATTCTTAAAAATGAAAATAATAAGTTAGTGCTACATCTGGAGACCTGGGGAAGTCTAAAAACAAGCTGAGATACAATGTGTATGGTATAAACTCATTTTTCCTAAAACAAAGACAATATTATTTGGAAATGTATATATACATGTATATATATGTGTGTCATCTATTTAGAAGTACTTTTAAGGCCAGGCGCGGTGGCTCAGCCTGTAATCTCAGCACTTTGGGAGGCAGAGGTGGGTGGATCACCTGAGGTCAGGAGTTCGAGGCCAGCTTGGCCAACCTGGTGAAACCCCAACTCTACTAAAAATACAAAAAATTAGCCAGGTGTGGTGGCAGATGCCTGTAATCCCAGCTACCCAGGAGGCTGAGGCAGGACAAATTGCTTGAACCCAGGAGGCAGAGGTTGCAGTGAGCCGAGATCACGCCCTTGCACTCCAGCCTGGGCAAAAAGAGCAAAATTCTGTCTCCAAAAAAAGAACTTTTAAAAGCATGAAGAAAAATTTGGAGGGAGAAATACTAAATACTAGGTTGTAAAAATTGGTTATGTTGGGGGCGAGGGAGTGAAGGTGACAAATAAAAGAGAAAAAGGCAAATATTAGACTAGAATAACAACAAATCTCATATCAATTAATGATCTCATATAGGCTTTTACTTAAGATTAAATAGGTGTGTTTATATGTAACTTATCTCTATTAATACTTTGCGTTGAAATGTATTTTGCATGATATTAATGTAATTACTTTACCCTTCTTATGGTTACTTTGTATACGGTAAATTTTCTATTACGATTTACTTTTAGTCTAACTGTCTTTATAATTAAAGTACATCTCTTTTATCCATTCTGACCATTCTACCTTTTAATTAGAGTGTTTAGGCCATTAACATTTAATGTGATTATTGATATGATTGGATTTAAATCTACCACTTAATTATTTATTTTTGTTTGTCCCTTTGTTATTTTTAACTTTTTTTTTTCTTTAAATAATGTTAAATTTACTTGCCAGGTGCAGTGGCTCATGCCTGTAATCCCAGCACTTTGGGAGGCCGAGGCCAGCGGATCACTTGAGGTCAGGAGTTCAAGACCAGCCTGGCCAACATGGCGAAAGCTTGTCTTTACTAAAAAAAAATACAAAAATTAGCCAGGTGTGGTGGCGGGCACCTGTAATCCCACCTACTCCAGAGGCTGAGGCGGGAGAATTGCTTGAACCTGGGAGGCAGAGGTTGTAGTAAGCTGAGATTGCACCATTGCACCCCAGCCTGGGCAACAGAGCGAGACTCTGTCTAAAAAAAAAAAAAAAAAAAAAAAAAAAAAAAAAAAAAAAATTATAGAGAAGTTGCAAAGATAGTTGCTATAAATTAAATGTTTGTGTTCCCCCAAAATTCACATTGTGGAAGCCAAGGTAATGAGATTTGGAGGTGGGGCCTTTGGGAAGTGATTAAGTCATAAAGGTAGACCCCTCATGAATGAGATTTGTGCCTTTATAAAAAGAGGAGGAAACCTGGGATCTCTCTCTCTCTCTCTCTATCTCTCTCTCTTTCTTACTCTCATCTGCCACATAGGATACAGGAGAAAATGGCCATCTGCAAATCATAGAAAGGGCCCTCCCCAGAACCGACCATGCTGGCATCCTGATCTCAGACTTTCTAGCCTCCAGAACCATGAGAATTAAACATCTGTTGTTTAGACCAGTCGGTCTGTGGTATCCTTTCATAGCAGCCATAGCCAATTAAAATCATAGTACAGAGAGTCCCATATACCCCTCACTCAGTTACCCCCACTGTTAGCACCTTGTATTATACCTTGCTATTGTACATTTGTCACAAATAAAAAACCAACATTGGTACGTTATTATTGGTACATAACTAAACTCCAGGATTTCGTCACTTTTTTATTTGGATTTCGTCACTTTTTCTATCCTCTTTCTAATCTAGGTTACCATATTGCATATTTAATCATGTCTCCCCCATCTCCTCTGGTCTAGGATGGTTGCTTAGTCTTTCCTTTGTTTTTCATGACCTTGACAGTCTTGAGGAGTACTGGCCAGGTAGCCTGTAGAATATTCCCAAAATTGATGTTTTTCTCGTGATTAGACTGGGGTTGTAGATTTTTGGAAAGGAAACCATGGAAGTGAAGCGTCCTTCTTGTCTTCTCATTTCGGGAGATTCATGATATCAACATGACCCATCACTGGTGATGTTAACCTTCATCTCATGGTTAAGGTAGTGTCTGCCAGGTTGCTCCATGGTAAAGTTACTCTCTCTCTTTCCCATACTCTTCCACTACTTGGAAGCAAGCCACTAAATCTAGCCCAACCTCAAGGTGGAGGGAAGGGAGTAGGAATTAAGCTCTACTTCCTAGAAAGGGAGTATGTACACATATTATTTGAAATTCTTTTATAAGGAAGATTTGTTTCTTGTCCCTGTTTATTTGCGTATTTATTAAATCATTTATTTATATAAGTGAGGACTCACGTATGTGTGTTTTACATTTTGGTTTATATTTCCATATTATTTATTTTGTGGTTCCAATTGTTCCAGCTCTGCTCATTGGAAACCCTTTGTGGTTGGCTCCTATATCCCTTTGATTTGCCCTAATCTAAGATTTTATGATCAGATCTACTCTGAAATTTTCAACTTTTCAGTTATAGGAGGCAGTAAGATTTGTCTCCCCCTTTTTATTGCTTAAGCTAATTTGAGTTGAATATCTGCCATTGCAAGCAAAGAGAGACCTAAGAGAGACCTGATTAACAGACATAATATATAACAAAATCAGGTAAATAGATTATTTAACTTTGAGCTTCCTGGAAGCCAAAGTAAAAAGAGAAATAGTATGGATTATATAACACTTGTCTGATTAAAGGAAACATACCAAACTTAATTTAATCCCCGATTCAAATGTGACAAATACAAAGATCCTTATTCATGAGGATATTAAGTAGCATAAGGATTTTTCTAATGATGCCACGACATTCTGATTTAGAAGCAAAGGATGTTATTATTTTGGTGGGATTTAATAAAAAGGCATTTCTGTAAGAAGTTCCTGTGGCCTAGGAACTAGCTTTTCATATTCTAACCGGATACAGACAGACAGCTTAGGGAACCAGAGAATGGATGCATAGTCTTTGTCTCAGACTATCTTTTTCAGGGTCCTTGGGTATTTGATGGATAGCAGCCAAATGATCTTTTAAAAAATAGGCTGGGTGCAGTGGCTCACGCCTGTAATCCCAGCACGTTGGGAGGCCAAGACAGGTGGATCACGAGGTCAGGAGATTGAGACCATCCTGGCTAACAGGGTGAAACCCCGTCTCTACTAAAAATACAAAAAAATTAGCCAGGCATAGTGGCGGGCACTTGTAATCCCTCCTAGTGGAGGCTGAGGCAGGAGAATGGCGTGAACCCAGGAGGTAGAGGTTGCAGTGAGCCGAGATCGCGCCACTGCACTCCAGCCTGGGCGATTGAATGAGACTCCATCTCCAAAAAAAAAAAAAAAAAAAAAAAAAACACTCTTGGCCAGGCGTGGTGGCTCACGCCTGTAACCCCAGCACTTTGGGAGGCTGAGGCAGGTGGATCACCTGAGGTCGGGAGTTCAAGACCAGCCTGACCATCATGGAGAAACCCTGTTTCTACTAAAAATACAAAATTAGCTGGGCATGGTGGTGCATGCCTGTAATCCCAGCTACTCAGGAGACTGAGGCAGGAGAATCGCTTTAACCTGGGAGGCAGAGGTTGAGGTGAGCTGAGATGGTACCACTGCACTCCAGCCTGGGCAACAAGAGTGAAACTCCATCTCAAAACAAAACAAAACAACAACGAAAAACACTCTCAACAGATGCACACAATATTACTGAAAGGGTACTGATCTATTATAAGCCAGAATTACAATTCTAGCATTTGAGCTGGAGATTTAACTTTGCAATTTCCACTGATGCTAGTGAATTTCACATCAATTTCTCTACCTATCAGCCAGCAAAACTCCTTTTAACTTGTCAGCAGAGCTTAAGGGGATTCCTTCTGAAGAAAGTGCTCTTTAACACACAATGGATAACAGGTTTGGAATGCAAGGAGGGAGTGAGCCCAATGAAAATCTCCTCACAGAGAGCTGCTTTTATTCCCATTGCGTTTTTCCTTCCCTGAAACTTCAGATTTTCGGCACCTCCTGCTTGCAGGCTGTAACAGTGACTGCTGAGCACTCTATCCACAGCCCCTCTGGATCTCCATCAGAGCTCCAAGCTTGCATTCCATTTGCATTAGGAGCCCACCTTGCAGCCGGCTGGCCTGCCTCCTGACTCCAGATGTCATCTTCAGAAAGCTTCACCTTCCAGTGGCTGAGTTAATCCTCTTACCAAGGGTTTGGCTGCTTTTTAACTTCTAGAGGTATTTTCCTGCCACTGGCCAGCTTTTTTCTTTTTTTTTTCTTTTTTCTTTTTTTTTTGTCGTTGAGTTTCTGTGGTGCTATAGGATTTAAAGTGGGATAGATTAGCCTGAGCAAAAGACTTCAAGCCAGGCAGATCCTGTAGAACAAAGGAATTTCAGCCCCCAGAGAAGTTGGTGGCTTGGAAGAAACTTCAAACAGCATCCAGAACCCAGGCCATGGAAGAGCAATTAGTTTGAAAAACTCAGAGGCCTGGTGTTAGGCAGTGTGACCCAAACATCAACCATTCATACTTTCCACATCAGCCTAACACCTGTGCCATGGTTTACTTGATATTTATTTATATTTATTTATTTATTTATTTATTTATTTATTTATTTTTGAGACAGTGTTTTGTTCTTGTCGCCCAGGCTGGAGTGCAATGATGTGATCTCGGCTCACTGCAACCTCCGCCTCCTGTGTTCAAGCGATTCTCCTGCCTCTGCCTCTGAAGTAGCTGATATTACAGGTGCCCACCACCACGCCTGGCTAATTTTTGTAGTTTTCATAGAGATGGAGTTTCACCATGTTGGCCAGCCTGGTCTCGAACTCCTGACTTCAGGTGATCTGTCCTTAGCCTCCCAAAGTGCTGGGATTACAGGCGTTAGCCACTATGCCTGGCCTACTTCATATTTCTTTAAATCATTTCATGTTTTGAAGCTTAAATGCATTTACATAAAAATAAAACATTCTGGGCCTGACCAGCCAGGGCTCCAGGCCCTCCCAGCTCCCTGGGGCTTTGGCTGTGGAGCAAGAAGGCCTTCAGAGGCTAGGTATGGACCTAGCCACTCACCCTGAGTGCCTCTCCTTAGAGCCCAAAGGAGATCCAGAGAGGACAAACAGGGAATGACTAGGTCAGCAGGGCCCAGGCAGAGGCCGTGTCGCATCCTCTTCCACACCCAGCCTTGCAGGCTGCCCCAGAGAACACCCACACACACCGTACTCCCAGCCTCAGGGACCAGTGGGGGTGACAGATTGCTATACAGCAGGTAAACATGCAGTAATGAAGGACAGTTAGTTCTAGAAGACAGCCCGTGAAAAGACATGGGCCTCATCTGCCAAATTTGAAAAAAGAGTTGGCAAATACATCTCCCTGATACCACTCTCTCAAAGTCCACTAGAATTTCTAGAATGTGGGGCAAGGCAGGGTGTTGCAGAATGGAAACCACAGCTGGTTCCAGCCTGGAGGACCGTTTTGGGAAGATCACCTTTGCCTTGCTGGTCCTTGAGTATTTTTGCAGGTGAACAGCCAACTTCAGCAATAGTCCTTGGAGTGTGTAGCATGGCCTTGTCAGATTGGGAAGCACTTAGGTGCTACTAAGTTCTCATCAGGGCAAAATAAAGTGTGCCCTCAGAGAGATTCAGCTTCTTCCATTTCTTCCTGCATCGTTTGTTCATAGAGAACAAATGTGGGATTGAATAGTTCTGAACTCTGAAACATTTTTTTGTCCTGGAAGTGTTTTTGTGGCCAAGAATGTACATAGCATTTGCGGATGGAGTGAGCTCTGGTGGTGGTGTCTGGTGGAAGTTCAAAGCCTTTAATTGTGATCCCAGCATTTCCAAGCCCCTGGAATTGGGGGGCTGTGGCTCCGAGGATTAGTCACCTCAACTGAGTCCCTGTCCTTATTTGCCTGTGAAACTGGGAGAAAGGACTGAATTCACAGAAGCCTTGCAAAGAAGGACATTGTTATCTTTTCTTTTCTTTTTTTTTTTTTTTTAAGAAACTGATGTTTATTTTCCGCCAATCATTTTTCCGTGTTGCTTAAGAGCCTATGCAAGAACAGCTTAAGACCAGTCAGTGGTTGCTCCTACCCATTCAGTGGCCTGAGCAGTGGGAGCTGCAGACCAGTCTTCCATGGCAGGCTGAGCACTCCTGTCTTCAGTAGGGAACTACTGAATAGGCACAGAGGGCACCTGTACACCTTCAGACCAGTCTGCAACCTCAGGCTTAGTAGCAGTGAACTCAGGAGCTGGAGCAGTCCATTCACCCTGAAATTCCTCCTTGGTCACTGCCTTTTCAGTAGCAGCCTGCTCTTCTTTTTCAATCTCTTCAGGATCTCTGTAGAAGTAGAGATCAGGCATGACCTCCCATAGGTGTTCACGAGAAATGGTGCCACGCATGCGCAGAACTTCCCGAGCCAGCGTCCACCACATCAAACCCACTGAGCGAGCTCCCTGGTTGTTGCATGGAATGGCAATGTCCACATAGCGCAGAGGAGAATCTGTGTTACACAGAGCAATGGTAGGTAGGTTAACATAAGATGCCTCCGTGAGAGGCTGGTGGTCAGCCCTGGGGTCAGTAACCACAAGAAGCCTTGGCTCCCAGAAGTCTGCCTGGATCTGGTTAGTGAAGGTTCCAGGAGTGAAGTGACCAGCAATTGGAGTGGCTTCAGTGGCAGCAGCAAACTTCAGCACAGCCCTCTGGCCAGTATTCCTGGAGGATATAACACTGACATCAGCAGGGTTTTCAATAGCAATAATAGCACGAGCTGCCAGCAGAAGCTTCTCCCAGGTCCTCTTCAGATTTATGATATAGATGCCATCACTTTTCCTTTTATAGATGTACTGTTCCATCTGGAAGTCAAGATTGGTGCCACCTAAGTGGGTTCCTGCTACAAGGAACTTAAGGACATCCTCCTCCTTCATTTGCAGGACATCAAGCGCTCCAGACATTGTGAAAGTTTCCCTTTAAGTTACGACGGGAATCCAGAACGACGCTGTATGGACCCCTCTGTAGGTAGCGCGGAAAGGCTATCTTTTCAAAATTAATGGGCAATGCCATTTTTTTTGTACTTAAAAGGAGACTTTGCAAAGATGAGTCAAGTTTGGAAGGATGGTTGTGTGCAGACTCATTTTTGTAGTTCTGAGGAGCAAAAATGCCTAAATCTAGCTGCATGCTTCTTTTCCAGAACATGACACCCTGCCCCTTTATTTGTTGAAATGGTTGAAGCTCTGCACCATCAAAAAGGCTGAATTGCTTTTGCCACTGTAACAGACTGAAAGCCTGTGATGACGGGGCAGTGATGTCGACTTGGGCAGAATGGAGCCCGTGAATTATTGGGACGCCCTCGGTTTCTCAGTCCAGTACAGTATGCTCTTCTCTGTCTCTATTTTTGTGATTTTTTGGTGGCACAGATCCTCTGGAAAACATTGGTCTATGCTGACCTTATAATATTGCAACACATGATATTTTTCATGATGGAATGTTTGGACCGTATTTGCCCAGTTAAGCTCTACTGTATTTTGTAATAAAGAATCTCAAAATCGGCCTGGCGCAGTGGCTCACACCTGGCAATCCCAGCAATTTGGGAGGTGAGGCATATGGATCACCTGAGGTCAGGAGTTTGAGACCAGCCTGGCCAACATGGTGAAACCCTGTATCTACTAAAAATACCAAAATTAGCCAGGCATGGTGGCAGGTGCCTGTAATCCCAGCTACACAGGAGGCTGAGACAGGAGAATAGCTTGAACCGGCAGGGGTGGAGGTTGCAGTGAGCCGAGATTGCGCCATTGCACTCCAGCCTAGGTGAAAAGACAGAAACTCTGTCTCAAAAAACAAACAAACAAAAAAGAAAATCTCAAAACGCAGGGATGTATGGGAGGTGTGGTTAAATCTGAAGTCCCAGAAGCCCTGAATCCTAAAATGTGTGCTCAAAGAGGCACATTCTGAAATTCACAGAAAGGAAGAGGGATGAAGAGGAATCTATTTTTACATCGCTACAGTAAATGGAAAACAAGTGTCATTTGCATATGGAGATGAAAGCAGCAGAGAAAACACCAGTGATGATGAATATGATGGATGAGAACATAGCACAGTGGCTATGTTACCCCAGTTTAGCTCAGTCTTTTTATTTGGGGAGGGTTCTTGCCTTCAGGACTGCTCTCTCTTTGTTAAAAAGAATGGACTTTTTTCTAGAGGTTATCAGAAGCATCAGAACTATATGAGCTGAAGAAGAAGAACTTTTGGCTCTGTCATTCAAAGCCAGTTAACATCCTTTCCCATGTCCCAGCACGTTGGTGGACTCTAGTTGCTAGAAAGAGACCAGACTGTCTACAGGTTATCCTGGGATGCAACCCCAACTTTGCCCCTTTTTAGCCATGGGACCCTGGGCAAGTTCCTTGCTGTCTCCTTTTTCCCATCTTTAGAAGCTGTGACACTAATCTCTACCTTTGAGACCTGTTGTAAGGATTGAAGATCCCCTTCAGCATGGCAGAATGTGCCTCGTATGGTGCCTAGCAGCACAGAGCCAGTCTTCAGTATGTAGCTTTGATTACAAAAGATCAGGAAGTCCGTGGCTAGACAAAGAGCTCCCAGTCTGAGTTTAAACTGAGGAGCACAAAACAGTATTTCTCTGCTTTATGTATGTATTATAAGAATCACAGAAAGGGCTGGGGGCAGTGGCTCATACCTGTAATCCCAGCACTTTGGGAGGCCAACTCGGGAGGATCGCTTGAGGCAAATAGTTCGAGACTAGCCTGGGCAACAGAGTGAGATCCTGTCTCTATGAAAAATATATTTTAAAAAATTAGCCAGACATGGTGGTGTGAGTCTGTGTTCCAAGCTACTTAGGAGGCTGAAGTGGGAGGATTGCTTGGGCTCAGGAGGTCAAGGCTATGGTGAGCCATGTTCATGCCACTGCACTCCAGGCTGGGTGACAGAGCAAGACTCTGTCTAAATAAATAAATAAATAAATAAATACCTAAAAAAAAATTATAAAGAGGAAAATTTAAAGTGTGCCCTAATCTTACTATTCTGACATAGCCACTTTCATTCTCTTTTCATTCGATCATCACCTCTAACATTTTTTATTTTGCTTTTTTCACTTAACATTGTGACGTGAACATTTTCACCTTTGCTACATGGTTTCTCGTAAACACCACTGCAAAGGTGCCCTGGTTTCTCTACATGTCCCAGTTGCTGGGCCTGTAGTGACCTTCTGTCATTCACGGGTATGCCTAATGCTCCAGGGAACATCAGCGGCATCCTGGCCCTCAGGAGACTCAGTGTCCGACCCATTGCTCCACATCATCCTAGAAAACATTTGTAAAGCATTTTTCAGTCAACATAGGGAGTTCACTTATATTACTGCTTTTAATTCTTTCAATTTTTTTTTCCTACAAGATTGGATTCTTAGTAAAAGTCCTGGAGATGGCCAGGCACAGTGACTCATGCCTGTAATCCCAGCACTTTGGGAGGCCGAGGCGGGCAGATCGCTTAAAGTCAGGAGACCAGCCTGGCCAACATGGTGAAACCCCATCTCTACTAAAAATACAAAAATTAGACAGGCGTGGTGGCTCATGCCAGTAATCCCAGCACTTTGGGGGGCCAAGGCAGGCAGATCACCAGAGGTCGGCAGTTTGAGACCAGCCTGGCCATTGTGGTGAAACCCCATCTCTACTAAAGACACAAAAATGAGCCAGGTGTGGTAGCAGGTACTTGTAATCCCACTACTCGGGAAGCTGTGGTACAAGATCACTTGAACCCGGGAGGTGGAGATTACAGTGGGTGGAGATCATGCCACTGCACCCCAGCCTGGGAGACAGAGCAAAATTCCATCAAAAAAAAAAAAAAAGAAAAAAGAAAAAGAAAGTCCCAGAGGAGAAGCTAAAAATGAACAAAGATAATGAATATTTCTCCTGGCTCTCCAGACAATTGCCAAATTGCTCTCATTTCATCAGTTTGGCAAACATGCAGTGCTTCATGTTGCGGTTCTGACCTAGAGTGACAAAACAGGCCCTTCACAGCACTGGGTCCACATCCATCTCACTGCAACTGGGCCACACTGAGTGCTACTGTGTTCGTCTTTTTTTCCTGGTTAAGTAGCACCCCCTTGTTTGTACTGGAGGTCTCCCTTGGATGTCATTAATGGGTTTACATCCCAGCAGCATTAGGAACCTCCAAGGCAGGCACAGGCTGCAAGTCAATCATCCCACCCAAACTTCAGTGTTATCACCTATAAAGTGAAAGAGTTGGAATAGATGCCCATTGACACATGGGTAGCCATCCTAGAAAGTAGGTGTCATTGTTATACCCATTTTTTCTGATGAGGAAACTGAGGTTTGGCACACTGGGTAGCTTGCCTGAGCTTGTATGAGTGGTTAAGTGCCAGCTCTGTCTGAATCGTGGTTATTTTCCATGCTGCATGGGCTGTACTGAGAGGTGCTTTGGGGAGAGAATCTTGTCTGATGTATGTACAAGTCCTGCAGAGATTAACAAGGAAGAGGCCAATTTTATCTCCAAGATAGAAAGGATTTTTTTTTTATTTTCGGTTTTTGTGTCTGCATGATACCGGTGCTGCCGAGCCCCCACACCCCCACCAACCACAACCCCCAACCACCTACTTCCTGAAGGATTCCTTGGCCTGGTAAAAATAATCAGGGGCCCCTACCTGGGATACGTTGGTATTGCATGAGTAGGCCCTGGGTCCTAGATCACCAGGTCCTTGTCAGTGCCCCAGCCTCCCCTTTCTTTCTTTAGCCCTGGATCTGCCCTGTTGTCTTCATGGGCTTTGCAAATCAAAGTACCCTTTCCTTAATTTTAACAAGTTGACTATGAATTTCTTTAAGAGAGATTTACCTTCCCTTGTTTTAAAATGAAACCAGAGTCAAGGAGAGCTTCCGTTCTAAGTACTGGCTGTAGCAAATCACACTAGTTAGAGTCACCTCTAGAAATTTATCGAGGAAGTTTCCTCTTTCAGTAGTAACTCATGGTTTTCAGGATTCATAGACTTGGAGTGATGGGAGGAGCTAGAGAGCCCAGGCAGCTGAAGAATTGTAAATTCAAATCGACAGGAGCCAGAAGTGATACAAGTGAGTGAAGTGGGGCAATAGGGACTGGTAGGGACTGCGGTGCACTGGGGCACTGGACACACGTGTCCCATGTATAGGGCACAGCACTGCTCAGATCACCCAGGTTGTTACCGTGAACAAAATAGACCCAGTACTGCCCAATCTTTCATTTTTCTTTTCTTTTCTCTTTTGTTTACTTTTATTTTTATTTTTTTGAGATGGAGTCTTGCTCTTGTCACCCAGGCTGGAGTACAATAGTGTGATCTCATCTCACTGCAACCTCCACCTCCCGGATTCAAGTGATTCTCCTGCCTCAGCCTCCCGAGTAGCTGGGATTACAGGCACCCACCACCACGCCCAGCTAATCTTTTGTATTTTTAGTAGAGTTGGGGTTTCACCATGTGGGTCAGGCTGGTCTTGAACCCCTGACCTCACGTGATCCACCCACCTCGGCCTCCCAAAGCGCTGGGATTACAGGCATGAGCCATCGTGCTTGGCCTAATCTTTTATTTTTCAAGAGATGCTAGAACTCCTAATTTTAGAAATCTGCCGGTTTAAAAAAATGAACATTATTCAATGGAATCATTGTTCCCCCCAAAAATAAACATTAGATTTGAATTCTGAGAGGAAAAATGTGCAGACCAAACACCAAACACGTCTGGTGTTTGTAACTCTGGCATGGATAAGGGTTTATACATTTTGATTGAGTGGCAGTCTCTATTTTACAGATGTAGGAGCTGAAAACCAGAGAGAGAAAATGATCATTATTGAGCATTCTCTGCCAACAGTTCAGGGGCCTTCAGATAGAAAAAGCTGTAATGCCAAAGTACAGCATTTTGAAGTCATGGGAGAGTAAATTTGGGTGCAATAAGGGCTAAGTGTAAAAGTGAGCATTTGTTGGTCACTGGCTACATTCCTGTCACTGTGTAAAGATATATCTCTTATAGTCCTCACAGCTAAATAGTTCATCCACTTCACAGATGAGGAAACCAAGGTTTAAGGATGATAAATCAGAATAAAGGGTGGGTCAGTGTTCAAGACTTCAGAGTCCATGCTCCTTCTACTACTGGTAGCTATCTTATTATTTTTTTTAATTAATTAATTTATTTTTTGAGATAGGGTCTCACTCCCATCGCCCAGGTGGGAGTGCAGTGGCACTATCATGGGTCACTGCAGCCTCCACCTCTGGGGCTCAAGTGATCTTTCTACCTCATTTTTTAAATTTTTTGTAGTGACAAGGTCTCACCACGTTGCCCAGCTTGGTCTCAAACTCCTGGGCTCAAGCAATCCGCCCACCTTGGCCTCCAAAAATGCTGGGATTATAGGCAGGAGCCAATGTGCCTGGCCAGTTAGCTGTCTTCTTGGGTAATGAGCCTCCTGTCCTTGGATGTGTTCAGGCAGAGGCTGTATTCGTAGAATGATCCTTATATTGGGTAAGAAGCAGGACCAGATGCCACTCAAGGTTTTTGTTGTTGTTTTATTTGTGTTTGTTTTTTTCTGAGGTGGAGTCTCACTCTGTCACCCAGGCTGTAGTGCAGTGGCCCAATCTTGGCTCACTGCAACCTCCACCTCCCAAGTTCAAGTGATTCTCCTGCTTTAGCCTCCCAAGTAGCTGGGATTACAGGCACGCACCACCATGCCTGGCTAATTTTTGTATGTTTAGTAGAGACAGTGTTTCACTATGTTAGCCAGGCTGATCTCAAATTCCTGACCTCAAGTAATTCACCTGCCTTGGCCTCCCAAAGTGCTGGAATTACAGGCGTGAGCCACTGTGCCCGGCCTCCAGGTGTTTTCAAGGCTGGGCTAACCTTGACACTGGACATTTTGAGCTGGATATTTCTTTGCATTGGACTGGATATTTCTTTGTGCTGGACTGGATATTATTTCCTTGTGCTGGACTGGATATTTCTTTGTGCTGGACTGGATATTTCCTTCTTTCTGTACATTGCAGGATGTTTAGTGGTATGCCTGGTTCTCTCCAGGGACTTCCCACATCTCTAGATGCCTGTGGTACCTCTCCTCTCCCCCGAGTCATAAGGGCCAAATATGTCTGGAGACTGTCAAATTCCCCTGCGGAGCAAAATTGCCCCCAGTTGGAAACCAATTCTTTAAGATTTGGCATTTTTATGAATCTATAATTAGTGATTTTTTTTTATCTCTGCCAACAGTGCTGAGTGAAAAAAGTAAGAAATAGGAGTCTTATCATTCAATACCACCTATGTAAATTAAAAGACTTGCATGCAAATAGGATGCGTACAAGGGACACAGGACACACACATTCAAATGGTTGCCCATGGGAAAGGGGAATAGGGTAAGGGAATGAGGATGAAATGCAAGAAATGCAGTACACGAATCAAGAGAGATGTCTAGAATGGACCAATGGTGAGAGTGAACTATGCAATGAATGCAGGGTGTGATGAACCAATACTTTTCCCCAAAGTTAATTTTTTTCAAGAAAATAAAGTCCTCTGCCATCGTTGAGAAGAGATGGCCAGATTCCTCAGCACTCTTGTCATTTACAAGACCTTGTTTCTCCATCCACACTGGAGGTGTCATCCTGATTTTTTATCTTCCTACCACAACTCCTTCCGCACCATGGCTGTTGTCATCTTGAATGTCATCTTGAATGTTCCAGCCTTGCATGCCATGCGGAAAACCAAGTCCCATATCTGCATAGTATGTCCCGTGGACGTATTGTCATGAACAATCCCAGGAACTTTAGGATGATATAACAGCTCCGGGCCTTCTGGATGGAAACAAGAAAAAGTTCCTATCTCACATCCCTGCCCACATTTGCAAACGGTAAATTTGAAGTGAAAAATAGGGAATGGTTACATAGCCACCATGGAAATCTTTGGCCTGGGAGACATTTGGAATAACGGGGTGGCACAAAGAACCCTGAGACATACTTGCACCGATATTTTTAATCCTTGTCACCATCAAGCGCCTCTGGATTTTGTGTGCTGCGGCACTATCAAGCTGCTGAAGTTGGAAGACAGAATTAATAGTGATAATAATAGCGGCTGCTATTCACTGATCATCTACTTTGTGCCAGGTACTGGGTACAAGGACCTTCGCATAGGTTCTTGCTAATGACTTTTCATGTAGGGAAGAAGTTTAGATCTCATTTTTTTTCCTTTTAATTTATTTATTTTCTTTTTTTAAAAATATACATGTTTTTGAAACAGGGTATAGCTTGTCGCCTAGGCTGGAATGCAGTGGGATCATGCATTCCACTCAAGTAATCCTCCCACCTCAGTCATCACACCCGCAATCTCCAGTAGCTGGGACCACAAGTGTGCACCACCACACTCAGCTAATTTTATTTAATTTTATTTTTGTAGGGACAGGGGTTCCGCTATGTTACCCAGGCTGGTCTCAAACTCCTGGACTCAAGCAATCCTCCTGCCTTGGCCTCCCAAAGTGCTGGGATTACAGGTATGAGTCACCACGCCCGGCTGGATTCCAGTTTGATGTGAGAGATGGAGAAATAGATTCCTCAACTCTTTAAAGAGCCTCTATAATAACCTTTCCCTGGGCCACCTACTCCCTGTGGGGAGGGCAGTGGTCTCCTCAGCTACAGGAAGACCTCCTCCAATTCCTAAAGCAGACTGCTGTGTGCCCTCAGGCAATGCACTCCACCTCTCTGAGCCACAGACGTCTTGCCTTTCAAATGTGCAGAAGGCACCTGCCCTGTCCACTTCAGCAGGCTGTTAGGAGGACCACCTGGGGTCCTGCAGAGTGTTCTCTGAATAAAGGAAGTGTTGAGAATTTATTTTCAGGCTTCATGGTATCACATTGGCAGAAGGCTCACTTCCATATCTCATTAATTTTTTTTTTTTTTTTTGAGACGGAGTCTCGCTCTTGTTGCCCAGGCTGGAGTGCAATGGCGCGATCTCGGCTCACCACAATCTCTGCCTCCTGGGTTCAAGCGATTCTCCTGTATCAGCCTCCCAAGTAGCTGGCATGACAGGAATGTACCACCAAGCCTGGCTAATTTTGTATTTTTAGTAGAGACGGGGTTTCTCCATGTTGGTCAGGCTGGTCTCGAACTCCTGACCTCAGGTGATCTGCCTGCCTCGGCCTCCCAAAGTGCTAGGGAATACAGGCATAAGCCACCTAGCCCGGCCTAATCTCATTAATTTTAAGTTGCCTCTTCCTACCTTTTAATGCCCCCTTCTGTTGCCTTTGATATATGACAATCTTACTACCACATATACACTATTTATAATTATTGTAATAATGACAACCATCTTTCCAATATGCACTAAATATGCATATACTACTAGGCAACTTGTGTGCATAATCTAAGTATTCCAAGTGTGTGTGTGGTGGGGGGTGGGGGGGATGTGTTTGCAGCGATAGAGCAGTAGAAGCTGTTGCCCAGGGTTTATGGGTAGTTCAAGACTCTGTTCTTCCTACTATCTGGGCTATCTCTGTCCTTCCCCTGGTGTCTCCAGAGTAACTGCTGCTGGGGGTCAACAGAACATGGCCTTGGGTTCAAGAGACACCTGAATTTGAGTCCTTGCTCTGCCAACAACCAGCTGTGGGACCCTTGGCAAGTCACACAACCATGAGGCTCAGAGTCCTTGGCCTAAGTTGAGGATGTCAATATCCGCCTCCTAAGGCCCAAGTGAAAGTGACATGAGACTGTGTTGGTAAAGTGTCTGTTGCATGCCAGGTACTCCATGGATGCTAACTGCCTCCTGTGGGTGTGAAACCTTGTGTATTTCCCCTTCCAGTATAGTTGCTCACTGATCTTTCAGAGAGAGAAACAGAAAAACACCTGAGAATAAAAACAATTTTTAAGATCTTTTGATGGTTAATTTTACGTTTTCAACTTGGCTGGGTGTTGGCATCCAGAAATTTGATCAAACTTTATTCTGAGTGTTTCTATGAAGATGTGTTTTGAGGGATGAGATTAACATTTAAATGGATGGACTTTCAGTAAAGCAGATGATATTCCATAATGTGGGTGGGCCTCATCCAATCAGGTGAAGGCTTGAATACCAACAAAAGGCTGACCTGCCCTGAGCAAGAAGGAATTCTGCCAGCAAATGGCCTTGGACTTGAACTGCACAATCAGCTCTCCCCTGGGTCTCCAGCCTGCCAGCCTCCCATCTCAGACTTTGGACTCATGAAACATCCGCTGTTGTGTTAGCCCAGGGGTCCCCAACCTTTTTGGTACCAGGGACCGGTTTCACAGAAGACAATTTTTCCACGGATGGGAGTGAGGGGATGGTTTTGGGATGATTCAAGCACATTACATTTATTGTGCATTTTATTTCTATTATTGGTACAATGTAATATATTACAATATATATCATATATTATAATACATGATATGTTATGTATATCATGTATAACATAAATATGTAATATGATATATGTTATAATACATGATATGTAACATATATTATATATCATGTATTACAATATATATAAAGAAATGATTACACAACTCACCATAATGTAGAATCAGTGGGAGCCCTGAGCTTGTTTTCCTGCAACTAGATGGTTCCATCTGGGGGTGATGGGAGACAGCGACAGATCATCAGGCATTAGACTCTCATAAGGAGCACGAAACCTAGATCCATCACACGTGCAGTTCACAGGTGGGTTTGTGCTCCTACGAGAATCTACTGCTGCCGCTGATCTGAGAGGTGGGGCTCAGCTTCACTTTCTTGCCTGCTGCTCACCTTCTGCTGTGCAGCCCAATTCCTATAGGCCATGGACTGGTACTGGTCTGTGGCTCGGGATCCCTGTGTTAACTAATATCTTAAAATAAGTCTCTCGACCGGGCGCGATGACTCACGCCTGTAATCCCAGCACTTTAGGAGGCCGAGGTCAGGAATTCGAGACCAGCCTGGCCAACATGGCAAAACCCCGTCTCTACTAAAAATACAAAAATTAGCTGGGAGTGGTGGCGGGCGCCTGTAATCCCAGCTACTCGGGAGGCTGAGGCAGGAGAATTGCTTGAACCCGGGAGGCGGAGGTTGCAGTGAGCTTAGATTGCGCCATTGCACTCCAGCCTGGGAGACAGAGTGAGACTCTGTCTCAAACTAAATAAATAAATAAATAAATAAATATCTCAATCTCTCTAATACACACACACGCACACACACACACACACACCCCTTGTTGGTTCTGTTTCTCTGGAGAATCCTAATACAGACCCCAAATCAAAAACTCTGTGTTACTGGCAGGATTGTCTCGGGCACCTTAGAAGGCAGGTGAAAGGTGCAGCGTCAGTGCCTCTGAGCCACTTTGCAGCGGAGCGAGCTGTTTCCTGATCATGAGAAGCTGGCCACAGGGCAGGAGACATCATGGGATTTCCCCAGTTTGCCTGAATAATGAAGTGTTGCCGTTGCCTGCATAGCTGAATATGAGCAAAATATGTTTTCCGTGCTCTATCCACCATTTGGAGAAAAATAAAAAAACACTTAGATTTTTTTAATGAATGCTGTCATGAAAGTATGTGCTGTGTTCAATGACTTCTTCCCTACCCTAAAGCCTTGCTAATTACCAAAAGCTATGGCCTTCTAGATTTGCATTTCGGTCACTGCAGGAGCACAGGCATTAAATTTCCAGGCTTTTACATTGTGGAGTTTTCCTTTCTTTTTTTTTTTGAGATGGAGTCTCACTCTGTCGCCCAGGCTGGAGTGCAGTGGCGCAATCTAAGCTCACTGCAACCTCCGCCTCCCGGGTTCAAGCAATTCTCCTGCCTCAGCCTCCTGAGTAGCTGGGACTAGAGGTGCTCACCACCAGGCCCAGCTAATTTTTTAATTTTTAGTAGAGACGGGGTTTTACCATGTTGGTCAGAGTGGTATTGAACTCCTGACCTCAGGTGATCTGCCCGCCTCGACATCCCAAAGTGCTGGGATTACAGGCATGAGCCACCGTACCCAGCCTTGGAGTTTTCCTTTCTAAAAGGGTTTTTCAACCTTGGAACTACTGACATCTGGGGCTGGATAACAGTTTTTTGTCGTGTGATTGTCCCACTCTTGGTAGGATAGTTAGCAGCACCCCTGGCCTCCACCCAGGGCCAGCTTGCTCATTAATCAAAGAAGAATCAGTGTCTAAGTTTCCTGATACTTTTAGGGCCCTCAAAAATGTTTTAATTTTAATTTTAAAATCAGAAGGAAAAAGTGAACGTAATAATTAAAAATATTTGATAATGAATGTGTCCTGAATGATATTCATCTTCATATAAAATCAATTTTAAAATATAATTTTAATATGTATGTGTGTGTTTTATGGAAAAAGGGACTCCCAAAGGCCAAAATGAGCTGAGCACATGGCTCATGCCTGTAACCCTAGCACTTTGGGAGGCCAAGGCAGGTGGATTGCTTGAGCTCAGGAGTTCGAGACCAGCCAGGGAATCATAGCAAGATCCTGTCTCTACTAAAAATAAAAAAAAAATTAGCTGGGCATGGTGGTGTGTGCCTGTAGTCCTAGCTACTTGGGAGGCTGAGGTGGGAAGATCACTTGAGCTTAGGAGGCAGAGGCTGCAGTGAGCCAAGATGGTGCCACTGCCCTCCACCCTGGGCACTAGAGCAAGACCCTATCTCAAAGAAAAAAAAAAAGAAAAGCCATGATGTGATGTGCAGGGCCTATGAACATCATATGACTGCCCTGCCTCTATTTACTACATGTCACTGGCATTTTTCTCTCCAATTGTGACAATAAAAAATGTCTCCAGCCATAAGCAAGTGTCCCTGGAAGGGGAGTGCCAAATCTGCCAGTTGAGAATCACTGCTTTTCACTAATAAGAAAAGTAAGCCAGGCATGGTGGCTCATGCCTGGAATCCCAGCACTTTGAGAGGCTGAGGTGGGGGGATCACCTGAGGTCAGGAGCTTGAGACCAGTCTGGCCAACAGGGTGAAATCCTGTCTCTACTAAAAATACAAAACTTAGCTGGGCGTGGTGGTGCACGCCCGTAATCCCAGCTACTCGAGAGGCTGAGGCAGGAGAATCGCTTGAACCCATGAGGCAGAGGTTGCAGTGAGCCGAGATCATGCCATTGCACTCCAGGCTGGGTGACAAGAGTGGAACTCTGTCTCAAAAAATCAAAAAAGTAATAATTATGTATTCATTCACCAGTATTCCAGGGGCACCTCCTGGGTGCTGGTGCTGTGCTTGCTTTGGGACCGCAGGAAGAATAGAAGAACAGGGTATTCTTTCTGCCCTTGGGCTGCTCTTGGGAGTGTCAGAGGAACCAAGTGAGATTGATACATGGGCTGGGAGGTGCTGAGACACACACATCAGACCCTTCATCTCCGAGAAGCAGCAGCGACTAACTCATGAGAAGGGCTGGGAAGGTTCTCAGAAGTGTGCGCTTTGAAACAGAGTCTTCAAAGTTTTTAAGGTTGAGAACAAAGAGAGGGTCCTTGGTGTGCAAACAAACGTAGAGGGGTGAAAGGGAACCCCACAGTCTGCCTTTGTGGTCACTGCAAAACCCTGAGGGCTGGACATAGTCTCCCTTTGTAACAAGTAAAATAGGTGAGCATTAAGTTCCCTGGAATCACGGAAATATTAATTTCTTCTTGAATCTCCTGAAAGATCCGTTTCTTCTGTCGGCACCAACAATAACATACGACGTGAAATGCCACCGGCTCTGGCACCGTGTCCAGCCCCATGAAGTCCAATTAGAAAATGAGCATTGATTTCAGATTTATCAGATTCGAGTTTTGACTTGTGTCCAGGGGAGAACAGGGAGACAGTGTTATTCCAGGCTTATATTTCACCTTCTTGAGGAAGGAAAGGAAAGACACACGTCGTTTTGACGGGATCCAGAGCCTGGCTTCGAGAGAGGCGCCCTATTTTATAACAGAGCTGCTGTCTAGAAATAGTCCTGCCCTGTGGATGCTGTTTAGTTTCTGGCCCGACATGCCAGAGATGTGAAATAGAATGCAGTCACCGGGCCGACAGCGGCTTTTCCAAGGCGGGGGCGATCTGCCTGCCACAGGGCGAAATGGTCTTGGTGAAGTGTGTATTCCCATACTGGCATTTGGGGGCTGGGAGGGATGAATACTTATGAAACTTGAAAATTAGCCACAGTCTGCACTTTGCCTAAGAGGAATGGTGACTGCCCTTCCCGGTACACATGAAGACAGGCCTGGAAGCATTAACGCTGGGGGCAGTTGGGATGACTTGGAGCTCTCCCCTTTCTTTGGGCTATTGGGCCCCTCCTGGGCCTTCTTTCCAGACTGTTAATAACACAGCAGCCCCCTACCCACACCCCCGCCCCTCCACAAGCAGTGCTGTGTGGTAGAAGGAGCACAGATTTGAGGATAGCGTCCTAGCTCTCCCCTCCTTACGTTCTGAGGAATGTGGTATAATTTTCTTTTCTTTTTTTTGTTCTTTTCTTTTCCTTTTTTTCTTTTTTCTTTTCTTTTTTCTTTTCTCCTTCCTTCCCTCCTTCCTTCCTTCCTGCCTGCCTTCTTTCTTTCTTTCTTTCTTTCTTTTTTTTGATGGTGTCTCGCTCTGTTGCCCAGGCTGAAGTGCAGTGGCGTGATCTTGACTCACTACAACCTCTGCCTCCCAGGTTCAAGTGATTCTCCTGACTCAGCCTCCTGAGTAGCTGGGATCACAGACATGCACCACCACACCTGGATAAGTTTTGTATTTTTAGTAGACATGTGGTTTCGTCCTGTTGGCCAGGCTTGTCTTGAACTCCTGACCTCAGGTGATCTGCCCGCCTTGGCCAAAGTGCTAGGGTTACAGGCATGAGGCACCTCACCCGGCATTTTTTTGTATTTTTTAGTAGAGACGGGGTTTCCCCCACGTTGGCCACGCTGTTCTTGAACTCCCAACCTCAAATGATCCATCCGCCTGCCTCAGCCTCCCAAAGTGCTGGGATTACAGGTGTGAGCCACCGCACCCAGCCGTGGTACAGTTTTCTTAACCTCATTGAGTCCCTCATCATCACCCCATGGGGTGAGTGCAGAGAGAGGAAGGGCTGTGCCGGCTCAAATCCCATTTCTGCCACTCAAGTCTGTTGCCTTCAGAAAATGAGCTGACTCTGTAGCAGTGACAGTATAGAACCAGTTACTGCTCTATCCACTTTTCATGTCTTGACCTATTTGATCTTTGCAGCAACCTTGGTGGTGGGGCAGAGCACAGTGTGAGTACTCAGTCAGCAGCAGCCCCTGCGATTGTCATTCTTTAGGATTATGATTACCGTGAGCTTTTCCAGTGAGGGTCTGAGCACCCGCTGGTATTGGTATTTATGGAGCTATGATGAAGCTCCTCTACAATGCTTGGAATTATGGTTGGAGGGACCTGGACCAGGTGGAAATGGGCCCAGTCGTTCTGCGTGGACAGGAGTCCAGCCTCAAGGTTCTCTTGAACAGGCATGGGACTTGCCCAAGGTCACACAGTGAATGGTGGTGGAATGAGGAGTAGCTTCAGGTCACCTTCCCCTGTCCCAGGCAGCCTTGGAGAGCAGAGGAAGTTTCTTTTGATCCACAGCCCCCCACTCCTTTCGTAAAAAGGCAATTTGGACAGACATCCTCTGCATTTCCTCTTGGGGTGGGGATTGGCGATTGTCACTCTGGAGGGCTTGGCTCCAGCCCTCCCAGTCCCCCACCCACTGTGGCACAAGCAGCCCTGAGGAAGCAAGCCCAGCCCAGAACACAGCTGCCTCCCGCACCATCTGAAACATGAAATTAATTTAATACTTGAAAACGCAGCCCTCATTATCTCTCCGAGCAACAGGATCTGTCTACAAACCTGAGAAGTTCAGATTACCAAGTTTCCAGGCTGTTTTACCAACCTCATCCAAAAACAATCCTGGTTTTATAACTCAATAAAAAAGGACCCGTGCTTCAATAAGCGAGTAGTGCAGGCAAGCAGAGGGGCAGACCAGGGAAAATGATCAGTCCCCCAGAGTGGGGTGGGGGTAGGAGGAGGAGGCGACTGCCAGGCGGAGGGGTGGAGAGGGGGCACTCTGCAGGCCCAGAATCCTTGTCTGGGGAGAAAAACCTCCAGAAACGCCTACTTCCACATGCTTGGTGGGGTTTACCCTCAGGACAGGCCCGAGGGGCAGCAGCAGGTAACCCTCCTCTCTATATGGCAGATGAGAAAACCCAGTTGGGGCGGGGGCAGGTGCCAGGCACTGTTGTGCAGGCCTCTTGGCCAAGGTGGGCAGTGGAGACGACACTCACCTTGCCCGTGGTGTGGGGCTGCCTCCTCCTGGCAGGGGCATCCACCTGCTTTCATTCACACACAGGTGCCCCGTGGCCACCCACCTGCTCTCATTCACACACAGGTGTCCCGTGGCCGCCCACCTGCTCTCATTCACACACAGGTGTCCCGTGGCCGCCCACCTGCTTCGCCTCCTCTGCTTGGGCAGCAAGTTTTTCTGCAGGTTTTCCATGGATTCCCCAGTTCTGGAACTGAGGATGCCCACAGCATCTCTGTCTTGCGCTTGGATGGTTTTTCCTGCAGCCAGATTCCCCTGGTGGGCGGGTGGGGGGTAGAATCTACAATGGTAGGAATGGATCCTGCTGCTGCCTGTTTTCTCAGGGCATCTTGGGAAATGCCACTTTCTCTTGCAGGGTTTGGTGAAGATTAATGAGGCGGGTGTAGCAAGGGGAGGGTCTTCTCCTACAGTGGTAGTGAGTGTGGAAATTGGTTCTACCTCACCGACATGGTGATTCAGGTCAACAATAATGCTTATACCTTTTGACCCAGCAATTCCACCTGTTGGATGGATCCTGGGGAGTAATTTGAACAAGTGGCAAAGATATATGAATGAGGAGGTTCGGGGCTGCCCTGTGTATAGGAGCGAAAAATGGCCAATATACAGCCACTGAGAGAGATTCGGTTCAGCAAAGTACCCCTCCCCAATACAATTAGCTGCAGCCATTGAAGAGAACCAGGTAGATCTACATTCAGTGACTTGGAGTGAAGTCTAAATTTTTTTAAAGCATTCGTACAAATGCAGGAGATTCTGAAGCACTATGGAGAGTATTATTCAATTTCTGTAAAATCTTTATAATACACATTTTTGTATATATTTTTCTTGATATACATAGATAAATCTGGAGGTATACAACAAATGGTTAATTAACAGTGTTTATTCCTTTGGTACATAAGCATGTGGCACATATTTGCAGTGTGCTCAATTTGTTTTATGATGTTTGATTTTTTTTTTTTCTTGTTGAGACAGAGTCTGACTCTGTCGCCGAGGCTGGAGTGCAATGGTGTGATCTTGGCTCACTGCAACCTCTGCCTCCCAGGTTCAAGGGATTCTCCTGCCTCAGCCTCCCAAGTAGCTGGGATTACAGGCACACACCACCACGCCTGGGTAATTTTTGTATTTTTAGTAGAAACAGAGTTTCACCAGGTTGTCAGGCTAGTCTCGAACTCCTGACCTCATGATCCACCTGCCTTGGCCTCCCAAAGTGCTGGGATTACAGGCATGAGACTGATTTGTTTTTAAATGTACCTGACTTTAATTTATAATCAGAATGAAAGGTATGCCACCCCATAATCCTAGCACTTTGGGAGGCCCATGTGGAGGATCACTTGAACCCAGGAGTTTGAGACTAGCCTGGGCAATATAGTGAGACCCCGTCTCTATAAACAAAATCAGCCAGGTGTGGTTGCACATGCCTGTAGTCCAGCTACTCGAGAGGCTGAGCCTGGGAGGTCGAGGCTATGGTGAGCCATGATTGCACCACTGCACTCCAGCCTGAGCAACAGACTGAGACCCTGTCTCAAAAAAACAAAAAAAACATAAAACCACACACACCCCCAAAACAAAAGAAAGGTATTCCCGTTTGGAAAGAAATAAAAAGAAAGACAAGAGAGAGATCAAAGAAAAAACATTTAGAACAGTGACCACACATAGTAAGTGCTCAGTAAATAAAGTTCTGTTCACAGAGTCTCCTGAAACCATCACTATCAGCTAGCAACTTAGAAATTTATGTGTTTGTCTCATACTGAAAGTCCACAGGTTCAGCTCAGCACTACTTAGCCAAATTAAAATGGAAATACATAGGCAAAGCAAACCCTACTGGCAAAAAACGAAAAGAGAAAACTGACTATACATGTATATAAAATCCATGTTACAATATGCTGGGCTGGAACCCGTAAATTGGAAACATGTGAAGTTACCCTGTATTGGCCTAAAAATCAATACATTTTAAATACATTGACTTGGAAGTCGAGCCGTCTTCATGAAGCTCCTAAGGATGGGAAGGTGCGCACCACATTAGGGAGCTTCATGAGAGAGCAAGCGGCTGCCGGATGCTCTTAGGCACATTTGTGGACTAGCACTTCAAGGCAAAGACATCACAAAGGACTTGCCTAGTACCAATTCCCTCCCCAATCATATGAGGCAAATGTCAAACAGATGTCCTCAAAGGGTGGAAAAACGAAATGAAAGGCACATTTAGAATATATAGAGCCGAAAAACCAAAAACCAATGGAAATTAGGACTCTGATGAGCACAAAGCTTACCATTAATGCCTTTTTTTTTTCACTATAGCACTTGCAAATTGATTTCTTGATCCCCAGGCACGCATCTGGAGATCTGCGGAGGGACATGGCCCTAGTTTGATAAAGTGACGGGTCTCAGCCAGGCATCCGTAGCCCTTCATGGTCTGGCAGTAACTCCTTTGTCTAGCCCTGACACCCACTCAAGCACCCTCTAGCATCCCATCTTTGATCTCCCCACAATATTTCCATCCTCATTTCTCTCCTTAAAATTGCCACCCTCAATGCACCAGCTTCCACTCTCAAACATTCCTGCCCTACACCCCTTCACCATCCAACATTCCCATCCTCCACCCACCCACTGGCCAATATGCTCATTTTTAATCCCCCTACTACCCAACATTCCCATCATTCTGGTTTTGTTGTTGTTGTTGAGACATAGTCTCACTCTGTCGCCCAGGCTGGCATGCAGTGGCGTGATCTCAGCTCACTGCAACCTCTACCCCCCGGGTTCAAGCAATTCTCCTGCCTCAGCCTCCCGAGTAGCTGGGATTACAGGCATGTGCCACCACGCTTGGCTAATTTTTGTATTTTTAGGAGAGACAGGGTTTTGCCATGTTGGCCAGGCTAGCCTTGAATCCCTGACCTCAGGTGATCTGCCCACCTCGGCCTCCCAAAGTGCTAGGATTACAGGCTTGAGCCACTGCACCCAGCCACATTCCCATTTTTGATCCCCCTCTTCCCTCTATCACGTTCCCATCGTTTTTTCTGTTCCCCTTCACTCTCATTTTTCCATTCCTGAACTTTCCATTCTCCCCCTCTCTTTAATGTTCCCATCCATTACAGCCCAGCCTTTAAGGCCCTGCAGGATGGGCCCTTCACATCCTGTTTAGTCCGTGCTGAGTTACACTTATATCCATTCCTGAAGGCTTTTGCATTTGCAGTGTTGGGCCTTCTCTCTGGAATGCTCTCATTGGCTCTGACAACCCCTACCCCACCTTCATGACCCAGGAGAAAGCCGCCTCCTCCCGAGGGCTCTCTTCCAGCACTGCCTCAAGCATGTTGCCTTCACCTTCAGGTCTGGCTTCCTCAGACTGGAGCCCCTAGAGGCTGAGCTGGTAGTTATTTTAGCTTTGGCCAGATTCGGTGATAACTTTTGGCAGGGGTCTCCTTCCCTCAAGTACATAAGATGCATTTTATAGAGTGAGTAGTGAATGAATGAATGAATGAGATGGGTTCTCTTCCAGACATGCTTTCCATTCCCTCCCACCCCACAAAAGAGCACCTTTGGGTGGCAGAAATAAAGGCACTGCACAAAGGGACAAACTATTATTTCCCTAGACCTACTATATACCACCCTCCCCACAGGCACTTAACAGACATTATCTTATTTGATTCTCCCATTACCGTTTTATAGATGTGAAAGCAGAGGCTCAGAGAGATGAAGCGCTTTGTCCGAGGTCACACAGCTTTTTATCAGGACCCAGGACACTGGGGTTGGGGCATGGAGGTGGGGAGAGTAGGACCCTGGGCTGGGTGTGTCAGAAGTAGAAGCAAAGGACGGTCAGCAGGTTGCTGCTCAGGAGAAAGCCAGCTGACATGGAGTGAGTGTTCATTTTAAATTCATTGTGGTCTTTGTGAGCAAATGCCTGCTTATCTCCCAAAACCAGGATTCCCGGAATCCTTGAATTTGATGTGATTTTCCTAATAATAGCCTGATAATCTCCCAGTGAAGTTTTATCCTCACAAACACCCAAAGATGCAGGTCCCTGTTTCAGACTGGGAAACTGAGACACAAAAGAGCTAAATTCAACACTTCGGTTCCCCAGCGGCCGTGGATGGTTAAGCCAGGATGTGGACCTGGGGCACCTGACTCCCAGCCCGTCTGCCTCCAACTGTCCGGCACAGCTTTTATTTCTCTCTTCCAGTTTGGTGACCCTGGCCCTGGTCAAAGTTGGAAGTCACAGCTTGGTCTGACCGTTCATGTGATCCTTCCCTTGGAATGGGAGTCAGATAGACGTGGGTTCAAATGCCCACCAGGGCCACAGAGTCTCTCAGATTTCAGTTGTCAGAAAGAGGACAAGTGACTGAACCAATATATACATGAACAGGATCAAGGCAAGCAGCAGCGCGTGCTACAAAGGCGTTTTATCCCAACAGAAGCGATGACCTGATGAGTAGCAAGTGTCGCCACCGTGCCTGCCAAGGGTCACCAGTGTGCCACTCTGCAAGACTAGCTCATAGGCAGGCTGATTCAAAAACCTGTCTTTGTGGGTCGCTCTTCCAGGACTTCTCCTGGCAAGTACTGTATGAGTGGGGTGCGTCCGGGAGAACAAGCTACAGGAGGCACTGCAGGGAGGGGACTGATGTGCAGAGTGACTCCCCAGGTGATGAAAGAGCAAACAGTGCTGAGCTCACCCAGAGACCAACTCAGGAAGCAGTGGCCACGGGAGGAGAAGAGGACACAAGAGGACTGAGCGTGGGCATCTCTGAAGCCAGGAACCCCCAAGATGGGGTGGGGCTATGTTGCTGCTGGTACTTCTGAGGGGTAGAAATGAAAATGCCAGTGCTGTGGAATTGGGGTGAAGGACTAGTGCCAGGAGATGCCAATAGGAGCAATGGGCAGGGGGGAAGAAGGCGGTGCCGCTCACTTCCTCCTGCTGTCTAGTCTCCTGCTAGTGCCCCCTCTTGGCAGATCACAGCAGGAAGCCAGTGGGCTCAGGGGTCTGGGGAATGACATTTGCACACCTTGGCCCCCAGATGATGCAAAGTGCTTTGTACCTGATAGGCCCTCACTGGACAGTAGCTATTGTTCCTTTTAATTGAAAGGGGCCCATGTACCGGGCACGGTGGCTCACACCTGTAATCCCAACACTTTGGGAGGCCAAGGGGGGAGGATCATCTGAGGTCAGGAGTTCGAGACGACCAGCCTGGTCAACATGGCGAAACTCTGCCTCTACTAAAAATACAACAATCAGCCGGGAGTGGTGGCAGGCACCTGTAATCCCTACCTGGGAGGCTGAGGCAGGAGAATCGCTTGAACCTGGGAGGCGGAGTTTGCAGCAGTGAGTTGAGATGGCACCACCGCACTCCAGCCTGGAGGACAAGAGTGAGACTCCGTCTCAAAAAAAAAAAAAAAGAAAGAAAGAAAGGGGCCCAAGTAAAGTAGCATGCTACGTATGGGATTTTATAGCTGGGAAAAAGGTGCTTTGAGGGCATAGATCAATTTATCTCTTGTCCAGTGCTATGACCAGGACAGGAGATAAATTGATCTGTGCCCTCATTTACTTGACAACCAACTTACCATGGGCTGTGCAACTCACTTAAATGTTTCTGGGCCCTAGATTACTCATCTATGAAATGGGCTTAATAATACCAGTTGTCAAGGTTGCTATGAAAAAAAGTGCTGACACAAGTGACAAGGGACACTCTTGTTGCTGAGAACAGTGACCACAAATGGGCTGCGGTTTTTGGCAATGTAAAGTGCAATGTAATTAATTAATTACCTAACAAACCTTTCCTAGTAGTTACTATATGCCATCTTCTAAGTGCTTTCCCAGAACTGACTCACTAAACTCTCATAACAGCCCTGAAGTAGGTATACTACTGTTATGCCCATTTTACAGGTAAGAAAACTGAGTGTATGAAACTTGCCCAAGTCCACATAGTAAGTAGAAAGCAGATTCAGGATTGCAACCGAGGCTGCCTGGCTCCAGATCTCCCCTTTTTTTTTTTTTTTTTTAACATTTTTTTTGTTTTTTCCAAAATAGAGTCTCGCTATGTTGGCCAGGTTGGTCTTGAACTCTTGGCCTCAAGCAATCCTCCCTCCTTGGCCTCCCAAAGTGCTAGTATTACTGGTGTGAGCCACTGCAAGTAGCCTAGAGTTCCTGTTTCTTTTTTTTTTTTTACTTTTTTAAGACAGAGATTCGCTCTTGTCGTCCAGGCTGGAGTGCAGTGACGCGATCTCAGCTGTCTGCAACCTTCGCCTCCTGGGTTCAAGCGATTCTCCTGCCTCAGCCTCCCAAGTAGCTGGGATTATAGGCATGTACCACCATGCCCAACTAATTTTTGTATTTTTAGTAGAGATGGGGTTTTGCCATGTTGGCCAGGCTGGTCTCAAACTCCTGACCTCAAGTGATCCACCCACCTCGGCCTCCCAAAGTTCTGGGATTACAGGCTTGAGCCACTGCGCCTGGCCCAGAGTTCTTGTTTTAACCATGATGACATGCTCTGAAGAACAGGGACAATGGGATTCAACACTTCTATGTAGCAGGATCGGGGGTAGTTGGGCTAGAAGCATGGTGTTTGCAGGGGCTTGGACCTTCCTTTGTATCACTTTAATAAGACTGTAAAAGGTCCATACCGAAGAGTGGAGGGGTTATCAGGAGTATCTAAGGGAAACTCTAGCTAGTTCTTGCCACCCATTTCTACCTAGTGTTAGTGCTAACGAAGGGTCTGGAGGAAGGGGCTAGAAGGGAAGACTTAGGGCAAAGAGCTCTATGGAGGGGTCTCGGTATCCCTTGCCCTGCTCAGTGGTGTCACAGACCAGCAGCAGCAGCCTCACCCAGGGGCTTGGAAAGAATGCAGGATCTTGGACCCTGGACCAGACCCATTGCCTTAGGTCTGCGCTAGACCATGGTCCCAGGGGATGGATTGCACCCTGGGATGGGGAACAGCTGCCCTGCAGTGAGCGCATGAGTGTCTGGTGGGGGTGGGCAGAGCAGTGTCTCAAGTCAAGTCTGGGAGAAGGTGATCTCTGCTTTTGTGTTACCTCCTTGGAGAGGCCTTCCCTGACCACCTTCTTCAAGGCCCACCCCCCTTTTATTTCCTTCTTTTCACTTCTTGCGTACACACACACGCAGACACACACACACATACACACACACACACACACACACTCTCCCTGTGAGGGCAGGGACATTGATTGACAACTTTGTTCGGCATGGACTCCCCAGCTTCTAACACAATGTAGAATGCAGTGAAATCCTTGATGTTTTTTTTTTATTTTTATTTTTAAATTTTTTTGAAACAGGGTCTCTGTCACCTAGGCTGGAGTACAGGGGTGCGATCTTGGCTCACTGCCAACCTCCGCCACCCAGATTCAAGAGATTCTCATGCCTCAGCCTCCTGAGTAGCTGGGACTACAGGGATGCACCAACATACCTGGCCAATTTTTGTATTTTTAGTAGAGGCAGGGTTTTACCATATTGCCCAGGCTGGTTTTGAACTCTTGGCCTCAAGTAATCTGCCCGCCTCAGCCTCCCAAAGTGCTGGGATTACAGGTGTGAGCCACTGTACCTGGCCAAAATCCTTGATTAAATGTAAACTTTGGAAGACATCAGAAGTTTCTCCTTTGAGTTGGATGTGTCCTGGGCAGGGGCCCTGGTGATTGGCTGGACCCAGGAATTTGGATGTAGGCGGAAGGAAACACTGGGAAAATGTATCTGAGCTGGAGTTGCTCAAGATGGCACCACTGGGCAAAAGTAGAAAGAAAAAAGAAATACAAGTCCCTCTGAGGCTTGGCGGCATCAAGGGAAGGGGTCACAGGCCTGCATTCTAGGTTAGACCTGCCACTTCCTTGCTGGGTGATCTGGAGCAATTGACTTAATCTCTCAGCCTCAGTCCTGGAAAGCGGGGATGATTGCCTTCTGGTAATATTTCTCTTTTGTTTCCCTTATCACCTGTATTCAGATTTAGTTTCAAGTAACATTTATTAAGTTCAACTCCATTTCGTTCATCCAATGACAGCCTACTGCAGAATGTGCCCTGACTTAGATACTGGGAGGATAGGGAGAAGAGGAACCAGATTGTGGCCTCAGGGAAGAAGAAGTAGGTGAGTAATAGAGGGAGGGGTAAAGTTGTGAAGCTGGTTTAAGATCTCACAGCAAGGTCATGGAGGACTTCCTGGAGGAGGTGATCCATGCAGATGAGTAAGAATTAGGTGGGAGAATTGAGATTGGTGTAGTTGATGATAATGATGGTTGCTGATTAGAGAGCTAGACTTTACCGAATTCCTACTGTGTGCCAGGCAGCCTGGGCCAAGCACTTCACTGTGTTATCTCATGTAAGCTTACAACAACCCTAGAGGTTGGCACTGTTTTATCACCATTTATAGGCAAGGTTTTTTTTTTTTTTTTTTTTTAGATGGAGTTTTGCTCTATTGCCCAGGCTGGAGTGCAATGGCATGATCCCAGCTCACTGCAACCTCTGCCTCTCAGGTTCAAGTGATTCTCCTGCCTCAGCCTCCTGAGTAGCTGGGATTACAGGCACCTGCCACCACACCTGGCTAATTTTTGTATTTTTAGTAGAGACGGGGTTTCATCATGTTGGCCAGGCTGGTCTTGAATTCCTGACCTCAGGTGATCCGCCCCACCTTGGCCTCCCAAACTGCTGAGATTACAGGTGTGAGCCATCCCACCCAGCCTAGATAAGGGAATTAAAGCACAGGTAGGTTAAGTAAACTGTCCAGAGCCACATAGCTAATTACTATAACCACAGGTATCATTCATCACATGCTTTTAATATACCAATTACTGGGTTAACTATTTCCAACTCTTACATCATTTAATATTTGTCACCAGCCCTATGAGCTGTCACTGTGGTCTTTGTTTATGATGCTTCTTTTTTTCTGAGACACGATCTCACTCTGTCACCCAGGCTGGAGAGCAGTGGCACAATCCCAGCTCATTGCAGCCTCAACCTCCTGTTGCTCTAGCGATCCTCTCACCTCAGCCCCTTGAGTAGCTGAGACCACAGACATGCACTACCACCCTTGGATAATTTTTAATTTTTTTTTTGTAGAGGCAGGGGTCTCACTATGTTACCCAGATTGGTCCTAAACTCCTGAACTCAAGCAGTCCTCCAGCCTGGGCCTCCCAAATTGTTAAGATTATAGGCATGAGCCATTGTGCCCCACCAATCCTTTTTTTTTTTTTTTTTCCAAACCCAGTTGGAAAACAAGATTGAAAAGGACAATGCTTCTCCATGATCACACAGCTAACAAGCAGGGAAGACAGAATTCAACGCCAGGTTCTGTTGCCTAGAGCCACTGGCAGTAATCACACTGCCATGCTCTGTTGGGGCATCTGACTCTGTGCAGGGCACCTTCCCTGGACAGCACCCTACAGGCACAAGGTAGGTGCTCACTCATCTAAGAGCCATTTATGAAGCGTCCACTATGGGGAACCTGAGGGCAGCATCCCTACTGTTCCCTCCTCACTGCACTGACTCTGCATCTCTGGTGGGTTTTCTTTCTCCCTTCCTTTCCTTCCTTCCTTCCTTCCTTCCTTCCTTCCTTCCTTCCTTCCTTCCTTTTTCTTTTATTATTATTATTATTATTATTATTATTATTATTATTACTATTATTATTATTTTGAGATGAAGTTTCACGCTTGTCTCCCAGGCTGGAGTACAATGGTGCGATCTCAGCTCACTGCAACCTCCACCTCCTGGGTTCAAGAAATTCTCCTGCCTCAGCCTCCCGAGTAGCTGGGATTACAGGCGCCCACCACCACGCCCGGCTAATTTTTGTATTTTTAGTAGAGATGCGGTTTCGCCACGTTGGCCAGACTGGTCTTGAACTCCTGATCTCAGGTGATCCACCTGCCTCGGCCTCCTAAAGTGCTGGGATTACAGGCGTGAGCTGCCGTGCCTGGCCTGGATTCTCTCTTTTCTTTTCTTTCTTTTTTCTTTTTTTCCTTTGGAGACAGAGTCTCACTCTGCCACCCAGGCAGGAGTGCAGTGATTTGATCTCGGGTCACTGCAACATCCACCTCCGAGGCTCAAGCTATCCTCCTGCCTCAGCCTCCAGAGTAGCTGGGACCACAGGCACATGCCACCACGAGTGGCTGATTTTTGTATTTTTTGTAGAGATGGGTCTCACTATGTTGCCCAGGCTGGTCACGAACTCCAGTGAATTTCTGGCCTCACCATCAATGATAGGGGAGGCCCCTTCTCACAGCCTCTTGCTCTGTTTTTTCCAGCTGCCTGTGGATCCATTCATGTGAGTGGTCCTGAAGAGGAGCACCTGAGTGTTTCACAACCAAATGCTCAACAGATGTTTCTACATGTCTGGAGAAATGCAATGAGGGGTGCACTGGGGTAATGATGCTGAAAGCTCCCAGAGTCAATAGCCTTTGGGGCTTGATTAGCAGAGACTCGCACTTTGCCACAGAAACGGCAAATAGAATGGCTCTTGGAACAAAGGCAGGATGACTTTCTAAGACTTTGAATCCTTTCAGTCAGGAAAAGCAAGCATTTCCCTGCCTGGCGGTGACCCAGCCAGAGCCCCAGGGAGCCTGGTGATCCCTCTCGCCGTCTGCTGTGAAGGTGAGACGAGAGGGAGTGGAAAGATGTTAAAGATGGAGGTCCCGTGATTGACGCCATGACTCTTTGCTGGTATCCTTTGGCCAAGGCTCCTAACCTCTCTGAGCCTCAGTTTTCTCATCTATAAAAGGGGGAAATGTCTCCTACCTTGAAGCATCCTGGGGGATGAAGTGAACCACTGTACATAAGGTGCACGGCATGGTGGGCTCCCGCGTTCTTGCTCTTTGTTTTGGGCTCAACCTTACCCTTTGGGATCCCCTTCCATCCACTGGGATCCCTCCTCCACCCCTCGGGATGCCTTCTCCACCCCTTGGGATTCTTCCTCTGAGGCCCTGTGCCTGGAGAGGTTGCCACATGACGTCACTACCCCAGTTCCTTTGCTCTGTGGCTTCAGCCAAGCTCAGCTCCCACAGGGCTCCCGCCACAGTTTCTCCACGTGCCCCTGCAACACTGGGGTGGTAATGCCATCCCCTCACTAGTCCGCGATGTGTCTGTACCCCTTGCCTTGCCAACTCTGGGACCAGTCCCTGGGTTACACTCTCCCCAGATGCCAGCTGTGCAGGAGGCTGTCTCTTTCTTGCCAGACCTCTCAACATGTTGTGCTCGATAATGCGTTTCTCTAATTCCAACTCCACCACCAACAGCCTACATGTGTGATCTGAGACATGTAGAGAGGGAAGAGAGGGAAGAGTTTGTTCTCCCCTCTGCAGGATAAAAAAGTGAGAGGTAAACAGTCTGGCCTCTTCTTTCACTAGCCCTTGACTCAATCTTGTCCCTGGGAGGAGGAGTCACTTAGCTGATGGTGACTTTGGGATGGGGAACTGACGGGGTGCAGCTCAGACCCTCTTTTCAGGATGGGAAGGGGGCTCGCGGCTGTGTGTGAATTTAACTCTGCACAGAAAGTCTCAGGGATTTGCATTTGGCCTCTGATCTAAGCCTAGCTCTTGAATCAGCTGTTCCAATAAAGCGGACACTGCGGTCTGCAATGACACTGCTCCTCCACCTGCTTCCTCCTGCTCCCAAATACAGGAGGGCGGGAGTCATGGGCCCCTCAATCCCTACCCCTTCCCCTCTCTGAGACTAGTCGCCTCCACAGACGGCAGGGCTGCAGCCAAATGCCCACCAAGTTCAGCTGGAAAGTTCTGCAAGTCCCTGAATGTTGGAATTCCCAGGGTGCGAGGGTGAGCTGACCATTGCTGAGAGCTCTGCCAGGCTGCTGGCCAGTTCTGCTCTTCCTCAGGTGGATGGGCCCCACCCTCCAACTCCTAACCCAGTGCTCCTTAAACACCACGTGCTTGATGCATGCTGAGGAGTTCGTCCCTGTGGTTCGGGTCCTGCAGAAAGTAGCTGCATGGGACAGGGAGTGGTGGCTCACGCCTGTAATCCCAATACTTTGGGAGGTCAAGGCAGGTGGATCACTTGAGGTTAGGAGTTCAAGACCAGCCTGGCCAACATGGTGAAACCTCTTCTCTACTAAAAATACCAAAATTAGCTGGGTGTGGTGGCATGCACCTGTAATCCCAGCTACTCGGGAGGCTGAAGCATGAGAATCACTTGAACCCAGGAGGCGGAGGTTGCAGTGAGCCGAGATTGTGCCACTGCACTCCAGCCTGGAAGACAGAGCAAGACTCCATCTCAAAGAAAAAAAAAAGGTAGTGTGCAGGAGATAGGAGTGCCACAGGTTTGTTGTAGGTCAGCTCTATGAAAGGCAAAGGGAAAGGAATCAGGAAGACACTCAGGCTGCTGTTGGCATCTGACAAGTCCTGGCCAGCCCCCTGGAGAGCTCAGAACAAAGATTGCTCGCTAAAGGAGTCCTGGATTCGGCATAAGTGGTGAGGCCCTAATACTGGAAATGCATAGCCAGGGCTGGAAAGAGGAGGTGGGTCCAGAGGGCTCCAACAGCTGGAGCTGTCAGCCAGCTGCCCTCCTTGCAGCTGAACAGTGGATTCCTTTTTTAAGAACGATCTGAGGGGCACAGACCTAAGGGGCATGGATCTGAAGGGCACACCTCCATGACTGCCGTAGCCCTTGAGCTGTCTGCTGTATGGCAGCTGGAGGAAGCACGTGAGTCACAGGCCTTTGTGGTGACCCCAGTCCACAAGTCGTGATCGTGGTCTTAGATAATCAAAGGTGGCAGAGCTCTCAGAAATTAATTCATTCAACAGGCATCTACTGAAAGCCCACGGGGTCCAGTGCTGTTCTAGACTTGGCAAGAGCAAATTCAGTGAACAAAACAAAGTCTCTGCCCAGATCTTCCAGAACAGGGGCTGGGAAACTTTGGAGGGCCAGAGTAACTATTTTAGGTATCCGTCACCAGTATTCAACTCTGCCGTTGTAACAGGCAGTGTCTGATTTGGCGCAAGGGCTGTAGGTTTCTGACTCCTCATCTGGGATGACATCCACCTGTTTACAGAGGCAGAGTGTGAGGCCCAGAGAGGGTAGGGATTAGACCAAGATCACACAGCAGGTGGTGGTGGAGCCAGCTGAAGAAGTCAGGAACTTGGCCCCACCTGGCACCGTTTCTAATGCTTACATATGTTTTTTTAGTGTGCTTCTGGTGAACAGGTGAGGTAAGAGTGAGGGTGATGCCCTCAGGAGTGAGAAGCGAGGGCAGGGAGGGAAGAACGGAAGAGTCTTGGTGACAGAGTCACCCACCATGCCAGGTCCTGTCTGCACGCTGTCTCCTGCAATCCTGCCACTTACCCTGTGGGGTGTGTAGCATCACCCCATTAACGGAGGAGGACACTCTGGCTTGGCGAGCACTCTGACACCAGCCCCCTTGGTTACAGTGCGGGAACCCCAGGCCTTCTGTCAACTGCAAGGGCTGGGCTGCCATTTCCAACTTCAGTTGTCTGCCACCATGTTGATGAACATCACATCCAATCCATTCCTTCCTGGTTGTCTGATCTGAATCACTCTTCCTCAGCTTCCCCGTCTGTGAAATGGGTAGACCAACAGTACCTCCCCTACTGGGCTGTGAGTAGGATTAAATGAGTTTGTATTGGTGAAAAGCCCAGGGCCCAGAAGAAGCATCCTATAATTGCGTATTCAATAGAAGAAATGGCAGGCTCAGCTCCAGGGAAGACAAGACCTAAACCCAGAAGTTGAGTCACCCAGAGCATGTGGGCCCTTCACATACAGGAGAGAGTCATCACGGCCCCCACACAGCATCAGATCAGAGAGGCCAGAGATGCTCTCCTCGGCGACAGTCTGAACCTGCCTCTGGAACCCTGCCCTCAAGTCCCAGGGAAGAGGGAGGGTCCCCTCCCCATGATCCCTCCTGGGCAGGAGACACTGGACCCCTGCTTTGATCCCAGGGAATCGGGTAAACCAAGTTGTGCTGTCATCAGGCTCAGAGCTGCACAGCACATGACGTGGCCATAGTGGAGACAGAGCATGTCTGTCCCCCGTCTGGGTCAAGTGCAGTCTAAGCAGGAGCTATGGGGCTGAATGGGGCTCACCCACCCAGAGGCCTGCAGGAGCCACACTCAGGCATGGTCCAGAGCTGCAGAGCCCCCTAGCTCTTGTTTATTTAACAATGTTAAATTAAATTAAATTTTAAAATTAAATACATTTTACGTCCACAGTTACTAATTATTTCTCGTAACACTGTATCCTCTTTTCACTTTAGTAAATTTCCTTCAAGAGGAAACCACATACTGTGTATAAACAGACAACCATACCCCTTGCTGTGAACGGAAAGTATTCTTAAAAAGATGCTTTAAAAAAGCATTCTTAAACATGGACACCGGCTGGGCACAGTGGCTCACGCCTGTGATCTCAGCACTTTCAGAGGCCAAAGCAGGAAGATCGATCACAAGGTCAAGAGTTCGAGACCAGCCTGGACAACATAGTGAAACCCCATTTCTACTAAAAATACAAAAAATTAGCCAGGTGGGGTGGCGGGCGCCCATAGTCCCAGCTACTTGGGAGGCTGAGGCAGGAGAATCATGTGAACCCGGGAGGCGGAGGTTGCAGTGAGCTGAGATTGTGCCACTGCACTCCAGCCTGGGCAACAGAGCGAGACTCATCTCAAAAACAAAAACAAAAACAAAACAAAAAAACCAAAACAAAAAAACCCCAAAAACACACACGTGGACACCATGACATTTTGTTCTGTGTACTTTGGTCTTTTGTCAGCTGGAGGATGTGGCCCTGAGACACACTCAGTTGGAAAATAGGGGTGCACGGGTGTCAGAGAGGTGTTAAAAACGTTAGCAGGCCAGGTGCTGTGGTTCATGTCTGTAATCCAGCAATTTGGGAGGCCAAGGCGGGTGCATCACTTGAGCCCAGGAGTTCTAGAACACCCTGGGCAACACGATGAGACCCGTCTCTACAAAAAATACAAAAATTAGCTGGGCGTGGTGGCGCGTGCCTGTAGTCCCAGCTACTCGGGAGCTGAGGTGGGAGGATCACTTGAGCCCAGGAGCTTAAGGCTGCAGTGAGCTATGATGGCAGAGGGGAGACCCTCAAGAACAAAAACAAAAACATTAGCACCAAGCTGAGCCCTTCTTCTTCTTCCACACAATTAGCAAGACTGAAAAAATTCTGAAGACAATCACCTTCCCAGGTTCTTCAAGGTGGAAGGCCTCCCCGACGGGCACATTTCCACCTTAAGTGAAACTGCACGGGCCACTGACAGAGGCTGGGCCTTGAGGGACAGTAAGCCCTGGGGCTGCCTTCCTGGCCAGGGGACCTGCTCTCGAAGCATCTCTCAGACTTGCCAGCAGGCCTTCCGGAACCCTGGGTGCATCCTCCCACCCCACAGGCTGGAACGCAGGCCTGTGCGCCCTGCTCCAACATGCCACTGAGCGCAGGGAGACACCAAGCAGAGTGAGTTCAGATGCCCGGTCCCCCTATAGTGAACATTGAGGACAGCTACCTCGAGGTGGGCACTGGGCAGTGGGCCTGGTCCATGAGCCAGCAGGCTGTGGCCGCAACTGGGACACAGTAGCGCAGCAGCGGGCACGGACCTCGGAGAATACTCGTCACCTCTACCGGCCTTGGGCAGCAATGCCTGGGAAGCGCCGCACTCAGCCTAGAGTCAGTGCTGGGTGACAGCGAGCAAGCCCCACGGGGAACGGGGTGCCTCCCACCCGTGCAGCTGCAGGGTTTCAGCAGATTGTGGAGCCTGGGTCTTCTGCTACTGAGGGGGAAATTGAGGCCCAGGCAGGGAAGAGGGGGGTCACTGAGTTGCACATTTGGGATTCAAGGTTCCCCAAAATGTTAACTTCTTGCTGAAAGCCAAAAGCATCCACTTCACTGAATCAGCGTCACTATCATCTCCTTATGGTTCATCCCATACCCGCATCCTGGCTCATCAGTGAGGCAGGTGTGGCTTTAAAAGCAGGTAGGAAAAAGCCTTTTGTGACCTGTGAAGGTGGTTACACACACACACACACACACACACACACACACACACACTCCCCCTCACGTGTACACTCTCCCACCCTCCTGTAGTCTCTCCCAGCCCTAGGTTGTTGCAGGGCCCCAAGACCTTTCGAAGCCCACCTCGAGGGCAGATGGCTTCATTTCCATAGGAAGCCCCAGCAGAAATGAGTATTTGAGTTGCTGTGATGTAAAAAGAAGCAGAAACGTCCTGAGTCCTGATTGTTTTGTCTTCCTTTTCCCTCCTCTCGCTTTTAAAGCAGGCTTTTAAGTGCTGGCCCTCAGCCTGCCGACTGCCTTACTGCAAAGCTATTTAGAAACTTCCTGTTCCACATACTAATTAACAGTCTATGAATTTTAACTTCCACCCAGGGCCATGTAGCTGTAACGTTCTGCAGAGGCCCGCATTTGCCATTCCAAGTCCTTGGTGTGTTTTCTCCTTCCTTCTAACCTGGACGCACAGTGGGGACCTCAGCAGGGATTATCAGTGACTCAGGCAGCACTGTGGCTTAGGCCAAAGAACTGGAATTGGATCCTTCATCAAGGCCCATCTGAACACAATTCACCAACCACAGCTGCATGCCAGAGGGTCTTTGCAGGGACCCAGCCTTTGCCCCCAGGAGGCCCCAGTCTTGAGGGAGGGTGGGGAGGTAAATAAACAGCAGTAATACACTCTGGGAGGCCGAGGCAGGCGGATCACGAGGTCAGGAAATCGAGATCATCTTAGCTAACAAGGTGAAACCCCATCTCTACTAAAAATACAAAAAATTAGCCGGGCATGGTGGCGGGCGCCTGTAGTCCCAGCTACTCGGGAGGCTGAGGCAAGAGAATGGCGTGAACCCGGGAGGCAGAGCTTGCATTAAGCTGAGACCGCGCCACTGCACTCCAGCCTGGGCGACACAGCAAGACTCCATCTCAAAAAAAAAAAAAAGAAAAAAAAACCCAGCAGTAATAGTGGGGATCTTTACAACAACCCCAGTGAGGCCAGGGATCTCTTATAGACAAAGAAACCAAGGGCCAGAGTGGTCAAGTAACTTGCTCAAGGATACACAGGTGGTAACTTGCACAGCTGGGATTTGAGTTAAGGCAGTTGTATTAGTCCATTTTCATGCTGCTAATAAAACATACCTGAGACCAGGTGCAGTGGCTCATGTCTATAATCCCAGCACTTTGGGAGGCTGAGGCGGGTGGGTCACCTGAGGTCAGGAGTTCGAGACTAGCCTGGCCAACCCTGTAGTGAAACCTTGTCTCTACTAATAATACAAAAAAATTAGCCAGGCGTGGTGGCACATGTCTGTGATCTCAGCTACTTGAGAAGCTGAGGCAGGAGAATCACTTGAACCCAGGAGCAGAGGTTGCAGTGAGCCGAGATGGTGCCATTGCACTCCAACCTGGGCGACGAGAGTGAAACCCTGTCTCAAAAAAAAAAAAAAAAAGAAAAGAAAAAAAAAAGACATACCCGAGACTGGGAAGAAAAAGAGGTTTAATGGACTTACAGTTCCACATGGCTGGAGAGGCCACACAATCATGGTGGAAGGCAAGGAGGGGCAAGTCACGTCATACATGGATGGTAGCAGGCAAACAGAGAGCTCGTGCAGAAAAACTCCTGTTTTTAAAACCATCAGATCTCGTGAGACCCATTCACTATCAGGAGAACAGCAGGGGAAAGACCCACCCCATGATTTGATCAACTCCTCCTGGGTCCCTCCCACAACAAGTGGGAATTACGGGAACTACAAGATGAGATTTGGGTGGGGACACAGAGCCAAACCATATCAACAGTTGATGTCCTGGGCTTGTTTTTTATTATTTTTTTTTTCTATTGAATTTTTGGTCTTATTGATTTGTAGGGAGTCTTTATATGTTAAGGAAATTGTCTCTGTATCTGTGATAGGAGTTGCAAATATTTTCCCCTGCTTTTTGCTCGACTTTTGACTTTAAAATTTATTTATGAGAATTGAACAATCTTTTATGTTGTTGGAGTTTGTTTTTTTTTTTGTTTTTTTGTTTTTTTGTTTTGACACAGAGTCTTGCTATGTTGCCCAGGCTGGAGTGCAGTGGTGCGACCTCGGCTCACTGCAAGCTCCGCCTGCCAGGTTCACGCCATTCTCCTGCCTCAGCCTCCCGAGTAGCTGGGACTACAGGTGCCCACCACCACGCCCGGCTAATTTTTTTAAAAATATTTTTAATAGAGACGGGGTTTCACCATGTTAGCCAGGATGGTCTTGATCTCCTGACCTCGTGATCCACCCGCCTTGGCCTCCCAAAGTGCTGGGATTACAGGTGTGAGCCACCGCGCCCGGCTTGTTGTTGGAGTTTTATGCCATGCTTAGAGAAAGGAGTTCTGCATCCTGAGATTATATACAAAATGTGCTTTCTTTTGAAGTTTTTAGAGATTTTTTTGTATCTAAATATTTGCTCCATTTGGAATTTATTTTAGCATATAGTATGAGGTGTGATTCCCACCTTAGTTTTTTCCTGGCGAGCACCCAGCTCCTCTAAGAGCACACATGAGTGCTCCATCTTTCCCTGCAGCTGATGTGAAATCCACCATCGCTACATCTACATCCCCACGTGCATTTGTGAACCAGGGTTACCAGCGATGAAAACGCAAACACAAGACAGGAAGTAGTCCACAAATGAAGAGCCTTAACGTTACGAAGAGGCCGGGCATGGTGGCTCCCGCCTGTTAATCCCAACACTTGGGGAAGCAGAGGGAGGTGGATCGCTTGAGCTCAGGAGTTCAAGACTAGCTTGGGCAACAAAGCCAGACACTGTATCTACACGAAATAAAAATTAGTCAGCTGTGGTGATGCACACCTGTGGTTGTAGCTACTCCAGAGTCCAAGGTGGGAAGATCAGTTGAGTGCAGGAGGTTGAGGCTGCAGTGAGCCATGATCGTCCCACTGCACTCCAGCCTGGGCGACAGAGCGAGACCTTGTCTCAAAAACAAAATGAAACAAAACAAAAATCAAGTTATCATGAAGAAAAATACATTTACAAAGTGATTGAGCATGCAATGGCAGCTATAATGTCATGTGTTGTGCATATTAAATGGCTTTTAATGCACACACATGCCTTCCACACACGAACAAGCGTGTGCGCAGCCAGTAAGAACAAGCGTGATGAGTCAGACGCTATCTTGTGGTAGTTTTGGGAGAGAGAAGGCACCAGCTGAGTCAGCAATGACATAGCCTCCTTAATTAGGGGACCCACAGCTCAGCGTGGAGGAGTAACCATGAATATTTAGTAATTGGTGGCCCTGGGATCCTAAAAAAATACACGGAGGATATTGTCCAAGGCTGACATCATAACTTAGATGAGGCCTGCCCTGCTTCCTGAACTCTTTGGCCATCAGTAGCAGCTCAAATCTGAAGGCCCCTGAGCTGGGGGTCTGGACGTTCCGTTGGTGCCAAGCCTGGGACAGACAGTGGACATCAGGGGATGGATGAGGCAGCCTCCCTGCCCCGCAAAGAAGTGTCCAGATTAGATCAGGGACAGTCAGACCCAGTATAGGGAGCTATCCAAAGGGGGCCAGCCCAGGCCACGTGTGCGTGCTTTGAGCAACTGGAGCAGGAGGTGAAGAGAACTTTCAGTCATTCGAAGGGTGCCCACTCCACCGGATAACCCTGAGGGATGCGGACGGCAGGGGCCAGAGAAACGCGGACTTGCAGAATCCAAGCAGAGATGCAGAGGGGAAATGTGGCCTGCATTCAGAGGAGGCATTGCTCTTATCCTAGTGAGGTATTCACCCGTGCTGTGGGCGAAAGGGGCTGGACACTAACACCGGGACTCTGGCCGGTGGGATTCCCGCTGTATCCTGTGTGTGTACGTGTGTGCATGTTGCATCCCCTGCATACAGTCACCCTGCCGACCTCATGCGAACACACCCTAGAGCGGCAATCACCAAGCTTCCTTTCAGCTCAAGCAGCCATGTACTCTCTTGTCCGGGGACGGCGGCCGAGCAGCGCAGGAGGAAGTCTCGGCGCTGCCATTGGATGTGTTCCGGCCTCCTTTGCTCTTAGCTGTGTGGGTCTGGGCAAGTCACGTTGCCTCCCCAACTATTTTCTCCTCCGCAGCATGGAGATGACAGTATGTACTTCTGCACGGTCATTGTGGGACCAGAAGTGACAACCGTCAAATGCCTGGCAGGGGCTGGAAAGTTAATATTAGTGGTATTAATGATGCCAACAGCTATGATTGTCTAATCAGTGTCCCACACATGGAGGTGTCTGCGTCGGCCCTCGGTTCACCGCTCCCCGAGGAGAAGCTCTGCCGCTTCCCTGGGCAGGGGAGAGAAGGGCAGCAGGACGTGGCCCTGCCCTCTGCAGCGCTGCCGCCTCTGGGAGGGCATCACGCTGCTCTCGCCTCTCCTCTTCCATTCGCCTCCTCCCTCCATTTCCCCTCATTTGTCTCATGAGCTTCCTGCAGGTGAAGGATGGTGAAAGACATTTCTGCAGCCCCCCGAGCCTAGGCTGAGAAGCCCCCCTTAGGTGACAGCTTCATCTGTTGGAAGTAAAATGCATTTTCTGTGTGGCATAGGGCAGGTACCCTGGTCCCCAGTCGGTGGACTGAGTTTTGGGATCCGATGGTCTCAGAGTTCCTTTCCAACGATGATTCTGCAGCAGTTCCGTGGAAGACGACGCCCCGCGCGCACTCCTGACATCCACGTGGCTTTTGTCTTAAAGCTTTTGTAGTGCCTTCCTCCGACCCCAAGCATAAAAGTGACCGGAAGAGCCACTCGCATAGCTCGCTCTTGCGTATTGCAGGGGGAGCTAGTTATTCTGAACAATGTTTCACAGCGGGAGAGGCAGGCGGGGCGGGGTGGGTGCAGATGGGAGACCTGGGGACTGGCTGCTTCTCTGCGTGGTCCCTGCTGGAAGAGGAAATCCCAGGGTTTCTGGGAGAAGACAGAGGACCCAGGGTGGCTCTGTGGTCTCAGGCTGGCTGAAGGCCCTCTCTGAACTCGCTGTAAAGGTGAGGGACTGGCCTCCAGGTGCTGCCTGGCTGGGAAATTCTATGGGAACGGGGCGGCACAGCAGAGAATCACCCTTTCCCCGCTTTGTGTCTGATAAGGCCCCCCACTTTCATTCCATCCTTCTCCCTGGCTGACAAATGAGGTCAGGGAAGCTCAGGGAGCGTAGGTAATTTCAGATGCTTTAGGATAGAAGGCAGAGTGGAGCGTGTCTGTGGAAAATCTTCTAATCCGCGGCCAGAGCCTTCTCCTACCTGGTCTTTGCAGGAAGCCTGGTTGGAGGCCTGGTTTGTCTCCGCGGCCCCTCTCGCAGCCCCAAGCCTGCCGAGAGGCCCGGGCTGTGGACGCTGCTCTGGCGCCGCCTCGTGGCGGGTGCGGGGACGGCGCTTCCCTGGATCCAGCGCGGAGGCCCCGGCCAGCCGCGCCCAGGCTGGGTCCACCCCTCGTGGCTCTTTCTGCTTTATATTTGCTGAAGCCAACAACTGAACACTTTCCACCGTCTTCGGATGTATGTTTCTTTACTGTCTCAGAAGGGCCCCTTCCCCTGCTTAATTTCCTGGGTGTTCGTATTTTAGGCTCTTTGCTTCCTCGCATTGAAACTTCCACGCCGAAGGGGAAGAGCCCCCCGGGCAAGCCCGAGTTGAGCCTTCCTTGCTGTTTTCTCGTCTGCAAAACAGAAAAATAAAATCGGAGATTATGTAGAGCCTTGAAGCATAATGACTAGGCAGGGATTTTAATGATGTGGCATTTAAAATATTGATATTGGCAAAGCTAAGATTTCATTGGAGATGATGAAAATTATATTAGTTTTTATTGTTGTCATTAAAATTTAATATATTTATTAATTATATAACACAATATGATATACTATATAGTATATAACAGTTATTATTATTGAGATGTATTCATTGTAGGAAATCCTCCAAAAAGCAAGAATTTCCCAGCGTCTTCATTCTTAATAGCCCCAGTGTAGAAACAATCCAAATGTCCATTAACAGTGGAAAGGATGAATTAATAATGGTACATCCTTCTAATATAATAACAGGTCGGGCAAGGTGGCTTGCGTCTGTAATCCCAACACTTTGGAAGGTTGAGGCAGGCAGATCACCTGAGGTCAGGAGTTTGAGACCAGCTTGGACAACATGGTGAAACCCCATCTCTACTCAAAATACAAAAATTAGCCAAGTGCGGTGGTGGGCTCCTGTAATCCCAGCTACTTAACTACTTGGGAGGCTGAGGCAGGAGAATCGCTTGAACCCCAGAAGCGGAGGTTGCAGTGAGCTGAAATGGTGCCACTGCACTCCAGCCTGGGCGACAGAGCAAGATCCCATCTCAAAAAAAAAAAAAAGTGAAAATTATAAATAAAATAAAATAGCAGACAGCAGCAAAAAGCACAACCGCAGACACAGGCAACAGCAGGAAGGAACCTCACAGCTATTATGTTGAGTGGAAGAAGCAAGATACCAATGATTTCTTTACAAAATTATAAAACAAGCAACTCTAACCTATGTTGATTGATGGTAGAACAGCAGTTGTCCTGGGCCAGGGGTGGGGTGGGAACCTGTGGAGTGTTAAAATACTTCTGATCTGGATCTAGCTAGTGGCTAAAAACTTAGGGAGTTGTAGGTTTAAGACTGTACACTTTACAGATTTTGGGGATGTTATACGTCAACAGAAAGTGAAAACAAAGTAGCAAAGAAAATAAGAGGGTGGGTGTGATGGCTCACACCTGTAATCCCAGCACTTTGGGAGGCTGAGGCGGGTGGATCATGAGGTCAGGAGTTTGAGACCAGCCTGGCCAACATGGTGAAACCCCATCTCTACTAAAAATACAAAAATTATCCGGGCATGGTGGTGCAAGCCTGTAATCCCAGCTACTTGGGAGGCTGAGGCAGTAGAATTACTGGGACCCAGAAGGTGGAGGTTGTAGTGAGCTGAGATCCCACCACTGCACTCCAGCCTGGGTGACAGAGCAAGACTCCTCAAAAAAAAAAAAAAGGAAATATGCCCACATGTTAATAAAAGGGGTTACTTCTGAGGGATTCTATTCATGGGGAATTTTCCCATCTTTTTATTACTGTGCCTTAAAGATTTAAAATCAGAAAAAATCACCCTTAAAAGAGATTATCTCAACACTTGTGGTAAGGAAGCACAAATAACACACATATATATGCTTTGCAAAGTGCAAAATGTTTTAAGGACTGTCAGGTTTAAAAAAAAGAGGGGGAAGGTGGCAGGTGCAGTGGCTCACATCTGTAATCCAAGCACTTTGGGAGGCCGAGGCAAGAGGATTGCTTGAGCCCAGGAGTTCAAGAACAGCCTGGGCAACATAGTGAGACTCTCTCCCTGTATTTAAAAAAAAAGAATTGTCAGGTTCAATGTGTGTTTTGGGGAGATTTTTGTGAGTGTGGGTGGGGGAAGGATACTTGGTAAATCCAGATAAGGCCCACTAGGCCCCAAAGGGCATCTTCCACTTTCCCAGTGGGGTGTGATGCCCATCTGATAGCTTAGAGGGTTCTCCCCGGTGGGCAGAAAACAGGACATTCAGGGCTACTTGATCCCAGCCCCCTTTTCTTTTTTTTCTTTTTTCTTTTTTTGAGATGGAGTCTTGCTCTGTCGCCCAGGCTGGAGTGTAGTGGTGCAGTCTTGGCTCACTGCAACCTCTACCTCCTGGGTTCAAGCGATTCTTGTGCCTCAGCTTCCTGAGTAGCGGGAACTACAGGTGCTCACCACCACGCCCAGCTAATTTTTTATTTTTCGTAGAGATGAGGTTTCACCATGTTGGCCAGGGTGGTCTTGAGGTCCTGACCTCAAGTGATCCACCCGCCTCAGCCTCCCAAAGTGCTGGGATTTTAGGCATGAAGCACTGCCCCCGGCCACCAGCCCCCTTCTCCTGTTCCCTTGCCGTGTGACCTTGAGGAAGTCACTTTCCGCCCTCCCCATCTGTCAGATGTTCCTCTCGGAGCTCCCGAGGCTGCAGCCTCCCTTTCAGCTGCAGTGCTGGTTGGTGATGACCCCCAGGGGGAGGATCAAGGTTGGCTCCTTCCTAACCTGTCCCAGCCGTTCTCGGGTTCAGGCCAAAAGGGTGGGCCTGTGGGCAGGCTCTTGCCTGAGGGTCCCAGGAGCACTGGCATAAGGGTCGCCTCAGTTGTTGTGGCAGGGGAGGTGAGGTGGCTTAGGGTGTGGGCTGAGTCAGACAGAGCTGGGTGCAGGCCTCAGCTCACGGGTGACAGCCACATGACCTAGGGAAGCCCCTCTCCCACCTGGGCATCAATCTCCTCATCTGTAAAGTGGTGATGACCGCCCCATCTTGCAGGGCAGTGTGACGATGGAGCGAGCGTCCACCAGTGGGGGTCCAGCCCCTGTGGGTGCTCTGCAGCAGAGGAGACCCCCTCCCTCCCTGGGCTGCTCGGATTCCCCTCAGCCTGGCTGAGTCCCAGAAATCCCAGCCAGTGGCTCTGCTTCCATAGCCCCCCAGTACTCAGTAGGTGCTCAGTAAGTGCTTGCTGAATGTGCCCAGAATAAAAAGCCAGGAGAACGAGCAGAGCTACCGCTGCTCCTTTGTGTGGACCAAGAGGAGGGAGGAAGAGGAGCCCCAGGCACAGAGCAGCCACACATCCTGAAAAGTGCTCTTGGCTTCCCTCGGACCCCTTCATGAGCCAGAGAAAGGGATCAAACAGCAGCTCCCCAGGGCTCCTCAGGCAGAGGCCCTGGAGCTCAGCCCCTTTCTCAGGCTTGAGGAGGCAGGGGCTTGAGGCATCTCCCACGGACTCATGTCTGTCTGCAACCTGCAGTGATGCCCAGGGCCTGGCCTTGTCCCAGGGCCCCAGAAAAGAGCCCGCTGCTGTGCTGCCATAGCCCTGGAGGCACTGCTGTCCCAGCGGAGGATGAGAACAGGCCTCCCAGGTGCCTGGGTCTCTCAGTGCATCATCTCCCTGAGTCCTCATAACCCTGGAAGGAGTCTTAGCACCACCATTTTACAGCAGCAGAAACAGAAGCACAGAGAGGTGAAGCAACCAGCCTAAGTCACACAGCTCAGGTTACAACCATGTATCTCCGGAGCCCATGCATTCACCTGCCTTGCTTTGCTGGAGAAACTCCTCTGGTAGAAGTTAGCTTCAGTGGGCACAGACCGTGCTCTCTGAAACACTGGCCTGGGCCCACTGGGAATGTGGGGGAATCCAGCTGGGCCCCCCTGTAGGCCTGGATGTCACTGCCTTTGCTAGGGGTGCAGTATGGCTTTCATGGGTCCTCTCTCCATAAAACATTCACATTTACCTTTTACAGTATCGTCGGTATGAAGACAAATATAACCCAGGCTACATCATAGTCGTCATTTTCTCCTGATTTTAAAAGAAATTGAAGATATTTTGAGGGCCCTCTAAAAGCAGCACGGGCTCTCGGCATGGGGCCTACAGTGCCTAGTGGAGGAGTGGCCCTAGCATCAGGCACCCAGCTTGGGGTAAAGCCGTGTGGACCCCACTGTGTGCAGGCTCGGTGCTTGCATGCTCTGCACATTTGTTCAGGTGTTTCATGCGGGTGCATCTGCCCCACCTCGTGGCTGAGCAAGCAGGCTCTGAACAGTGGAGGGCCTGCCTGGGCCATGCATCTGGCGGCATCTGCTGGTCTCCCGCTCTGTGCTCTCTTCAGACCTGCAGCCCTATAGTGGCAGCTGCTTGCACTTTCACCTGACAAAAGCCTGCTGGGGATGAGGCTTAGATATGAGGAACAAGAAGCAAGCACTCTGTCCTCAGAGGTCTGGGTGCCCAGAGCCGGGAGAGAGGCCTGGGGGTTGGAGTAGTCAGGCAGGCTTCCTGGAGGAGGCAGGTCTTGCTAGAGTGGGCAGCCAGCCACCAGAGGAGGGCAGCAGGATCAGTGAACACCTCCCCAGCTAATGACGGTGGGAGGACACTCCCTGGGGTTGCTTTCACCCTTCTGGAAATTAGGAACCATGTTATGGAGAAATGCTCTCAGCTCCGAACTTGTCCCCAAAGCAAGGTGGTGGGGGTGCCGCTAATTCAGGTAGTGAGTTCCCCGTCATGGGACATTTACTCATCAGGGGTCCTGTAGAACAGAGATTCCCAACGTTGGCTGCATGTTAGAATCACCTGGAAAGGTTTTCTAAACCCAGATGCTCAGGCCCCACCCTAAACCAATTGGATCGAAATGTAGGAGATGGGACCCAGACCCCCCTCAAAGTTTCTTTTTTTTTTTTTTCTGAGGCAGAGTCTCACTCTGTTACCCAGGCCAGAGTGCAGTGGCACGATCACGGCTCACTGCAAACCCCACCCCCTGGGCTCCAGCGATCCACCCACCTCAGCTTCCCAAGTAACTGGGACTACAGGTGCGCATCAGCACACTCCTCTAACTTTTGTATTTTTAGTAGAGACAAGGTTTTACCATATTGCCCAGGCTGGTCTCGAATTCCTGAGCTCAAGTGATCAATCCACCTCGGCCACCCGAAGTGCTGAGATTGCAGGCATGAGCCACTGTGCCCAGCCCGCAGCAGTTTTTTTTTTTTTTTTTTTTGAGATGGCGTTTTGCTCTTGTTGCCCATGCTGGAGTGCGATGGCGTGATCTCGGCTCACCGCAACCTCTGCCTCCCAGGTTCAAGTGATTCTCCTGCTTCAGCCTCCCAAGTAGCTGGGATTACAGGCATGTGCCACCACGCCTGGCTAATTTTGTATTTTTAGCAGAGATGGGGTTGCTCCATGTTGGTCAGGCTGGTCTCAAACTCCCGACCTCAGGTGATCTGCCCGCCTTGGCCTCCCAAAGTGCTGGGATTACAGGCGTGAGCCACCGCGCCTGGCCACCCTCAGCAGTTTTTAAAGCTATAAACGGACTAGGGCCTGGGCCGGGGGATGGGAGAGCTGGTGTTTGAAGGTGGTTGGGGCTGGCATTAGTTTGTCATCAGCAGACATCCGGAGCAGAGTGAGGTCCACTGGCCATCCTGACCATCACCTAGTGCCATCCCCTGTCCTCCCCACCCAGTCCACATTTCCAAGGGCCCGCTGGTATGTGTCTCCTTCCCTCCCTGGGCCCTACTCCACCGCCCCTGCCTTTGTCTCTCTGAACCAGGCCCATTCCCTCATCAGAGGTCTGCAGGGCTGGGCTTTGTGTGAGCGCTCTGTGGATTCCTGCCAGGCTTGGAAACTGCAGGGGCCAAAACACCAGGAGGGAGGAGAGGGGTCCTGCAGAAACGCTGGCCGCAGCTGGCAGTGAGGGTGCCAGCACCAGATTCCTTCTTGGGCCTTTGGCTTGGAGCTCCCTTAGTCTGTGTGTGTGTGCATGTGTGTGCTTGAGTGCACAAGCCTATGTGCACGCGTGGGGAGCACTAGTCCAGTTGTGTGAGTACTGGCTTACATGTACATATAGGTGAATGCATGTATATGTCATTGCTGGATCATCCAGCAAAGCAGGGGCACTGAAATGAATGAACGAATAGATGAATGAAAAAATGAACAAACAAATACGTACAGAAAAATAACTTCAAGTTGTAATCAGAAACATTCAGAAATAAGCTACTTAAATTTCACCACCCACAAGTTTTGTTTTGTTTTTTTCTGTTTTTTTTTTTTTTGAGAAGGAGTCTCACTCTGTCACCCAAGCTGGAGTGCAGTGGCACGATCTCGGCTCACTGCAACCCTCACCTCCCGGGTTCAAGTGATTCTCCTGCCTCAGCCTCCCGAGTGGCTGGGACTGCCAGCACGCGCCACCATGCCTGGCTCATTTTTGTATTTTTAGTAGAGATGGGGTTTCACCATGTTGGCCAGGCTGGTCTCGAACTTCTGACCTCAGGTGATCTGCCCCTCCTAGGCCTCCCAAAGTGCTGGGATTACAGGCATGAGCCACCGCACCCAGCAAATTTTCTGATATTTAAAAAAATAACCTTTTCTTTTAAATTGCTCATAGGAGGCAAGGATACTTCAGAAGCTTTTCCATGCTCAGAGCCTCTTACAAGTCATAATGTGATGCCAGCACACACAAGTGCTAGTGCAAGCATGCCCATGCATGCAATGACCACACATGATGTATAGTCAATCAGCGTGGGCTCTCATGTGTGCCCATTTCTGCGTGCACTTGCATGGGGTGTGCACATGTGTGCACGTGTGTGTAAATGTGGTACAGGCAGAGGTGAGGGCTCTTCTTGTGTATTGCTGTGTGTTCCTGGACATGCACAAGGGTGCTGATGGAATTTGTGTGGGTGCATGAGCGTGTGGGTACGTGCTTTTCTCCCTACAGAGAAGAAATCTTTTGTCACTCACCATCTCTTAATTGCAACTGTAAAAGGCAGGAACTAAATTACTTAGAATGAAATACACAATTCTAAAGCTAAGTATGTGTTCCTTAACTCTTCAGGGCTTAGGCTTGGGTGCCTCTTCCTTTGTCTCCAGCCTTATTAATGCATTGGTCCAAACACTGAGAACAGTGAGCTCACATGTAATTGTCAATAAAGCAAACTGCGGAAAGTGGGAATCAGCCTTCTCACCATGCCAGAGAGCAGCCTTCCAGACTACTGGGACTGGGAAGATTTGAGACTTCTGGTCGGCTAAAAAAGAATGAACATAGCTAAGTGAGAGAGAGGGAGGAGGTTATTCCAGGAGGGCCGGGCACACAGGTGACTCTTCAGCCGGGAGGATCGCTGCCGTCTCAGTGTGAGAGCTGAGCTGTTCTTCCTCAACACTGACCTTTAAACTAGCTCCCTCTGCAGGGGGTCCTCCCTTCCCCTCTCCTCCTGGTGACAGCGTTCCTCTAGCCTCATTGTAGGAGGCACTCAGATGTCTCCTTCTTCAAACAGCTTCTTGAATGCCTAAGTCTCAGTGCTCCCCATTCCCGGCGTTTCCCTAACACCGGGAGAGCCTTCTCGGCCGCTGCCTCCTTGTTTGGCGTGTGAACTGGTATTGAATGTTCTCAGAATCCAGATGGCTCATAGGGGTTTCGAGCACTGCTCCTGCTGGGGCTGAGGCGACACTGAGAGGGGGGCCTTGGCCTCCCCTGTGGCCGGGCCTGCTCCCTGAGACCTGCGTCCCAAGGATTGCATTGCCAGCATGTGGGAGTGTTAGTGATGCCTGGGGCAGCCGCTCGCCCTGACCCGCCGTGTCCCAGTGACTGAGGGAGCCAGGTTGCTCTCTGGGTCTGGATGTGGCCCCCAGACCCAGTTTGTCCACCCCTGGCCTAGGTCGCGAGCATCTGTCCTTTTCCTTCCTAGCATCTCCGGTTCTGCTTCTTTTGGGCAAACAAGTATCCCCCTAGGGAACTACCCTTCCCCTCTTTTTAAGTATACGGAGTCCATGGGCTTCACTTGCCTGCTTGGCTCCAGTTGATCAGCGTGCTCTGCTCTCCTCCACACCCCTCTGCTGGTAATTGGTTTAGCAATGGACACCTGACCCAATGGGTGCCAGTGAGAGTTGGGAACTTCGTTCAGTGCTTGGCAGAAGGAGGCAGTCTTTCTTGCCCTGAGGCTGTAAGATGTGGAACTCACGCAGCCATTTGACTTCCTGAGAGGAAACCCTGGAACTGCCAGTGAGTGGCCACTGTGTGGCACCAGAGGTGCAAGGCAGAGAGAAGAATGGATGACGCCTTCTATCTGATGATGTCATTTGAGCCCCTGGATCAAGCCTCACCTGAAGCCTGAGGATCTTTGGACTTTTCAGTTATGTGAGCCAATAAATTCCCCTTATAGTTTAAGCTATTTGACCTGGGTTTTCTATCATTCATGGCCTCGCCTCTTAACTGATATATCATCCTTATGCTCTCTTGGGGCTGGTGCAGACCCGCCCTGCTGTATGATGATGGCAAGGGGCTCTGTAGGTTTGAGATACTTTGCAGTTGCTTCCTCAATGGTGTCTCCAGCCTCCAAGCCTCCAACACACCCTGCTTTCCTGGGCAGCCTACACATGGGCCCCTCCTGAGTCCCTGGGCCCTAAGCCAAAGCTCTGGTTTTTGCCTCCAACCAGGATTGAGCTTTGCCATGAGTGTTGGGAAGCCTGGATCCTCCAGCCTGTGAGCTCTAAATTCTGCAGCGGAAACATCTGGGCCCTCCGCTGGCCCCAGGGTGCACACCACTACGTCTGCCATAAGTCACGACAGCATGTCGAGGGTTTTATTGCAGTTATGAATTATGGATATGGCCTGGGCTGTGCACTTCTCATTATTTTTTTCCTGCTGCAATTAAGCCACAAATCATACTTAAGAAATGGAAGGGTGACCGAATTAGTCAGGATTCGTTCATAATAGGCTGACCCTGGAAAAGTCATCCAGGAGAGGTCAGATGTTTGCCAGGTCCCAAGAGCACAAACTGGGAGACAAACAGTGTCTCCTCGCCCAGGTTGCCAGGTTAATGGACTTTGTGCATCTGAGAGGTTCCCGCTGTGTAGCCGCACAATTAACCCACTCGGTACCTTTATCCAGCCTCAGCCAGAAAGCAGAGAGACCCTAAGGAGACTGGATGAGGACTGAGGCTAACTTGGTCCTGCTTCCTGGACCGATCGATAGCTGTCAGGCTGAGGATCAGCTTTTTGATTTTGTGAGTGAGTAGATCTGAGGAATGAATGGACCAGTCCCAAGAGCTGAGACTCTGGGATAAAAGCATTTCTACCCTGCTGGAGTGAGTAGGTCTTTCCCATTTTTAAATTAACTTTTTATTAAAGTATAATATGTACATAGAAAAAGTGCACATCTGATGACTTTTCAGTCTGTGTAACTGGCAATCAGATCGATGCGAGAGCTCGCTGCTAGGGAGAAGAGGGAGACAGGCTTTCAGCCCTGAGGGGCTCACATGGGGTCAAAGGATGCATAAATAGTGCTAACCCAAACGAAGCCAGGGTGCGGACGCACAAGCACGCTACCCTGTAGGCAGGACACACCCACACTGTCATCCCCTGCTGAGCATCTGGACCTAGCTCTTGCATCCTGGGACCCGGCTGAACTTCCTGGCCCCCTGGCAGTTGTGTAGGTCAGGTGACCTGATCTGGCCAATCAGTGTGAGTGGGTACAACCCGGGTCACTTCTCGGGGAAAGACTTAATGGCTGGTCTGAGACTCTCCAAAGCTCTTTCTCCCTCTGCAATGGTAATCAGCAATGGTTGAAAAGGAGGCCACGGATGGGGGAAAATGTGGAGCAGAGCCCTTGGCTGGCCTCAGGGGACAGACGAATGAGCACTGTTTTCTTTTAAACCTCTGGGATTTTAGGGTTGTTCGCGTGGCAGAACCACGCATGTTTCTACTGACACACATCCTAGTTCTGCTCACCCTTGGGAACGTGTTTTCTGATAACTGTGATATTAGCTGGTACCCAAGGCTGGTCTTTGGGAGCAATAACTCATTGCATTTAGCAATTGCTGAAATCAATAAGATAAGTGGCAGCTGGTATCTTTATCTTCCAGCCACCGCAGTAAACATGCTGATGATCTACAATGCATCATCTCTGAGCCTGCCCCTCCCCATTCCCATGACCTAGCCAGTGATGCTGTCTCTTAGATCTGTTTCCTCTTCTCAATTCTTCGTCCCCACAGCCACTGCCTGGGGTGAGGCCTTGCTGAGGACTAACCTAGATGTTGCAGTGGCCAAGGTGGCCTCTGCCTCCAGCCTTGCCCTGACACCTGCCCTCAGTCCCTCCCCCACATCACATCTTCCTAAAACACAAATCTGACCATGGCTACCCCACTCCACTTCCCTCCTTAAGATCCTCTTATGACCGTCTGGGCTTACCACAGATGGTAAGTGAGGCCGCGCACCCCTGTGGTAACACAGACTGACTCTAAGGCCAGACAGTCTGTGTTTAATCTGAGCTCCACCGCGTGTCACCTGTGTGTAATTGAGAAAGTTACCCTCTCTGTGTCTCTGCTCCTTCATTTATAAAAGTGAGGCTAATACTAATAATAATGGATAATAATGACACCTACCTCATAGGCCATGGTGAATATTAAATGCGTCAGTTAGTTAAGGCGCTTAAACAGTGTGTTCCAGTTATCTATTGTTGCAACTATAAAATACCCCAAAACATAGTGGTTTAAAACAATGACAATTATTTTATTATTGTCCTTCACATTTCTGGGGATCGATGGGGCTCATCTGGGCAGTTCTCATTTGGTGTCTCTTGGGTTTAGTCAGAAGGTGGCTGGGGCTAGACTCATTCCTGAGCTTCCTTGCTTATCTGCCTGACAGATGATGCTGACTGTGTACTGGGGTCTGAGCTGAGTGTCCAGACCGTAACACCCATACTTGGCCCAGACTCACTCAGCTGCAGCACCCATGCTTGACCAAGTCTTCCTTCCAGCATGGTGGCTGGGCTCTAAGACTGAGTCCCAAGAGAACCAGGCAGAAGTTGCATCCACTTTTAGGACCTAGCTTTGGAAGTCACATAGCGTCACTTTCACAGTAGCTACGGATTCACAGCCCTCTTGATGCAGGGGCTGTCAAGGTCACGTTGTAACAAGAGCCTGTGTGATGGAAGATTCTATTGCGGCCACCTTGGATAATACAACCTGTGGCACAGTGCCTGACAAGTGACAAGTGCTCAGTGAACGGTAGGGGTATTATTGTTGTTTTTTTAGAAATGCAATCTGCATTTGAAAGCTCAGCAGTGTGTGAAAGAGTTAAAGACAGAACAGCTGGGTGTAGGAAGGGCGTGCAGAAGCCCCCACTTCAGCCCTCAGGAAGCTCCATGAAATTGTCAGGTCTCTGCGGCACCCAACGGAAAGCCACTGGGCTCCAGGGTCAAGTCCAGATTCCTAGGGCTGCATACGGATGCTGGCACTTGGCTCCTGTCTGCGTCTCTAGCTCCAACTCTTGTTATATCCCCACTATACCAATCAGAATTCTTGGTTACAAGCAATAAAACCCACTCTTGTGAGTTTAGAGAGAAAAGGAGATTATTAAAGGGTGTTAGCGGCTCTCAGACCCTTCAGGAGAGCCAGGGGTGCAGGCTTGGAGTCTCCTGGGTAGGAGCAGTGGCCACATTCCAGGCCAGTGGAGGGTCTGGTGCCTCTGCTGCTAAACAGGACGGGAGGCTGGTGTGGGCGATGGTGGACATGGCGGTTTACCCCTGGGATTGCAGCCACCCTTGTAGGAGGGAGCCTGCAGGGCTAGTCCAAGAGCCGCCTCTGTCATCACACCACTGGCTTCCAAAATGAAGCCTCCCTCGGCTGAATCTGATTGGTGGACCTAAGGTCACATGGCTGTACCTTAGCTGTAGGGGAAGCAGGGAAAGAGCTGCCGGTTTCTACCTTGGAAGGCTGGGGTTCCTAAGAGGGGAAACCTGAAATACAGGAAGTGTGTGCAAAGGCTCTGGGAAGTTAGGGAGCCACACACAAATGTCCTCCGTTTCCACGTTGGTCCCTTTCTTGTCCCATGAAAGTTCTAACATCTCTTCACTGGCCTGGCTCCCTCTCGTGGCTCCTTCTTGGCCTTGTTTCCTGGTAATCTCGGGTCTTCTTCCCTCCTCAAAGCTCTGCCTGCTTCCTCCTCCTGCCTCTCCTGTGTTTGCATCCCACCATCCCTATACAGACCTCCATCCCAGCATCCACAAAAGCCACCTGCTCTTATGCATTTTCATGTCTGTCCTTCCCCCAAACTGAGCCTCTAGGGCAGGCTACATCTTTTCCCTCTCTGAGTCCAGCATGCATAGCCAGGAGCTGGCGCACAGTAGGTGCTCTGTGCATGTGGGCGGAGGAATGAATGGTGAAGTCCACATCACAAGGTCTTGTGCTCCCACCTCAAAGCCGGGGACATGGAAGCACTCACTAGATGTGAAATCTGAGGCTTCTAAGTGAGCCCACATTTATGATGCTGATGTTCTTTTCAGTCTCCACAGAAAACAGTATTCCAGGAGCTCTTTCCACCTAGGATAATACTTGGGGCTCAAACCAAAAGGAAATACCCTGAAAGGAAATGGCAGCTGCTTCCTGGCTCAATAATGGTCTCTCGATTGAGGGATGACCCTGCTTTTCTGGCTAAACACATTTTCCTCCTGAAGGGTCAGGGAGTAGGTAAGAGGTTCAGGCTCATCTGGTTTCCTCTTGATTCCTTCTGATGTCTCAAAGAGAAGGGCCATGCTGTTGGCAGGAACTAGGAGTGAATCTGGCACTCCATGAGTGATTACAAGTGAGGCCTTGGATATTTGCATAATGAACCCAGAGTGCTTTCCACGAAGCTGTCAGGCAGTTTCTCCAGTCGACACAGTCTTCACATTTAATGGCAGATGACAGTGTTTATATAAAACAAAGGAGAACAAGGAAGGTATATGGACGCCCCCTCCCTGAAATCTGTCTCCCTTTCATTCCTTAGCTTCCATCTCCTTTAGCCTTCACTGCTGGGCACTGGGGTGGGCCAGGCAGGACTGAATTTGGGTTGATGCAGCAGATGTTCATGGACTCCAGAGGCCAGTGATGCCTGCAAGCAGGAGACAGGCCTAGAGGACAAAGGTTGGCCTTAAAGGTGGGGAAGAGGTGGGGTATGTGTGTGTATACAGATGCAGTTATTACTTGTCCTGTAATTACTCCAGTGATGCCTGTCTACACCCTCATCTCAAAAAGTACCCCCTAGGCTAGGCACAGTGGCTGATGCCTATAATCCCAGCACTTTGGGAAGCCGAGGCGGGTAGATTACCTGAGGTCAGGAGTTCGAGACCAGCCTGGCCAACATGGTGAAACCCCGTCTTTACGAAAAAATACAAAAATTTCCCGGGTGTGGTGGCAGGCACCTGTAATCTCAGCTACTCAGGAGGCCGAGGCAGGGAGAATTGCTTGATCTTGGGAGGTGGAGGTTGCAGTGAGCCGAGATTGCACCACTGCACCTCCAGCCTGGGTGAGAGAGCGAGACTCCATCTCAAAAAAAGTACCCCCGAATACAAGAACACCTAGAATTTAAAAAAAGCAATAGATACCTTTCAGTATCCCTTCCCCACTTTCTCAGTCCTTCCCACAAACCACCGTCGACATTTTAGTGGTTATTTTACAAGACTTCTCTCCATGCCTTTATGCTCTTCTATGAACAGGGCTGCAGGTTTTCACAGATGGGACTCGAGGATTCCATCCTAAAGCATCTGGATTTGCCCTCCCCTTGTCTCTATTACCCCAGTGATGCTCTACTTTTTCCCCATCCCTGAGCTCTGTCTCCACCAGGTCCCATGGCTTAGCTTTTTCTAGTCACTCTTGGATAATAAAAAGTCCTCTGCCTACTAATAGTTAATGTATATGTATATGGTGGTATGGTGAAGGGGTTTCTCTGGATGGATACAGGAATAAGAATGTGAATCAGAGATCGTGGCTGCCTAACTGTCTGCAAGTCTTCATGGTGAGTGTTCGCTAGAGACAGGCTTTGCATTTTGAAAAAAAATGGAAGATTCAGCAAAGTTACAAGAAATTGCCATGGAAGGAAAAGAAGTCTCCAATGTCACAGGAATCTCAATTCGCAGGTCGATGCCCCAGATCATTTGAAACATCGCTATTTAACTGAAGAGGAGAGATTCAGGAAGCAGCTCTGAAAAGTTGACCAGCCTTTGCCTGAAGAAGAGTGTAGCATGATCAGGTTTGCTTGAAGGTTGGTGTCACTGTGACCAGCCTCAGCCAGAACAATGCAGAACAACAGTGAACTCCTTTACCATCCCAAAGAAAAGTTCAAACATCAAATCAGAGAACCACAGAAGAAGAGGAACAGGTACAAGCTAAGCGTGCTAAGAAATAAGAATGTGAGAGGAGGAAGCAGGAGGGAGAAGCTCAAAGGCCCTACAAAAAGAAAAAGATGGGAATGCTTAAAGTATGGAGCCCAAGGCTGAGTGTAGCGGCCCACGCCTGTAGTGACAGTACGTTGAGAGGCCGAGGAGGGCAGATCACTTGAGGCTGGGAGTCCGACACCAGCCTTGTCAACATGGCAAAACCGCATCTCTACTAAAAAAAAAACAATTATAATACAAAAATTACCTGGGTGTGGTGGCACACACCTGTAGTTCCAGCTACTTGGGAGGCTGAGGCACAAGAATCACTTGAACCTGGGAGGCGGAGGTCGCAATGAGCCGAGATGGTGCCACCGAACTCCAGCCTGGGTGAAGGAAAAAAAAAAAGAGAGAGAGAGAGAGAAAATGAAGCAAAGAGACTAAAAAGGGCCAACCAAATTTGAATTTACAAATGGAGTATCTTCTTCAAAAAATAGAAGAAAAAAGTTAAATTAGACATTGTTCTTACAGGTGAAAATATCTGCTGTCTCTTGGATTTTTTTGTGTACACAACAGGTGCCTCCCAACAAAGAGCTAAATTTGTCAACATAACTGCATTGCTAACTCTACTAAATAGAAAGTGCGCAAATATTTTTGTTCTGGTAAAAAAAAAAGCTTTTTCTTTCCTTTTTTAAATTTTATATTTTACATTTTTAATTAAAATTTGTTTTTCTTTTCCTTTTATTTTGTTTTTTAGGGATGGAGTCTTGCCATATTGCCCAGGCTGGTCTCGAACTCCTGGACTCAAGCAATTCTCTCGCCTTGGCCCTCCCAAAGTGCTGGGATTACAGGCGTGAACCACCATGCCTAGCCGAAAAGAAAATTTTCTATATATGTTTCAAAAAATATTATGTGCAGGGTATGTATGAAAGCAGATTGCTGCTGGGGGTTAAAAACAAGTAAATGTTGAGATTTAACACTATGTTGTTACTTAAAGGAAATTTTGCCTACTTTAAAAGACAAAACAGGTGAGTTTTTTTTGTTTTAAACTTTCAACAGCCAACTATGAGATTCTATACATATTTCCTACATAAACTAAATGTTGTTGGGATGGCTCATAAATAAAAGAGGATATGAATGAACTTAAAAAAATCCTTTGTTTAGTCCAGTGTCATAATGAAAACATTGAATTCCAGCCAAAGATAAACTTTTCTTTCACTCCTCTGGTGGGGGTGGGCCGGCCTGCTGCTTGTCTTTACTCCCAGCGCCTCCCCTCTGCTCACCAGGCATCCTTCCTGCTGTTCTAGGGTGTGGAAAAGCTCTGCCTGAGAGCACTCGAGGTCGGTCTGGGCTTGGCGATGTTCACGTGCACCCTTCTTGCAGGTTTCTTAGCAATCCCCGCACCTGAAACCTCCAGGACTTGCCTGTACCCTCCGCCTTCGGGCTCTGTCAGCCTGTGGTCCTGGGACATTCCATCCCTCCAGGTGCCTCTGTGCAAAGTCCCTTTCCAAGAGACCCCAAGCCAGCTCCTCTGGTGGAAGCTAAGTTAGTGGGGGCACAGCTTCGTGCTTCCGACCACTCTCAGTGGAAAGACCGCTCAAGCCCTGTCCAGCCCTTCTTCCTCCTGGACACTTCTGCTGTCTGACACTTCAGGCTGGCAGCTGCCCTCTTGCCTTCAGGTTTCCCCAGGCATGAGGCTGACACCCACCAGCCTTTGTGTGCACGGACACCAAGGGACACAGCTCTCCCAGGGTTACCAAGGCCCCCTCCCAGGGCTTGGGGTAAGGAGGGAGGATAGTTCCTTCATAGGGGCAGGGAATACCTTAGTAGTCCAACAGTTGTCCCCAAGAGGTCCCCTCTCTCTTTGTCTCTTCTATTCAGTTAGATAGAATAGGCTGAGGGTCACCAAATGGGTTTTCTTGCACCATCTTTACAACTCCTGCATCAGTAGTCCAGCATCTCATCTCAGAATATGGGGAGATTTAGGGGCCTACTGTTTTACTATTGGCCCCTGGGGGGCTTCAGTGGACATTTGACACAGTCCCGTTTTAACCTCCTGAACATGGAGGTTAGGAGCTACGTGGCTTGTCCCGTGCACCCACTGGGTACACCAGGGCAAGCACCCCCACCACACCTGCCCTTAGCAAAGCGAGCTCACTCATCTCGCTTGATGCTCCCGATCAATGTGTGGGGCATATGGGGACAGTTCATTTGGTCCTCATTTTACAGATGAGGATACTGAGGCTAGGAGAGTCAAGGAATTTACTCACGCACAATGGCTTGACTTGGACTCTGGTTCTCTGACTCCACATGCCTGTTAATGAACATTCATACAGGGCTCATTAGCATCCCCCCTTTTTTTTTTGAGACAGGGTTTCACTCATATCGCCCAGGCTGGAGTGCATTGGTGCAATCTTGGCTCACTGAGTCTCAACTTCCTGGGCTTAGGTGATCCTTCTGTCTCAGCCTCTGGAGTAGCTGGCACTGCAGGTGCATGTCACCACACCTGGCTAATTTTTTTTATTTTTAGTAGAGACAGGGTTTCCTTATGTTGCCCAGGCTGATCTCGAACTCTTGGGCTCAAGCCATCCACCTGCCTCAGCCTCCCGAAGTGCTAGGGTTACAGCAGTGAGCCACCATGCCAGCCAATGCCATTTTATGCCTTCTGTTTCCCAGGAGTTTCCATTGGATTTAGGACAGGACTCTTGGCAGGAATTATCATTGGTACCAGAAGTGCCTTATCTGAGCTCTGTTAGCTGAGGCTCCGCTAAATCCTTGTTCTTTTGCAGTGGCACGAAGATATCAATAATTTAATTTATGCTAAACTGCAGAAACTTTAATGAACATGCATTTCAGTAGAGGAATTCAATAGGACATTGCTTAACCAAAAGGCACTTGGAGGCACTGAGGGGCTGCAGATGAACAAGACCCAGTCTTTGTCTTGGAGGAGGACTCTGTGTGACTGATCCTCCCTGAATCCCCTGAAGCAGGGAACCAGGTCCCAGGTTTACAGCTGAAGAGACTTGGGTCAAGAGGGGGTCAGTGCTGAGCACCTTTGATCTGAATTAAGTGCTGAAGTCCAGCAACAATTCAGGCGCAGGGCTGGGAGGTGGATCCAGTTCTTTCTGCCTGTCCACCCCGGGAGCTCAGAGCCCAGTGCTGAGTGCTGGGGCCGCTCACCCGACATCAGACTGTCCCGCCCCAATTCACATTACACCCTGAAGACAGCAGAAAAGAGAGACGGAAGAAATGGGTGTCATGTTGGCAGGGGTGGCCCAGCCCTAGCTGGGGGTATGAGAAAAAGATGTCACTGTCACTCATCTCTCACCAGGGAAAGAGCCCAGATCCCTCTCCTGGCCTCTGTATGAAGACAGACTGAACTGAAGAGGGCTTTGCTTGGGGCTGGGGCTTTGTTCCCTGTGTGACTGTGGCCACCACCAGGTGGCCACAGGGCTTATTGTACAGCTTTGTATCTAGCCATAGGACATACACATACACGCATCCTCCAGGCCTCTCTGGGGCTGGCTCTGACCAACTGCCTTCTTTCCCCCTCCCCTTTCTTCAAAACAAAACAAAACAAAACAAAACAAAAAAGCCCCTTGCATTGCTTTTTAAATTCAGATTCCCTAAAACTCGAGGCTCAGAATGTTTACAAAACTGACACATCCGATGAACTAAGGCTTTAGGAAGCAAATCTTTCTGACAGTGACGGGCTCTGGGCATTAAAAGAGCCTCTTTGGCCAGGCGTGGTGGCTCACTCCTGTAATCCCAGCACTTTTGGGAGGCCGAGGCAGGTGGATCACCTGAGGTCAGGAATTCAAGACCAGCTTGGCCAACATGGTGAAATCCCGTCTCTATTAAAAATACAAAAATCAGCCGCGAGTAGTGGCGAACGCCTGTAATTCCAGCTACTTGGGAGGCTGAGGCACGAGAATCGCTTGAACCTGGGAAGTGAAGGTTGCAGTGAACCAAGATCAAGCCACTGCACTGCAGCCTGGGGGACAGAGTGAGACTCTGTCTCAAAAATATCAATCAATAAATAAATAGGCTCTTTAAGGTAATCGTGCCTGGGCAGGGCCTTGCCTCCAAAAGCTCCCAAATTCCTTGGGCATCAGATTGTCCTTATGAGAGTGTGAGTCCTGAAGCTGGAGGTCACACCGGTCCAGCTCCAGGCCCCGCAGAGCAATGTCCATGAGGGGGGCCAGGCACGTCCCCCCTGTCTCCCTCTGCTGGACCTTCATAGCAGGGGCACTACTGCACGTGCTGGCCCTGCCTGGCCACATTTTCCCCGGGTATCTACAGAGCACCCTCTAGGTCTTGGAGAAATGTCACCTTCTCCAACCACCTCCACCATCCCTCTCCCCTCATTCCCTGTCCCTCCCCCGCGCCCCTGCTATGGTTTCTTCATGACAGTCATCTCCATCTGATGCACTGTCTTGTCCTTCCCCTTCATGGTTCTCTTTGCTGCTTGTCACGCCCCACTAGGAGGCAAACACCCTAGAGGCAGAGAGAGGTGTTTGGCTGCTTTGCTCACTGCGGTATCCCCAGCTCCTAGGAAATTCCTGTTTTGCAGTAGGAGCTCATCAAAGACCAAAAAGTAAAGAAATGTATGCTATTCCAAGCCCCATAGATTTTCAGCTTTCTTGTGTCACCAGCCTCAGTGGCCGCAGAATTCCATCTTCTCCCACGTGTCTCCTATCTGATGTCCCAGGTGTAGATTCTCGGTGATGAGCACCTCCTCCCTGTTTGAGACAGGCTCTTTCTTTAAAACTGTGGACTTTAAAACGTTCTGTGTTACTTTCCCTTTAATTTTTTTTTTTTTTTGAGATGGAATTTTGCTCTTGTTGCCCAGGCTGGGTGCAATGGTGCGATCTTGGCTCACTGCAACCTCTGCCTCCCAGCTTCAAGAGATTCTCCTGTCTCAGCCTCCCGAGTAGCTGGGACTGGTCTCGAACTCCTGATCTTAGGTGATCCATCCACCTGGGCCTCCCAAAGTGCTGGGATTACAGGCATGAGACACCACATGTGACCATCCTATTGGTTTATTAAACAAATTCCTACAAGTGTAACAGTCAATGAAAGAAAAAACTTTAAATTTTGACAAATATTGTAAAAATTGGCCCCAAGGTCATATCCATTTACATACCCACCCAAAGTTTCTGCAGATGCCTGTTTTCCCATACCCTTTACCACATAACATACTGCCAGTCTAGCTCATCAGATCTTTATCACTCTCTTAGATGAATCTAGTATCAATTCGTGGATTTCACTTATTGTGATCCTCTGCACTTAAACGACACCTGTATTTGCTTTTCTGTGAACTGTTCATGTTCTTTTCTGATTTTGTGTTTTTTTCTGTTTCTCAATAATTTCTTAATAATTTGGGGAAGATTCTGTCTATATCAATATCTCTATAAGTATTGCTATAGCTATATCATCTCCTAGAATTGTGTTCTTAAAGTTTGTTACTTGTAACTTCATGCTACTTTTGTCATGTCAAATATTGCAATTTTATGTAGTTCAAATTATTATATTCTCTTTTATAGGTTTTGGATTTAGGATCATGGCAAGAAACACACATACACACACACAAATATATACAAATTTGTCCTATGTTTTCTTCAGCATTTTTAAAATTTCATTTTTTTGCATTAAAATTGTTACTTCTTCTGAAATATATTTGCATAATGAGGAAGTCAAAATTAATTTTCTCTGCATAGTTATATCATCCCAATAATATTGATTGAAAAAATGGATTTTTTTCTACTTTAACATGCCACATTTATCAGAGATTAAATTGAGGACATTTTAGCCTAAAAAACAATGAAATAAATGACAATGTAAAATATTAATAGATTTGACTACTATAAAGTTAAAATTTCTCTGCATCAAAATATGGTGTAAATAAAATTTATCAGAAGTCTAGTGATGCTGTAAAAGAAAAAGAAGAAAAAATAAAATCAAAAAGTTAGAAAAAATGTAAACTTTTTTGGCAAACTAGGTCAAAGGACTAGGTATTTAACATATAAAGAACCCCTACAAATCAATAAAAATTAGTAATTGAATGGGAAAATAAGCAAAGGCTATGATGAAAGAATTTACTGACAAAATACAAAGGCTAACAAAGTGAAAAATTTTAAATTTCACAAATAATTAAAGAGCAAGTAAAACTTTCATTTTTGGCCTATGAAATTGGTCAACATTGTTTTGGAAATGATCATATTTCTGAGGAGAATAGAGTGAGGCAGGTATATTATTGATAGTGGAGTAAATCTATACATTTTGGGAAGGCAATTTAGCAGTATTCATAAACAGCTTCAAAGTGATAGTCTTCTTGGATCTGGAATTCTATTTTTTGGGAATCTGTGTTATTGAAATAATAAGAACTATTAATTTGTGGAATAAGAGAATATCCACAATACTTATTTATGATGGTAAAATATCTCACCCAACTCAATGTCCACCAAAACAAAGTTGCTTAAAATCAGTGGTGTGCTGGAGTTGGCTAGCATGGTCTCATGAGAGTTGATGGTGGGTGTTTCTTTTCAATGGTATATAGGTTCAGTGATGTTACATCACTATCTTGAAATTGACCGTGATGGGAGCATTTACACCAAAGAATCTGGCAAATGCTACAAATAGGGCTCCCCAGCCCACCACCCGAAAAGCCTGTTGTCAAACATTTGTCAGCACACTATTGCTTGATATTATATGATATCCATATGATAGACCATTTTGAATACTGTAAAATAATTATTTCATGAAAAAAAGCCAAAATTGTATAAACACCATAATCCTAATTATCGCTAATAGCTATGTAATTTGTGTTTTATTTTTTACTTGGAAGCAAACCTGAAACACATCTACAAAAACATAACAGGTTTTGTTTCCAGGTAGTGATATTAGTGATGACTATTTCACCACTCTAATTTTTGAATTTTCCAAATATATACATTTTATTTTAATTTTCATTTTTTTGAAATGGAATCTTGCTCTATCACCTAGGCTGGAGTGTAGCGGCAAGATCTTGGCTCACTGCAACCTCCGCCTCCCGGGTTCAAGTGATTCTCTTGCCTCAACCTCCCAAGTAGCTGGAATGACAGGCTCCCACCACCATGCCTGGATAATTTTGTGTTTTTAATAAAGATGGGGTTTTGCCATGTTAGTCAGGATGGTCTCAAACTCCTGACTTCAAGTGATCTGCCCGCCATGGCCTCACCGCGCCTGGCCATCCAAATATATAAAATTTTATACTCAGAAACCAATTTAAAAAATCAAGCGGTCTCTTGGGGACATGTGTAGATTGTGATTTTGTTGAACTGGTGCTGAGGATTATTGAGGAGATAGCAGAACTTGAGATAGGGAGGAAGACAAGGGCAAGCTCATTAAAGAGCTGCGGAGAAATAGACTTTTGCTTTTTCTTGAATCACTCAAGTACTACACTCTTTTAATTGATATTGATTTATAATGTTTTACAGCTTAATGGAAGCTTAAATGACTATATTTTACCCTTTTTGAAAAATTGTTGGCTATTTTAACTTTTTAAAAGAGTAACTTTATAATCACTTATGTCAAGTTATAAAAAACTTCTGTTGGTTTGGTTGCTATCGCATTAGATCTTCATTTAATTTGGGATGAATTGATGTCTTTTCCTTATTGAGTCGTCCTATCCGGGATCATGTTCTCTCCATTGTCTCAAATCTTTTATAGCCCACACTAAACCTTTATGTTTCTCTTCATATGGATTCTTCCATTATCTTTTTAGAGCTATTCCTAGGTATTTTATTTTTTATTGTTATTAAGGAAGGAACCTCTTTTTCTCTTATGTCTTCTCATCTGTTATTACTAGTATATTAAAAAACTATTGACTTTGGCATATTTATTATGTATCTGGCCATATTATTGAAACTTGATTATTTTTAATAGCTTTTCAGATGGCTGTCTTGGGTTTTCTTGACATATACCAGCTGCAAATAACATGAATTTGTCTCTTCCTCCCGCAATTATATGTCTTATTTCTACTTTATGCAGAAGCGCCTCAGATGGGAATTCAAGGACAATGTTGACAAATGAAAATATCCCCTGGCATTCTTTTCTTTTCCAAATTTAAGCACAATATCTGAAATATGTCACCATGGAATGTAACATTAAGTTTGATGTTCTACTTTTCACAATTTAAAAAAAATTTAGAAATTTAAATTGAGAATGAATATTAAATTTTATCATGTGCTCTCGTGTCATTTGTCAGGATCATTTTTTAAAAAACGGATTTTATTATATTAATAATTTCTCTACCATTAAACCACTTACCTTTCAAATTTCTCTATTTGGTTCTGGAGAACATTGCTATAAACGAATTTGGGTTTTTTTTGGCTTGCCAATACTTACTTGTTTTTCTTTTTCTTTTTCTTTTTTTTTTTCTTTCTTTTTTTGAGACAGGGTATTACTCTATTACCCAAGCTGGAGGGAAGTGACATGATCATAGCTTACTGCAGGCTTGAATTCCTGGACTCAAATGATCCTCCTGCCTTAGCCTGTGGAGTAGCTGGGACTACAAGCATGTACCACACATGGCTATTTTTAAAAACAAATTTTTTCATAGAGACAAGGTCTTGCCGTGTTTCCCAGGCTGATCTCAAACTCCTGGCCTCAAGCAATCCTCCCATCTCAGCTTCCCAAAGTATTTAGATTACAGGCATGAGCTGCCTTACCAGGCCCTTATTTGTTTTTACATTTATATTTTATATAAATGAGATACATGCATGTGGGTTTGTGTGTGTCCAAAGTTCTTTGCGTGTAGGTCTGTCCTAACATTTTGGGACCTATGAGACTAAGAATAGAGGCCCTATGATAAAAGTATAAATAGAAGTCACAAACCATATGTGTAAGCATTTAAGAGTTGTATACTGGCCAGGCATGGTGGCTCACACCTGTAATCCCAGCACTTTGAGAGGCTGAGATGGGAGAATTGCTTGAAGCCAGGAGGTCAAGACCAGCCTGGTCAACATAGCAAGACCCCATCTCTATTTATATTTTTTAAAAATTTAAAAAACAAAACAAAAAAAGTCGTATATAAAACTAAGGAACCACTAATTAACATGTGTTTTATCCTACCTTCTCAAATATACTTGTACAATGACAGAACAAATAATCTATAAAGCTATGACTTTCATATGACTAAAAGTTGGCAAAATATTTAAGAAAAACTGAATCTAAGTGTTATAGTTCATGTCTGGCTCTTGTGATGATGGACTGTCAAAGTTTGGATGAAGAATGTAACATATAAACACAAAATTCTTAAATTAGAATGTATTTATTTCAGACAGTATTTTACTCCTTCATTTTAGCAAAATCACTAATTATATTGCCATAATCAATATTACCACATATTATTTTCTAGTGACAGTAATGAGCTAAAAGATTAAAAAAATAAAATAATTGAAATCAAAGTATAAAAAATGTGAATATATTTGCATGAAAATGTAAATGAAAAATATAAAAATACGGAAAGTTAAAATTAAAAATACTTTCAAATTATGATTTTCCAAAAATATTTTAAATAATCTTTTATTAAATGAAAAATGCAAATTATATTAATATATAATAAATATAACATTTAAAATCAGTATTATTCAAATACAGCAAAATTTACTTGTAAATTTAATTAAATCTTATTAAATATTTTAATAACTATAAAACCATTTGCAATTTTACTGTCGTTGCCAAGGTGAGTAGTCTATCTCACACTTGATATGTGGTTTGTTTAGATCCACATTTATACAAATTTAGGGGTGACATGCATTCTTTAATGTGGAAAAATATTCCTCAGCTGTCATGAGCAACTGTTTGGGAATATTATGCTAATTTGTGAGTATCTCCAGAAGCACAAACTGTAACATAAAAAGAGGCAGGAAAATGAATGTGTGTACTTCTGGAAAATGACACATCATTATGTAAGAATCTATTGCATTCTTGCTATCTTAGAGGAACGACTTGGGAAGTCAAAGTATTTGTCTTTCCTCTTGCCCAAACACTCAAGCCTCCTCATATTCAGATTTTGTCTGCCTCCAAAATCAACAGAGACACAACCCACAATCCTTCCCAGCATCTGGACACACTTATCCTTTGTTTTGATGACACAGGCAAGAGCTGTGGAGGAACGTTTCTGTTTTCACGGGGCCTGAACGATGTTAGTTAGAGGGCACTTTTAGGGTTGACTGGGAAGCCCTGAGCACCCAACCTGCAGAGACAGAGATGCCTGCCTCTGTCTTCTGCAATACATTTGTGTGTGTGTGTGTCTGTGTCTATGTATAATCACAGATATGTATATATATGTGTGTAGGCATGTAAATACCTATATGTATATATGTGCACGTGTTTTTATATGTAGTGTGTTTTGATGTGTGTAATTTATTTTCACATGGGTTAGCAAAAAAAGTATATACACACACATATACACCGGGTGTGTACATGTGTGTGTGAGAGAGAGAGAGGAGACAAAGCAGTTGTGACAAAATGTTAATGACTGGTAAATCTAGAAGAAGAGTATACGGTTGTTAATTGTGCTATCCTTTTCATTTTTCTATGTATTTGACAGTTTTTCAAAATAAAACAGGGGAGGAACATTTCACCTGCTTCCTCCCTCTTATTTTATTTGTAGCATGTGGGAAACTGCCGGTTTGATTTCAGCCCTTGCACTGAACAGAAGTAATGTTGATTTCCGCCAGCCCATGAGTGAGTATCTCTGTCCAAATGTTGGTCAGCCTCAGGGTTGGCCCCAAAGGCCTGGGTCTGGACCACAAGCTATGCCAAGGTACTGGGAACCCTGAGTTCTGCAGGGCAGGAGGAGGCCCCAGAGTGGCAGTGGGGCCTGGCGAGCGGGAGGAGCTGAGCCGTTGCAGATGCCTTGAGAATAGGCCAGGCAGCCAATTCTCCGGGGTGATGGCTTCTTGGGCAACCCGTTCTGAGCCCCTGAGGACTTGTGAGTGAGGCCGCTGCTCCACTGTGAGAGAGAACGCCATTGATGATAGGGTTACCATCAGTATAGGATTTTTTTCTTGGTTTGGCAGCTTTTTACTTATTGTTCTACTTCCTGTTGAATTTCTTTGTCAAGACTCAACATTAAAGAAAGATTTAAAAACAAACTTTGTATGCACTTGAAGGCATTGCATCAATGTGGCAGGTGGTTTTCCATCACCGCATGGGATAAAAATGTCATGTCATTGTTTTTTGGAAGTCATTTGGCATGTTTCCTTTACTTTGGAGGAACTGAAAGAGAACGTGGTTTTTTTTTTTTCTTGGAAATAATAGAAATAAATTTTCTGAGGCAACTCCTGTGTGCTAAGTCTGAGGGGATGGCATAGACATGAGGTAATAATAATAACGATAATAGTAATAGTTACATTTTATGGAGCCTACTATGTGCTAGGTTCTGTGTGAGACACTCTGTTGGATCTCATTTAGCACCCACAAAAACCCCTTGAGTCATGGACTCAGAAGACAGGAGGGGCTTTGAGAATATATCATTCCATTACTTGCCCATGAATAAATTTATAATAGTGGTTTGAAGTGATTAAACAGCCTTGGTTCTGAGATAGTAGTGCCATGAGGAAGTTCAATGTGTTACACAGGAAGTGTCAAAGAAGTTGCCCGGTGGCAATAAATTTTAGTTCCTTTTAGGAAGTGAAGTTTTTGTTTGTTTGTTTGTTTGTTTGTTTGTTGACAAATACGATCAATTCTGTAGCACTCCTTATTGGTGCTGCATGAGAGAAAGAGAGAGAGAGAGAGAGATGGAGGAAGGAGAAAAGAAAGAAAGGAAGAGAGAGAAAAGGAAAAAGGAAACAAAATGAAAAAAGAAAGATGAAAGCAAGCAAGCTAGAACAAACCAGACACACATCAGAGAGACCAACAAATCAGGCAACACCATCCCCAAAGTTTTAAAAGAGACAAGGAGGAGGCATACAGTATGACGAATTTGCTGAGTGGATGAATGACAGCAGTATACTAGTGCACTAGGGCTGCCATAAAAAGCCCCATGGACTGGGTGGCTTACACAACAGACCTTTACTTCCTCACAGTTCCGGAGGCTGGAAGTTCAAGATCAAGGTGTCAGCAGCATTGGTGTCTTCTAAGGGCTTTGTCCTTGTCCTGTAGATGCCCATTGTTCTGTAGTGAGTAGGTCTATGCAAACCTACCTCCAAAGGCCGAGGGAGCTGAGAGGCTGAAGAAAGAGGCTGAGAAACCCAGTTTCTCAGAAAAAAAAATTTAATAAGGACTTATGAACAGAAGCCATGTCTGAAACGGCTATGAAATGGTGGACTCACATCTGCCCTCCATAAAATGCCCTTTATGTAGCAAGCTTTCAGGGTAAAACATGTGCAGCTGGTCATGCCTCAGACTTTTTTGCCAAACTAGTGACGACTGGGGAGGTTATGAGGTTTATCTATGCTACGGGAACACCTTAGTATGCAGGAGTAGTTAAGCATCCACCTTACATGGTTAGTTTAGTTGAGATTTTGGTGCTCCAAGTGGGCAAATCAGAGTCTGTATTACCCTTCTGGACACCATACTGGGTCAAAAATGTCCACAGATGGGAGTGAGTGGGACCAACATAGGGGATGGAACTAAGAGAATGGGGGACATATTGCATCCATAACCAAGCACATATATTAAGTGTAGCATTGACCCAGAGGAACTAGGCAGAAAGCAGAAGGCAGAGGCTGAGTAATGGAGTGGCAGAAACGCCAGCTCAGAGCAAGTAGGTTCAGCCTGGTGGATGAAACAACTTGAGAGAGTCATATGGGTGGAGGAGTTAATGTTATGTGAATCAACAGGGTTAGACATCAGAAAAGCAGCATCTTCTGCTTTGTATCATCATCATCATCATCAATGCAGACACTTATTTTACCCTACCAACTCAGGTATACAAGAAATGTTACATTTTGTTATGTTTTTGAATTTAAATTAATCTGGCTCTGAGTCCCCATCCAATTGGCTGGAAATTCATAGTCATTCATTATCAGGAAATGGGTATGGTAGGGTATCCCTTTTTCCTACATAGTTTAAGATACAGGAGGCTTATTTGAGGCTTATTAAATTTTTTGCTTTTGACGAATTCTTCTGTCTTATGATGCTTCTGGGAGGTTCCTTGTCCATATCTTTATTGTCAGAGTTATGCTGCCTGATTCTCCAGTGTCCATTTTAACAAGAATTCCTTGTTGCCATCTCAGCCTCTTGCCAGGGGCAGTTTTAAAATCTGTGTGTCACCCTGCCATGCCTCATTAGAGGGGAAGAAGAAGTCTCTGGGAAAGCTTTCTTTGCAGTTGAGTGCAGTGGCTCCTGCCTGTCATCCTAGCACTTTGAGAGTCCAGGAGCTCAAGAACAGAGACCCTTAAAAGAGAGGGTCCTCTGTTCCTGGATATGGTTGTGTCTGTGTGTGACTGCTGGAGCTGCTGCAGCCATTTGGCATCCACAGGGGGAAGTAGGTTGGCACCCAGAGGCAGGCAGTTATGAGATGAAAAGATTCACCAAATCGTTATGTGAGAAAACATCTTTCTATTGTTAAACCAGTTTGTTTTTGGGTTTTCTATTACTTGCAGCCCAAAGCACCCCAACTGGGTGCTGTGGGTTCTGTGATGGCAGATGGCTCTACTACTGTTGTGGCAAGCTTGGAAATGGGTGATTTTTCTGAGGTAAGGGAACCCAGGCCATCTGACAGCCTCTGAGTGACCAGTGAGCAGGAAATAGGTCCTCACTCCTAGTGGAGCCACAGAGCACCACCTCCTCCCCAGCCTTGGGAAATCTACCTTTCTTTCTTCCTGCTCTTCCTTCTCCCACCTCATTTCTCCAAGACCATGACTTTCTGAATTCAACCTTAAAATACAAACACTCCTCACCCCTCTCCCCACTGCCAAAGAATAATATAAAACAAACTTAGACCAGGTTACTTCTTGGGAAAGGTTAAGGGAGATGCAAAGATGGCAAAACCTAAGTTTGTATGTCAAGAAATCACCCTGCCACTCTAACTGTGGTTACAGCTGTGGCTTAGAGCACTACCTGCTTTAACTCTCATACCAGCTCTTAGGAAGTAGGTGCTGAGAGTGTATCCAGGAAGCTTGCTTTTGACCATGAGCTCCCCCACCTCATTTCAAGCCATCTCTAGTACATCTTCAACATATGTTTCTTGAGTCCTGGATTGAAATCATTCGGGGAGACCCCAAACTACCCCTTCCTTTGCGTGGCAGCTGGACCATTACAAAGCTCTTCTGCTTCCAGGTCCTGCATCTTCCTACAAGTCCCCTAGAAACCAATCAGGTCCTTCTTTCTCATGACAGATAGTCTGGACAAAGACTTCTCCCACCCAGAGCATCCTCTCTCCACCAGGAGAAGCATTCCCAGGGCCTTATTCTTGCCTCTGTAGGGCTCATGATGCTGCCAATGAACCAGTGTTTCCATAGGAAACTGCCACAGTTCGAGGTTCTCTTGAGGCTCACAGATCAAGAAATCCTTTGAGGTGACCAGTTTCTCTCTCCAGCAATGCAAGATTCAGTAGCAATGACCCTTTCTTGGCTTCTGCTTGTCAGCTCAGCAAGGAGTGGGCCTGAGTTGGAGGCAGCCTCTTTAGGGGCAACGTGGGAGTATCTAGATTTGTTCCAGATTCAAGTTTCCCAGCAAAGGGACTGGGAATTTCCCAGCGAAGGCTGATGGGAGCTTGTCAGAGAGCAAGATTACCTGGCCAGGGCAATTAATGAGACACTCCTTCCAAGAGAAAGACAAGGTAACGACATTTTGAATATGATGAATTCATTCTGGAATGTATCTTGGAAGCTGGAGGCAGGTTGGGAAGGCGAGAAATTAATGAGATGAGGTGCTTCGTGTAGGGCGGTGGATGAGGTGCCAGTGGAAAGTTTATGCAGGCTGCTGCATGCTAGGTTTCCAAAAAGATCAACTGCATGATTCAAACCTCATCATGTCATCCACAGACAGGCAGGCACTTAGAGAAGGAAAGAGTTCTGTGTGGGGAGACAGAAATCCTGGGATTCTTTCTGCGTAAATCCCTAAATGAAGCATGGATTCAAATCTAGATCTTCCTGATTTAAAGCTTCTTCTCAGGCTGACCCAATGTACAACTTTCCCAGAATATGCAATGTAGGGCTCAGTGGACCTTTGAGAGGGAGGCCCAATTTTGTCCCCCACCCACCATTGGAGCGTCATAGATAGCTGATGTGTCATCATCACCCTTCCCAAGTGATCCCGGATTGGTAATTCTTACCATGAAATGACTGAGTTTTTGTTTTTGAGACAGTCTCACTCTGTCTCCCAGGCTGGAATGCAGTGTCTCAGTCTCAGCTCACTGCAGCCTTGCCCTCCTGGTCTCAAGCAATCTTCCCACCTCAGTCTCCCAAGTAGCTGAGAATACAGGCATTCACCACCAGGCCCAGTTAATTTTGTTTATTTTTTTGTAGAGATGGGGGTCTCACTATGTTGACCAGGCTGGTCTCGACCTCCCGGAGTCAAGTGATCCTCCTGTCTTGGCTTCCCAAAATGTTGAGATTACAGGCATGAGCCACCATGTCTGGCCTGAAATGAGCAGTTTAGAAGAATAGAAAATTCACTTGGACAAAGACCTTTTTAAGCTTTCTCTGTTGGGAAGGAAGCTGTGAGTGAAATCTTTACGGGATCTTCTAAGATAAGAAGACACAAAACGTGATTGCCATTGTGGAACAATTTGATGGCTTTAATCAAGGCAGGGAAACCTCTTGGCTGAAATGGAATTAGAGTTGACCTCTTGAAAAAATTTTGGTCTTAGATTTTTCTAAAGAAATGTCTTTCAATTCTGAAATATACAAAACTCAATGCAGTGGGAAATTATGGCCAAATGCCTTGAAACTTCTTGGTATGAGATTTCAATTGCATCTAGGGTTACATAATTGTTTCCAATACTCAGAAACACATAAACACTTAATTTCATTGTCTGATGGGTCCTAGCTGTGGTCTTGTGCTGGGAAACTCTAGAAGGGCTAGTTACATTCAGAGAGATTTTTCATTCTCTCTCTTATTTAAAGTTGTTCTTTAAATAGGTAACGTAATTTTTAAAGAGGTAATGTAATTAATATGGTTCAAAATTCAAAATTCATTAAAGGAATACAGTAAAGTCTGCCTCCAAATCTCTCCCAGGCACCCAGGTCACTTCCCCAAGGCAAACACGTTATAAGCAGCTTGAACTTTTTTTCCAGAAATATTTTATTCACATATAAAAGGTAGCATAATATTCACTCTGTTCTTCACTTTGCTCTTCTGGTGTGTTTAATATTTTATGGTGGTCTTTCTATATAAGATCACAAAGAATCCCAAAGAGTTTACTGATTCTTTCTGTCTGCATCGTATTTCATCATATACATGGACCATTGTTATATAAACAGCTGTTTATTAATGAGTATTTGAGTTGTTTGCTTTCTTTTTACTTTGTTTCTTTTTTTAAAATAATTTCTTTTTTTTTTTTTTTTATTGATCATTCTTGGGTGTTTCTCGCAGAGGGGTATTTGGCAGGGTCATAGGACAATAGTGGAGGGAAGGTCAGCAGATAAACAAGTGAACAAAGGTCTCTGGTTTTCCTAGGCAGAGGACCCTGCGGCCTTCCGCAGTGTTTGTGTCCCTGGGTACTTGAGATTAGGGATTGGTGATGACTCTTAAGGAGCATGCTGCCTTCAAGCATCTGTTTAACAAAGCACATCTTGCACCGCCCTTAATCCATTTAACCCTGAGTGGACACAGCACATGTTTCAGAGGGCACAGGGTTGGAGGTAAGGTCACAGATCAACAGGATCACAAGGCAGAAGAATTTTTCTTAGTACAGAACAAAATGAAAAGTCTCCCATGTCTACCTCTTTCTACACAGACACGGCAACCATCCGATTTCTCAATCTTTTCCCCACCTTTCCCCCCTTTCTATTCCACAAAACCGCCATTGTCATCATGGCCCGTTCTCAATGAGCTGTTGGGTACACCTCCCAGACGGGGTGGTGGCCGGGCAGAGGGGCTCCTCACTTCCCAGTAGGGGCGGCCGGGCAGAGGCGCCCCTCACCTCCCGGACGGGGCGGCTGGCCGGGCGGGGGGCTGACCCCCCCCACCTCCCTCCCGGACGGGGCGGCTGGACTGGCGGGGGCTGACCCCCACCTCCCTCCCGGACGGGGTGGCTGCCGGGCGGAGACGCTCCTCACTTCCCAGACGGGGTGGCTGCCGGGCGGAGAGGCTCCTCACTTCTCAGACGGGGCGGCCAGGCAGAGATGCTCCTCACCTCCCAGACGGGGTCGCGGCCGGGCAGAGGCGCTCCTCACATCCCAGACGGGGCGGCGGGGCAAAGGCGCTCCCCACATCTCAGATGATGGGCGGCCAGGCAGAGACGCTCCTCACTTCCTAGATGGGATGGCGGCGGGGCAGAGACGCTCCTCACTTTCCAGACTGGGCAGCCAGGCAGAGGGGCTCCTCACGTCCCAGACAATGGGCGGCCAGGCAGAGACGCTCCTCACTTCCCAGATGGGGTGGCGGCCGGGCGGAGGCTGCAATCTCGGCACTTTGGGAGGCCAAGGCAGGCGGGTGGGAGGTGGAGGTTGTAGCCAGCCGAGATCACGCCACTGCGCTCCAGCCTGGGCACCATTGAGCACTGAGTGAACCAGACTCCGTCTGCAATCCCGGCACCTCGGGAGGCCGAGGCTGGCGGATCACTCGCTCTTAGGAGCTGGAGACCAGCCCGGCCAACACAGCGAAACCCCGTCTCCACCAAAAAAATACGAAAACCAGTCAGGCGTGGCGGCGCGCGCCTGCAATCGCAGGCACTCGGCAGGCTGAGGCAGGAGAATCAGGCAGGGAGGTTGCAGTGAGCCGAGATGGCAGCAGTACAGTCCAGCTTTGGCTCGGCATCAGAGGGAGACCGTGGAAAGAGGGGAGAGGGAGAGGGAGAGCTTAAAATAATTTCTTACCTTTTTTTTCCTGCAATTTCAAATGATGCTGCAATGAATACTCTGTATATATATTATTTCTCACCTGTATAGATTTACCTATGGAATAAATTCTTAGAAATTGAATTTCTGGGACAAAGGGCATATGCGCTTATTTTGAGAGATATAATCAGACATTCCTCTGTGGAGGGATATCTATATACTTCCCCAAGGAATATATGAAAGTCCGTGTTTCCCACACTCTTATCCATACAGCATGCCTTTTTTTTAATCTTCACCAATCTGACAGGTAAAACAGGATTTCATTTGTAGTTTAATTTGCTTTTCTCCTAACTTGAGTAAAGTTGAGTATATTTTTATATGTTTGAGAGCCAACTTATTTTCTTTATTATGAACAATCAATATTTTTGCTCATATATATATAAATTATATATATATATACACGTAGGATGATTAATTCCATATATTTGGTTATACAATATATACATATATGCAATATATACTATCAAATATATGGAATTAATCCCTTTTTAAGCTGTAAGTATTTCCTTCAGTTTTTCCTTTTATTTTCATTCTGCTTCCCATAGTATTTGTCGTGTAGAATCTTAAAAAATTTATACATACTTAAAAATATTGGAAAAAAATGGCCTTTGGGTTTTATTTCTTACGCATTTCTTACTCCAAGGTTTTATTTTATTTTATTTATTTATTTATTTATCTATTTATTTATTTTTTTGAGACAGAGTCTCGCTGTTGCCCAGGCTGGAGTGCAGTGGTGCGATCTCGGCTCACTGCAGGCTCCACCCCATGGGGTTCACGCCATTCTCCTGCCTCAGCCTCCCGAGTAGCTGGGACTACAGGCGCCTGCCACCTCGCCAGGCTAATTTTTATATTTTTAGTACAGACGGGGTTTCACCGTGTTAGCCAGGATGGTCTCGATCTCCTGACCTCGTGATCTGCCAGCCTCGGCCTCCCAAAGTGCTGGGATTACAGGTGTGAGCCACCGCGCCCGGCCTCTTACTCCAAGGTTTTAAATGGTTCTCTGGTAACTTCTAGTACTTTTAGTTTACGTTGTCTTTTATTTAAATCTTTGATGTCTATGAAATGGAACTGAAATATGATGCTGTGACTGCATCAGTTAGGATAAGTTGTGCTGCAGTAACAAAGAATCTCCACATCATCATATTTGAAATAAACAAAAGCTAACTTCTTACTCATGTTCTCTGTTCATTTTTTATTAGCAGGGGGCTTAGGGACCCAGGCTGACAGAACACATCACTGGGAACATTGTTGGTCACTGCAGGAGAGGCACAGGGAGATGGTGAACCATGCCCTGGCTCCTAAAGGTTTCCTCCTAGAAGTGACATGCTCCCCCCATATTTCATTAATCAAAGCAAATCACATGCTGAGAAGGAGAAGAACACTGGAATCCTTGTAAACAGTTCCAGTGATTACTAACAAAAATTATGAATCCAATATTTCATTTCCACATGACAACTTTATTGTCTCAGTTCTAGTTAATGGCAAATCCACTTTTTCTCCACTGTTTTGAAATAACTTTTTGTATAATATTCTAAATTCTACTATGTATCTGGGACCATTTACAGATTTCTTATTTTGTTCCATTGATCAGTCTTTTTATTCATGTGCCATCTAGTTTTAATTATCCATTATATAATTAATAAATTATAATTTTATTATTTATAACTTATTAGAGGTTTCAGAATATGTTTTGATATCTTATATGTCTAGCCCTCCTCCAATAGTCTTTTTTTCAGATTTTACTATTCTTGCTTATTTTGTTTTTATATGCATTTTAGATTCATTTTGTCTAGTTAAAATCATTTCATCTCTCTCTTGTTTCAGCCTGTCCACCTCCCACCCCCAGTGTGTGTGTGTATGTGTGTGTGTGTGTGTGTGTGTGTGCGCGCGTGCGCGCGCGTGCACGCGTAAGACCAAGAATACTTACTGGTGTTTCTATTAAGTTCCTGTTAAATTTATATCCCAACTTAGGAAGAACTGACGTCTTTACGATGTGGAGTATTCCCATCCAAGGTTACAATGTGCCTTTTTATTTATTCAAGCATTCCTTTTGTTCTTTTGCAGCTTTTAAAATTTTTCCTCTGCCTAGAGCTTGCATAATTCTCAAGTTTGTGCTTAGTATTTTATTTGCCATCATCATTGCTATTGTATAAAAAGCAGTCCTTCCTTTTTTTCTTCTTCCTTTTTTCTTCCTGCTCCTCCTCCTCTTTCTTCCTTTCCTTGTCCCTCTTCTTCTTTTTCTTCTTCTCCTTCTCCTTTTCTTTTTCCCTCTTATTTCGTTATTTTTTGTATATGTGAAAGCTATTAATGTCTCCAATCTTTTAAAAAAATTATTAAACTGAAGGCAAAGATAGAGTAGAATGGGCATGACCCAGTGTCAACATAAGGGTAAGTCACAGTTGCCCAAAGACAATTTCTTTCTTGTATTTAACCTATAGTTATTGTGGGACAATAAATTTCAGCTGTATGGCTACTGTTTACAAAATTAGCTTATTTGAAAAGTTGGCAAGATGGAGACAGGCAGTTTAATATTAAGAAAAGAAAGGCATCTCATTTGAAAACTCCCAGCTGCAGCCACATCAAGCCTTTCCCAGGCAATGAGACGTCACTAGGCCAGGGACCTAACTCAGTGCTCCAAACACATGAGGTACTTTTCAGAGACTTTTGGAATCAAGCTCAGTCCAGCCACAGAGTTTCAGAACTGGGAAGGGGTTTATAATGAGCTAGAGCCGTGGTTCTCAGTTGCGGTTGCACAAGAGAATTGCCAGAGAACTTATACAAAACACGGATGCCCTGGCCCGCTCCAGAGCAATGATGTCAGAGACTGTGGGAGTGAGAGCTGGGGTCAGTCTCACTGCAACACCTCCCAGATGACTTTGCTGTGGAGCCTAGGTGAGGACCCACTGCTTTAGACCCATGTCCTCGCTGAGCACATGACAAGACAGTGGGTGAGTGAGAGAAGGGAGCTGTCTGTGGTCCTGTAGCTAAGCAGCACGACGTCTCCAGGGTCTCCAGGGTCCTCTGTGAAGGACACAGCAGCTGGTGCCTCCCCAGGCTGCCTGTGCCCCACATGCTCCTAAGTGCTTCGGGGTTAGTGACTCGTTTTACTGTATCAACAACCCCATGAAGGAGGCTGTAGTATCCCAGTCCACAAGGGAGGGAGGAAGCCATTTCGGCAGGACGCCCAAGGTTACACAGCTAGACAACGGCAGCATTCAGGCAAGAACCCAAGGCCCCCTGACTCAGAGGCCCATGTTCCCAGGCCAGGTTCTTATCCACTTTGTCATGAGGCCTGGTGACATTAACAGCCACTTTCTGCTCCCTGGGAAATAGTGAGTTATACAATATGATCATAGGATGTTTTAAATTTAAAATATTTTTAGCAGCTCAGTTAAAATCTTTGGCCAGGGTTGGTGGCTCCAGCCTGTAATCTCAACACTTTGGGAGGCCGAGGCGGGTGGATCGTGTGAGCTCAGGAGTTCGAGACCAGCATGGGCAATGTGGTAAAACCCCGTCCCTAAAAAAAAAAATACAAAAATTAACTGGGTGTGGTGGTGCATGCCTGTAGTCCCAGTTCCTCAGGAGGCTGAGGTGGGAGGATTACTTGAGCCCAGGAGGCAGAGGTTGCAGTGAGCCATGATGGTACCACTGCACTCCAGCCTGGGTGACAGAGTGAGACCCTGTCTCAAAAATAAATACATAAATAGTAAGTAAAATAAAATCTTCAACAACAGATTTGCCCAGCTTGGAGCAGGATGGGGACTTTGATACTCCCAGCAGGCCCCCTCTGCCCCATCGTCCTCCGTGGTCTTCCCCTCAAGCACTGTTTGAAAAGCCCAGGGGCAGATGGTCTTGGGATCTTTCCCCTCTCTAACATTGGGTGGTGAAGACTGAAGGAGAAAATGTATGAGAAGAATTCATAATCCATTCATCTGCTGACGGACATCTGCTTCCCAGTCTTGGCTCTTGTGAATAATGCTGCGATAAACACGGGGAGCAAATGTTTCTCCTAGATCCTGCTGTGAATTCTTCTGGATCAATATCCAGAAGTGGGGATGCTGGATCATGCGGCAGTTCTATTTTTAACATTCTGAGGGACTGCCATACTGGTTTTTCTAGCAGCGAAACCATTTTACCTTCCCACTGACGGTGTTCAAGCGTTCCAATTTCTTCACCACCCCACCAATATTTTTTAAAATAATGGTCCCTAACAAGGTGATACTTCTTTGTGGTTTGATCTGCGTTTCCCTGGCGATGAGTGATGCTGAGCATCTTTTCACATACCCGTTGGCCATTTGTATGTATTCTTTGGAGAAATGTCTCTTCAAGTTTTGTTTTGTTTTGTTTGCTTTGAGACAGGGTCTCACTTTGTCACCCAGGCTGGGGTGCAGTGGCATGATCGTCGCTCACTGCAGCCCTGAACTCCTGGGCTTAAGTGATCCTCCTACCTCAGCCTCCCAAGTAGCTGGCACTACAGCCGTGCATCACCACACCTGACTAATCTTTTCATTGTTGGTAGAGATGGGGTCTTGCTACATTGCCCAGGCTAGTCTCAAACTCCTGAGCTCAAGTGATTCTCCCACCTCAGCCTCCCAAAGTGCTAGAATTATAGGCATGGGCTGCTGTGCCTGGTCTCTATTCAAGTTCTTTACGCATTTTTTAATTGGGTTATTTGTTTTGTTTTTTTGCTATTGATTAATGTATTTTTGATATTAACCCCTTATCAGATGTATAGTTTGCAAATATTTTCTCCCAGTCTTTAGATGGCTTCTTCACTATATACGTATGATCAATTATTATTGGGCCTTTAAAAAAAAGGAAATCCTGAAATATATGACAATGTGGATGAACTTGGGGGACATTATGATGAGAGAAACAAGCCAATCACAGAAGGACATGGACTGCATGATTCCACTTATGTGAGGTTGTAAGACAGCTGAACTCATAGAAGCAGAGTAGAATGCTGGTTGCCAGGTGCTGGAGGGAGGGGGAACTGAGGCAGTGTGATTCAACAGATAAAACTTCTAGTTATACAAGATGAAGAAGTTTTAGAGATATGCTGTGCAACCTCGTGCATGAAAACAATCCTGTATCGTGCGCTTAAAAATTCGTAAAAGGGAACCTGAGCAACATAGTAAGATCCCATCTCTACTGTTTTTTTTTTTTTTTTAATTGGCCAGGTGTGGTGATGCACACCTGTAGTCTCAGCTGCTTGGAAGACTGAGATAAGAGGATCGTCTGAGCCCAGGAGTTTGAGGCTGAAGCGAGCTATGATCCCACCACTGCACTCCAGCCTGGATGACAGAGCGAGACCCTGTCTGTGAAAAGAAAAATTATTAAAGGGTAGATCCATGTTAAATCCTTTTACAACAATAAAAGAAAAATCAGAGAGAAATTTGGGGGGATTTCTTTCCTTCACAATGTGTTTCCTCCAGAGCAGATACAAGCTTTTTGTGTTTTACTTTGACCTACCTGGGATCCAGCAGACAGAGCTCCCTTTTGGAGAGCATAGAGTCGGCAGTTCTAAAGGCCACATTTTCAGGGCTCTCGGGTTACCCATCTGGCCTCTCCTAATGAGCCTGTGGGCATCTGGGGCGTGTGCAGACCAGCCATATTGGACCACTTTTCTCTGCCACCCCCCCCCAACAACCCCCCCACCCCCCAGGCACAGGGCCATGGGGGACACGGATGCCAAGCCTGGTTTGGTGAGATTTTCTCCAGCAGGCCCTGTCTGCCCTGCCCTGCTTGCCCTCCCTCCACCCAGTCCTGGCAGCTGCAAGGGGACCTCTAGACCTGCTAAGTGACAGGGCTGTAGAGGCGGGAGGGGGGCAGCTCTAAATGGCCTCTGGAAACAATTTCTTCTGCTCCGCTTTGGGGGCCTGTGAAATGTTCTCTCCTGTCTCCCGGCTGCCTTCCTCGGCGCCTCCCTGGGCTCCGCTTTCCCCCTTTCCCCAGGCCGCTCTGTGTGTGTGTGTGTCTGTGTGTGTGTGTGTTTCTGTGTCTCTGTGTGTGTCTGTGTGTGTCTCTGTGTGTGCCTCTGTGTATGTCTGTGCATCTGTGTGTATGTCTCTGTGTGTGTGTGTCTCTCTGTGTGTGTGTGTGTCTATGTGTATGTCTGTGCCTCTGTGTGTGTGTCTGTGTGTGTTTATGTCTGTGTGTGTATCTGTGTCTCTGTATGTGTCTCTGTGTGTGTCTGTGTCTGTCTGTGTGTGTGTCTGTGTCTGTGTGTGTGTGCCTCTGTGTGTGTGTCTGTGTTGTCTGTATGTCTGTGTCTCTGTGTGTCTGTGTCTCTGTTTCTGTGTCTCTGTGTGTGTCTCTGTGTGTGTCTCTGTGTGTGTGTCTGTGTGTGTCTCTGTGTGTGTGCCTGTGTCTGTGTGCCTGTGTGTGTGTCTGTGTGTGTCTCTGTGTGTGTGGCTCTGTGTCTGTGTGTCTCTGTGTGTGTGTCTCTGTGTGTGTGTCTGTGTGTCTGTGTGTGTCTGTGTGTGTATATGTGTGTGTGTCTGTGAGTGTGTCTCTGTATGTATATCTGTGTGTCTGTGTTTGTATATGTGTGTGTGTCTGTGAGTGTGTCTCTGTGTGTATATCTGTGTGTCTGTGTGTGTGTCTGTGTGTCTCTCTGTGTGTATTTCTGTGTGTGTGTGTCTGTGTCTCTGTGTGTGTGTATGTCTGTGTCTGTGTCTCTGTGTGTGTGTTCCTGTGTGTGTGTCTGTGTGTGTGTGTGTGTGTGTCTCTGTATGTCTTACTGTTCCTTTCCTTTTCTCCCCCAACCTCTCTTCTCTGCTCTATTATTAGAACAATCCAGGTCTGCTGGTGTTCCAGCCAGCCAGGCCCTGATCACCCACTGCCTTCGCGCCTAAAAGATCCAGAGGTGGCTCAGACATGGTTCGATCTGCTGCAGGCATGAAAGGCAGAGACTAAAACCAAAATGCATGAAAGAGAGGGCTCAGGGCTCAGAAGAGGTGTGGAGGGTGCTATGAGATTTGGGAGGCAGACATCACTTCCATGCGGGAGACTTGGAAGAGGAAGTTTCTTAGCCTCTCTGTCCCTGAGTTTCCTCAATTGTCGAATGCAAGGAGCCCCCACACCGAGTTGCCATGAGGACTGCATGAATACATGTCATGTTCTGTAACAGCTCCTGGCAGATGGGGGACTGAGGCTCCGAGAGAGAAAGTCACCTCCTTAAGTTCACACGGCTCGTGGTGGCATCAAGTTGCACCTGGTACCCCCCACTGCCAGGGTCTTTCTGGCATGCTACCCTACTTCCTTCATCCTTTGCGAACTGAAATCTGTCCTCTGGTCCCCTCTGTCACAGCTGTAATTGCCTTGCATTCTGGCTGGTTGTGCATGGCACAATCCTCCTCTCTCTGCCATGGGCTCCTTGAGGACAGGGATGGCGTTGGCACTCCTGTGTGCGGCAGGATCTCCTGTTCCAATGTTGCCAGTGCTGCTGGTGTGCTTTCTTGTCCCAGGTGGTGGGCCAGCCTTTGGGCTTCCTCGTTTCAGGAATTTGGAATCACGGGACTGAGAGTCACATTGTCAGACAGCTAACAGCCCCCTCCTGGCTTTGGTATTGTGGGCACCTGGGTTCATACCAGGGCATTGGACCAGATCATCCCTTACAGTGTGAATGGGGAGCACGGGGTTGGCCGGATCTGAGAGACAGAGGGGACAGAGTCCCTTAAGCCAGGGAGGGAGGAGGAAAGAGCATTGAGTTACCAGCACTTCATCCCCTCACAGAGGCCCAGGTCATGACTGAACTTGTGCTGTTGTTTTCCTTTTCTAATCACTGCCTACTGCCCACCTGCCCCAATAGGCATTTGAGTTTGGGATCCTTTCATTGGAAACCCTCACAAAACAAAAGGTAAGACACCTGTTTTCTTGTACACTGGGGCTGCTCACTCCACCTTCTCAGGGGTATTATCCCCGGCGACTCCAGGACTGCCCCCTTCTGTGGGAGTCTAATTTTATTGACTCATTGGTACTTCGTGGGCACCTTCTCATTGGAGAGGAGAAAATAAAAACAAGTTTTATCTCTTGCAAAAATGTAGAATGCAAAATGAAGGTTAGTTGGGCTCATGCAGGCCTGGCTCCTTGACCAGCACTCAGCATGGTTCCTTGTGCCTGCCTACTGTCTTTGGTAAGGCTCTAGAAGGGGCGTCTAGTGAGAGCCAGGTGCAGGGCATTTCTCCAGGCGGCCTTGGATGATCCAGTTCTCCCCCACTTCTTTCTCATTTGTAGTTCTCAAGAATAACTGCAGCATGGGCTGGGAATACAATATCCTGAGATAGGGAAGGACTGGCCAGAACAGCCCAGGCTCTGTTCCCATCCTCCCTAGAAACATGGTGTCCTTCAACACTTTAGCCCAGCAAGTCCTGTTGCCCCTGGGTGTAAAACCCAGTGCTACGGATTGCATATGGTTTGTCTGGCCCTGCCATGTCTCATGTCGAGGTTCGATTCCCAATGCTGGAGGTAGGGACTGCTGGGATCCTGTTTGGATCATGGGGGCAGATCCTTCATGAATGGCTTGGTGCCATTTTTGTGGAAGTAAGTGAGTTCTCACTCAGTTTCTGAGAGCACCAATGTTAAAAAGAGCCTGGTGTAGCCTGGCCAACATGGCAAAACGCCATAAGAAATTAGCCAGGCATGGTGGTATGTGCTTGTAGTCCCAGCTACCCAGAGGCTGAGGTGTGAAGATTGTTTAAGCCTAGGAGGTTGAGTCTGCAGTGAACTGTGATCATGCTACTGCACTCCAGCCTGGGCAACAGAGCAACACTGTATCAAAAAAAAAAAAAAAAAAAAAGAATGAAAGAAAGAAAGAAAGAGCCTGGTGCCTCCCTCCCCTCTCACTGGCTTCTGCTCTCCCACCATGAGATCTCTGCACATGATGGCTTCCCTTGTCTTCCACCATGAGTGGAAGCAGCCTGATGCCCCAAACAAAAGTAGATGCTGATGCCATGCTTCTTGTACAGCCTGCAGAGCTGTCAGTCAAATAAGCTTCTTTTCTTTATAAATTACCCAGCCTCAGGTATTCCCATATAGAAAAACAAACAGACTAAGACACTCAGGGTGGGCTGCCTTCTGGGGTTCCTCAGCTGCTGTGCAAATGGAGCCCACACAGATAAGACCCCATGTTCCCCAGGCAGCTTTCCTGAGCCTTGGGGACCCAGCTTGCAATGAATCCTAGGCTTCTGTTATCCTTTGCTGCCCATCTGTCAGTAATAAACCCACTTCATGTAACTCATGTGTGGGTCTCACTGGACTCAGGCAAGTTGGTCACCAGTGCACAGTGAACCTGCTTTGCACCAGATTCAAGATTTGGTCTCAGATGTGCCTGGCCCTAAAGCTTGTGTGGGTTCCTTCTTTTGTGCAGTTGGAAATCCAGGAACATGAGCCAGCTGACAGCCAAAGTCACAGTTGCAGTAACTTACATGGAGGATGATATGGTTTGGCCCTGTGTCCCCACCCAAATCTCACCTTGAATTGTAATAATCCCCATGAGTCATGGGAGGGACCTGGCGGGAGGTTTTTCCCATGCTGTTCTCATTATAGTGAATAAGTCTCATGAGATCTGATGGTGTCATAACGGGCAGTTCCCCTGCACACACATTCTTGCCTGCCGCCATGTAAGACATGCCTTTCTTCTCGTTCACCTTCCACCATGATTGTGAGGCTTCCCCAGCCATGTGGAACTGTGAGTCTATTAAACCTCTTTTATATATATATATAAATTACCCAGTCTTGGGTATGTCTTTATTAGCAGCATGAGAGCAGACTAATACAGTGGGTACAGACAGTTACAAATACCCACTGTGTGTCTAGACTGGGCAAAAAATCTTCAGGATACTCATTTTTCCCTTTCTACTCATTAATAGGTAACCCTAAAACAGGCTTTGTCTGTAGGCTTCAAAAAGGTGTTGCTCATATTTTTCTCAGCCCCACACATAGATTAAGGGGCCAGTGCCACTCCCCTGCCCTGCAGGCCACACCAACTTAACCTCTCTGAGGATCATGGGGGCAAGTGCATTTAGCAACCTGCTGCTCAACATGTAGCCACTCTACCAGCAGCCTCAGCATCACTGGGACCTTGTGAGAAGTATGGGACCTCAGGCCCCATCCCAGACCTGTTGATTCAAAATGTGCTTTTTAAAAAGACCCACAGGGAATTTGTGCATATAGTAAAGTTTGAGATTCATTAATTTAGCAAAATGGATAAGACTGGAATGCAGCTCGCCTGCTTTCTAGCTCAGTGAACTTGAGCACGTCTCTGAAATTCTCTGATCCTCAGCTATGAGAAGGGTTGAATCATAAGAAGTTGCCTTTTTTTTATATCTACAAAATATAGGTACAACCCAAATATAAGCAATTTCATATGGTTCAACCAAATACTTATTTTGTTGGATTGTTGTTGTAATTCATTTTAAAATGAGATAAGAGATAGAAAGCATTTGGTACATAGTAGGTGTTTGCTCAATGGTAATTACTGCCTGTGTGCAGGGAGAACAGCCTTGATCACCATTACTATCCTTACCCACTTGGTTCCTGTGGAAACCAAGCAAAAGAACTCAGGTATATGCAACTTTTCCTTAAACTTGAGGCTGTAATAGAAGCTCCCTGCTGTGTAGGCCATTCTGTTCTCTCTGAGTCACCCAGCATGTCTGAGGGGGCGTTATCCCAGTGGGTTTACAATCTTCTCCAGAAAAAGCATGCTTCCTGTTTCCGTGTGGAAAGTCATCACCAGGAAGGGCCGACTGAACTCAGTGCCCAGAGTGGGTGGGAAGTCAAGGTCTGGGCGAGGCCCAGGGGTGAGCTGAATGCTGGTGGCTGCAGCAGCTTCAGAGCCCCTCTCATCCAGCGTCATCATGGCCTTATGAGTGACCTGCAAGGAAAATTATAGAATCATCAAGCCACCCATAGGAGGGACAAACCAGGCCTTTATGTTGGGACCAATTTTTTTTATTCTGTTACTTAACCCCATATGTATCCATCTATTCACTTACCCAGTCAGTGATTCTGCTAACTACCCTTTAAAAAATCCACTATCCATCTACTACTCTTACATACTCCTGTCTGACTGTTGTCCACCCATCATTGATCCATTCAACCAGCCAGCCAGCCAATCATACTCCACACCCTCTCAGCCATCTACTTATCTCTGCATGCACCACTCATGTATTCACATAGTTGTCCATGCACCACTCACTTACCCACCCATCCACGCATCATCCATGCACCTTGCTACCCATGCATCTTTCTATCTATGATTCCAGCTATTCGCTATTCACCTATTCATGCATCCAATCACCAATCTCCTCACCTACATCCATTTTTATGGCTGGCATCTGCATTATACTGGTTGCAGTATATTTTGAATATCACACCAGCATCTATCTGTCCATCCACCCATTTCTCCATCCATTCATCCATGCATTCATCCAACTACTCTTTCACCCAACCATTATTGACTTTTTCTTTCATTCACTTAATTTTGCTAACTTATCCTCTCTCATTCCATTACTCGTGTATTCATGAATTTATTCCGTGTGCATTTATTGAGTACCAATGCTGTGCACTCCACTGTGCCAGGGATGGTAGGGGATAGAAACATGGATTGGACTGACTTTGAAGAAGCTCATCATTTGATCGGGAAGATAAGACAGATAAAGAAAGCAAGAGTGGAAAGTTATCAGGAGAGATTTCTTTCTGCTTTGAGTGTGGGGGTGAAGGATAAGAGCAGAGAAACCTTCATGGAGGAGGTAACATTTGTGCAAGGCCTTGGGGAGAACGTTTTGGGTGGTTTAAAAATAAAAAGTCTGAGCCAAAGTAAGAAGGTGAAAACTGTGGGGACATGTAGGATGCCGTGAAGTTCAGTCCAGCAGGACGCTATGAAGAGTAGGAGACGTAGTCTGGACAGGAGGGTGATGACTAGATCATGGAACACTTGGAAACCTTCAGTTCCCTGAGGACCAAGCTATTCCCCAAGTTCCCTGTCAGTCCTTTTTTTTTTTTTTTAACATAGCTTGTATTTTAGGTCTAAAAGCATGAGTGACCTCCCCAGGAAGCATCCTCTGCACTTCCAACGTGGGAACATGATTTGCATATTTACTGCCTTCCCTTTCCTTATTTCCTTTGGGATCCCCAGTGTTTTAACAAAGCAGGTTGTAGTCATGGAATAAATGCAAGGAAGCAAATAGCAACTTGCAAAGTTAAAGGAAACAGCGTCTCCTGTCTTTAAGGAGGTCCTGGACATCTCTCTCCAGTGTTCGTCAAAAGACAATAAGAGGCCCTCTGAACACACCATCCCCAACTTACTTTAGAAATGTTCAGTCCAGGCTGCCCAGGGAAGCCTCCACCCACAGTCACTCATGGGAGGAGCATCTCCAGTCTGCAGGTTCTAGAAATGGAAAATTTGGGGAAGTGGAAATCGAGTTCTCTGCGGAGAGACAGAAATTGGGTTGCAGTAGAGATCCTGAAACAGCCTCTCACCTTCTTCCCTGCCTGGGGTCCCTCTGCCCCACACACCCCCTCCATCCCATTCTCTGAGGGGCAGTGGGTGTGAGCTTTCTAAAAGGCGTACCATCCCCAATTCACCTCAGTGTGGGAAGTGGGTTGTAACTACACTGACATGGAAGCCCTATGACGAAGACACTGTTATTCCCATGTGATAATAGCAGATGATACGATGATGTTCCCAGGAACACTTAGAGGGCACACCTTGCCTGTTCTGGGGATCCGTCAAGCCTTCACAGAGCAAGTGATAGCTCTGCTACGCCATGAATAAAGAATAAGAATCCCAAAGAGGGCTGGGTCAAGAAAGGGCACGCCAGGACGAGAATTTGCACACACAAAAGACCGGGGCTGAGGAACAGCCTGGCAAGTTCAGGAAACTGCAGAGAGCACAGTAGGTTCCAGGAATAAGCATGGGGGAGTTGGGAACACAGAAAAAAAGGCCGAGGAGGGAGAAGGCTGAGACTGGGAGAGGCCAGAGCACCAGGCTCTTAAACAGCGTGAGGGGCCAAGGGAGCCCATGACAGGTGACAGTGTCTGCAGCAGAGGTGGGACTGGAACCAGCCTCCAGACTCCTGGGCCAGTGCTCTCTCCAGTCCTTCCTCCCCAGGACCCAAACTGATATCTTCAAGGGGCCAATGACAGTGCCCTGGAGAGTGACAGAGCCCTGAGGGGGGACAATACCATGGAGGTGACAGCATCCCGGGGGGTGACTGTGTCCCTGCGGTGATAGTGTCATGACAATGTGTTCTGGGGGTGATGATGCCATGGGTGGAGGGTGATAGTGTCCTGAGAGCATTAGTGTCTTGGAGGGGTGACAATACCTGTAGGGTGGCAGTGTCCTAGAAATAACAGTGCCTGGGGAATGACAGTGTTCTGGGGTGTGACGGTACTCTGAGAGGGTGACAATATCCTGAGGGATGACGGTGTCCTGGAGGTGAGATGTCCTGGGTGATGTAACAGCATCCTGGGAGAGAACAGTGCTTTGAATAGGGACAGTGACCTTGGGTGATAGTGCCCTGGAGATGACAGTGCCCTGGGGTGACAATGCTTTTGAGGTGACTGTGCCCTGGGGACACTTTACGGTGGCTGAGGGAGAAGGCGAGGCCCGGCCTCCCCGGGGCTCTGCTGTGTGCAGGCTACCTGGTCCTGAGCAGACTGTCCCACTTAATCAGTGTTTCAGGCAGCAGGGCATCTTCCAGCTGCCTCATCTTGCCCCTGTTGGGGAAGATGAAGAAGGTGGTGGTGTTCCCAGCGTGGTCCATCCGCAGCACAGAGCATTGCAGCTCACGGTCGTGCAGGAAGCGGTGGCTGGCCTTCTCCTTCATCATGGGCACCCACACAGCGCTGTGCTCATCTACAAAGAACTCCTTTGGGCTGGTGGCACGTGAGTCAAAGGGCTTCATCCACTCAGCTGAGGGGAAGAGCAACACGGACGTCATCCTCGCAGAGAACCGAGAACGGGCTTGGGGTTACCCTTCTAGCAGCTTGTGGGAGTGGGGAAAGCACCCTGGATGCTGGAATCTTGGAGTCCACACTCAGGAAGCCAAATCCCACTCACTAACTCCCTCCTGAGAGGTCCCTTAGTACCTGCGTGGCCCTGGGGGCTGAGCCCGGAGCCTCCCTGAGCTTCTGTCTCCTCATTTGAAAATGATCAATACTATTAGAAACTATTACAATAGTGTAGCAAGATTACAATCACATAAACACAAATGGTCTCTCATCTCCTTAACCTCTCCTGGAGGTGGTTAATTTTTAAGAAAAAATGTATCACTGTGGCACAGGCTTCTTGAAGGTAGGTGTGGATTTGAAGGCTAGGCCCTGCCTGGCTTTGAAATCTAGGGCAAGTTACCCGACTTTGCGTCAGTTTCTCATCGTTCAAGTGGACACGATAATATCTATCTTGTCAGGTTGCGATGAGAATTAAAAATTAAATATGCACAGAGCCGGCATGTTAATAAGAACTTCGTAGTCAATATGTGCGTGTGTATATGTGTAACCATGTCTACAAATTAACACCATCAATAGTCATAGATGCATATTTGAGTGGTGCCTTACTGGCGCAGGCAAATAAGCTTTCTTCTTTTTAAAAAATGTGTTTTCTTATCTGTAAAATGGGAACATTGATCTTAGGCATATCTGCTAAGATAAGCCTGGTCCGTTTCACCCAAGTGAGAGAGTCAAGGGAGATTGTGGGGTACACACGCTTTGAGACCCACAGAGCACTGTACAAATGTGAGAACTGAGTTCACCTCCTGAGTCCTGAATGAGAACAAGGGGATAACAACACGCGTCCCCCTGCCTGCCCCCAAATGGCCACCATGGCGTCAGTATTAAACTAAGCCAGGCATTAACAGCGGTGGGTTGAATGTCATGACCGTATTATTTAAACACACTCAATGGTGGGGACATGCAGCCTGTTTGCTCTCTTGGAAAAAATTAAGGACTTTAAAAAAATTTAGGATTCTTCCTGCTCTAATCCGTGCCTCCTAAGGCCTGCCAGAGGAAGGAAATTCAGGTTCCTTAATACAGTGGTGGCTTCTAGAGTTGCTCAAAGGGGAGCTCAGCCTTCCATTAGCAGAATCACCTGTGTGGGGAAGGGAGGCGAGCTTCTTCAAACGCAAAGTCATGGGTCTTGGACTTACTCCACTGAAATCAGAATCACTTAGGATAGGTACGAGATACCTGCATTTAAGCAAACTCTCTAGAGAGTTCATATGCACATTAAGTTTGAAAAAGTCTTCTTTAAAAACAAACTCTTCCAGTATCATTAACATAGAGAAGGGGATGAGTTCCCTGTTACGGGAGGCATTCAAGTAGAGATATCAAGGATTCAGGGGCAGACACTCACCGAGTGTCATCTATATCCAAGTCAGGAGGGGACACTTTCCAGATGCTGTGATGGGTGGGGCTAGGCTGTGGTTGGAGCCTGGGTTCTGGGATTCTGAGAAGGAGATCTGCATTGGGCACACACGCTCTTACCTCTGAGGAGCATGTGATTCACCAGAACCGCTGTGGTTTCACTGCCGAGGTCCTTCTCCCAGGCCCCGAGCTTCCCCTGGGTCTGCTGCTCTGTATATTCGTCAATGTGTTTTTGGGCCTCCTCTAGGCTCTGGTTGGCCCTCGCGCCCAGGCCGCTGAACCTGCGCTGGTCCATGGTCAGGAGGAGCCGGGGACCCTGCCCACGGAGCCTGATCAGCAGATCCCAGAAGCCTTCCTGGATCTCCTCCTCAGGCACCACGGTGAGGGTGAACCCCAGGCCCTCCAGGAGTTGGGTCCTGCTGGCCACTGGGGCCCCCCAAGAAAGCATGGCCAAGGCCAGGGAGATGCTCACTGGGGAGAAGAGAATGTTCTCCCCGGGGGCGTTCAAAGCCAACTGTCTGTAGAGCTTGAAGGCAAAGTCTATGTTGCTCACAGAGATTTTGTGGCAGGGCAGGGCAGGCCCAGGGCTGCTGTCCTGGGGGCCAGAATGGATGAGATCAGAAGCTTCTTGGTCAACCAGGGCCACACAATGAGCCCCAGCCATGAGCACAGTGACCAGCAGCCACCACCGAGAGGCCTCCATCCTCTGGGGTCCTTGGTCTGAAAGCAGCGTGGCAGAGAGGACAACAGCAATGTCAATGGTAATGATAATGACAATGTGTGATATTCACCACATGTCTGCCCTGTCCCAGGCACCCCGCAAATACTTCAAGGCTCCCCTTGCCTCTCCTGGGGGCTCCCTTCCCATGCCCTCCTCCCCACCCCTCAGCTTCCTGCTCACAAACAGACATGGGGGATCTCTGGACAAAGTCAGAGCCCCTCCTCCAGAGGACCCTTCTATGAATCCTGGCTGCACCAGATCCCAGATCTATGACCTCGGGCGATTCACTTAGCCCATCTGAGTCCCACTTCTTATCCCTGACCTTAGACTTACAGGAAGCTGTGAGGAGGGGAGGGCCAGGAGGTGACTCATGGTACAGGGAGGAGTCCAGGGCTGGGCTCATATAAGCCCAGCACCTTAGGCAGGTGGCCTTGCCTCTCAGGACCTTGGCTTCCACTCTGTGGCATGCTGCTAAGAATCCCCACATCACAAGGTTACAGAAATTCAAAGCAATCATGCACGGAGCACACTCAGCCCAGGACCTGGCACAGAGAGCCCCAGGAGTGGCAGCGGACGTGGGGCCTCCCTTCCAGTGGTCTGACTCAGCAGGCCTCCACGGAGTCTGGAATCCATTTTGGCAAGGGTCTGAGCTGGTCCTGGGCCCCCCTTAGGGAACCATTGTGATCCTTTCAACAGGTAAATCAGATGCGTTCACTCCCTGCTGGAGACTTCCAATGACCCTATAGCAACTAAGAGAAATCCCGTGTTTCTCACCACACCTTAGGAGGCCCTACATGACAAGGCCCTGCTAGCCTTTCTCACCTCCTCCTTTTTTTTTTTTTTTTTTTAACAGAGTCTTGCTCTGTCACCTAGGCTGGAATGCAGTGGCATGATCTAGGCTCACTGCAACCTCCACCTCCCAGGTTCAAGCAATTCCCCTGCCTCAGCTTCCCAAGTAGCTGGGATTACGGGTGTGTGCCACCATATCCAGCTAATTTTTTTTTGTATTTTTAGTAGAGACGGGGTTTCACCATATTGTCCAGGCTGGTCTTGAACTCCTGACCTCAGGAGATCTGCCCACCTCGGCCTCCCAAAGTGTTGGGATTACAGGCGTGAGCCACCGTGCCTGGCCTCTGACCTCCTTCTGACCATCCTTTCCCTCCTTCCCTCTGCTCCAACCATCCTGGCCTTCTTGCTAGTCTAGAACTTACCAAGCTTCTTCCTGCTTAGGACCTGTGCTCTTGCCATTGGCTGCCCGGAGCAGCCTTGCTCTCGCCCTTTCCACAGCTCGCTTCCTTCCTTCACTCAGTTGTCTGCTCAAAGGTCACCTCCCCAGAGAGACCCCACCTCTGCCCTTGCCACCCTCACCCTGCCTGGTTTTTCTGATGCCCATCTGGCATGGTAGGACATGTTTGTCTGGTTTCCCCACTAGAAGATAAGCTCCGTGAGAGCAGATACTCTGTCTCGTGCATGGTTCATTCCTAGTGCTCACTCAACAATATTTGTTGAAAAAACAAATGGTTCATGGGCTAACCTTTGGGGGGGCCTCCTTCTAGGGCTTCAGCCTTTACCTAGAGCACAGGCATTTTCCTGCCTCTCTGGGACCTTAACACTGGACCATTCCTAGCTTTCTCTGCCACAAGTGCTTGGCCTCGCATGTCCAGTCTAGGCTTGGGTTAATAACTGACAGAATCGACCATCATCACAACCCCTTGTCCTGCCTCTGATTTTCCATGGGACCTCGGACAGCCCTGGGCCTTTCTGAACTTGAGCTTCCTCATCAGTGTAAGAAACAATCAGCTCAGCCTCAGCCTCCAGGAAAGCCTCTGTTCCCCGTGATTTACTTATCGACAGAGAACCAACCATCTCCATTTGCCCATTTGCCTGGTAATCTGCTTTGGTGAATATCTTGGTTTTGCTGAAGTTTGCACTTTCATTCTCTTATTATATTTAACCTTCATTCATTCACTCATTCATTCATTGAACAAACATAGACAAAACGGCTGCTACATGTCAGGACTTGAATTGTATGCTGGGGACACAAGATGAGTGAGACACAATGGCTCCCTTGGGGAGGCTCGGGTCCTGTGGGACAGACATGCAGAGATCTGCGCAGGGTGGCGTGTGCTCCATGGCCAGGCTGGTGACAAGCTGTCTCGGGTCCAGTGTCCTGTCCACGCTCACATTCTTTAGGTGGGGTTCCATTGTGCCTTGCTGGTGAGGGTGTAGATGGAACCTAGCAGCAGCAGAGGCTTCCTCTGAGGCCCCAAAACTATGGAGCTTTTGAGCAGAAAGGATGCCCTGGTCCAACCTGGGCTCTGGACAGACAGGAACACTGAGGCCCCAAGAGAAGCTCGTTCATGTACTTGCTGACTCACTCACTGAACCAATATTCAGCAGTCAGGGCAACAGGGACTGGCAGCCTGGGCCCTGCCTGGAAGGAGCATGCCAGTGATCGCAGGGAAATGTGGGGAGCTGATTACAGCTCAGTGAGGAAAGGGCGATGGCAGTTAGAGGTGAACTGCAAAGGGTGAATGAGGAGCCTGCAGGAGGCATGGAAGGTAGAAGTTCCTGGAAGGTTTCCTGGAGGAGGTGGCACCTGAACTGAAACTGGAAGATGGAGCAGGGGAGAGGCAGGAAAGGGGTTTGGGGGTTTCAGCAGAGGCAAGAGCATGCTTGAGGCCATGGAGGCAGGGTGAGTCAGCACCACTCCAGATTGTTGCCTATATGCACAGCTCCTGGTGCACAGTGGGCATGTGAGTGTGTGTGTGTGTGTGTGTGTGTGTGTGTAGGTGTGTGTGTAGCATGATGATATAACTTGTGGCAAGTTCAGCAAGTCAGCTGGGGAGCTGGGGATCTAGCTCCACCCACAGCCCCCAACTCACCTGAAAGTCAATGCTTTCCGTGAGCTTTTGGAGGAGGTGGGGAGATTCGGCAGGTTTAATGGCCCTTGAAAAAGTGCGTCCCTGCAGGGAGGGTTGTGACGGGCTGGATTTCTGGGAGTAACACAGACTGAATAAGGCTGCCCTTGGCTCAATGTCCACCCTTGGCAAAAACCAACAGAGGAAAGCGATCTGCCCTCCATTAGGGTGATGTGGAAATCCTTGAGTGGAGAAGAAGGAGCTGTGGAAAGTGGGCGGTACCCTGGAATTGCGGTGGGTGTCCTGGAATTGTGGTGGGTGTCCTGGAATCAGACTGAATAAGGCTGCCCTTGGCTCAATGTCCACCCTTGGCAAAAGCCAACAGAGGAAAGCAATCTGCCCTCCATTTGGGTGATGTGGAAATCCGTGTGTGGAGAAGAAGGAGCTGCGGAAAGTGGGCGGTACCCTGGAATTGCGGTGGGTGTCCTGGAATTGGGGTGGGTGCCCTGGAATTGCGGTGGGTGTCCTGGAATTGCAATGGGTGTCCTGGAATTAGGGTGGGTGTCCTGGAATTAGGGTGGGTGTCTTGGAATTGGGGTGGGTGCCCTGGAATTGCGGTGGGTGTCCTGGAATTGCAGTGGGTGTCCTGGAATTAGGGTGGGTGTCCTGGAATTAGGGTGGGTGTCTTGGAATTGGGGTGGGTGCCCTGGAATTGCGGTGGGTGTCCTGGAATTGCAGTGGGTGTCCTGGAATTAGGGTGGGTGTCCTGGAATTAGGGTGGGTGTCTTGGAATTGGGGTGGGTGCCCTGGAATTGCGGTGGGTGTCCTGGAATTGCGGTGGGTGTCCTGGAATTGGGGTGGGTGCCCTGGAGTTGGGGTGGGTGCCCTGGAGTTGGGGTGGGTGTCCTGGAATTGGGGTGGGTGTCCTGGAATTGGGGTGTGTGTCCTGGAGTTGGGGTGGGTGCCCTGGAGTTGGGGTGGGTGTCCTGGAATTGCGGTGGGTGTCCTGGAATTGCGGCGGATGTCCTGGGGGCAGGTCCCAGTTCCACCACTTTTGTTCTGCCTGACACTCCCAGGCCTCAGTTTCTTCCCTCGCCCTCCTTACTGCTCAAGGTTGACAGGAAAGTTAAGCCTAGTGATATACATAGAGGTTCTAGCAAAAGGCTAAGCAAATTGGAGCAATGCTCTGCCCTCTTCTGGTCACATTCTTTTGCCCAACACACATTATGGACACTTAACTGTTGTGTCAGACACTGTGCTCATTACAGGAGCACAAAGATACCAAAGTCATAGTTCTTGCCTCCAAGGAGCTTGGGTTATGATATTTTTAAATGTCATAATTGCTTTTTCATTTGGGCTCTAATACTTTTTAAGTTGTAATGGCTAGTTACAATGTAATGATTATTTCTTCAGGAAAGTCAATAGAACTTTCCCCTTTAAAGCAATGTGAACAGAAAAGTTAATATGTACTCAATAGAAAGTGTTTGCAAAGCCTTAGCAAATCAAACGCTTTGTGTTTCCTGGGCTGGCTTGGAGGCAGGGATGGCACAAGGTGACCTGCAGATTGAGTGCAGATAAGATTCACAGGAGATAACAGGTTTGAGCCAGAACTAATTTTCTTCCAGCTTTGCTTGTTATTACTATATTTTTGCTCTGCTTATCCACTGTCTTGACATCAATAGCCACACAGTCACCTCTTGTTGACTTCCTAAAACCTTCAATTCTTGATGTTCACATCAGGGATGGCACAGCAGGGGTGTATTATGAGATTCATTGTATTCATTCATTCACTAATTCATTCATTCATTATGGAATGCTTACTGCATCTGAGGATGATGCATTAAATACTGGGGAATAAGGAACAATCCTGCCCTCAAGGATTTGTTTTTATTTTAATGGCTTTATTGAGATATAATTTATATATTATACATTTCACCCACTCAAAGTGTGCCATTCAATATTTTTAGTATATTGACAAAATTATATAACCATCACCACAATCTAATGTTATTTATTTATTTATTTACTTATTTACTTATTTATATTTCAATAGGTTTTGGTGGAACAGGTGGTGTTTGGTTACATGAATAAGTTCTTTAGTGGTGATTTCTGAGATTTGGGTGCACCCATCACCCAAGCAGTGTACGCTGCACGCTATTTGTAGTCTTTTATACCTCACCCACCTCCCGCCCTTTCCCCCAAGTCCCCAAAGTCCATTGTATCATTCTTGTGCCTTTGTGTCCTCACAGCTTAGCTTCCATTTATAAGTGAGAACATACAACGTTTGGGTTTCCATTCCCGAATTATTTCACTTAGAATGATGGCCTCCAATTGCTGTGAATGCCATTATTTTGTTCCTTTTACGGCTGAGTAGTATTCCACAGTATATATATACCCCAGTTTCTTTATCCACTCCTTGACTGATGGGCATTTTGGCTGGTTCCATATTTTTGCAGTTGCTAATTGTGCTGCTATAAACATGTGTGCAAGTATCTTTTTTGTATAATGACTTCTTTTCCTCTGGGTAGATACCCAAGAGTGGGATTTCTGGAGGATTTTTTTTTTGTTATGGAAAAATGCAAACATACACAAAAATAGAGAGAATGGTATAATGCACCCCTATATACCCACCAGCAGCTTTAGTTATTTTCAATATAAGACCAATATCATTTTTTGATACCTCCCAATCTCTTTCTTCCTGTGGAATATTTCAAAGCAACTCCTATAAAATATTTCATTTTATGTGTAAAAATTGGGAAAATATCGTAATTGTAATAGCATGTCACACTTTTAAAAACAATAATTTCTTAATGTTATCAAGCCATTAACTGATTCCTAATCATTTTTTTCTTTGAATGCCAAGTGTATTCTGTACTTTCTTTTATTAACATCACAGTCTTTGCATCAAGATACATAGCCATGATAGCAGATTTCTTTTTAAAGCTTAGTATTAAATATTAAATATCTTTCCCCATTTAAATTTCACATTACTCTGCCAAGAAAAAAATAATTAAAACTCAAGTTACTTCAAGCCTGGACACACTTCCGTGATTATCTGGGTTGTGTAAGAGTTGGAGGCTTTATTTTTCCTGCTATGTAAGCAGATTCAGGCCCTAGAAAGATGGGATCAGGTTATACAATTGCTTTTGAAAAGTGTGCTACAAAAATGGATGGCCTGGTATAAGCCAGGATACAAAGTAAGGATGAGGGTAAGGGAGGGACATTTTCTTCAAGAAAAAAAGCAAATTTCTCAAGAGTTCCACTCTATAATTTTCCCAAAATGGTTGGGGTAAAATCTCAACATGAGGTTCAAAGTACTGTCTCTGTGGGGACTGGTAGTTGCTTTGCCAAAGAGAGCGACTGCCGAGGAGGGGATGGCTAAGTTTCACCATGCCCCATCCTCAGCTAGGAGAGTGGAAATGGAAAGTGTATCGCCCAGTGGGTGTGAAAGTGGGCTGAAGCTTGGTTGGTACTGAAATCTCTAAGAGTTTCTTCTAGAAACAGACAACTCAGACTCCTCCTCTCACTTCAGTGAAGAAGTTATTTTTAAAAAGCACCTGGGCTGGGCACAGTGGCTCATGCCTATAATCCCAGCACTTTGGCAGGCCAAGGTGGGTAGATCACTTGAGGTCAGGAATTTGAGACCACCTTGGCCAACATGGTGAAACCCCATCTCTAGTAAAAATACAAAAATTAGCTGAGTGTGGTGGTGCACGCCTGTGGTCTCAGCTACTCAGGATGCTGAGGCAGAATTGCTTGAACCCAGGATGCAGAGGTTGCAGTGAGCTGAGATGGCACCACCTCAGTCCAGCCTGGGTGATAGAGAGAGACTCTGTCTCAAAAACTATAAATATAAAAATAAAATAAAAGCACTTGGGAAGTTCCTCCTCCACCCCTCAGATGGGAAGGCTCAGAGAAGGGAGTCATCAGTGCAGTCACCTTCTCGGCTGTAATGGAATTCCTGAAGGTTGGAGACCCCACAGAAGTGGACAAAGGCCACCGTCACCATGAGGACATGGAAAATCTGCTGAGACTGGAACCATATGTCTAATTTTCCAGGAAAGAAGCGCTCAGGAATTTAAGCAGCATAAAGGCCAGCTCTGGTGATGTACATCACAGCCACGAGGAAGAACCAGCCCATCTGGCCCACTGTGGTGGCCTTGACGAAACCCTCAGCAATAGGAAAGTGCATGGTGGGCACAATACCGCTCAAGCCAAGTCCCAGCAACACCCCTGCCCTTGTCTGCCGGTGCTTAGGAGTGACAAACCGGTCCCACTGTCACAATGATGGCAGAGATGCCCAGGACATAGATGATGGAGAAGTAGATGAGCCGTGGCTGTGGCGAGCAGTAGAAGGAGTAACAGAGCCAGGGGACGAAGCTCCTTATGAGCAGTGGAGCAATCCCTGAATAGTACAGTTTGGAAAAAGTCCGAGAGACTTTCTCTGAATGACAGTAGACAGTGCGGACGAGCCAGGAGAAGCTGAGGCTAGAGCACTGCACCCAAAAGGAATATCCTCCAAATCACTTTCTCCTGTAGAGGGGCCGTGAAGTACATATTTGGTCTGAGCATGGTCAAGATTTCCAAAAAGAGAAACAGCACGAAACCAAGCAGATGTGTCCGGCTGCTGCCGGTTTCTGTATGGATATAGAAGATGCTCTTGAAGCAAGCCCAGAAGGAGGACATGGGTTGTCTATGGCCATAGAGCAGACAGTCATTGTCCTGCAGACAGTCATTGTCCTTCAGCCAGTCAGGGAGCCCATCATATTGATGGTGGCAGCAGCTTGTCTGGAGCTGCGGCTGCCGGGATGCCAGCAGCACGGGGGCGGGGCGGGGCGGGAGAAATGCCTGGCCAGGGTTGCATGCTCTGTGGAGCCAGTTGGGGCTGGTAACAGTAGGGAGCCCTGTCCCCTACTGAATTGGTGGGGTGGGACCCCCATGCATTCAGGTGCAGCTGCAGCCGCCCATCCTCAACTCCAGACCCAGGCATCTCTGTGCTCTTGGGGACCCAGGAAGCTGCTTGCTCCAACAGGCTTTAAAGTGCCTGCTTCCACTCCTGGTGTCCGCTCCAGGGTGGAGCAAAGTTGTGGCCGAGCCCAGGTGCTGTCACAAGCCAGGTGGGTGTGTGCACACTCAGAGCAGTGCTGACATGCCAGCCCCCTGCCGCCTCAGCACCCTCCGGACTTTGAGCTCCAACAAGCACGGGAGGGAGGTCAAGGGGATGCTGAGGGAGGCTTGAGGTGGGTCTGCAGACACCTCTCATCACAAACAGCTGGAGTGCTGTGGACAGCATGTTAATGGCAGGAGGCAGACAGTTTGCTGGGCTGAAAGTGGTGGATCCCCAGTGAAGCCCCACCTTCAAGCCAGGGACAGGCTGAAGCCTGGGGACTGGGCTGCCAGTTCTGAGTGGGGTTCCGTGGTACAGAGTGAGAACTTATGGTGCTTTTTCTGGGCCTGCCTATGACCGCCCATGGACCAATTCGCATGCACTTCCTCCCTTCTGAACCTGTACAATTCCTGGGCTCAGCCAGACTCCAAAAGATGTCAGGACATCTTTCCACCTGTCTGTGGAAAGCAGCTACCCACTGCATGTCCCCTGAGAGCTGTTCTGTTGCTCAGTGAAGCTCTTCCATGCCTTGCTCACCCTCCAGTTGTCCATGTACCTCATTCTTCCTGGATGCAGGATGAGAACTTGGGACACACCAAATGGAGGGACTAAAAGAGCTGTAACACAGAGCTGAAACACTTCCCACTGCTCGCCACGTTGTAGGCAACAAGAAGGAGAGAATAGCTGATCCCTTTTGGGGAGCCCAGACCTAGGGGCTCTCCAAGTCAGGGCTGTGACACCCTCTTTGGGGCTCTTTGGTTCCTCATGTCTCCAAGCTTCTGGGTGCCACCATGTTCCCCTTGTCCAGATGTGGGTGCCCATAACAGAAGCCACGTGTGGTACATCTGGTCCAGCCACAGCCTTGCATGGAGCCAGCACCTGTGCCAGTGCCTAGAGCTGCCCGCCCTGCCACAGCAGCCAGCATGCCTGGCTGTGTGCAACGGCCAGACCCTGCACTCACTAACTCACATGCCCTTCTCCACTCTGCTCCTGGCTCGCCCTTGGCAGGTGTGGGATCCAGGCTGATAGTATGAGCTGAGTGCAGCCTGCTGGGTTGAGTGGATGGAACGAGCCCAGCAGACACAAACAATACTCAGGCATTAGGTGCTGCTGGCCACAGAGGTTTCTGGCTGGCAAAGCAACCCCTTCCCCCCAAGGATCCCATGACAATATGGGATGACCCTCCAACATCTGTCCCACTCAGACCTTGTACACAAACTCCTCCATCTTCTCCATGGTGTGGTGGGCTTGCAGGGGAAGTGTCAGTACCCACACCTCCTCCTCTTCTTCCTGGGGCACTGGGCATGTTTGCTCTTCTTCAGCTTTGTTTGGGTTGGTGATTACCCATTTGCCCTTCTCTTGTAGCAGGGGTCACAATTCAGAGTTCAGCCAGTTCCACCATGTCAGTTTCCCTGTTACTGGCAGGAGCCCCATTCCTATGCCACCACAGACCCTTTGTGAGAAGACATCTGGCTGGTACCTCGATACCCTGCAACTTCATCTTGGGGAAAGGTTGGGGTCTCTCAGCCCAAAGGGGCAGATATCTCCCTGAGATGGTAGAAAAACCAGGCCGGTGGGCATGAACCGGGTCATGATGCCCCACGCTACATCCCGTGGCACTGAAGGTGGCCTGCGGCTGAGATACCCTGATCCTCAGTGTATCCCCAGGCCAGAAGAGGTGTGTAACTGTGACCCTAATTGTTTTTTTATTGTTGATTTGTTTCCATTAGAATCCAAATAACTTCTATATATGACATTTAATCTCTCTCTCTCTCTAATTGAGGCAAAATTCACATTACCTAAAATTAACCTTTGTAAAGTGTTCAATTTGGTGACATTTAGTACATTCATATGTTGTGTAACCATTACCTCCATTTGGTTTCAAACTATTGTAATCACCCTTAAAGGAGATTCCTTACCCACTGAGTAGTCATCCCTATTCTTTCACTCCTTAACCCTGGACAACCACTAATCTGCTTTCAGTGTCTGTGAATTTACCTGTTCTGGATGTTTTACATAAATGGAATCATACAATATGTGGCCTTTGTGCCTGGCTTCTTTCACTTAGCATAATGTTTTCAAGGTTCATCCACATTGTAGTGTGTGCCAGTGTTTCACTCCTCTCAAACAAAGCTGGGTTTGTTAAACTCTCTGAGCAAGGGAGAACACCATCTTGGCAGCTCAGTAAAGTCTTGAAAGAGGGTAGTTAAGGGAAATACAGGGTCTCATGGGCTGAGTTACTCTATGGTGGTTTCTGAGTGATACTTCGAAAGCATGGCCAGGATTTGTAAACTAAGCGAGTAGTCAGTGTTTTTATCTATGAAACCCATGAGTCTGTCTGGAATTACTCTTAGAAGCATTTGCTGTGGCCTTGCCTTGGAGCACATGGGTCTGAACATGCTGCTCTCAATACATTCTGGACCTAGGCAGTACCTGTAACAAATCATGGTTGGGTATAGTTTACCTGTTTTGCACATACTGGTTCAGTTTGCTTTGCAAGTTGTGATTTTTGTTTCATTTCTTATTGGGATCAACAATTTTGGCCAGAGAGGATGCTCTGGGTACCTGGGGAGAGGATGGTCATCAGGAAAGGGCTGTTGAAATGCACAATGGTCAGTAGGGTTTTCTTTGTAGAGAATGGAAGCTTAATTCCTCTGTGCCCTTCTTGGCCACATCAATCACAGCCATAAGCAGCACCTGTGGGCCCAAGAGGGCGTCATGCATGTTTCTGGTGTGGCAGAGGCTGTGGGCGGTGGAGCTGGGGTTGTGGAACCCAGCCAGGTCTTTGACGTGTCTTGTTATTATTATTCTTTGTAATCCACCTGATGGTCCTCTAGAGTAGACGCTCTCCCATCATTCAAGAGCAGAGGCAGTAACAGTGATGCCAGGTAATTTGGCTAAAGTCATGTGACCAAGATCTGAACTGGACCTTGAAGGTTTGCTGACTGAAAGTCACTATGGGGAGCTGTGTGGCAAGAGGAAGGGCTCTGAGAAGAAAGGGGGAGTAAACAGGAGAACCAGCTGCATGGAATTTGTGGGCATTGTTTCCCCATTTCCCAACTGGTAGATCTGTGTAAAATGGATGTTGAGCAAGTGGAAGGAAGCCTTTTAGCAATATATGAATCCTCCCATGTCTTCAACCTCAATGCACCATGCTCTATTCAACTTCAAATTACTATCTTGTTTCCAGACACCTCTATCACCCATCAGCTCCTCTTGTTATGGCTCCTTGATGTCCCCAGCCTGGAATATGAAAATCCCATCATTTGAATGACTCTCTGGTCAATATTTTCAGATATATTTATTTTTCCTTGTGTCAGCCACTGATGGTCCCTCCGTCCTGTAGCCAGGGGAAACTTTGGCTCCAGTAGCCACTTGCAGTCTATCCCCTTTTTGTCTATGTCTGAACTACCTAGTATACCTAGAACCACACAACTGTACAGGCTAGTGACACAGTAGTCTCCAGCCCCCAAGGGACCCTTATTAGTGACTGCTAGAACATCGAGGTTTCCTGAAGTGTCCTCGTCTCCCCTCCTCCAGACTTCTGGGTTTTATGCTTCCCCATGGTGGACTCAGCAGATAACATCTCTTTGTATGGCACAGGGAAAAATAGAAGTCATTTGCCAGGGGTGTCCTCACATTTTTGACAAGAAGAAATCCTGAAATCCATCCCTCCTGCCCAAATTTCCCTATTGAAGTTCAGATCCATAGAGCCCATTCTCTATTGGACTTCTCTTCTTAGATGGCCTACAGACATCTCCAACTCCACATGCCCACATGAGGACTTATCTGCTTCCTGCACAAAACGTTATTCATTCTGTAATGCTTAGCTCATAGAATGGCATGTGGATTTCAGTTCCCCAAGTTCCCGACCCAGCAACTTTGCTTCCTTTCTGTCCCCCACACAATCAACCATGAAGTCTCATCAATTCTGTCTAATAAATATCTCTCCAATTAGTCTCCTTTCCTCTCTGTCCTCTCCCAATTCCTAGCTAAGGCTGAACCTCTTGGTCATTCTGCTTCTCTTCTTTTCACCAAATCCACACTCAATACTGTATCCATCCTTCCCTGCTCAGCCACGGTGATCTTTCTAATGAAACTTAATCAAAACAGCTCCCTGTGTATAATATTCACTGTGGCTCATCACTCTTTGAATAAACTCTGAGATCCTTAACATGATTTACAAAGCATGGTCTTGTTCATGTTTTTCTCTTTAGCTCCACAGATGACCATGGTTCCCTCAAACATCAGTTATCCAGAACATAGGATCTTCTTCTAGCTCCATGGACACACTGCACTCCCTCTCCTTTTCTGCTGGTACATCTCCCTGGTGTCTCCTCTTCACTGTACTGGATTTTGCATTTGAGGACAGCTCTTCTAGGAGACCAAACTTGACTCTTCTAGTCTGGGGTTTATTCCTGCCCTCTCTGGGCATCACGTACCCCACTCCCGAGGGCTGCTGTCACATCCATGCTCAGTTTTCTGTCTTGCTCAACAAATTGAACATTCTATGAGGGCAAATTCCAGGTCCACTTTCTTAACCTCGGAATCTCCAGGGCCAGCTCAGGGCCTGCATTTGGAGGGTTGGCAATTTGCGTGGGCTGAATGAGAGAGTAAGTAGGTGTCTTTTATTGGTGTCAGTGCCTCTCAGGCTTGGACTTCACTTTTGGTTAGTGAGGGAGGTAGTAAATCAGGACAGGTGCTGTCTTGTCCCTGCAGCTAGCGTCAGGAAGCCATTTAAGGGCAATAGCTAGTGACCAGCAGGTGGATGGGCCCTCAGCCCCCAGGGGAGGCGGAAGAATGAAACTAAGCCCCACCCTCACAGATCTGGGGCCCAGACGCTCCCTTAAGGGAGGAACTCAGTTTTCAGCCAGCAATTTCCAGACCTAAGTCACAGAAGGGAATGAATGCTGGGCTGTGGTAAGGCTCCTTAGACACCTGGACTGGGGTCAGGAGGGACCGGGGGCAGGAGCTGGGCAGGTGGGCAGGTCAGAGCCTTGTCCAGTGCAATGCCATCCAGCCCCAGCTGAGTGACGAGAAGCCATGCCAGCCTGGATGAGGAGTTAGTTCACATGGAAAAGATCATCTCAGGAGTTTTTAAATTGCTGTCAAGGGAACGTTCAGACTCAGGAGCAAGCATTTCAGTGACTTGCTGACTTCTTACACACGGATGACACAGGCATGCACACACTGTCATGGTTTCCACTTTACAGTTGAGAAAACTGAGAGTCAATGTGAAAAAATCCTCTTTGGGGGGGAAAAGTAGCCTTTGTAGTTCATATGGCACTTCTAACAGGTCATTCTTGGACCTCCTAGGGACCCCATCTCCCCATCCTCAGTCTTCCTCAGTGATCAGCTCCCTCTGCCCTCATCTGTACCCCCCAGTGCTGGTCTCAAGTCCATGATGTCAACCCTTCTGTAGTCTGTACCTCCAGCCCCCTTGACTCCTGTCCTTCTGATCAGCAGTTGGCCTTCTTGAAGCCCACAAAGGGGCTGGTAAGAATGGAGAAATATTCCACAAGATGGGGGATTCCACAACTGTCTGTAAAGCCTGGAACCACCAAGAATTCCTGCAGCTGGATCTCCAAGGCGCTCATCAGTGAGCCTGGCTGAACTGCCGTGACACCGTGGCCCACTCTGTGTCCCATTTTGTGCCTTTTCCTGCCCCAACCTGTGGCAAATATCACTAAGCAGGTGACTTTGCCTCCTATACTAGGAATCATCAGAGTCATTGGAGGAGAGGAGGTCCCACCTGATCCTACCAAGAAACACACTCCCTCACCAGCCCCCTCGCCAGGCCCTGCCTGCATTCCCATCACAGTGGAATCCTTGATCCTTGATCCTGGCCCTCCAGCCCTCCACCTGTTCCCTTTCCAGGGATGCTTCATGCAGCCTGGCCAACTGCTAATTCTGCAACTCCGAGTTGAAGGCGATGTCAAACCACCTGTGAACTGTAACTTAGGATGGTGTCAAACCACCTGTGAATTGTAACCTGAGGAGTTGTGCCACTCTGCGACCCTGGTTGCTTGTCACCCTGCCTCCTGAATCCTTTCTATGGTTATGAAAGCTTGTTCAAGGCTCTCACATCTGTCAAGCACTGCAGCTAACTTCAGCCTAGCACTCACTACCCACCACCCTCTCTCTCACCTCCCCTAAAGGCCAGTCTCTAAATAGGCATTTGCACACTGTGAAGGGGTGGCCTGCCCCTCCACACCTATGGGTATTTCTAGTCAGGTGGGACGAGAGACCGGGAAAGAGAAATAAGACACAGAGACAAAGTATAGAGAAACAACAGTGGGCCCAGGGGACCGGTGCTCAGCACACCAAGAACCTGCACCGGCACTGAGTTCCCTCAGTTTTTATTGATTATTATCTTCATTATTTCAGCAAAAAGGAATGTAGTAGGAGGGCAGGGTGATAATAAGGAGAAGGTCAGCAACAAACATGTGAGCAAAAGAATCTATGTCATAATTAAGTTTAAGGGAAGGTACTATGCCTGGATGTGCACGTAGGCCAGATTTATGTTTCTCTCCACCCAAACATCTCAGTGGAGTAAAGAATAACAAGGCAGCATTGCTGCAAACATGTCTCGCCTCCCACCATAGGGCGGTTTTTGTCCTATCTCAGAATTGAACAAATGTACAATCAGGTTTTATACCGAGACATTCAGTTCCCAGGGGCAGGCAGGAGACAGTGGCCTTCCTCTATCTCAACTGCAAGAGGCCTTCCTCTTTTACTAATCCACCTCAGCACAGACCCTTTACGGGTGTCGGGCTGGGGGACGGTCAGGTCTTTCCCATCCCATGAGGCCATATTTCAGACTATCACATGGGGAGAAACCTTGGACAATACCCTGCTTTCAAGGGCAGAGGTCCCTGCAGCTTTCCGCAGTGCATTGTGCCCCTGGTTTATTGAGACTAGAGAATGGCGATGACTTTTACCAAGCACACTGCCTGTAAACATTTTGTTAACAAGACACATCCTGCACAGCCCTAGATCCCTTAGACCTTGATTTCATACAACACATGTTTTTGTGAGCTCAAGGTTGGGGCAAAGTGGCTGGGGCAAAGCTACAAATTAACAACATCTCAGCAAAGCAATTGTTCAAAGTACAGGTCTTTTTCAAAATGGAGTCTTTTATGTCTTTCCTTTCTACATAGACACAGTAACAGTCTGATCTCTTTTTTCCCTACACGCTGTCTTGCCTTCCCTCTCTCCCTCTCCTGCTCACTCTCCAGCCCACTGTGGTCCTCCCTTAATTCTGCTAACATTGCACTTGTGATCCCCGAGTGGTTTTAGATCACTAAATCCCACAGACCCATTCATTCCATTCATTCATCATTTGTCTCTAGGTTTTCTCCCCTCTCCCCCGGATAAGTATCTCCTCTTGTTCCTGCGGCGACAGCTTTCGTCCTGTCCTCTTGTCTCCTGCCCCACGCTGGTGACTTTCCTCGGTGGGCTGCCCTTTCTTAGCCAGTCATTGAGGTTTCCCTTTTCTTTTCACTCCATGGCACTCATTTGAGGGGACACCCTCAATACTCACTTGCCCATCCCAGGGGAGGATCCTGAATGCTTCCCTCCAGCCCAGATTTCTCTCCTGACCTCAGCCTAGCTGCTTCCTGAACAAACCCCTGGGGTGTCTCCCAGGAACCTCAGACATGGGAGGTTCAAATCTGAATGTATCGACTTCCCTTGCCAGCAAGTCCCTGCTGGGTTTCCTATTCAGAGAACTGGGGATCACCCAGGCACCCAAACCCAAATAGTTATTCTCCCTTCCACCCCACCTGCAATCATAAATTCACACCCATTCTCCTCAAAGCCTTCCAACAGAATCATCCCGCTCTCCCTCCCCAGCTCTGACCTATTTTGCCCCAGTTCCCACAGAGCCCCCTCGATGTCCAACCCACATCCTTGTCCTGGGCTATGAATCACTTTTCTACTCAGCAGCCAGGGTCCTTCTCTAGTGTGTAAAGCTGCTTCCATCACCTCTGTGTTTAAACTCGCTTAGAGCTCCCTGTGGCTCTAAGGAATCACTTGGGAATCCTTGCCAGCGGCCAGCCCTTCTGCAGCCCACCAGCTCTGTCATGGCACCTTCCTCTCTGTAGCCCCTCAGCCTCTCTGCTCTTTGCCCCAGAGCCACCCAACTTCTTTTGGTTTCTTGAATGCTACCATTGCTCTTTTTCCCATCTGAAGCATTGTCCTCTCTGTTCACTTGACCACCTTCTCTTTCCCTGACCTCAGCACAGAAGTTGCCTCCTCCAAGAAGCCTTCCCTGACTTCCCAAACTGAATTTGGTGCTCTCCCTCAGCTTCCACAGACTTGTTTCACCATCTATTTGCCATCGGGTTGTACGTTCCATGAAGGCAATCCCTACGGAAATCACTTTGTGGTTAAGAGGGCGCCTGTGGTGTCAGGAGGGTTGGGATAACATTCTACAGGCAATAATTACTAGCTCTGTAGCCTTGGGAAAATTACTAAGCCTCTCTGCACCTCAGTTTCCTCATCCATAGAATGGGACTGCTGAGAGCATTTATCTCATAGGGACGTGAGGAGGATTCAATTGGCTATTTCAGGGAGAGATCTTGGCAGGTTGTCTGGCATCAAAACCTCAAGTACTGAGCTGTTGTCAACAGTATCATTGTTGCCTTTGTGATAGAGATTGCAAGGTGCCTGGGAGCCTCGGTTAAATGCCTGACTACACGATTGCTTTATTGCAGTTGTGCGCTGATGGCTCATTTGTCCTCAGCCCTGCATTCTGGTTGTTGAGGGAGATCATTCACAGAGCCAGGGCTAGGAACTGGTGAGGCAGTTGAGGGGCTCCATCTGGAAACCCAGAAAGTAGCTACTTCCCCCAAATTGGGGGTGCTAAAGGGCAGAAGAAGGATGTCGCATGATAAAGCCCTGCACAGCTGCAGGAGCAAGGAGTCCGGGGGCTGTGCCAGATGTGGTCAGGGCTAGGAGCTCTGGAAAGAGCCAGGTGGAGCCTGGGCCCTGGGGGTGGAAGGAGAGAAACTGAAAGTGGGCACCCAGAAGCCTGGGGGGCAGGAATTGGCCTTAGAGCAGCAGGGTCCCCTCCCAACCCTGGGCCTGAGGTCTGGGTGAGCTTGGCCACAAGCTTAGGTAGTCCTGGGCAGGCTGCTGCAGCTGAAGGCAGAAGGAGCCCAGATCTTGGGGTGGAGCTGAGCCTGCATGGGAGCTCAAGGGGCTTGTCTTTGGGGCACAGGTAGCCTCAGGGGCGCAGAGTCTGATAGTCAGCATGGAAAGGCACAAGCAACGTGTCCAACGAAATTATTTATTGCTGTCAGGAGGCCCAGGACCCTCCAGACTGAAGAGTCCATGGGCCCCTGTGCATGTGAGAGCTACACAGGGAATCGCTGTCACCTTCCAAGGATAAGCAGACAGGGCCACACATGCCATGGCCACTCGGTGCACAGGGGCCAGGCTGTGCCCAGAGACCCAGGCATCCAGCTTGCATTCCAAGTTCCTTACTGAGAGCCCCACTGCTTGATGGCAAGCTCTAGGCTTGCTTGGGATTGGTGACTTTGCTCATGAAGAAGATGTTCTGGGTGTCTGTAGGGACAATGATCATCAGGAAGGGCCTGTTGAAACGCACAATGGTCCTTGTCTCCACTAATGCAGAAAGGAGGGTGATTTTGACTGCTGTGGCAGCAGATGCTTCTGTGCCCTCCTCAAATACATCAAGCACAGCCTTATGGACCACCTGTGGGGACAGCAGAACATTACACACGGGAAACACAGATGCGCAGGAGTTCAGCGACCTGCCTGTGTGCCACTAAGGGGTCTAATGTGCATTGAGCACCTAGTGCTGGCCTGTCTTTGTGCTGTTGAATGTTTGCTCCTCCCAACTCCCCTGCCAACTAGTTTTGCACAGTCCTGATGCCTAGATGTGCAAATGGAGACCCAGATGCTGAGTATGATTTGCCCAGAGCCATCGAGGTAAAGAATGGAGCACCTCATATGCATCCCTTTGTGTCTGAGTTGAGAGTCTATTTTGCCCCCAAAACAGCCACTACTGTTGGGAGGAAGAGCAAGAACAATGTAAAGCATTTTTCTTCTAAGCAACATCCCGGCAGCTCTTGACCACAAGCAGCTGCTGCAGAAACCTCCTCAGCCAAGCCAGCATGGCTTTCAGCATCTCTCCTGCTCTAGCTTAAACATCCTTGGGGCTTTCAAGTACTTTTCATGGCCTTGAATTCCTGAACCATACGGGTCTGCTCCTCTACACACAACCCTCTCTTACTTTGCTGTTTGAAAGGTGGAGTGCAGACCTCAACCCAGTGCTGTGTGAGCACAGAGGGCAGACAAGAGCAAAAGGCTGCATGGCCACCCTGCCTTGGCGCCTCTGCTTTTAGTAACACAGGCTGAGTGTCCCAAGTAGTCTTCTCTCATACTCCGAGCATATTTTCATTACAATTGCCAGATAATCATTGTTATTACCTATTGGCATTCCCTGTCCAGCCAGGCACTGGATACTAGCCAAGAACTATCACTACCATTTGACACATGGAAAGCTGGGGGTGGAGGACTTTAATTGTTTGCCCCCATGGATAGTAAATGGTATAGTGTGGAATGGTGTCCATGGCTCTCTGATTCCAAGCCTGGATGACATTATGTTGTAGAGGCTCAACCCCTAACACGGCAGGAGGAGCTGGGCTGTAACCTAGCTCTTCTTGGCTTGGGGGTGTCCCAAGCAGGGTGAGTATATAATGAGAAATGCACGTGCATTAACCCAAGTTCAAGAGTACCCAAAAGTCCATCTGGCCTTCACCAATTCAAGTTCGGATACAAAGGATGAATTGACCCAAGTCTAAAGACTCACCTGGGAGACTGCTAGGTTCCTGGCCCCTGTGATCCCTGACAGGTCAGCCTTGCTGGTGAAGGCTTCCTCAATGCCCAGCTGGAGAAGTATGTCGTTCAGGTTATAGTCCCTCGAGATGGAAAACTTTGGCAGGTAGAGCTCACCTATCTCTCTAGAAAACGAGAAAAAAAAAGTATCTGAACCTCTGCTGATCAGTACCTACCTGCCTCCCACCTCGCAGCATGGTCTTCCCTGGTTTCCTCTACAGTCACCCCCTTCTGATTGGAAAATAAATAATCTGTTCCTCAATTTCTTAACCCCTGTCTTTACTCTTCTTATTCATTAATTATTCATTCAGATCTGCAAGTGTGAAAGTCTCCAGGCAGCACACCAAGCCTGGAGTTGTGGCCCTGCTCGAGCCTGGCCCTGCCCTTTCCCTGCAGCTTGCAATGCAGTTGAAGCACCTTCACACCAGCAGGGACCCCTGAGTGTGTTGAGAGCCTGGGCTGGGCCAGCTGCAGTGGCTGCATGGCAGCCTGCTTCACGGGGGCACCAGGAGGGCTTCCTGTAGGAGGTGGTGTTGAGGCTGAGTCCCAAAGGCAGGAAAGGAGCTAGCTAGGTGAAGAGGTGGGCAGGAGGCAGGTGGAAGAACCTGGAAGAAGGTGGGAGCAGGAGGAGTTGCTCCACGGGGCGGTGGGTGATCTCAGTGTTTCAGGGAGGAGGGTAGTGAGGGATGAGGTGGGCCAGGAGCCAGAGGCAGGTCAAAAAGGGCCTGGGGGCCTCTGAAGAGTCTGATTGTGTTAGAAGAGCTTTGGGGATCCTGAAACAATCAATTGGAGGTTCCCATCTTGCCTCACCAGTGGGCACTGTCCCTCAAGCCAGGTGTGGGCTGGCATAGAGCAGGTAGCAAGCTCCTAGAGGCCCAGGTCACACCTGCCACCTGCAAACTCCCCCTCCCTTAGTTTATAGCCCTCTTAAGATGCCTGTCACTGTCTGCCTGGTCTTACAATTATACAGGAGGCTGTGTCTTCCATTAAACTCTGAGTCCCCTGAAGGAGGAAGGTGTCCTATTTCTATTTTTATTCATTCATTCATGTGTTTGTCCGTTCATTCCATCCTTCATTCAACAAGTATCTATTGAGCATTCTCTGTGGGCCAGGAGTGTGTGGACACATGTTTCCTCAGCATTTTGTAAATCAAAAGTGTTTGGAGAATTCTTTCCACTCAAAATTATCTGCTGAGCCCCTGCTCCCTGGTGGCTATTAGGTGCTAAAGGAGGAAGGAGTCTGGGAGTAAACGGATGGGTTGGGTAGGACCCCCACGTTCTGGGGTCTCCTGGGATCTAGAGTGAGGAGGGGCTGAGGGTCAGGCAATCCCGAGAGGTGTCCGGCCTTCTGGACAGTGGTTGGGGCAGGGGTTGCAGCCTCAGGTTAGTGTTGAAGCAGCTCCCTTGCCCTTAGTGGTTTATTATGGCTTCAACATACAATACCTCACCGGATTCTCACAATCACCCAGTGAAAACAGGGGTGGTGGGGAAAGGACATTCCTTTCTCTTCAGGAGGTAGCTGAGCTCCAGAGAAGAGCAGCGACCTGCTCCAGGTCACACCAGCCACCACGGTCTGAACCCAAGGCTGGTGCTCCTTCCTCTCTACCCCACACAGCTGCCCACATGCACTCCCTGGGCCCACTGCAGGGTCTGGGCCCGGAACTACTGCTCCTCCTCACTGTGTCCCCATGAAATCGGTCAGCTCAATTCCGTGTGTCCCAGCAAGTTCCTCTACCCTCAGATTTATCCAGAACTCAATGACTTCTCACATGCATGGCTCCCTCCTGGATCCCAGCCACAGTGGGCTCCCACCTCATGTCTGTGCCTGGTTCCTGCGGGTGTCACTGACTCCATACCTGCTCTACAGTTATTCTCCTCTCAGCAGCCAGGATTAGTCTTTTAAAACAACACTCGGATCGCAGCACTCCTCCAAACCTCCTGATGGCTCTCCATTTCACACACAGGAGGAAGGGCAAGGTTTTCTAGGGGTCTACGTGGCCCTACCTAAGCTGCTCCACCCCTTTGGGGACTCCTGACCTCTCTCAACTCTCTCCTCACTCTCTCTGCTCCTGCACCGTGGTGGAGCTGAAGTACACAGGCAATGCCAGCGCACTCTTCATCCTCCCTGATCAAGACAAGATGGAGGAAGTGGAAGCCCAGCTGCTCTGGCCTGACTCTTCTTTGACCACATCAAGCTCACTTCCACCTCAGAGGCCTTGCACTGACTGTTCCCTCTGCCAGGAATGCTTTTCCCTAATATACCAACATGACTCCACCCCTCCCCTCTGTTATATGGATGCTCAAACATCACCTAATGGCTACTCTATCTAAAATCACAAACTAACACGAGTTCCAGTTTTCCTGATCCTTTCATCCTCCTCTACTCAATTTCTATCCCCTTACTCAATTTCTCACCTTCTAATATATCACGTAACTTATTTGTTATATTTATTTATTGCCTGTCCCCTCTCCAATTACAAATTAAGCTCCAGGAGGGCAGGGAATCTTGTGTTTTATTTGCTGATTTACTCTCAGGGTGCAAATTAGTGTCTGACACATAGTAGGTGCTCAATTAATCATGCAGCAAATGCTGAGAGAATGAATAAATACAGTGGTTCACCAGTGCAGAACTGATTCTCAGAGTCCATCTCACTGCAGCCCTCAACTGATCACAATTCCTTCTGTTTCTCTCTCCCTTCAAGAGATTGAGACCAGGAGAAACCATGCATGAGTGTTTGGGACTGTGCAGAAGATTTCTCATGACTTAGAACATGCTGGAGTCAGAGGAAGCCTCAGCCCCTTGTCCTGTCTGATGTCATTGTCTTAAAGAAGAAAAAGAAAAATCAAGCCCAAAGCCATGTAGGCAGCATAGGGCAAAGTAAGTGTAAATTCCACCTGTCCCTGTATGAGTTCTCCCACCACCATGCCCTTGTCCCTGGACATTGGTGAGACCTTGACGTGGAGAGATGTGGGGTCTTTGGGGGCCAGGAAGAATCACCTGAACTCCAGAGAGTCTCTCCACCGCTTCAGGGTCTCTGGGAGCAGCATGGCTTCCACTTCCTCCATCTTGTCTTGATCAGGGAGGATGAAGAGTGCGCTGGCATTGCCTGTGTACTTCAGCTCCACCACGGTGCAGGACAGCTCCTCGTCCCGGAAGTAAGGTATAGTCAGGTGATGCAAACTCATCATGGGCACCATTACCCACTTTTTCTTGCTCAAGTAGAACCTTGACTGATGAGTATCTTGGGGGTCAAAGGGCATCTCCCATTTGGCTGAAGGTGGAGCAAGCAGTTGGAGAAGGTGTGAGTGCAAGGGTCGCCCTGCTCGACCCTGCTTCCGCAGCAGTGGAAGTGCCCAGAGTCCCTCATAGGAGGGACCCTGCTTTGGTTTAGAGAAGTAGCTTGGCAAGAGTAAAAGTTATTGGGGGTGAGGGAGAGCCCAGCAGGCTTGGATTGGGAAAAGGGCCACAAAAGAAAGACCTAGTTCCTTGTGCTAAATGAGAAATCAATAGGAACCAGGGAATAAGGAGTGCAAGAGAGAAAGAAGGTTTAGGGAAAGTGGGGGAAAGAGGCATGACAACATGTGGGAGGCTGGTGCCTGAGGAGAAATGGGACAGCCTTTGTTCCATAAAAGGAAAAATGTCTCATTAGCAATTATTACTCACTGGTATTACAGGGATGTGAACATATAACAGTGGCTTGTGGGAGGGCTTTGGGTGGAAATAAGAGGAAAGAGACTGGGTTCTGTATGTGAGTTGGTGAGGGCAGACAGAAGAGATGCCAATCAGTGTGAATGAGGGGAGGAACAGGAAGAACCTTAATGGAAGATAGAACTCAGAGCCAGGAGAGACCATGGGAATAAAAGCCTAGGGACACTTGTGACATCTTAGAGGATAGCGGTGTTGGACATCACAAAAGCCATGAGCTGGCTATGGTCCTTAGCTCATATCTAGCTCATGTCCACCTCTACAGACCATGAATATTCAGCTAAGATTTGCCCTGGATTCAGTGTCTGTCAGGCTGAGGATTCAACTGTGGGTGTTCTGACTCTGAGGCTGCCTAGGCTCTCAGTGTTGCAAAGGTAAAATTCCATGAAACTGCCTCTGGTACCTCTAGCTATCACAAACCTGAAATGCAGCCTGACTCCTAGCCAGGCTGACATAACTCCTCTCACTAAAGGCCTATTTACCATAGTAAAGAGAAAGAGAAAATCTTGAAAGAGGTAGAGGTAGAGGCAGAGGGAGGAAAACTCCACCTTATCTAAAAAGGAATAAGGATGAAAATGACAGCAGACTTCTCATCAGAAACTATGCAAGCAAGGGAAGAATGGAGTAAAATATTTAAAATGTTGAAAATTCCATGAAACTCATTCTTTGGGAATCATGACATAGGCCCATGATTCGCACGCATTTAGTTGGGTACAATTATTTTCCTCCCCTAGAACAGGGGTCAGGAAACTATAGCCTGTAAGCCAATACAGCCATAGCTTATTTTTGTGTGTACCTAAAGCTAAGAATGGTGCTTATATTTTTCAAAGGTTGTAAAAAAAATGAAGAGGAAAGAGAAGATGAAGAAGATGCAGAGGAGGAAGTCAAAAAGAAGAATCTGCCCTCATGTGGACCACACAGCCTAAAATACATACTACTAGGCCCTTTATGGAAAAAAAATTGTCAATCCTTTCTCTAGGTTGTGGGCTCCACAATCTTTCACCTCCATTCTTGGTTTTAGGAGATGCTTGGTAAAAGCTCATAAAGTCACAAACGGCTTTACTTTAGGGGTTAAAATGAGGGAGCAAAAGGAATTTTCAAATGGGCCCAGGTCAACTTTGAATGTTTAATTATTTGCTTTTCTGGACGGCATGTCTCCTACCTAACAAATGGCAATACCACCATCCACCTTTCAGAGCCGCTGCGAGAATTAAACGAGGTATTGCATGTGAATGGCTGGTGAGAGTAGCTGCTCAATAAATGGGAGCTTCTTTCCTTTCTTTCTTTATTTTGGTTTTTCTTTCTGTAATTGCAATGAGAGCCAGCTTCTGGGTGGCCCTACATTCTCTTGTGCCCTCATCTTCCTTCTTGACACTTCCCCACCTTTGGGCTTTCTAGGACCAAAATAACTGTCCATCTTTCCTTTCCCCTCCCCAAAGACCATCTCAGCTTCTCTGGTCCCTGCAGCCTCCCAACATGGAATGACTGGGGACAAATGTAATTGTAAAGATCCCTTGGAGAAAGGACCCATCTCAGGGTAGGAGATATTTCAGTTGAACAGGTGTCCCCGTTACCAATTGCAGCAGCCATTCAGGGGCTTCTGTGGCCTCCATGTGAGGGCAGTGCCATGGAGCACCTTCCCATATTACCCAGGGCACCGAGCTCCTTTGGGGCCTTTCAGCTGGCCAGATCTCCAGCATGGGTCCCTGCCAGAAAGATGGGCTGCCTCTGGGGACCCTGACTGCTGCCTTGTATGCCAGAATGGGGAGAGAGATAGGTTTGGTGGATGAAATCACCACCCAAGCTCTACAAGCCTTTAAATCTTCTCACATCTGCTCCCATCTCCCCCCATTTCTGTCTGCCAGCCACCAAGTTTTCCAATTTTGCCTCCTTAACATCTTCTGACATCCTCAGCTGTTCAACTGAGGGCCCGAATGTCTGGTTAGTCTAGTGTCTTTAGTATCTGATCTCTGCTTGACTCAACTTTCTCTCTGCTGTAACGGCCTTCGCTTCTTATTCTATCTGGATTTAAGAGAAAAGACGAAAACCGTTTTCTAGGGGAAACCTTCCTTTCTTGAATTCCCATCTTCTGCCCCTGGTTGGATGCCCCCACCCCCTTACTTTCAGCTGAATACATAGTTCTAGCATCACTGGGTGAGTCAATCCTTGCATGCTCTTGGGTCCAGTGGGTGCAATGGAAGAGGAAGAGCAGAAAGGGAGGGAACAAGCACTCCAGGGTTCTGAGCTGGGACTGTCTCAGCCTGAAGCTCATGCATGCTCGGTCCCCTCCACCTTCCACAGGGCTGCCCCAGCAGTGACCAAGCCCCGTCACATACACTGTATGTAAACCAGGCTGAGGCAGGGAGCAAAACTGGCACCTGGAGAGTGAGGAGAGGTCAACAGAGGAAGGGGAGGGGCCCTGCAGGTCTCCACTCCAGGAGGACCAGAGCACTGAACAATGAGGGGGGTGGGAGCTTCCAGGGGAGGCTGGAGACATGGGGCCACCTCCACTGCCCACCTGTTTACCACCTGCCTGTTTCCCATTGTTAGAGGCAGGTGGGGAGGGGAAAGCTAGGCTGGCTACTGTGTCCTGGAGGGGAGAGTCCTAGCATAGGGCTAGGTAGTAGGAGGCGAGAACATGGGAAACTCAGAGAACAAATGGCACGTGAGGCGTGGAGTAGTCTTAGAGGGAGATCTGGATCCACGCCTTCATTTACAGATGAAAACCCAGGCCCAGGAGGGGAAGTGGCTTGCCCAGGAATCAACCAACAGCTTCCAAGCAGGACTCTGCCTCCAAGCAGCTCATGTCTCCTAAGCACCTTTCCACCCTCTGGCTCAGTGATCACTCTTTGTGTCCCTATCTCTTTTTTTGTCCCCATCTGGACTGTGGGCTCCAGGAGGCAAAAGCTACCGGCTTGCACTCTGCCCCTTCGGAGCTTGCAGGCTGAGGTTTGCATTGGTTGAGTTTCTATCAATGGGATTGGGCACTGGACCAGTTAGAATCTGGCAAAGGGTCATGTTTTGTATACTGCCCACCCTTGAGGCTCTTCCCCAGATGGGAACAATGCCATTTCTGCCCTCATTTGTTATGTGTCAGTGACATATTTTTTAAAATAATTAAAGATGATAGCAGAGTAGAATCATAGAATCTTGGAAGTGGCCAGGCTCCTTGGGGATTATCTTGCCCTGTGAAGATGGCCCCAGCCCCACCTGGCCACCTCCAGACACCAAGGCCCCTGGCTGGAATGTGCTCCTCCCACATGTGCAGGGCAGGAGCCCCAGGTGCATCCAGACAGAGGGACTTCCTGGCCTAGTCTAGCAGCACCCCTGCAAGGAGGGAGCTCTAGCTCCTACGCGCCCTGGAGTGGTTTGAAAGGAGAGCTCCTTCTTTCTGTTTGCCGGACAAGTTTAAATCAGAGTGAAAAGCACCACACTGACTCAGACCAGAGGCTGATGGGCTCCACTGAATTATGTCTTCCAAGGACAAACTGTAATTTGGAAAAACCCCACAGGAGACGGCGATGCCTATGGGCAGGGTGGGGCCTTGATGCTTATGCTGCCCCCATGCTGTGGGCACTCTCCTCTACAGTGGTTTGCCTAATAACACCATTGTTGAGTCAGGACAGAAATGGCCCTGAGATCCACCTCTTCTGAACCCCAAGCCAGGCACACTCACCTTTAAAGAAGATGTAATTCACCAGGACCATCATTGTCTGCGAGTCAAGGTCCTTGATCAGATCTGTGATTTTCCCCCTAGTTCCATTCTTCACGTAGTCGTTGATGAGCTTCTTAGCTGCAGCTGAGTCCTGAAAGTCAGTGGCAAAGGCCTCGGAGCCATACAGCCTCTTGGCATCCTCCGTGAACCTGTCCAGCAGACTGAGTTGCTCTTTGACAAACATGGCATTTCCCATACTCAGCTGCAGCTCATCGCTGGACTGATTGAGGGTGCGCAGGAGGTGCTGGAAGCTCTGGTGAATTTCTGCCTCAGAAGTCTCCGTGAGGTTGAACTTGAGGCCTTTGAGAATCTCTGTCAGGGTGGTATTATGGGCCCCCAGAGACAGGAAGGCCAAGGCGGTGGAGATGCTCAGTGGGGAGAAGATGACATTCTTATCAGGGGCCTTCAGGACTAACTGCTTGTACAGGCTGAAAGCGAAGTCCACGTTGGCGGAGGCTAATCCGAGGTCCACGTGTGTCCCTCGGTCTTGGTTCTCCTGGGTCAGATTCTCCTCGTCAAGTGGGCTGTTAGGGTGGCAGAGGACAGCAGGGCAGAACCCAGCCGCCAAGAGCCCCAGAGCCAGGAGAGGTAACATTCTCTCCATTCTCAACTCTGAAAAGCAAAGCTCCTTTAAGTCTCAGAGGGCCAGATGGAGCCCCGACCACCTCCCACTGCCCTCCACCCAGCCTGCGTCCTGGTCCCTGTCCTGCTGCCTCTTGCTAGCTTTGGAGCCTCCCTCAGGTAGGTGCTCTCTGGGGCACCCGACACACATCACTCTGCTTCATTTCACCCTTTGAGGTAGGTACCATAATTGTTGCCATTTTCTTGCAGTGGAAAAGCCGGGCACAGAGCGGTGAGGGGGCTTGCCCAAGATCATACAGCAAACAGGTAAAGGAGCCCAGTGGGCAGCCAGGTTTGCCTGGCTCCTCGGTCTGTAAGCTGATGGGGGGTCCGAGGTTCAGTCCAATCAGAATGCCTGCTCCTCTCCTGCTTGGTGAGCAGATCTCATCCTAGGGGATTAGAAAGCAGGGGCTCCCTTCCTTCATTCTCCCAACTGCCACCAAAGTAGAACCCAGGGATGAAGGAGCCCTGGGCAGAGATAGAGGCCACAGTGACTCTCCCAGCCTCTAGATGTCACGTGGTGTGGCCTCCACAGGCCTCCACGATGTGATGCTGGGTGGCAGTGAGGGTCGACTGAGAGAGGGAAATGAAAGTCCCTGGTACAGTGTCTGGAGCCTCGATGGCCCTGATAATGGTTGGCAGCAAGACCAAAGAAAGGCAAATGTTCTTCTCTGCCCCTGCCAGGTTGCCACGTGGTGTCTGTGTCCACCATAAGCCTGGAAGGGCCTCTTAGTGGGGAGAAGGCAGAGAGGGCTTTGGAGTCTCCCAGACTTGGACTGGGATTTTATTTTGGCCACTTTTGATTGCTGTGTACTGGCAAGCAGGTGACTGTACATCTCTCAACCTGTTTCCGTCTCTGCACAACCTGTTAAGTGGCTCAGGTGAGATAAATGATGAAGGCACCTGGTTCATATTAGACGTACCGAGCAGTCACCACCTCCCATACTACCCCTTTCCTGAAACTACAAGCCAGAGAAGAGCCATGAGCTACTGCACAAGAGACCCTGGAAGGGCTGAGTTCCAAGCCGGTGACCGCAGCAAACAAGATTATTCACCTTCAGCCTCCGCCCACTCAGTCCTAGAATTCAGAAGAGAAAAGGGGCAGCTTGGGTGCTGGGGAGAAGAGTGGGGAAGAGAGGCGATTGGAAGGGAGGGGAGGGGAGAGGGGTAGAGAGAGGAGAAGAAAAGGGGAAGAGAGAGTGGAAGGAAGGGAAGGAAGGAAAGGAAGGGAAGGAGGGGAAGGAGGGGAAGGAGGGGAAGGAGGGGAGGCCAGTGGAAATGCCTTTGGCCAAGCCCAGGGACAGAGGCACCTTGTTTGCTTCAACTGTTCACTCTCAGGCTGATGCAATCATTTCTCTGGATAAATGTTAGACAATATTTTTCTCCAGAATTATTTCAGGGGCAAAGGCTTGTCTTTTCTGTTTGGGCAAGTTGGAGGGCTGGCTGTTTCCCAGCAGTTTGTCTTTTCTGTTGCTGGACAGAGACACAGCCCATCTGTCGACTTGGCCAGGGGTCCTTTTGGGGAAGTGGAGCTCCCGAGGCAGCCCCATGGAGACCCTGAAATCATGGTGAGGCCTGTGGCCTCTGCTCAGAGGGACCTGCTGCAATAATCACATCTGCCACATGTTCTGAGAGCTGCACCCTGCTCCAGGCAAGGGGACAGCACCTCTTCCCTGAGGGTCAGATGCACAGCTGACTCAAATCCGAATCTGTAAGTATCAAGGCAGAAATGACCATAGAGGCCCCAGGGCACCTCCACCCTTTGCAGGTGTGAAAACCCAGACACAGAGGATGCCTCTAAAAAAGGCACAGGGAATCAGTGGCAGCCAAGAACAGACCCCTGGCCCCTAACACCTGAGTACACCTCCTCCTGGCCTCTGCTTACCCCTCACACTCCACACACTCCAGGCTGCTGCCTAAAACTCTCCTGGAAAAACAGATTCCTCCGCTCCCAGGATGTAAAACATCATGGATTACCTGCCTCAGGGAGCTGGATGTAGCTGGTGGATTCCAAAGCCGTCTGTCTGGAGTAGTGGATTTTCATGAATGCTGAGGCTTATTTATTCCTGCAGAGAACTCCTCCCCCTGCTTGGGAAATGCCAGGACAACCAAGTGTTCTGTTCTCGGACTGGAAATGACCAGATGATAATTTCTGGTAATACGGGCTTGTTAGACCTACTCAAATAACCTGGTTATGGGACTAGCTCTAATCTCTTCCTCCAAAGGTCAAAAAAGCACACAGAAAAAATCCTTTGTTGTATTAGTTTTTATCTGCTTATTAAATACTCATTGAAGAACATGGAAAAACTCAGAGAATGTAAAGAAGGACTTTGGAAAATATCCCCCAGCACTTTACTACCCAGAGAAGACCCCAGCTAACATTTTGGTATATTTCTTTTTTATTTCTTTTTATTTTTTATTTTTATTTTGAGACAGAGTCTTGCTTTGTTGCCCAGGCTGGAGTGCAGTGGCGTGATCTCAGCTCACTGCAACCTCTGACTCCCGGGTTCAAGCAACTTTCTGCCTCAGCCTCCCGAGTAGCTGGGACTACAGGCACACACCACCACGCCCAGCTAATTTTTGTATTTTTCGTAGAGACAGGGTTTCACCTTGTTGGTCGGACTGGTCTTGAACTCCTGACCTCGTGATCTGCCCACCTCAGCCTCCCAAAGTGCTGGGATTACAGGCATGAGCCACCGCACCCAGCCACA